>NC_000018.10:73287528-74537528 GCF_000001405.40 Homo sapiens | reverse complement strand
AAGAGTTTGCCCAATCTTGGGCTCAAGATCCCAAGAATAGAATTGATGACTTTCTTTTCTCTCTCAGTATTAGAAAAAGGTGATGGTAATAAGTCAGCAATAGCGACAAAAACAAGCAATGGAAAAGGACTCCCTATTCAATAAATGATGCTCGGATAACTGGCTAGCCATTAGCCATATGCAGAAGATTGAAACTGGACCCCTTCCTTACATCATATACAAAAATCAACTCAAGATGGATTAAGGACTTAAACATAAAACCCCAGACTCTAAAAACCCTGGAAGACAACCTAGGCAATACCATCCTGGACATAGGAACAGGCAAAGATTTCATGACAGAGACACCAAAAGCAATTGCAACAAAAGCAAAAATTGACAAATAGAATCTAATTAAACTTAAGAGCTTCTGCACAGTAAAAGAAACTATCAACAGAGTAAACGGACAACCTACAGAATAGGAGAAAATATTTGCAAACTATGCATCTGACCAAGATCTAATATCCAGTATCGAGGAACTTCAACAAATTTACAAGAAAAAACAAACAATCCCATTAAAAACTGGGCAAAGGACATGAACAGACACTTTTCAAAAGAAGATATACATGTGGCCAACAAGCATATGAAAAAAAGCTCAGTATCACTGATCATTAGAGAAATGCAAATCAAAACCACAATGAGATACCATCTCACATCAAACAACTGTATTAAAAAGTCAAAAAATAACAGATGCAAGTGAGGTTGCAGAGAAAAGGGAAAACTTATACGTTGTTGGTAGGAGTGTAAATTAGTTCAATTATTGTGGAAAGCAGTGTGGCAATTCCTCAAACAGCTAAAAACAGAACTACCGTTTGACCCAATAATCCCATTACTGGGTTATATGCTCAGAGGAATATAAATCATTCTACTATAAAGACACATGAATGTGAATGTTAACTGCAGCACTATTCACAATAGCAAAGACATGGAATCAACCTAAATGTCCATCAATGACAGACTGGGTAAAGAAAATGTGGTACATCTACACCATGGTGAATACTATGCAGCCATAAAAAAGAATGAGATCATGTCCTTTGCAGGAATATGGATGGAGCTGGAGGCCATCATCCTTAGCAAACTAATGCAGGAACAGAAAACCAGACACTGCATGTTCTCATTTGTAAGTGGGAGCTAAATGATGAGAACACATGGACACATAGAGGAGAACAACACACACTGGGGCCTATGGGTGGAGGACGGGAGGAGGGAGAGGATCAGCAAAAATAACTAATGAGTACTAGGCTTAATACCTGGGTGATTAAATAATCTGTACAACAAATCACCATGACACAAATTTACCTATGTAAGAAACCTGCACATGTACTGCTAAACCAAAAATAAAAGTTAAAAAAAAGTAAAAGAATAGCAAAGGGGAAAATATATAGTACAATCTCTTCCTCTCTTTCATATCAAAGGGTATTATATTGAGTCCAAAACAAAATATTTCCTTCTTTTTTGTTTCAGACAGGGTCTTACTCTGCCTCCCAGGCTGGAGTGCAGTGGCGCAACCATGGCTCACTGCAGCCTCGACCTCCCAGGTTCAAGCCATCCTCCCACCTTGGTCTCCTGAGTAGCTGAGACCACAGGCATGCTCCACCCTGCCTGGCTACTTTTAAAATTGTTTGTAGAGTCAGGGTCTCACTATGTTGCCCAGGCCAGTCTTGAACTCCTGGGCTCAGGTGATCCTCCTGCTTTGGCCTCCTAAAGTGTTGGGATTGCAGACATAAGCCACCATGCCCAGCCAGGGAAATTATTTTCTTTCATGTTGCTTTTAACTTTAATGTTTTGAATAGATACTATCATGACACAGTTTAAAGATTTTTTAAAGTAAGACAGTATTCAGTGAAATGTCCTCTTCTAACCCCCACCCCAATGCCCTGGCCAGTCATGGGTTCTTTAAAAAAAAAAAAAAGTCAGCAATGGAAAGCATGGCCAGACCACAGGGTGAGGTTCTTTCTCTCAGAGCAGTGATTTTGCAGCATGGTGTGGGAATCTCATGGTCTTGCAGGTGGGCAAAGCCCACTTCTAGAATCCGGCTGTGGTCAGGTCACCACCTGCCTGCTCACTGTGTCTCCAGCCTCGCATTTGCATGTATTTGTTTCAGTATGTCTTTTGAGAGTCTTCTACGTATCAACCTTCCACAAAATTCTGAAAATTTCTGTGTGTGTATGTGTGTGTTTGCAATGGAAATAAAAAGCGTCCATGAATTTTATCTTTCCAAGTAGTCTGGAACACAACCCCACAAAACCTCACAGCCAAAGGTACCTGCCTGCTTGTTTTCCTAGAGAGAAGCCTTCCCGCCACACCCACACTCAGGTTTGCACCTGAACCATGGAAACCTCGCCGAGAAAGGCCTGGGGTGATTTAGCCCGGTGATTAGCTCTTGCAAACTAGCCCTTAAGTCGGGAACCTGGGACCAGGACAAACAGCACACTGTCTGTTACCATTATTTAGGCAAATTCTTCCAGGAAGCAAACTCATTTTTTTTAAAGAGAAAAAGTACAGAAAAAAATTGATTTAAGAAGACTGAGTTCATGAACAATTTGAATATGAACTACTTGACAATAATGCCATTTAATTATTGTTAAGAACACACAACTACCCAAAAGCATTACTGATAAAATATAATTCCAAATACCACATTCCTCGGCCAAGACAGCACCTAAGAACACCATGAGGAGCAGCATCTGGGGCCACGCTGGGTGCCTGCCCTGCCCAACTGGGCTTAACGCACATGCTCCCGGGACAAATGGAATTCTGGCACCCAATGCACGGACTCTGATGGAGGAGGTCCTACTCACCATTCTCCCGAGTTTGGGATCCATTAGGCTGGAGTTCTGAAGCCTCTAGCAACTTTCCCAACCTCCAAAAAATGTGGCAGAGGGAGTCCCATGAAAGCCCCAAGAGGGTGACATTAAATATCTCTCTGTGCCCTGACCCACGTTGTCCCCCGGAAGGAAGACGAGGCTGGTATAGTGGAGCTATTCACATCTGGAGAACAAAGCGGCTTCGGAGGTATTCATTCAGCTCAACTGCAGAGGAAGAGACAATGCATCTCATACGCGCAGATACGGGATGAGGCAGTGGCCCCAAAGTCATGTGATGTCACTGGAAGCCAGCAGCCTGGCCCAGCCTGCGACTCCTCGGGTTCTTCTTTGGGGGCACTTGTGTGTCATCTCTGAGAGGGAGTAGGGCCCCGGCCAGCAGGCAGAGCTGAGCCAGCGGCACAGCCCCCTCAGGTGACAGCCCCCTCACATGACAGGCCCCCACACACTGTGGCTGTGGGCCCTTGTGATGGAATGTTACGGCCGAGGATTAGCTTCCTAGGGCTGTGCAGGGGCCGAGGGTAGAGTTTTCCCAGCTCTCTGAAGGTTCGCTGCAAAATCAGCTTGCAAAGGGCAGTTGAATTGGAGAAGAGGCATAACAGATTGATTTGCTCCTAGTTTTAAGTGACATGGGAGCCTTCAGAAGGAAGGACCAATCCCTAATGGGGTTGGGAAGCTGAGACACCCTCTTGAGGTTCCACAAGGAGTGGCGGCTTAGATTCTCGCGCAACAGGTTATGGGAGGAGAAAAGAGGACTTCAGCTGAGGGCAATCAGCGCTCACGAGGGAGGATTCAGTGGGCTTGAAGAGCACGCCACGGTCTTCGTTCAAGTCTGCTGGGCCCCGGAGCAGACAATGGTCTTGACAAGTCTGTCCAGCGTGTTCGGTGTCAGCCTTCCTTCCTGAGATATGGGTTCAGTTAACGAAAACTCAGGGAAGGGACTAGAGGTCATTCCTTTCTTCTTTGGTGGGTCAGACTTGAAGGAGATAAGGACACTTCAGGAACTCTGGGAGAGATGGTGGGGGTGGGGGAGCCGAGAGGCCTTGAAGTTCCTTTTCAGTTCAGCTTGAACAAAGCACCATATTTTGGGGTATTGGCTTCTGAGCCCCAACATCTGCTCTAACAAAAGTACCCTACACTGGGTGGCTTAAGCAACAGAAATCGGTCTCAATTCTGGAGACTGGAAGTCTGAGATGAAGGTATGGGCAGGGCAGGTTTCTCCTGAGGCTGAGCGGGAAGGGCGTGCTCCAGGCCTTGACCCGCGTGGCTGCTGGCCGTCCTTGGTGTCCCTTGTCTTGTACAAGCATCACCCGATCTCTGCCCTCATCTTCTTATGATGTTCTCCCTGTGTATGTGTGTGTGTCCAGATTGTCCCTTCTCATAAGGACACAGTTGTGTGTAATCAGGGGTCCATCCTATGCCCATGTGACCTTATCTAAAGATAAGTAATTCAATCTGCAATGACCCTATCTCCATAGAAGGTCACATTCTGAGGTCTTGGGGGTTAGGATGTCAACATATAAATTTTGGTGGGAAGGTCAGGGGACAGTAGAGAAAAGGAGGCAGCAGGGCACAGGCCAGAGCCTTGGGTTGAGGGGTCCCGGGGCTTTTCTGGGGGACTGGGATTCTTTTGCATCATTTCTCTCTGAATAACTCTTGCAGGGATTGGCACACTGGAGACTTACTCTAACTGTTTGCTGAATGAAAGGACAAATAATCAAATAATTTTTACCAACAAAGAAATCTCTGGAAAGGCAGAGTTGGAACTCATTATCCCTGCTAGTTAAGGCTAGCTGTGGCTATCAGGGCCGGGCCCCTCTCCCTTGCAGAGGGGCAGCGTCTCCACCAGCTGCGTCTCTGCACCTCCTCCCCATCCTCACACCCTTTCCCTGACACTTGCCAGGCCGGGCTCCTTGAGCTCCAGGCCCAGCACAGCAGCTCCCAGGAAGTGGGCCTGGCCCTTCTTCCGAAGGCCAAGTTGCTGGGATCATACTCAGAATTCCGAGGGCTGGAAAGGAAGGAGAGGGTGAGGCTGGGCCCAGGTGTGGGCTGTGATCCTAGGAGGGTGGGGGCCCTGCTGCCTGCAGTCATCAGTGGAAAACCTTGCCCCTACCCAGCCAAAGTCACCTCTGGCAAGAGCATAGCGCACGGGCGAGCCCAGGGCTTCAAAAGCCCATGTAATTCAGATCAGAGAATTCCTCTTTCTCAGCCTCTGTCAAATGCACTTTACTCTTTCCTTGCAGAAAATATGTGAGATATGAGTGTTCCTCACAATAATTTTTTTTCTAGAAAAGAGGAAAACAGAGCTGGCTCAAATATTTTGTTAGAATCCCAGCACTTTGGGAGGCTGAGGCAGGAGGATTCCTTGTCAGGAGTTGGAGACCAGCCTGGGCAACAGAGTGAGTCCCCATCTTTATAAAAATTAAAAATAAATCAATACAAATTTAAAAAATGTTTTGTTAGTTGATTACAAAAGAAGACATTTGATTCTATTACTAATATAGTTTGGAAGGAAGGAAGGAAAGACTCCAACAGATATTAGCAAGAACGGAAGCCAAACACAGGTCCAGGGGAAAGTGCTCCTACAAGAATTCCAATTATTTTGCCTTCTCAGTCTTCCATCTTCACAGATCTCCATCTCGATGCCAGTTAAATCTGGGAGACAGTGGAGAGAAGAGAGGGGAGAAAGGGAGAGAGGAGAGAGAGATGGTGGTGGAGAGAGAGAGGGGGAGACAGAGAGGGAAAGAGACAGACGAAGAAGCTACTCTGGGTTCCCTACTCCTAACACATGTGAACCTAAGCTAGGCTGTGCTTTTCAGCTTCCCAGGTTTCCATTGGAGAGTACGAGGGGCAATGCCTGGAGCTAGTTTTCCCTCTAACTTTGCTGTGTCAGAGGCCACCACCTGTGTCTGTCGGCGGAGTATGATGTACACCACGTCGGCAGAGAGAAATACATCCTAGGTCTGTGCCTGGTAAGTAAGCTCTGTGCCAATGACATGCCCCATTTACAGACCTCGCTTGGTCAAAATCCTATCACGATTCTTCAGCCAGATCCCCTAGCACCTTCCATACCTTTCATAAGGCATCATCACTCCCCAGGAGGCACTTTACTCACTTACAAGCAGTCTTCTTTTGCATCATTTCTCTCTTGATAACTGTTGCAGGGATTCGCACACTGGAAGTTACTCTGTAACTGTTGAATGAAAGGACAAATACTTTTTACCAACGAAGAAACCTCTGGAGTGGCAGAGTTGGAACTCATTATCCCAGCTAGCTGGGGCTCATGAAGGCTTCCTGAGCATGCCTGGGGCCCTTTTCCCTGCAGTGTGGCATCTTTCTGTATCTGGTGTAGCACAAGCACGTAGCGCCCTGCAGTCACACCCAGTGGAGAGAGAAATGGACCTCAGGCAGCCTGTACTCCCAGGAGGGAGGGAAAGATCTGCTACCTCAGCGGTATTCACCAGCTTCCATTTTCTCCTCTTCCTCAACCATCTAGACCAAGCTACTGCCACCAAGGATCTGTGTAATGACGCACCACGATGCCGATCAGTCTGAATCCTGCAGCACTGAAAACTTCATGCTTTGGTCTGCAAAGAGTCCTCCCTGACTCCAGGACTCAAACAGAGCCGGTGGGAACCACCTCTCCAAGTCTCCCATTTACTTCCCTGGAAAGAGGAGAAAGTAACCTACCTTCTCTGGGTTCAATGAGGCAAAGCTGGTTATTGTTATGATTAGAGATGAAAACAGACCTTTTGCCCTGTCTTGGGACATTAAAACATGTCCAAGAGGGCTCTTAAGAGATGAAGTTGACAGTAACAGCTTCCATTCAAGTTCTGGGAAAATAAATCTCCACACACACTCTCCCGTCTGTCCCTTCAACTCTCTATAACCCCACAGAAATCTAGCTTTTCCTTCTCTCTTGGAAGCTTTCCCAGAAGTGGCAAGCCCAGGTGTGGCCTGCACGCTGTGACCTTCTTGCCCTCTGGGAGCCCTGTCCGGGCAGTGGAAACAGTGTGTATCACAACCGGCGCAGGGCCGAGTACACAGTACTGGACACAGTAGGTGCACAATGAACAGGAGCTGACATGATTCCAGCTCACCCCAGACTCCCCCAGGCCTTGCCCACCTCAGTGAGATTTCACGAGCGCATCTTGGCTGCTGCTCTGCGTTGGGTACAATGGCGGAGCAAGTGCCCAAGCCCTGCCTTCAAGGAGACGGGACAAATGTAGGAAATGGCCCAGCAGCATGCAGCTAACAGTTAAGTGACTCACGTGGACAGAAGTCCTGGGTTTGAACGTGGAAGAGGACGCTTTGGGCAGATGCTGGGGCAGATGCTGGGGCAGGCGTGGGGAGCTGGAGGAGGTGAGCCTTCCTGGAGGGCAGGTGGGACTGGAGAGGTCGGGCCCTCCAGCGGGAAGCATGCTAGAATCACCTGGGAGCTTCAAAAAGGCCAGCGGCGAGGCCCACCCCCAGAGAAATCATCCGATTTCAGATGGGCAGATGAGAAACAGGGATAGGCAGAGGAAGTGGGGGCTTCTGGGTGGGGATGGGGCTGCAACAAGGGCAAGCGGGAAACCCGTCTTCTCAGAAGGGGCGCCCATTAGCAGAAAGCAAGATGCAAGATCCGAGGATTGGATGGGGCTTCGGATCTCCTGGTCTTTTCCACTCCATAGGGCGTCCAGGCCCTGACCTCCTCCGGCGTGGCTCCAGCAGCCTCACCCTGGCTGGTCTCCCGGACCCCAGGGGTTCAGGCCACAGGACCATCTCATGCGAACATCTCAGTCAAAGCCCACTCTGCGCCCTTTTGGGTGGGGTTTGGTCATGACCATCTGTTGTTCTGAGGAAATTCTGCTGTAACTAAACCACTATTTCTTTTGAGTTAGCACCTGTCTGTCGAACCAGACTCCTGTCAAAGGCCATTTGAGGAAACTCAGACTGACAGAATTCTGCATAAGTGAGTGAAAACTCCACTGTCTTACCATGTAGAGTAGTAACAGATTCTACTACACGCAGGCGCCTATGATACTGAAGAGTCATCAACGAGGAACCACCTGCCCAGGGGGCCCTGCAAGCCTGAGAGGGTCCACAGTTGCCTCCTGATTGTGCAGTGGTGAAAGGAACAGGAGGGCCGTGAGCACCATTTACCAGGACTGCTTTCTCCCCCCGTGCTGCATGCTTCCCACAGCTTTGGGGCTGATGCAGATGGTGAGTTTTCTTCAAAACATTGATAACAAAGTGTGTTCCATGGGTATTTCCTCTATCTGTTATATACACTTTAAAAAATTTAGTTGACAAATAAAGATTGTATATATTCAAGGTGTCAAATGCAATCATTTGATATATGTATACATTGTGTAATGATTATCCCAATCAAATGAATGAACACAACATCACCACCCCTCCCGTACAGTAAATCCCCAGCACTTGTTTATCTTGTAACTGAAAGTCTGTACCCTGTGCTCACCATCTCATTCCCCCTCCCTCCAACTTCTGGCAACCACCATCCCAGTCTGTTTCTATGAGTTTGACTTTCGAGTCCACATAGAAGTGAGATTTAACAGCATTGTATTTCTGTGTCTGGCTTAGTTTAACTTAGCTTAAAGTCTCCAAGATCATCTATGTTGTCACAAATAACAGGATTCCCTTGTTTCTATCTGGCTGCATAGTGGTCCATTGTGTATATAGACTACATTTTCTTTATCCATTCATCTGCCGATGGACTTTTAGTTGTTTCCCTATCTTGGCTATTGTGACTAATGCTGCAATGAACATGGGGGTGCAGACATTTCTTTGACATACTGATTTCATTTCCTTTGGATAAATACACAGAAGCAACAAGGCTGGATCATATGGTAGTTCTAGTTTTAGTGTTTTGAGAAATTTTTATAATGGCTGCACTAATTTACATTCCCACCAACAGTGTGCAAGGGTTCCTTTTTCTCTACGTCATCTCCAACACTTATTATCTCTTGTCTTTGCCATACTAACAGGTGTGAGGTGATACCTCATTGTGGTTTGGATTTGCATTTCTCTGATGGTTAGTAATACTGAGTATTTTTTTATATACTTGTTAGCCATTTGTAGATCTTCTTTGAAAAAATGTCTATTCAGATCCTTTGTCCATTTTCAAAATTGGGTTACTTTTTTTTTTTTTTTTTTTGCTACTGAGTTGTGTGAGTTCCTTATATATTTTGCAGGTTAACCCCCTTATCAGATATGTGGTTTGCAAATATTTTCTCCCATTCCATAGGTTGCCTTCTCATTTTGTTGTTTCTTTTGCTGAGCAGAAAATTTTTAGTTTAGTGAAGTCCCAATTGTTTATTTTTTCTTTTGTTACCTATGCATTTGGTGTCATCGCCAAAAAATCATTGCCAGGACCAATGTCATGAAGATTTTCTTCTGTGTTCTAAGATTCTTATGGTTTCAAATCTTACATTTAAGTCTTCAATCCATTTTGAGTTGATTTTTGTATATGGTGTGAGCTAAAGGTCCAATTTCATTCTTCTGTATATGGATATCCAGTTTTCCCATTGTTATTTATTGAAGAAACTGTCCTTTCCCATATGTTCTTGGCACCTTTGTTGAAAATCAATTGGCTGTAAGTGTGTGAATTGATTCCTGGGCTTTCCATTCTGTTCCATTGGTCTAAATGTCTGTTTTTATGCCAGTACCCTATTTTGGTTACTACAGTTTTATAGTATACTTTGAAGTCAGGTAGTGTGATGCCACCAGCTTTGTTCTCTTTTTCAAGGTTGCTTTTGCTATTTGTGGTCTTCCATGATTCTACATAAATTTTAGGATTTTTTTTCTATCTGTGAAAAATGCCATTGATATTTTGATAGGAATTGCACTGACTCTGTAGATCACCTCGGGTACTATGGATACTGTAAAAATATTAATTCTTCCAATCCATGAACGTGGGATACCTTTACATTTGTATCTTCCTTTTCATCAATGTCTTACAGTTTTTGGTTTACAGATCTTTCATCTCCTTGGTTAAATTTATTCCTAAGTATTTTATTCTTTTTGATGCTATTGTAAATAAAATCATTTTCTTAATTTCTTTTTGGGTAATTTATTTTTGGTGTATAGGAGTGCAACTAATTTTTATGTGTTGATTTTGTATTCAAAATCTTTACTGAGTTCATTTAGTAAGTGAACTATTCATTAGTTCTAAGGGTATTTTGGTGGAGTTCTTCTGGGGTTTTCTATATGTAAGATCATAGCATTTGCAAACAGAAAATTTTGCTTTTTCCTTTCCAAATTGGATGCCTTTTCTTTCTTTTTTTTTTCTATTTGTTTTCCTTGGGGCAGGTGTCATGGTATAATTGATGTAATAGAGGAACTTAAAGGTTGACATCCAATTTGCAAAAAACTGATTATTGTTTTCTAACATCTGTTCTCCCTCTCCTACGTAGAATCTTTAGCTAGGCATATTTTCATCCTCTCATACAGTTGGATGTGGCCATCTGACTGTTTTCTGGAGAGTAGAGGCAAGGGGTCGAAACTTTCAATTGTGGCTTGTGCCTTCAAATGGAGGGATCATGTCTTGCCCTCTCTTTTCCTCCTTCCCACTGGCGGCTCCAGCAGGAGCTGGTGCAGAGATCTTGGCCTGTGAGATAAAACTGAGGAAGGAAGAGGCTCATAATGGAAGGAATCCAGGTCCCAAATGATAGAGGAGCCCCCAAAGCAGCCCTGAACTTGCTGCTCAGACTTCTGTGTGAAGAACAAATGCGTAAACCCTCACCCCATGGAAGCCTTGATCATTTTGGTCACAGTAGCTTAGACTTATCCTCATTAATTAATACACTGTTGATTAAGGATCCTGAACATTTCTAGCATGACTTATCTGGCCCAGACACCAAAAAATAACAAGCAAAGAATGAACTTGACTTTCTCTAAATCACATGGGGACGTTAACTGTTCCTTCAGGTCAGAAGGGCTCACTGAGCTGACTCTCTTCTAGGTTAAGAATGTGGCACAACAAGTTCTGTCTTTTTCTACATCAGACAAGATTACGGTGTTTTTCTCACTGGCCAACTTTGTGCTGTGGCCTGAACTTGATACAGGACAGGCTTTTGCTTTTGGCCATAGAGAAAAGGCTCCCAAAGCAGCATCTCCTGGAACTGTTTGTTGATGAATGCAAAGACCCTTGAGGGAGATCTGGGTTACATAAGCACGTGAAATGATTGCTATCAAATTGTTTTTTTAGGATAAACCTGAGAGGACTAGCTGCAGGGCTTAGGGAGGACTTGGGAGAGGTGGGGAACATCTGCTGCTGAAGACCCTGAGGGATGACCCCAGGGCAGGCACCCGGGGAGCAGAGGTATTCCAATTTCTTCCCTCCTTTTTAGTAAGTGCTGGGCATGAGAGGTCTGGGCAATGGCACCTCTTTTTCCCATCCAAGTTCCGACCTATGAGTCAAAATAGCAAAGCGGACTGTAATTAATTAAGCTGATATTTTAAAGCACGGATTGTATGTGTAGGTAATCCTATGCCGATTCCCAGAATGAGGCAGCCTCCCACTGCAGCCCTGGAGGGACAAAGAAGAACATGCCCCTCGTGGACAGCTTCCTGCAGAGGAGCTCCTGTAGCCGCCCATGCTCTTGGAAGCATGGTGACCAGCAGCAACTGGAAGCCGGCATTCCCCTTGACGCCCTCCTGGGGAAGTCTCATCATGCAGTGCCTTCAGCAAGACACTTCCCTGTACACAACTTCCCTGGCATCCCTGGGGGTCACAGTCCAGCAAGTTCTCCACAGGGACTTCTCTGCCGGGCACTGGGCCAGGGCTATGCTATCTCCAGCAAGGTCTGGACTTAGCCCTGAGGAGCGGCTCTTCCTCGGCCTCTCTGTCCCAGGAGTCATGGCTGCTCCCTACGTTTGCCCTCCCAACTCTCGGATTCTACAGGTGTTTGACTATAAGTCTTATCTCTAACCTTCAGGATCTGGAAGCAAGATCATTTTTGTATTGATTGGGTCTAGGGAGAAATGCTGAGATACCATGTCACACCCACTAGAATGGCACGATCAGAAAGATTGCAGGTGTTGTTGAGAGTGTGGACAAATCAGAATCCTGGTACACTGCTGGCGGGAATGTAAAATGGCGCAGCCACTTTGGACAACAGTCTAGCAGTTCCCCAAACAGCTAAAGATGGAATTCCCATATTGCCCAGCAATTCCCCTCCTAGGCATATACCCAAGAGAAATGAGATGTGTCCACACAAAAACTGGGACACGAATATTCATGGCAGCATTATTCATAATAGCCAGAGTGGAGAAAGTCCAAATGTCCACCAACTTATGGATGGATAAGCAAACTGTGGTCTATACTTAAAATCAACACTACTCAGCTATAAGAAGGAATGAAGTACTGACGCATGGGACACCACGGATGAACCTTGAAAACGTTATTCTGAGTGAAGGAAGTCAGACACAAAGGCCACGTATTAGGCCAGGCATGGTGGCTTCATGCCTTTGGGAGGCTGAGGTGGGAGAACTGCTTGAGGCCAGGAGTTCGAGACCAGCTTGGGTAATATAGCAAGACCCCATCTCTACAAAAAATTAGCTGGGCACGGTCACGCACCCTGTAGTCCTAGCTACTTGAGAGGCTGAGGCTGGAGGATCACTTGAACCCAGGAGGTTGAGGCTGCAGTGAGCCAAGATGGTGCCACTGCATTCCAGCCTGGGTGACAGAGCAAGACACTGTTTCTTAAAAACAAACAAACAAACAAACAAAAACCAAAGGCCATATATTGCATAATTCCATTTATATGAAAGTCCAGGCCAGGTGCAGTGGCTCACACCTGTAATCTTGGCACTTTGGGAGGCCGAGGTGGGCGGATCACCTGAGGTTGGGAGTTCGAGACCAGTGTGACCAACATGGTGAAACCCCATCTCTACTAAAAAACACAAAAATTAGCCGGGCGTGGTGGCGTGCGCCTATAATCCCAGCTACTCAGAAGGCTGACGCAGGATAATCGTTTGAACCCGGAAGGCAGAAGTTGCAGCAGTGAGCCGAAATCGCACCATTGCATGCCAGCCTGGGTGACAGAGCCAGACTCCATCTCAAAAAAAAAAAAAAAGAGAAAAGAAAGTCAGTAGAGACAGAAAGTAGATTAGTGGATGCTTGGGCCTGAGGGAGATAGGGTGATTGTGTGGGGGAGGTGATAGGTTACAGGTACTGGGTTTCTTTTGGAGGCAATGAAAATGTCCTGAAATCAACTGGTGATGGTTGTGCAACTCTGTGACTATACGAGAAGCCACTGAATTGTTCACACTAAACAGGCGGATTGTTTGGTCTATGAATTGTAACTTACCAAAGCTGTCAACAATAAATCACCATGGGGGAAACCGAAAGGAGAAATGCTGAGACCTCAGTGGGAAAGGCGGGAGGCCAAGTGCACACCAGGAACAACTGGCCTCCTGCCATGGAGGGGAGGGCATGAGTGTCCCCCAGCGAGGGGAGGGGAAGAGGGGAAGGCCTGGGTCCCAAGGCTGCCTCCCAGGAGCTGAGTGATGGCAGGCCATCACAAGGTCTCTCAGGCCTGTCCCCTCTATAGCACAGGGAAAAAACCTCCTATTTCACCGGGATGCAATGAAACATTAGACAAACATCTTTAAAGCCCTTTGTAACATGAATTCTATAAATAGTAATGAACGAATCCTTTGGGAAGAACTCTAACTCCCCCTAAAGGTACTGTCAATCATTTTTCAAAGGGAAATGATCCATAAAATTGGCAGCTCCTTACTTGGGTGACACAGTAGCAATTTTCCTCTTCAATGTCAGGCAGCAGATATTTACTTTCTCACATTTTTCCATTTAATACAATTTCTTGCAACTGTTAGGCCAGTAGATAGTGTGGACATAAATCTATTGTTGCCCTTCTAGAAATATTCAAATAATTTGTATGTGAATCTCCAGACCACCGTTGGATTCATGGACACTTTTCAAAGGATGTTGTCTTTTCAGTAAATAAAAGAGTTTGATAATATAATGTTTAAAGGGCCAAGTGACTGCAGTTTTCAATGCCTCTTGATGTATGAAACACCTTTCTCTAAAGGACCTAAGATATATCTGCTTTTTGAATAAAAATTAGAAGTGACATTCAGAGAAAGTCTTTTGTTTTTAATAAATTTCAATATTCCTATCATGTACCATATTGTAGTAGTCTGAAAAAAACTTTAGACTTGCTTTAAAAAAAACTGGTCCCATATTACACCAGCTGAAACAACAGTATTTATTTACCACGCCTGTTTCCCACTTGAGAAGATCCAGCTCCATGCATGAGTGGGAACCGTTCTTCATACTTTGCAAAGGGGTCACAGGGTCATTTCTGTCTTCATAACCTCTCTGGGAAAGTGGTTTGTGCTCTTCTGACACAGGACGCTGAGGCTCAAGTTCACAGAACCAGCCGTTAGTCAGACCCATTCAGTCCAGGGTTTTACAAAATTGTTGTTTACATCAAAACCAGCTAGTGGCATGCCAGCTCAGCTTCTAACATAAAGCAGTCTGGACGTGTGCAAATGTCCATGCCACCCCACTTAGGCATTTATCTGATCATGGGCCAGGCTTGGGTCGGGCACTGGGAACGTGGAGCTGTCGAGATTGCCCTTGTGCTCCTGGAAATTCCACGAGGGACTGAGCTTGCAGAGATGGAGGTGAGCATTGGCACTTTACCCAGGAGTCATCGGCCTTCTAGTAGAACACCACTCTGATTTCCTCCGGGAGATCACCCTCCGCTAGCACTTCCAGAGGCGACGACCTCACACTTGCTTCCAGGGGAAGCTGACTGGCCTGAGCCACACAGGCTGCTGCACGTGTTAGCACGGTGACCGCCGCAGGCTGCTGCAGGTGTTAGCACGGTGACTGCCGTAGGCTGCTTTTTGCTGCTGTAACACAATGCCCAAGACTAGGTAATTTACAATGAGCAGAGATGTATTGGCTCAACGTTCGGGAGGCTGGGAGGTCCAAGGTGGAGGGACCGGAACCTGGCAAGGGCCTTCTGGCTGTGTCATCCCACAACACAAGGGCTCAGAGAGGGGTAGAGAGAGCAAGAGGAGGCCAAACAAGCCCACTCCTACAATAACAGCATTCACTCAGTCAGGAGGACAGGGCCCTCATGGCCTGACCAGCTCTTGAAGGCCCTGCCTCTTAATACTGTTACAATGGCTATTAAGTTTCAACACGAGTTTGGGAGGAGCCAAACATTCAAAGCATAGCACCTCTCAGCATGGGTTCCTGACTAACGGGGGCCCATATGCAGCTCGCATGCATGAGACACCAGCAGCTACTCTTAGGATTTCTGGGGGAAGACCATGCAGTTCTTTTTGCAGGATTAGAAGCTGAAAGAATGCATTTCTCACAGTTCTGATGGAGGAGTTGAGTTGGAGCCACAAGCCCAGATAGCACTGAGTGCTGGGTCCAGCTGTACCTGAAGCCGCTACCCTTGTCTTCTTTTTTTGTTTTTACTTTGAAATGACAGGAGACTTAGAGAAAAGATGCAAAAGCCATAGAGGGTCCCCAGATACACTTCACCCAGCTAACCTCTTATGCAGCTACAGCACAATGATCAAAACTAAGAGATTAACATCCACGTAAAACCAACTACAGATTTTCCTCACATTTCATCCGTTTGGGTTTGTCTGATGTTTTGTCACGATGAGTGTGATGTTCCCAGAACTGGCATGTCCTCCTCAGGGAGTGGTGTTGGGGGTGCTGATGTGGACGTGTCATTACTGCTGAGGTTCATTTTGATCTGAGGGTGGTGCCTGCCAGGTCTCTCCACTGTGAAGTTACTGTTTTCCCCTTGGGAGGTGCTTTTAAGCTAAGCAAATATCCCGTTCTTTAAACCTTTGCCTACCAATTTGAGAGTGTGTCAGGGGTCTCACCTGCAGCAGCAAGTGCTCCAGCTTTGATCTCCCACCTTCCTCCCACATGAGCAGAGATTCTTCATCCAGGGGCACTGGTCCTTCTCACCCACTTTGTCACTTTATTTATATTAGTATGGACTCATGGATTGTTGTTTATTCCATGGTAAAAATCCAACACTACTGCTATTTTCTCACTCCAATTGCTCCCCTGGGCCCCTGCAAACTCTTCCAGGCTGGCTCCTGTGTCCTTGGACGCAGCCCCACGCCCTCAGGAGCGCATCCTTACGTTCCGATGTGAGAGGGTCCAGACTCATCTTGCATCTTCCCTGCCCAGCCCTGGAACCAACCACTTCAAGGAGCCTTTTCCTTTCATTGAGTTTACTCTGTTCTTTTATGTCAAGTGGGCCAATCAATTCTTTGTTTAAGCCAGCTGGACTTCCTGTGGCCCCACAGCCGTTAAGGAGCAGAGACAGGGACACTTCTCGGAACATGCAGGGGGCCACGAGTGAGCCTCCACTTGTGTGGACGAGGGAGGGAGTGCTCGCCTGGGAAGACCTGGGTTCTGTTTTCCGGGTCCTGCCTGCTGTCCCCTGCCCTGAGCTGACACCACCAACCAGACACCACTCAATAAGCATGGTGTGCACGCGACGAGCAACTGAGATGGAGCGATTCTTTTAGAGGTGTCATGTTTACTTTTTATTTAGGAGTACAAACTGAGACAAAATCATCCTTCCAGTTAGTGAGGTTTTGAGGGATCATACTAAAGAGAAGACAGGAAAATGCCAGTAATGGTGAAGGTCTTGAGAAAAGGACAGGACCCGCAGATAGCGAGAGATCAGAGGAGGCCCTAATTTCTTTCCTCATTTCCTTTCCAAATATCCCAAATGTGCAATGCATCACCTGAGACAGAAGGCAGAAAGCATCAAGCTCTCTGTTTATCCCAATTCAATGACAACCAGAACTTATTTTTTTTGAGATGGGGTCTCGTTCTGTCGCCCAGGCTGGAGTGCAGTGGGGCATTCATGGCTCATCGCAGCCTCCAACTCTCAGTCTCAAGCAACCCTCCTACGTCAGTGTCCTGAGTAGCTGGAACTACAGGCATGCACCACCACACTTGGCTCATTTTTAAAAAATTTCTTGTAGAGACAGGATCTTGCTACATTGCCCAGGCTTGAGTGCCGTGGTGCATTCACAGCTCACCGCAGGCTCAAACTCTTGGTCTCAAGCGATCCTCCTGCCTCAGCCTTCTGAGTGGCTGGGACTACAGGCATACACCACCATGTCTGGCTCATTTCTTAAACTTTTTGTAGAGACAGAGTCTTGTTTTGTTGCCTAGGCTTGTCTCAGACTCCTGGCCTCAAGTGATCCTCCTGTCTTGGCCTCCCAAAGTGCTCGATTATAGGTGTGAGCCGTGGTGCCCGGCCGACAACCAGAACTTTCCGCAGACCTTGTGCTTTTGGACCTTGGGTATCTTCTGCAGGTCAAGCCATCCTGACCACTCTGAGAACTTACCCAGGGTGACTCAGCTGTCACTCCAGGTCACTCATAAGCCCAACGGGTAGCTCCACCCGTGGACAGCTGGATACACTTGTGTCTGTTCTCTAAAGTCATGGATGACCTGACAAGAGGGAAAGGAAAGAGGGAACCTCCACTTCCCTGGGCAAGTTGGAAAAGGGTGAGGTGAGGGCAGGATTCCTTCTCATTGGAGATGGCACACAGAGGGCTTGGCCTAGTCCTTCAGCTGGGAGACCTCATACAGGTACGCGGCCAGCATCTTGGTTCCCTCTATGTAGTTATACCTGGTAGAGAGGAACACATCATTGTGTTGGCTGGTGTCGTGAGCCAACACCCAGGTGTGGGGTGACTCCTCCCGAGCCCAGACACACTCTGCCTTCTTCCTGGGGAGCATCCCCCATCCCAGCTTGGGGGCCCTGAGCCCTGCTTGCCTTCAGAATTCAGCACCCCGGTTCTCAAGTGCAGCTTCAGTCTGACTGCCCAGCCCAGAGACCAATCCTGGTCCCCTAGTGCCCCGGTAGTAAACGTCAAGCTCGGATCGTGGGCTCCTCCCATTATCCGCTTGTTTCTGAAGACCAGGCCTCCCCACTGGTCCTCGCAGCCAGGTCTCTGTCACCCCTCCCTCCTTCCTGCAGGGTCTTTGCCTCTGTCTTAGTCCTTGATCGTCTGCCTTGGTTACCCCAGGATGCATTCTTGCCTTCTGCCCTCCTCAGCAATTTTAGGGGCCAGAGGCCTCCCCCGGAACTACCCAAGACCCCTGCCTGGTGGGCCCCTCCTGCTCCCAAGGCTGGCTCAGAGGCTGCACCCGCCCCGTTGTGGGAAGAATTCCCATCACGTCCGCCCAAGTCAGGGATGTGTCAAAGCAGCAACGTGTGCAGTTAGCAATGACACTGCAATTCCTCAAAAAGGAAACAGAAAAATGAACAGGAAAAAAAGGAAATGGAGAGAGGGGTAGATGAAGTGCAGAGATAAACACTGCATGAACCTTGTTTTTAGCACCCCTCTCCTGCAAGGCCTCGTCCTGCCTCCCATCTGAAGTTCCCACTTCACACAAATACAGGAGGGCAGGTCACGGGGCCATCACCCCCACCTGCTTCTCTTGGCAGCTGCACACGGGGGGAAGGGGAAGGGGCGAGAGGGACGCTGTGCAGGAGACGCCAACCTGGGCCGCACCCTGGACTCTCACCTGTTGAGCTTTTCATTCTGGGAGTGGGCTCCGTCATCCGCTGACCCCACAGGCAGCAGCATGACGTTCTTGCCCGTGGCCTCCTGAAAGGTCAAGGTCACGGGAATACTGCCGCCTTCCCTGGTCAAGTCTGGCTCAACACCAAAAACTGGGGGGAAATGAAATAAAATAAACGGTGAGCTTTGGGGCCCTAAGGCTGGGGATCTGTCTCAGACCACTACTCAGTAGCACTCAGTCAGATGCTGTGCAAGGCCCTGGGGACAGCAAGCCCGCGTTCAAGGTCCGCCAGGGGTCCAGGCTCATCCCACACACTAGCTGTCCTCATGCTGACTTAACTACACGCCCCCACGATACAGCAGCGCCCCCGACATAGCTACACGCCCACGCGATATAGCAGAGTCCTGTCAGACGTGCGAAGGGCCCTGCGCGGCATCATCCACAAGGAGAGCGT
Source organism: Homo sapiens (assembly GCF_000001405.40). Classification (NCBI taxonomy): domain Eukaryota; kingdom Metazoa; phylum Chordata; class Mammalia; order Primates; family Hominidae; genus Homo; species Homo sapiens. Next base: position 74,518,645 of record NC_000018.10, on the reverse strand, counting down.
CCAACCTGTCTTCATGGCTCTTCTCCCAGCCAGGTAATGAGGGTGACTGAAGTCGGAGACCCAGGGCTTCCCACCGTGGCCCATGTACACCTTGAACTCATTGGGGCTGCGTAGTTCAGCAAACTTCTTAGTTAGGTAGCTTGTGACCTAAACCACAAATAGAATAGAGGTATACAATGCTTTATAAGCTTGCATTTGATCCAGTGCTAGTGACCTACGGGTCTGCTATCATGGGTCTACAGCGAGCTTACAATCGGCCTCTGACAGGTCTGTGATGGGTCTATGCTGAGTCTACGATGAGTCTCATTTTCTGTTGCTTAATACTGAGCTACATAACTAGAGTAAGGAAAGAGGAGACTTCTTTTTTTATTTTTTATTTTTTCTGAGATGGAGTCTCGCTCTGTTGTCCAGGCTGGAGCACAGTGGCGTGATCTCGGCTCACTGCAAGCTCCGCCTCCCGGGTTCACGCCATTCTCCTGCCTCAGCCTCTCTGAGCAGCTGGGACTACAGGCGCCCGCCACCACACCCGGCTAATTTTTGTCTTTTCAGTAGAGACGGGGTTTCACCGTGGTCTGGATCTCCTGACCTCGTGATCCGCCCGCCTTGGCCTCCCAAAGTGCTGGGATTACAAGTGTGAGCCACCGCGCCCGGCCAGAAAGAGGGGACTTCTTATCAAAAAATAAAACCCAGTTATTTCAAAGTAAAAGACAAAGTTTTAATATCAAGCAATTCACTCTTTCCAAAGATCTTCTAAATGATGATACTATTTAAATTAAGTTTAAAAACAATCTTCCCTGACCTGCTTTATATTATGGACAGAATGTTTGCGTGCCCCCAGAATTCATATATTTAAGCCCTAAACTCCATTATGACTACACTTGGGGACTTAACAGAAGTAACTAAGGTGTGAGACAAAGTCACAAATGTGAGAAGCTGCGTTTGCGCCATTCTGCTTGCCGGCCTTTCACAGGCTCCACCCTGCCACTACCTGTAGCTCTCAGGAAAGATGCTTTGAAGACAAAACGGGGGAGCACACACCACCCCTGCCTCTTGCCCGAGTCGCTGCATTCCTTAGGAGATAAATGACCCTGTCCTTACCTTTTCCCACACATAAGATAGCACCTGACCGCATTAGTGGTTGCGCCTCTGTGACCTTTGACCACATGTGCTCTTACACCGAGGCTCAGTGTGGCTTGGCTGGAATGTAACATCTGAGCAGGTGCGATGTGATTCAGCACGCACCGAAGCTCCTCCACCTGCAGATGAGCTGCGGGCTGAGCCGCTCTCTCAGAGCAGCCCAGCCAAACCTCTCCAAGGCTGCTCCTGGGCCCCGGGCCGCAGTCCGCATTCCTCAGTGAGGCGCCTGAATAAAACTAACTTGAATTCTTTAAAAGCCTAGCTTTTTTTCTTTAGTAGTTTTTTTTTCTCTTTCTAAACCTTATTTAGACAAAGGTTAAATGAGGCCAGAAGGGTGGGCCTGGGTGAGAAGATACCGAGAGCCTGCCCTCTGCCATGTGAGGACAAGCGAGGCCAGCGGCCACGGCCAGGAGGAACCCTCGTCAGATGCCACAGCTGCCGGCACCTTGGTCCTGGACTCATCCGCCTCCGAAACAGTGAGGAATCCGTTTCTGCCACGTAAGCTATCGCGTCTGCCACGTAAGCTACCGCGTCTGTGGTCTTTATTGTGGCAGCCTGAGCAGACCGAGGTACTTCATAAAATCAATGACCACAGGCTACACTGCATCCAGACCCAGGATAGAGCCAGGCGCTGACCCGGGGACACCTCCTCGTGACAAGACCTCAGTATTCAGCATGAAGGGTGAGCCCCAGGCTCCCATTCCCAGTGGGAAGACTCCATCTCCCCAGGAATCCCAGCTGAGGGGGACAGTCAGAAGCTGGGCTGACCTCCAGCCACCAGAGTCCCCTCCACAAGGCACCATGGTAAGGGGCGGCTCTGGGACTCTGACCAGAACACGCTTGGTCCAAAGTTGGTGTTTGGCCTGGAGCCTTGAGGTGAGTGAGGTCAAAGGCCAGATTTTGGCCTGCCTCATCAGTAACAAAGGTCACTTACATGTGATGCATTATCTTTGATTAGCTTCTGAACCGTGACTGTCATAATTACTGACTTGGCCAGAGCCAGGAAGCGGGGGCATGCATGGCCCGGGTGTCTGTCGAGTAACAGCCTATATTACCCAAGTCTCTGCCCGGACACAGTAGCTCTTGGCCCCCACCCCGTGTCCCAGCCCCACATGCCTGCTCGCCGACGACTTCAGGAGTCATGTTCGGCACGAGCCTGATGGAGAACTTGCCAACCACCTTCCTGGGAATCACGGTCTTGGCCCCAGACCCAGAGAAGGCGCCTTCGATGCCATGGAGGGACAGAGACGGGTACCGCCATCGGTGCATGAGGATGTCTTTCTGCAGAAAAATCAGAGGGTCAGGGACACCTCAGGCATTCAGTGCCAGCCCTGTCTGCTCACCGAGGAGCTGGGAATGTTGTCTGGGAAATGAGCGGTATGAAACAGGGCCTGGCCCAGGAGCCTGACAACCACAGGCAGGAGGTCCAGGTGCAGGTGCGACTGCAGTGAGTGACTCAGCACAAAGGAGGCCCCTGACAGGCTGCACACCCTCAGGTGAGGCATTTCACTGCCCGTCGCTGCAGCGTGGGTGGCTCAGGTCCACCTGGCAGAACTAGGCGAGCCACGCTGGCCACTGAGCACCTGTAGAACTGGGGGTGTCAAGGTCCCACAGACTTTGGAGCTCTTGATGAGCCAGAGGCACCAGGAGTAAGAGGGGATGCAGCCCAGGCTGTGTGCAGGCCTCTCCCAGGCCCATGGGACACAGGCGAGCAGCCCGTTCCTACTGAGAGAGGAGAGCCAGGCTGACCAGCACATCCGGTATGGCCCCCTGAATACCGATGATGCCATCTCCTCAGACCAGGAGAGACTTCATCTCCTGTTTCCCAAGTGTGTCATCAATATCATGACCTTCCTGCCTGCCCCCGCCCCCTGCATCCCTGCAGTAGCAGAAGGTGGGTCAAGAGAGTAGGTGTGCCCCCAAAGGGGGCTTCCAGAAGGTTCCTCAGTGACTTATCCACTGAATGTGTAGATTTCTGTTTGTCAACCAAACAGCTCAGTGTTATCTGGGAGGAACAGACAAGGCCCTAAAACACTGTACACAGAAGCAAACACGAGCCTGAGGGTCAGGGCAGGAGAAACAGACCCACCTTCTCCCAGGCCCGCTCCTCCCCGTGCCCAACCCCTCGGTCCCTGACATCACTGTCCAGTCACTGCCGGTGGGGACCTTCTCTTCCTATTCCAGAGGCTCCTCCCTGATGCCAGCCAAGGCTCCCGTGCCTGCAACAGCCTAACGGGTCTCCTAGCTCCACCGACTCAGCTCTGACATCCTGACCCATGATCTTTCCCAATGTGAGATCTGATGAACTCAAATCCTGGCCGGGCTCACCATCTCCTGGAAGACCCGGAGCTCCACAGCAGCGCCCAGGCCATCAGGCCGGCATGTCGGTCTCAGTCCCAGGCCTCACCCTGCTGCCCATCTGTCCCTAAGCAGCTGATATGTCTGTGCTCCTGCTGACCGGGCATGCCAGCCTTGCCCTGCACCTCTGCTGGCTGACAGGACCCTGATGAGCCTCAGCCGCTCCCAGCACCATGACCCTCCCCTCGTGCAGGCCCACAGCCTTTGGTACTGCCCAGCGTGGCCCTCAGCATATCCTTCCAGAGTTCTTGCCTGTCTGTCTCTGGGAGACAAAACTCAAGAGCCCAGCCGGGCCTTATTTCCCTTGTGTCCCAGGGGCTGAGTTGCTTAATTCAACTGATGCTGGCTCAATCAATGGCACAGAACTTTCATCTATACTGCATAACCCTACAGCCTGCAGAACTTACATCCGTACCGCATAAACCCACAGCCTGCGGAACTTACATCCATACCACATAAACCTATAGCCTGCAGAACTTACATCCATACCACATAACCCTACAGCCTGCAGAACTTACATCCATACCACATAAACCTATAGCCTGCAGAACTTACATACGTACCACGTAAGCCCACAGGCTGCAGAACTTACATCCATACCACATAAACCTATAGCCTGCAGAACTTACATACGTACCACGTAAGCCCACAGGCTGCAGAACTTACATCCATACCACATAAACCTATAGCCTGCAGAACTTACATCCATACCACATAAACCTATAGCCTGCAGAACTTACATACGTACCACATAAGCCCACAGCCTGCAGAACTTACATCTGTACCGCATAAACCTACAGCCTGCAGAACTTACATCCATACCACATAAACCTATAGCCTGCGGAACTTACATCCATACCACATAAACCTATAGCCTGCAGAACTTACATCCATACCACATAAATCTATAGCCCGCAGAACTCACATCTGTACCACATAAACCTAGAGCCCGCAGAAGTTACATCTATACCGCATAACCCTACAGCCTGCAGAACTTACATATGTACCGCATAAACCTACAGCCTATTAAGAGAAAAGTCATGACCCACTTTTCCCCTAAGTTAGGTAAACGTTCGGCACAGTTTCCACCTAGCACTTGGCTCTGATGTGGCTTAAATGAGCCCTGGGCCCAGCGGTAAGGAGGTTACTCTATAAACACAAACACAGCAGAGCCGCTGCCAGCAGGAGCCAGCCCATGTCCCCTCTGCATGCTTCTCCAGGTCTGATGGAATCAAAAGTAGATTTTGAAACTAAAAAATTCCAACGACCAGCAACCTGGTCACAGTCTGCTTTCTGAGTGACTCATGTGCATCGGACATTCCAGCTCTTCCCTCAGAGACCCCCTGGACCCAGGGAAGGTGACAGGGCCTGGGGGACACCTGTGTCACAGCGTGGCCTGGGCAGGTGGCAGAGTCGAGCCCTGAACCAGACCTTGTGGCTGTGCAGGAGGATCTGCGCCCCCACATCCTTGGCAAACTCCTCTATGTCAAAGTCGATGTCGTCGTACAGCTTGTGCTCCTCTTCCGTGACGGCGGCCACGGCCTCGTTAATGCCGGGGATCAGGATGTTCCCCCTCTTGTCCACCAAAGAGCCTGAGGGAAGCCGGAGAGGGTTACAGCACTCAGGGGAGGCCGCACCAAGGCGAGCTGCTCTTTCCTGCACCGACCCCAGGAAGCCAGGCTCAGGAGAGATGCGGCTCAGGCCCCACAGCCACGTGGCTGAGGAGGGGCCAAGAGCAGCCACAAGCGTCCACAGAATGATGCTCGCAGATGCATCCCATGCACATATCGCCTGTCAGGCACCGTCCGGGGCCTCAGGCTCAGCCAGTGATGTAATCAGCCAAACAGCCAATGAGGCAGCAGCTTGGGCATTCCCATTTCTCAGGTAAGGAGACTGAGGAACAAGTGGGGAAAGGAAATTGTCCTTGGTCATAGACCACGACGCAAACCAGCAGACTGGCTTCACGCAGCCCCACTCTAACAACCACCACACTGCCCCATGTGCCTTTTTAATGCGCATTCCACAAGAAACAAGCTGCTCCTGAGCTGAGGGGGGTAAACTGTGGGTATAACAGAGTGGACGTCACGCAGGCAGCTGGCGTTGGCAGGGAGGAATGGAGAGCTTGTGGAAGGTGCGGGAAGGGAGGGCTGTGCTTGGCCTGAGAGCAGGAGGACACCGGGAACAGCACGATGGGCTATGCCCGCTCTCAAAGAGCTGATCAGGCGGGGGGACCTGGATGGGGCCAGTTATACATAAGACAGGCCAAAACACACGCCCTGAGAGAGATGGAAAATGACCACACCAGAGAAAGGACAGCACCACGTGCCTCGAGGGGCTTGGCCAGACAGGACCTGGGGGTGACTGAGTTGGGTGCTGGAGGCAGGGCAAGGTTTCACCAGGTGGTGACAGGCACAGGAGGGTTTCAGGGGCAAAAATCAAACAAGGGGGCCTCTCAGAGGGACAAGTGAGTGGAAGGAGGGAGAGGCACAGTAGGAAACTGAGACAGAAGTTGGTTCATGTGGAATGCTGAAATGCACCCAATGCTGATGACAGACAGCCTGGAAGTCACGCCCATCCACTTCCCCTCAACTGCGGACTGAATGCCATCCCGCACTTACCCATCAGCAAAATGAGATCAGTCATGGCCTCATGCACCGAGCCCCCGTACACCCCAGAATGGAGGTCTTTGTTGCTGCACTCCACCTGCACGGAAACAAAGGCCACTGTGTCTGGCTGCCTAGTGGGAGCTTATTTTTATCATGTGACAGTAAATTCAACAAAGAGCATTTACAAGGCCTGACAATTTCCCAAATCAAAATTTGCTCCCTCAGGGAGCAAAGCAAGGCATTTCCCAAATTAAAAACCTAGGCAGGAACAAAAACATACCAGCTTATCTGTGGCATATGCCAACCACAGATAAGACGGTAACACTAGCCACAGGTACAAGCATTCCACAGGGCAATCTGCCTACCACTCAAAGCCTTTGCTAGAAGTTTAACAAAGACCCTGCACCTCTGCTGAGAGGGCAGCCCAACAGGAATGAGACCCACCACAAGCCTGGAGCTGGAGACCTGGGGTCGGACCTCGCCCTTGCACTGAGCAGCTGCATACCCAGCGTAGGGCAGCTGCCTGCTGAGTGCCCGGCCTCCTCGCCTGCAAATGGGAAGAGGCGTAGTGCTCCTCCCAGCACTGGGGATGACAGGCAGCCACTTTTAAAACCAGAACAGTACCTTGCTCAGAGTGAGGGCTCAGGGCAGCAACTGCAGTGATTTCTAGCACTGTTCAGGTTATAAATGACGTCTGCAGACAGGACCTAATTTAATCACCACAGTCATCCTGTGGGGTATTGGGAGATGACCACCAGCCAGTGAGTGGCAGAATCTAGCCAGGCCTGTCCCTTCCCACTCTTGGTGCTGCCTCGGTTTCTCTTTTTTTTTTTTTTTGAAGTGGAGTCTCGCTCTGTAGCTCAGGCTGGAGTGCAATGGTGCAATCTCCACTCACTACAACCTCCACCTCCCGGGTTCAAGCGATTCTCCTTCCTCAGCCTCCCGAGTAGCTGGGATTACAGGCACCTGCCACCACACCTGGCTAACTTTTTGTATTTTTAGTGGAGACGGGGTTTCACCATGTTGGCCAGGCTGGTTTCAAACTCCTGACCTCAAGTGATCCATCTGGCTCGGCCTCCCAAAGTGCTGGGATTACAGGCGTGAGCCACTGCACCCGGCCTCGGTTTCTCTTTTTCCCGTGCGTCACTTAGTCATGGGATAAGGAGCCTAAGTGCTAACATATAAATATTTCCACCTTCAAAAGGAAGTGTTTCTAAAATGCTTTGTATGTGTTTGCATCTTCTGAAATGAACTAGCATTTAATCTCCTCTCAGCCGCTCCAAAGCAACATTACAAATCACACTGTCCTACCTTGATGCTGCTGTGAGATTAACTTCTGATCACTGGAAGTGTTGCTGTCCACCCTGGTGTAGGACGGTGGTTTATGGAAGCTGGGAATTGGGGCACTAAGTGAGCCCTGTGCTTCTCCTTCCTGTGCACCTGACTTCTGGGTCCTTGTCTACTTTGCGTTTGGGAGAACCGGGAGATTCAGGGGTTAGAAAGAAGTGACCCGTACAGCTTGGCACTGTACCTCGATGAAAAAGTAGCAAATGCCCCTGAGGCCGTAGGTGATGCAGGGCTTCTTCTTTCCCAGCCAGTAATTGTCAGAAATGCAGACATAGTCCACATCCTTAAAGAATGTGTCTTTCCGGGCAAAAATCAGCTCGTCTAGGCCCTCAGAGCCTGACTCCTCCATGCCTTCGAGGCAGAATCGGACGTTGACAGGAATCTCCTGTGAGAAGGGAACAGCACGAGTGGATATTCAGCTTTGCGAACCTTCCTTCTAGAAGCCACACTCAGGATTACATATTTCACATCTCCGGCATTCTCCAGACAGACCACATGGGCCTCCGTGTGCACCTGTCATCACCCCCTCCCCAGGTACTGCCAGGCCGCTGTGGCTCCAGGCCACTTGGACTGGTCCAGTCTCGCAAGGTGGGGCTCTCTGGAGTCACCCCACATGACCGAGGGGAGCTTCCAGGAAAGCCTGTGCTGCTCCCTCTGCAATAAGGGCCACGACACGAGGAACACCACGTGAGTCCTGATTATACCAGCGGAGCCACCGACACGAGGAGGTGCGGGTCCTCCTGTGTGACCTTCGCTGCTCCCGGGCACAGAAGCGCTGCTCTCCCCGAGGAGCCTGATGGGAATGTGCCCACCTTGCCGTGTGTCTGGATCATTGTGGCTTTGCAGGTGCTCTCCCGACTCTGACCCCCACACCCAAAGGTGAAAAATGAGGTTGTGCGTGAAGCTGGCGATTTGCCAAAGGCCAGGCAGGCTAAAGAACATCAGGGCCTAAATGAGGACTCAAGGCTACTGAGTCCTATTTCACGACCACCCAGGCTGCCCCCAGACAGCCCTGTTCATGGATGTGCTTCCTCCCCTGCCTCCTCCTCCTCTTCTGCCCGTCACATGAAATCTTCCACAGGACCTCTGCCCGTGCACAGCCACCTGTCACACTTGGTTGCCCCAGAGCCCGAGGTGCCTCCACTGCAGCTGAGGCTGAGGGCTCCACGGGGCCAGAGGTTGGGGAGGCTTCCTAGTTCCCGCCCAGCATGCAGGCTCGGCCGCACCAGGCCAGGTGGTTCTGGGTGTCACCTCCCCACCATGTAAAGTAATCCCCCGGACCAGCAGGGCTAAGACCCTTTTCAGACCTAACATTCCATGCTTTGACAAAAATGCTTATCTTATTCTTATGTCACCATGATACAAGATAAAAGCAAGATGCAAAGATGTCTATACAGCATGATCACAACTAGGAAAAAAGCAACAGAAAATCTTGGTAGATTTCAAAATACTAACTGTCTTTGGATTCTAGGCAAGTATTTTTCTCTCTACTTGTCCGTTTTTTAGCAAACTTTGAACAACGAACAGATATTTCACAGGTAGGAGAATGCTTTTTTTTTTTTTTTGAGACAGAGTCTCGCCCTGTCACCCAGGCTGGAGTGCAGTGGCATGATCTCGGCTCACTGCAACCTCTGCCTCCCTGGTTCAGGCGATTTTCTTGCCTCAGCCTCCCAGGAGCTGGGATTACAGGTGCCCACCACCATGCCCGGTTAATTTTGTAGTTTGAGTAGAGACGGGGTTTCACCATGTTGGCCAGGCTGGTCTTGAACTCCTGACCCCAAGTGATCCACCCACCTCAGCCTCCCAAAGTAATTCCTCCCAAAGGAATTACAGGTGTGAGCCACTGCACCCAGCCAGAGAATACATTTTAAAAATCAGAATTTATTTTTAGGAGGACGTAAACCACACAGAGACAGTGAGGGGCCTGTGTGATGTGACAGAGCCTGCACTATGTTCTGGCAAGGGACCACACTCACAGAGACAGGCAGGGACTGAAAAGTCACATTTCATGCGGTGGCAAAAATCACGCTGAGTCGCCAATATTGTGACCTTTAAGCAGCTGTAAAACAATTACACTTTGAATGTTTCCTAAAGCTGGAAAACAAACCTATACTCTTACATCCGAGTCATCTGTGCTGATAAGGGCTGGGGGACGCTTGTCTTATCTTTTCCTGTGAGCTTTATAAGCTGTTGTGTGAACAGAGAGCCTGTCTTTGTATGGCTCAGATGGAACCCAGGACTCAGGCAGAAGTCAGCGTGGGGGGCATACCTGGCCTGTTTTCTGATACGCTTCCAGGGCGTTTATCCAGCCGGCCACCGGGCCCTTATCATCAGTCGAACCTCTCCCATACAGCTTGCCTAGAACAGCAATCCACAAATTCATAAAGTGATGATTACAAGGAACCCAGAAGCAGCGTGTCTCAGGTGCACATCTGATAACCCCTTAGCCAAGCAAACACGAGAGAGGCTTCCCCTTCCGATCAGGAGCCCCCAATTTCCACCCAACACTATCGTTAAATTTGTCAGAGAATTTGGCATCATCAAAGAGATAAGCCACGTGGATGCTCCCAAGAACCCCTTCCTTCTCCCACCGTGGTCACGGTGGTCAGGTGGGGGCATGGCTTCCTGCTGGGTCAGGGTGGAGACCTCCAGTCTAACTCCAGGGAGTCGCAGCCAGCTGCTTAGTTCATTAAAACCCATTTACCAGAAGCAGCGGGGAGCAATGGGGACAGGAAGCCCAGTCACTTAGGAACCTCAAGGCACCGTTGTCAAAAAAGAACCATAATCTCACCCCCACCCAATTGTGACACCTAATTTGATAAAAAAACAAAGAACATGTTTATCATTTAACCTCTGCTTCTTTCTTTCTGTAGTTATCACTCTGAAAACTACAGACAAGACGCTGCTTCTAATCAGCGTCATCAGTCACAGCGGCCCCTCACCACAATTGCTTCTGGGGAAGCTGACAACACAAGCGACAACTTGAAGACAAGGCCCCACGCCTCCTCCATCCTCTGCCACGCAGTCCCGGCCTCATGGAACCAGAGGAGGGAGCCGTCCTCAAGGCGTGGCCTTCTCGTGGGCCTGGGTCTGCGTGGCCAGTCTCCTGACCTCCCGGGGCTCAGCCTGCTTCCCAGGTCCCGCAGCCTCAGCAGGCCCCAGCCCAAGGTAGTATGAGGCTGAAAGTCATCACCACCTGGGGAATTTCCTTTGACGAATGAAACCCAACTTTTCACAAAAACTGAAGATCAAATATAAGCTTTTCTAAAACAACAATCCTTATCCCTACAACAAACACTGAACAACTACAGCGGCTGGCACGGTGCTGGCTCAGAGCTGCCGACAAATGTGACCTGCCCCCACCCTCCAGGGCTCCCTGACAAGGAGAGGGAGGCCGGGCGGCTGGCAGTGAGTGAAGTTTTCCCACAGTACAGGTGCTCTTCTAGGTTCCTTGACAGTCAGGAGCCTACTGAGACTGGGACAGGGAGGGCTAAGAGGATGGCTGGAGGCAGGCCTCACAGAGGACGAGGCAGCGGTGATGGGGCTGACGCCCGCGCAGGTGCCCAGGTGCAGTTTTGAGCAGCACAGGCTCCTGGGGGCTGCACGTGGTCCCGTGTGGCTGGGTACAGGTGGGAGAAGGGGCAGGCAGAAGGCAGGTGAGGGGAGGGACCCTCTGTGCCATCCTGAGTCCCCCAAGAGGAGTCAAGAAGAGAAGTGGCATGTTGAGGTCACTCTGGGAGCAGCCCAGAAAAGGAGTGGCACCGTGAAGGCCCAGAAGTGGAGAGCAGGACCCAGCCACGGAGTGGGTGAGGGGGACAGGGAGCTTTCAACGTGGGAAGGGCAGTGGTCCCAGAGGAGAGCCTGGCAGGGATGGGGACCCAGTTCCCAGTGCAGGTGGCAGAGAGATGGTGCCATCCGCGGAGACTGTAAGACAGCGGACAAGGAGCAAAGACAAAGACTTCTGTCCAGAGAGAGCGAGTTCCAGGAGTGAGGGCACGGCCAAGCAGACAGGTGGGTCTGACGCTGGAGGGGCGCCCAAGTGCACAGAGAGGGTTAATCCTACAATCCACCGCAAGTTAGTAATTCCACCGTGACAAGGACAATGACATGGAATTACATCTCATAAAAAATGTTGCTTTAAGTAAAGTCAGTTTCAGTTTTGCACAGTAATGAACACAACTGACACTGGGCCAGGAAAGGTTTGAACACAGATGCAATGATCCAGTTGGAAGGGCTTCGATGAGAAGAGCCTGGAACTTAGCCCAGAGGGGCCCAGCATGAGGGTGGGAGGATTCCTCATCTGGTCAAAGCCTCCCGTGCAGGCACATGTGGAAATTCAGAAATGAAAGCAGAAGGCCTTTACACCAGAAGGAACAGGAAGAAAAGAGGCTGGCCTGCGGGGTCCCTCATAGCACGGGCCTCAAAAGGCCTGCAGGTGCCAGGCCCACGGAAGCACTTGGTGAATAACAGGGACATCGCCACCCCCACTGGGGCAGCCAGGGTGAAGGAGGCCACTAACATATACCGCAGAAGCAGCTGTTGGTAAGGGCCGGGGAGGGGGACAAGGGGACAGGCTTTTCAGGAAGGCCCTGCCTGGATTCCAAATGTGCATTCTGAGAAAAAGCATCAGCAGTAGAGGAAGCCTGGCAGACGCCAGCCACGGGGGGCTCATTTGCACAGGAAAAGGCAGGCTTTCTGGAAGTTCAGCAACAGAGGCACCTGTAAGAAACCTCCATTTCTAGCTTACGTTAAAAACAGTCTGTGCCCGGCGTGGTGGCTCAAGCCTGTAATCCCAGCACTTTGGGAGGCTGAGGTGGGGGGGATCACTTGAGGTCAGGAGATCAAGACCAGCCTGGCCAGCATGGTGAAACCCCGTCTCTACTAAAAATAAAAAAACTAGCCAGGCGTGGTGATGGGCGCCCGTAATCCCAGCTACTGGGGAGGCTGAGGCAGGAGAATCGCTTGAACCCCGGGAGGCGGAGGTTGCAGTGAATTGAGATCTTGCCATTGCCCTCCAGCCTGAGCTACAGAGTGAGACTCTGTCTCAAAAAAAGATTTTTAAAAAGTAATAAAATAAATAAAATAAAATAAAAACAGTCTGTACTGGAAACAGAAAAACGGACTAGCAATGACTTTCCAAAAGTCAGTGCCTTTCCTCTGGGCACGCATAGGCGCGCGGCGCTCACCGTCTCGCTCCACCAGGGTGAAGGGCTCGCTGTCCCAGCCGTCCTCCAGGGCTGCAGGCTGCACATCCAGGTGCCCGTAAATGCACACGGTCTTCTTCTGTGGGTCGGAGCCCAGCCTGCCGAGCAGAATAGGAGGGAGCGGGATCTCCGAGCCATCAGGGAGCTGAGCATGGAGAGGAAAGGAACCAAGGACAGCCTTTGTTTAAGAAATTCAGTGCTTAAGGTGGAGATTATTAAAAGACCTTGAGCTTCCTTATCTGTCCTTATCAATCAACCTCTATTGTAGAGTTTAAGAGCACACTGTTCAATGGAGTCACTAATTAAGATTTACTTTCTTACTTTCTTGTACTCCAGAGCACATGTACATGTTTGCCAATTGCAGGCAGTTTGGTAAATTTTTTTTTTTTTTTTTTGAGACAGAATCTTGCTCTGTCACCCAGGCTGGAGCGCAGTGGCGTGATCCCAGCTCATTGCAACCTCTGCCTCCCAGGCTCAAGCGATTCTTAGGTCTCAACCGCCCAAGTAGCTGGGATTACAGGTGCCGGCCACCATGCCTGGTTAATTTTTTGTATTTTAGTAGAGACAGGGTTTCACTGTTGCCCGCACGGTGGTCTCGAATTCCTGAGTTCAGGCAAACCACCCACCTCGGCTTTCCAAAGTGCTAGAATTACAAGCATGAGCCACTGCACCTGGCTGGATTTGGTAAATTCTTAAAGGCTGGTTTTTCTTTGACTTTTATATAACAAAACACGCAGGCTGAGTTCGGGATGCAACTTAGTTTATTATTTTCTGAAATGATGGTTAAAATAAACTATAATCTTAAATCAGAAGAGGTATTTTTGAAATTCTGTACATTGATTACAATTATGCATGGAAAATGCCATAAACCAAGATATATATAAAAAAATCTTTATACCTAAATTCACATTTAGCCATTCTAAAAAGTTAGTGATAGCAGGTACGCCTTCTGAGCTTTGTCCCAGAAGCACTACCAATATTCCACAATCCCATAGGAATGGAGAATGGGACAGGCATCCCAGCCCACCCCTGCATCTAAATGGAGGCAAATCAATCTTAGGTCTTTTCCAGTTTTCACATCAGGTCAGTGGTCTCCACCTTTTACTTTAGACTATGGCCTACTCAGGCTGTGCAAAACTCCTGTGGCCATGTAGCTCCTCTACCAGTGCCTATATTCCAATAGGAAAATACCCCATGATCATCACAAAGTGTCACAAGCAAGTGGCAGGAGATGCTTTTAGCTGTAGGAGGAAGAGACTGTTCATACTAAAACATGACATACATATATATTAGTCTAGTTGCTAGAAAATACTGTTCATGAAAATAGGTATTAACAGACACAACGCAAAAACTAAATTGATAATGAAGTTAAATTAACAGTTTGCAATTAAGAGGTAAAATGAGCAGTCACTGAAATGACAACTGGATCAGGACAGTGCTGGTGATAGGCTGAGAAAAGTGTCCCTTCCAAACTGCAGGGCCTCCAGCTCTAAGTGTACAAGCACTTTACGAAACTGGGCAGGTGGCTGGGATTCTTATGGGATCCAGGATTTGTGTTCCCAGTAATTTAAGTAACCCCTGCAACCTGAAGGCTGCTAGTGTGCTGCGTGTGGCCTGACGCCCCTCATTTGTCCCAGCGGCAGTGTGGCTGCGTGTGCAGTGTATGGCCTGACGCCCCTCATTTGTCCCAGTGGCAGTGTGGCTGCGTGTGCAGTGTATGGCCTGACGCCCATCATTTGTCCCAGCGGCACTGTGGCTGCGTGTGTGGCGTGTGGCCTGACGCCCCTCATTTGTCCCAGTGGCAGTGTGGCTGCGTGTGCAGTGTATGGCCTGACGCCCCTCATTTGTCCCAGCGGCAGTGTGGCTGCGTGTGTGGCGTGTGGCCTGACGCCCCTCATTTGTCCCAGCGGCACTGTGGCTGCGTGTGCAGTGTATGGCCTGACGCCCATCATTTGTCCCAGCAGCAGTGTGGCTGCGTGTGCAGTGTATGGCCTGACGCCCCTCATTTGTCCCAGCGGCAGTGTGGCTGCGTGTGCAGTGTATGGCCTGACGCCCCTCATTTGTCCCAGCGGCAGTGTGGCTGCGTGTGTGGCGTGTGGCCTGACGCCCCTCATTTGTCCCAGCGGCAGTGTGGCTGCGTGTGTGGCGTGTGGCCTGACGCCCCTCATTTGTCCCAGCGGCACTGTGGCTGCGTGTGCAGTGTATGGCCTGACGCCCCTCATTTGTCCCAGCGTCACTGTGGCTGTATCTGTGCCTCAGTTCTCACCAGGACAGCCTGTACCCACCAGGGACAAAGAATTGTGGCTGAAATCTCTCTGCTCTGGTCCCAGGGAACCCATGGCTTTGGCAGTCCCAGCTGGCCCTCAGCTTGCCTGAGCAGAAAAATGATTTTCAAATGACCACAGATTTTCTCTACATAAATTCCTGTTCAATAGGGCTCCTCTGAAATACTTAGGCATTTTCTGAGAAACTGCTTTGGCCCACAGGTAAAATTGTTCTGAAACGCCCAACATCACCTTTCCTTCATCAGCTGAAAATACTCTGACTTCTGCACTGACACAGGAAAACACCCACTTCCACCTTCACCCCTGCATCAAGTCATCATCACTCTGAAAAACAGAACACCACTGCCACATGGACATGCGGGAAGAGAACAGAAGATGTGTGGTCACCCCACACCGCAAGCATCTCTGCAGAAGATTCCACCAGTGATGAAATATTTCAATTCCTTGATAAAAATCAGTGTTATGTAATTCAAAATAGTATAACAGTAATTTAGTTTTTTATGAAAGGCCCTTTCTTAAGAATTGCACAGCAATGTCAGTGATCAACGAAGTAAATATAACTATTGTAATGAAACAACTCCTAAAAATGATTTACCTCACCTAGATTTTTCAATATATTAGGAAAAAAAAAAAAACGAAAGGGAGCAAGGTGAGTCTGACCCTAAAAAGAAACAACATGAAGAAACTTGGTTTAGTCTCCCAAAGATGGGGGGAAAATTGGTGGGAAGCTATAATATACCCTAAGTCAATTATTAAATTTGTTTTCAGAAGAAAACCTCAAATGAATAGCACTGCCTGGGGAATCAGGAGGCCTGGGCATGAACCTGCTCTGCATGAGCCTCCTGTGGGCTCCCAGTGGACAGAGCTGCCTGGCCTCCACTCTCTCCCTCTGATGAAACGAATGCGCTGAACTGAATGGCCACACTCAAGCTTCTAGTGCTGTGATTTCAGATTGACACCCAAATCATCAGGCCAAAGAACCGAGATAAGCCATAGCTTATCATTAGATCAAAGAATATAAAAGAATATTACAAACTTTGAAAATATATGGCATGAAACATGCAATTAACATAAGGCTGAAATCATTTGAAATAAACTAGTGAAATAACATACAGTAAGAGGCCGGGTATGGTGGCGTGACAATTTGGGATGCCAAGGCAGGTAAATCGCTTGAGACTAGAAGTTTGAGACCAGCCTGGAAACATGGTGAAACCCCATCCCGACAAAAAAAAAAACCAAAAAGACAAAAAAAACACACATATATATACACACACACAGTAAGTCCTCACTCAACTTCATGGATAGGCTTTTAGAAACTGTGACTTTAAGTGAACAAAACTACCTTATTCAAGGACCTGTTGTTGTATGTTGTCTTGCTTAAAGTTGCAGTTTCTAAGAACCTATGGATGACGTGAGTACTTACTGTACCACAAAGTGAGACTGTTCATTTAGCAAGAAAACAAACCATTCTCACCTGTCAGAATCCTGCACTGAAAAACAACAGACCCCCACACAAAATATCTCTTATGAAAAAGTGGCTCACACCTGTAATCCTAGCATTTTGGGAGGCTGAGGCAGGCGGATCACCTGAGGTCAGGAGTTCGAGACCAGCCTGGCCAACATGGCAAAACCCCGTCTCTACAAAAAATATAAAAATTAGCTGGGTGTAGTGGCGCTCGCCCAGCTACTCAGGAGGCTGAAGCAGGAGAATCGCTTGAACCCGGGAGGCGGAGGTTGCAGTGGGCCGAGATCACGCCACTGCACTCCAGCCTGGGCGACAGAGGGAGACTCTGTCTCAAAAAAATAAAAAAAATAAAAAAATAAGGCTCAAGGACGCAGCACTGTGTGTGAGGGGGAGCCGGGGGTTGGGGGGAGTCTTTATAATTTTTAAATGGACTTGAATAAAGTGTAACTTCCTAGTTTGAAAGCTTATGGATTGCTGGGAGGGGAATCTCAGCCATTCTCTCAGAATGACTGTTACATTAACTTAGTCCTGAGTAACTGTCAGCAGTTCTCCTTCCTGGAGAAAAATGCTGAGTGCCACAAAACCTTTGCCCCAATCCAACTGAAGCAGTCACGTACAGAACTTACCATCCAAATCAGGCCCTTCCTTTTTTGTTTTAAAGGTGAGTGGGGTATGTGAAGCAAAAGATCTTTTAAGAACTTGTGGCGTCTTGTCAACCCCTCAGGCAGAATCTGTCTACGGTCCTGCAATGCAAAGAATGTTGCCTCCTACCTTTTGTTTTCCGATATCCACCAGTTCCACAGAGCCCCCCAACTGCTTAACATCTGCAGCAGCAACTTCCATCATCCTCCTGATTTCGCCTCTCTTCTCCGGCCACGCAGACACACTCTGGATAGCCACCCATTTTGCGAGTTTCTGTTTGTGGACAAGAAGCAACGAGGGATTCTGAAAAGGTGTCCTTGAGGGAGAAGAGGCTCCCGTAACGTTGCCACATTCCAGGCTCACCCTCTGTGGCTGCTGCAGTTGAACAGGCTGATTGGAAATAGGACAGACCCATCACGTGTGCTTTGGGTTAAAGATTTTAAAAACTGTTTGTACTGAGGGAAGAGAGAGACCCTCTCATATTGTTTTACACTCAGTACCTGTTTAAAAACAAACAAAAAAAAAACAAGGAAGTGAAATCAAAGACAGGCAGCCCGGCGCCAGGCCCAAAACCGGACCCGGGCCTGCCTGGCCTAAACCTAGTAGTTAAAAATCAACTCATGACTTAAAAACCGATGTTATTCATAGATTCCAGACATTGTATAAAAGAACACTGTGAAATTCCCTGCCCTGTTCTGTTTCTCTCTGACCACCGGTGCATACAGCCCCTGTCACGTACTGCCTGCTTGCTCAAATCAATCACGACCCTTTCATGTGAAATCTTTAGTGCTGTGAGCCCTTAAAAGGGACAGAAATTGTGCACTCAGGGAGCTCGGATTTTAAGGCAGTAGCTTGCCGATGCTCCCAGCTGAATAAAGCCCTTCCTTCTACAACTCGGTGTCTGAGAGGTTTTGTCTGTGGCTTGTCCTGCTACAGTACTAACCCTGTACCAAGAACTAGAGTACAAAAGAAAAATGTCACATGGTTTATTTTTAACAATTAAGGAGGAAGTAAATGTAAAATGTACCAGGTTCCGTAAATAAGTTTTTATCTGAATGTGACTAAATTACAACTGAAAGATACAGAAAATACCCAATGTTGCCACAGTCCAAATTAGCTTATTTATCATCCCGACAATGGCCAAATTTTCTAAAGTATAATTTTAGCATGAGAATTCTAAAGATTTCATCTGTAATGTATGTACGAAGAATAACTTTAAAACATAATGCTCTAAGTTAACATCAAGAAACAGATTAATATATAACTATTGAATTACTTAGAACATACTTAATGCAAACTATTTAATCTGTAACTATCACAAGAAATTGTTGATGGAGATGAAACAAAAATTTCAATTAGATTTGCTATTCTTAGAAACATACATTAACACTTTGTCAAAAACCAAAAGTGTAACCTATGCCATAATAAGAAGCTAATGAACAGATCTCTAGGCAGATCTTCTAACCCTGGATTTAAATGGCATAATTCATATTAGCTCTTGACAACTTCTCTGGGCCCCATGGGATTAAATCAGATTTTACTGTTTCCTAAAATGAATATTCCCTTACCTTAATGTAGCGATCCTGATTTTCATCTATGTACTTAAACAGGGTAGTGAGGGCCGCCATCTTTCAACCAGACCCCAGACCGCAGATCTCGAAGGTTCTTGGAAGGAAGAGCAACTGGTCAGTCCTGTCTCTAGTGGAGACTGAGGGGCGACCTGCCCAGAAAGCACGTGTTCAGAATTGTAAATTGTTGCCCCACCCTCCCAGCCAGCACTGCAACACCCAGCCAGAGACGCTCCAGGAAGTGACTGCGGCTTCAGAGACAAAAACTTTGGGAACCAGTTAGAGGCTGGGGCTAAACTTCCCTTCTTTACTTGGAAGGAAAATTACACAAAATTCCGTGTCAGATGGCAGGTAACAACAGAGGGAGGGCCTGAGTTGAAGAAAATACAGTGAAAACTAAAAGTAGGCACTTTTAGTTTTACTGGTACTTTAATAAAAATTTTTACACTCTTAAAGCACAAAGATAAGTTTCACTTTCTGTTATTGCAGAGGATATAGTCACTTCAGGGATCCCAGCAAGAATGTCACATCCTGTGTCCACCACCACAAACCCACAACACAGACGACAGAGCCCAAGGAAAACCAGATTCAGTTTAAGAAAGTTGATGATCTTAGTCCAGAAACAGCCAAAGGGCATCAGCTAAACCTCCACAAGCACCTGACCAAGAGGCCACACAGGCTCCAGCGCGCATGCTCTCACCCCACTTCCATGTGTGACACCCAGCAACTTCCGCCCCACTCACAGATAGAGGTGAAAACACATCCTCAGACTCTTTTTGTTAGTCACAATGAATACAATGGAAAATTGATTCTGGTATTGGGACTTTTATAATTGGCTTTCCGCAGCAGAAAGCACACAGCTGTACGGAGCAAATTCAAAACTGCGGGGACATGAAGTGCCTCAGAGTCACAGCTGTGGAGTGACAGGACCCTACTACAGCCTCGTGTCTACATGCCAGACAAACGCCTGTGCATTGACATGCTGCAGGTAAAGAGCATTGTTTCCTTGGTATAGGCTTTCAAAGTGATTTCTCAACAGAGAGGTGACTTTATCCACCACGACACCAAGCGTGGCAACTGTTCAAAAGTGGCTGTTGCTGTGCAGGGTGATGAAATCGCAGGGCACTGCAAGTTGCAAATGTGATTTCTATGTGGGTGGGACATCCAACCACTGCCTTCTCAAGTGCCCTCTTCCTCCTCTTCAAACACTAGCCACAGAGCATGGAATGGTTATATACCTCCCAGCCAGCTCGGATCTTTCTGCTGAGGCACTCATTTGGAGGAGCCTCAAGTAAGATGGAGCCCATGAGCACGCTGGAGAGGCGTTTATCAGTGTTAATAAATAACACTGTCATCCACCTGTTGCCAAAAATGTACGCAGGGAAGCTACCTGTTCACATTAAAGGAAATCCTATTTAGCAGGACAATATGCTACATGTGGTGATTTTCATCTGGGTTCCTGGTTATTAAATGCCACAAATCCCAAGCTCACTGTGGTACATTCTCATTAATATTATTCTCTTGTAGTCAAATTAACCAGTGGCATTGTAGCTAAAGTCACTCAAAAATATAGTCACGTGCCACATAACATTTCCATCAACAACAGCGGTGGTCCCAAAAGATTATAATGGAGCTAAAAAATTCATTTTCTGTCTAGATATGTTTAGATACACAAATACCTACCACTGTGTTACAACTGCCTACAGCATCCAGTAAAGGTACATGTACGGGTTTGTAGCCTAGGAGCAATAGGCTACACCATATAGCCTAGGTATGTAGGAGGCTGTACCATCCAGGTTTGTGTGAGCGCAGCTCAGGATGTGCACACAACAACGAATCGCCTAACAATGCATTTTCTTGGAATGTATCCCCATCCTTAAGCAACATATGACTGTAATTATCTAAGTTACGACTTTCACTAAAAGAGAGGAAACAGGGATCAGATTGTTCCACCATCAGAGATGGGCTAAAAAGCAACTCCTGTTAATCACTCATCCAGTCAAACCAGGCTAGGCCAGGTTCCAGTTTCTCCTCCCATTCACACTTCTGGGTTACTCCTGTTTCACTTCCCCCCACCTCCCCCGTTACAAAGCCATTAAATGGAACCATTTTTATATGCTCTGGAGAACACCACTAATTAAGGTAAAAGCAGTATGCTGATTTAAGCAAAAGCATTATCCTTTTAAATGACACCTCACTCCCCTCTAAAAATCTAAAGTTCATACGGAGTAACTTTATTTATTTATTTAGAGACAGGTTGTCATTCTGTCACCCAGGCAGGAGTGCATTGCTGTGATTTTGGCTCACTGCAACCTCTGTCTCCCAGGCTCAAATGATCCTCCTGCCTCAGCTTCCCAAGTAGCTGGGACTGCAGGTGCGCACCACCACACCCAGCTAATTTTTGTATTTTTTGTAGAGACGGGGTTTGCTCGTGTTACTCAGGCTGGTCTCGAACTCCTGGACTCAAGCGATCTGTCCGCCTTGGTCTCCCAAAGTGCCGAGGTTACACACATGAGCCACCATGCCTGGCAAGGGAGTAACATGATTTAAATGTTGAGACTAGTGGAGGGCAGGAGAAATTGCTGTGGCACCTGGAACCGTCAGTAGTACACACAAATGAGTCTTCTAGTTCTGAGAATCTCAGTCCCTGTCCCTTGATAATTGAAGGCATATATAACACAAATAACTGAATCACACCTTCATGTCTGATTAAGAACCAATAAAAGAATCTCCAATCTGCCCAAGCTAGAACTTGATCCCTAAGCATAATGTGGACTTCTCTTCCTCCACTCCTGCCTGCAAACATTAGGGACAAGGAAGGTATTGGTAGCAGGCCCCGGGTTCTCCGCCTCTTCCTGCAGTCTATGCTTGGATGATCTACGGAATCTGACCTTGGCAGGCGGTGGGGAGTTTGGTTTGGTGGCCCTGTCTGTGAGGACCAAATATTGTCTCTATTTCACAGATGAGGAAACTGAAGCCAATTGAATAAGACACCTGCCCCAGACCATCAAGCTGGCATGGGAATTTTGTCTCCCCTCAGACGCTTCCTCCTATAGCCTTAAACGCTGCCTCAAATGCTGGCGGGAGCTAGGGACGCTGTCCAGGGCCCTTTGAACCTGGGAGGCTTCTGTCCCGCCACACTCCCCACCCCAGGTCTCCGGGAAAGGGATCCGTTGGAGAAAGGCTGGAGTTCTCAGCAGGCCCCTGGGGAGGGGTGTGGCCTGACCAGCGCTCGGCTCCCCGCAACCCCATCTCCAACCCGGGTCGTTCCACTCGACTCCACCAGGGAGGGCCACGCAGGCTCAGGCCAAGTGCGCCGCCCAGCTTGTCCCTGCGTACCGGGGACGCGCTCGGCGCTGCTGGGACACGAGTGGCCCGGAGGTGCGAGAGGCCCCGGGGCCATGGCCGTCACGGGCCTCCGCCCCCGACCGCGCGCTCGGGAACAGCCCGGACACCATTGTTCCCGCCTGGCTGCGGCCGGGCGCCCCACGCTCCCCCACGAATGAGGCGTGACTCTCGCCGCTGACCCGGGTCCTCCCCGCCCAGCCCGTTCCCAGCTCAGGGCGCCCACCCGGGAAGGAAGGTCCATCAGGAAGACCCACCTGGGAAGGAAGGCCCACTAGGCAAGGCCCTGTTACCAGCAGCAAGCGCGGCGCCGGTTCCGTACCACGTGTCCCGGCCACGACCCCCGGCGCTGGCCCGCCCCGCGGTCGCCCTGGCCACCAACCCCGCCTTGTCCGGAGGGCAGGCATCGCCACGCCCCCGCCACGCCCACCAATCCAGCCACAGGCAGAGGGGTGGTGTCACTCTCTCCCCGCCCCATTTCCGCCCTGAGCCAGGTGCGGAAGGTGACGTCACCTCTCCCAGCTCCATTTCCGTCCCGCCCACCAATCCCGGCCTGGTCCACAAGGCTTTCGCCTCGTCGCCCCTCCCCGACGGTAGACGGGGATGTGGGCGTGGCGAGGGGGCGGAGATTTCGTGGGTTGGGATTCAGGGGAGGCAGGGCACACGGGAGCGCGTGTCCGGAGCTGTGGGCTTGTGCTGTGCTTCCCGGTTGCTCTTGGGTGGGCGGGGGGCCTGGTGCTTCAACGGTGGGGTCCGAGAAGTCGCCTGCAGTGCGGCAATGGAGTCCAAAACTAGGGGGCCCTGACTCCACCCTCTGATCTCCCAGGCTCCGGAGGTCCCACGACGCTCCCATTCCCTTGCGCATCCAGCACTGCACTTTCCGTTGCGTTTCAGTCCCGGCGGAGTCGGGGCACGGACTCCTGCGGGTCACACAAGCTCCAATGAGAGGTCGGTCTGAACTGGATTAGGAAAGCGTTCGCCAGCATCGTTACCAGTAGTGGAAATATTTTAGTATTTGTGTCCCATGACCCTAGGAACTGATGAAGGAAGCAGAGCCAGCACCGTGTTTGAGCGTCTGCGACAGCGCTTTCCTTTTTAATCTTAACAACAATTCTTGGGGGTAAAATTGTTATTCCCTAGTCTGCTCACTTTTCCAATAGAGTGTTCTCAAAAGACTTTCTTTAAACTTGTACCACTACCACATTCTTTAAGGAGTGATGGCTCGGGAGTTATTATTTTTTAAAAATGAATTTAATAGTTGTAAGAGATGTATACGTTCCCACATAAAGTAAAATGTTAAAATTGTCTCCTCCCTTAAAATTTACATGGTTTGTTTCCTCTTTTTATATTTATTTATTTATTTATTTATTTATTTATTTAGAGACAGAGTCTTGCTCTGTTGCCATGCTGGAATGCAGTAGCCCAGTCTCAGCTCACTGCAAGCTCCGCCTCCCAGGTTCAAGCCATTCTGCCTCAGCCTCCCGAGTAGCTGGGACTGCAGGTGCGCACCACCGCACCCAGCTAATTTTTGTATTTTTAGTAGAGACAGGGTTTCACCATATTGGTCAAGATGGTCTCGATTTCTTGACCTACTGATCCACCCGCCTCAGCCTCCTAAAGTGCTGGGATTACAGGCGTGAGCCACCCCGTCCCCCCCATCCCTGCCTCCTCTTTTATTTTTTATTTCTATTCCACATCCCTCATAGAATTTTGTTAAATGTAACATTTTTATACTTAATAGTCTTACTCATATCCTAATCATTTCTCTACAACAGACTATGATAAAAATTTAAATTAATATTTACTTTGCTATAACCAGATGAGATTAGGCATGTTCAGGGTGGTATGGCCATAGACACTTTGCTATAACCAAAAAGCTTTAAGTATTAACATTTTTTCTTCTGGATTAAATTCTCATAATAATTATTGTACATGAATGATAAAAAGAAAAAACTATATTACACATTTTGCAAACATTGCAAAAAGTAAACATTGGTGGAAGATACATCCTTTAATCATATCTACTGGGCTTTTAAATAAATTCGTTCAGGTATCCATAAATGAGATTATTGCTGAAAAGAGGGTTTGGTTAAAAAAAAAAACAAAACACACACACACACACACACACATATGTATATAGCAAAAAGAAGTGATTTAGAGTAGAAGCCATAACACACTACTGTTACCAAAATTTAATAGGCTCAAGGTAAGAATAAATAATGAGCAAAGAAGTAGTTGAGAACTTTAGAGCAATCAGATGCTTCAGTCCAAGTGAAAACATGAAAATGCATTTGCAGTACTCAGTGTTGAAGAAGTTGGTGAACATGTTTCTCCTATGAATCTGAATAAATGTTAAGAAAATACAAAACACAACATTTACCCTTAATATAGAACCCTGTTACCTGGAAATATGTTAATTGTCATTATTCCCCTGGGAACAATGTTAAGTCAGTACCTGATCAGTGTCCTTGATTAAGGAGTTGTCCTCCAGTGATACCATGTGGCATTTCAAATTGTCCCTTTGTCTGGAGCATGCCAGGCTTCAAGAGTTGATGACATACAGCATCAGGAACAATGCCTGGCACTGAGAAGGTGCCTCATGAGTGTTAATTACTCATCCTTGTGCAGGGACCAGGACTCCTAGGAACAGGAGACCCTGGCTGAGGTCAGCAGGTCAGTTGCACCGCCTACATGCTCTAGGAGAGAGCCTCTGGAAAATTTGAGAAGCTGGAGGTTGATGCCCTTTAGAACTCTCTGAGTCCCTAAGTTTCCTTGTGCCCTCAGTCATCTTTCTCAAGACCACTGCCTTACACAGCTGGTAATGCAAGTAGCTGGTATTGGAGCCTGTGTGCTCAGTTCTGATTTTCCAGCAGGTGGCCCTGCAAGTCCATTGCTTCTTAAAGTGTGCATTGCAGGTGGCTCAGTGGCAACAAACCTGAGCTTAAAGAGCTACATAAATGTGTTCCTATTCCTCTCTGATGATTTTGAGGACAACAGGGACATTATGAGAGAAAACAAAGAAGTATGAGGATGAGTGACCACAGGTTAAGTACTTCAGAAAGAGAAAGGCTGTGACTGTTCTCAGAACTTAGGGAATGCAAACATTGTAAAAGTCACTGTTGATAACAGACCCACTCAAAAAACAAAATTATTTCAAAATAAAAAATTAATTTAATATTATGTGATTATTCTAATAAAAATGCTATGGTACAAGAACAACAACAACAACAACAAAACATTAGATCATGCTTCCAATTGCCGAAATTTGTAGTTCTCAGCATGAGATGGAGTTTAGTCTTCAGAATCTGTCATGTCTGTTTAACCAAACTTTTGTTTTTATTTTTTTTTTTTGAGATGGAGTCTCTGTTGCCCAGGGCTGGAGTGCAGTGGCATGATCTCAGCTCACTGCAACTTCTGCTTCCCAAGTTCAAGTGATTCTCCTGCCTCAGCCTCCCGAGTAGCTGAGATTACGGGCGTGCACTCCCACGTCCAGCTAATTTTTGTATTTTTAGTAGAGACTGGGTTTCACCATGTTGGCCAGACTGGTCTCAAACTCCTGACCTCAAGTGTTTGCCCACCTTGGCGTCCCAAAATGCTGGGATTAGAGGCATGAGCCACAACACCTGACCTGTTTAACCAAACTTAACATACAGACAGTGGGAGCATGCATTCCCCTGGAAAACAGAGAACTTTCCTGGGAACAGAGACCACTTTGGAGAGTATAATTCTTCTCCAGAAACCCATATTCAGGGAAGGAGTTGATATTTATGTTAGAGAATCCCTGCCAAGTAGGAAGGCATAAAGAAGAAAGCAGAGTATAAAGAGGTTAGGAAGGAACAACTACACGTAGACGTCACATTTCGTTAGCTGTAAGCAGTTGGTCAGTTCCAGTCCACTCAATAGTTGGTCTCCAGGAGACTCTCTGGCCCTGTGTTCATTCCCATGGCATCACCCAATCTAATTCTCCAGCTCCAAATGATCATATTTTCTCTGACTGGCATATCCCCCAGGCCCTTCAAATATCAGTATGTCCAAAGCCAAACTTGATTTTTCTCACCTCCTGCCACCCCTATGGTAGGCAGAATTCTAAGACTCCTGGCCCTCCCCTTGGGCACTGGTGGGGCTGACCCAATCAGGTGAGCTCTTTGGAAGAGGGTGCAGAAGTCATAGATGAGAGAAGTCAGAGAGATTTGCAGCTGCAGCAGATGTTCTCCCTCTGGCCTTGAGGAGTGAATGCCACATTGTGGAGGGGGTCAAATGGCAGGGTACGAAGGGCGGCCTCTGGGGGCAAGGGCCTCACTTATGTGAATTCTGCCAACAATCCAAATGAGCTTGAAAGCAGATTCTTCCCCAGTCGAACATCCAGATGAGGACACAGCCTGGCCCACACTTTCAGTAGTCTTGTGAGACCCTGAACAGAGGGTCCAGCTAAGAGTAGCTCAGATTTCTGAGCCACAGAAACAGAGACAAGAAGCAGGTGTTGTTTGAAGCTGCAAAGTCTGTGGTGATTTGTTACAGAGCAATAGAAAACCAATACAATCCCACGATGGCTCTTCATTTAATTTGCAACCTTCCAATCAGTTAGGGACCTTTTGGACTTTACTTCTGAGATGACTTCATTTGCTCCCTCTCTCCATCCTCTTGGCCATTGCTCAGATTTGGGCCTCTCTCTTTGCCCAACTGGACCTCTGCTTGTCAGTGGCTGCCATGGCCCCAGAATAAAATGCAGACATCCTCACATGGCACCTAAGCACATCTTGATCCACCTAGACCCACTTCCATCTACATTTTCTGGACATTTCCCTCTTTATTCTGCAAGCAGAGCCTGAGAAACCTACCAGGAGTAGGAAAATACATGTTTTCTTAGTGGATTTTGCTTGTCCCATATATTTGAATGTGTTTCTTGCACAGATACAATTTTAAACTTAAATATCAGGAATTATTCAGTACCTAAGGGAATCATGAATCAATCTCAATGTACTTCACATTTCACATATCCTTTCTCATCAAAGTACCACCCGTGTGGTCAAACTTGCTACAATTCTTATGATAAACATACCTCACCTTAAACATATTGAATTCAGAATTTTTGAAATTGAGAAATTCAAGAATTGGAAATCTCTGATCTATAACCTTTAACATGGTTCTGAGGCCAGTAAAACTGGTAATTTTTAAGGTTATCTCATTCAGATGATCAGGAAAGTAGACCGTTACCCACTGTAAGTCTTATATCAGTGCATATTTATTATTATTTTGAGACGGAGTCTCACTCTGTCTCACCCAGGCTGGAGCACAGTATGCTCTCAGCTCACTGCAGCCTCCACCTCCTAAGTTCAAGCAATTCTCCTGCCTTGGCCTCCTGAGTAGCTGGGATTACAGGCACGTGCCACCACACCCAGCTAAGTTTTGTATTTTTAGTAGAGACAGGGTTTCACCATGTTGGCCAGGCTGATCTCGAACTCCTGACCTCAGGTGATCCATCCACCTCGGCCTCCCAAAGTGCCGGGATTACAGGCATGAGCCACCGCGCCAAGCCTTTTTTTTTTTTTTTTTTTTTTTGCATACGTATTATTAAGCCCTATGTGTACTTCCCTTTGTTTTGCTATTTCTTTGGTTGCATGCCAAATCTAATTTTCACATCATGGTTTGTGAGCTGATTAACCTGTATAGTTGGAACTCTTATGTCTTGTGTAGCAATTGTAATATGCAGACAGCAAACTCTTAAAGAAACAATAACCACCATATTGCTCGTCTTATAATTTAGAGACTTTTCCCATGTGTGAGTCTGTCATCAGAAAGAACACCAGAGGCTGTCACTGCACACACTCTGAATGTGCCACCGTAACAGAAAATGCAAAAAAGGAAATAAAAGATGGCCGGGCACGGTGGCTCATGCCTGTAATCCCAGCACTTTGGGAGGCCGAGGTGGGCAGATCACGAGGTCAGGAGTTCGAGACCAGCCTGACTAACATGGTGAAACCCTGTCTCTACTGAAAATACAAAAATTAACCAGGCGTGGTGGTGCATGCCTGTAATCCCAGCTACTCAGGAGGCTGAGGGAGGAGAATCTCTTGAACCCAGGAGGCGGAGGTTGCACTGAGCCGAGATCGCACCATTGCACTCCAGCCTGGATGACAAAGCGAGACTCCATCTCGAAAAAAAAAAAAAGAAAAAAAAGAAAAAAAAAGAAAAGCTTTGATTTTACTAATAAAGTAGAAGAATGTTTCCTCTTTTAAAAGTAGCATGGATTATTTAACATGTTTCTTTTTAGTAGTTACATTTTCAGGGAAAGATATTATGTTATTTTATGCTTTTATAAAAGTACAGGACATTTAATGGCTTGGTCTAGAAGGTTATATGTGTGTTTTCTGATTTTTTTTTGTTGTTGTTAACAAGCTGATTTAAAAAAAGCTACTAGGCCAATAAATCTTAGTCCCGACTATGCCTCCAGAACTAACTTTCTTAGTAAATTTTATTGCTTCATGCCATGGATTAAATATTTGTGTATCCCTAAAAGTCATATGTTGAACCCCTAATATCCTATCTGATGGTATTTGGAGGTGGAGACTTTGGGAAGTAATTAGGTTTAGATGAGTTCACCAGGTTGGAGTCCCCACGACGGGATTAGTGTTCTTATAAGAAGAGGAAGAGACTTTCTCTCTCCCTCCCTCCCTCCCTCCCTCCCTACATCCCTTCCTCCCTCTTTCTCTTTCTCTTTCCCCTCCCTCCTCCCTTGTTCCCTCCCTCCTGGTCTCTCTCCCCTCTAACGACACAGTAAGAAGACGGCCATCTGTTAACCAGAAGTGGACCCTCATCAAACATGAAATTTGTCGGCACCTTGATGTCGGACTTCCCAGATTCCAGAACTGTGAGAAAAAAATGCCTGTGGTTTAAGCCCTCCATGGCTGTGGTGTTCGGTTATAGCAGCCTGGGCTGACAAAAACATCTCAGTTTATAATTTCAGCTTCTTGGCTAAACACTTAGTTCTCATATTAACCCTTAAATATCAAAGGATGACGGGAAGTTGCAGTTGTCTAGTCTAAGACCAAGCAGTCAGGAACGTCCTCTGAACACCTCATAGATCAGCTGGGGTTTTGATTTGGCAAAGTTCTCAATAAGAATTTGAAGGCTATATGGTTGCATTCTCATATATTCCTCAAGAACATATAGATTATTATAGGAAGAGCCAACATTCCTGGGAGGGCAATATCACAGACATACTGATTGTCTTTGCATTTTCTCCAGACCCTCTCCTGTCTCCAGTTCGCCAATGGATTTGTCACTTCTGAATGTGCCCAGCTGTTAAAGAGCAAACTCCCGAACCTCCACAAGGTCTTCCTGTGCCTTGCCACTTTCACCAATGGATCTAATTCCGGTCCATCTAATTTCTCCAAAGGGTCCCCAGTCCTCCTCTGAGAGGCCAGCATTTGCCTCCTCCCCTCCACCTTCAAGGTCCTTTAGTTACCCAGGTCCATAGGCTTTCAGGATATCACTTCCTTTCGAATTTAACAGGTCTGACCCAGAACTCACGTCACCTGAGGAACGGTCGGCTTTCTCATTGTGGATTCTGCTCGTTAACTTAGGGCTGCTGTACAAGGTGCCATAAATCAGGTGGCCCCAAACGACAGCCGCTTATCTTCTCACAGTTCAGGAGGCCGGAAGTCTAGAATCAAGGTGTCTGTCCTCAGAGTTGGCTCCTTCTGGGGCTTGAAGGCTCTGAGGGAGGGCCTGTTTCATTGTTTTCTCTCCTTTCTGGGCTGTGCCAGCAATCCTTGGTGTCTGCTGGCTTATAGCTGCCTCACTCCAGTCTCTGCCTCCATCTGGACATGGCCATTGTGTGAGTCTGTTCTCACACTGCTGTAAAGAACTACTGAGACTGAGTAATTTACAAAGAAAAGAGTTCCGCAAGACTGGGGAGGCCTCAGGAAACTGACAACCATGGTGGAAGGTGAAGGGGAAGCAAGCACATTTTACCATGGTGGAGCAGGAGAGAAAAGGAGAGTGCCACACACTTTCACACCACCACATCTCATGAGAACACACTCAACGTTACCAGAACGGCAACAGGGATATCCGCCCCCGTGATCCAATCACCTCACACCAGACCGCTCGCCTGATACATGGGGATTGCAGTACCGGATGAGATTTGGGTGGGGGCAGAGACTCAAACCATATCAGCCATCTTCCCTCTGTGTATGTCTGTGTCTATGGCCTAGTAAGAAGGACACCAGTCATTGGATAGGGCCCATCCTAATCCAGGGGACCTCCTTTTACTTTTTTTTTCTTTTGAGACAAGTCTCTCTCCGTCACCCAGGCTGGAGGGCAATGGTATGATCTCAGCTCACTGCAACCTCTGTCTCCCGAGTTCAAGTGATTCTCATGCCTCGGCCTCCTGAGTAGCTGGGACTACAGGCACCCACCACCATGCCTGGCTGGTTTTTGTATTTTTAGTCGAGTGGTTTCACCATGTTGCCCAGGCTGGTCTGGAACTCCTGACCTCAAGTGATCCGCCCACCTCAGCCTCCCAAAGTGCTGGGATTATAGGCGTGAGTCACCGCGCCCAACCCCTTTTAACTTTTTTAAAAAACGTAATTTTTTTTTTTTTTTGGTAGAGGCAGGGTCTGCCTGTGTCGCTCAGGCTGGTCTCAAACTCCTGGGCTCCAGTGATCCTCCCACCTCAGCTTCCTAAAGTGCCAGACTGCAGGCGTGAGCCACTGCGCCTGGCCTGACCTCCTCTTAACTGGATGGCATCTGCGACGACCCCATTTCCAAATAAGCCACATGCATATATTCCAGGTGGGCATGACTTTTGTGGAGACACTATTTGACCAGGACAGATCTATACTTATTTAAATATGACTGACATGATTTTCATCTGAAATGGCTTCCACATTCAAACACTTCTCTTATTTGCACAGCTGCCATTCTCTGGGCCTTTCTCTCCTTGTGTCTCAGCTGCGGCACCCAGTGTGCTAGTCCAGTGCGTCCCTCCCGTCACTCACCACCAGTCCATCCTACTGTATGGGTGGGAGACAGAATACCGGCTTGCCTGGCTACGCACCTGCTGCATGCAGGGGGCTGCAGAAGCGCCTTATGTGTGTTAGAGAATTTAAGCCCCAATGCTTTATCTGCAAAACACGATTTAATTTTTTTATAACTATACTTGATTGTTATCTCAAAGGCCCAGGTCTATCTGATGTAGAAACTAATAGAATCCTTTCCAGATAGAGGCACTCACTCCAGTGAATTTTCTTAGTTCCCATGGGACCTTAGTCGTAGTTAGAATTCATGTCCCTCCCCTCGCCTCCTGTTTTCCCCTCTGCCCCAGGTTGATGTGAAGCTCATGGCTGATGCCAGTGCTGCTGTCTATGGACAGCAGGTGTCTTTTCAATTTGTGTGTCCCCAGCCGCAGGGGGTACGAGTTCTGGCCTAAGTGACAGCAACAGGATAGATGAAGGACTGCAGGGACCAAGTGACCCCTGGATTCCTGCTTCACTTCATCCTGCCACAGTCTCCCACCTAGTAAGTTGTGTGTCCCTGCAGAGAGCATTTATGAGCACAGAAAGTGGGAATGTGCTCTCTGCCCAGAATCTGTTTCTCTAGAATAATGGCTTGTACATGTGGGACAGTACAACACCCCACAGGTAGTAACTTTTGTACCTAACAAATAACCGTGTGTTTTCCAATTCCTAGCCCAGGAAGATGCTTTGAGAATGAGATTGAAAGCAGGTTGGGGAGGGTAAGGCAGCTTCTTCCTTGCTCTCTGTTGATCTTTAGTCTTGTCCCCCCACCCCACCCACCCACCCACCCAGCCTTTACTGCAGGACAGGCTCCTTTAGGGTCGGGACCAGGCCTAACATATTTCCTGAACCTCCCTGGGTTAGACTTTCAAGCAGCCAGGAACAGAGTAGCACACAGGTTGCTAAGGCTACCGGGGCTTACCAGGGAAGAGCTTCTCACGGTGAACTGGGAGAACACGCTGCGTGGGACGGCCAGCCCCCCTCTGATGACCGGCAGCTGCAGAGGCGTCCACACCATGGGATGGTCAGCCCCCCTCTGATGACCGGCAGCTGCCGAGGCGTCCACACCACCCGGCCTTTGTTCCCTGCTGTCTGTCATTCTGCTGCTTCCAGTTTCTACTTGGATACTTTGTTTCCCACATCTCAGGTTGAAATTTCTCAAAAGAGAGCCTGTGATTCATTTAGCAAGTTATCATTAGAACTAAACTTCCCCAGCTGGGCAGGATGCTCACTCCAGGCTCCCTCCAGGCCACCAGAGCCACTGGCCCAATCCCACATGCTGATGGCTGCCTTTGGGTCTGGTGCCCACCTGGCAGAACCGCACAGCACACAGTGCAGCCATCTGTGCTTGGGGACCCCCTAGAGCAGTGTGGGCATGGAGGGCCTTCTGGGACTTGTCCCAGGACACGGGCTGCACAGCTGGCACACCCCACAGGGCCTGTGGGACAGCCCAGCTCACTGGACACATGGCAGGACAGGCCTTTTGGCCATTTTCACTGGCTCACTAGGGAAAGTGCGGGAAAGAAGCAAGCAGCAGGAGGCAGAAGGTTCCCGTGCCTTCTTTCCCCACAGTTTTGGGATCAGGTTGGGACTCTCTCTCTGCATTGTAAAAACAGAGCTATTTTTATCCTTAAGTTAAAAGCTGCCGCTGGACTCAGTGCATGCTTCTTGATTCCATGGTCCCCAGGCAGCATTTTTATCCAAGAATCTAGAGGGGCCAACCTGGGCAGAGAAGTTCAAGTAGGCAGTTAAGAAGATGCAAACAAGCATACAGAATTAAGCCCTTAAAGTCTTGTAAATCACTACTTTGAAGGAACTCCAATTATTCCCATGACTACCCTCCACCCAAAACAGCAGCAGCAGCAGCAAAACCTAGTCTAAACATTTTCTATGAGTACTTCTTGCTCTCTGGTTCAGAACAATTATATAATACCTTAACTCTAAGTATGTTAAAGAAAGTTAATTTAATGAATTCAAAAAATTGGCTGCAATCTCCTCCAATTCAGTGAAATCTTTCTGCACTATGCCACAGATTTTCACATTCAAAAAGCTCAAAAGAGCTTCAAAACATAAGGCATCGCTTTTTCCACTAGTACTTACAGGCTTTTTACAAAGGTCAATAAAAACATCATGGAGGCCGGGCGCGGTGGCTCACGCCTGTAATCCCAGCACTTTGGGAGGCCGAGGCGGGTGGATCATGAGGTCAGGAGATCGAGACCATCCTGGCTAACAAGGTGAAACCCCGTCTCTACTAAAAATACAAAAAATTAGCCGGGCGCGGTGGCGGGCGCCTGTAGTCCCAGCTACTCGGGAGGCTGAGGCAGGAGAATGGCGTGAACCCGGGGAAGCGGAGCTTGCAGTGAGCCGAGATTGCGCCACTGCAGTCCGCAGTCTGGCCTGGGCGACAGAGCGAGACTCCGTCTCAAAAAAAAAAAAAAAAAAAAAAAAAAAAAAAAAAAAAAAAAACATCATGGAATGAGAGTAAATCTCAATGTGGCTGTGGTTAGTGGTTAGATCTGTCGTTCTGGTTTTTTGTCCTGTGCTGTCATGTCTGCGCCTTCCGGACAGTATGTTCTCTGTTTTACTGCCGTTATTTTTAGCCATACATATATTTTTTTTACTAGAGATAGAGTTTGGCTGCCATGTGTCTGAATAGGAGTCTTGTGATCAGCTTAACACTGCGTTTTTCTTTTTTAACGTTTGTCTTTTAGAGATGCATTACTGTTGATGTGTTAGTGTGGCACATAGATTTTCAAAATATGACATTTTGAAAGACTGTTCTGAAATATCACTGTACGTCATGCCAGCACAAAGCACCAGCCAACACCGAACTTTGACCTCAAATACTGAACTAGCCACATGCCTGGCTCCATATGAATTTGAAGAGTAAGTGAATAAATGAATGGGTGGATGAAGCTATTCTTTCTTTGCTTCTTTCCTTCTCTGCTTCAGATCTTCCTCTCAAGCAGGTTTATAGCTGCAGGAAAGTTACCATGCTTTCTCTTCCCCCAACTCTTCCCACACTGGCAAGCAGAATTATATATATACAGTGAGAGTACATATATAAAATATGTATTGGCCAGGTGGAGTGGCTCACGCCTATAATCCCAGCACTTTGGGAGGTCAAGGCAGGCAGATCACCTGAGGTCGGAAGTTCAAGACCAGCCTAACCAACATGGAGAAACCCATCTCTACTAAAAATACAAAACTAGCTGGGTGTGGTGGTGCATGCCTGTAATCCCAGCCACTCGGGAGGCTGAGGCAGGAGAATCACTTGAATCTGGAAGGTGGAGGTTGCAGTGAGCTGAGATCATGCCGTTGCACTCCAGCCTGGGCAACAAGAGTGAAACTCCATCTCAAAATATATATATATATATATATATATATATGTATTATCTATGTGTATATGTACACATATGTGTATTTATATATATTTATGTAGACTATAAAGGTTTGAGACTCAAGATTATAGTTACTTATAATCTGAGACTGCACATCTGAATAAATGCATAAAACTACTTTTGCAGGTTATAAGTGCCTATAGGCAATCTAATTCTATCCAAGGCAAAAAATAAGTATAATCCCTGACCCCAGCAAAACTGCAACACAGTCCAAAATTTCTGCCATATGTACAGTCCTTGGACATAAGGAAAGAAAGCCCCTTCCTCGATTCATGTACAGGTTTTGAGATGCTGGACCAATCGCCAGCTGGGTGTGACAGCTGTTTAAATAGCCTTCACATGGTTCTACGTTTTCAGGTATACTTGAATTGAATCTTTAGATCGTATATGAAACTAAATTATGGTAACTTCCCTTGAGGTTTCTTGCAGTCATTAAATCGAAGAAAAATGCAGAAACGCCCTTTAAAAAATACCGTTCAGTCCAGGTGTGGTGGCTCATGCCTGTAATCCCAGCACTTTGGGAGGCCTAGGTGGGTGGATCACCTGAGGTCAGGAGTTCGAGGCCAGCCTGACCAATATGGTGAAACCCCGCCTCTACTAAAAATACAAAAATTAGCTGGGGTGGTGGCGCACATCTTTAGTCTCAGCTACTCAGGAGGCTGAGACAGGAGAATTGCTTGAATGCGGGAGGTAGAGGTTTCAATGAGCCAAGATCCTGCCACTGCACTCCAGCTTGGGTGACAGAGCGAGACTCCGTCTCAAAAAAAAAAAAAAAAAAGAAACAGTACCGTTCAAAAATTGTAATGCTTAGCAGTTCACAAAGTACGTTTCATTATTCATTTCATTCTTCGATCCTCAGAGCAAACCTCGAGGCTATATTTTTTCCTCTGTAATCTGCCACCTTTCTAGTTACTTTCATTTAACCTGCATGTGTGGCAAGCTGAGGGTGGTGGCTGAGAAGAGGGGCTGTCTTGTCTACATTTGTGAAAACATCCTTGTTAGGCTTTCCAAAACCCTGAAAGGTGACTGGACTCATGCATTTTTGTCTTTTATTGAAAAAAAAAAGACGCTCAACATAAAAAAGTTAACTTTGGCAGAATTTCCAAAATATAGTTTAATTCTCAAAATGTAGTTTAATTTCCATTTGGCATTTCTAAGCACGGCTTCACAAAGTCCCCCATTTTTTGTATTTCAAAGAGAAAACCGTGAACTTCTTGTTGGGAGAAATGGTAGCACTCCACTTGTGGTTAGAGGTTCATGTACCTGAATACATGAAGAGAGAATTTATGTCATGCTGCGGCCCATCACACGAAAGGAGACTTCAGGAAACACACAGGTCGGAAGCGGGCAGCTGCCCCATGAGCAGCACAAGGGGAGCTTTGAGAATCCCGGGCTCTCACACGGATGCCCACGCTGGGAAGGTCTGAGATGGCCGGTGGCCGAGTTTACTTATTGGGTTCTGTTTTCATGTATGCATTGTATTATGACAATAGCTTGAATAAAATGATTTATTTTTATCATAATCATTTGCATCTATTCTACTCTACTAATGTATTTTCATTACCATGCCGTTGTGAGCTTCAAGCTAATTTTGAAACTTTGCAACTAATCATGCTGATTGACAGGTTTGTCACCTTCTACAAGGTGACAAACTGTCAGGATTCATCTGTGAGCCTGGGGTGAGCCTTCTGGATTTATGTCATCCCTAGATACTGCAAGAATGCCATTATTCATTTCCCATTTATTTTTTTAAAAATCCAAATATTTGAAGGTTATATTCACTAATTAATCAGGAAAAAACCTTTGTTTTATGTTGAATCTTGCTTGTCCTCACTCCTCGTATTGCATGGATTATGTAGAAAAGAACTGAATGCTGGATTTAATTATAAACATACAACACTTGTTGCAGCTTACTTCAGATTTAAAATAAAGGGACTAAAACATAATAAAAATATATATGTGTTCACCCAAAATTATACTCATTAATCAATAACTCGTAGTAGATTTCTGCCAAAGCATCTCTGTTGTACTTACTGTTTCACGATTTTTTATATCATCACTATTTCTAAGCCAAGGTGGTTTATTCTTCTGCAAGTAAAGGCAGTTAAGAGATGATGGTTTCAATTTCCCTGTTTTATTTTTAATTAAGTATTATTATTTTTTTTAAACAGGGTCTTACTCTGTCACCCAGGTTGGAGTGCAGTGGTGTGATCTCAGTTCACTGCAGCCTCCATCCCCGGGTTCAAGTGATTCTCCTGCCTCTGCCTTCTGAGTAGCTGGGAGTACAGGCATGTGCCACCATGGCTAGCTTATTTTTGTATTTTTAGTAGAGAAGAGGTTTTGCCATGTTGGCCAGGCTGGTCTCAAACTCCTGACCTCAAGTGATCTGCCTGCGTCAGCCTCCCAGAGTGCTGGGATTAGAGAGGCATGAGACACTGTGCCCAGCCTAATTTTCCCTTTTTGATGGACTGACTTTCCAGTTACCTTCCATTTTCTTATTTGAGAAGAGAAGGGTATATTTGGGGATTTAAAAACATTCATAATTTCTACACCTTTTATTGGCAGTTTGAAACTATTTTCCCAACTTGCTTTTTATGTGAGAGGAGAAAAAAGCACTAGCCTGTTTCAGAATATAAACAGCTTTAAAACCCTTGATAAGGGCTGGGCGCAGTGGCTCACGCCTGTAATCCCAGCACTTTGGGAGGCCGAGGCACATGGATCACAAGGTCAGGAGATCAAGACCATCCTGGCTAACACGTTGAAACCCTGTCTCTACTAAAAATACAAAAAAATTAGCTGGGCGTGGTGGCGGGCACCTGTAGTCCCAGCTACTCAGGAGGCTGAGACAGGAGAATGGTGTGAACCCGGGAGTTGGAGCTTGCAGTGAGCCAAGATTGCGTCACTGCACTCCAGCCTGGGCGACGGAGCAAGACTCCGTCTAAAAAAAAAAAAAAAAAAAAAAAACCCTTGATAAGCAAAGGGAAATTGAAACCATCAAAAGTTCCTGCAAATATCCAAAGTTCTGTGTGCTTTAGGTGATAGCAGTCTACCCAGGGCCAGAGGAATGGAAGAAAGCAGGAGGCAGGCCAAACGCCAGCCCACGCCCTGTGCCTCATGTGTTACCACACAGAGTCCGCAAGCAGAGACCGGAGATTTTCATTCCTTCTTCGGACATAGCAAAATAACCAAATGCATGAAGAAATGTTCACTTATGTGACTGCATTTTCTGTTTGCATTCAAATACTTGGCACTGTCAGTGCCCAAGTAAGGTTTTCAAAACAATGTTTGGCTCAGAAACATCACTTACCATTAAGTCTGAGTCAAATCAATGTATTACCTTTCCTGGACCCATTTGCTTTAAGGTCTTGCATTTAATTAGGAAATGAAAGCCACGCTGAAAAATCCAGGCATAAACAGGCAAGTTGCAGTGTTTTTCTCTCTCAGTACCTTACAGTCAGCCACACACTGGAGACTTGGTTTATCAAAGTAATTTATTTCCATGTATTTTGGGTGCCTGGGGCTGTGGTAACAAATTGCACAAACTGGATGGCTCACAAAACCCAGAAATGCATGGTCTCACAGATCCAGAGACCAGAAGTCTGAGGTCAAGTCACTGTCAGGGACACGCCATCTCTGCAGCCATGAGGGAGAACCCTTCCTCCCCAGCAAACCTCAGGGCTCCTGGGTCACGTCACTCCAACCTCGGCTCTGTCTTCACATGGCCTTTGTCCCTGTGTGTCTCTGTGTGCCCCTCCTCTTCTTATAAGGACATCAGTCATTGGGTTTAGGGCCTGCCCTAATTCAGTACGACCTCATTTTAATGAATTACATCAGTAAAGGCCCTATTTCCAAATAAAGTCCTGTTCTGAAATCCAGGTGGACGTGAATTTTGGGGCATGCTATCCTGAGTCACGTATTATTTACATAGGGTTACAAAGCAGATTCTGTGTTCCTGGCCTCCTGAAACCACTTTGACTCAATCCTCCAATGGCTCCTATTATGGTTTGGCTGTATCCCCAGCCAAATCTTATCTTGAATTCCCACATGTTGTGGGAGGGACCCTATGGGAGGTAATTGAATCATGGGGGCAGGTCTTACCTGTGTTGTTCTCGTGATAGTGAATACGTCTCATGGGATCTGATGGTTTTAAAAAGGAGAGTTTCGCTGCACAAACCCTCTTCTCTTGTCTGCTGCCACGTGAGACATGCCTTTCACCTTCAGCCATGATTGTGAGGCCTCCCAGCCATGTGGAACTGTAAGTCCCTTAAACCTCTTTCCTTTGTAAATTGCCCAGTCTCAGGTATGTCTTTATCAGCAGCGTGGAAACAGACTCATACAGCTCCTATGCCCAACCATGTCTCACGCTGCAGAGTCAGCCAAACAAACCCGCTCATGAGCAATGTCTAGGGCAGCTGAGGGTTACTGGTAGTTCTAAAAGGAAGAAGAGAAATAAAAAGAGGAAGAAAAATTGGTGGGAAATGGGAAGAAAAGAATGCTTAGCGGAGACCAGAAATTGTAGCCAGGAGATGACAGTGCGAACCCCTAGCCGAGGGGCTGACTGTCAGGGCACAGCAGCCTCCCCTGGGCCAGGGTGAGAAATGAATACCCCAGCCACCCACAGTATCGCGGGTGAGTTGCTTTAAGCAACTCATGTGAAGCACAAAAGCATGAGCGAAATGATGCCCAAGACCGGGTCTTCCAGTAATTTCACTGCATGGAACTGTAGTATAGAAATGCTAGTTCCGTCAGGCATGCGGCAGATAACTGCCATTCATCCACGGAGTGTTGGGAGCAGGGCTGGGGAGTCCTGGCACAGATAGCACAGAATGTACAGCCTCTGCCAGCCCACTGTCTAGAGCCTCGTGGCCCTTGAACATAGGAGTCCCTCCTTGGAAGGCCTAAGAACACAACCAGTTATCCACACACGAGAAGCAAGGATGGCTTGTCAGTGACGCTTGATTGATGGTTGATTAGCACCAGAGAGAGCCCAGCCTGTGCTACGATATTGAAGCCGAGTCATAGACGTTATCTACCATGAAATCAATAAAATTTAAGTTGCAGGGCTCCTCCCCAAAGGCTCCTTCTAAATAAGCATTCACTTTTGTGCTTCATTCTTTTACGTGTAGTTTTGAGTTCCTTTTCTTAGGGCAATCCCTAAATTGCAAAACCTTCATGTTGCACAAGCCTGATTCCAGCCTTGGGCTAATTAAGGAGGGTGGAGCTGCTCAGAACCATCAGGCAAAGACAGCTAAGGCACCTGGGTCCCAGCTGCTGCAGCAAATCACTGCCCAGGATATCACATGGGCCCCATTCTGGAGGCTTCTGCCATCTCCTGATTCAAGTCATGATATCTATTTCCAAAAACCGTTTAGCTCTTCGTTGTACTTAATTTGACAAAATAAAATTTAAGAAACCATCTGCGTCAGCAGTTCCACTACCGCTTTTAGCTTAGGATATTGATAACCTTCGAGAATTATCTCGGTCCATGGACAATCTCTTGGGAAGCTTTAAAGAGTACAGCCATATCCCCAGTGCCCCAGAAAGTCTAGGTGACTGGTCTGTGGTGCAGCAAGAGTGTCAAGATGCTCAAGCCGCTGGGGTGTCTCCAAGCCCGGTAGGTCTGAAATCCAGGCCTGCTTTCTGGAGCATGGTGGGCCATTAGGACGGGATGTCTGGGAAGAAGCTAGGGAACTTTCTGTGCACTCAGGGTAATGGGTCATGGGGTTCTGGGCCCATGAAGGAGCCAGGGAGGCAGCTGGGGCATGGGCGGTGGGGTTTCTTCTCCCCATCACTCCTCCTTTGCGGTGTGTTTATGAGATGTGTAAGGAAGGTTTTCCTTCTTTTAGAACTGCGGGTCCAGTGAGGCCTTGGAGTTGGGAGTTGGGTCAAGGGGCAGGAGCAGGCGGGGGCAGAAGTGGTGGGGGGAGGAGTGGGTGGGGGCAGGAGCAGGTGGGGGCAGGAGCAGGAAGGGCTGAGGCTGCAGGCAGGGCTGGGGGCCTGTGGCCAGGGGTGTGAGGACCAGGCCCAGGCAGAATTCGCTTGACCACAAGGGCGCTGCTCTGGGATGCAGTGTGGCCCCAGGCTAGGGAGGCAGCCCCTCTCCTACTTGCATCCCAGGCCAGCAGCACTCTGATGTTGCAGGGCTGTAAGCATAGGGAGCACCCAACTCAGCCTAGAGGGGATGGTGGTGCCCTCAGGTGCTGGAGCTGACAGGAGGGCCAGGAGACCTGGGGTCAGTGTGAGGCCCTGAGCCACCCCATTGGAGACACAGAACTATGGGGGACTTATGGGATGGGCAAATGTATAATGTTAAGCCGACTGGAGTGCTGCGTGGCTAGAACGTGGGCGTAGAGAGGAACTGTGTCATTACTTCTTAGTCACTGTCGGCTAAGACTGGAAACATATGGGTAACTGCTAGAGTCTGAACGTATGTATCCTCCCAAAATTCATACGGCGAAGCCTAAATCCCCAATGTGATGGTATTTGGAGGTGGAATCTTTGGGAGGTACTTAGGTTGTGAAGGTGGAGCTCTTAGGAAGGGAATTAGTGTCCCTATAAGGGGATGAAGAGATCAGAGCGCTCTCTCTTCACCAGGTGAAGATACAACAAGAAGGCGGCCATCCATAAAACAGGAAAAGAGTCCCCACCAGAGCCAGGCCACGCTGGCACCCTGATCTCAGACTTCCAGTCCCCAGAACTTTCAGAAATTAATGTTTGTTGTTTAAGCCACCTAGTTTGTGGCATTCTTTTAGAGCAGCCTGAACTACGGCAGAAATATTAACATAAACTTATCTTGCAATTTGGTGGCTTAAAAATTCCCTCAGTACAACTGAAGAGAAGTTCCCAATTAAAGATTTTACTGAACAGACGGGCTCAGTTGTTAAATGCTGCTGGGAACCCTGAATAAAGTTTTATTTCTCTTTAAAACACATGTTTCCTATTGGATGAACATGGGCAAGAAAAATTAAGTCATGAATTCAGGCAGGTAACCTGGTCATGGATTATTATTCAGGGTTTCAAGCTGTGAACAGTTGTTGTCACTCACAATTCAGGTGTCACTTTTCACTGTGCTTCTGAAAAGAAAAACAAATGAATCAGAGCTTGGCTTTATGGGCATGAGGAACTCATCCTTAAATTAGCCCACAGTGGGATTTCAGCTGAATGTTGGAAGTGTTCCAGTCTCGCCTTTAAGTCTGCTGAAAATCCACAGGAGATACTGGAAAATCCATTTGCATTTAGCACCTGTGTTTGCCTCATAACTGTATATTATTATGCTCTCTAGATGTTGAAAGTGCCTGGAGAACTTTCCTTCCTCTGGGCAAATAAAAGGCAAATAAAAGTTGTGTATACCGTATTAGCTTCCTGTAGCTACTGTAACAAATTAACATAAGCTTAGTGACTGAAAACAGGAGGAATTCATTCTCTTACAGATCTTCAGGTCAGAAGCCTAAAATCCAGGTATTGGCAGGGCTGGTTCTTTCCTGAGGCTTCAGGGGAGGATCCATGTCCTTGCTTCTTCCGGCTTCTGAAGGCCACCGCGATTCCTGGGCCTGTGGCCCCTCCTTCCATCTTCAAAGTGCATCACCCAACCCCTGGCTGCATCCTCACACCTACTTTTTCTGACTTTGACCTTTTGGCCTCCCTTTATTCTAAGGGATCTTCTGATTACAGTATTGGGTCCACCCAGATGATCCAGGATAGTCTCCCATCTCAAGATCCTTCACTTAATCACCTCTGCAAAGACTCCTTTGCCATATAAGGTAACATATTCACAGGTTACAGATATTAGGACATAAGCATCTTTGAGGAGGAGGGGGTCACTATTCAGGCCCCCACACTGTGAGGTATTAGTGGAAAAGTCTGGGAAATGAACAGTCAGTTCTCAGACCCATCCTGCAGTATCCGGAAGGACCACTGGGGGTCTCTTGCTTCCGCACAGCGGGTTTTTGCTTGGATGGGGGATTCGTGTTCACTTGGCTCACAGAAAACATTTCTTCCCTTTCCCGTTCCTCCCTCTTTCCTCTCTCTTGTTAATAACCACCTTGTTTTATGTGTGTGATGAGATGTTACATGAGACTTCCTGTAGCCTTGGAGTTTTGACAGAAAGCTCGAAGACCAGAATAGAATAGGTCCAAGTACTCTGACATCTCAGCGTGAGGGGCTAGACTAGCCAGCAAGACTTGCAAAGGAGATGCCCAAATTGGGTCCTACCAGGGTTAGCCCTTCACCTCTCCCCAGTCCCCTGGTTACCAGCAAAGCTAAGACTATTTAGAGAGGTTGTCTTAGTCCATTTGGGTTGCTATAACAAAAATACCACAAACTGGGTGACTTATAAACAATATAAATGTATTACTGACAGTTCTGGAGGCTGAGAAGTCCAAGATCAAGGTGTTGGCAGATTTGGTTCATGGGTGGCGCCTTCTCACTGCATCCTCACATGGCTGAATGGGACAACAAGCTCCCTTGGGGACAGTTATCAGGGCACTAATCCCATTCATGAAGGCTCTGCCCTTATTTCCTAATCATCTCCCAAAGGCCCTACTTCCTATTCCCACCTCATTGAGGATTAGGTTTCAACATATACATATTTGAGAGACATAAACCTTCAGACCATGGCAGAGGTTGGAGGCAGGTGAAGCGAATCTCTTTGGGGTGAGTTGTCGGGGTGCTAGAATTTGCTCTCCTCTCCCCACTGGGAAGGAGAGGAGGTGCTTGGCCTGTATCTACTGATGTGAGTTTGATTTATGCTGAAAAAGCCTGCAGATGAATGTCTATGGCTGCTGGCTGCCCTAGGAAAGCAGAGAGGAAGTGGCTGGGATGGGACTGGTCTGTTTCTAGAGTTTCCCATGGGCCAGGTATGGATCCCATGGAAGGAATCAGACTGGATCATCTTGTGAGGGCCTCAACTGAATAAGCCAGATTGGGTGGCCATGACAAAACACCATAGTCTGGGTGGCTTAAAGAATGGGAGTTCTTTTCTCATAGTTCTAGAGGGTGAAGTTCAAGATCGAGATGCTAGGAGATTTGGTTCTTGGTGGGGACCATTTTCCTGGCTTGTGGCTGGCTGCCTTCTTGCTGTGTCCTTACATGGAGAGGTTTGGGGGGCCGGGGAGAGAGACAGAGAGAGAGAGAGAGAGAGCGCACATGCTCTGGTCTCTTCCTTTTATAAGGACACTAATTAACTCCACCATAGGGTCTCCACCTTCATGACCTCGTATTAGGTTGGTGCGAAAGTAATTGCAGTTTTTGCTTCCTTTTTTCTTTTCTAATAATCCTAATCACCTTCCAAAGGCTTCACCTACCAATACCATCACATTGGGAGTTAGGGCTTCAATGTATGAATGCAGGGAGGGGTACGCAAACATTCAGACTATGCACCACTCACGGGAACCACCTGGAAGGGGCAGGGGCGGTGGACACAGGTACAAGCAGCCAGAGGAGCCATCAA
The DNA here is from genome assembly GCF_000001405.40 of Homo sapiens. Classification (NCBI taxonomy): domain Eukaryota; kingdom Metazoa; phylum Chordata; class Mammalia; order Primates; family Hominidae; genus Homo; species Homo sapiens. The sequence continues at coordinate 74,474,819 of NC_000018.10, read as the reverse complement.
GGAAATTGTAGGAGAGACACTCAGCTTTTGGAGTGTCATCTCTGAAGAGCCTGTAAAGCATCCCTTGAGGGAAAACCCCCCAGCATTTGAAATACACGATATCTTGGGGGCTTCAATGTCAAATTACAACTGTCCTCCTCAAGTGAGACCCTTCCTGCCCAAGGCTGCCATATGCATGTGAAATCACTCCCTGGAGTTTTGCAGTGTGCAGCCTGCACCATCACACAGGGCAGCATGGCTTCTCACTGTTGCCTACTCCACCATTGCAGGGGCCTGAAACATCAACCAACAAGAGGGGGAGGGACAGCCAGTTTCTGCTAAAATGCAGACTTAGCATGGGCTCTGGCTGTCTTTCCATAAATCAACCTTGGATAAAAGAGAAAAACCTGGAATCAAGAAAACCACAAACAGGCAAATAAAGAAGCCCCTGGGGAGAGGGGAAGGCCGAAGGCTGCTTTTGTTGGTGTGGGAGAGGTTGGGGGGAAGTGGTAGCTGGGGTGGCTGTGAGGGGGTAAGTTAATTGAGAACAAAGCAATTTAAGTTCTCCTCTTGCCTCCCTCATCAGTGCATAGGGATAATCATCGCCCAAGACCAACAATGGAGGTTGTCTGTGGGAGTGGAACCAGGGCAGCACCAAAGCCTTGCTGAGTGACGAGGTGATTCATGCATTCATTTACTCAACAGATATTTACCAAGTTCTCTCTAATCTGGGCCCTGGAAATATAGTTGCACTCCTGGATCTATATTCTTGAGAGGAGACAATATTAAATAACAGAAGCAAAATATATAGTATGTAAGATAATAATGAGTTCTAGAGAGAAAAAAATTAAACAGGGACAAGTAGTGAAGGTGATTTTTGGGTACAGGTCAGAAGGAAGTGAGGGAGTGAGCCAACAGGACTTCTGTGGGATGAGCATTCCTGGTGGGCTCAGTAAGTTCAAAGGCTGTTAGGTGGCCATGTGCCCAGTGCTGCCAAAGAACAGCAAAGGAGCATGTGAGGCTTTCATGGAGAGAGTGGGAAAAAGAAAGCCAGGAGGTGGGGTCTGAGAAGTCACCAAGGGCAGAAACTGTAGAAAGTGGTGAGGATTTGGGCTTTGCTTAAGGGAGATGGAAATCCATGAGAGGGTTTGAGCAGAGGAATATCTGTTCTTGAGTATGAGCTGCAGCAGGACAAGGGTAGAGGTTGGCTGAACAGTTAGCTTACTGTGAGTAGAGATGTGAATGGGTGGCAGTGCGTGGTGATGAGTAACTGAATCTGAATAGATGCTGAGCAGAGCCAACAGGATTTGATGATGAATGGGGTTTGGGAGTAAGAGAAAGACAGAAGGCAAGGAGACGCCAAAGGCTTTTGCCTGAGCAATGGCAAGAAGGAAGTTGTTGTCTCCTGAGTTGGGGAAGAATGCAGAGGGAGTTAGTTAAGGAAGGAAGAGCAGGACCTCCGTTTCAGAAAGGTTAGGTTTAAGATGCATATTCGTTATCCTATTGGAGACCGATTAAACAGGTCAGGAGTCCAGGTCACAGGCCAGAGCTGGAGATACAATTGTGGTAAGTCATGAGCACACAGAAGGTACTTAAAGCCATGAGAATGGATGAAATCAGCAGGGAGTGTGTGTAAGTAGAAAGGAAAAGTCCAAGGTTTGAGCCCCTGGGCACTGCAACATTCAGAGGCCGAGGGGTTGAGAACAAACCAGTAAGCAGAATGAAGCAGAAAAAAGGAGGAAAACCAGGTTAGATTGTGTCCTGGAAGGCAGAGGAATAACAGCATCTAGGAGGAGAGCGTGATGAATGTGGTCAAATGTTGGTGCTCACTCAAATTAAATGTCAGCCAAGAAATCACCGTTGAATATAGCAAGGTAGAGGCAATCGGTGACTTGGAGAGGAGGAGCACTGGTGGGTCATCAGAGTAGTAAGGGCAAAACCATGACTGGAATGGATTCAAAAGACAACATTGACAGAGAATAGATGATTTTCTCAAGGATTTTTGTTGTGCATAGAAGGAGAGAGATTAGGCAGAAGATGGAGGCAAAGAGTTTTTGTTGCTTTTTCCTTTTGTTTTTTAAAGAGGGTGAACTAAGAGCATGCTTGCATGAATGATGAGCTTTGTGCCATTTGAACTTGACCTATTCTCATATTCCCTTTCCCCAGCTCTGCAGTAGCCTAAAAAGCTGCTCAGCCTGGCAGTCACTGGAGAGGTTTGGAGTTATGCAAAAAGTCCCATCCCCAGAGAATTGTCACTATTTGACCTGTCTGGAAGCTTTCTGGAAAAGCTTCGTTTTGTCTCTATTTGACCCTATTTGTCTTAGTTTGACCTGACTCAGAGTTCATGCTGTAAACAGCCCTATCTCCAGAGCATTCCTCAAAAACAGTCAGTAGCAATTGTTTAACATTGTATCCTCCTGAGGTGGTGATAACAGTTAGGACAAAAAAACCTTAAAGAAAAAACTAATGAGTAAGATGACTACGGAGACTTTGAAAAACTCCAACATATTTTTGGGAATTGAGAAAGCCACACACAAATGCAAGGCTTTGTGCCTGCCCAGAGAAAACCTCAGAAGGCTCTAATGTCTCATCTCTGGCTGACCTTGAGGCTCTGAACAAGCAGGAAGTAAAGACTAAGACAGAGTTGTAAGTTGCCTGCAAGAAGAGATGTGCTCCAACAGTGGTTGTACATGGTGAAGAACACAGACTTCATATAATTAGTCCAATAAACTCATTAAACAAGCAAATAGCAACAACAACAACAAACAGAAAAAACAACAAAACTTGGGAATAAAAGAAGAATCTTAATTCCAGATCTGACACACTATATTATTCTAAAGGTACAGATTTCAACAAAAAATGCAAAACATGTAAAGAAGCATGAAAGTATAGCCCATACACAGAGGGGAAAAAAAGCAATCAATAGAAATATCTGAGGAAGCCCAGATGTTGAACTTACTAGACAAAGACTTTAAACCAACTGCTATAAATATACTCCAAGAACTTAAGGAAACCATGCCTAAAGGATTAAAGGAGAGTATGAGAATGATAGCTCAGCAAATAGATAATACAAACAAAGTGATCAAAATTGTAAAAAGGAACAAAAGGAAAATTCTGGAGCTGAAAAGTTCAATAACTGAAATTAAAATTTTATTACAGAGGCTCAGCAATAGATTTGAAATGGCAGAAGAAGGAATCACTGAGCTTGAATATAGGACACTGAGATCATCCAGTCTGAGAAACAGAGGAAAATATGCATTAAGGAAAGTGAAAAGCACTTCTGGGACCTATAGAACACACTTGAACACACCAATATATGCATGATGAGAGTGCCAAAAGGAGAGGAGAAGGAGCAAGAGGCAGGGAGAATATTTGAAGAAATAATGGCTGAACTCTTCTCAAATTTGATGAAGATACTAATCTACACATCCAAGAGGCTGAGCAAACCCCAAGTTGGACAAACTCAAGAAGACAACTAGATACATCATAGTCAAATTGTTGAAAGACAAAGACAGGATCTTGAAAGTAGCAAGAGAGAAGCAATGTGTCATGTGTAAGTCGTCCTCAAAAAGATTAATAGTCAGTTTCTTTTCAGAAACCATGAAGGCCAGAAGTCAGCAGAATGACAGATCTACAATTCTGAAAGGAAAACACTATTAATCAATAATTCTATATCTGGCAAAACTATCCTTCAAAGGTGAAGGGGGAAAACAAGACACACCCAGATGAACAATCAGGAAGTTTATAACTGGTAGACTTGCTCTACAAGAAATGCTAAAGGAAGTCCTCCAGGCTGGAATGAAAGGACATGAGGCAGTAACTCAAAAGCATATGAAGAAAGAAAGAAGAATGGTAAAAGTAACTACCATTTATATATTTATTAATATACACTTATATACAAATATAAAAGCCAGTAGCACTGCATTTTTGATTTGTGACTCCTCTTTTTTCCTACATGATTTAAAAAATAAGTGTATAAATTAATAATTATAAAACCATGTTGATAAGTTTATAATGTTTAAACATGTAATTTGTGATAATAGCACAAAGAAGAAGAGAGAGTAGAGCTATATTAAAGATTTTATATGTGATTGAAATTAAGTTGGTATTAATTCAAACTTTATTGTCTTAAGATGTTATTGTCATCTCTATGGAATCCACTAGGACAATAACTTCAAAAAAATGCATGCATATATGCTGGGGGGAAGAGGAGAGAGAGAGAAAGAGCAGGGAAATTAAAATATTATACTACAAAATATCTAACACAAAAGAAGGCAGTAATAAATAGGGGAACAAAAAACTCTAATACATATGGAAAACAAGTGGTGAAATGGCAGATATAAAGCCTACCTGATCAGTAATTACATTAAATGTAAATGAACTAACCACTCCCTTAAAAGGCAGAGATTGGCAGAATAGGTAAATAAATATGATCCAACTCTATACTGTCTATGAGAGATACACTTTAGATTCAAAGACACAAAGAGGTGAAAAGTAAAAGGATAGAAAAAATTAAACCATGCAAACAGTACCCAAAAGAAAGACGGAGTTGCTATACTAATAGAAGACAAAACAAGTTTTATGGCTTTTTACTAGATACAAAGAATGACATGTTATCAGGTTAAGAGGGTAAATCATCAGAAAGACATAACAACTGTAAACATACACCTGCCTACCAACAGAGTCCCAAAATACATGAAGCAAAAATGGACAGAACTGAAGTGAGATACAGAGAGTTCAAGAGTGAGACTTCTAATCCACTTTCAATAATGGATACACCAACTAGATAGAAGATCAACAAGAAAATAGAAGACCTGAACGTCGTAGAAACCAATGAGACCTAAAGACATGAATGAACACTTTCAATAATGGATACACCAACTAGATAGAAGATCAACAAGAAAATAGAAGACCTGAACGTCGTAAAAACCAATGAGACCTAAAGACATGAATGAACACTTTCTCCAACAACAACAGAATACACGTTTTTTCTCAAGTATATTCTCCAAGCTACATCATATGTTAGGTCATAAAACAAACCTTAGCAGGTTTAAAATGACTGAAATTATACAAAGTATGTTCTCTGACCACAGTGGCATAAAATTAGAAATCAATGAATGAAGGAAATTTGAAAAATTTACAAGTATTTGGATATTAAATAACATACTTCTTGATAATCAATAGGCAAATATAAAGAATCACAAAGACATTTAGAAAATACTTTGAAACAAATTAAATCAAATGTACAACATGCCAAAAATGATGAGATGCAGCTTAAGCAAGAGTTAGGGGTGAGGGGAAGGGTGACTATAAACTAGTAGATGAGGAAGTTTTTTCTGGTGTCAGAACTATTTTATATCCTGATTGTGGTGGCAGTTACACAAATCTATACATGTGTTATAATTCATAGAACAGTACACATTTTCACACAAAGGCTTGTTCTGTTATGCTAATTTAAAAATAAAACTGTAGAAGCTATATCAGAATTTGTACAGATGATTATTATGTATCTTAAATGATAGATATCTGCAAGACCTTCATTAAAGAAGAACTCCTTAAAGCTCCTGGTACCAGCCGTATGCTTTCTTCAGTTATGCAAATAAAATATTTGATTTAATTACAGGAAAAAAAGTAGGAACAAGACAGGGATGTCTACCACTACTACTACTGCAACAACTACTACTTCTAAACAACATTGCACTGGAGGTCCAAAAATAATTGAAGACACAAGGATTGGAAGAAGGAAATAAAAACATCATTATTTGTAAGCAGGGGAGGAGGGAGACCAAGAAATAGAGAGAAAACTGATCATACCCCTCCTTCTTCAGCGCAGATGTTCTGGTCTGAGACTGACCTGAGCCAAGAGAGGAGAGAATTTGTAATGAATTCTGGAGTCCTAATGTTAAACAGGACTAGACGCTTTACTACCTAAAAAAGAGGCTATTGTTTAGCAGGGAAAGTGACTAATCTATAAGAGTTGCCAAAAATGTCAGGAGCCAAGAGCATTAAAAACACTAGATGCTGTGAACAAAAAGGTCTGCTTTCTGATTGCACCATAATAAGACAAGCTAATTAAGTATGCTGATGAGATGTTCACCCCCTGATATGATAAAAGCAAGAGAGAGACATGGAAGGGAGGCCAGGACCTGCTCTGCAACTTCCCTGCCCCAGTTCCCTCCATCTCCTCCACACAGAGGAGCAGGAAACACAGGCAACTTCCCAACTCAAAGTAAACAAAGCCAATACCTACCCTGCGTTCCTGGAATTTACAATCTAAGACAGCATTGATGTGAAGGGGCATGTAAGGCTTATGGACAACTAAACAAGCCTTTCCCATTAAAACTGGAACCCATTAAAGAAAAAGGGTAAGTGCATTTGGCAGAAGGCATGAGTGAACAAGGGGAAAATGACATGATAGAAGGAAAGAAACTTGGCAGCGAGGCTGGAAAGGGAGCCACAGGGCATGCTGGAGGAAGGCCTGTAGGGAATTAGATGATCAAGGTATTGAGTTAATTGATCTGTGCAGATGAAAGTCAACTTTATTTTTTGGCTAGAGTTATCTGATTCCTTGCATTGAGTGGCATTTGTTGTATGAGATTGTCTTCCTGAGTAATACTGTATCTTGGCAAGCTTGTAAAATATAGTTTTTAAACTTAAAAAAAAACACATGGCTATCATATCTTAGTTGCAACAGAAGAGCCATAACCCATGCTTTATAGAGAATCAGGTTTTTTTTTAATTTCACAAAGGCAATCATGCTTTATCAAAAGACATTCTTTACTGCTTGATATTTTTATTTATTAAAAAACAAGTTTTCTAGCAAGGAATCAGACATTTGTATACCAATGTTTATAGCAGCACCATTCACAGTAGCCAAATGGTGGGTGCAACTAAAATGTCCACCGACCGAGGAATGAATAAGCAAAACATGGTATATACAGACAACGGAAGGTGATTCAGCCTTAGGAAGACAATTCTAAATGACATAAGCATCACCTAAAAGACAAATACTACATAATTCCACTTATATGTGGCCCCTAGAATTGTCAAATTCATAGAGACAGAAAGTGGAATGGTGGGTGCCAGAAGCTGGAGGGAGCAGAGAAAAGGGAGTTGGTGTTTAACGGGTACAGATTTTCAGTCTGAAAAGATGAGAAAGTTCTGGAGATGGATGGTGGTGATGCTCATACAACAATGTGAATGCACTTAATGTCTGTACACTCAAAAATGATAAAATGGCAAATTTTATGTTATATATATTTTACCATAATAAAAGAATTATGTTTTATAATGGGGAATTATGTATCTTGCAGTTACTTGTTTTATCATTAAAAATTAATATCAACAAAGAAAAATATATAATATCATTAATCTATTTATGAGCTGCTTTCATGGTTTATCCTTTACTGACTTTTCTTGCCTTTACTCCTTGTTTCGGTGGCAAAATTATCTAGAAAATTTAAAAAGTGCATATTGACTCAGGAAGTCATGATCGCCTTTCCTCCTTTTATGAAGCACTATTTAGTGAGGTAAAAGTTGCAACTAGTGGTAGGATATGAGCAGTAGGCCTTAAGAGAAATGAAAAAGTGTCTTGGGTCTCGGTTATGTCTGTAGCAGAGGTATCCATGGAAACACTATGGAACCAATGTAATTGTAAATTCATTTACCAACTTCTCCTGAAGTGACTTTTATTTCCCAGTATCATCTTTTGGGGTGTTGTCTTCCACAGATTTGCTATCTGCAGGGAAAGTATTCTTTGGAAGGGCTTCCTGCTGATTCTGAATCTCAAAGTTGGTGAGTGAGAAGAGCAGGCTGAGCCCTCTTCACTGCTATCTGAGGACCAACACCGTGCAACGGGCAGGATGCTGAGTCCAGGAGGAATGGGAAGTCCCCCATTAGTGGGAGGACCAGGTCTGTAACAGACACACAGATGTGCACACACACAAACACACAGTTAAACACACGAGGAAGTGTTAGAAGGTGCTGGAGGAGGGAGGAGTCAAGTGAGGCCCCAGGAGGTGGTACTGGAGGTGGTCTTGAAGGATGAGCAGGGGCCCAGGAACAAGGGAGGATCAAGACTTCCAGTGACAAATATCGAGGAGCAGATGGAGACCATGGGGATTGGAGACTTGTGCAGGAAAGGGCGGGAATTGCACCGGCTGGGAGCAGTTAACAGGGCAATCAAAGGACCCTGGTTGGTTTCCTTTTCCAAGAAAATAACTCATAGCTTGACAGAGGCAGGATTAGAAGAGGCCAGCCTAGAGTCTGCGGCCCACGTCTACAGAGATTACAAGGGAGCTGAGCAAATGGCAGCCTTTGGGGAGAGGAAGAGATGTTGTCATAGTGGTCTAGATAGGACTTGCACACTGGGTACGAGGCCTGAGAGGCCAGTGAAGATCTTTCTTTTGTGTCCCAAAGTGCTGAATGATGGCAGTGATCCCCCAAAACTAAGTCAACACAAAAATAATTCTCCACCATAAGTCACATGCAAGGGAGTATATCAAATTTAGCTTCCCATGATGATTATTTCATTGCCTTTCATGAACTATCCAAAATCAAATTATTTTTTAAATTATTTAATATATTTAATTTAATAATTAATATAATTATATTTTAAAAATTATTTTGAGTTTTTGTGCCATCCTTGTGCCTTCAACATTGTAAGTGTGCTTATGATGCCCATTTAAAATTCATTTAACATCATGTGTCATCAGAGAACTGTAAATTAAAACAATGAGATACCACTACACATCTGTTAGAATGACCAAAATCCAGAGCGCTGACGACACCAAATGCCAGTGAGGATATGGAGCAACAGGAACTTTCATTCATTGCTGGTGGGAATGCAAACGATCCAGCTACTTTGGCAGACAGTTTGTCAATTTCTTAGAAAACTAAACATACTCTTACCGTATGATCTAGCAATCATGCTCCTGGCTATTTACCTAAATGAGCTGCAAAGTTAAATCCACACAAAAACCTGCACACATATATTTATAGCATTCATAACTGCCAAAATCTAAAAGCAACCAAGGAGTCCTTCAGTAGGTGAATGGATAAATAAGCTGCAGTACAAGCAGAAAATCAAATATGATGCGCTGATGAAATAAATGAGTTATCAAGCCATGAAAGACATAAATGAAGCTTAAATGATTATTGCTAAATGAAAAAAGCCAATCTGAAGAGGATACATGCTGTATGATTTCCTAGGAAAAAAATCAGTGGTTGCCAGGAGTTAGTGGGGAGGGTGAGATGAGTAAAGTGACATGTAGAGGAATTGTAGGGCCATGAAACAGCTTTGTATCTATATCTGTATCTGTATCAACTGTATCTGTATCTGTAACTGTCACTGTGTCTGTATCTGTAACTGTCACTGTATCTGTATGTGTATCTGCAACTGTATAGTATCTGTATATTTAAAACTGTATCTGTATTTGAAACTATATCTGTGACTGTAACTGTATCTGTTACTGTATCTGTATCAGTAACTGTATCTGTAACTGTATGGGTACCTGTATTTGTATCTGTATCTGTATTTAAAACTGTATCTAGGCCAGGTGCGGTGGCTCACGCCTGTAATCGCAGCACTTTGGGAGGCCGAGGTGGGTGGATCACCTGAGGTCAGGAGTTCGAGACCAGCCTAACCAACATAGAGAAACCCTGTCTCTACTAAAAATACAAAAATTCACTGGGTGCGGTGGCACACGCCTGTAATCCCAGCTACTCGGGAGGCTGAGGCAGGAGAATCACTTGAACCCGGCAGGCGGAGGTTGCAGTGAGGAGAGAGAGCACCATTGCACTCCAGCCTGGGCAACAAGAGCAAAACTCCCTATCAAACCACCCCCCCCACCCCCCACTTGCCACACACACACAAACTGTATCTATAACTGTATCTGTAACTGTAACTGTAACTGGATCTATGTTTGTATCTGCATCTGTGTCTGTAACTGTAACTGTGTCTATCTGTATCTGTATTGGTAACTGTATCTGTATCAACTGTAACTCTCTATCTATAACTGTATGTATAATTGTAACTGTATCTGTATCTGTACCTGAAACTGTATCTATATCTGTAATTCTAATTATATCTGTGTCTGTATCAACTGTAACTGTATCTCTAACTGTATCTGTAACTGATCTGTATCTGTAACTGTCACTGTATCTGTATCTGTAACTCCATCTGTAACTGTTTCTGTATGTTTATGTTTGCCTTGTATTTACAATGGTGGATCCATGTCATATGTTTATCCAAATTCACAGCATGTAGAGCACCAAGAGTGAACCCTAATGTGAACTATGAACTTCAGGTGATAATGACGTGCCAAGTGTAAGTTTATTGATGGTAGCAAATGTACCACTCTGGTGGGAGATGTTGATGTGGGGGAGGATGTGCCTGCCAGGGGGCAGGAGTAGATAGAAAATCTCTGTACCTTCTTAATTTTGTTGTGAATCTAAAACTGCTTTTAAAAATTCTATTTTTAAAAATCTGGTGTTGGGTGTGAGAGAGAGGTGGAACCAAGGATTTTCCTGGCTTTCTGTATTAGGAGGTTACTAGGTAGATTGTGCTTTCATTGGTGGATTTAAGGGCTCCCAGGAGTACTGGGTTTGAGCAAAAGTTGTCTGAGAGTAGAAAGGCTATGAGGCCCTTTTTGGGGAGTGGGGCCAGCTGCCACCAACTCTCCTATGCAATAGTGCAGTCTTCACTGATGAAGCCAGTGCTGTCTTACACCAGCATCCGGAGAGCTGAGATTAAAGGGGGTGAGGGAGATGGTGCTGATGTGACTCTATGGCTTCTTATATGCTGACCTTTAGTAACCACCTGATCCTTTGGTAAGGGGAATCTAACTTCAGAGCCATCAGAATCTTTAAGAGATTATTTGGCAAAGCAGCCATAGCTTTTTGGATGTGAACATCCTGGGCCCACCAAAGAGTAAAGAGCCTTCTTCTTCCGTCTGCTGCTGAGAAGAACCCACCCAGTCGGTGCTGATTTCGTGTCAGGCGAGCAGGTCAGGCTACAGGCTCTTTTGGGCAGGCTTAACAATGGAGCACTGCTCTCTGCAAGAGTTGCACGTTATTTGCTGAAAGAGAAATGACAAATCCTAGGATGTCACTTTTTCCTAAGGACCCTGGTGTGAGAGTTCCAAAGCCAAACAGCACGATATGTTTTCCCCTGCGTTGTGCTTTCGCCTGAGTAGAGTGGGCTTGACAGGAATCTTCATGCGCTTGCCTGAAGACAGTGCCGGGTACGTGGGGGTGAGGGCGGGAAGGAGTAGCATCAAGCATCAGTAGGACTCCTCCTGTCTCTCCCTTTGCACTGGAGGGAAATCTCAACCAGCAGCTGTGTCTCAGTTGGAATGAAAATACAAGAAGGGCGGCCAAAAAACGGTTAGGAATTTCCTAAAGCTTAGTCCCAATGAATGCAGTGCAACTGTGGGTGGTTAGGAAATCCCAGAGGGTTACAAACCAAGCTGAGTCCTATAAGGAACAAAGTGCTTCATTTTGTAAAAAGGTTTCCAGCCAACCTCAACAAACAACAAAAGCATCGCAAAACGGAACAGCAAAGACTCCAGTGAGTGGTTCTAGAGGTATGACATTCAAAACAGCCAAGCAAATAACGTTCAGCATCTTCAGTTTTCCACTTCCCAGGCCTTCATCAATATGGTAGTTGTTCTAAGATCAAAGGATAACACTGTGCTCATGTGTACTCCGGGAGCTGGAATCCCCATGGCACCCACAATGAAGATGGGGCACCCCACGTTCTTGGGCTGCAGCTCCCCTGATAACTCCATGACAAACAGTATTTTCCTCACCTCTTGTGCAGGCTCTTGCCACTAGGTCAACCCAGGCAGTGCCACAAAGTTGAGAGAATGTGGACTAAAATTCCTAAAATGTGGTTCTATCATAAAAGGACCCAGCTGCAGGACAACGAAAGAATGATTACTTAAATTGCAGGGTGACTTCTAGCTATCAAAAATAAAAGCTATGACTCTTCACAGGGAAATGCAATGTAAATGCAGACTGAAATACCACCGTGCACCCTCTAGGATGGTTATAAGGAATATGACAAGTGTTGATGAGGATATGGAGAAACTGGAATCCTTAGACGTGGCTGATAGGAATGTCAAATGGTGCAACCACTTTGGAAAATAGGTTGGCAGTTTTTTTTTTTTTTTTAAGCAAAACATATATGTACTATGAGACTCAGCAATTCTACTCCTAGGAATTGAAGAGACATAAAAACATACGTCCACATAAGACACATGCATATGTGTCACTGTGTACACAGTGTACAATAGCCAAATAGCAGCACTATGTACAATAGCCAAAAAGTAGAAACAATTCAAATGTCCTTCAACTGAAGAGCGGATAACACTGTCTGGTGTATTCACACAGTGCAATGGAATGCTGTTTTTAACACAAAATGAACAAAGTAGTGATACATGGTGCAAGACGGATGACCCTGAAAAGCATTAAGTGAAAGAAGCCAGGTGCAAAAGATGCCTGCTCTATGATTCTGCTTATATGAAGTGTCCAAAAAACCCCAGCTGTAGAGACTGATTAGCAGTTGCCTGGGGCTGGAAGTGGGAGCATGGAGGGAATGCAAGTGAGCAGGAGGGAGCTTCCTGGATGATAGAGACGTTCCACAGCCACACAATGTTGGTGATGGCTGCAGAACTCTGCACATGTCTTGAGAATCACCGAATTGAATGCCTAAAACTCAGGAAATTTCATGGTATACAAATTATACCTCAATAAATCTGCTTAAAAACAATGATAGTAGTCAGGCACCATGGCTCATGCCTGTAATCCTAGCACTTTGGGAGGCCAAGGCAGGAGGATCCCTTGAGCCCAGGAGTTTGAGACCAGACTGGGCAAAATAGCAAGACTCCATCTCTACCAAAAAAGTTTTTTTTTCAATTAGCTGGGAGTGATGGTGTACAACTGTGGTCCCAGCTACTCAGGAGGCTGGGGTGGGAAGATGGCTGGGCCTAGAATGTAGAGGCTGCAGTAAGCTGTGGTGATGTCACTGCACTCCAGGCTGGGCAGCAGAGTGTAACTCTGTCTCAAGATAAGTGAATAAATAAATAAGATGACGACTATAACCCAGCAGTAGTCTGAAGACCTAAGGTGTGGAAGAGCTATGATCCCCCTGCCCTTATAAAGGAGGCATGGGCCAGGCACAGTGACTCACATCTGCAGCCCCAGAACTATGGGAGGCAGAGGCAGGAGGATTGCTTGAGCCCAGGAGTTTGAGACCAGCCTGGACAACGCATTGAGCCCTATCTCTACAAAAAATAAAATTTTAAAAAATTATTGTAACCAGGCAGGAGGATTGCTTGAACCCAGGAGTTGGAGGCCACAGTGAGCTATAATCACAGCACTGTACTCCAGCCTGGGCAACAGAGCGAGACCCTGTCTCAAAAAAAAAAAAGAGAAAGAGAAAGAAAGAAAGGAAGGAAGAAAGGAAGGAAGGAAGGAAGGAAGGAAGGAAGGAAAGAAGGAAGGAAGGAAAAGAAAAAGAAAAAAAGAAAAGAGAGGAGGCATGAGGTTCAAGAATATGTAACCTCTCATCCTACAGGCAGGAGTTGGAGGGGCAAGAGCTGTTGTCCTGAGTTCCTGGGCAGATGGTTGAGAGACTCGCTCAGGCCTGCAAGATGAGGAGATGAAAAGTCATCAGGAGAAAAAGAAAAATGACAGGATCCTGTGCCTTGGCCCACTCCAGTTCCTCTGCTATGGCTCTCACCCGAGTCCTTCTGGGGATCCTTATGGACATTTGGAGTGCAAGACCTCACCCGTGGCCCTGGGACTGGCCTTCGTGAGGGCAGCAGCAGCAGCAGCCCTGGCTCTGGCAAAGCCCCATGGGGCAGGGATAGTGGAAGGGACAGACAGTGACGGACACGCAGCATCTCCCTTTGCACAGAACCCACTGGAGAGCTGCTTGATGGTCTCCCTCACCAAGGAGGGCTGAGCCCACTTTCTCCCATCTTTATATCTTCGACACCAAAATAGAGGTGCTCAGTAGTGCTTTGAATGAATGAATGAATGAATGCATGAATGAATGAATGAACTCCTATCAAGTTAAGCTTTATTACAGAAAAATGAACATGGCTGGGAGATCACAGCAGACGAAGCAATAAGTCTTTCAAAGTGGTTCAGTATGGCCGAGGCTGTATCTTTCCTATGTCCCGCTCATTGGAGCAGCTGCAGAGACCAGAGCGGCGGAGGCCAGGACTCCCATAACTGAGTCTCTTTGGGTAATTCTTCTCTTTAATAACACGGCTTTACTATTACACAAATAATATGTGCTTATCTGAAATAAAATTAGAAAATTGACGTAAGCAAAAAGAATAAAATAAAAATCACCTGCAATCCTTCTACCTGGAGATAACACTAGCAACATTTTCATACCACTTTTCAGATTTTGTGTGTGTGTACATTGCATTAAGGATATGGTATGCTTTAAAAACAAAACAAAAACAAAAACAAGTACGATGGAATCACACGGAACATAATGTTTTGGAACTTGCTTTTTCCCTCGATGATATCATGAACATCTGTACTGGTCAAGGCTCTTTCCATTGTAAATGACAGAAACCCAACCCGAACTTGCTTAAGCCATGAAGAGAATGTATCATTTGGGTAATTGGAAAGTCGGGAACTCGGAGGACATCCTCAGAAGTCCCTCTCCATTCCTCCCCCTTCCTCTGGGCTGGCCTCCCCTTCAGCAGATTCTCCCCTTGTGGTGACTCTTGGCCACCACATCCTCAGAGCCTGGCCATCTCAGCCCAAATAAAGCTTCTCTTTCCCAACTGTTCAGAAAAAGCCTGAGAAGCCTGCGTGCTTGGCTGGGATTGGCGTGTTGGGGCCTGGGCTGCCTGACTGGCCCCTGTGACTGGGGAATGAGTAGCTGATCTCAGCCCAGGGATCGGGAGCCCACCCTGGGCTGGCGCTGCAGATGGGGTCAGAGCTTGAGAGGGTGTGATTTCCCAAGGAAGCTCTGTGCAAGGAGGAGGGGAAGAGGCGCAGGACAAGGAGAAACGGCAAATTTCTCCTGTAATATCTTTCCTGCCCACATACACCTCACATCACAGTTTTTATGCCAGCATCATTTTCCCACCAGCGGAGGACTAAGGCTTATTTCACCAGTCCTCATGGCACACAGTAGGTTACTTCCAATGTTGCTATTACAAACTGTGTTCTAAAGAACATCTTGATGCTAAATATCTGCCTATATCCTACAAAAATTCCTAATTACCTTAAATCAGTGCAAAACAGTTCATAAGCTTTACAAACTAGGCAGCTTCAGGGCCCTAGGCAAAACTGCAAAATAAACAAAACTTCCTGTGGTATCAACCTAAGCTGCACTCTCCACCTTGTGCTAGAGAGCACCATCACTTCCGTGTTAAAACAGTGCTGAATATGAAAAGGATTTCTTTACTGTGGGATTATAAGTTTATTTTCTTCTGAATACTTTATAAAATGCCAAAAGAAGTGGGCTTCATAACGGATTTTTAAAACCCACAAAAGTAAAACACCATGTAGATCTGAATGTGGTTAATTTTGATTTCAAGTTCTGCTTTCCCCCCTGTAATTTCTGTTCCTATGTTTTAAAAGATAAGTAGTCACACTGCTTCATCTCATTCTTCCCATTCCTGCACTCCCCTCCCCACACCAAATACAATTCTTGGGAAAGGAAAACAACTTCACATCAGGTTGAGATTTCTTTTTCTCCTTTTAGGTACAGGGTCTCGTTCTGTTGTCCGGGCTAGAGTGCAGTGGTGTGATAACAGTCATTGCAGCTTCAAATTCCTGGGCTCAAGCAGGTCCCCTGCCTCTACCCCCAGAGCAGCTAGGACTACAAGCCCACATCACCATGCCTGCTAACTTTTTTTTTTTTTTGCCCAGGTTGGTTTCAAACTGTTGGCCTCAAGCAATCCTTCTGCCTTGGCCTCCCAAAACACTGGGATTGCAGGCATGAGCCAGCAGGCTTGGCCTTGAATTGAGAGTTTAATGCAGTATTTTACTAGGATGCTTTCTATGCTCCACACCTATTTTGAAATGAAACAACACAGTTTCCATACAGCCAGCCTGTGAAAATATGGTACTTCTGGTTGGGCGTGTGCTGGGATGGATGGAGGTGGGGGGAAGCTTCACACAGAGAGAGCTTCACCTGGCCTTACCGCTGTTGATTGAGTGACACCCAAACCCTGCTGTTGATTGAGTGACACCCAAACCCCAAGGGTCTGTTGCATTCGGGGCATATTTGTGATGTGCCCGAAGTGCTTCTTGGGGCTCAGGGTTTGTTCATCTGATGTTTGGTCATTCCTGGGGACTCCTACCACCGAGCCAGCCATAAAACAAAGTTAAAGCAGCGAGTTGCAGAAGAGACAAGGGCAAGAAGCCAGCTCCTGTGGGACAATCACAGCACGCAGTGATCAGGGCATGTTTCTATTATCTCTAAACTCGGGAACGGGTCATGTGAAATTCAGGCGCAGGGCAGGCGGGAGAGCGATCCGGGATGGGCTGGCACGTACTGGGCACTGAATAAGCTTTTGTTCAGTGAATGCAGGAGCCCCGGGCGTGGCGGCTTTCACAGCCCCTCAGCTGTGACAGTTCCCCTGGGGTGGCGCCGCCTCCCCCTATCCTGGGGAAAGGCGTTCAGGGAGTGAGAAGCATCCCTGGGTGGGGTGGGGGATGCTGGTGAGAACCAGGGACGCCCTGTGGGCCCAGGGCCAGCCTGCTTTACAGAACAATTGGGATGGGAACACGGATGCCTGCTCTCCCAGATGATACTGCGAATCTATAAATATAGACTTAGACACACGTGGTGGACGTGTTCTCCTCCCCGGGGTAACGGAGATGTTTCCAGAGAGCAGATCTTTGCAGCCCTGAGAAGGACGCCCGAGAGTTTGTGCAGCCTGGGAGACGGCGGGGGGTTTGATTCAGGGGTGCCCGTGGGAAGGGGAGGGCTGGGTCGTCCCAGAACCTACTGACTGTCCTCGACCCCCGACTCTCTGCATGCTCCGGATCTCACTCCCGGGAGGGCCCGGAGAAAACCCAAGTTGGGGTGAGACTCAGAGGGGGGCGGTTCTAGTGGAGAGGTAAACGGGGGGGGACAACGCTGCAGCCCCCTGGGGCGAGGGTGCGCTCTACAGAGCGCTGGGGGCAAGGGCACCTGGCCTCTCAGAGAAGTTGGTGGGGGAGGGCAATGTGACAATTAAAGATATGTAGTCTTGAGGAATCAGTCCCCAAAGAGAGAGGCGATTGAATCTACCCGGATTTCGTTTAAGTGGGGAGCTGGTCTTCTTGGGGGAAAAAAGTGCAAAAAGAAAAGTAGAGAGGGTGGAGCAGGGGATGCGGCGAGTGGACCCCCAGTGGGTGCTCGGGGCGCGCGGGGTGTTGCTGCTGCTGGACGCCCTCCCCGCACCTCCGCCCCAGGCGCGGGGCCTGCCCCAACCCTCGCGCGGCCCCTCCCCCGTTCCCCCTCCCCGCCGAGCGGGCCTGAGCCGCGGAGCAGCTACGCGAGTGCGGAACTCGGGGCGCGGGCGGCGGTGGGGCCCGGGCGCGGGCAGGGCTGGCCATGGCGCGGGCGGCGGGCGCGCGGGGCCCTGCCGGGTGGTGCAGGAGGCGCGGGCGCTGCGGGCGGGGCACGCTCCTCGCCTTCGCCGCGTGGACCGCGGGCTGGGTGCTGGCGGCCGCGCTGCTGCTCCGCGCGCACCCGGGTGTCCTCTCCGAGCGCTGCACCGACGAGAAGAGCCGGCGCATCCTGGCCGCGCTGGTAGGTCCCGCCGCCGCTCTGCCCCGCGCCGCGCGTCCGGGGAGGGGGGATCACACCCGCTCCCGGTCCCCAGCCTTCCCGGGGACTTGGGTGGCGGTGGCACCCGCCGGGGACATGGGTTCCCGACACCTGCGTGGAGTGCCAGAGGCGCACGCCCCGGTCCCCCGAATGGGGACGCAGCCGGCAGTGCTCTGTGGGCGCGCTGGGGGTGTCTCTCCCCTTTTCGCCAGAATTCGCCCTTTGTCCCCAGACAGCCTCTCCGTCCTACCCTCGCCACCCCTGAGCCCGAGCTCCGGAAGAAAGTTTGCGGGTCTGATCCGAGTGTCCAGGGAGGTGCCGCGTCCGGTGTCAGGCCGCCGGGCTCGGGGCGCAAGCCAGTGCGGGGTTCGGGATCCGGGGTGCCACGCCTCTGTCTCTCGGGTCCGCAGCGCTCCAGCCCAGCCCGCGTTCTGTGATTCCACCCTGAGCTGCCAGGTCACCCCCTATCTCACCGAGCCCATGCGGAGGGCTGGTCTGACCCCGGCCCCCCTGCGCTCCAGAGCCCAGGCTCTCCGCGGTCGCGGTCTGTGGGAACCGACGCAGTGTGCGCTCGGGCGAGCAGAGAGCGCTGCGGAGGCGGCTGGGACCGGGAGGATCCCGGGTCCCGGTCCTCGACAGGCGCCTCCTAACCTGGGAGGGCCCGAAAGCTCGCACCCAGCAGCTCCTCAGCTGAGCCAGAGAATTAGGGAGAGAAAGAAACATTTCGCATTTTGCAGACTGCTGCGTACGCTGGGCTCACATCATATGAATGAAACGCCCACCTTTAGTTGATTGGAAACTTGGCTAGCCGTTCTTTCAGGCGCAAAGGAGACTTCAGTAAAGGTGGGAGTCCCCTAAATCCCAGAAAGGGGAAGATAGTAGCAGCTACTCTTACATGACTTCTTAAGCGATTATTCATTTCCTAAAATAGTGACCATCTAAGCATTTGGTTTGAAAAGAGATCTATTTTCTAAAAAATCTTCAAGAAACACATGGGAAGTTTTCAGTCCAGTTGCTTACATATGGGTGGGCCTTTTGAGATTGTAGATTTTCAAAATGTGGGACCACAAAGTTTTTAAAGTAAATGATTTTTTAAGTGAGATTGAAATTGTTTTTTAAAAAAATGAGCCAGGTATACTAGCTAAGACAAGTTATGCTCCTAATTGATTCTGACGCGTGTCATCGTGTCATCGTGAATTGAACATAGGTGAGTCACTCATAGATTCTATTGACCCCTTCTAGTGTTACACTGAAGTTTTAGCAAGTTTTGTTGTTGTTGGTTTGGTTTTTTTTTTCTTTTTCTTTTTCTTTTTTTTTTATGGAGTTTTGCTCTTGTCTCCCAGGCTAAAGTGCAATGGCGTGATCTCGGCTCACCGCAACCTCCACCACCATGCCTGGCTAATTTTGTATTTTTAATAGAGATGGTGGTTTGTCCATGTTGGTCAGGCTCGTCTCGAACTCCCAACCTCAGGCGATCCGCCCACTTCGGCCTTCCAAAGTGCTAGGATTACAGGCGTGAACCACCACACCGGGCCAGTTTTATGAAGTTTTAAGTTGCAAGAGCTCTTTGATTTTTCTTAGTAACCCATAAAAGTCCTTTTCATTTATAAATTTTTCCCCCCTGGTTTTCTTTTTTTGTGAAGGGAGTGCTGATAGACTAATTATAGTAAACAAACATTGATGGTTTAACTAGAGGGGAATACCTATTTACAAATTTAATGTAGTAATCCTTTAGATTAAGATAGAAAACGAATGCCATTTTTCATTTACCTTTGGTTAAGTGAGGAAAGGCTTAATAATGGAAATTAAATCGTCTAGTATAATTTAAGTAATTGCTAATCATGACTTTCCCAGCATTCCAGGTCATGAATTAAAACCAATTCTGTTTAGAGGCTTTACCAATATATCTTCAATGGCAGCCATATGGAATCATTTCTAGTCAGACATAAAGCTGGAGAGGTTGGTTCTGCCCCTGAAGATCGAAGGTTTGGCAGTCTTTCCTATTGCCAAAAGAACGATGTCGGAGGCCACATCCATCTCCCTAGGTGTCGATGTGACGCTGTCTCCACGAACTGGTTTGTGGGGGAGCAGACTTTGCCACAGGCCCTGTTTGAGTTCCTTACTCTTTACACATTCTCAGAACTCTTTCTCCCCCTGTCTTCCTGCCACTTCCTTTTCTACCGTTTTCATCCTGGATGTGTTGATGCGAGATCCACACAGTGCCCTGGCTCAAATTTTACCCAGGACACTCTCAGGACAGGGTTTAAATACGACCCCAATCTTCACAATCCCAACTCTGCTGGGCTGAGTTGCCAAGTAGAGGTTGGCATTGTGGCTTCCGAGGACTTGAACTGAATTGAGCCTCTGTCTCCGCTCCCCTGGCACTTTCCAATTCATTCTGCCTGGCTTTTATCCGTAATAATAAAACTGGTTGTTATTTTCCTGATGGGCCTCCAGACTCTCATTAGCTTTCACTCTGAATACCAGAGCACAGAAGAAACCACTTTGCCAGCTGAGCTGAAGGGAGACTTTCTGGCAGCGCCCAGGGAGTTGTGGTGGATTCCCCACCCCCAGTAGCGGGGGCTGCCAGTGTTCCCAGGCTCTCGCCTGGCGGGGGGCGTTGCTGGCCTGGCAGGGGTGAACCCACCTGTAGGATAAAGGAATCAGAGGAAAAAGCTTAGGGACGAGTCAGGGGATGGGGGTCAGAGGTCTCCATGTTCTCCCCAAGCCCACACTCCACCTCCCCAGGGAGGTTCCCCTCTAGCCAACCACACCCCCCTGACAAGTTTCTAGAAGAGCCAACCTGAATTGTTCCAAAGGAATTGAGTCCCTGGTCTTCCAGCTTGGATTTTCCTGGTCAGACTCTAGGGCTCCTCTTAATGGCAGCTTTAATAGGAACAACACACTGTAATCAAGAAATAGGTGCACTCAGATCTCTGGAGGCCCGCTTTTCTAGTGGGCTGTGTCAGCAGGCCCAGCCAGCTGGGGAGCTAGCTTGGTGCTGGATCACTGATACACCTGGCTTCTCATTCATTCTGCAGGCTGAACTCTTCACACAGAGGCTGAAGATGTGGGCTGCTGCCTGTTGACTCTTCCTCTGGGAAGGCACTGTGCGAATTGTTTCGTGGGGCTTATTTCACTGAATTCCCTCAACAACCTCTATGAAGTATTTGCTTTTAGTATCCCCATTTTACAGATGGCAAAACTGAGCCCCAGGGAGGTGAAGTGACTTGCCCTGCTTCACACGGTGAATATGGTGAGGAGCCAGGACATGACTCTGTGTAGTCTGATGGTAGCAATGACGTGACAGTAAGTGGCTTCTCTAATAATGGAAACCCTACATAACAACTCGTATACTTAACCCTTCCATAGCAAATCATTTTCAAAGCATGTCAAAGATATTCCCACAGACTCTGTTGTCCTGAAGGCTTAACTGCCTTTTGGCTAGTTAGGTCTTGATGGAATTTCATGTAGTTGTCTACATTAGAGATTCGGTTTTAATAGGGCAGGCTTATCTTTCTTTGCTGCTGTGATAGAAACTGTCAAGGTCCCAATGGGACTACAGCATCCAGGGCTCATATCCAGAGAGATTTCTCAGCAGCGAATGGTTCTGCCTGAATGCTCGGCCACATTCCTAAAGTAGGGAGCGGTTACACAGTGGACGAGCTAACTGAGCTGAGATTCTGCAAAGCACAGCATAGCTACTTCGGGAAGGAATACCACTGTGAAGTCTGAATGTTGCTAACTGCCTAGGAGCTTAATGCTCCTTAAAAACAAACACACAAAAGGAAACCCGGCCCTCAGACATGACCTCTGGGACCTTATCAACAGTTTTTCTAGACTAGAGTGGACAGGTTTTGTTTTTGCCTGAGAACCATGACATAAATTAGAGACATACTAAGCAATGATTGCAAAGAGTGCTGCTTACCAAAGCTGGGGCTGATTTGATGGGAATGTGCATCAATGTAGATATTTTCACATCCATGAGAAGCACAAATCCACTGCAAATGTTATTAAATTTTAAAAGCACACTAGAGTTAGCTGCAATGAGACTTTAACTTGTTTTTTTCAGTTTATTTTCAACTCCAATACCTGTGGATTTTATATGCGCACACATTTGGGTACAAAAATGTACCTGTCTTTAAGCTGGCCTTAGGAACTCCTCCTACGCACAGAAGGAGTCTGAGAAAGACTGATTTTTAAAATGGACCTGCATAAACAACTTCTATTGAGTTAAAAAAAAACCCAGCTATTTCAACAGGACATGCTGCTAATAAAATGATTCTACTATTATCTTTAACATGATGAAAGTTTTTGGAGTTTTTGTTTGTTTTCTTGAGACAGGGTGGCTCACTGCAGCCTCTACCTCCCAGCCTCAAGCAATCCTCCTGTCTCAGTCTCCCAAGTAGCTGGGACTATAAGTGTGGCCCAGCTAATTTTTTTTTTTTTTTAATTTTTGTAGAGACAGGGGTCTTGCCATGTTGCCCACCCAGGCTGGTCTTGAATTCCTGGGCTCAAGTGATCCTCCTGCCTCAGCTTCCCAAACTGCTCGGATTACGGGCATGATCCACTGTGCCTGGCCCGATGAAAATTTTAAATTCAAACTTGCAATTTGTACATTAAGTTGACTGTTTTTTTTTAAAAGGCTGGATGAAATCTTTTTCTGTGCTTAGCAGGCACAGACATGCAGAACAATGCTGCAGACTTACTTTAACACTGGTAAGCCATGGGAGACGAATTTTGCACTCTACATAAGAAGAGTAGGAACTGAAACGCCAAAAATACTTCATTGTAAAGGATATCAAGGAATATCTGTGCCATAACCACACTTGTATACAGACGGTCCCTGACTTTTAATGATTTCACTTATGATTTTTCAACTTTATGACAGGGTGAAAGTGAGATGCATTCAGTAGAAACTGCACTTTGAGGATCCATGCAACCGTTCTGCTTTTCACTTTCAAGGCAGTTTTCAATAAATTACGTGAGATAGTCAACACTTTATTTTACATAGGCTTTGTATGAGATGATTTTGCCCTGCCATAGGCTGACGTAAGTGTTCTGAGCATGTTTAAGGTAGGCTGGGCTAAGCGATGATGCTCAGTGCGTTAGGTGTATGAAACGCATTTTCAACTTACTCTGGGGTTGTTGGGGTATCATCCATTTTAAGTTGAGGAAGAGCTGTGTGCGTTTTAATGCTCTCTTAGGACAAGCGCGGTGACTGGGATACTGAAAAGTTAGGTTATAAACCCAAGACCTTACCTGTGGAAGCTGGCAGGTCTGGTCAGCGCTTTTGTCACCTGCTGCACTTTCTGCCCTTTCTGACACCCAGTGTCGCCGCAAGAAGCAGGCGTCAGGGAGGCAGGTTTACAAGTCAATGTGCTGATCTTCAGAAAAACAGCCAAAATGAACGTTTCCTTCCAAAATCCATGAGCTGGATGCCAAATTCAAAGTTATACCATTGTTCTAAATGTCTCACAACTCCTGTTTGGAATCGCCCTCCAAATTCACAGGGGCAAATCTCGTATAGATTTGTATTTCATCGATGAGGCACAGTTTGTGTTAAACACGGTGCTGTGGGGACCTGGCCCAGTGATGCACTCACATGGCCATGATTTAATGAGCACTGGGGTAGGAGAGGAAGACAAGAATTCCACTTAGGGGTGGGACTGGCTTCCGGGCAAAGGTTGATTTGGCCAGGCCGGGTAGGAAGCGTGTAAGTACAATGGAGACACCCAAAACGGCATTTCGAATAGCGCAGCCCAGCCTGTCAGTAGGTGCTTGCTTCAACTGTGCCCTCTCCTCCCAGGGGCTGTTTCTGGTTCTCTGAACACACAGGGCTACTTTGAAACTCGGGGCCTTTGCACAAGTTCTTCTCCGTGACTCAGCTGCCCTCTCCCTTGTCTGCTAAGGCAGACTTCTAATTCGCTTTCAAAATTGAGCTCAGAGGCGTCTCCCCCAGGAAGAAGATGCCCCGGCCCCCCACCCTTTCCTGGCCAGGGCTGGAGAGGGAGCTAGCTTTGAGCGAGCCACCTTAGGCCGGGCACTGTGTTGGGACTGTCTCCCTGTGACCTTGTTTGACTCCATTACACAGTACCATTGTCCTCATTTTCCAGACTCGGAAACAAGCCACACAGCAAGCCAGGGGCAGAGCCCAGAGGCAGACCCAATCTGTGCCAAGCTTAGCCTCACTGTGGCCCTGCCCTGTCACTCTAATGTCATTTAGGAATTTCGAAGCCTGTCCCCTCTGCTCCGTGAACTCCGGAACCTGGCAGCTGTGGCCAGATGGTGGCCCATCCAGGCTCATGCACAGCTGGGAAAGCTGGAGCTGTTGATTTGGGAGTGGCCCAGTCCCAATCCCAGTGAGGCAGAGAGGAGGTGGCTTCTTGGCCGGCAGGTGTCTCTCATGGCTAGTGGCTATGGTGGCCACAGTTCAGATGAGAGGGGTGAGGGCCCTGGCAGTCACAGTAGGCACCCTCCTCACTCTGCTTTTCACAGGCTAATGGAAAACCAGGCCCAGTGTCTCTGACATTTTTCTCCTGAGCCTCCTCTCTCAGTTGCAACCAGGACCACATCTCCCCGCCCTCCCCTCCTCAGCACTGTGGGACTCTGAAGCTCCCAGCTTAGGATCACACCTTTGGCTGCACTGGAGTCCTGTTGTGTGCTTTTCTTTCTTTTTCAATGGTTCTCTACTTTATGCAAAAGTACTTTTGATTAAATTAGATATGTGATAACACTATAAAATTTTATGGGAGTGAATCCAACTATTTTGGGTATCATGCTTACAGAAGCTTTTTTTTAATTTAAAAGGAGATCAGGAAACAATTTTTTTTGCACTTTCTTATCAGATTTATAGAGACGTGAAACTATGTAAATACCAGAACAAGTAGGGGACAAACCCCAACAAGTAAAATGAACAGCCCTTACTGTTCCTGCCATCTATATCTTCTTGCTCACGGTGGCCTCAGTTCCTTATCATTCGTCCTCACCTCACCTCTCAGGGCTCTCCTGAAAGGTCTCAGAGGAGCCTGACCAGCTGCCGCTTTCCTCCGAAGGGCGATGTGGAGGTGATCGCAAGCAAAGCATGCTGGGCGCAAAGGGTCCGGATCCTCCCATGCACCTTTCATGACCCCGTGCCTGGGAAAGAGTGACCCGGGTTAAAGCCAAAGAATGACATTTAACCAAGATTCTGTTGAGTTCAATTCCAAGATGAACACAGGAGGTGCACAACTCCAAATGTGTTTAAAGCAGCTGGTGAGTGTGTGTTCATACAACTTCCTAAAGGATGTGGGTTTCCAAAGACATAAAGTCAGCCCCAGGCAAATAGGGTGGTGTCACTAGCTCCAGGGCGAGGTTCCTGAGTTTCTATCTACAGGCCTGTCTCGCGTGCATCATTGTGTTAGCCAAGCAAGACCCCCCTCATCCCCGCCCAATGCATTATACAGAGATCTAAAATGCAGCGGCTGGCAGGAGCACCCCCGCAGCAGGAAGCCAGGGGGGCAGTCAGACAGCTTGGCATTGGCCTTTCAGGCTGTTGTACTACCTGAAATAGTTCTGAAAAATATCTAGATACCTCTTTTAAGCACTGGGAGTGCTTCTTTTCAGTAAGCGCTTTGAACGATTAGCCTGCAGTGTTTATAAAGGCCCCCAGTCCCTCTCTTATCTGCTGTTTTGGGGCCAGGTGTGTCTCAAAATTCAAATCTTGTTGAATGTTAGAAAGATCATATAGTACCTTATATTTTGCTTATGGGGCAGTGCCAGTAATCAAGTTAATAATTCTACAGCAAAATGTATGCGAATTCACATCAAGTCAAACACATATAGATACAAATAGGCTCGTGTCTTTTCAGCTGGGTTTTGACACCACATAAGGTCAAATGAGTCATGAAAAACTCGTAGTTTTCAGAGGCTTTTTGACTTTGGATTTTTTTTTTTGAGACAGATTCTTGCTCTGTTGCCCAGGCTGGAGTGCAGTGGCACAATTTCAGCTCACTCCAACCTGCGCCTCCCGGTTTCAAGTGATTCTCCTGCCTCAGCCTCCCTAGTAGCTGGGACTACAGGCATGCACCACCATGCCCAGCTAATTTTTGTATTTTTAGTAGAGACCAGGTTTAGCCATGTTGGCCAGGCTGGTCTTGAACTCCTGGCCTCAAGTGATCTGCCCGCCTCGGCCTCCCAAAGTGCTGGGGTTACAGGGGTGAGCCACCATGCTCAGCCTGATTTTGGAATTATTTATACATCTAGACACTGGAGGTCCAGCTTTTGACCTCAAGGAGCTACTTGTAATCTGCTTGGAATGGGTAAAGCTGATCTACCTAGCCACCTGCGAGGCTGGGCAGTATCTGATTATGAACCCAAGGCTGTTCCCAGGCTTCTCCTGATGCCTGGTGCTCGTGCATACACTGTGGTGTGCACACACACTTCCCTCTTGGCCAGTACAATCATCATGCAGGGAGGCAGGGAGTGTGACGCAAGGAAGGAGTTTGAGGCCCAGAGCAGGTAAGGATGTGGCAGCGTGGTTAGACCATGGAATCCAAGCTCAGTGGCCCTTGGCCCCATCCTTTGTCCCAGCACCAAGCTGCCCTTTGCTACTGTTGAGCCTTCAAGGTCCTTTCTCACAAATGAAATGGGGTGAGAACAACAGCTTTGGGATTTGGTATTTCTCATGCCCTTAGAGGAACGAGGGTGACTCTGTTGTTTCATGTGCTATAGAAGTTCCTGGAAGGAAGAGCGGCCTTTATTTGCTGACATGGAGGAAGATTCATTTGTCGGGGAAATGGGCGGGATTAGGAAATACACTCAACCCCTAATCAAAGTGGTCCCATGGTTTAGATTTTCTGAAAAACAAAAGAGAGAAGAGGATGACAGTCTTCTCCTTCCTTCCATTCTGCACTTCTTCCTTCCCTGCCTCTGGCAGGATTATCGGGCTGGACGGGCTTCTCAGGGAATTTGTGGTGTGGTGGGGAAGGTCGCCAGGTCCCCTAGTGGCTCCATCTTAAGGCCTCCTGAGGTTTAGGAGAAACACCCCATCCGGGGGCTCCTGGACAGCCTTGCTCACCGCCGCTCAGATGCAAACACTCCCTACTCTTTTATCCTGCATGGGTCCTCCTTGGTCCCTCCTCTTCTCCAGGTCACCAGCCATGAGCCCTGTGCCCACTCATGTGTCCTCTAGAGGCTTCTCCTCTAAACATCTGCAAACCTGCAGCCTGCAAGCTTTATAGGGCACTCCATTTCATGTGGAAAACAGTAAGCTCAAGGAATGTACTTGCAGGAAGGGTCATTACTGCGGTCAAGCCTGGGGGCAGATAGGGCTCCTGGGGTCCCCTCTGCTGAGACCTGACCTAGCTGCTTAGATGTGGGACTTAGAAGCTCTCCCAGTGACCCTGAAGTGTAGGCAGAGTCGAGAGCTACTGGCCTGGTCCAGCCCCTTCACCTGTTGGTTTCCTGGCCTCTGGCTTTCCCGGAGTCACCCAGCTGAACGATGGGAAGTCGTGCTTCCCGGCCGCAGGTGTCCTGATTCTGTAGACCCGTCCTAGGCCTGACTGAGTCGTGTAATGACTGTGAGCGGCTCCTTTAACCTTCCTCTGAATTACTCACTGGCTGAGTGGCCTCTGAGATCCACAGGGCTGAGGTTTCTCTGCACAGCTGGATTATCAGCGTCCTGAGGGCAGAGGCTAGGCTGTCCCCTTCCCTAACCCGAGCCGAGAGACGGATGGCACCAGGCCCTCCCCATGGTGACCGACTGTTCCCTTCCTTCCAGTGCCAGGACTACCAGGGCGGCACGCTGGCCGGGGACCTCTGCGAGGACCTGTGTGTGGCGGGAGAGCTGCTGTTCCAACGCTGCCTGCACTACAACAGAGGCAAGAAGGTGCTGCAGGCCGACTGGCGCGGCCGGCCCGTGGTCCTCAAGTCCAAGGAGGAGGCCTTCTCCAGCTTCCCGCCCCTCAGCCTGTTGGAAGAGGAGGCAGGGGAGGGTGGCCAGGACATGCCCGAGGCCGAACTCCTCCTGATGGTGGCTGGGGAGGTCAAGAGCGCTCTGGGCCTGGAGTTGTCCAACAGCAGCCTGGGGCCGTGGTGGCCGGGCAGGCGGGGCCCACGCTGGCGGGGACAGCTGGCCAGCCTGTGGGCCCTGCTGCAGCAGGAGGAGTACGTCTACTTCAGCCTGCTGCAGGACCTGAGCCCACACGTGCTGCCCGTGCTGGGTTCCTGCGGCCACTTCTACGCGGTGGAGTTCCTGGCCGCGGGCAGCCCCCACCACAGGGCACTCTTCCCCCTGGACCGGGCCCCAGGTGCCCCTGGGGGTGGCCAGGCCAAGGCCATCAGTGACATCGCACTCAGCTTCTTGGACATGGTGAACCATTTTGACAGTGACTTTTCCCACCGCCTCCACCTCTGCGACATCAAGCCGGAAAACTTTGCCATCCGGAGCGACTTCACAGTAAGTGGCGCAGGTCGGTGTGTTTATGTGCAGAGAACGGAGCTCTCGGGTCTGGAGGGAAGGAAATGAGAAGGTTTCTGAGCTCCTGGCCTGAGTTAGCAAACTACTGTTGCTTCTGCAGCCTTAGAGAACTCCCACCTACCAGAACACTTCCTTCCGGGTGTTAGTAAGGAACAGATGCATCTCCAGTGAGAATCTGAATGAACGGAGCCCACAGTGGGAGGCAGAGGCCGGGCCAGCTTCGTCCTCCCAGAGGGCTGCTCTGGTTCCTTCACCTGAGCTCTGTGGCTGCTTTGAGCTCACGTAACAGCAACCTCTCCTGCGGGCCTGTTTAACTTGTGCGGAAAACAGTCCGCAGGAGGCAAGGAGCTGCAGAAGACCATGAGGGAGGATGGCCTCCGGTGTGGAGAGGCTGCTCTCAAGCTGCCCATGCTCTGTGACAACATGTAACTTTTCCCAGTGCTTTTTGTCTGGAGAGGTTCCAGTCAGTTTCCATTCCGTATGTAAGACTTCTAGAGGAACAAATGGGGTTTTAGTGCCTTCCACAAGGGAAAGCCCTGCCAGGTAGAAATATCTGTCACCGCACCACGGGGCACGTGGGGCCAGGCAGCTGCGTGAGAACAGGGAGGTGTGCAAGAACGGCAGCAGGAGCCTCAGTGTCTCCGTGTAACACAAACCCCTCTCCCTTCACCCAGCTAGGCGAACACTGATGGGTCAGATTCATGCTGCTGCGATCATCCCAGTGCCCTCACGCTGTGCCAGTCGCTGGGACCATCCAACAGGAAGTAGTAATAAGACTGGCAGGCATGTCATGGGTGCGGGATGGGTTTGGGGAGGGCGGAGTGCTCTGCTCCCCCACCTGCTGTAACGAGTTCATTCTTAGGCGGCCAGTGCCGGCAGCTGAACGGCCAGACCAGCTTAGCTCGTCACCTGGGCATGCTGGTCACTGTGGAGCCTGGCTCATGGTGGGGTCGTGCTCTTCAGCATGGTTGCAACATAAAAGGACAAAAAGCAGGCACTGTGACTGCCAGTCATGGCCTCCAAGGCAGGTGGCATAGGAATGGCATGGTCTTCTGAAAGCAGCTGGAAAACTAAATTTGCTGCCGGTGTAAATCCCTTCTCTAAGCATGCCCTCATGCCTGTGAAGGGCATCATACATCTTACCCTCAGTGCTTTGTCCTAATGCCTTGCCCCCTGCTGCCCTGGAGGGGCTGACAACCTACGGGTGCCTCAAAGTGTGGCAAGGAAATAACTAGGAGGTTCTGGGAGGTTCCAGGAGGTCTGTGTGCTGGGCTGGCAGCTCTGGGGGAACTCACCCGCGTCTGCAATTCCCTGAGTGCCATGTGCGTCTCCCAGACACTGTCCTGATATGTGTGTTGGGGGGAAACGACCCACAGCCACACTAAGGCCTTGGGGAGGAAGTCAGGGAGTGTCCACGTACAACCCCCACCCCCAGCTCTGGGCAGCTGCGGGCCAGTTCTCGCCACTCAGTCACTCCCTTCTTCCTCCAGCAGGTATCAGTGGGCATCAATGAGTGGGACCCAGAAGGTGCTGTAATTGTTGAGGGAATTTCAAGGATATCTGCTTCTCGAAGGAGCTGGGGCTGATGGGGTCTGTGATGCCGAGTGGGCGACATCAGATGCTTTTACCTACATACTTGTTGATTATCCAGTTACTGGTTTGTGGGAGCCCCCTAAGTTGTGCCTCCAGTATCTTGCACACCATCAGCAGAAAATATTTGTTCAATGAAATCGTGACTATGCGTCCTCAACCTAGCCCCAGACTGTGTTTTGTCGGCTGGTGCTGCACCGCTCAGGGCTCTTACCTCCACTGCAGCCTTGGCCTGGACAAGAATAGGGAGGGGAGGGCAGGAGGAGTCCCCTTCACCAGTCCGGTTCTCGACCCTTCTTGCAGACCCTGAGGTTCAAGGAGTTATTTTACCCAAGACTGTACAACTTTTAAGTGAAAACCAACAGTATCTGCTTCACCAGAGAGCTCATTTAGAAATGCAAACTTTCAGATGCCACGCCAGACCTATTGAATCTGAAACGATGGGGTGGGAGCCAGCAATCCCTGTCTTCAAAACAAGGCTTCTAGTCGATTCTCATATGTGCTTAAGTTTGAGAGCTAGTGATCTCAGAGTCCCGGCGGGTGGGTCCTGCCTTTGAGCCCAGGTTGCTGGGCTGCCCTGGCAGAAGGAAGGGGCGCCTCCCAGCAGAGGTGTAAGAATTGGTCATTCACAGTCATTCTCTCATCTGCAGGGCAGGTGCCCACTTGCAGATCTTGAGAAAGTGTCCAGTGGCTGTAAATGAATAACTAGGAACCTTCATGATCTGAAACTATTGCCAGCCAGTGCTCTTTTCCAACAGATGGTATGGCTTCCTACTCCAGGGCCACAGTTTTTGGTGAAGAATGAAATAATTCTCATTCATCTTCCTCCTCTGATGCCAGGAGGAAGTCTGAAGAAGATGAGGCAAGTTAGGTAATTTTATGCAGGAAGGACTTTATGATTCTCCTGATATTAAGAAACATGATGTAGGTTTTTCTGTTTTTTTTTTTAATACTGTTCTTATTTTAGGTGCATAGGGTTATGTTTATAACAGCTGCAATCCATTCTAGACCCCATACACTAAAAATTAAAAAATAAACCTGGCTCTCCCTGGGAGATGAGAAGGAAACTATCAGAAATGGGAAGGAGAAGTTGCAAGAAGCTAAAATTCTGAGTAGGGGCCCAGGGGAGGCTGGGGAGATCGGCAGAAACCATAGAAAGAATAGAAGAGTCGTGTAGCCCCAGTAATGAATTATAAAGATGGGAGATTCATTAGCATAGTCCTTATTCACTTATTAACCAGAGTAAATAATGAAATCGGCTATTTGTTGTGGCTAAATAATGGGATAGGAAAGATTAAAATGAGAAGTTGTTTACAGCACCTGAATTAGTAATTAGACAAAACCCCTTACATAGAGAAAAGGTCTATATTGTTTATCTTCATTATTCTCCACATATTTTGAAATAAATAATTCCCCCTACTCTGTTTTACTAAATAATCCCTAAGAAACTTCATTGCCTTCTAGCATCAATCCTGAATGAAAAACTAAAACCAAAACCAAAAGGTGCCTCCCAGACTGCGTAGAATTGAAGAGGGAATGAACAACAAATGCAACCCTTTTTGAAACTCCCAGGGGGAGACAGAAAGGCTGGTATCTCGATGCTGACCTGTGAAGGCTTGTGAAATGCCACTGACTCCATCAAATTCATCAACTGTCCTAGTGGCTGTTTAATACCTCGAAGCTATAAACGGCTTGATTTGGGCAGATTCCAGGTTTTCTCAGGTTTGAGCTCATCTGTTTTTGTTGTTGCATCCAGGTGGCGGAGGAAGAGCTGCATAATTTAGAAGTTATTCTCTCTCTGGTTTTGAAGTCTGTTTGGTTGGATGCCAGGGAGATAAATCTGAAGTTCCAGGGGTCATCAGGTTCTCACAATGACAGTGGAACTCAGGCGTCGCTCCTGTTCAGGGCCTCTGCGTATCAGTCCTAATTCGATAACTTTGATATTTCCCCCACTTTGTCGTCTGACTGGTCAGTCCAAAGCCAGCTGACTCAGGTAACAGACGTGTCATGAAGAGAACGTAGGCACTGCCCGCCTCAGTTTCTCCATCACACCCGGAGACCAGCCACTCGAATGTGGCTTCCCTGGATAGCTTGTATTCACGGAATAGGTTCTCTGTATCTTACAGCTTTTACAGTCCTGAATCTTGAAGGTCACAGACCCAAGTGATAAGGCAGTAGAGGGGAAATTCATGTATAACGCCTCTCAGAGATTCTACTTGCAAAGCTGAGAAAGTGTCTAAAGATGAAAAGCAATACTTGTGGTGATAGTTCCAAATCCTGGGCTTTCACCCATGGCTGCAGAGGTCCTTTTTGCAGTTAAAGCCTTCCGCTGTAGCTATGACAGTTGCCTGTGTAAAAGAAAATGCGGCCGGGCACGGTGGCTCATGCCTATAATCCCAGCACTTTGGGAGGCCGAGGCGGGCAGATCAGGAGGTCAGGAGATCGAGACCATCCTGGCTAACACGGTGAAACCCCGTCTCTACTAAAAATACAAAAAAATTAGCCGGGTGTGGTGGTGGGCACCTGTAGTCCCAGCTACTCTGGAGGCTGAGGAAGGAGAATGGCGTGAACCCGGAAGGCGGAGCTTGCAGTGAGCCCAGATCGCGCCACTGCACTCCAGCCTGGGTGACAGAGTGAGACTCCGTCTCAATTAAAAAAAAAAAAGAAAAAGAAAAAGAAAATGCATGCAGACACTTTAGGGGATGAATCCACTCCCCAGGGCATGGCTGGGGCTTTCCTCTTGGCTCTTGGGACTTCTGGGATCACCTGTGACCTGGACAGTGGCACCCGCACGAGGTGAACAGAAGTTGTGAACAGGCTCCCTCTCTGCAGAGCCCACCAGTAGCCCTTTGATAGCCCCGTGCTGTTTTGATTACAGGTGGTGGCTATTGATGTGGACATGGCCTTTTTTGAACCTAAAATGAGGGAAATCCTTGAGCAAAACTGCACAGGAGATGAAGACTGCAATTTCTTTGACTGTTTTTCAAGATGTGATTTACGAGTCAACAAATGCGGAGCGCAGCGCGTAAACAACAACCTGCAGGTATGAGAGTCCGCCAGGGCTGGGGGAGGAGAGGGTGCTCTTTGGCTGTTTCTGCCCGCTAGCTCTTCAGATACCCTCAGTGGAGCTCAAGGTCGACCTTTTCAGGCCATCCATCTGGATCGATGTGGTCAATAAAGGCAGGACGGTGGGGATGGGACAATCGTGCTCTTGGTTGCCTGCCCCCAGGGTTGTTGGTCAGGCGACCAGGGGCATCTGATGAGGGAGTTCCCTGCAGAGCTGGCTGCTGGGCTTCCTCTTGCCCAGGCTCCACCCCACGTATCTACAACCTCTCATAAACATGGGCACATACACTATGAGAATCCTGAGACTAATCCATCAAAGATAATACTGAGAAGGGTGCAAAGCAGTCCTGAGACACTGGCCTAACTAGAGGTTAGACAGAAACCACCATCCAGACAGGCCAGAGGTCAGGACCAGGAGGTGGTTTAGACAGGAAGAAAGGAGCCAAGTCCAGGAGATCAGCTACAAGTGGAATACATACAGGGTTCAGGCATTCAGAGCTGGCGGGTCTCAGGTCCCCCATCTGGGGTTGGATCATCTCTCTTCTTTTGGCAGAAGCTGTCTCCTTCTGCCCTCACTTGAGGCTCTCAGGTGAGGGAGGATGCATCTGGGCCCACAGGTGCTGATCATACCCGGAGGAGGCCCCACAGTGTCTAGGCAGACCTTCCCCATGGCCTGGTTGCATGCGATGGCTTACAGAGGCTCTGGACCCACACTATCCAACCCGCTCCCCTAGTGGGCCCTCCACTGTAGCTTGTCCTCCTCATTCCTTAAACCTGAAAGGCCAATGTGAGCCCACTGCAGACCCAAAACGCAGGTAAGGTGGGAGCAGGAGAGGGGAGCCCAGCATGGTGCTGCATCAGCTGTGATGGGGGATGATTTGGGAAGGCTGGGACAGGTCCGCTGTTAACCTAGTGGTCCCAGCCAGGCCAAACAAACACCCCGACTCTGCCACCCCAGGGTCTACACAGACCTTCTGGGCCAAAGAATCACTGAGTAATTCCCCTTTCAGGAAGCCTAGGAATGTAGTGGCTTTCAGAGGCGTCTCCATCCCAGCCTCTTTAATGTGGACTCACACCCTTGATGGGGTTCGTCATGAAATCATTCTTCTTGAGCTGTGGGAAGAAGATAACTTTCACCTGAGCATCCACCGCCTTGCGATCCCAACCCTCAAAATGGGAACACAAACGCCTGCTCTTTGCAATGTAACGAGAGGCTGAGTTTATACCCTTTCTGTAGAAAGGGCTCTTACCGATTCATTAAGGGGCAAGAGGAACACACAGAAAATTGGCAGGAGAACAGACACCGAATACACAACCAATGAAATCCAAATGGCCAAACAACTTGGAAAAGTATTTTATCTTACCATTCAAAGACATTCAGATTAAAATCCAATGATAGTAAATTTCACTTACCAATTGGGAATAGTTCTTTAAATGCTATTAATTAACAGTTGAGGCTTCAGGGAAATAGAAAAGTGTCTATATTG
This sequence comes from Homo sapiens, assembly GCF_000001405.40. Lineage (NCBI taxonomy): Eukaryota > Metazoa > Chordata > Mammalia > Primates > Hominidae > Homo > Homo sapiens. The sequence continues at coordinate 74,440,441 of NC_000018.10, read as the reverse complement.
TTAACGTGATTGTAATGAATTACTTCTCTCTTGAGGGGATGTGGCTGTTAGACATAGCCATGCTCTTTAGCTGAGCAATTTTATTTGTGCACATATCTGGTTATTGACTTTGAATACAGTCCTAGAAATGAAATTACATTTTCTTTAAGGATATGAGAAAATATGAAGCATTATTAGGTGAAAAAAATGCAGGTTACAAATTAATATTTACAATACGATCCCATAATCCTAGCACTTTGGGAGGCCGAGGTGGGTGGATCACAAGGTCAGGAGATCGAGACCATCCTGGCTAACACGGTGAAACCCCGTCTCTGTTAAATATACAAAAAATTAGCCGGGCGAGGTGGCGGGCGCCTGCAGTCCCAGCTACTCGGGAGGCTGAGGCAGGAGAATGGCGTGAACCCGGGAGGCGGAGCTTGCAGTGAGCCGAGATTGCATCACTGCACTCCAGCCTGGGCAACAGAGCGAGACTCCGTCTCAAAAAAAAAAAAAAAAAAGTATACGATCCCTTATATACCAAAATGTCAAAAGCAAGTATTTATGGAAGGTAGGATTACAATTTTCTTTATCTATTTTATATTTTCTTACTTTTTTACTTTTTATTTCTGTTTTATTTTATTTTAGAGACAGGGTTCGCTTCATCACCCAGGCCAAAGTGCAGTGGCACAATCATAGCTCACTACAGCCTCGAACTCCTGGGCTCAAGTGATCCTCTCACCTCAGCCTCCCAAATAAATGGGACTACAGGTGTGTGCCACCACATGTAGCTAATTTTTTAATTTATTTTTTGCAGAGACATGGTCTCACTATGTTGTCCAGGCTGGTCTCAAACTTCTGGTCTCAAGTGATCCTCCCATCTTGGCCTCCCAAAATTCTGGGATTACAGGCTTGAGCTACCACACCCAGCCTTAATTTTCTGCATTTTGAACCCAAATTACCCCCAAAATTCTTGCTCTATATAAATTTACAAATCAATGAAATGGAATAAAAACTGTCTCAGAGATAGACTAATGAAATACGGGTATTTAGCCCTGATAAAGGGGGCCTTGTAGACCAAGGCAGGGAGAGCTGGGTTGCATAGTGAACGGTGCTGGTAAACTGGCTGGCCAGGCATGACAAACACCATGGTAGCTCCCTCCTCCTAACCTCAGACTAGATTCCAGATGGCTCAGATACTTACACACAAAAAGATGAAATCTTTAAGGTACCAGAAAAAGCTGGGAGAGTTTCAAATATTATTCTAGTGTAGAGAAGGCCTTTGTAAGTATGAACAAAGCCTAAGAGAAACAGTTGACAAATTTAATTATCTTTCAGAAAAAAAAAAACAAAAAACAAAAACCCATGTTGGCATAAATAAAATTACAAAAAAAAGGAGCAAATTTAAAAGTTAAATGAGAAAATTTGCAAAACATTTGTAGTTCTTCTTATAGACCAGGAATGTAGAGGGTGGAAGGGGCCTTATTCCCTGCTGCTGGGGCTCATTCTCCCCAGGACTGGCTTCGCCAAGGGGAGACCCACTTTCCAGGGGCAGCATCTAGTGATTGGTTAAAGAGGGTGGGCCCAACACCAAGCCCCCCTATGCCTCACTAAGGGACAACTCCATAGAGACACCCCAGCCCCACACATTTACTTCTTCCTCAGTTCCATGGAGTGTGGTTCTCAAGGACAGGCCTCAAAGAATCCCTGCATGCAAACCTCCGTCTTGGAGTCTACTTCCTGGGGAACCAACCTAAAGCAAGGGCAATATCCTTAAGATATAAAGAGTATCTACAAATGAACACAACAAAGGCCAAAAATATAAACTTGACCATTCATTGAAAAGGAAGCACAAATAACTCTCAAACTAAGAAAGATGCAAATTAAACCATTTTCACCCACCTGTTGGCAAAATGAATCTGTGGCGTTTGCGTTGGAGAGGCTAAGGGAGGACGAGCAGTCTTGGATACATTGCCGGGGAGTGTAAATGAGTAGAAATTTTATGGAGTCAATTTAACACATCTATCAAAACAAAAAATGCACGTGCCCTTTGACCCAGAAATCCTATTTCTAGAAATGTAGTCACATGCACAAAATGCAATAGCATATATCTGCAAGACATTTATTGCAGTATTATTCATAATGCAAAAGTTATTATGCAACCTCAAGTCCATCAATAGGGAACTGGTTAAATAACTTACGACACACGCACACATTTTAGAAGTAGCCATTAAATCACATGGGATATCCTCATAAGAACTGATTTGGAGGGATGGCTGGGCGTGGTGGCTCATGCCTGTAGTCCCAGCACTTTGGGAGGCCAAGGCAGGTGAATCGCTTGAGCCCTGGAGTTCAAGAACAGTGTTGGCAACATGGCAAAACCCTGTCTCTACAAAATATACAAAAACTAGCCAGGCATGGTGCTATGCCCTTGTAGTCCCAGCTACTCAGGAGGCTGAGGCAGGAGGATCGCTTGAACCAAGGAAGTCAAAGTTGCAGTGAGCCAAGATGGCACCACTGCACTCCAGCCTGGGTCACAGAGTGAGACCTTGTCTCAAAAAGAAAAAGAAATCAATTTGGAGGGATCTCCCTCATATAAATGGGGGTGGAAATTTGAGAACAGTGTGTACAATATATTACCTGTGTGTAAAATGAAAGGAAAAGGAAGTGTGTATGTCAAAGAATGTCTCATTCTCAGAGCGGGAGCTGAGCATCGGGGTGAGGTGGAGCCTGAGATCACGGTCTAGCCTTAAGAACATTTTAAATTTTGCACATGAAAATGTATTCTCTATTTTAAAAAAACCATAATTAGGTTTTGAAAAGAATCCTTGCTTTTGCAGGGATTGTGAAATGGAAGTTGAAGGTTTTTGTCCTCTATGAAGCAGTAGCTCTTTACAATGGAGGCATTTGTTAATTGAGTCTGATATAAAGTGTGATGTAGAGAAATAAAGCATGATGCATCACGCAGCTCGCAGGTCATTTCTCCCAGCGTGGGGGAAGCTGTAGGAGCTATAAAACAAACAACATGTTTACAGGGAGAAATTTCTAGTGATCCTCAGCATCACTGAATTTCATACCCGATTAGAATTAAAGAGAGTGTCTAATTTTTACCTCTGCTCCTAGAATAACACATTTCACAGAGCCTTCAAAGAGCCTTATGCCTGCAGTCTTTTCTGTCAAATATGCCTTTGTTTCATGAGCCTTAAAGTGCTATACAGGCAGCCATACAAGTTCACACACTTCTCCCTCACGCACCATTTGGCCCTCTGGACAGCCCGGTCAGATGGTCATTGTTGTCACTAGGACCAGCTTGTGGATAAGAAACCTCATCTCCAGGTGGTAACAGCAAAGCCGGCCTCCCTCAGGCCTGCAAAGGACCAACTCCTTCTGCAGCAGTGACTGTCTGTGACTTCTGCTTCCCTTCCTCCCTAGAAATGTGTCCAGTCCTTTTACAGTGTCACCCAGAACTTTGTCCATCTGCTAGGGGGCTGGAAAGGGAAGTTTCTGCCTCACACAGATGTTGGCTTCTCCTCTCGGAGGCGTCTTTTGTTCATGGTGCTGAAGGGTTTAAGGGGCAGAAGTGAAGGCATGTTTCCAAATCGGATGGTCTCTGGAGTGTGCTCCCTGAAGGACGGGGGTGGGGGTGGGAGAGAAGCTGAAATCTGTTTCAGAACCAATCCTGGGCTTGGGAAGCTTTTAGGAGGATTTGCTGCCCTAAATTAACTGTCCACCCTTCTTTCCCTCAGGTCATCTGTGACAAAATATTTCGCCATTGGTTTTCCGCGCCTCTCAAGAGCTCTGCGGTCTCTTTCCAGCTTCAGCTGCAGTTACAGGAGGCGGTGCAGGAATGTGCAGACCCTGGGGTCCCCAGTGGGAACACCCGGAGAGCAGCCTCCAGCGTGTTCTGGAAGCTTCGCCAACTCCTCCAAGCCACACTGAGGGAGCTGCAGGAGGCAGAGAAGTAGCCACTCTCTGGCCTTAAACATGCTCACACAGGAAAAGTGACCTTGGCTGGATTTCTTCTGCCATTGTTTTAAAGATGAGCCATTTCCCCTGTGCTCTCTGGGGTGCCGTTCTGGTCTCCACATTGTGGAGTGGCAAGTGCTGCTGCCAGAGACAGTGCTCCCTCGCTCTCGTCCCACCCTGGCCTCTGACCTGTCGCCTTGTGTAAAATGAGATGAGGGAGGAGGTACAGACCTCCCTTCAGGAGGGCTCTCGGTCAGAAGACACCAACCTGTGTGCACTTATTCTCTGCAGAGAGCACTTGTACCTGGTTATCCCAGCACGAGTTCCAGCTGTTCTTTCCTGTAAATCGTTACCACGTTAAAAAGTGTGCGTGTGTGCATACAAATGATGTGTATGCCTGTGTCTGGGTGCAAATGAGCATGTGAGCATGTGTGAGTGTGCCCATGAGTGTCTGCATGTGTGTGAGTGTGCACAGGTGAGTGTGCACAGGTGAGTGTGGTGTGCTCATGAGGAGTATGAGTATGCCTGAGTGTGAATATGTATGAGTGTGAATGAGTGTGTGCACATGAGTGCACGGGTGTCAGCATGTGTATATAAGTGTGGGCATGTGTATGTGATTGTGTGAGTGTGGGCAGGTGAGTGTGTTGGGGATGTGGGTTAGGGTGGGGAGTGGTGCTTTCTCTAGTGTGTCCTCCGGAACATCTTGCCTACCTAGCAAAGAAGTGTGACCATTCTTTCGGAATTAAATACAATAAAAAGAAAATAAGCTGCATCTTTAGGGAAGGGAATTTGCATTGGAGAGCGTGTGTAACGGCAGCTTATAGTATTTTTCATTTTGTGGAATCCACCAAGGTTATGGATGGGTTTTAGGGCGCCTCGTATTGCAATACACCTTCCCCTGGGCAGGGACTTGTAGGTTGGCTTGATGCAGCATTGTCTTCACCTTCAGAGAAAATTTAAAGTAGAGCAAATGCTGAGGTCTGCATTGACTCCAGGCAGGACCAGAGACCAGCACCTTTCTTTTGATGGATTGAAGACCAAGTGATAGGCATCAAATCCTATGGTGGCATGATACGCTCATCAGTGGTGATCCCAAGGAGGCTTTTCCAGCAAAATACAGGCAGGGGGACAGGCCAGGTGAAGCCAGTGAGCTTTCACTTAAAGGGACCTGGTTTCTACCCATAACTGTGACCCACGAGTGCTCAACAAACCAACGGGTCACCCCTTTTCAGAAATCCCATGAAAAGGGAAATCGAGAAAGATGAGAGAATCAGGAAGTCATGTTGGCAGTTTACACATTAAAGAAGACAAATTAATCGGACGTTGTGAAAGTCACAAACTGACACATTCCAAATGGTCTCTTATCTTGGCCTGCAGCCCCTTTCTAAACCAGAGAAACGGGAATGCCTTCTTCCAGACTTTGGGGTCACATTTACTGACTCTGCCCTTCAGGGCACGCTGAGAAATGGTGTGTGAGGGACTAGCATGATCAGAGGCCCCCAGCTCTAAATTCTGCCTTCCCCAAAGACCTGTTGGAAGGCCCACTGCCAGCTGTTATTCTTACCCATCACCACTGGGGATCTTCCAAATGACACAGAGTTCCATAGAGGGCCTCCTCATCATGGACATGAAGACTCGCTTTGCAATTGTATTCTAGCAAGAAGGAAAAAACCCATGTCAGTCACCCTGTGGCACGAGCAAATTAAAACCAAAGTTCAACGGCCAGGCCTAGGACTAGTGGATTCCAAAGGAAAGGGCGGGCTTCGGGCTATTGGGTGGAGGCTCCGATTTTCCCCAGAGCTGCGCTGGGTGCAATGCCTTTCTGTGGTGGTCGGGGCATACTTTGGGCCATGCTCACCTTCTAGGCAGGTTCTCTACAAGCAAAAAGGTTTACAGGAAGACGGGTGTGAGATGGAGGGGGGGAAGGAGGGAAGCCACCAGGGCTTTGCCCTCTGTGCCCTTTAAACAGTGGGGTTTCGCTCTGGGAGGTCAGAGTGGGTCTTTTGTGGGTAGACGCTGGGATGCCAGCCATTCATTAGTGGCCTGAGCTCACTGACCAGGCAGCAAAGCCAGCCTGGAAAAGAGAAATAGTTAGTTTTCATTTCAACCAAAATGGAAACAAATTGTTTTTGTTTACGATGGAGACTGTGCAATATATAATTATCCAACACAATTGTGGTTTTATTGCTGAAAGGGAGCTGTTTTATCTCTTCCCTTTATGTTTGGCTACACAGTTACACACACACACACACACACACACACCCTTTTCCATCCCTGCCTGGGAATTCCCATTAGAGCAGTGGCTCTCAAATTGTGGTGAAGCTCAGTTTTGTTTTTAATTTTGAAACCTTGCAAATCAATGCTTTTATATAACATAATAAATTAACACTGTGTATATCAATATTTAGTATTTTGAATATGACAAATCGGTTTTTTTCTGGCTGATCTAATTGAGCAACAACCGCACTCGTAGAGGAAAATGTCTCCCTAAATGATTTCTATGTTTTGTTGTAATAACACATAGTAGACAGAACACTCTCAGAGACATGTTGATGGGATCTGAAAAAGATTATAAAGTAAACTCATCAAGCTCAGGCTATTCCTCTTTAAGTTGTATCCAAATTAAAGCAAATGGTGCTTTATTCATGTCCAGTCCTTCATCAGGATTCCATTGCCACAGTTTACCTTGACAAATTGTAGTTAAAACTTCATTTGATGAAAAGAAAGAATTCCATAATTGTATACTCCATTGGCTTACAGCTGACAAACCTTAATACACGTGGGTTGTATAGAAATCGTAGGTGGCTCAGGAGACAAGTTCGTGGATACCTAGACTGGTCAATGAGTCAGTTGGCCAATGTCAACTGGCAATGTCACATAACATCACAAACGTTTACAAACACTGCCAATATTGCTAAACCCTCCTCTCAATTCTCATCTCACATGAGACAAATTAAAGCTAACAGTTCAGAGACATGCTGCCTCCTAGAAGTCCACCAGGCTTAGCCTCCCATGCATCCTGCCCCATACTAAGGCCCAGCCTGCTCAGCCCTTCCAGAGTACCTATGATGAACATCCAGGACATTACCTTAAATTACTGGAAGAATAACTCTTTTAAATCTTGATTTGGAAGCTATTCTTTGAACAGCAGTAAGTGGAGGAGTTGGGTTGGAGATTTCTAAAACCAATGACCGCATAAAGATACTCTCGCATTCACCACGCTAGCCCCTGTGGTTGGCAAACAAATGCCACTCTGGCTCTAACATCTATTGGTTCAGTCAGAAAAAAGAAATGCGCCCACCCGGCTCACATTCATGGGCTGCTCCTCCTTAAAACCACCCTTTTACTTCTGTACCTTAAAAAAAAAAAAAGCTATCTGTGTTACAGCTGAAGCTGATGGAGCTGATTATTGATTTTCATTTAAAAACTTACCTCTCAGAGTCCCTTCCTTATCTTCTGAAATGGGCATAATCACCTCGATCACAGCCTATTGTGAGGATTTAAGGAGATGATGAGTACCAAGCCCTTGGCACAGTGTCTGCTGCAGAAACAAGCACAGGAGTGTTCCTCGGTAGCAGTGGACAAATGCCAATGAGAAGGACTCCAGGTAGGGGACCAGCGTCTGAATCCCACTACACCTGCACTGTCTCAAGAAGACCCAGTGGGTTTTAGCTTTGCATGACATTGCACCTGGAGCCACTCTCTGTGGATGCTGGTCTTGGCTAAACGGTTCATCCGGGTTTTCCTTATTGACTTAAAGCAGCGGTCTCCAACCCTTTTGGCATCAGAGACTGGTTTCATGGAAGACAATTTTTCCACAGATGGAGTAGCGGGGGTGGATTCGGGATGATTATTGTGTACTTTATTTATATTATTATTACATTGTAATGCGTAATGAAATAATTACACAACTCACCATCATGTAGAATCAGTGGGAACCCTGAGCTTGTGTTCCTGCAACTAGATGGTCCCATCTGGGGGTGATGGGAGACAGTGACCGATCATCAGGCATTAGATTCTCATAAGGAGCATGTAACCTAGATCCCTCACATGTTCAGTTCACAGTAGGGTTCACAGTCCTGTGAGAATCCAATGCTGCTGCTGTTCTGACAGGAGGCGGAGCTCAGGTGGTGATGTGAGCCATGGGGAGGGGCGGTAAATACAGATGAAGCTTCACTCACTCATCCACTGCTCACCTCCTGTTGTGCAACCCAGATCCTGATAGGGCACAGACCAGTACCCGTCCATGGCCGGGTGTTGGGGACCCCTGCATGAAAGGCGACCAGAGAGTGCATCCAGCTGGACGCTGCTATCAGCGACATTGACATCCTCAGCTAGCTTCTGTTGCCGGGCCCCAGCACACTTTGATAGGTGTTGACAAATTTTTCTTGAGGAAGACTACACCAATTTACCCCCCTGCCCACATGCTTTTCTCATATCCTTACAAAAACTGGATATTATTGGTTGATTCTGTTTCTGCCTATTTAATAGAAGGGGGAGACACAGATCTTATCAATTCACATTTCCACTCACTGGTGAGGCTGTGCTCATGTATTAGCTACATGCGTACTTTTTTGGTGAAGTGTGCACATACTTTGCTCATTTTTCACTAGGCTGTCTTTTCAAGAAATGATTAATCCAGTATATATGCTGCAGATATTTTCTTCCAATGCATGGCCTGTGTAATTATTGACTGCCACTGTCAGTGAGGAAACAGATGACTGAAGCTGGCTACCCTTTGCTAAGAAACATTTTTTTTTCACTGTTGAGTACACTTTAGGGTAAAAGGCTGCCTGCCTGTTTTTCACCCCCAAGTCGAAGGGCTTTCATGCTTGTTTTCTAAAATGCACCCAAGGGACCTGTCTGCTCCTGGGCCACGCCCTCTGCTGGACTAGCTGCTTTTGCTTTGTGAAGTGAGAATACCCAGGAACGATTTGTCCCCACTCTTGGATCCTGAAACCTGCCCTGAGGGCTTTCGATTCCCAAGGTTGGCCTTCCTTCTGCTCCTTGTATTTTTCCAGTGGGGCGTAGTTCACTCTTGCACGTTGCTGAGGCTCAGCCTTTCAAGAAATCCTACAGGACACTTTGAAGAGCAGAGAAAGGCGTTTGCTGGGCTCCACTTTGAGTGTCTCGTCTGAGCAGCTGACGTGGCCTGTGGTGCTGGGCCCATATTAACTGCAGTAGGGATGGCAGTGAAGCAGCTACATTGTCTGAGATCTATGTTCCTGGGGTTCCTTGTTGTGCGCCAGGAAAATTTAGAACACGGACACACATGAGGAGTTTAGGAGCAGAGGTTTGATAGGCAGAAGAGAAAGAGAAACAGCTCTCTCCACAGAGAAAGGGGTCTCCAAGTGGAAAGGACCAGCTGGTGGCCAATGTGCTGGATTTTATAGTCTGGTTTAAGAAGGGGGTGTCTGATTTACAGAGGCCTCACAGATTGGTTGGATCAGGTACGACATTTACATAGTGAGTGGGGAAGGCTGGTCACCCCACCCTAATCTTATTATGCAAATAGACTTTCCAGTGGATCGGGGCCATCTTTTCTGCTCTTTACTGTACACGTGCTGGCAGAGAAGGGAAGATGGAGTTGCTACCCTGGAGATATCTAGTCCCTTGCTCCCATCGGCATTCACTCATACAGACTCCCAGCTTGCTTGTCTCTGTTTGCAGCTCGACTTTACAGGCTGCTCGTTGTTAGAAAATGATTTGGGGCTGCTTTGTCATTAAAAAGAAAGGCCTTACCGAGGACTCCCTGCCCTCACTATCTGCCTAAGTAACTTCTTCTTAACTCATGTATCAGCAGGTTTGGGAGGCTGAAGAAAAGACCCAGAGCCAGCACACAAGACGTAGAGTTCATTGAGGGGAACTTTTATACAGAATGATCCAGCAGTGCTGGGCTGGACAGGAGAACTGCAGTCGCTTGCAAAAGGCATGCAGTTTATATAGCACCTTCACTGAGCGCCCTCCCAGGAACAACCTCCACCCGGCAACCTTCATTTAACCCAAAACAAAGGGCCTCTATCCTTGGTACTGCTCGCATTCTGTGATGTGGGCTGGGGGCTCAGATGTTCCTCTGAGATAAGGAATGAATCTCCAGGATGGCCACTCCCAGATTCCTTGGCTCTGAACGGAGCTAAGGAATCATGCATACATGGCCATTCTGAGGGTGTGCTTAAGTTATCACTGTCAAGTGCACCTGCCATACATGGCCAGGAGTCCAGGAGCTCACAAGCAGAGCACTTTCTTCCTGTCTTTGGAAGTCTCTGTGCTCCAGAAGCTCACCCACCCTTCTCTGCTTCTCCTGCCTCTTCCTTGGGTTACTCTGGGCTCAGACTTTACCTTTTCCTCCTCTAAAGTCACTGGCAGGCTGGGCATGGTGGCTCATGCCTGTAATCCCAGCACTTTGGGAGGCAGGCGGATCAACTGAGGTCGGGAGTTCGAGACCAGCCTGGCCAACATGGCAAAACCCTGTCTCAACCAAAGATACAAAAATTAACTGGGTGTGGTGGGACACGCCTGTAATCCCAGCTACTCGGGAGGCTGAGGCACAAGAATCACTTGAATCTGGGAGGTGGAGGTTGCAGTGAGCTGAGATCATGGGACTGCACTCCAGCCTGGGTGACACAATGAGGCTCTGTCTCAAAAAAATCAAAAAATTAAAGTCACTGGCATCCATTGTATTTCCTACATCTGGTGGCTAAAACATGAACTCTGAGATGAAAATCTGAAATTCTTTTCTCAGCAGCGTCGTCTATCAGTTTATTGATACTGGGCAAGTTACTTAACCTCCCGGTGCCTTAGTTTCCCCATCTGCAAGCACATTAATAATTGTAATTGCCTTATCTCACCAGGGCTGTTGTGAGGGTTTAATGGGACAGTGGACATATCAAGAGAGATCAGTAACTGGTGAGTGCTGACTATTTTAAACCACAAGGTTGGCTTTGATGTAGGAAGTAGTCTCTCCCGCTTCTCTTCCTAACCCCTTCTCACAGCACCCTTGAACTCCTTTCTTGGAACAGACTCTGTTCAGTGATCTAATGCTGCAGCGACAGCCCCATCCCCAGCCCTCTGGAAGCCACATCACACAGGGGAATCCAAACACGGGCTCCAGCTGACACAGGAGCCTCCTCAGCCAGCAGAGTTTGGGCCCCACCTCCTGTCTCAGGAAAGAAAGCCTCAGGGGTGGGGAGCCTGGTACATGTCTTTCTATCACATTCCACACGTGATTCTGATGCGTATCACCTGTCTAAGAACTTACCGAGCTTCCCTGCCTGAGAATGGTGGGCTCTGCTGTGGAGCTGTGGACTGCAGAGAACCTTCTGGCTGTGCAGCTGAGAACTGAGTCAATGCAAGAGCTCCTGGCTCCTGCTTGACCTCGAGCAGCTGAGGTTAGCAGACGGGCAAAGCCTGCAGTTCCTCTGGAGTGGAGGAGGCAGCAGCTTGGTTGTTGTAGACGTCATTTGCCCTGTGGGCAAGAGCCAGTTGTCCCTGGGCAAGCTGGGCAGCAGGATGGAGGGTTTCCCTGCAGAAGCGGCCCTGCCAGCCTGCAGTCTCTAAGTTCATTTCTCTCTCCCTCACCTCCCTGTTTGGCCACCTTGGCCGCTCATCCTTCTCCACAGGAGATGGGCAGGAGGTCGGTTTGTCCCACTGCGATAACAAAGCTTCATCACTCCAAGCGAGTTTAGAAAGATGTTCCCAGATAGGCTCAGGGAGGGAGGACTGTAGGCTAAGGCCTTAATACATGAGATGGACCAGGGTACAGTTGTGGGAGGGGCCTTGGCTTACCTGATAGAGACTCTGCCCCTGATCTGAGAGGGTCACAGCTCCCAGGTTCTGTGTGGAGGGTCTGAGGCAGGTGGGAGCCATGCTGCATGCCAGGGAAGTATAATTAGGGAAGATGCTGTCTTTGAAAGAAAAATCAATGCCCTTGAACTCATTAGCCAGCAACGTCACAAACATTTAGAACAAGAGGCTTTAGCTAACATAGCTAGTGTGAAAAGGGCAAACAGGCAAACCTATTTATGAAAACTTAAAATAGTTTACCTGAGTTGTAAGAGCTATGAACTTTAATTCACTGTGGAGGCTCAGAAATCCCAGAGAAGAAAAGCAACATCTCTACTAAGAACAATTTATAGCCTGGAAAAAAAATCCTGATGTTCTGCCTTTCATAATAATGTAATTTATGCAGTTTCTTGGAAGGAAAGTAGCCAAATTCTTAAATGCTTCTTTAATAGCATAACTTCAGAAGTGCTGTAATCTGGATCACCGAGGGGTATTTATAATCCAGTTTGCTAAGGGAAAGAGTGTGCACACTGGCTTGGTTGGGTCCATGGGCACCAAGAGCAGGCCGACTCTCCCAGACTCTGACCAAGGAGGTCTTCTTTCTTGTTCATGATCAGTGGTGGGACCACAAGGCCTGGGCTGGACCAGGGCATCATTTTTTCCAAGAGCATCTCTGTTAAGGTGCAACAGCCTGCCAGCTTCTGTAGCAACTGCCTCTGGTTCCCCACTCTTTGCTCCTGCTGGGTTTAGAGCTCCAAGTGCTCACTCCAGCCTGCGGGGCATCATTTTCCTCTCTGCTGACACCAGCAGAAAACCCGCGGCCTGTGTTTGACTGCTTCTGGTTAAGAAGCCACCCCCAATCCCAACACACACACACACTCACGTGCACATTTGTACATGCACACACACTCGTGCAAGCCCACACATGCACACACACCATCACACTCATGCACGCATCCTCCTTCTCACACGCATGCTCACACACGCACAGACACCATCATAATCATGCACACATCCTCGCTCCCACGCGCATGCTAACACATGCACACACACCATCACACTCATGCACGCATCCTCACTCCCACGTGCGCGCTCACACGTGCACACACACCATCACACTCATGCACGCATCCTCGCTCCCATGTCCGCTCACACGTGCACACACACACCAGGAATCTAGTTCAGAACTGCCGCTTGCCTCTATGGCTCTAGCACCGTCAGGGATTCCATGAATCAATGGCCGCCGCCTCATTCTGCCTCTCTCCTTCCCACATCATGAACGATACAGACCTGTTTACCCTTCCTAACAGGACTGGCACCCATTTCACTTAAGCGACACTCTGCCCAAGTCACTGAAGGTTTTCTGTCTGTGGGAAAACAAAGGAAACCTACTTTTCAAAATTGCTACTGGTGGAGAGTCACCAAAAATAGGAAACTATGAGTTTTACCTAGCACCAAAGCAACAGCGCAGTCACGCGTTCCAGAATAATCAGCCCTTTACAGAATTTGGGTGGGAAACTAATAACATTAGCATCTGAGATCATTGTATAGTTCATGACACATTGTTGTCATCTGTTTCCCTTTGTCTGTGAGCACTCGCCAAGCTGACGGTGCGTGGACACTGCCCATCCGAGTGGTACCCACAGACCCCCGGGCTCTCTCCCCATCACTGCCCCTGCAGTCCTATTCCATGTTCAAGGTGAAGCCAAATACAATTTTATTTCCCAATCCACACTCCCCAGTTCCATAAGAATCAATCTTCCTTCTTGTTTGGTTCTTAACAGGCTTCACAAACTCAGTTCTCCAAAATGGAATGTGTCAGCTCCCCAGACCAGGGGCTCCTCAGGGCTTTCAGACCCCTGTGCCCCATCCTGAAATGGGGGTCCATCAACACCATCTCTTCCCCCATCCCCAGTTCCCCCACAAGCCCATCAGTGCTTTCCAGTTCACTCCATCCATTCACCTCCACCTACCCTGGCCCAGCCCCACTCTCCTCTGGTACCTGGATCAATGTGGCAGCCTCGTCAGCAGCCTCCACAAACCCGCTCTTAGGTGGAGAAGTCCAAGGCTCTGTTCACAGCCTTCCCTCCTTCAAACCTGATTCATTCCTTCCACACATTTTTATTGAACACCTACAATGTGCCCGGCACCCTGGGGACAGATCAATGAACAAAACAGGCCAAAAATCCATGTCCTCAAAGAGCTGATATTCCGATGCATGGGGATGGGTGTGCTGAAGGCAGATAATAAATAACAAATAACAAATACAGCAAACAGCAAGTTATGTTTACCTTAAGCTAAAACATGGTGAGCACTCTGGGTGGAAGCAGAGCCAGGTGGCCACGTAGGGATATTGTCCGGGGAGGAGAGCGTCTGGGTAGGGACAGAGCCTGGCAAAGGCTGTGAGGCTGGACCGTGGAGGTGGGAGCGGTGTGGCAGAGGAGCTCTCTGGAGGCCAGAGATGAGCAGAGGTTGATGAAGAGGTCAGGGGAGGTCATCCCACAGGCTGGGCTCTGATTCTGAGGGTGGGAAGTGGAGAGGGGGTTTGGAGACTGTGTCGAGAACAGGCCTGGGGGAGGCAAAACAGGAAGACCAGGGTGAAGGCTTTGGTGGGAGCTCAGGGCATGGCTGGGCCCAGCGAGGCCCCGTCGGGGAGTGGCGGCCTCTGCATGGAATCTGCCGACAGACCAGGCGTGGGCTGAGAAAGGACCCCGGCAGCACCCCATGTTTTGTGGCCACTGGAGCGAGAAGATGCAGTTGTTCTTCATTGAGACTTGGTGTCGCTGGGGAGACCAGGAGCCCGCTGAGTTTTCAGCAAGGCAAATGTGGGTGTCTGTCCACCACTGAAGCAGAGATATTGAGTAAACCGAGGGGTATTCCCGGGGAGGAGGGCTAGAGACATCAAAAGTGGTCAGCGGAGGACAGTGTGAGTCCTCAGCAGTGACTTTCCCATTGCCCCAGGACTGGACCGAGACAAGCCCTCTCCATGTTACACTTTCTACCCTGCACCCCACCCACCTTCTTCATCCCCTCCCTGGGCTCTTCCCCAGGGAAGTTATCCCATGCTGCAGGCTTAGCCCCTCTCTCCAGGGTGGCCTCAGCTCCTGACGCTGCCTCCATAGCACCGCACAGTCGGTCACCACTTATGTAAGAAGCCCCGCCAGGGCTGGAGCCACGTCTGTTTGCTTCTTTTTATATTCTCCCACCAGGCACAAGGCCTGGCCTGGAGGAGCTGTGCAATAAACACAGTGGCTATTGACTGAGATGAGGAACCTGCTGCAAATGTCTCCTCCTGAGATCTGTGAAACTCAGGAAGGTGACTTGCTAGGCTCAAAACAGTCATCAAAATGTTCCCTCCCTGATGGGAAACTGACTTCCTGATGGGAAACTGACTTCCTGACAGGAAACTGACTTCCTGATGGGAAACTGACTGACTTCCTGATGGGAAACTGACTTCCTGACGGGAAACTGACTGACTTCCTGACGGGAAACTGACTGACTTCCTGATGGGAAACTGACTTCCTGATGGGAAACTGACTGACTTCCTGATGGGAGACTGACTTCCTGATGGGAAACTGACTGACTTCCTGACGGGAAACTGACTGACTTCCTGACGGGAAACTGACTTCCTGATGGGAAACTGACTGACTTCCTGACGGGAAACTGACTGACTTCCTGATGGGAAACTGACTTGCCCACGGGTGATTTCTAGGCCTGCACACGGTGGAACGGGGCAGAGGCACACAATATGAGGGGTATCGTGACAATTTTCATAATTTCAGGATGGCTGCACAGTTTTCACACTGCTCCTCCGCACGCTGCTGCTTGCACCCTGTACTGTCTGTGCTCTGCAGACTTCTTTCCCATTTGAAGCCCAAGTTTGTCCTGTAGAAGGGGCTCCCCGTGTGCCCGCAGGGCTCAGGAGGATGTGATTTGCGGTTTGCCCTGCCCTGTTTACAGGGTCCTTGCTCTACCCCCGGTCTCACAGGTCGTTGTCTCCTGCTGGTTCTCACTCTGGTGCTTTAAACTTTACTTCTTGGAGTGCAAGGAGTTTGAGCACGCATGGGGAAAAAAGGGGAAACTAAGGCCTGTCCCTGAGCCCCCTCATCCTATTTCAGCCAGAACATTTTTCCTAATGTTCTTAGATACATGTGGCCCAAGTCAGCTTTTATTTGAAAAGCGATCTGTCTGTTTTAAAATAAAAAGTTGGAAACATTTTTCTGGAGCTTCGAGGCCCACTCCCAGTGACTGTGAATCTGAGGCTGGAAGCCACCTCCTGAGGCCAGCAAGGCTCTCCTTGTCCACAGGGTTGTGCCACGCTCATCCTGTCCCTTACTGAGGGACTCAGCACCATTCCAGAGACACACTTGCCCAAGTCAGGAAAGCCGCACGCACAGCAGACTCAGTGCTGGATCTCACAATTACTAAAAATCGACAGCAATCAGCAGCCTACCCACCCCTTGTTAACTGTCCCTCAACAGGGGGTGGGTAAGCAAGGGGCTGTTGTCCCAGCCACACCAGGGGTGGGAAAGTGGGACCTCCCAAGAGAAAGGGGACATGGGAATTGAAAGACGTCCGGGATAGATCATTACATGGAAAAAGCAAGCTGCAGAACAGTTGGTAAATCCCAGTTCCATTTTCGTTAAAGAAAAAACAGTACATCTGTCGGTGCGTGTGTAGCTATACAAATATCTATCTCTATAAATTTTAAACCCTGAAAGGGTACATACACAAAACTACAATTCAATTGTTTCTGAGAGGGAATAAAGGGTGAATGTTTACTTCTTAAGTCGTAATCTTCCGTATTGGAAATTTCTGACTTTTTTTGATAATAAACATTTTAAAAGTCAGTGTTTTCAAAGATATGAGTCAGTTTTTGAAGTTTCCCAGGGAAACTTATTTTGAACTGTTAAATTTAATAAGATTATGGGCCAAGGCCTTGGAAAAAAACACGTCTATAAAAATCAAGTTTATTTTTTGCTCATATCCTTAGTACAGAACTGTTCTGTGAGTTGGGAAGCGAAGCAACTCTGCTCTTACATCCAAAATATGCACTACCTATCTTGGAGTAACATCAGAGGCACGTTCACATTTGTGTGCATGTAAGAGGCTTGATTTCATGTTGTCAGGAACATAGAACTTGTATTCGTGACTATAACCCTGAATAAACCCAGTTTCTACGATATGCTATGCTCATAGTTGAAAAGAAAATTCCATTATTTGAATCTACTGCTCATTCTCAAAATGTTTTAAAATTCAAGGCACTATTTACTCACATGTTGTCTGGATAGAATTTGACTTGACTTCTGATATTGCTTTTTCTTTGTTTTGCACCTTTTTGGATGTAATTAATTCCTATTTTATTTCATTTTTTTGAGCGGAAGAAAAGCAGGTAACAAGGATAAGTAGGCTGTGTACCTAAATATAAGTAGAGACAAATGATATGTCTTCAAAATCTCTTTCTCTCTCTACAAAAATGGGGTAAGTCTGTGGTTGCTGTTGCAGCATATGTCGCAGTGTAATTGACGAAGGACGTTGGATCCCTGCAGCCTTTTTCTGAGACTCTACAGATACGGATAGGAAAAAAACTGAGATGTGTCAGGCAAAGAAAGCAGGTTTGTAAAATTTGTGATAGTAATTTGCTAAAATCTCTTTCGAGTCTTTGATACTTTGTTTTGCTTTGGTTTGATTTTTTATTTTTCTTCTTGAGGATAATTGAGAAAATATATTTACCCCTAAATCACGAACAACGGCTGTAACATAGCCATCTATCTTAAATCCTTTCTGGACCGAGGAGAGGGATGACTAAACACATCCTTTTAGGTCCAGCATGAGCTGTGTGGAGGAACCTGTTGGAAATGTATGTACACACATCTGCAGCTTGGCCATACCTTTTGTTCTTGGATCCATCCTTGGACTCTGTTCTCCAAATCTTCCTGGGACTGTAACCTCCCCACAGGGGGACCATATGGGAGGGGCTCATGGGAGAGCAGGAAGCACCATATGGCAACTTGGAAAGTTCACGGCAGGGTGGCTGAGGAAATTTCTACTTGAGGTCAATGGTGCAACTGATTTTCGGGCCCATTGGCAAGGACCTCAGAAGACAGCTGTTCCTGCTGCTGCTTCCAGGGGTCCATATGGGCTCATAATAAATTCTAATGTGAATTTTCCTTGGAACATATATGCCTGAGATTCCTGATGAAGTTGTCCATACAGTCATCTCCTCCCCAGCTTGATTGAACAGCTGAGTCTGAAGATTAAAACAGGGGGCCCATTTTCAACTAATGAGTAGTCAGAAGGTTTAGGTACTTGCTCTAAGGAAATAGCTGGAATGTGTTAGCTTTAGAGAGAGAAGCTGTTATCTTAGCTATCCACCTATCCATCCATCCATCCATCCATCCATCCATCCATCCATCCATCCATCATCCATCCATATCTATCTATCTATCTATCTATCTATCTATCTATCTATCTATCTATCTATCTATCTATTGTCTAGCCATCTTATGGTAGTATATACCTAAAAGGAGATTCCACAGAAGCTCTCTTATTTTGAAAAGAAAATATTGAGTGAGATGGTACCATTTTTGAGAAGTAATATCTACAATGATGCTGAAAGTATAAATGACATGAATTAGTACAAAAATTGGAAACCTTTCACAGTTGGGGTGCCAAGTCTTCGTAAGTGCACTGGTGGAGCCAACCTGCTGCAAAGCTTACAGAACACTCAGTGTTCCTGGCGGGTGACAGAATGAGGGGCTGGAGAAAGCCACCCCGACCCCTCTCCCCTTCATGAAAGTTTCCTTTTAAAACGCACCCCCCTCCCCGCCGTGTATAAGTGAAAGGAAAATCACATTTCACCCTCAATTTCTCCCCTCCTTTCCCTTTTCTCCCAGGTGAAGAGGATGGCCTGTGTTTTCCAGGCTTTTGTAAGCAGTTCTTTTTAAAGTTGTACCTGGGTCTTTGTGAAGCTAGAGAAGCAGGCAGGTATCTCTGAAACAATCCCATTTTTTACCTCTAACAGGCCCAAGGAAACATAATCTGAAAGGGTTTGGGGACCATCCTAGTCCTTTTCATGCTGCTATAACAGAATACCACTGGCTGGGTCATTTATACTGAAAAGAAATTTATTTCTCATAGTTCTAGAGGCTGGGAAGTCCACTATCTAGATGCTGGCATCTGGCGAGGGCCTTCTTGCTGAGACATTCCATGACAGAAATGCAAAGAGTGTGTTTGAGAGAGAAGGGAAGGGGGCTGAACACGTCCCTTTACCAAGAACCCACTCCCATGATAACAGCAGTAATGGGCTTTGCCTTCATGACATAAGCACTGCTAAAACGCCCTGCCTCTTCACACTGTTGCGTTGGGTTTAAGTTTCCAACACATGAACTTTGGGGGACCCATTCAAATCATAGCAGAGAAAGTTGTGGTGACAAAAATAAAGTCTGCCCAAGATGAGTAATGTACCAGCTCCTATGTCAGCATTCAAGATCTTGCAAATTGGGTTCTTAGGAGGACGTTTGTATTCTTCCTGTTGCTTCTCATGACGTTGAATTTGGGAATGTGTGTGTTTCACCAGTTGGCACCAGAGTGAGGTTTGGGAGAAAGAGACACATGGGTGAGGAGATGTGGGTGGCTGCTGGCAAGAGCCCACACCAACCCAGACTGTTCTTCTAGCACCAAGAGGCACATCCTAAACGGGAAATCCCAGCAGGGGAAGGTACTGCTAGTGGGAACCGCGTTGTCTCTGGGGCAACTTTCTGGGTAAGAGAAGGGGTTAAGCCTGCTTAGGTCTTGGCCTGTTTTGTGTTGTTCTCTGTATTACTCAGGGTTTTCTAGAGGGACAGAACTAATAGGATAGATGTATATATAAAAGGGAATTTATTAAAGAGAATTGACTCGCATGATTACAAGGTGAAATTCCACAATAGGCCATCTGCAAGCTGAGCAGCAGGGAAGCCAGTCCAAGTCCTAAAACCTCAAAAGTAGGGAAGCAGACAGTGCAGTCTTCAGTCTCTGGCCAAAGGCCCAAGAGCCCCTGGCAAACCACCAATGTAAGTCTGAGAGTCCAAAAGCTGAAGAACTTGGAGTCTGATGTTTGAGGGCAGGAAGCATTCAGCATGGGAGAAAAATGAAGATGGGAAGACTCAGAAAATCTGCTCTTTCCGTCTTCTCCTGCCTGCTTTATTTTAGCCATGATGGCAGCTGATTAGATGGTGCCCACCCAGATTGAGGATGAGTCTGCCTCTCCCAATCCACTGACTCAAATGTTAATCTCCTTTGGCAACACCCTCACAGACACACCCAGGAACAATACTTTGCATCCTTCAAACCAATTAAGTTGACATTTAATATTAACCATCACATTCCCCTTGGACTATGGAGGCCATCCTACACTACACAGTTGAAAATCTTCCTATTCAACCACTTGTTTCCCTTTGGTTGTTCTAAACCCTTCAAGAAAATCTTATTCAACTTCACGTGGCATAGAGAATGAAGGGCTGGGGCTGAGAAGGCAGGGCGCTCAGGCCACTGTCATCCTCTGCTCTGCTGGGGTACCCAAGTGAGGACATGGATTCTGGAGAGGCGGAGGAGGAAGGGGTAGCCACAGGGGTGTGGGGGCAGCCCCTGGAGGGTGACTGGATTTCATGTTTGGAGTGGAACCCACTTAAGATGTCTTCAGTCGACTCATAAGGGATCCCAACAAGTCAATTAGCAGCTGTAAATAATTTACAATGCTGAGCAAGCTGCTGAAATGGGCAGAGGAGTCATCAGTTTGAAATCTTGGAGAGGGAGACGTGCTGATACATGGTTGGCAGAAAAGTCACTGAAGTGCATCTTAACAAATGGACCTCACTTCTGGCGATGTGATAATGAGCTTAGTGGATAACAGGAGTGAAGTGAACTAGGGTACCTTTCTGTCTCTTTTAAGCACTTAAGCCTCTCCATAAAGATCTCTCTCAGGGAAAACCAGCTCATTTTATATCCACGTATTGTGGTTCTATTGGCTCTTATGTTTTTCCTGGTGACAGCATATATCAAGTAATTATTAATAGCTCAATGTCAAAGTCAGGAGGAAGTATTGATCTGAAGAAAGCACTTTCTCAATTGCTACCAGCTTTGGAGATTGAAATTGACATTAAGCCTTCTAATTCCTTGGAAGAAACAAATAGAAATCTATAAAAGAAGGTTTATTGGGGACTAAACAAAGAAATGGGTTGGGAGAGAAAAACTAAAACCATAAATGAAAAGTGGTGGAGACAGATGTTTCCGTGGGCAAGAGTATGCCATGGAGGAGGATGAGGAGCAGCCACAGATCCTTTGTGAATGCCTGATGCAACAGTATTGGAGTTTACCACTCATTCACAAGGGGACAGCAAAGTATTTCACAGCCACAAATGGGTGTTGTTGTCATGGACATCAGCTCTAACCTGAGGTCTTCTTGATGGAGTTTCACCAGCTCACGGGTGGGACTTGTCCACATCAATCACACAGTACATGTGGGCTGCTTCCTCTGCTCACAAAAGGGGGATACCTAGAGTCGCATGGCAAAGTTTACTGATCTGGGAAAGTAGACTGGCATTTTGGCAGATTGGCATTTTCCTGAGGTCTGGGAGGGAATTCTGCTGGTCCAGAAATGATTTGGGAGCAGCGAGGCAGGAGGGGACTGTCAGAGGCAAGAATAGGCCTCCTGAAACCAGGGGATCTTTGAGTGAGGATTTTACAGGCGCTTAGGTCATTACTGTGGCTGTTTGAATAATGCGGACTGAGATCCCAAGGACATCCACGCTCCTCTTTTGCCTCCTTGCCTCTTCACATGCTGAAATATTCTCCCCACCTCCTGCACCAGGCAGGTGCCCACCCATCCTTCAGGGTGCTTCCCATTTCTCCTCTTCCTCTTCTCTTTTGAGAAGACCCCTGGCCCCCTTCTCTGCACTCCCCTTAGCCTTGGCACATAGCTCCGTCATTGTGGACACAATCAGCGCATGTCCTTCCTTGAGACTGTGAGGGGACCTCCATGTCCCCATCACTCAGCTTAGTGCCCAGTGATGTCAGTGAGTGACCTGTGATCAGCATGGGATTCTCACAGATCCCTGACCATCTAGGAATAAAGAGAACTTGGAGGTGAATGTAAAGAAGAGCCATGAGGCTAGTAAGTGGATTGCGTCAGGGATGGACTGGAGGATGACCCAGGAAGAAAAGCATGGGTGACAGAAGGGGATAATCAAGTCTAGATTGGAAGGGCAGGTATTTTTACCTGTTTAGTTCACTTGTATACGCCCAGTGCCTGGCACATTACAGATACCCAATGAATGTTTTGCATGGATGTGTCCAACTTACCCTGCAGAATAAGGAGTTTGAGTTGAGTGTGGTGAAGGATTTCCTTGCCACAATTATTACTGGGCTCTGGAATTGATCATGAAATTCTATCTCTGGAGGAAGTCAAGTCCCTGGAGGCAGACTCTGCTTAATAAACATTTCCTGAGGGCTAGAAAGTAAATAGTCTCTTAAACTACTGGGACACTGGGTTTCTTAAACTACTGGGGAAACTGTTTCCCCAAGCTGGCGAACCATGAGAACTCCCACAGAAACGTTTTAAAATGCAAATATGCAGGTTCCATCTCAAACCTCCTTAATCTGTATCTCTAGGGATGACTCCAGAGTCAGCTTTTTTTTTTTTTTTTTTTTTAAGAAAAGCTTCCCCTGTCATTCTGATGATCAGCTAGGTTGGTTTGCCAAATTTTGGTAGAGAAAAGTAATCAACTAGGACATTTTGAAAACTAGTGCTAATTCGAACAGCTAATACTAATATACTTTTGGTATAGTTCTTCATCGCCAGGGGGCCAATGGTACACTAGTAAACTGAGGCAGGGCCAGCTAGAAGTGGGTGCAAAATGCCCCTTTCACAACTCTGCCCTTCACTCTACCGAATACTCCACAAAGTGCATATTAATTCCCAAAACCAAGGACTCCCCTCTACAAAAGCAAACACTGCATTTCAGGGAGAGTCAATTGTTATATAATACACCTGGATTCATTCCCTATGGCTGTAACAAATGACCACAAATTTAGCGGCTTAAAGCAACAACAATTTATTCCCTTACAATTCTGCAGGCCAGAGCCCAAACTCAGGTTCATGAGGTCAAGGTGTCAGAGGGCTGGTTCCTTCTGCAGGATCCAGGGAGAATTTCCTTCTTGCCTCTTCCGGTGCTTGGTGGCTGCTCCTGTTCCTGGGCTTGTGGCCACCTCACTCCAAGCTCTGCTTTCGTGATCACACCTCCTCCCTCCTACAAAGACACTTGTGATGACTTTTAGGGCCCACCTGGATCATCTCTGAATCCTTAAGTTAATCGCATCTGTGAAGTTCCCTTTGCTATAGAAGGCGCTGTTCACAGGTTCCAGGATGAAGATGTGGGCATCTTTGGGGGGGGTCATGATCAGCCAACCACTCACCCTACTCTGGATGAATGAACCATGCAGACACTTGGCAAGTTACTTGACCTCCTAAATGTAACGAAAATCAACTGTGGAGAGTGAAGGTGAATTTTTGTTTGAAGAAAGAGAACTGCAGAGCGAGGAGAGCGAAGGCTGTGGCTCCTGTGTCTGCCAGAGGTGAGTGAACCCTGGGGTCTGAGGAGCAGAGCGAGGCTGCCTGTGGGTTGGAGGGAAAGGGCAGGAAGGGCCAGGCAAGCACCATCTGCTTCTGTGGGAGGCTTTTAGGGGAAAGGGTAAGGATTCCACACCCGCCCTGCCACCTCTGCGTCCGATTGTGAACACTTTGGGAAAGAGACTTTTAGACATGTGTTAGTGATTAATACCGTTGCTATAACCTGTACACAAAGATGGTGCCTATACCAAGGTATCAAGTTCCCAAAAGGAAACACTTAATTTTCACTTTGTTTATTTTATCCTTTTAACCTAAAGCCACAGTGCTCTGAGAAACTTTCTTCTCCTGCAAAAGATTTCACTAACGCGAACCTGAGAGAGTTTTCTAAGCTTCACAGCTGCAAATATTAACATGGAGACTAGCAGATTACAAATCATGCAGAGCTTTTGACAAGGTCTTTAAGGAAGGTCGAAAGGAAGGGGGTATTTTTTAAACGTATCTCAAGATTCCAAATAGAAAGTTCCTGAACTTAAATAACGATATTTTTTAAAAAGAGACATTCTTTTCCTTAAAGCACGAATAAATTACCATGCTTTTGTGTTTGCCACCAAATGAAGTCATTTAAAATGAAACATTTTTTAAGCTGCTCCTACTGGGAACGGGCTTGGAAATGAGTGGGTGTCCCGTTTTCTGGGTGTGTGGGAACGCGTTCTTTCTTTGCGAGCCTTCCAGTGGGAGAATGAGCCCTGTGACCTGTGGCAGGTGGCCAAGAGGAGAGCCCTAGGGAGGGTGTCTCTGTGCAGGCCTTGGAGACCACAGCAGGATCTCAAGCCATCCTTTTCCATTGGGGTCGGAAAGGAAAACGCCGGGACGATGACACCTGCAGCCCATGCCCGGGGAGACAGGCTCTCCTCCCTCAGCACATGCCCGGCCCTGCTGGCCTCTGCCCTTGAATGTAGGAGACTTACTGCTGGCGTGGGGTCTGTGCCATGTCACAACTTCAAATGGAGAGACCTGGGGAAGAGCCAGCCTTGGAGGCTGACAACATATAAGACACGTGGACTGCTGGTGGTCAGTGGTTCACCTTAGCAGAAACGCAGACTCCTGTGTTTCTGAGCTCTGTATTTTGCAGAAACACAGACTCCTGAGTTTCAGAGCTCTTTCTGAGCTCTGTATTTTGTTGGTTTTTGCTTTATTAAGTAGGATCAAATGCCCTCAAACTTCATAAGGATCTGGAGGCAACAATGCATAGTACTGAAGGGCACAGGTGGTTCATGCCACATCATCACTACCTAGTGCATGCGTGCCTTGGTTTCCCTGTTTGTGGGTCAGATGTGGTCAACTCTCAGAAGCACTGGGCACAGTGCACTCAGTGCCTGAGACTAAGCTTTATTTGTTCCTGAATCCTTAGCACCACACACAGTGCCTGGCATATAGTTGGTGCTCAAATGAGTGTTTATGGAGGGATTGTGTGATGGTGTTTTTCTAACTAGAGCACTCTGTAATTGATAGAGGATGATGCTTTGATGATTACCGCTCAGAAAAATGCTGTGAACATTCACAGGGCTTGACTTTCCTATTTAGGGGTGACCACTATAAACTTATTTCCATGGCTACATGGACAGTTACTCTCCTTACACGACACGATTATATTAGAATTATTAATTCAACCCAAACTAAGTACTGCAGCCATTGTGGGAGGAGCAAGGCAGTGAGGAGATGCACCCAGCCCGGATTCGGCTCTGACATGGGGGTGCTGGACACCGGGGCCCTGCCTCCCAGCTGCCCCCTCTGCCCATAGCTCTGGCTCAGGTCTGCCCTGGGGATTCACTTGAAGTGAGCCCTCACATGAGGAGGGTTGGCATGGCTCCAAGGCTGAGATATTCTGGGAGATTCTTGCAGTGTGAACAGGACTTGGTGGGAAACTGTCCGCCCTCTGGCTCAGCACAGGGGCTGTAGCATCTAGAAAGCAGCCCTGTGGCCAGACACCAAAGACAACAGCAGAGAGGGCCCTGGTGTGACGCGTGTCTCCCGCCCAAGACAAATGACTGGAATCAGGGGAAGAGAGCAGGCGAGGCTGCGAGGGTCACAGAAGAAAAACATGGTAGAGCCGCTAGGACCCTATGGAGAAGAATGATATTTGAGGGCTTTAGTGTAACAATGTGCATCATTGGAAGGGAATTTTCACCAATAGCAGGGGTTTAGCCCAGTCTGCAGAGCTTCAGCCAGGCCCTGTGTATTACAAATGAGTGTGACCCACGAAGACACAGGACTTTGCCTAGGAGTGCTTTGTGAGTATTTCAGAATGTTGTCTATACTTGAAAAAAATAAAATTGCACCTTGGAGGGGAAAAGTCTGGATGCGCTGATGCTCCACCCGACCAGGTCCCAGAATGATGGGCCTCCACTGCCCACCGTGCTCTGAATGGCACAAGCAATACTTAAAACCAACATTTACAGAAGCTGCTTCCCCCAAACACCCCTCAACAGCCTGCCAAGAGCTTCCGTAAATTTAACTTCCATGAATTTCAATCTCAATCCTGCTCTGGCATCCATGAGGCTCTGTCTTTGAAACACCTTCAAAGGCTCCATCTCTGCACCCTCCCTCCGCCTCTCTCCTGTCTTCTCTTTCTGGCATTTCTAAGGTGGACTTGCGTCAAACAACACGCAGAGCCCGAGAGGCCTGTGCTGCAGCCTCTCTGTTTCTCAGCGTCTGTGGAGCACCGAGGCCCCTGCTGCACTGTGCTGAGGCCACCCTCTCTGTGAACAACCGCTAAGTCCAGGTGCCTCCTAGCTCTGGGTGACAAAGGCAAGGAGACACTGTCCCTGAGCTCGAGTACCTCCTGGTGTAACTCAGGTGACCTGGGCCATTCTTTAGGAAAATCTGTGACCCAGAAATGATTTCTTTCAAGACTATGACCTGTCCCAGATCAGGCGCACCCCCTTGGTTATAAAACAGAACATGAAGATGCTTTGTTTGTCTCTCGTTTTCGCTTCCCCCCAAGCCAAACAGTGCTGACATCAGTTATGCTGTGCTGCTCCCGTCTTTGGAACCATGGGTGTTCACTTTGTTCTCATTCCTTCTAGTCTGTGCCAGCACTTTGATCAGCGTGACACAGGAGAGCTGATTGGAATGCAGACAGCTTAGGCTAAATGAGCAGAAGGAGGCCGGGCGCACAGTGGCTCACAACTATAATCCCAGCACTTTGGGAGGCCAAGGTGGGTGAACCACCTGAGGTCAGGAGTTTGAGACCAGCCTGGACAATATGGTGAAAGCCCATCTCCACAAAAAATACAAAAATTACCCAGGCGTGGTGGCGTGTACCAGTAATCCCAGCTACTCAGGAGGCTGAGGCAGGAGAATCTCTTGAACCTGGGAGGTGGAGGTGGCAGTAGGCAGAGATTGAGCCACTGCACTCCAGCCTGGGCAACATGGCAAGACTCTGTCTCAAAAATGTGTAATAATAATAATAATAAATGAGCAGAAGGAGAGGGTTCAGGATGTAAATAGCTGTAGACATCTGCAAGAGCATTCTCCAAAGTTGAAGTTGCTCTCTGTCCAGGATGAAACCGCCCTATCGGGGCTTCATATCCTCTTCCCCCTGTTAATCCTTGAATCCTTATGCTCACTCCAGTGGGGAGGACCTTCCTAAGACAAAAACCACAGGATGGCAGATCGCCTTCCCTTTGCACGCATGGCACCAGGGTTGTGTTTGAAAACCCATGCCTATGCAGAGAGAAGATGGCCTGGAGCCACACCACTTCCAGCCATCCCATCTGGGAGCTGAGGACCAGGGCTGTTAGGGCAGGTGTCCCCCAGGGCTACAGGGGAAAAGCAGGTCCTTCCCAACTGTCTTCAGGGGCGATGGGACTAGAATGAAAGCAGCCACCACATCAGAGATTTGTTCGTAATTCTAGTTCTTTTTTCTTTCAAGGCCCTTTGTAGGTATCTGCAAAAGAGGACTTGAGGGAGTCAGCAGAGGGCTTTTTGGTGCTGGCAGCAGAGTTGTTGCTCTTTGTCCTTCATCCACTGCCCTCCTGGGGGTCCAGGGTGAAGGTGAACAGCTTAGAGCCACGGAGATGAGGGTCCTGGGAAGATCAGCGGGCATCTCAGTGCGAAGGCGCCTCAGGTGGAGGGGCCTGCTTTAGGGTGAGGATGAGACCAGGGCCCTGGGAAGGCCAGGAAGCCGAGGTGAGAGCAAGCCAGGACAGATGGGGTGAGGAGGGGCACAGACCACCTGCTCCAGCCGAGACCTGTTCCACAGGCTCGGGCGTGGGCTCCCTTCTCACACAGAACCCAGTAACTCAGCTCTGAACGTGGCTTAGAGAAACTGCCGCTGCACCTGGCAACCCAACTCCTCAGTAAGGAGGGAGCACTTGGACATGGGGCCAGGCCCCACGTACCCTGAGTGCCAGCAGGTCTCGCCTCACGGACCTTCACTTCACTCTCCTTGGACAGGGATGAATTTGTCAGTACTGCAGCAGTGCAGGCACAGCGAGCTCCCTGCTGCAGGGGCAGGGGAAGCCGATCCAAGTCCATTGTTGGAAAACACTTTCAATGGCTCTGTCTCTGCATCCACTTCCCCCCTCTCTCCTTTCTTTCTTCCTCTCCTGGGTTCTACTGCCCACTTCAGTGACCTGATGGGCTTCTCTCCTCTCTTCCCGGGTGAGCTTGTGAGACTGTCACGTGGCAACAGGCGGGGGGGCCCTGCAACCAAAGCTCTCATTAATCCTGACAAGGGGGGACCCACCGTGCATTGCCCACTGTGGAAGAGAAAAGGCGTCCAGTGTGCTCAGCTCCTGTAACTGGACACCCTCCAGGGCGGCTGGCCACCCGCGGAGAGCTACTTGAAGCTATTTGGGTCATCAATCAGATGAAATGGGGCATTATAGTCCAATGAATGGCAGACTCTGAATAGAGAGGAAAACAGTTTCGCTAGAGTCCCAGAAGGGACAGCACCCAGAACGAGCATCTAGGCCATCGCTCAGCTGTGGCAGGGTCCCCTCTGCCCTGTCCCTGCTGGGTCATCCTTTCAGGACCTTGATTCTTCGAATGTCTGGGAACTTGCTGCCCTTCCAGGAGGCTCACTGGCGTCTTTTCACCCATCCCTTACATTCCTTACGTTTAGTTTCCACCCGTTCATCTCATCTCACCACTGAGGTTGTGCAGCGTAATCCCCTTTCCTCCTCAGCACTCACTTGAAAGAAGCCACAGTGTAGTGGCCGCCAAGGCAGGGGCTGTGGACACAGACCTCGGGTGGGATGCCCAGCTTTGCCATTTTCTATCGAGTGACCACAGGCACGTGACTCCGTCTCACTGGGTCCCAGGCTCTGCACTTTAAAATGCGGACTAAGTACATACCTACTTCCAGTCAAGATCAGAGAGACAGAAAGTAGAGGGTGGATGCCAGGGCGGGGAGGGGGATGGGCACCCGGGGCCGAGTTTCAGTTTTGCAGGATGAAGAGAGTTCTGGAGATGGGCGGTGGTGAAGGTTGCACAATGGCATGAATGTATTCCATCCTGAAATGTACACTTAAAAATGGTTACAATGGTATATTTTATTTCAAATGTATTTTAGCACAAAATGGTAAATTTTAAAAAGGAACAAAAGCCATAACATATCTACTTCAAAAAGTTATGAGAATTAGAGACAACGTCTGTAAAGCATGAGCAAGGGGCAGCTGTCTGCTGTGTGGGCACCCAGGAGGGGCTAGGCACAAGGCTGGATCCTAAAAATGGAAGGAGAGGCAGAGATTACCCCTTCCACGGTCCAGGGAACCGCAACAGCTCTCAGACTCGAAGCGCCCACTGCTAGCACCAGGACATAACGTCCTTGGGTTTTCCTTTCAAGCTCAACTTGGTTATATTATGAATTGAGAATTCCAATTCTGCCCCCATAACCCCCATGGTGAACGGAGCTGATAGGGAGATCAACCGCTCACAGAGTGGCCCTGCTCCAAACACATAAATATGCTCCATAAAGTAACAAAATGTTTGGAAATTCAGATCCTCGCTTGAAATTCTCTAGCACCAGAATGAAGGCAACTCCAAGCCACAGCTGAGAACCAAGATGGGAACTCAGTGGACTGTGAAGCGCTCAGAGCTCTGCCTCCACCTGCCTGGAGGAAGGAGTTGAGCCCACAGCTGTCCTCTGTCCCCTGCCTCATGCCCCACACTCCACACAGAGCTGGGATTTGTCATTCATGAGGGAGCCAGGAGGATCGCCCCAACTGTGATCTGGGAGTTAGAAAAATCCACCCATCTGACGGGGGACACAGCTCAGAGGCATCCCCTCCACGCCAGGAGTGGAAAAAGCATTGGCAGAATCCTGGGCCAGTTGAAGGTGCGGGCTCTGAATTCACACTGCCTATAAGCTGAGAAAAGAACACAGGAAACTGGCCCAGAGATGAGGAAACCTGGGGGCTCTGCGGATGTCCCACGCCCCAGGGCAGGTGTGTGTCTACATATGGAACTAGCTCACACTGAAGCCAAGTATTACACATCACGTGGGGAACAAACTGCCTGGTGCCAGTGGCTGGATGTAGCAATGAGAATAAAGCACACCCTGGAAGGATCTGGAAGAGATGTCAACAAAACTGTGCTTGAAGTCTCAGGAGAGGGGATGAAAAAAGTACAGGCAAAATTAAAAAGGAACGAGTAGGAATTCTATTAAGAAATGCAGTTGTGATCATGAAAACTCAACTGATGCACTGCACAGTAAACCAGCCGCGACTGAAAGCATGTGCGAGTGGGAAGGCAGGTCTGCAGAAGCTACCAGGAACATGGGACAGGACGCGGCAGAGGGAACCGCAGGAGGGACACAGAACAGCATGGGACACGAAAGGAAAACTTCCAACACATGCCCAGAGGAAATGTAAACTGGCTTAGACATAATCGAACCCATAGAACTTCCTTCAGAGGGAAGGCATGCAGAGAATGGGAAAGACAAAGTATTTGAAAAAATAAAGGCTAAAAATTTTTAGAATTTTATATTTTTATTTTTTTGAGTCAGAGTCTCGTTCTGTCGCCCAGGCTGGAGTGCAGCAGTGCAATCTCAGCTCACTGCAACCTCCGCCTCTCTAGTTCAAGCAATTCTCCTGTCTCAGCCTCACAAGTAGCTGGGTTACAGGCCCCCCCACACCAAGCCCAGCTAATTTTTTTTTTTTTTTAAGCAGAGACGGGGTTTCGCCATGTTGGCCAGGCTGATCTGGAACTCCTGGCCTTAGGTGATCCACCTGCCTCGGCCTCTCAAAGTGCTGGGATTACAGGCTTCAGACACCATGCCTAGCCATGTTTTAAAATTTAAGAAAGACTTAAGTCTTCATGTCAAAAAGCATGTGAGGTCCGAATCAGGAAAAACAGAAGCAACCTCACACTTAGACTCATCATAACTATTAAATATCAAAGATAAACTTCAGAGAAAAATGGCACATCTCTTACCACGGAATGACAATTAGAGTAATACCAGATTTCTCATCGACAATACAGGCTGAGTATCCCTTACCCACAATGCTTGGCACCAGAATGGTTTCAGATCCTGACTTTTTTTGGATTTTGGAATATTTGCATTATACTTACGCATTGAGCAGGCGTGGTGGCGGGCACCTGTGGTCCCAGCTACTCAGGACGCTGAGGCAGGAGAATGGCGTGAACCCGGGAGGCAGAGCTTACAGTGAGCCGAGATCATGCCACTGCAACCCAGTCTGGGCGACAGAGCGAGACTCCGTCTCAAAAAAAAAAAAAAAGCCAAAATCCTCCAGTGAGGGTTTCTTTGAGCATCATGTCTGCACACATAAGTTTCAGGTTTTGGAGCATTTCAGATTCTTGGCTTAAAGATGCTCAACCTATATTAAACACCAGCAAATAACATTTTTTTTTAATGAGACAAAATAGC
This sequence comes from Homo sapiens, assembly GCF_000001405.40. Taxonomy (NCBI): domain Eukaryota; kingdom Metazoa; phylum Chordata; class Mammalia; order Primates; family Hominidae; genus Homo; species Homo sapiens. The sequence continues at coordinate 74,409,215 of NC_000018.10, read as the reverse complement.
TTTCATCCTCGAATTGTGTACTCAGCTAGCTTATCCTTCAAGAGTGAGGGTGAAATAAAGACATTTGCAGTCTAAGATGTTTGCCAGGCCATGCCCTCTGTGAAAGAATGACCAACGGGTATATCCAAGAATGGGATTGGTTTCTGGGAGCAGTGAGTGAGAGAGGCACACAGGAAGAAAAGAAGTCAATAGCATAAGGTAGGAAACCTAGATAAGTTTTAGCTCTTAAAAATGACTGATTTAGGGAAACAAGAATGGAACTAAGATAATAAAAAATGATGTGGGAAGTAGGAGGGAATGTGGAGTGAAGACATTCTGAGGGAGTGGGTTTTTTTTTTCTTTTTTAAAGAAAATAATAGAAATTTTCATTAGCTTTAATTTTGAGTGAGAGGAAATGAATTCCAGAGTATTCAAGGGAGACCTATTCTCCAAAGGGAGGGAAAGACTTTTAGCTTAACTAGGAAAATCTAAGTAAACTAGACCACATTGGGAGAGAAGCCAAGCTGTCACCCATTATCAAAATTAAAATTCCATCCTTTTCACGGCTTGTATGTCTTCTGTTTCATCAAGAAATATGCAAATGGTTCTGACCACTTGGATGCCATTTTAGGGAAATGTGAGTTGTGTTTATTTAAGTTTAGCTAAGGAGATTGGCAATAGGAGTGCTCATACTCCCCAGGATTGTAGTGGAAAATTGGAAGATGGGTCGTGGGCTGCTTGCTAGATGCCATTTGAAGCTGGGAATCTGGCGGCGACTCACTAGGCGCCAATACCTGCCACCCAGGTGTAGGCAGGTGTTGTGACCATTGAGTAGGAAAGAGAGAAACAGGTGTGACATACACCTTATCAATAATCCTGGGTGGAATCAGTGTTGAATAATGAATCACATACAATAATTAATATATGCTAAATTGTCTTAAGCCTTTTTTTTAGCATGACAGCTTGGGAAGAAGCCCCAGAAACCAGAACCTCTGAACTGGAAAAGGCTGCTATTCCTGATGTCTTTTCATCCAGAGCAGTTTGATCCAGAGCTATCTGGACAGAATATTCTGGAATGTTGAGCCTGCCCATAGGGGCAGGTAAGTATGGGGTTAACATTTAGAGGTTTTAAGATTAGGTATGTGTGTTAAAATAGAAATCGAAACTGTAACTGTCTAACAAAGAGAGAAAGAGGAAAACTAAAGAAACCTTGATAAATTCAATTTTAAAAAAGGAAATGATGAAGAAAGGAGCCAAATACGAAGCAAAGCAAATAGAAAACAAAAATGCCACAGTGGGGAGAAATCCTCACCACCCTGGATGAAAGTCCTAGCCAATGCAGCAACATAAGAAAAAGAAATCAAAGTTTAAGTACGAGAAGAAAGAAAGAAAACTGTCATTATTTTTTGGATCATATGATTGTCTAAGTGGAAAACAAAAAGAATTTGTTTTCAGAAAACTCACTGGATGAACCTGGAAGACATTACACTAAGTGAAATAAGCCAGACACAGAAAGACAAATACTGCACGACCTCGCTTTCATGTGGAATCTAAAGAAGTCAAACTCTGAGAAGCAGAGAATAAAGTGGTGGTTATGAGGGCTGGGGGTATGGGGAGATACTGGTCAAAGAGTACATAGTTTCAATTAGGATGGATACATTTAAAACAAAACCCCAAATTAAAAAACAAAAAGAACCAATTAATTGTATTAAATGCAGCAGTTTTGCTGGAAGCAACAAGTGGTTAGAAAATGTAATTGAAAGAGTTGCCATTTATAACAGTAACAACAAGAACAAAATAAAGTAGCAATAAATTTAACATAAGGTGTGTATATCCTTTCTGCAGAAAATTACATAATTTTAAAAAAGGATAGAAAGGAGCCAGGTAGCTCACACCTGTAATCCCAGCATTTTGGGAGGCTGAGGCGGGCGGAGACCAGCCTGGCCAACACGGTGAAACTCCGTCTGTAATAAAAATACAGAAAATTAGCCAGGTGTGGTGGCGGGTACTTGAAATCCAACTACTCAGGAGGCTGAGGCAGGAGAATTGCTTGAACCCAGGAGGCAGAGATTGCAATGAGCCGAGATTGTGCCATTGCACCCCAGCCTGGGCAACAAGAGTGAAACTCTGTCTCGAAAACAATTAAAAATAAAAATAAAAAAAGGATAGAAAGGAGACTTAGGTTAGTGTGAAGACCTGCAATGTCTGTGTATTTGAAGACATAATATTGTAAATGTGTCAGTTTGTCATAGTTGCTACTGCTTTGTAAAAAAATCACCCAAACTTAGTGACATAAAAGCAACCGTTTTTTATTATGCTCACGGATTCTGGAGTCAGAGTTTGGAAAGCCTGCAGTGGGGAAGCCCTCCTTCTATATCTGAGTCTAGAACAGATGAGACAGGAGGATCCACTTCCAAGATGGCTTCTTCCCTGCCAGGGCTGCTCCCTGGCCTGAGATGACTTAAAGTTTAGCTCACCTGGGAGCGTCGCCTGAGCACCTGCATGTGATCTCATCATGACGATTGGGCTTCACATGGAAGGCACTGGGTTCTAACAGGGAGTTGCCAGATGATATTTGATTCCAAATGAGAAGGTTCTTGATCTATATGGTGCAAGAACTGTCTCATTACTGATACTTCATCTCTATGGTTCAAAGAAAAATCAAGCAGTCCTAGACAGCAAAAGAGAATGCCCTATTTATACCACTCCCAAGTAGGTGGTGGTGAGGGAGGGATTGTTAAATTCGATTTAGGCACATGCCTGTAATCTCTGTGTTGTTGTTGTTTTTCATTTTTTTCTCTCCTCTTCCAGCATGAATAGAAGTCTTCGAGTTGTAAACCTAGGCAGCATATTCATTTTCTTGATTTTCTCAATTATATTTAAGCCATAACTGTGTATTTATTACCTGCCTTGAGAAATGGAGAGTGTGCCTGGTGTGAGGCAGTGGGAGAGAAAACAACACTGGCATTTTTAGAATGAGGAGTGACCAATGCCATGAATGCTGATTGTAGCTATGCAGGTCTTCTGATGGCTTATTCTTGGGGACTAAGGGTACCACACAGAAATAGGCTGCCAAACATGCAGATAGAAGCAAACCTTGCCATTCCTTTCCTGGAAAAGAGACAAAATGTTTAGTCAATAAAAAAAGTCCAGGGTTGTTGCAAAATTGTTTCTCAATGGAAGTCATTTTCTTACCTTTCCTCCATGGTGATGACAGATATGTATTTGATTTGATTTGAGAAAAAGTTCTCAAAATGAGAGGAAAACTTCATATTTTTTAGAAAAAAATAGAAGAAGAATACAAGTGGTATAGATTAAATTCATATTCCTCTAGTTGACCTCTGAAAATGACGAAATAACAACTTTTTTAAATTGCTGATTAGATAAGCCACCTAGGACCTACACCTAATCCTCACTGGCATAGCCAGTGTTGGGCATATGAATGCCAAACAGCACACCAAAAGATGCTCACATTAGTCATCAGGGAAATGCACATCAAAACCATGAGAGCTGGGTGTGGTGGCTCATGCCTGTCATCCTAGCACATTGGGAGGCTGAGGTGGGTGGATCACCTGAGCTCAGGAGTTCGAGACCAGCCTGGGCAACATGGTGAGATTCCACATCTACTAAAAATACAAAAAAATAGCCGGGTGTGGTGGCACACACCTGTAATCCAAGCTACTTGGGAGGCTGAGGCATGAGAATCGCTTGAACCTGGGAGGTGGAGGTTGCAGTGAGCTGAGATCATACCACTGCACTCCAGCCTGGACAACAGAGCAAGACTATCTAAAATCAATCAATCAATCAATCATTCAATCATGAGTTATCACATCATACCCACTAGGATGGTCATAACAATAATAAACAACCAGAAAATAACAAGTATTGGTGAGGATGTGGAGAAATTAGAATCCTCATATGCTGCTGGTAGAAATGTTAAATGGTGCAGGTGCTGTGGAAAATGGTTTGGCAGTTCCTCAAAGTTAAAAACAGAATTGCCATACTGCCCAGCAATTCTACTTTTAGGTATATACTGAAAAGAATTGAAAATAGATGTTCAAACAAACATTTGTAAGCCAATGTTCATAGTATCATCATTCACAATTGCCATGAGGGGGAAAAAACACAAAGGCCCATCAGCAGCTGAATAAACAAAATGCCATCTCTCCACACAATGGTGTGTCATCTAGCCATAAAAAAGAGTGCGGCACTGACACAAGCCACAATGCGGATGAACCTTGATCACATAATGCAGAGTGGAAGAAGCTCAGGCACAAACAGCTATGTGTCCTATGATCCCGTTTGTATGTAATAGCCAGAGTCTGCAAATCCAGAGCAAGGGAAAGTGGATCCATGGTTGCCAATGGGCGGGAGGAGATGGAAGTTGAAAGGGACTGGTTTGTGGGTTCCTTTTGGGGTGATGAGAAAGTTCTGGAACTAGGTAGTGGTAATGATCGTCCAAGATTGTGAATGGACTTAATACCATGGAATTGTACACTTTAAAATGATTTAAAAGGTAAATTTTATGTTATATGTATTTTACTACAATAAAAAAATGTGCTGATTAGAGAAGAGAGATGCTAATACTTCTCCATCCCTCAGCTATGGACAGACAAATGTTATTGCACAGGTTTCTTCTGAAGATAACTGGTTTTTGTTTTTGTAGGCCGATACCTGTATTGAGTACTAAAAGATATATTAAATAGGACATTAAGTATACTAATCATAAAGGAAACGTTTGATAAATTGAGCTATATTAAAATCAACCACTTATATGTTCAAAAATGACCAGTAAGAGTGATTTGGCAAGCCACAGAGTAGAAGAAAGTGTTTGCAATACATGGATATGATAATAGATTTGTTTTTGTTTTTGAGACAGAGTCTTGCTCTGTTGCCAGGCTGGAGTGCAATGGCATGACCTCAGCTCACTGCAACCTCTGCCTCCCAGGTTCAAGCGATTCTCCTGCCTCAGCCTCCCAAGTAGCTTGGACTACAGGCGTGTGCCACCACACCCAGCTAATTTTTGTATTTTTAGTAGAGACAGGGTTTCACCATGTTGGCCAGGATAGTCTCAATCTCTTGACTTGGTGATCCACCCACCTCAGCCTCCTAAAGTGCTGGGATTACAGGCATGAGCCACCACACATGGCTATGATAATAGATTCTATGCAGAATACATAAAACATTGAAATCAATCAACAGGAGAAAGAGCATGGAAGGAAAAATGGTGCAAAGTCTTGGCCGGACACCCTAAGTAATATGTGCAAAGAGCCAAGAAATAGGAAGAAGTTTTTACTGATAGGCCTGTGTTCTTTCTTCTAGTCTCAGGAATGTAGTTCCTCATGATCTCTATGAATTTATTTATTATTTTTAATTAATTTTTAAAATTTCTGTCCGGGTTCAGTGGCTCACACCTGTAATGCCAGCACTTTGGGGGACTGAGGTAGGTAGATTGCTTGAGCCCAGGAGTTTACACCAGCCTGAGCAACATGTTAAAACCCTGTTTCTACCAAAAGAAAATGCAAAACATTAGCCAGGCATGGTGGTGCGTGCCTGTAGTCCCAGCTACTCCCGAGGTGGAGGTGGGAAGATCACTTGAGCCTGGGAGGTTGAGGCTGCAGTGAGCCATGATCATGCCACTGCACCATTATAGCCTGGGTGATATAGTGAGACCCTATCTCAAATATATATATATATATATATATTAAATTTCTGATTGACAAATCATAATTGTATACATTATGTTATATTCATGTTTTGATACATGTATACAATGTAATGTTTTGATACATGGTTTTGATACATGTATACAATGTGATGTTTTGAAATATGTATACAATGTGGCATGATTAAATCAAGCTAACCAGCATATCCATGGCCTCATTTACACACACACTTAGATTTATGTTCTTGAACTAGAGTGTTTCTTGAAAAGAACTTGGTCCTATGAAGTTCATACACACATAGAGACACATCTTTGGAAGTGAGAAGACTTTGGCAGCCCGGGTCCGCGGGTTCATGGAGCAGGCTGATTCAAATCCTCCATGCTGGCCGTTTGGGGACAGGTTTCCAGATGTGGCTGGGGGTGCTGTTGTAAACAGTGTTATTCCCTCTTCAGAAGGAGAGGCAGCAGCAATGGAGATGGGAGGAGAGCCAGAGGATGGCATGCAGGCTTAATCCTGCAGAGGCTCTGCAGTGCGGACGAGGCCTGGGGCTTGGTCTCGGGCTTTGGAGATAAGCAGGCTGCTGGTGACTTCCGAGAGCCACTTGCAGAGGGCTGGGCTGCAGGCTTCCCCTGCAGGAAACCCAGCCAGGACAGAAATGGAATAAGAAGAGCCCAGGGTGTGAGAGTTTGAAAAGTGCCACTCAGCTTCTGTTCTTTGGTTGTTTCTCTACCGGAATGCCATTCCCCTTTCACCTGGTGGCCTCTCATACATGCCTCAAGGCTCAGTTCAAATACTGCATACTTTCCTCTAGGAAGCCTCTCAGAGCCCATGCAGTCCGAGTCAGCTCCAACTGCATTTATGTATCTCGTCACTGAAGCTTTGTCACATTTGTAACTCACATGGGGATTTTTGGGCTGCCCCTCTTGTTTTTACTCCACTCCCATTTATAGGTTGGACTAAGTGAAGCAGAGACTGTTCAGTTGGCCTTCAGTGGCCATTCTCTTTTTCCTTAATATCAGAAACCTTATTTTATTGAGAGAATTGGTATATCCTTTTTGCCCTTCCCCCTTCTTTCTTCTCTTTTCTATTTATTTATTATTTATTTATTATTATTATTATTATTTTTTGAGACAGAGTTTCACTCTTGTTGCCCAGGCTGGAGTGCAATGGCGCGATCTCAGCTCATTGCAACCTCCGCCTTCCGGGTTCAAGTGATTCTCCTGACCCAGCCTCCCGAGTAGCTGGGATTACAGGCATGCACCACCACACCCAGCTAATTTTGTATTTTTAGTAGAGGTGGGGTTTCTCCATGTTGATCAGTCTGGTCTCGAACTCCTGACCTCAGGTGATCTGCCCGCCTCGTCCTCCCAAAGTGCTGGAATTACAGGCATGAGCCACCACGCCCAGCCACCCTTCCTCCTTCTTTCTAGCTGCCTGGAAGGCAGATGTGATGACTGAAGCTCCAGCAGCCATGATGGATAAAGAGGTTTCCTTAAGTGTGGAAGCCACTGCTTAGATAGTGAAGCAGAAAACTGGAAGGAGCCTGGATCTTATCATGGACCTGCCATATCAGCCTTGGACTGCCTTTACATGAGAGAGGAATACACATGTCATTTAAGCTACTATTATTTTGGATAGTTCTGTTATACATAGGCTAAGCAGAATCTTAACTGATAGACTTAGCATATCCTTGCAACTCAAAACTCCCTCTACCAACTCCAGAAGCATGGAAAAGTAATGTCAATTTTATGAATATGTCTGAAAAGATGGAGAAGGATATTATATTGCAAACCACATGAATTTCTAAAATCCCTTTAAAAATGTTTCTGTTCTTTCTCCAAGATACTTTTCCCTAGGGCAGCTGTTTAATTCCTATTATTTCCCTCTCTAACCCTCCAAATCTCCTCTTAAGCAGAAGCAACCATTTTCTCCCCAAGATCCTCAAAGCTTTGTCAACTTGCACATTCCAGCCAAGCAGTCTGCTGAGCAAGACAAGACCACCAGTTGCTCACTAAGTATGTCCCATGGAGTCTCAAGTTATTCTGCCACACTTTCTGTTATAAGTAATTACTTACACCTTTGTGGGTGCTTCACTTCCTTCCCCTCTACTCCATATGGTGGAGTCCTGGATGGCCCAGAACTGCTTCTTGCACCATTGTATCTCATTACCTGGCATAGCACCTGGTGCACTGGTGCTCAGAGCTTGTTGGATAAATGATGTGTAGAGTTCAACCCAACAATCCCTGGTCCTCTTTCCTGTGGCCACAGTCCCCATCACAAACGCCAAAGTAAATCAAGTCTTGTATCTCTTTGCCAAGTGAAGAATCTGGCTGAACGATGGTTATGCTCTGAGCCACTGGGAGTCTCTACTCCTCTGACCTTGGGGGACAGGATTTTACCTCCTTTTTGGTCTCTTTCTAAGTAGGGTGCAGGACAGGGAGGACGAACTTCAACTGGTCTGTTAGCTACAAAGTTGAAAGCAAATGTGCATCCAGGCTTCCCGTGTTTTCTGCGGGCTTTGCTCCATGCTTTCACAGGCTTTATCCCAAGCCTATTGGACAATTATTTTTGGCTCATTCAGTGAATGGCTTTCAGTCAATTTCTTCTGTTTTGAATGCTTGATGTAGGGCTCATCCTCATGTACTATAGTATTCAGAATATTACTGGAAAGTATTTCTTGTTAACAAATCTTTTTATCCTTAGCCCAGTTTCCTGTTCTTGGGTGCTGTGTGTGGCCTATCTGGTCACCTCGGTAAAGAATTCTAAGTGGGTTCCCTACTGAGGAGTTGCTTCTCAGATCCCACATCTGAAAAATACTGTCCTAGAATTTACACAATGTTTCATGTGTCCAGAGTCTTTAAGGATTGGTGGTAAGCAGTGGGGGTGAGGAGAACCCTGGCCGAGGCTGTCTGCGCTGCACTTGGAAGCCAAGGTCAGAGGCCCCTGCTGGTAGCTGGGGACAGGTAGCTGGGGATAGGTTGCTGCACCTGGGCCCGGGGCAGGTGCACTCAGGCTCGGGGCAGGCATGTGGGGCACTCAGGCTCGTTCCACATCCTCTCTATGTCCCTCTTCCTCTATATGGTTTCTTATGGCTGCTGTTGCAAACTACCACAAACGTCATGACGTAAAACAATGCAGGTTATGCCCTTACGGTCCTGGAGGAGTCTAAAGTGGGTCTTCTGGGCTGAAACCAAGGTGGTGGCAGGATTGCGTTCCTTCCACATGCTGCAAGGGGGCATCTGTGTCCTTGCATTCTCCAGCTCCTGGGGGTTGCCTGCCCTCCTTCACCCACGGCCCCCTCCCCAACCCTCAGTGCCAGAAGCACACCACCTCCGCGCCTCCCTCCCTTGGACCCCTGCTTCTGTTGTCTCAGCTCCTTCTCTGGCTTTCCCATCTCCCTGTTTCCTTAGAAGGACCCTTTGGAGGACATTGGACCCACCCAAATATTTCAAAAAACTGTCCCTACATCAGGACCCTTTACTTATCAGTACCTGATGCTGTGTAAAGCAACATAGTCATGGTTTCCGGGAATTAGGATGTGCAGCCTCCTTGTGGGGACCATGATTCTGTCTATTACACCCTCCTGGTGCTGTGAGACCCTCAAAAGCAAGGCCTGTGTTGACCCCTCTAGAATGCCGCAGCCCCCATCCAACATCACACTCCATCTAATAGCTGGCCAATTTTTAATTGACCGAGTCTGATCAGAATAATAATTCCAATAATATTCTGAATACTATAGTACATGAGAATGAGCCCTACTTTAAGCATTCAAAACAGAAGAAATTGACTGAAAGCTGTTTATTGAATGAGCCAAAAATAATTGCCGGATAGGCTTGAGATAAAGCCAGTGAAAGCACGGAGCAAAGCCCACAGAAACACAGGAAGGCTGGATGCACATTTGCTTTGAACTTTGTAGCTGACAGACCAATTGAAGATCGTCGACTTGACCATGATTTCTCCACACAGAATGACAGTTGCACTGTTTTGGAGAACCCATGCACCCCCTTCACATTTGTTTTGTTTGCTTTTATTTTGACTTGTCTATTTTCCTCTTGCAAGTCATTTTTCATGCTCTTTGATTGCATAAGAATCCTTCCAGAACTTACCAGAGGAAAAGGAAGAGGAGAACCACTAAGCATGGGGAAACGTTTCTTCTGGCTCCATTCCCCAAATGCAGCTGCGGGTGGAGGAAAAGGAAGAGGAGAACCACTAAGCATGGGGAAACGTTTCTTCTGGCTCCATTCCCCAAATGCAGCTGCGGGTGGAGGGAAAGGAGGTCGTTAAGTGGCAAATGGGGCAGTTTGGAACCCGTTCATCTTAAGCACGGAAATGTGCTAGAGCTTTAAATAATCTCTGCGTCTGTTGGCTTTTTCTGCTTTTAGACTGGGTTCTTTAATATTCCTCTGCTCTTGCCTTAAAACATAGCAACCCTTACATATACTCTGCGGCTGGTAAAACAAGATAAGCTCAGAGGTTGTAGAAAATGTGAGTCTTAAGATGAGGAAGCAGAGTGAAGTACACGTTCACCTGGGTAGCTCAATATTCTCAACAGGAACGCATCAGCACTATTCTGTTCCAAAGGTGAGACTTTCAAAGCCTAGGAATTTTCCTTTAAAAACAACAACAAAACAGTTGATTTTTTTTTTCCCACATTAAAAATTGTTGTTTTTCCCGTAAGTGATTTAGCTCAGTCACTTTAAACACGGTTATTATGGACTGAATGTTTGTGTCCACCCCAAAATTCACATCAAAATCTCATCCCCAGTGTGGTAGTGCTAGGAGGTGGGGCCTTCGGGAGGTGGTCATGAGGATGGGGCTCTCACGAATTGGATTAATGCCTTCATACAAGAGGCCCCCAGGCCAGGTGCTGTGTAATCCCAGCACTTTGAGAGGCTGAGATGGACAATTGCTTGAGCCCAGGAGTTTGAGACCAGCCTTGGCAACATGACAAAAGCCCATCTCTACAAAAAATACAAAAAAAATTTGGCAGATGTGATAGTGTATGCCTGTACTCCCAACTACTCAGGAGCCTGAGGCAAGAAGAGCGCTTGAGTCTAGGAGGTTGAGGCTACAGGGAGCCATGGCCATACCACTGCACTCCAGCATGGATGACAGAGTAAGACCCTGTCTCAAAACAAACACACAAAAGAGGCCCCCAGAGAGCCCTCTAAGCCTCCTTCAGCCATGTGAGGATGTGGCTGGAAGGCAGCAGTCTGTACTCTGGAGAAGCATCCTCCCTAGAGCCCGGCCATGTGGGCACCCCGATCTCAGACCTCCAGCCTCTGGACTGTGAGGAATAAATGCTTGTTGTCTAAGCCCCCCAGTCTATGGTTTGTTTTTGTTTTTTTTTTAATAGACAAATTCTTCCTCTGTCACCAAACCTGGAGTGCAGTGGCGCGATCTCGGCTCACTGCATCCTCCGCCTCCAGGTTCAAGCGATTCTCCTGCCTCAGGCTCCTGAGTAGCTGGGATTATAGGCATCTGCACCACGCCCAGCTAATTTTTGTATTTTTAGGAGAGACAGGGTTTCGCCATGTTGGCCAGGCTGGTCTCAAACTCCTGATGTCAAGTGATCCGCCTGCCTCGGCCTCCCAACGTACTGGGATTACAGGCATGATCCACCATGCCTGGCTGTCAGTCTATGGTATTCTGTTATGGCAGACAGTAAACAGAAAATATGGATGGTGTTGGGGAGAATCGCAGCACACATCTTAGTTCAAATCCAGTGTCTGGCAGCACAGTGAGTAAGAGAAGCGCGGCCTGGATGCTCCTTGTCAGGTACAGCCCAGTGGTTCTCAGAGTGCCCTGGTCCCTCGACCAGCCTCAGGAGCCACCTCGAGGAACTTGTAAGAAATGCGGGCCCCACCCCAACTTACAGGTGATTCTGGTGCACACCAGGCTTTGAGAACCATGGTCCTAGAGTACACCGAGGAGGCCATAGCTGCCTTGTGATCTCCCAGGCAGCTTCCACTGTCTGAGCTGAGACACTGAGGAAGAGGATCCCTCTTCCTGCCCCTCCTTACTCCAGCAGATACCTGAGATTCCACAATGAGTAAAGTAATGCATTCTCTTCTCTTCTTCTTCTTTCTTCTTTCCTTTTCTTCTTCTTCTGCTTCTGCTTCTCCCTCTCGCTCTCGCTCACTCTGTTGCCCAGGCTGGAGTGCAGTAGTGCAGTCTCAGCTTGCTGAAACCTCCACCTCCCAGGCTCAAGCAATCCTCCTGCCTCAACCCCCTGAGTAGCTGGGGCTACAGGTGCGTGCATGCCACCACGCCCAGCTAATTTTTGTATTCTTAGTAGAGACGAGGTGTCACCTCATTGTCCAGGCTGGTCTTGAACTTCTGACCTCAGGTGATCCACCCGCCTTGGCCTCCCAAAGTGCTGAGATTACAGGTGTGAGCCACTGCACCTGGCCAAGTCATGCATTCTTTTATGTTAGATGCCACCTCCTCTTTTAAAAACAGGGGAACTGAGAAGCAATTTCACAGAAGTTGTGCCCCTTCTGGGATCTGGCCCTGCACCCCTCAGACCATCGGCTTTTTAGATTGCACAACTAAAGGCGGAAACTCGTAGTTCCTGCACTTGACATTTTATTGCTTAAAAAAAAAGATGGTTTCCTAAAGAGTATTATGCTGATGTGATGGAATGACATGAAAAAGCTTGAGGAAGCTGGGATTTACCATGTCAGAGAAAAATCATCTAAGTGATTTGTGCATTCTATGTACTGAAGTTCGCTAGGGCGAAGGGTTCCCCTTTTTTGGGTGCTAATGGGGTGGAAGGTTGTAGAGGGCAACCACTTGATCCCGGGTTTATACCCAGCTCTGTGCTGAGGAAGCGCCCCATATGCTTTTCAGGAGCAGACAAACTTGGGCTTGAGAACGGCGAGGATTCTGTCTCCCGCACATGTGTGCTATAACTTTTTGGAACGGCCTAGCAAACTTTCTGGAATACAGCCACCTTCTCACAGGAGAGGGACTGGGAAATGAACGGCCTAAAAGCATTTAAAAGTTCCTTTTGCAATTACAGGGTGCTATCAGCTATAAATGCTTGCTAATCACTATTTTCCCCAGGCTCCTAATTTCTACAGGTGCCAGAGGAATGCAAGATTAAGTGAAACATTAGCAAATACTTCGAGTGCTGTATTTTAAACCTAGATATATTAACTGTGGTATTTCCAGTTGGGAAACATGAGACCGTAATATAGAAATTCGAATCTTAAGTGCCCAAGAGTGCTGTCCCAGGGGGCTTTTAATCACTGGAAGTAGCAGGATTTCTTGGGAACATGCCCAGAGATCTGAAAATGGGCAAAGGTTTTCCAAGTTTAAGAAATAAGAAAATATTAGGTTAGCGATAGTCTGGAAGCATTTTTCTTTCCTTCATTTTCTCATGGTGTTGGGATTTGTCCCTTTTTCTCTCACAGCGTGCGTCTGACATGCTCCAGGTTGGTCCTGGAAGCCAGTGCCTGGGTGTACTCTGTGTGCCTGAAGCCGGCTCCCAGAGTGAGACCCCAGGCACATGGGGAGACCTGCTTTCTGGCCCCCGCTCTACCAGTGCGTCCCTTACGGGTCTCGGGCAAGTCCTAATTTGTGAGGTTGACCTCCAGGCCCCAGCCTGCCACTCTGCATGTGAGTAGCAGACTTGATGCTGGGAAGGTCACTGGGCAAATCCATCTCCAGGGGAGGGAGGATTTTGGTGGCTGGCTGCGGTCTGAGTGGACAGCAGGCAGTCAGCACCAATCGCTCACCTAGTTTCTCTTTGTTCCAATGTTGCATTTTATGTTCTGTCAAGAGGAGCATGTGTGTGTGTGTGTGTGTGTGTGTGTGTGTTGTAATTATCAGACCTGTGAGTTGATTTGGTTAAGTTTTATTTGTCAAACAAAAATAGTTTCAACAAACTGTGTTGATTTTTGTGCAATTTCCTTCCTTCTGTTTAAGCAAATTTGATTTTTTAAAGCAAAACCGTGAAAAGCCCAGTGCTTAATCACATTCCTCAAAAATCTATATATGCTAAATGCAGTGTGGCATCATGGATTGGATCCCAGAAAAAGAAAAAAAAAAAAACCCTAAATGGAAAACTAATCAAATTCAAATAAAGTCTAGAGTTTAATTAGTTCCAAAAAAAAGGAAAGCAAGGGAAAACAATGTATAGCCAGATATGTGGGCACCCTGTGGGCCAGTCAAGTTGGCACATAAAATTAACTATCACCAGGCCTCTAAAATTTTTCAAGAATAGTTGAAAGACCATGAGCACGGGAGTCAGACAGATCTGACTTTGAATACCAAGTACCGGCTCGCTGCTGGCCAGCAATGCTCTTCAGCCTATCAAGAAAAGGAGGTGGTGAAAATGTCTCCTTTTCAGAGATGCTGGTCCATGTTCCCAAAGACCCAGCCCATGGGCCGTGAGCCAATCACAAAGGTGCACACACAAAAAAACAGTCTGCCCAATACGATTGTCTCATAGTTCCATCCCCCTTCCAACATACGACCACCCACGTCACATGAGTGGGTGGTATGGTTTGGCTGTGTCCCCACCCAAGTCACCTTGAATTGTATAATCCCCACATGTCAAGGGTGGGGCCAGGTGGAGATAACTGAATCATGCAGGCAGGTTCCCCCACACTGTTCTCATGGTAGTGAATAAGCATTGCAAGATCGGATGGTTTTATAAAGGGGAGTTCCCCCTGAACACACTGTCTCGCCTGCTGCCATGTAAGCTCTTCCTTCACCTTCTGCCATGATTTGTGAGGCCTCTCCAGCCATGTGGAGCTGTGAGTCCATTAAATCTCTTCCCTTCATAAATTTACCCAGGCTCGGGTATGTCTTTATTAGCAGCATGACAACAGACTAATGCACCGGGTGTGGAGGAAGAGTATTGAGAACACCAGGGTGAATTTCTTTTCCTAACCAAAATTTGCCTTTTTCCCTCAGAGTTCTCTGCCACCTTCAGCTTGTGAGGTCTCTCATTGTGTCGGGGTTAACACCTGCCCACAGGTGTTAATAAACCTGTGACTACAGACCTTGGTGCTTGAGTATCACCCATGGTCAGCACTGATAAGTCACCAGGCTCAGCGTAGTATAGCTCTTACCAAGCAACTAGAGGAAAGGTGAAAAGCATTCTAGAATAGGGGACAGAAGATTACCGCTTAGGTAAGATTATGGGTATTCTCGCTCCACAGGGAATAGAAATATCGCCTTATCCTAGAGCGGGGCACACCCCCAACTGGGAAGCACCTCAAGTTCTACAATTTCATCTGTGCCTCCAAAGTGGTAAGATTTTAATGAAATGGTGAATGCTGGAACTACTCAGTGGTGTGGTGGTTTTATGACAGCAAGAAGTCATGAATACTTAGACACTTTTGAGATCATTTGGACATAGGCTGGGCTGAATATTAAGGTTTTCATTTTTTGTTTTGTGTTCTAGCTTTTATTGTCACCAAAGTTATGTATGCACATAGTTTAAACATTCAAAAAGCTCTGCAAAGATTGTTACAAAAAGCAGTGGCTCCCAGCCCTCCTGTCCCTCATTTCCCCCTCAAGGAAGTAGTCACTTCACTGGGAGCTGAGATTTGAGTATTTACCTCTCTGTCTTTAAAACCCATGCTCAATTGCCACTGCCACCTTTCACCTTGCAACATCAGGCATTATTTACTCACTTGTGATGGAGACGAAGGTTCACTGGACTCTCCACCTGCCCTTACTCCACTTCCATCCCCACCACCTTCACAGACCTCCCCAGTGTTGTCCCACCATCATTTTGCTTACATCAGTGTTCAATGTTTATATCATTATGACTAAAGATTATCCACAGCTGAGCCATGCATTTGCTCTGCAAAGTTTTGTTTTCCCTGTACTTCCTAAGTGTCTTGTTTTGTTTGCTTGGTTTTCATGTTTTTATTAAGAATTCAACCTCAAACTACTTTCCATTTGTCCGAATCTCCTGTCAAGACATTCAGCCACCAGTCCTGCTATCCTGAAGGCGTCTCCCAGGTCCTCCTACCCCACTCCATCTGAGGGTCACCCTCTAGGCCAAGTGAGCAGCTAGATTCCGAGATGGCCGTTCACTACTGTGACACGCATTGTCCTCCTCTCACTTCTTTCTGTATTCCATAGCTTCACTTTCTTGGTTTGGTGGAGCACATTTCAGTGTCTGTCTGAGAAAGGGAGCCTGGGAGTTCATTTATTTTAGACCTTGCTTCTCTGAAATGCCTTGAATCTGCTGTAATGCAATCTGTTTGGCTAGACATAGACGTCTAAGCTGAAAATGTATTTTTCCTTTAGAATAATGAAGAAATTAGGCACCATTGCCTCTGAGTTCCTGCTATTGCCTAGTGAAGTGATTTTGATTTCTGCTTGTTAGATGTCACTTACGCTTTTCTTTCTGGACATTTGTAGTTTTTTTGTGTGTACAGCGTTTTGAACCTTCACCATACTATAAAATTCCATTCATTTTAGTGGGTCTTTAATGAGTCTTTCTATCAGGAAACTCATGCCTTTTACTTGAGAAATTTTCTCGAATTATTTTTTGATTATTTCTTCTGTTTTAGATATTATTTTTATGTTTTTATAAAAATGTTAGGATATTAGGCTTTCTGGAACGATCTACTTTTGTCTTATCTTTTCTCTCCTCTTTTCTGTTCTCTTTTTGCTCTATGTTCTGGAGATTTCCAAATCTTTATCTTCTAATTCTTCTATTGAGTTTTTCATTTTGCCATTATCTTTTCATAGCCAGGAGCCCTTTTATTGTTATTCCCTGAGTGTTCCTGGATTTCCATCTTCTTCACAGTTGGTAACTGGAACCAAGAAGCTGATCAAAGATGTGAGGATTTGTATGGGTTTGGTGGGTGTAGGGTTCTCGTGGGGTGATCTGCTGGGCTGTGTCATTGGGGACCCACTAGCACCACTACCTGTATTTAGGAAATTTCCTCTTGGGCTGGTCAGGTTCCCCAGAACAGCATTTTTCAGTCTGTTGCCTGGAGGTCTTGAGCTTGGTGCTAGAGTTCCAGGAGCAACTTGGAGGAAAGCCGAGGCCCTCTGAATGAGCCAGGGCTCTCCAGAGGAGCGGAGCCAGCAGCAGACTGGCTCAGACCACCACAGGAGCGGTCAGGTGTGCATTCAGCAGGGCAGACCAGCACCTGGAGACTCAGGCCAGAGGGCATGTTGCAGTCTTGAAGCAGAATTTCCTCTTTTCTGGGAAATTTCAGTTTTTGCTATTAAGACTTTCAACTGATCCAACCCATATTATCAAGGGTAATCTGTCTTATTGATCGTAGGTGTTCACCACATCTACAAAAGACCCCATGGCAACACTTAGGTCAGCATTTAATTCAGTAACTGGGTACCATGGCCTGGCCAAGTAGGCAAAGAGGCAAACTATCACAGCCTCCCTATCCAATTAAATCATTACTAATTCATCAAAAATTAATTCAATACATGTTTATGGAGCACCTGCTCTGTGCTGGGCACTGCTGTCGGCCTTTCTCCCCTCTCCTCAGAGCGTGCTCCAGCTTTCAGCCATGTAGTTCTCCCAGCCCAAGAGCCTGGATCATGTCTGTGGAGAAGAAACCCCAGCCTGTCTGTGGCAACCAAGTCACCTACATAGCAGAAGCAGGAAAATATGAGCTTGCTCTTTAGACAAACCTCCGGCAATGCCTTACTTCATCCTACTGCTTCCTAGCCATGCAAAGTCACCCATCAGCTGGCCAGGATGCTGTCCGGATTTTAAAATCACCTTGCCACTAGATTATATCAACTATGTTGTAAGTACATTATCAGTGCCCATTGTCGTCAACTTAACATTGTCAGTGTTTCTCACAAATTAAATAGTATTTGCAAATCTTGAAGGATTTTCACTTGGAAAAACTAAACAACAAACTTGCATTTCTGTGTAATTAGAAGTAATAAAATAACATTTCCTTACTTAGATCCACTAACTGAGTCTTACCTTCCCCTAGTTAATCTGATTTAATGAAGTTTTGCTATATTATAGGATTAAACACACAAAGGCTTTTATTGGATTGACTATCATCTGAAATGTCTTTTTCTCTTCTCAGTGCTAAGCCTAAGTGCTTAGTATCATGAAGATAAGAATCATGAAACTCAGATTTGCTGTAGCTGCATCAAATTGTTAATATTATTAAGCAAGCTATATGGAATAAGATGTTCATCACAGCATTATGTAAAAATGGCAAAAATTATAAGCAACATAAATGCCTAATGTTAGGGAAATGTAAGTTCACGATGAAACATTTTCACCATGAAATCGGAAACATAGTCATTGACACAGTAATTATGTGGATTATACGGGCAACATGGGAAGCTGGTCATGATATACATTTAAGATGAAGAAAATCAAGCTGCAAGATCACCAGAACACGATGAGGAGAACTATTGACTTTTGCATGTAAAAAGTAAAAGAGAAACCACAAAACCGCAACAGTTGGGTCATAATGGTGAGGTTATGAGTAGTTTTCTCCCTATATTTTCCAAGCTTTCTATAGCATGTCATATATAATGTGTTATATGACTTACTTAGTATTTTACCCAAAACATATTCATTCAACCAATACTTATGAGAACTGTGCTGGATGCTTCACTTGTTCTAAAGCAGGTATTTTTTCTGTAGATAATTCTCTGGTGGTCTTATTTAGCAAATCAGAATACTCCAACCCCAAAGGCTAATGTAATTATGTAATCACATTATGTAATTTCTGCATTATGTAATTTTTATGCCTAATTAAAATAAGAGTTGTGACATACAGGGATTGAGAAGGACTTGGAGCACTTTAGGGGAGACCTGTCGGGGGACCATCTGCCCAGCATGAATGAGCCAGTCCCATGAAACCTGGGGTTTTGGCTGCAGCTCTCTGCTCTCTGCTGTGGTGCCCTTGAGGTGGGAGTTGAGACTCAACATGTAGGGCAGGGCTTAGACACTGGACCAAGTTGAGGACTAGCTAAAACTGGAATGGGGTTGAAGCAGCTTTCCATAAGACATAACCACCAGTGTGCCATGTCAGTTTACCATTGCCACGGCAATACCCGGGAGTTACTGCCTTTTTCTATGGCAATGACCTGACAACCCCAAAGTTACTGCCTTTTACCTGGAAATTTCTCCATAAACCACCTCTTAGTCCACATGTAATTAAAAGTAGGTATAAATATGACTGAGCAGTGACGTGACATGCAGCCCGCGGTCTGTACGGACGCGCCCTCGCTTCTTCCTCTTTCTCGACTCCATCTTCGCAGTAGTGGCAGCTGGGACCGCGGTTCAGTCACCAATATGCAGCTCTTTGTCCGCGCCCAGGAGCTACACACCCTTGAGGTGACTGGCCAGGAAATGGTCGCCCAGATCAAGGCTCATGTAGCCTCACTGGAGGGCATTGCCCCGGAAGATCAAGTCGTGCTCCTGGCAGGTGCACCGCTGGAGGATGAGGCCACTCTGGGCCAGTGCGGCGTGGAGGCCTTGACTGCCCTGGAAGTAGCAGGCCGCATGCTTGGAGGTAAAGTCCATGGTTCCCTGGCCCGTGCTGGAAAAGTGAGAGGTCAGACTCCTAAGGTGGCCAAACAGGAGAAGAAGAAGAAGAAGAGGAAGAAGAAGACAGGTCAGGCTACGCGGCGGATGCAGTACAACCGGCGCTTTGTCAATGTCGTGCCCACCTTTAGCAAGAAGAAGGGACCCAATGCCAACTCTTAAGTCCTTTGTAATTCTAGCTTTCTCTAATAAAAAAAAAGCCACTTAGTTCAGTCAAAAAAAAATAATAATAAAATAAATAAATAAGACTGCAGAACTGCCTTGAACTGCTAACCTCTGTCTCTGCAGGAACAGTCACGAAGCTGTCACACTGCTGCTTCAGTTAAGCTGTTTCCTCTGGCTTGCCCTTGAATTCTTTCCTGGGCAAAGCCAAGAACCTCACAGGATAAGCCCCACTTTGGGGCTCACCTACTCTGCATCCCCCTCACACCAGGCTGGCAGTCAGTTCATGGCCTGGGTTTGGAATCCAGGTGATTGTAGGCAGCAGGTCCTAGGACCTGACCCCCAGTGCTCCTCCCCTGGCCTCGTGGCCATGTTATCTCTGACTTTCTCAGAATGCAGGCAGACCACACTAGGATTCATTCCATCTCCCACGGTCTAGGAAAACATTTGAAAGACAAAGATTAATGACTAGGGTTAGGGATCCGGGAAGGAAGGCGAAAAACAAGAGGAAAGAATTTGTTGGTGGGTGTCAGATGGTATCTGGAGCCTGCAGGAACTGCATCCTCTACAACGAGCTGAGCAGACACTTCCTGAAGAGCTAATTTCACCATGAGGCAGGCTTTGATCCAGTTAATCTGGAGAAGTTGTGAAGATCACAGGTTCATCATTTCCTCCCCAGGTTCAGACTCTGTCACAATCAAGAGAAGGAATGGAATGGTGAGTGTCATCTCTCTGGACAGTCTACGGAAAGCCCCAGGACCAGGCTTAAAGAGCCTGGGCCCTGCTGGCAGGGAGGGGAAGGCAGCTCTGCCTTTGTGATTTGAACAAAACCAAGGCTGTCCTCACCGAGCGTAGCTATGTCACTTCCACTGCTTTCCTGGCAGAGAAATGGGCTGTGTTCCCCAAACTCCATGCAGAGAGCTCCAACCCCAACCTTGGCTTCCTCAAACTGAAACCAGGT
Source organism: Homo sapiens (assembly GCF_000001405.40). Taxonomy (NCBI): domain Eukaryota; kingdom Metazoa; phylum Chordata; class Mammalia; order Primates; family Hominidae; genus Homo; species Homo sapiens. The sequence goes on along the minus strand of NC_000018.10, from coordinate 74,388,922 downwards.
TCAGGAACTGTATCCTGCTGGGGGTGCCCAAACTAAATCTGACAAAGGAAGGGCCAAGACTCCATGGATTTAGGAACCACTGTCATTGAAGATGCACTGTGCTTTGGGGACCATCAACCGGGCTGGCACCGTCAACCAGGAGCACCTCAATGGCATTTTCAGGCCTATTCTGCCTGTGACCCACAGTAGGTCCTGCATGGATTGACTTTGGGGACCCATTGCAGGTGCTACTCAGCCCTCTCTGCCCTCAGGGAGTCAACACATGAGATGGAGTTGTGCAGTGCCAGGTACCTCCATGCCATAGACATGTCTCTGGGAAGTTGCATGTACATCAAACCATTTGCCTACCTGCTGTTGGATTTTCCAGTTTCTGAATCTGCTGTTGCATCCACATTTCCAGGTTCCAAAACCCTACCCATTCTCTGAGGCACAACTGCAGCCTCACCCGTTGCTAACACTTTCCTGGCAGCCTCAGGCAGCACACCCCATCAGCTTTGAACTGGTCCCAGCAGGCCCAAGGGGCTGATGAAATTTCATTGCACTCCAAGCCAGGAATTTTAAAGCCTTCCCCAGCCTCTTTGTATCTGGTCATTGATTAACATTTTACTGGCAATGCCTTGTGTGTGCCTACATATTTATTTCTAACATTTATATTCTCAATTAATGAGAAACATACTAATATAGGACCCAGACAATACAGAGAGGTGTGTGCAGGAAACAGGTGACTTTGTACCTGCAGATCCTTTTCATTTTTGTTCCTTCTGTAAACAACCATTGTTCTGGCTACAAAACTAACAACAAAAGAAAAGTATCTAGTTAATTTCATGTAAGAAGCAACACTGCACTTTTTTTGGCTGGTTGAACTAGCACAATAATAAATAACATATATAAAAACAACTCATTTCAGGATCTCAGAAGTTCTTTTAATATTTTCTCAGGTGCTGGGTCTGAAAAGAAAAAAATGAAATAACACGAGAATGGCCCTGAAGGAGTTGATGGCCTGGGAGGGAGGTGGTACACCCAAGTAAATGTGAGATGACAGCTGCGTATAAGCTCCATGGACGTGAGAAAAGGGGGAGCAGTGGAGGTGGGCTTTAGAGCTATGCCACCTTGAGAAACGCATTTCTGGCCAAGAGGAAAGATCACAAAGGCCTGGGAGAAGGGTAAGCCATTCGTTGTAGTGGGAACGAAAGGGTCCTGGCAATCATGAAGTTAGAGAGGAGTGAGGCTTGCAGGTTAAGCCAAAACAAGTGAATCATCCTCTGAAAGTTTTGGAGAAGTCGTCATGGTTATAAATCTGGGAGATGGAAATATTACATCTTGAAGGAGCACTCAGGCTGCATTGTAAGAACGGATCAGGTTTGCGAGGCCAGTCCAGAGATGTGTAAACTAGCTGAGGTTATTGCAGCAACTGAGGGAGAATATGGTAAGAGTCAGAACTCAGGCATTTGCTGATGAACGTTGGTGCTAACTAGGCACTGATGTAGAGATGACCAGCTTGAGTGAGCTTAGGCAAAGAGGTTTGCATTGGAAATACAGACTTGGAAATTGTTTGCATATAAGTGGTAATTAGAGCCATGGAGTGATCCAGGTCCCTAGAGAGTGTAGGAGTGAGGACAGAATCCTGGGAACACAACATGCAAGGAGAGGGGGATGAATGGGAATATGTGGAGGAACAACCAAAGACAGAAGAAAGCCAAGGCAGCTGGTGTCCCATAGCCTGGGGACACACCTCAGAAGGAAGGGTGGGGGCCACCCGCTTGATGTCACAGGAGGGTCAGTCCACATGGCTGTGGCTGAGAGGTGGGCATGAGATCCGGCCTTGGTGGCCTCTGTTAGGGATATTTTCAGTGGAGAGATGGGGGTGGCGGTGCGCGTAGCAACTATCTGGGGCCAGTGATGTGGGTGGTAAAAAGAATTTACCAACACAGTTGTAGGTAAGAAAGGCAGGTTTATTAGAAAAAGTAGGAAAATATGTTGCAAGAAAGCAAGACGAAGATTAGCAAGAGACGAGCTGACTGCCAGGAGATGCAGGCTTGCAGGTGTTTTATAGGATGGTGCTTGTGCTGGAGAGGGCTGCCTAGGTTGCAGTGAGCTAACTTGCATGTTTCTATCAGCCAAGGTGTCTGAGGATAAGCCAGGTGCAGGAAGATTGTGAGTTATTTGTGCAGGAGGGCTATGTGTCCTGGACCACAAAGAAAGGCAGACTGAGAGCTTGTCTGCTTTTCTTTCTGCTCTCCCCTATTCTTACCAGGCTGACTCCCTTTCCCTTATTAGGACTCCATAGGTGGGAGAGTCAGAACGCAGTAGCTAAGAGGAAAACGGTGCTGAGAAAATGCAGTGGGTGCAGATGGTGAGTCTGTCTTGGTTTCGTAAATGGACAGACACTTCAGGAGCGTCTTACCTTTACTCTCCATATGCACTGAGGTGGAGTCAGACCACCACCTCCCGTCTGGCCTCTCTGCTCACATTTCCAGAATGGCTTTGAGGTTCTCAACCTTGGCTGCCCTCTGCAATCACCCAGGGTTTTAAAGGCAACACTGAGACCTGGGTCCCATCCTCAGAGCTCTGGTGTAACTGCTGTACGGTACAGCCTGTATATATTACAGGTAGTTAGACAGGCATGAGCCTGGCATGGGCAGAAAAGGGCTCTCCTCCCATCCACTAGGAATGCCAGGTGATGGTTCGACAATTATCACACTGTCTCTCTAAAAACAATAATTTAGCAGCTGGTGCCAGCGCACCAAGGACAGACAGTCTCCTGATGATCCACAGCTGTTAACATTAAAGTGTTCATTGAATGCAGAGCCAGGGAGAAAAGAATTCCTGGGCGTGCACGTTAAGAGACAAAATGGTGAAGTCTGACCTTCCAGGGGCACTCCACAGCAAAGGGAAGAAAGCCTCAGATGGGCATGCATATGACTTCCTAAATGCACTGTGCATGCTCGCTTCCTAAGGGTAAAGAGGGCACTGCACATGTGAGAAGCCCGCCCCGAGGGGAGAATCATGGGAAAGAGGCGGGCCTATAAAGTCCTAGGATCACAGTTAAATGGGCACTTGCTCTTTGACCCTCAGGTGCCCACTTGGGTCCCTTCCAAGTGAATCTTATTTCTTTCCTGTTCTAAAGGAGGTTGCAGTGAGCTGAGATCATGCCACTGCACTCCAGCCTGGGCCACAGAGAGGGCGACTCCACCTCAAAATAATAATAATAATAATAATAATAATAATAATAATAATAATAATAATAATAATCTTCCACTCCTGCTCTGAAACTTTTCTCGGTCTCTTTTTCTGCTTTATGCCCCTCATCGAATTCTTTCTTCTGAGGAGGCAACGGCTGAAGTTGATGCAGACCTGTCCGAATATGCCACCAGTAACTCGTGGTAACTCAGATACCTGCCCCTGGTAACAAATACGGGGATGTTTAAAGTCCCCCACCCATGGGTTCCAATATGTGGCCAGGAGGGAGGGAAATCCTCTGGCTGGCAGGGTGTTGTGAATAGAAGATAGGTGTGTGCGTGCTTGGTCTGGTGTAAGATGCCTCACACATGTAAGGGTTACCATTAGGCAGAATGTTCGTAACAATGATCCTTCATCAAAGTCAGGGAATTCCTATGGAGCTGATACTCTCCTAGCAGAATCACATGCATTAAAAAGACCAGAAGCAAGCTCTGCAGGCAGCATATGCTGTGGACGAGGAAAGGGTGCTTGCTGCAGCTGTGTCGGTAACAGCACACAAAGTTTGAATCAACCATGTCTTCACTAGTACAGAGCTGGTGGTGGGTGAATGGCATTTTATGCACCTGAAGGACTAGGATGTAGCTGTTACCTGTAGGCTTATATGACAAGCTCTCCAAAATGTAGTTGTAGGAAAAGTGAGATGTGGGGCTCTGTGCACGCAGGGTCCCTCTCGTGCCATTAAAAAATAAATGGATAGATTAATGTACGCTTAGAGAAGCACAGTGTGGAAGGGGTTTAAGGAATCATAAGAAACTTAACACCGGCTGCCTTTAGCGGTAAGATTGGGGGCACCAAGAATTCCCCACTCTGTTTAGAAAACCACAGCCACTGGGATTGTCACTTGCTGAAAGACACCATTGCAGCACTTGATGGAGCCCCACCTAGCATCAGGGGAGGACTTGTAACCACCCCATGGGTTCTCCTTGTTTGGTGCCCAGACAGAGCCCATCTATCAAGGCAGGGGAACTGCAGTAGAGAAAGCGATTTACACGAGTAGAGCCAGCTAAATGGAAGACTGGAGTTTTATTACTTGAATCGGCCTCTCCAAAAATTTGGAGGCTAGCGTTTTTCAAGGACAGTTTGGGGGAAGAATGGTGGGGGTGGCTAGGCAATGGGTGCTTGCTGCTGACTGGTTGGGGGTGCAACACAGGGCAGTGGGAAATGGTCTTCATGCACCATGAGTCGCTTCTGGGTGGGGCCACAGGAGCAGTTGGTGGGTCCAGGTGGAGCCTTCAGTCATCAGACATGCAAAAAAAAAAGCCTGAAACGATATCTCACAAGGCCTCTCTAAGGTTCTACAATAGTGATGTTATCCACAGGAGTAACTGGGGAAGGTGCATATCCTGTGGCTCTGGAATAATGGTTTGTAATGTTTATATCCACACCTTAGTGGAATTCAGGCTCCTCTCATCCTCCTAGCCTGGTAGCTTTGCATTAGCTTTACAAAGGTGACTGAGTTTACAGAAAGGCTATTAGCATCTAAACTATAAACTCCGTGTCTCCCAAAGTTTGACCCAAGTCCAGGAATAATCAAGGGTGATTTGAAGGCCTAAGGCAAGATGGGGATTGGCTAGATCAGATCTCCTTCACTGCCATATGAGGACTAAACTCTGATTTTTTTATCTTGCCCAAATTCCTATCTAAGGGGTCTGAGGAGTCATGCCCTACAAATCACAAATTCTCATCAGATGGGTTTTATTTAACCCTATATATTGTGATTTACTTTCCAAAATGACTCCGGCATAACATTATGAGACAAAGAAGAAAATCAAAGTATTTTACCCCAAAACATGTTTCTTTGCCATATTTTGAAAAGGCCCTGCAAAGCTGTTCTTTGTGGGAGAAAATTTGCATCTGTAAAGAATCTCTATTAACACAGCTAGATCTTTTTCTTCCAGACCCTCCCAATCCTGAAGAGATTAACTAAGATCTGAATAGGAAACGTTTGTCACTTATTGTCTCTAAGGGCAGCCACTATAAGACTTCAAAAGAACTTTGGTCTCCACAATCTGTATCTTAACCTGAACATTCCCTTTCTATCTATCCCAGGTCTTTAGACAAAGTCAACCAATCGTCAACCAGAAAATGTTCAAATTCACCTATAGCCTGGAAGTCCCCCAACCCCGCTTTGAGTCTTTGAGTTGTTCCGCCTTTCGGGACCAAACCAATGTATTTCTTTCTTTTTTTTTTTTAGACGAAGTCTCGCTCTGTCCCCAGGCTGGAGTGCAGTGGCGCATTCTCGGCTCACTGCAACCTCCATCTCCTGGGTTCAAGCGATTCTCCTGCCTCAGCCTCCTGAGTAGCTGGGACTACAGGCACGCACCACCACGCCTGGCTAATTTTTTGTATCTTTAGTAGAGACGGGGTTTCACCATGTTGGCCAGGGTGGTCTTGATCTCTTGACCTCGTGATCCGCCCGCCTCGGCCTCCCAAAGTGCTGGGATTACAGGCGTGAGCCACTGTGCCCGGCCAAACCGATGTATTTCTTAAATGTATTTGATTGATGGCTCCTGCCTCTCTAAAATGTATAAAATCAAGCTGTACCCCGACCACCTTGGGCACATGTTCTCAGGACCTCCTGAGGGCTGGGTCACGGGCCATGGTCATTCATTTTTGGTTCAGAGTAAATCTCTTCAAATATTTTACAGACTTCAACTCTTCATCGACACATAATTTTCTCATTGTTATGATTTTTGCCAAGGCCGTTTCAGGTAACAGGGAGGAAGCTGCCCTTCTGGAGTACGTGTGTTCTTGGAAAGGCTGCCCCACCCTGCACCTCCCCAGGGGAGTGGGGAAAGAGGAGCAGCAAGGCCCAAGGGAACCCCTCATCATGTCCCAGGCGTCCTCGAGGAAAGGGCACCTCATGTCCTTCCCAGCGAGGCATCTGCTCAGCCATGGGGAAGCTGACCTGCCCACAGCTCCTGGAGCAGGCATGGTGTGCTGGGACAGCCAGGAGGAGGGGGCAAGGGCCATCACCCAAGATTCCAATCCCAAAGGCAGGGCCCGTGGAGCCAGAGAAAGCTCCGAGCCTCCCTGGGACCAGGGCACAGGGCTCTGCTGGGTGGACGGGGCTGCTGGCCCGTAGACTGCACATTAGCCCTCAGATCCACGGCTGGAAGTGCAGCCATGATCAGCCCAGAGGGAGAGGCTTTGCCAGGGCTGTTGTGTTGGAGATGAGCTGTCTCTGCCTCTCTTCATCCTCCCCGGCCCCTGTCGGAGATTGAGCCAGGAGAGGGAAGGGGAAAGAGCAGCCCCTGCCCCCTACTTTCCTACCACCCCTCCCCACAATGCACAGACTTCACAAATTTCCCAGGGATAGTCTGGGTCTGCTCTGCGGGAGGAGAAGGGCCACAGGTGCGATGTGAGATTTACATCTTAACACGAATATGGCTGAGTCTTGTAGAACTCAAATACAGCTTTTGAAAAACTTGAAGTTATGGCATGGGGCTCAGATGTTCATAAGGAGGACTGTTCACCCGTGGGGAGGAGGGCGTTGGACGGGGCACTGTTAGCAGTTTTGACACAAAAAACTGTCTGCAGGCTGCCCCTCCCCGTGCGGATGGAGGCCCTGGTCCACAGGCCATTAACAGCTGTCCCCCAGAGGTGCAGGGTGGGACAGCCTCTCCAAGAACACATGTACTCCAGAAGGGCAGCTGTCCTCCCCGTTGCCTGAAACTGACTTGGCAAAAATCATAGACAAGGAGGATTTAGAAATGGTTTCCTGTTACTTTGTCCCCCAGAGCCAAAGCCATTGGCTAGAAGGACACGGGGGAGCAGCATTTCTCTCTCTTCTTCCCGGGTGCGGCTCCTGCAGTAGGACGAGGGCACCGCTCAGCCGATGTTGAGCCTCTGGGAAGCTGCATCTGACAAGGACGGCCTTTGAGACCTCAGGCAAGCAGCGGTCTTTGTCTAAAAGCAGTTCTGAGGGCGAGGACTCACTCTTGCCATTTACTGTTGGGAGCAAGCCCCCCAAAATCTGGCCATAAACTGGCCCCAAGACTGGCCGTAAACAAAATCTCTGCAGCACTGTGACATGTTCATAATGGCCCTAGCGCCCAAGCTGGAAGGTTGTGGGTTTACGGGAATGAGGGCAAGGAACACCTGGCCCACCCAGGGTGGAAAACCGCTTAAAGGTGTTCTTAAGCCGAAACAATAGTATGAGCGATTTATGCCTTAAGGGCATGTTCCTGCTGCAGTTAACTACCCCAACCTATTTCTTTAATTCGGCCCATCCCTTCGTATAAGTGATACTTTTAGTTAATTTAATATCTATAGAAACAATGCTAATGACTGGCTTGCTGTTAATAAATATGTGGGTAAATCTCTGTTCGGGGCTCTCAAATCTGAAGGCTGTGAGACCCCTGATTTCCCACTTCACGCCTCTATATTTCTGTGTGTGTCTTTAATTCCTCTAGTGCCGCTGGGTTAGGGTCTCCCCGACTGAGCAGGTCTCGGCAATTTACTGCCTGGTGGGCTTGATTCTCTGGCAGAGGTGACCATGGGGAGGTGACCGTGGGGTCCGTTTTATTTTTCACATGTTGATGGGCTCCACAGCCCGACCATAATCCTTACCCGGCAGTGGGGATGCAGAGCTGCTGCTGCTTGGTTAGTTCTTAGAATTACTGGTATCCAATGTCTTAACAAACACCAATGGTGCCACACAGTGTTGTTTCTAGTTTGAAAATGTGAAGCAAGACAATCCCACCGCCACTGCCAGACACAGCTTGAAAGCCAGTCCCCTCCCCGCACTGGCCCAGGGCTTCTGGCTACAGGCCTGCTCAGTACAGGTAGGAAGCAGACTGTCATCTCTTCCTGTGGCCTTGGAAACTCACTCACATCAGGGGTTTATTTCTACTCAAGTTCATTGAAGGCCCTTGTTTAAGGCCCTGGACTGCATTTTAGGTTCATTCTTACCTGAGATTTATGATTCCATAATGAATCAATGTTCAAACATCTGTAAACAGTTGGCAATAAATGTTTGTTGCCTGAATGAATGCAGGATAGTGGGGATATAGGGTTCCCTGCTGTTGGTTCCCATGGTTGAAAAAAATCTGCATTTCTTTCTTCCCCCTCTGCTGCCATCTCTTACTGGCAGCATGAGGACGTCTACTTGTCTCGGGTCTAGGGGGAAGGCAGCAGAGGCGTGAAATAGAATTGTTAGCAGCCACACTGCGGGAGGAGAACTCAAAATGCAGGTCTCCCTTCTCATCTTTATCATTTATTTTATAAACTTACCGGATGCTTTCTAGTGATTATAAAATCACTGTGGGCCGGGTGCAGTGGCTCATGCCTGTAATTCCAGCACTTTGGGAGGCCAAGATGGATGGATCACTTGAGGTCAAGAGTTCAAGACCAGCCTGGCCAACATAGTGAAACCCCATCTCTACTAAAAATATAAAAATTAGCTGGGCGTGGTGGCGGGCACCTGTAATCCCAGCTACTCGGGAGGCTGAGGCAGGAGAATCACTTGAACCCAGGAGGTGGAGGTTACAGTGAGCCAAGATTACAAATACACCACTGCACTCCAGCCTGGGTGACAGAGTGAGATTCTGTCTCAAAAAAAAAAAAAAAAAGATCATTTTGAGTAAAATCCCAAGCCGCCTGAAGGCCCCCATCATTTGGTCCCAATACACCATTACAACCTAAATTCCTACCACTTCTCTTCATAATCCCCCATTCTAGACAAGCCAGTCTACTCCCTGCCTCCAACACATCTGTAAATTTCCAGCATCAGACATTTGCAAATGTCCTCTTTTGCCTCTCCTACCCATTTCTCAGGGTTCTTCTCAAGTCTGCAATTCACAGAGGCATCTTCTCTACCTGTGCCAGATGGAAGCAGATCCCAGGAGGACCCTCTTTGTCCACTGAACTCAGAGCACTTATTGTCTGGGCCACTTGTTAGTCTTTATTAGCTATGCTGTGTGTCCAAGTTATTTTCCTCCAATGTAATTATATCCTGTAGATCAGGGGTCCCTAACCCCTTGGCCATGGACCAGTACCTGTCCACGGCCTGTTAGAAACTGGGCCACACAGCAGGAGGTGAAGTGGCAGGCAAGTGAGTGAAGCTTCACCTGTGTTTTCAGCCGCTCCCCATCACTCACATCACTGCCTGAGCTCTGCCTCCTGTCAGATCAGTGGCAGCATTAGATTCTCGTAGGAGTGCAAACCCTACTGTGAACTGTGCATGGGAGGGATCCAGGTTGCACGCTCCTTATGAGAATCTAATGCCTGATGATCTGTCACTATCTCCCATCACCCCTAGTTGGGACTTCTAGTTGCAGAAATGCACGCTCAGGGCTCCCACTAATTCTACATGATGGTGAGTTGTGTAATTATTTCACTATATATTACAATGTAATAGTAATAGAAAGAAAGTGCATAATAAATGCAGTGGGCTTGAAGCATCCTCAAACCATCCCCCAACCTTGGTCTGTGGAAAAATTGTCTTCTGTGAAACCAGTCCCTGGTCCCAAAAAGGTTGGGGACTGCTGGTGTAGATTAGGTCCTATTTTTCTGTAACTTTGGGTTACAGAAAATGTAATTTTTATAACTCTGTAGTTCTAAGATGAGGGTCAGCAGGTGTACCTTCATGTTCTCTAGCTCAGGGTCTCTTAACCTCAGCTTCGCATTTTGGGTAGAGAACTCTTTGTTGTGGGGGGCTGAGGCAACAGATACAATAGCATGTCCTGTTGGATCCTAATCTCCTATCTAATAATTTCCACATAGTGTCTTCTGGATTTTCTTCCACAGAATCGTCTTAGAAGAAACCCTCCAGCTCCTACCTGTTACCTTGTGCAGATAGAAAGGTCCTCAGGAGTCCATCAGGGGGACAGATGAAGACTGCTCGGCAGGAAGCTGGTGGAAACTTCTAAGGTAGAAATGCTGGCAGAAATTAAGAAGTCGAAACTATGAACATGGTTGTCAGTGGCATTTATAAGCAATCTTATTTTAGAAAACTTGAGTAAAAGTCTTGTGTGATTTTTGGCCGGGCCCTCTGGTAGCTGCTGGGTGACTGCAGGAGCTGGGCCAGCAGTCAGGGAGGACAGGTCTGCATGTGGAGAGAAGCTGGGCTGTGGGTGCCCAGGCTGGGCAGCTGCATGACGTGTGGAGGTTTCCAGTGGTCATGAGCATGACTAGACAGTGTACAGCCTCTCCCATGAGGCTGCGGTCAAATCAGGACTGGATTCCAAACTGGAGCCTGATGGAGGAATGAACTAAACTGCAAGGGTGGCTGCTGGCACAGAGCTCCTCAAGATGTTGACAGAGGGAGAAATGTGGTGTTCTCAGATGAGGGACGGATGTGGCTAAAAATCCCCAGTTTTAGGGAGTGTGGGTAGAGATCATGGTTTTAAGGACCCGGAGAATAAAACATGTCCTCAAGCTGTTTTGAGTTGAAGCTGTTGCAGGTTACCATTGGACACCATAACTCACTTTATAGTCCTTTCTTCATCCCACTTCCTCTTTCAAAGTACACAATTCTGAATGGCAAAAACAAAAAGCTCTGTTTTCTTCTCTTTAAATATCACCAGGTTCTCTAAAATTTGTGATTTTAAGGACTTACAGGAATTCAAACTACCAGCTCCAGAATTTCTTCACTATATTTTTGTCAACTACTCCTTTGATTGTTAGCTTACAAGGCAGGGACCTTCACAGCATTTCCTGAGGACAGCTCTCACCCAATTAAATCATATTCTAACTCTTCTGCAACAGCAGAAACCACCACAGTGTCTCCAAAGTTACTAGAATTCCAGTGTTGTAACAATGAAGTTGAACAACACTTTCCAGGGACCATTATACTTAGAAAAAGGAGCTGGCATTAGATATCAATAGATACTCATCGAGATTCAGAGGTTATTTTTATGCTGTAGCCACTTATAGAAAACAAAGCAAAATCCACATTTTCTAGCCAGTGCTCCCAATACAGGATTCTCTTCCTTATCAAACAATAGTAATAAAATGCAAGTTGAGACCAGATCCCAAGGTTTTACTTTATTTATTTATTTTTTTTGAGACAGAGACTCACTCTGTCACCCAGGCTGGAGTGCAGTGGCATGATCTTGGCTCACTGCAACCTCTGCCTCCCAGGTTCAAGTGATTCTTCTGCCTCATCCTACCAAGTAGCTGGGACCTGCAGGCACACACCACCACACCCAGCTAATTTTTTTAATTTTTTTATGTATTTTTATTTATTTTATTTTATTTTTAGTAGAGACAGGGTTTCACCATGGTGACCAGGCTGGTCTCGAACTCCTGACTTCAGGTGATCCGCCCCCCTCAGCCTCCCAAAGTGCCACTGCTCCCGGCTGGTTTTATTTATATATAAATGGTACATATATGCGCGCGCGCGCACACACACACACACACACACACACACACACACACACGTCCTTAATGAAGAGATAATATTTAAACGTTGTAAATTTAAAGTTCCTGCGATTTCCTGCCTCCTAAGGGATAGAAACTTGAATTTATTTTTGAGGCCTTCTTTCTTCTTGGAAATCACCCCAGTGGGGAATGAACCTCCTCCAGGAAGAAGATATAATGTGGCTTAGGCTCCAAGGAGCTAACCCCTTTGGATAATAATGTAAAGGTTGTGATTACGGTGTCAGAGTTACATTGCTGCAGATTGTGTTTCTTTAGAATAATTTTTTAGAATAATTTTCTTTCCCAAATATGGCTATAGACCACAATGTGCAAATATTTTATTGCTTATTTTTGTGGAGTTGGTGCATATCTCCTCACAGGCGGTCCCTAGAGAAGTTCCCCATGCTGTAGGAAACCCTGACAGCTTGGCCTTCTCTTCACTTCTCTGCAGTGGGGGAGAGATCATTGTAAAGGAAAAAGAGAAAGACAGGAGGAAAAGTAAGTTAAGGTCAGGTCGGGGGAAAAACAAAGGGAAGGAATGAACTGGGCTTGGGGCTGTGCAACTTACAAAAGGGAAGGAATGAACTGGGCTTGGGGCCGTGCTATGCAAAAAGGAAGGAATGAACTGGGCTTGGGACCGTGCAGCTTGCAAAAGGGAAGGAATGAACTGGGCTTGGGGCCGTGCTACTTGCACTAGGTTACTGGTGTTTCATCTGTTGTGTTGTTTAGAAAGGACAATCCAGCCTTTGGGAAATGTACCAATGCTGGGCCATGCACCCTAATAATTTGGAAGACTGTGGGGCTGGATTATCCCAACTAAATTTCACAAATAAATTTTTCTTCTAAAATAAGTGGTTATAACCACTGCTGATTACCCTGGGAAGGGGTCACTAGTCCATGGCAACTGCAGCCCAGAGTGGAATGAAGAGAAGGAGGTGGAAGCTCGTGAGGGAGCTGTTCTGTAACCTCCACTGCTTACTCGCTTCTTTAATGACTTGCAAGTGACTCAGATCCAACATACACAACAGTAAACCCATGAAGTTCTTTCATGCCCTCCCCTACCCATGTTTATCACCCTGGATTTTGCCATCTCCGTGAATGGGACCATCATCCACCTGCTTGCCCATGGCAGTAACCTCAAAACTGCGCATGACTCATTGCTTTCTCCATCGTCTCTGGATCTCATTAATGATCTGCTAGTGATCTCATGCTTCTGGCCATGAGGGAGTAAGACGGCCTGTGATCTCCCTCCCTCTGTAAGCAACTATAAAAAAAGGATAAAATATAGAAAGCCACTATTTGGATATAGGGCAAAACAAGACTGTGATTCCTGAGAAAAAGGAAGAAGACAAGGTAAGCCCTACCATCAGCTGGCCTTTCTGCCTAGAGATAAGTCCTGGGCTACAGTCCAGGGAGGGAGAACTCCAAAAAAGTGAGGCAGCTTCACAGAGCTGCAGAGACAGAGGTCAGAGATGGGGAAGGCCAGGCGGCTCTGTGAAGAACCTGTGAGGCAGAGTTCTCAAGGGAAGGGGCTACACAGATAAAAGTACTCCGGAAATCTGCACATGAGTTCATGGAATCTTTTTAAAACAGAAGTCTATAGAAATATAAGGCCAGATAAGAAAAGCTTCTGGTGAAAGAGTAATTATGAGGAGTTCTTTTTTTTTTTTTTTTTGAGATGGAGTCTCACTCACTCTGTCGCCCAGGCTGGAGTGCAGTGGCATGATCTCAGCTCATTGCAACCTCCACCTCCCATGTTCAAGTGATTCTCATGCCTTATCCTTTTGAGTAGCTGGGATTACAGGCACCCACCACCACACCCAGCTAATTTTTATATTTTTAGTAGAGATGAAGTCTCACCATGCTGGCCAGGCTGGTCTCAAACTCCTGGCCTCAAGTGATCTGCCAGCCTCGGCCTCCCAAAGCACTGGGATTACAGGCATGAGCCACTGCACCTGGTGAGGAGTTCTAAAATGAACAATTCCCTAAAATTGCAAAGCCAAAAATCACTCAAGTTCCCTCCAGCCAGAGAGAGAGACCTCACTGAATATATGGGGCATTTAGAACAAGCCCCAGAAAGGCCATGACTTAGAAGAGGAGTCAAATCAGTCCTGGAATAAAGGCTACTCTAGGCCCCAAAAAGCTTATAAGTAAACCTCAAGGGAATCAAACTAATTTCTGAATAATTTATAGAACAAGTAGATAAAAAATCAGTAAGGATATAGAAGACTCGAACACAGTATTAATCAATTGACCTCACTGACATGTATAGATGGCTTTACTCAACAACAGCAGAACACATATTTTTCATAAGTGCTTGTAAAACATTCGCTATACCAGATCATACATTAGGCTATAAAATAAGCTTACATAAATTTAAAATAGTAACCACAGTGGAATAAAACTAAATAGCAATAAGAGAAAGGTATAATATATGGAAAAGCCACAAATATTTGGAAATTAATAAGCTTCTAAATGGAAATTGGAAAGTATTTCAAACTGAATGAAAATGAAAATATAACATGTCAAAATTGTGAGATATAGCTAAAGCAGTGATTTGAGGATTATAGCATTTCATGCTTTTATTGGCAAAGAGAAGTCTAAGGTCAGTCATCTAAGCTTTTACCATATTCAGTTAATAGTAAATCCTGTCAATTGTACTTCCTAAATAACTCTTAATCAGTTTCCTTCCCTCTGTCCTGCTGTCACAGCCTCCTGATCCCCCTATCTTAAGTCATCTCCAACCCCAAATTCCCAGTTCTTTCTTGTCAGCTGCACCTCTCACCACTACTTTCTCCTTGCACTTCAGCCTTACTGATGTCTCTAGTTCCTTAAAGCTCTCATGGTCTTCTCTGGGTCATCTCACACACATTTTCCTTGCCTGACCACTCTTTTATTTCCAATTCACCCTGCTAATTCCCACCCATGGAATTTCTCTTCTTTCTGGAAGGCTGGGTCCTGCTATACGCTTCCGTTCTAGCTCATTGTACTTCCTTTGTGGTGGCATTTAACCTATGCTCGTGATTTCTTTAATTGTCTGTCTTCCCCAGCAGCTGGGTCTCGTCTTGTATATCACATTGTGTATCTGTCCCCTTGCACACTTTCTGGCACTTATTGAGTGCTTAACATCTATTTGACAAATGAATGAAAGCCTATTTTAGTGGAAATATGACCACTTAATTTGTAGTTACAGGTTGAGAAGATCAGCATTCCTGGATCACAGTTCGCAGTCAACATTGGGCATCTCCCAGCATCCATTTGTCTTTCTTTTTTAATAACCGCCCTGAATTCTGTTGGGGGCTCATGAGGTTCCTGAGAAGCCACTTATCCCAGCTCAAGTAGTTGCTCAAATATTCATCATTGAGAAAACAGATCTGTTTTTGTGGCTTCAGTTACTTAAAACTATCATTTCTCAGTTAAATATGTTATTGGGATTCCCTGGAAGTGTACAGGGTCCTCCCATTAAGTCATCCCCCTTTAATGAGCGGTACTGGGGTGAAGGTATCTGGCAGGTTCCTGTTAGGCTTTTCTGGCTTGACTATTTACTTTTTTTTTTTTTAATTATACTTTAAGTTTTAGGGTACATGTGCACAACGTGCAAGTTTGTTACATATGTATTAGCTTCGCATGTTCAAAAGGATGTGGGTGCTTACCTAGTGCCCTAGAAACAGCACAAGCCATAACGTGACGTCTCTGAGTGAAACAGGCCTAAAGCCACAAAGGAGATAAAACAGATAAGGTAAGAATAAGACGAGAAAATCAAAGTGGAATTAACCTAAATTTAACACTATCACTCCTGTGGTATCTGCACATATCAAACAAAAGGAAATAGCTATCTGGCTTGACGGCAAAATGCCGTGCCTCGTGCCACCTTTTTTAAAAAAACAATAATATGAATGATTTTTTCCTTGATAATACAAATAATTCATATTCATTATGGAAAATTTGGACACTTTTTAAAAGTATTTAAAAATGGGTCACCCAAAATAATACACAAAATACCCACTGGTAATGTCTTTTTTTTTTTTTTTTTTGAGACAGAGTCTTGCTCTGTTGCCCAGACTTGAGTGGAATGACATGATCTCAACTCACTGCAACCTCCGCCTCCCAGGTTCAAGCAATTCTCTTGCCTCAGCCTCCCAAGCAGCTGAGATTATAGGTGCCCACCACCATGCTGGGCTAATTTTTGTATTTTTAGTAGAGGCGGCTTTCACCATGTTGGTCAAGCTAGTCTCAAACTCCTGACCTCAAATGATCTGCCCACCTCGGCCTCCCATGAGCCACTGCGCCCAGCCCATTGGGAATGTCTTGTTGCATTTCTTTTCATAACTTTTTATACATATACAGACAGATGTGTATTTTTCTTTTCAAAATTAAAATTTTTTTGTACATTACTTTTTTCACATACATCATAACCCAAAAAAGTGATTTTTGGCTGGGCGTGGTGGCTCACACCTGTAATCCCAGCGCTTTGGGAGGCCGAGGCAGGCAGATCACGAGGTCAGGAGTTCGAGACCAGCCTGGCCACCATGGTGAAACCCCGTCTCTACTAAAAATACAAAAATTATCTAGGCGTGGTGGCGAGCGCCTGTAATCCCAGCTACTCAGGAGGCTGAGGCTGGAGAATCATCTGAACCCGGCAGGCAGAGGTTGCAGTGAGCCAAGATCACACCATTGCAATCCAGCCTGGGCCATAGAGCAAGACTCTGTCTCAAAAAAAAAAGAAAAATAATTTTTATGACTTTCTATTTTGTGGATATGCTATAACTATTTAAACAACAATTTTTCTATTGTTGCACATTTAGGTTGCTCCTATTTTTTACTAATATAAATTACTCTGTGTGAGCATCTCGGCTTGAATCACAGGTCACCTTCCCCTCTTGTGTTCTGGGTCATCTTTTGCTTTCTCAAGGACCTCATCCCTGCAGTTAGTCACGTTCTCTCCTGCTCCATCAATGTCTCTCTCTCCCATGAATTCTTCCCATCTGCACACACATTCTCTAATAGCTTCCATCATAAATGAACAAAAGCCCTCGTCTCACCCTGCATTCCCTTCCAGCTTTACACTGATATCTCTGGCTCCCTTGAAAGCTACACTTATTATGGGAAGATCTGATCTTGGTTACAGTCCCCACTTCCTTACCCAGTATTCACTCCCATGCACGCTGACCAGGTATATCATCTACCCCTGAATTAAAACTGCTTTCTGTGAGCTTACCAACCATTGCTGATCAGATCCACGCCTCTGTCCTCATCTTCTCTAGCCCGTTGGCAGCATTCAGTAGAGCAAACCATCCTTCCAGACACACTCTCAGCTCCTGGCTTCTGTCACCCCAACCCTTTTGCCTCTCCTCTCACCCCTGCATCCTCTGCTGGCTTTTCTCCCTCATCTTGTCTAAAAACTGTTGAGGGTACTTTAGGGTTTCCTTTTGGACCTCTTCTTTTCTAGACATTCCCAGGGTAATCTTATTTTCTCCCATGGCTTTAACTACCAGTGATCTGCTGATGATGCCAAGCTGACTTCTCCAACCCAGACCTTTCTCAGAGGTATTCTCTGGGTGTCTATTACGCATCTCAAACCTAACATCGCTAACACAAAAGTTTTATTTTCCTCATATCTCTAAAACACCTCTGTCTTTCCCCTAGCCTTCTGCATCTCCAGTACCCACCATGACAGCCACCTGGTTTCTCAAGGCAGGAAGAATGCAGGACTCAAGCTCAATTGCTCTCTTTTTTTTTTCACGCTTCATGTCCAACCCAGCAACAAATGCATCTCTCTCTCTCCAAAAAATTGTGTTCGTTCTCATCTCTCCACCTCCAGCTCATCTTATCTAAGCCACCATTGCATGTTGCCTGTATTATTTCAACAGCCTCCTCATGGTCCTCCTGCCTTCTGTTTTGTACATGCATAATCGGTTCACTACATGTCACCCAGAATAGCCCCTGTACTCCACTCACTGCATCCAGCCTTGACTGGCCTGCGTGATCTTGCGTCTGTCTGCCTTTTAGATCTCATCTCTACGGCTTTCCCATGGGCTCCCGACACACTGGCCACTCGGGCCTTCTTGCTCTTCCTCTAGCACCCCAAGTTTCTCACCGCAGCCTTGGCACGCGTCGCTCCTGTTTGGAACATTCTGCTCTGTTCATATGGCTGCCTCTTTCTTACCACTGGGGACTCGGCTCAAATGCCACTTCAATTTAAAGGTGGTTCTCCCTTCACTTTCACCTCTAGGGTCCAGAGAAACTTACACATATGCAAATCACACACAAACAAAAACAAACAAATGACAACTGGGGATGATCCAAATTCCTTCAATAGTGGACTAGATAAATTATGGTAGATTCATATGATGAGACTGTATATCTAAATGAAAATGGATAAACTACAACTAAGGCATTGACAGGGTTGAACCTCAAAACATAATGTTGAGAAAAAGAAAAAAGTCACAGAAAAACACATACAGTATTGAGTCCATTTAGATGACATTCCGATGTACTGTATAGAGATGGATACATCAGTGGTGAAACTCTAAAGAAAAGCAAGGGCGACCCCTGGAAGAGCTCTTAGGAAGCTTCTGAAGTTCCTGCGGGGGTCTGTCTCTCAGCCTGGGTGAGAGTGCAAGGTCTCTGTTTCATTATTATTCACTATTATTCTTTCAGTTGTACACATGACTGCATGAACTCTTTTGAATCCATTATATTCTTCACAATAAAATTTTTTTAAAAGAAACAAGGGGAAGATGGAAATATACCAAGTGACATAGTGGTATTTGCTCATAATCATTGTGTGAGTGGGAACAGCATAGCATCCTCATATTTCAGCTCCCTCCCTGACAAGTGAAGGCGCTGGGCTCACAAGGAGGAAGATCCCTTTCTGTTCTGTGTCCTGTGACTCAGTCAACCGCAGGCAGGCTTGACAGAATCTTGAGGGGACATCTGGGGCATCTCCATACTCTCCTTGCAGAATTACTATTTAATTAAAACCAGTTCAGGCAAGAGAGAACCAATCTGATTTGGAAACCCCACCCCTCCCTTTCCCCAGGAAGAAATTACACAGCCTGGTTATATCATCAGCTTTAAGTGTCTGAAAATTCTTTCTCTTGACTTACACAGATTTTCCACAATTTGGAGCCTCTCTCCAAACAATGTTACAACACATTCAAGGCTGGCAAAATTTTGGAGGACTAAATCTAAATGGAGCTGCCTGTCAAAATGTCACAGTTCCCATAAGACAATGGAAATCTATATTCTTTCCTAGACACGACAGGGCCAAGATGCTACAGATAGGGGAGGTGTGTGTGTGTACACAGGTCTGTGAAGAGGTGAGCAGCAAGGAGTGCTGGTTGATGTTCTCCTTGGCCAAATAAAGTTGTGAAGTTGATGGCAAATGCCATGTTCAGTGATCCCTGAAAGTAGAACCTGCCTGCTGTGTGTTAGTATTCCTATCCGGCAGGGAAACTCAAAACCATATGTTTCAATATAAATATTTTCTGATAATTTAGAGTAAGTATTCTGTTTCTCAGAGCCCCAGAATGGAACCGCACTTGAAATCAGGTTAACTAGAGCTAAATTTAATCATTGTGTGACCCGATTGACTATATGCAACCTGGGGTATTGAATATCCTCCTTTATGTTGTTTTTATTCTCAATTTCATCTACTTATTTCCTTAGGGACCACAGAGCAATAGTAGGCAGCAAAGTAATGAAATGTGGTAAATCTGGTTAAAGAGAAATTTAACTAAAAATACTTTCCTTTGTTTCATCTCCACAGCCTTGTACATAGTGTGGTTTACTTTGGTTTACAAAGTCCTAAAGTTCTTGGGAGGAAAATGGCTGAATTTATTGCTCTGGGAAATACCAAGCTTACTCAATTTTACAATATATAAAAGTTCTTTGTTTTATAGATAAGCCATAAAAATCTCAGTTGTAACCATTAGCTGTCATTTACACTGGGAGCCGTAGCAAGTTTACCACATTTCCTGGGGACCTTCTGAGGCGGTGGATCACATGGCCACGTGCGTCGGGGGCTCTGTCAGTCCCCCGGCTTCCCCGCCTGCAAAACAACTGCCTGGCTGGGGACTGGGGATTGGCAGGAAAATGTGTTACTGCTCGATGGACTTTGGATCCTTGATCACAATCTCTGAGGGCCAATCATCTCTGCTGATAACTGAGGAGTGTTTACGCTTGTTTCTCAAAAAGTTCTCAGTGCTGTAAACTAGGAAGATTTCAGGGCACTGGCCCAAGCCGATTAAGAGTGATTCCCGAGGACAACAGAGGAGAAGTGGGGAAGGCACTCCCTGACTATACAGCTAACTTCAGGAGCGGCTTTTCAAATAGATCAGCTCCAGGCACTGCCCTCAAAGCCTCGGTCACCCCTGAGTGAAGTGAGAAGTGAGTTTACATGGGAACAAGGAAGGACAGAAAAGACGGAGAGCTACTAATCTGAAGAAAGGTTTTCAAAGGAGTTGTATGTACATACAGCGGAGACTGCTGACACCCATGAAAATGACCATGTGAACGTGCCTTCTAGGTCCTTCCTTTAAATCACATTTTTCTGTTTGTTTCGTTTTTTGAGACGGAGTTTCACCCTTGTCACCCAGCCTGGAGTGCAGCGGCACGATCACCGCTCACTGAAACCTCCATCTCCCGGCTTCAAGCAATTTTCCTGCCTCAGCCTCTCAAGTAGCAGGGATTACAGGCACACATCACTATGCCCAGCCAATTTTTACATTAAAAAAATTTTTTTTTTAATTTTTTATTTTTTGAGATGGAGTCTCGCTCTGTCACCCAGGCTGGAGTGCAGTGGCGTGATCTCCGCTCACTGCAACCTCTGCCTCCTGTGTTCAAGTGATTCTCCTGCCTCAGCCTCCCAAGTAGCTGGGATTACAGGCGCCTGGCTAATGTTTGTATTTTTAGTAAAGATGGGGTTTCACGATGGCAGCCAGGCTGGTCTTGAACTCCTGACTCCTGACCTCAGGTGATCTGCCCACCTTGGCCTCCCAAAGTGCTGGGATTACAGGCGTGAGCCACCATGCCCGGCCTAGATCACGTGTTTTTAAACACTTCTTGAAAGTAGCGACATACTGTGTGGCTTAGCAGGGAGAATACCGCGCTAAGCATTGAAAGATCCGATTCTTGCTCTGTGTGTCACCGGCCTGCTGAACTGACCTCAGGCAGAGGTCACCTTGCCTCTCACAGCCTTGGCTTTCTTTCCAGGCTGCCAGGCATGGCAATACCACATGGCTCCTGCCACCCAGGACTGGCTCAGGAGGCCAGCACGGCCCAGAGAGAAGTAAAAGGGCAATTACAAAACCAAGAAAGTCCCGTGAAAGGGAAAAGACAGGGTACTGGGAAGGGGGCACCTAACCCTGACTCAGGTTGACCAGGCTCTTGTATGTTAGCAACACTGGGGGGAGTTAACTGGGGAAAGAAGCCCTGGCATTTTGTCATTTCCCAATCTTGAGATAACAGTTAGATCAGTGTTTCCCATGGAGTGGGTGGACTTGGTAAGAACACAGGTTTCCCCAGAGTTTCTGAGGAATCTGTTTTGGGTAGTAAGGCTTCAGAGCTTTGTTCTCCTCCTATGCAAAGTGAGGTGAGAGTGAGCCCAGTCTAATTTGCACAGTCTAATTTGCCAGACATTTTCTCATATTTTTCATATGACTGTTCTCAAGGGCTTACCTAGCCATTTTGCTTGCAAACCCTGGTTCTTGACCTTGTTCCTACACTGCACCACTGTGTTAGTTATCTATTGCCATGTAACAAATTAACCCCAACATCCAGTGGCCGAAAACAGCCGTGAATATTTATTCCTTGCTGTTTCTGTGGGCCAGGGATTTGATTGAGGCTTGGCTATGGGAACAGATGACACAGGCCACACGCAGAGGAAGGTGGGACTCCGTGGGAGCCATCCTGGAGGCCCGCAGTAACCCTGCTGTGATTAATAAGATGCTGGGTGGACTTGCCTCCCATCTATCCATGTTTCCCGTTTTCAATACTGACCATAGCTGTGAATTCTGTTCCCCCATCCATTCTTAAACAATCAAACTTTTTGGTGACTATCTCCTGCTTTTCTGAGTCACTTAATTTTTGGAGGGGGGCATTTCCCCCTCCCTTTAAAATTGAAGATATGCTCGGTCCTGGCTCTTTCTTCATAGTGCTTCCTATTGCGCACTGTAACAACTTGCATTTGCTTTTCAAGTGAGGAAAGGAATAGTTTTCTGGTGTACTCTTGTTCTCTAGTTAATCCTGAAGAAGACACATAAAATAGTAATACCTTAGATTCCCGTGGGTCACAAGTAGCTCCATCATGGAGCTTCCTTCACCACTCTTTGTCCTCAGGTCTATCTCTCAGCATCTTCATTATGTGGATATCTGTTAAACTAAATTGGAAACAGAGAGTATGAGCTATTGTTATTTTCTGGAACTCACATGAGTTGATTTTTTTAAAAAGAGGCCCTCAAAGTAAAAGCCATGCAAGCCAGCTGCAGACCTAAGATCACAGCTCAATTCGCGTTCTTATCACTAACCATGTATAGTATGAACTTCTCTAATAGCCTCATATGATTACATTTCATGCCACAGCAGGTCATATGTGAGGCTTACAATCTAGTTCTACTAAGCTGTGGGTGTATTGGTTGGCAACCACATTGTCTGAGAATTCTGTTTATTTCTAGGACTTTTCAATTCACTCAGAAGTTAAAAATTGCAATACTATCTCAGGAAAGCATTTTATAGTCTTACCATTATATGAAGTGATTTCCATCTTGTGAAGAATTTCCTTATTAATAGACACATTTTCCTACATAAGTAATGGATCTGGAAGACAATCATTTCTTGTTCCACTTTCTAAACTTCCAAAAAAGGAAATACATTTCCTTGGAATCGTGCTGGATCTCTCCCCTGCAAGCGGCTGTCCAAAAGACGACCAGAATTTATCAATAACAAAAACAGGATCCCCCCACTCCAGGGCGAAAAGAGCTCAGCTTGTTGGACAGCAGATTGGACAGTGGAGGCCCCTGTTCCTCAGCTGTGGTCAGAGGCCCCCCACCTGCCAGGCCTCCTTTCCATTTGTAACCCTTTATTTTTCTTACTTTAAATAGACCACTTGTTGGCTGGCCAGAACTTGTGCTTCTCAAGAGGGACGCAGTGGAGGTTAATTACACTCTGGATTAGTAGAACTCTTATATTTCACCCATTTTTACAGAGGAGGAGAAAGAGCAGGAAGGAAGTTCCAGGGTCCGCAGACTGGCTGAAAGCTTCATCTTCAGAACTGCCCTGCAACTCCCCACATTCAAAGATGGATTCTTCTTTTCTTTTTTTTTTTTTTTTTGAGGCAAGAATCTCGCTCTGTCACCCAGGCTGGAGTGCAGTGGCACAATCTCAGCTCACTGCAAGCTCCGCCTCCCGGGTTCACGCCATTCTCCTGCCTCAGCCTCCCGAGTAGCCTGGACTACAGGCACCCCCCACGCCCGGCTAATATTTTGTATTTTTAGTAGAGACGGGGTTTCACCGTGTTAGCCAGGATGGTCTTGATCTCCTGACCTTGTGATCCGTCCTTCTCGGCCTCCCAAAGTGCTGGGATCACAGGCGTGAGCCACCGCGCCCGGCCCCGGATTCTTATTCTTTACTTGGCTCAGCAAAGGCTAACTTACTTTTTTGTGAATGTCACCCTTTTAGAAGGTCAGGAGCCATCACCATCTAAAAGTAAAAATCTAACAGTCTGAAAATCTGGGTTCCAGCCTTAGCATTATCACGTAGTTGGTTGTATGACTTTGAGCACATTTTATAAATTCTTTCCACATCAATTTTTTTTATCTCATCAATGAAAATAATAACCTCAAGATATTGTGAGGAATAACAATGGAAAATTGTAGTGAAAGTGCCTTTAATTATAAAATATAGTACAATTTAACATATTATTATATGTATTTTTTCAGAATTTGTTATAAATAATACTGATCAAAAAGCTATACTTTTGTGACCTTGAAAAGCAACTGTACAAATTTTAAAATGTTTCATAGAATAAAAACAGAAATAAAAAAATTCAGGGCCAAGATGAGTATCTGCAAATTATATAAACTCTTATTTCCTAACTAAAAAAATTTCTAAAGGTGGCGCATTTTACTTAGTTTGTATTTCTTTTTTTGTTAGCTTTTCAAAGTAGAAAGAATTCTGGTAGATCTTAGTTGCTGTAAGCTCATTAATTTGCCACTGTGATGAAACGCTATTGGCTAAAGTAGTATCACTTTTTTTTTTTTGAAAATAAAGGATTCACCTAGTAAGGTTATATAATTATTCCTAGTTTTTTCCTAGCAATAGCAGATATAAAAGAAGAGTCACGTAGACAGTGGACACAGACCCTGTGCTTCTCCCTACACAGATGGCGCGGGTTTCATTCGAGTCAGAATGGCTGGTCCCTAACCCACGAGGCGCCCTTTGACTATGGGGATTTTTATTTCTGTATCCTCAATGCTCATAATAGAATAGAGTCCCAGGAGTCAAAAATGGTTTACTAAATTTCTGCTAATAGCTAAAAGAGTAGAATATCATGCCTGTAATCCCAGCACTTTGGGAGGCCGAGGCGGGTGGATTGCCTGCACTCAGGAGTTTGAGACCAGACTGGACAACGCAGTGAAACCCCGTCTCTACTAAAATACAAAGAAATTAGCCGGGTGTGGTGGCGGGCGCCTGTAGTCCCAGCTACTCGGGAGGCTGAGGGAGGAGAATTGCTTGAACCTGGGAGGTGGAGGTTGCAGTGAGCCAAGATCGCACCACTGCACTCCGGCCTGGGCGACAGAGTGAGACTCTGTCTCTACAAAAAAAAAAAAAAAAAAAAAAAAAAAAAAAAAAAAAAAAGTAGGATAAGAAGAAAACAATTTTTGTGTTTTGGCATATTCACATATTGGAAACTTATACATTTCTTAAAATAATTTTTTGAAGCATATTCAACAAATGAGGGTTATATAAAACAATGTTAACTGAAACAAATCAGGGTACAAAACAGGCAGTATGACGGGAATTTTGTAGAATAAATATAGGTTTATACACATACCCATGAAAATCTAGAGGGAAGAATGCCAATATGTTGACAATGATTATTTTGGGGTGGTGGGGTTTGGGGTGATGATTTTGAATTTCCTTCTTTACATTTTTCTGTATAAACTCTTTATAATTAGGGTGTGTACTGATTATGACTCCTTGAGTCACAAGAGTCAGTAATACCCAACATGAACCAGCTGAAAAGCAAAGGGAAATTTTTTGTTCCCAAGACTGAAGAGCTGGCTTCAAGCACTGTTTCACTGGGACTCAGACATCACTGGGACGAGTTATCATCTTTTTTGTGTTGATCCCAGTTTCACACTGCCAAGACAGCAGCTGACGGTTTAAGTTCAGCAGGAAAAAGTGCCACCGTTTGCTAATAAACACTCTCCTTGCTCACTCTCATCTCTGGAATGAGTTACATCCACATCTCCAAGACTAATCTATGAACGTAACAGAGTTCTCCATTTACTTTGATTTCCTTTAATGCCACTGGATAAAGTTTCATTTTTCTCCCTAAAGTTTTTGATATTTCTGATGTTATTTTAAACTAAATACTTGGTTTGAGGTTTCCTGGATCACGTTGGTGATATGAATATAGGCTGAAATCCACCAGGGATGATGAGGGGGTCTTTTCAGGGATGCTTTTCCCCTACTTTACTCAGCACCAAGGCAACAGACCCCCATGGTGTCCTGCGGGTGGAGGGAGTGGAGCTGGTGACTTGTGGCTTAGGTTTACTCTGAGGGTACAGCCCTTCAGGGACCCAGCAAAATGTGTGTGCGGCTGGGATTGGTGGGCAGCTTTGGGGAGACTGCCATCTTTGGTGGGCCCTGGACTTCTCTGTTTCTGTTCCCCTCACTCCTCGGCATCATCAGAACTGCAGCTCAGCTTCAAATCTAGGTTATCAAATCTTCTCAGAGCAAAATTCATTTTGGTTTCTGCTTACCTTTTTGGTTTTAGACAGGTAATTCCTTATATTATTTTGGTTCTTTGATGTTTCTATAAACTTTAAAAAATCCGTCATGATGAGCTGTGGTCCATGAGAGGCAAATTTGAATAACCTAGGCTGCCAATGGCCCCAGCAGAAAGCCGTTAGTTTTCAAATTCTGATTCAGACCTAAACAAGAGTTTAGAACTAAAGAGGAAAAGAAGGTAGTGAGGCTCTCTTTGCTTAATATATTTATATATTGCTTAATATGCTTATTTGTTTTAGTATGGCAATATTGGTAAATAGCAGAACTAGAAATGAATTTGAAAATTTATATAAAATTTTTATTCTCAGAAATAAAACTTTGTTGTTCTGTGAGTTATCAGGAGAATAAAAAAAAAGACTCCATAATGGTTTAAACAGTTTGTTTATAAAATTCCATTATGTTATTCATTTTAGCTAAATGATTATACTGATGTGTGTTCCCTCTAAGCACTGACCCAGGACTTTATTTTAAGGCAGCTTAACTCATGTTCTTCAGAGATTTGAAGATTTTATTTCAAAATTATTTTAGTGGTGAAGTAGATATAGAATAAACCACACAACAATTATGTTTTGCCAATTTTCTCCTTGAGGATGACTGCAGATTTGTACTTCTTATGCAAGGAATACAGGCTGTTAAGTAGAAATAATTCCTTTCGATGCTTTGGAAAGAAGCTAGTGGAACAAAATTTAAAATATTGTGTGTATACTCTCTATATAATTTCATAGTATCAAAGTGTATAATATATAACCTTTGAATGCAAATAGCAAAACATTTCTTCAGTATTTTTAAATTCAGGGATTTCATAGTACAATGAATATATATATATTAGTAATCAGGATGATCTTTGTGGAATACAATAAAACATTAATGCATTTTATTTTTTATGGAAATTAGAAAAAATTTTACTGCAGAAAACAAGAGTAAAAATATATGTAATATTTAAAAATTCAGTCATATTACTCTTCAATAAACTGACTACTTATGAGTTTTCTTCTGTTAATATTAAGTGGTAGCAGATTCCCCAGATTTAAAAAATCATAGGGGAAAAGGTTAAAATGGAAAAATCCTACCTATTTTTATATTCTCACTAGGTATTTTTGAATTTCCTGGCTAAATTATATAAATTATAAATTATATAATATATGCATATATTACAAATTATATAATATATGCATATATTACAAATTATATAATATATGCATATATTACAAATTATATAATATATGCATATATTACAAATTATATAATATATGCATATGTTACAAATTATATAATATATGCATATGTTACAAATTATATAATATATGCATATGTTACAAATTATATAATATATGCATATATTATAAATTATATTATATATGCATATATTATAAATTATATTATACGTAAATATATAATTATAAATTATATTATACGTAAATATATAATTATAAATTATATTATACGTAAATATATAATTATAAATTATATTATACGTAAATATATAATTATAAATTATATTATATGTAAATATATAATTATAAATTATATTATATGTAAATATATAATTATAAATTATATATAAATATATAATTATATTATATATAATATATAATTATAAATTATATATAAATATATAATTATATTATATATAATTATAATTATAATTATATATAAATATATAATTATAATTATATAATAGATTGTCTATCCATTTGCTTCACATCACAAAGATTCCTTTGATCTTTCTTTGTGCTGCCTCACAGCCAAGCTTCTCGTAGCGGCCTCGGACACTCGTCTCCTCCATGCCCGACCACCTCTCATGTCTTCAGGACCTGAGTTTGGATTGTGGTGGCCATCCGGACCCCCTCAGAGACTAAGTCCCCTCATGTCTTCTCAAGTCCTTTTCCTGGGCTTTTCACCGCACTTGACACTGTGGGCTGCTGACGCTCCCTTCTCCCCGGCCTCCCTGACCTAACAACCTCTGCTTTCTGACTCGAGCCGACTGTCTCCGTCCTCCTTCCTCCCTCCCTACTCCGCCAGCATCAGTTGCGCTTCACTCCCAGCACTCGCACACACACCTCCAGCTGACACGTCTATGTGGATGACTCCCCAAATGCTGACAGTTCCTGATATTCAGTCTCAGTGATTGGTTACCTTTCCCAGGGTCTTCCGCTAATGCCACCAACCCAGTTTGTAACACATAAACCAGGCATCTATCTGCTAGCATTGCTTCCTACCACGCCTTCATTTTCTGTTTTTAAGAAGCAATACTCTCCTTGCAGCGACTCAAGCTTGAAAATGTAGCTTCATCTCTGCCTCCACCTCTATAGCACCCGGTGCTCTCAGCTTTCCAGGAGCTGCCATTTCTGGGTGTGTCCCTGGGGTGATTTTCTATCTCCGCCCTCTGGATTTGTTTTCTGAAAGTCTCCATATGACTTCATGGCCCTGGCCCGGGACAATCTTCCAGTTTCTTCTGCAGTCATTCTGGTCCCAATATGAAGCTCATGCTAAACACACCAGAATCGGCATCCACTGCTCCCTAAACACACATGCATCTTCATACCTCTGCTCATTGTAGTCTTTCTCTTTGGAATGGCCTTCTTCCCATTTCTCCTGTGACCCAAATGTGTTCTTCCTTCAAGGTCCCTGGGGTACTTAATGCCAGTCAGTAAAGGAGACTGAAAAAATGCACCCAGAGATGTAAGACTATAACGGCCATGGGAGAACAGCATTTAAAGAAGGATATAATCAAAAGCAATGATATTTAGGGGAAAATGAAAATAAGGATTTAGAAAAGTCCACTGATGACTCTTCTCTAAGGAGCTGTCTGTTCTTGCGATTTCCAATTCTGGTCTCCCTTCTCTCTTAGATCCACTCCAGTCGGGCTTCTACATCACTCCACGGAAACTGCTCCTCAGGGTAACAGTGGTCCCCATGTGTGAAACCCCATGGTCAATTCCCAGACCTCTTCCTACTCCAAAACCCACTCCTCATCCCAGTTGATGGTAACCCCATGCTTCCAAGTGAGCCAATAATTTTGGTGCCATCTTAGACACCTTTCTCTCAAATCCCCAAGCCCGTGGGCTCTACCCTTCAGAATCCCCACTTCTCATACTCTCTGCTTCCACCACAGTGCTGCAAGCCATCATTGCCATCTGATTCTTGGATTCTTTTTTTTTTGAGACGGAGTCTTGCTCTGTCACCAGGCTGGAGTGCAGTGGTGATCTTGGCTCACTGCAACCTCCGATTCCCAGGTTCAAGTGATTCTCCTGCCTCAGCCTCTCGAGTAGCTGAGATTACAGGCATGTGCCACCACACCCAGATAATTTTTGTATTTTTAGTAGAGACGGGGTTTCACCGTGTTGGCCAGGATGGTCTCGATCTCCTGACCTTGTGATCCGCCCACCTCGGCCTCCCAAAGTGCTGGGATTACAGGCGTGAGCCACCGCGCCCGGCCACTTCTTGCATTCTTAACTGGTGTCCCTGTTTCTTCTCACCCCCACCCCCACCCCAAGTCTATTCATAACACAGCAGCCAGAAAGGTCCTGTTGAAACCTAAGTCAGATCACTTCACTTCTTTGGCCTCAACCCCATTTCAGTCAGGGTAAAGCGAATCCTCCTCTCTGCTGCTTTTACTCTGGCCTGGGCTCCCCCTGAAACATTTTGCAAACACACAGGTTGTTCCTTATGCCTGGGAAGCATATCCTTCAGATGACAACTCCATGTGCTCTCTTCGTTCAAGTCTCTGCTCAAGGAAGCCTACCCTTACTATTTATCTTACCTTACTCTGTTTATTTTTCCACTGTACTTGCCATTTTCTAATGCATTATATAATTTAATTACGTATGCTTATCATCTGTGTCTGCCTGCTAGAATGTAATTTCAGTGTTCACAGATATATTTCAAGTATCTACAATAATGGTTGCACATAGCAAATACTAAAATATGTGTCAAATGAAAGAATAAAACTTTTGAGAATAAAAGTTCTGTGAAGCACTAAGGACCTAAGGTAGTTTACATGGGTCCAGCAGCAAATGTATGTGAAGAAATGGAACCACAGAGGGAAAGAAATTTGTAATTTATCTAAGCCTTTCCATTCCTATACAGTCACTCTGACATATGAAAACTACATCTATTAGAAATACCTTTATTATTTTCAATTTTGAATAAGACACTATGTAACGTACAACAAAGTGAACATTTTAAACATCAAAACATAAGGACCATGACATTCTTAAATATTTATAAATACTGACTATTCCTAAGTATCAATAAATACCCAATATATTAGCAGTTTCAGCATAATACCCCATCATATGCAATTTGAAAACAGAGCAAAATTGGTCAACTGGTTAGTCAAATAAAAGCTAATCATTAACAAGTTCATTTTTTTTTTACCTTTTTACTACAATAAGCAACAAATGCAAATAAAAATGTGTAATTATGATATATAATAAAAATAAAAACAAATATAGTAAGCAACCAATACTGTGAAACCTAATATATGAGTATATGAGAAGCACTTTTGCATTCCTAGAAATATGATTCTTGGCATTTATTTTGACATTGCCATATATTTTTTAAAGTAATCGCTGATTTCTTCAGCTCCTGGACATAGGCAAACATAAAATTATTTTCTTATGGTTTTAAAATTAAAATGGTTCTAAAACTAATGCACAATTGGAATATAAGAATAATTTCTGGGGGGAGGATGGTCCATACTGCATATAAATCACCAATAACTTACACAAAGAAGTAAAATGTAGCTTTCCCTAATTAGATTTGGAATTATCTTGGCTTTCAAAAATTGCAATGTTTAAAATGAACCAAAATCTTAATTGATTTCTCTGGTGATTCTGAACACAGAAATTTGATCTAGAACCTCTTCTTGGAACATGAAATATGAAATCAACAATCTATATACCTATCTATATTAAATCTCACATATAAATATATGCATATATTTTTATAACTTTCATTAGGATAAATATTGTAAGATAAAAATCAAACCTACTTTATACAAAAAAATACACTAAACATGGCAGGTTTTGCCATGTAGGTTAACATTGATCTAAACTCAAGTACTATACTATATATTCTAAATTTTAGACACTAATGGAGTATAGGAGGGGCTATCAAGATTATTTATATAAAGAACTGGAAGATGTTAATACCACTTCAGCAGTGGATGTATGGTTTTCATTATTTTGCTCAGTGTAATAATAAAGTAAGTGTCCATTACCTGAGGCATAGTGACTGGGCAGTAGCAGGAAGGTGGCCTGGGAATGTATGGAACAGTGGGGAAGGCTGGTTTTAGGAATGATTACATGCTGTGGATGACTGTGCTCATCAAAAATGCATATTTACTAATGTTATTTTCACCATAGCCTCATAAACAAAATGACATACCACTCTTTATAACAGTCTACTAGATATCTATAATACAAACTTTGGAATGAGAAAAGCACACTCAAAATGGGCTTCAGACAAAATGCTTATCCTTATGAAAATGGTAAAATAATTGGGAAATAGAGATAATTCTGGAAAACAGAAATGCTTACAATAAAGGTATATAGCAAATTAATTAACTAAACACAATTTCAGGAGCAGGAGTTAACATTTAACGTTTGAAGGAGAGTTTGTTTACTTTTGCTTTTAATTGCAATGGTTTAGTAAAGTGGTGGAGACAATAAATCACATTTACAAAATCAGAGTTCAACTTATACTTGGATCTCTAGTGGCTATTTTTATGTAATTATTGTTTCAGTGGAATAGCCAATGAAGATTTTGGTTTCTTTTAAATATATTACAACAATTATATAATATTTCGTATATCAAACATATAAAATGTTTGAAAGCCAGAATAATATTCATTGTCTGAGAAGCTCCACTTCTGTTTCTCTTTTTTTCAAATGTTAGATAATTTATTTGTAATATGGACTAGAAGGTCATTCTGGACATATGCTTCAATACATACATATCCCTAAGTCTGTGCCAGGAACCCAGAATGAATTTGCTTGAGACTAGACCACCAGCACTCAGGGGCTCAGGCCACGGCTGTCTCATCCATTTCTGCCATGGACACAGTGTTGTCCCCACTGCCTGGCACACAGAAGATGCTAATGAGTACTGGTGGAAACAGAAATCTCCACCCCAATAAAGGCTCCAGTTTTGTTGAGAAATAGCTTTTACATTTATTCAGGGCTTCCTGTTAATTTGCATATAAAAGCAAAAGTGAAATTTAGTGAGCCTGCAGAGATATAGTAGAGATCCCCAAAATGTAATATATATATACACATTCTTTTTTTCTTAAAAAATATACTATATCTTATGTTAGAAATATATACACTTTGGTGTTTATGGGTAAAATTATATGATGTCTTGAATTTGCTTTAAAAGATTATAGCAAAAAAAAGCATGTCTGTGAGGAACAGATGAAACAGTGGCAAAATATTAATAACTGGTAGATCTGGGTGATAGGTACTTAGAGGTTCTTCATACTCTTATCTGTGCTTTATGTGGTTTGATAATTTCAATAAGGGCAAAATAAAGATATTTTCAACTATCAAAACTACTGTATAAGATCATTGGATATTTTGCAAAGATCTGCAGACTACATGATGTTGTAATAGTGAAAAGTTGGGAAGAACTGAAGTGTCTATCAATAGGGGACTAGTTAAATACAGAAACCCACATACAACAAGATGCTATGCAAACAATAAAAAGAAACTGTCAAGTGAAAAAGGAGGTTCCACAGCAGTAAGTAGAGCTGATTTCATGGTCACAGGAGTGTGAGAGGCATCTGGAAGAGTGTTCATCCTATATTCAGAATGCTCATCTCTGCAAAGAGAAATTACAGATGGTTTTTTACTTTTTTCTTGAAACTGCTCTGTACTACTCAAGTATAGGAGTATGTATTAATTTTATATTTAGGGGAAATTATTTTCTATAATGATTCCTGTTATTGGGAGCTAAATAATATATACACGTGGACATAGAGTGCAGAATGATAGAAAGAAGAGTAGGGCGTTGACAGATAGAAGAAGGGAGGGGGGGTGAATGATGAGAAATTACTTAATCAGGTACAATGTACATTATTCCAATGATGAATACACTAAAAGCCCTGACTTTACCCCTACAATACATGCAGGTAACAAAGTTGCACTTGTACCCCACAAATTTATACAAATAAAATATTAAAAATGTTCTCGTTATTCCTTCTACCTGATGAAATTATTTTAAAAATTTAATATTTATTGACTTTGAGACAGGGTCTCACTTTGTCATTCAGGCTGGAGTGCAGTGGCAAACACAGTTCACTGCAACCTCTACCTCCCAGGCTCAAGCAATCCTCCCACCTCAGTCCCCGAAGTAGCTGGGACTATAGGCATGCACCACCACGCCCAGCTAATATTTCTGGCAGGGGACAGAGTCTCACTCTGTCACCCAGGCTGGAGTGCAATGGCGTGATCTCAGCTCACTGCAATCTCCACTTCTCGGGTTCAAGTGATTCTTCTGCCTCAGCCTCCTGAGTAGCACGTCCAGCTAATTTTTTGTACTTTTAGTAGAGAAGGGGTTTTGCCATGTTGCCCAAGCTGGTATCAAACTCCTGATCTCAGGTGATCCACCTGCCTCAGCCTCCCAAAATGCTGGAATTACAGGCGTGAGCCACCATGCCCGGCCCTAATTTTTTATATTTTTTGTGGAGACAGGGTCTCACCCATGTTGCCCAGGCTGGTCTGGAACTCCTGAGCTCAAGCAATCTGCCTGCCTCAGCCTCCCAAAGTGTAGGAATTACAGGTGTAAGCCCCCCCTCCTGGATGACTTTTTAATTTTAAAAATTGTGTCAGGACTTAAGTAGTTCAAAGTGGGAAAGTGCTATATTTCTAAAACAATATGAAACCTAGAATAGATTTCATTGATTTCTAAAAATGCAAGTAACATCTTAAAGGCACATGCATTTTTCCCTCAGTCACCTACTGAGTGCATTAAAATATTAAGATGTCAAAAAGTACATAAAATACAACATCATAACGTATATAGGAATAGACTCAAATACTTTCTGGTTAATTAAAATCAGGCTGAAAATTTTATTAGTTATAGGAAGAAATAGCAGTTGGAAAAGAAAATGTTTTCTAGTTGGTTCTTAAAGAATCTGAATTGAAAGTATTCCAATAGTTCTATGTAAAAAAATAACTTGTGGGTATTTTAGTAATATGTTTGTTCTTAGAATAGAACAGATGGCAGAACAAAATAAAATGTAATTTCCAGATGTATCATGTTGTAAATTCAGTGCCATGAACTGGGCATTATTAACTGAGTATCAAGTTTAAACATAGCCAGCACTGTAGCACTTTTGGAGTAAATTTTAACTAAATGATTAACCTTTGAAACATCATTTAAGGTTTATTATCTTGGGTAGGTATCCCAAAAAGTGGATATTGTAGTAGCTGTTCAAATCTTCTATTTTTAGATAGTCTGCTGCTGCTGTGTGAGCTCTTCCTAGTCTGCAAGGATCCCCAGAACAGAGTGAGGGGGAGCCCACAGTGGACCATTTGCACCCATCCCTCTTTGAAATCATTACAAAACAGCTGCTGTGTATGGTCCTTATTCAAGGAGTGAACTGTTCCCACCATGTCCTATTTCTTTGCTGATTTTACGGTTTCAAAGAATTTAAAAGTAGCTGCTTTTTACCAAGAGGTTGGGGACCCCTAAACTTGGCAATCCCAATTCAGATAATGTAAAAACAAATCAAAAGCTATCACTTCAGTTACCTGGTAGACATTTCCTTCTTTCAGGTCCATGTTCTAAGCATTATGAATGATGAGAGATTTCTTAAGTTTTGATTTATCCGAGTCAAGTATCTGTATTAGATTGAAGAATCACATTTGTTACAAATTAACTGCATAGACTTACAGTCGCTCTAGGGTAGATATTCTGTTTATTAATTAGTATGGTTCTAAATGATCTTAGGGAAATCATTTAAATCCTTATTTAGGGGTTTTAAGGGTCTAGCATATGATAAGTAGTGCCAGATTAATTTTTTTTTTACCTGCTTCTTAGAAGAACTGGATTGGCCATAGTGCACAGTATCGGAATGATGCTTCTTTGAAGTTTTGGAAGACTCTGGACATAATTTTCTTTTAGACCTGTGGGCTATTTTGCTTACTATCAACCTGTGGTCACTTGTACCAACTTCTTTAGCTTGATTTTCTGATTGCTGCTGTAGCAGTCGTGGATCTTCGGTTTCTCCATCTGATTCAAAAATGTGTGGCTGTCTTTTCAGTTTTAGTGACCCATGGCTTTTCCCTAAAATTTGTGTTATACCTTTGCCTGTTAAATTTTCTTTTCCTTTCATTTGGAAGTCAACAGCACTTTTTACCACCCCTAAATTGTTATTTGACACCACAAATACTGCACTATTAGATAGTTGCTTATTTTTGTTTAAACTCACAGTCGATTTTCCACGAGAAGAGGGAAATTTTGTCATATTTTCAGAAGACTCTGTATTTTTTTCTTGCAGAGGTCTGGAATTCTCCTGATTTAAATTGTTAGCAGCCTGCATCTGAATGTTACTACTATAACGGTTTTTTATAGCTGGACCTAAATTCAGTTTGTCATGCTGGATCATACTAGTTTTGAGTGAAAACAATTTAGATTGTGTCACATCATGCTGTTTTCTTTTTGGGCTGCCAAGTACTGAGGTATTTTTGTTCATTTGTAACAATCTATTTTTGAAAACTGGTACAAACTTAGGGGTGATGTTGCTTTGGGAGCTAAGATTTGTGTGCTGAACTTGAGTATTTCCTCTGTTGGGCATTAATACTTCTGAATGTACTTGTGGAGCCCTGATAGACAGGGATTTCTTTCTACCCTGAACAGACTCTGGCTGGAGATGCAAAGCTGAGAAAATGCCTGATGTTGGCTGGCTGACTGAAAGCTCCACCTTGTGGTCCACTGCTACTGAACATGGTAGAAGACTTTGAGCACAGGCAGGCTTTCTGGAAGTGGCTTGAGTCAGAGATGCCCTAAGCATTTTTTTAGTGGTCAAATTGGGTGGCTTGACTTTGTGTTCCTGAAAAGGATAGAGATTAAAAAAAAATTTAAAATGTTAATAATGTCCTTAATGGAAAAGAAATAAAATATAAAGTATCATCCAAATAAGAATATAAAGCAACACTATGATTTACAGAACAGGTAAAGAAAAACAAAATAAAAATGAGCCTTCTGGTGGAAATGAGTACATTTCTTATGGTTTGTATCCTCCTTTAGATACTATCCAAGATACTATCTTAAGATAAAGGTATATACTACATTTCATATAAATCTACCATAAAAACCATTCACACAGCTACCCACTGTCCTCCAAACATGCTCATGCTGCTGCCTTGCTCACTGAGCAAGGTATGACCTCCTTCAGATACTCAAAGTCCCACCTTCTCCCACCCATCAATCTACCACAGAGCGACTGTTTTTCTGTCAACTCTCCAAGGATCTGCTATCAATTAAATAATATTTGTCACAAAAAAATATTACAAGGTAAGCTCTCTTATCTTTTAGTGCACATATTCCATCTTCCTAAGTAGGTACCAGATTCTTGGAGGGTAAGAACCATGACTTATTTACTCTTATATCCTTCACAGTTACTAAAAATCCTTGTTGAAAGAAATTAATGAAGAGGTGGCTGCATCTATACTGGGCCTTTAGGAATAAGTGGGATTTTGACTACAGGGAAGGCGCTATCTGTGTCTTAATCATGTTTACTTTTTCACTGCCTACCACAGTGCCTGGTACGTGGTAGCAATTCAGCAAGTATTTGTCAAAGAAATTTGTCAGATACATTAAAAAGAGCCAAGCGTTTACAGTCTTTTAAAGATGAACTGTGGATACACACACACATACACATAAATAATATAAAATTTACCATTTTAACCATTTTTAAGTGAACGATTCAGTGACTTTAAGTACATTTACCACTGTACTGTATTATATAACCATCAATACTATTTCCAAAAATTTTTTTTCATTCCAAACAGAAACTTTGTACTCTGTAAATAGTAATTTCCTGTTTCCTCTTCCTTCTAGCCCCTGGTAACCTCTATTTTACTTTCTATTCTATGAATTTGCCCATTCTAGGTACCACATGTAAGTGGAATCATACAATATTTGTCTTTTTGTGTCTGGCTTATTTCATTTAGCATAATGTTTTCAGGGTTCATTTATATTGCAACATGAGTCAGGATTTATTCCTTTTAATGACTGACTATTCCACTGTACTTATATAGCATATTTTATCCACTCATCTCTTGGTGGAAGTATTGTCTTTTAAAGTACATATCTTGTCCTGTTGTCTGTAAAAGAGTGATAGGTAGCAATAACCTGAAACACTGAACACCAAGTTCTTTTCTCACTTTCCCCATCAAAACACAGGTTCACAGCTTGAAATAAACATTTTAAAACTGCTAGGAATAATATGCAAACTTGAATGACTGGTTTTTCTCTCCACTACTGGAGGTTCCATTGTTGAATTAGGTTGAGAAGAGAATAGGAAAGATTTTGGGAAATCAGAGTTGGAAATAGGCACAAGTAAGAGACTAATCCAATTATCTATTAGGCATAAACAAATCACACCAACATTTAGTTGCTTAAAACCAATAATAATTATGTTATCATCTCTCACTATTCTGGGGGTTGGCTTGGCTTAGTTTGGCATCTCTCATGCTGTGTGGTTAGATACTCTGCAGCTGGAGTCACCTTGGAGTCACTTCCTCTTTCACATGTGATGCGTGATGCTGGCTGTTGGCTGGAATGCTGACAGGCAGTCTCTTCCTGTGCTGGGGATCTCTCACAGATTGGGTTCCAAGAACAAATGTCCCCAGAAAGACCAGGTGGAAGCTGTTTCTCCTAAAGACCTAGCCTCAGGGTATGTTGCATCACTCTGTCATAGGGACATCCAGACTCAAGAGAACGAGACCCATACCTCAATGGGAGGAGTATTGTCCCATGACCAAAATGATGTGGAGAAGGAAATTCCAGGAAACTTAGTTCCATAATACTTAAGTTGACATAATAGAAAGTCATTATAGAGGACAATACTCCTCCTTCCATGTTGACTATTCTTGGGAAAAACGGAAAGTCCCCAAGAAAATATTGAGTGAGATTTGGGGGCGATGCTGAAAATAGGTGATTGGGATTCATTTCTTATCTGGAGATTACTTCAGTTGGAGGCTTACCCATGCCACCAGGGCAAGAAGACACACCGTCTTAGTTTCTTTTGGCTGCTATAACAAAGTAGGTAGTTTATAAGCAACAGTTTTGGAGGCTGGGAAGTCCAAGATCAAGGCAAATCTCTCTTGGGCCTTTTAAATAAGAGCACTAATCCTGTTTAGCACAGCTCTACCCCTATGACCTAATCACCTCCCAAAGACCCTACCTCCTAATATCATCACCTTGGGAGTTAGGGTTTCAACATTTAAATTTTGGAGAAACACATTCAGAGCATAGCACATCCTTCTTAATTTGCCCATTATTTTCAAGGGGTGCAAAGAAAACCCAGCTAAGTTTCATGACCCTGAATGAAGAAATACAGAAGTTAACCAAGGAAGAATTACTGGCTTACTGCCCCTTGACATTGCTCAGCTGAGTGAAAAAGCATGCATCAAGAAGGGGTTTGTATTAGAACAGAAACATATTATCTCAGTTTTAGAGCCTTGAAGTCTGAAACCAAGGTGTTGGCAGGGCTGGTTCCTTCAGAGGGCCAGGAGGAAAGGATCTGTTCCGGGCCTGTTTCCTCGGCTTGTAGATGACCATCTCCACCTTCACATGGTGTTCTTCCTCTATGTGTGTCTGTATCCAATTGCCCCTTTTCATAAGAACACTAGTCATATTGGATTAAGGGCCCACCCTACTACAGTATAACTTCATTTTAACTAACTATATCTGCAGTGACCCTATGTCAAATAAGGTCACATCCTAAGGAACTGGGGGTTAGGATTTCAGTGTATGTATCTGAGGGGTACACAATTCAACCTGTAACAGGGTTGGATATACACTTCTGGAGAGAACAGAGAGAGGAGGGAGCTGTTTTTCTGAAGACTCCCTGTACAAGGGAGCTAGGGTAAAGCTAAAAAGTAACTGATAAAACCTCATATACTATCTCTGTTGAGATACCATATGAGCAGAGACCACCACCATTAAATCAACCCAGGTCAAGAAGTGAAGGTGTGAAGGCCTCCTACCCCCACACCCCACAGCCAATCTCTATGCTGTGACTGCAATGGATAGGATGGACTGGTGTTCAACCTCCATTCCACCCTCCTCCTTGTGCTCCTATACAGACTAAAGCCTGGAAATCTAAAATTTATATTTCATCTTTTGCAGCTAGGGTTTGGATGTGATTTAGAACCAGCCAATCAGATGCACTCATAAAATATTTGGAAGTAGAAGTAAGGTCTAGCCACACTTCTGTTTTTGCAGAAACGCTTAACTATGAATGCCTTTGATTTTCAGTTACAGAGTTAGCAGCTTAAGTGTAGGGGAGCAGAATGTAGGGCACCATTCTCTTGCTATAGAGGAGTAGTCCTCAATCATTTTGTCACCAGGGACCAGTTTTGTGGAAGACAATTTTTCCATGGACCGGGGTGGTGGGGGGGATGGTTTTGAAATGAAACTGTTCCATCTCAGATCATCAGGCATTCGATTCTCATAAGGAGCATGCAACCTAGATCCCTCGTGTACGCAGTTCACAATAGGGTTCGTGCTCCTACAAGAATCTAATGCTGCTGCTGATCTGACAGGAGGCAGAGCTCAGGCGGTAATGCTCGCTCGCTCTCCTGCTACTCACCTCCTCCTGTGTGGCCTGGTTCCTAACAAGCCATGGACTGGTAGGTCCATGACCTGGGGGGTTGGGGACCCCTGCTATAGAGCATACTAGGCAAACATACCAGTGCACTTCACCACATACCACTGCCCTCATCCTATGCAAGGTTTCTCTGCACAGATGCTATCGTGAGAAGAAGGGTTCCTAAATTGGATTGAAGAACATTTCTACCTTAAAGAGATGTTTTGTCATAAGGGACTGAGTCACTTTGAAGTGTCCAGATTGAATTTTTTTCCGTTTCATGAAAAAAAGTTAAAGAATTAAAATGAATTATAGAAAAGCAAAGAACACCCACTGTTTGGACCCTTGGGTTCTATAAACTGTAGTAACATTTAAACAACATATCTACTACTTGAGATAAAAGAAAACTCATAGGCAGATTCATATAAGTTATTTGTATTCGAACATAAAACTGTACTAGAATATGTGTGTGGTATATGAAATATGTTTATATTCACACACTGTTTCTTCTTCAGCTGTCTTTTGGAAATATACATATGGTGAACATAATTTCCAGAAGTTTCTTTTGCTCCCTAGCCTAGACTGTCAATATATTATTTACTCATTCTTTCAACGTTTAAGATAAAGTAAATAGCTCAAAGGGGGAAACCTCTAGGTTTATATTCAAATTTATAAAAAGACTACAAAAGAGCCTATGTAAACAGCAGATGAGATGATAAATAATTCACAGAACTTAAATATACTTAATAGTCAACAAACTACAGCTTTGTGAAGTCGCAAGCCAACAAAAAAAATATGCTTTATTATATCATTATCATTATTCTGCCAAGTGTCATTGGCAAATGCAACTTGGTTGAATTTTAATTTCTAGAATTTATATACAACTTATGTAACTTTATACATTAACACAACATTATAGAAGAAGGCCAAAAGCTTGAACTTAGATATGAACGAATATTTCACAGAAGCTTAATATTAAAGCAATAATTAAATGAAAATGAAACTTGAGAAATGACAAAGATGACTAATCAAAAGTGTTTTATCGATCAAAATTTGGTTCAGTGCATTGCACCACCTCAGTGTATTTCTTGCTTGCTTCAAGTTGAATCAGAATTCAGTCAAGCTTAGATATAACCACAGGTTTATAGGACATATGGGTTTTTGAAGAATATTTTCTTTAAGTGACATGACACAACAAGGAAGTAGTCAAATTCAGAATATGGGACATTCTCCAGGGAAAACAATCTAGTTTTCTAGCAAATAACTGGCCTAAATAAAAGGGGAGAGAGTTTGAGATGTTACAGAATAAAGAGATTTAAGAGACATACATAAAATTATGTGGACTTTTTTTTGGATTCTGATTTAAATAAAACTCCTAAAAATAAGTCTGTGTGAGATAAATGGGGAACTTCAGTGTGAACTAGTACTTAATAGATATTAAGAAACTATTGTTAATTCTGTTAGGTATAATAATAACATAGGGGTTATATAAAAATATTTTGAAATGAGAGAGAATGTACACCATAGTCTTTACAGGTAAAACACTATATCTGGGATTGGTTCCAAAATCCCCCAGTTTACTCCCTACCCAAAAATATGTCAAGGGGAAACTAGATGAGAAGCACATGAGAGGTGATTATACTAATTTCCTTTATGTATCTTTGACATTTTCTATATGTTAAAACAAAACAAGTTTGACTAAGGATTCCTAATTTTTTTAAGCTGGCTGAGTTTTATCAAGTAGTCTGATCAATTTATTTTCCATTTTTTAAATTTATGCCTTTTACACTGCATGAATCTTAGAGTTAACATGTATATGGTCTAGTAATAACAACTTACTGAGAGCTCACCAAGAAACTTTTCTATGTGTTATCTCATTTAGTCCTAAAAACCCCTCTGAAGTAAGTACTGCAAAAGACATGACCCCCTTCAAAGGAAGGACTTACTGCCTCTGGTAGAGTGCTGTCAGCAGAAATAGGTTACAGAGGGCCAATGCCCAAGGATGTGCCTGTTTCACGGTGGCCCAAATCCAATGACAGATACAGAAAGGGTTATAAAGGCCTGGCTATCTGGACCAGTGCAGAACAACTCTGATGGGCCATTTTAGTCTCAGAGCTCCTCAGAAGAGTGGCCAAGGCCATCTGGTGTCTGCTTTGTTTTTGACTTCTCCCTTTCTCCACTCTTGCTTCCTCCCTGCCTTCCACAGGTATTGTTTCCAAGGGCAGTCCCTAACAAACATCATGTGCACTAGACCACCTCAGAATCAGCTCCTAGAGAACCGAATCTGCGACAAGTTTTATCATTACCACCGCTAGCCTCTGCCTCATTTTACAACTGAGGAAACTGGGGCACACAGAGATCAAATAACTTGTCCCAAATTATACAATTAATAAGAGGTTCAAATTCAGGCAGCCTGTTTCTAGAGCTTGAGCTCTTAGCTACAAATATAAACTTTTTCCAATTACAGGACTAAGAATCTTGGGTTTCAATTCTAATTCTGCAATGCATTTAACTGTGTGGCTTTGGTTAAATTATTTGGATGTTCTGAGCTTCGGTCTCCTCTTCTGCAAAATTGAGTGAATTCTTTATCCAAAGATCAATTTTGATTATTAAATGAAATAATACACATAAAAGCAGCTGGCATGCAGAAAGCACTCAATAGAATTGAGTAGGATAAATTCTTATTGTAAGGAACAATATAAAACCATAACTTCCAATTAAGTGTTATTTTACACTTATGAAGCAAATTTTAACAAGTGCATTGTTCTGATTAACTATTTTTAAAACAGACATGGGCTGGAAATCTTAAGTATTCCAGAAATATATTCAATAAACATGCATGATGTAACAACATATCTTCTTCCAGATTCTTTAGGTTCATATTTGGCCTGCAACTTTAAAAAATATTATGTCTGGACAAAACTTTAATACTGTTTTAAAGATGTCAATGGGCATTTGTCCACTCACTCTCCCTTCTAAGGAGATGACCTTGCCTGTAGGCCTTTGTATCTAGATTGTCAGGTTTTTGTACAATTTTTCTCTAACTAACAGTAGGAGGAGTTGACCCCTGACCAGGAAGATAAACAACTCTCAATTCTAAATTTACATGTATATAATATTGTGGTCTCAGAATACATAAAGCAAAATCTGAAAGTAGGAAAAGTGATAAATCCACATCATGTTGGGAGATTAGAACACACTTCTCAGCAACTGACTGACAGGTCATAATGTATTTAAGCCAGAAACATAAGAAAAAGATAGCTAGAAAATTCCCATATCTTAGAAAGTTAATAAATACATATTAAAATAATTCATGTAATTAATACATTTTGAAGTAATTTATGTATAGGAAGTACAAAAGACTTCCCATACATAAAGTTATAAACTATTATTGAGATAAATTAAAGAATATATATTTAATATGTGGAGAAATATACACTATTCTTAGATTGTAAGACTCAATGAAATTCCCATCAAAATCCCAGCAT
Source organism: Homo sapiens (assembly GCF_000001405.40). Lineage (NCBI taxonomy): Eukaryota > Metazoa > Chordata > Mammalia > Primates > Hominidae > Homo > Homo sapiens. The sequence goes on along the minus strand of NC_000018.10, from coordinate 74,345,992 downwards.
GCTCTCTCTGTCTCTATGTGTGTGTGTGCACGAGTGTGTCTGTGTCTATGTGTAAGTTGACAAGTTGAAACTCAATGTGTATGGAAATGCACAGATCAATAGATAAGATGCTTTATCAGATTTCAAAAATCTTATAAAATTTAAGATTAAAACACTATTTATAATAAATATAAAATTTAAGATTACATAATTAAGATAATTCTAAAAGCATGGTGCTGGTGCTAGGATCAACAAACTGACCAGAGAAAGAGATTAAAGAGGCCTGAAACAATACCATACACACAAAGACACTGGATTTATGACAAAGGTAGTGCTGCAAAGTACTGAGGGGAGAAAAACTATTGGGGAAAAAGTACTGGGGTAAGAATTGTGTTTTTTATTTTTGGCTTGGACATATGGATATCCATATTAAAGAAATCTGACTCCCTACATCACATTACAAAAATAAATTCCAACTGCATTGCAGATCTAAATGTGAATGCAAAACAACCTTTTATTGGATGATATTAGAGGCGAATACCTTCATGACTTTGGGTACAGAAAGATTTTTTAAACAGGGTACAAAAAGTAGCAACCATAAAGAAAAAGACTGATCATTTTGATTATAAATTAGGACCTGCTGCCAAAAGATACTATTAAGACACCAAGACACCTTTAAGAGAGAAAGCATGTTATAGAATGAAAGAAGATAATTATGTATAACTGATGAAAAACTCATATCTGGCTTATGTTAAAAATACGTATAAATCAATAAAAAAACAAACAAACACGTAACACAGTAGAAAAATGAAAGAATGGCATTTCAAAAAAAATCCAAATGGCCAAAATACATGTGAAAAGATGTTCAATTTCATTAATAATCGGGAAAATGCAAATTAAAAACACACAGTAATAAATACACCTATCAGAAGGGCTGAAATTCAAGACCAACAATACCAAAAATGGGCAAGGATGTGAAGCAGCATAAATTCTCCTATACTGCTTTGGGGCAGAGGGGAATACAGATTGGTTAGGGAAATAGTTTGGTGTAGCCAGCAAAGTTGGAAATACCCATACCAATTCTACTCCTGGAGGTTTCATGTACATGAGCACCAGCAGACATATACAAGAATGTTCATCACAGTATTACTAGTAATAGCCTCCAAAGAGAAACAATCCAAATATTCATCAATAATATTCTGAATAAATTGCAGCATAATCACATAATAAAATGCTACATATAAAGGAAAATAAACCGACTATAGCTAAGTGGAGCAACGTGGATGAATGTCACAAACATGATGCTGAGCCTAAAAAGCCAGGCACAAAGGAATACATACTCTATGATTTATTTTACATGAAGTTCAAAAGCATGCAAAATGAAATATGATGTTTAAGGACACATACTTAGTTGATAAAAACGAAACAAGGAATAATTTCCATAGTAGTGGTCACCTTTTGGGAGGAGGAAAGGAGTTATGACTAGGAAGGTGTTAAGTAGGAGGCTCCTAAGTCCTGGCAAGGTTCTATGTTTCATCTGTGTGATAGTTACATGGACGTTTGATATTCATTAAGCTATACAGTATTACTTTTCTATATGTGTGTCATATGTCACCATAAGAATAGATTTTAAAAATGCAGAGGAGACAAACTCAGTAGAAAACACCCTCCCTCCCCAATAGTTTCCAGCCTCAGTAAAAATAAAAACCGTGAATCTGATTTCAAGTTAAGTCTTCAACAGCTTTGTTCTGACAAACTCTGAGATGTAGGCCAATGCCCATATGGCCATTTCATCTTTAACTTGTCCATTAGCAGACAGCCAATTATATTAATTTCTTAATGAAATCAGACAGGAGCCAGACACTAGCCCTCTGTTTTCCTTATACAGCAGGGATCATACTTCAGTCTCTAAGTGGTTCCATAGAAGCCCCAACTTACTTGATTTGGTGAGGGGCAGGCATCTTACCTTCCATTTAACTGAACTTATACTGTCAGCACAGTATCTCCAAATAAATACTCTTCATAAAACTCTGTCTCTTTAATCTCCAATAACCCAACTCATTTATATCCTTGATGTAGGTGAAACATTTCAGTAAACAACTACTACTATAATACCATGTTAAATATAATAATAATAACAAATGACTAAGTATAGTAATAATAATAACAAATAGTTTTAGGGAAGCATTGAACTGAGATAAAAGAATTACTGCACACTGCGTTGGGTGTTCCACCCCAGAAGACAAGAGATTCAAGTAAAATAGATGGATAGTATGTCTTGGAGAACTAGATAGGACAAGAGATCTCTTACCTGTATATTAGGTTTAGTTAGTTCTTGTGTGTAGTAGCATGGTTTACTTGTCATCTTTATGGGAAATCCACATATATGGGGCAGTTTAGATTTTAAATCTGAAAGAAAACTTTTCAACACAACTTCCGAATCTACCCTTGGAAAGAACTGCATGGGCTGACTTCTGATGCAACTGAGAGGATATCTGAACAATGTTAAAGAACAATGTCTGATTTTATTACATAAGAGGCAGAAATTTATAAGGGATTTTAAAAAGTAGTAAAGTAGCAATGTTAAAAAGGCACACATAAATATATCTTAACTCTTTTATATTGCTTATCTGATACCATCCACAGATGAAAGTATGTTTTCTCACAGGGATCTTCATTCCTTCTATTCTAACATTCCAAATCAAGACAATTCATAATATCTTACTATATGGCTTTCTAAATGGAAAGGCAACTGTGATATTCCAAAAACGATTTATAAGGAAGATACTATAAGCCTTAGCAATTACAAAATAAGTATTATAATAAACAATGAACAGGTTGCACCTCCAAAAACAGTTAGAAATTCAGGACAGAGAAACAACACATATAGATTGTATTCAAGCTGCAAAAGCAGTTCTTTGAGAAAGCAGTTACTTTTTCTGATGAAACATATTCTGTAGATTTTGAATAACATGTTGGCATCTAATGAAATAAAATAACTGATGTATGTTAACCTCAGTTTTACTATTAAAATAAGTTTGGCTTAGGAAACAAAGAACGCAAAAAGACAACACTGAGGCTCTTCCTTCTTCCATTTTTAAACTCCAGCAGGTCAGAAGATGGAAATGGTGAAATCAGTACTAAGATTTAAGAGTTTCACCTGAGCACTTATGCTCTTCTCGTGTGTATATTTCGATTTTAAAAAATATTGTTTAAAAGATATTTTCTTAAGTCAATGGGGTGCAATTAAGTATAAGTCAAATCATCGAAAATTTGCCTATAAAATTAGATAATCTCCTCAAAAGAAAAATCTTGTTTTTGTTTACAACCTAAGCTTTTAATTCAACCCTTTCAATTGTATCTGAAATGCCACTGGAGGGAGCACTTGGCTAAGGAGAATCATGATTGCTTTCTTACTTTCTAAGTACACATTTTTTTCTAACTTTTCTAAGTTATTGAAATGGTGTTTAAGGAAAATATCCTTATTGAGCTCATCCTCAAATAAAAATAGGAAGATATTCTAAGCAAACCAGAAACACTTGTGCAGATAAGAAGTAGGAGGAAATGTACCATAGTTTCAGTTAGACACAGAGAAAGAAGGTTGAAAAGTATGACATGAGAGTGGGAGCAAAACTAGATTATAAGGTGGGCAGACAGCATCTGCTTCAGTTGGTGTGTAAAGGATATGTGAAGGTCCTTTCTCCGAGCATTTTGAAATAGATGTTGCAGTATATTTTAATTTTTCCACAATCACCTGGAAGTTTATAGCCATACTAAAAATTAAGCACAAAATTTTAAATATCTTGGAGAAAGCTAAACTTAGGTTAAGTTACAATAAACAAAAATCAAATAACTTCTAATGTAACATATATTTCCATTCCTTACCAGGGCATCCCAGTGTCTCTGGAAATCTCCATATGAGTGAAAAGGACAGGCAGCGGGGATGGCATGAAAAATATTTATAATTTGTCCCATTTTCATACTATGAAAAATGAGAGGAAGCTATTATGAGCCAATGCTTAAATATAGTTTAATAAGTCAACTACATGATTTAGAAAGTGTTCAAAAAAGATTCAACAACTATCTCACTAGCTATATATAGTAAACTAAACATCTCAAGTTTCAAACACGTTGTACTAAATCTTTTTATTTTGCTTTAATTGACAAATAAAAATAGTATATATTATTTATCATGTATGACATATTTCAAAATATGTATACATTGTGGATTGCTAAGTCGAGCTAATTAACATGCATTTACTCACATACTTTTTTTTTTTGTGGTAGACCACTTAAAATGTACTCTTAGTGCTATTATTTATTTTTTGAGACAGTGTCTCGCTCTGTTGCCCAGGCTGGAGGGCAGTGGTGCGATCTCAGCTCATGGCAACCTCTGCTTCCCGGGTTCAAGCCATCGTTCAAGCGATTCTCCTGCCTTAGCCGCCAGCTGGGATTACAAGCGTGCACCACTATGCTCAGCTAATTTTTGTATTTTTAGTAGAGACAGGGTTTTGCCATGTTGGCCAGGCTGGTCTCAATCCTGGCCTCAGGTGACTGCCTGCCTTGGCCTCCCAAAGTGCTGGGATTACAGATGTGAGCCACCTCACCCCTTCTTAGTGATTTTTAATATGTATGTAAAAAAAGTAATTGCGATTTTTGCCATTACTTTCAATAGCAAAAACTGCAATTACTTTTGCACCAACCTAATACTTTTTTTTTTTTTTTTTTTTTTTTTTTTTTTTTGAGACGGAGTCTCGCTCTGTCGCCCAGGCTGGAGTGCAGTGGCGGGATCTCGGCTCACTGCAAGCTGCAAGCTCCGCCTCCCGGGTTCACGCCATTCTCCTGCCTCAGCCTCCCAAGTAGCTGGGACTACAGGCGCCCACCACTACGCCCGGCTAATTTTTTGTATTTTTAGTAGAGACGGGGTTTCACCGTTTTAGCCGGGATGGTCTCGATCTCCGGACCTCGTGATCCGCCAGCCTCGGCCTCCCAAAGTGCTGGGACTACAGGCGTGAGCCACCGCGCCCGGCCCCAACCTAATACATTTTTATTAACTATAGTCAGTATGCTGTACAACAGATCTTTTGAAGTTATCCTTCCTATATAACTGAAATTTTGTATCCTTTCACCAACATCTCCCCAATCCACTCCTTCACTCCCACCTACCCAGCCCCGGTAAGCACTATTCTACTCTCTGCTTCTGAGAGTTCAATTGTTTTAGAGTCCACAAGGAAGTGAGGTCATAAGGTATTTGTCTTTCTGTGCCTGGCTTATTTCATTTAACATAATATTCCTTAGATTCATCCATGTTGCAAATGACAGGATTTCCTTCTCTTTTAAGGGTGACTACTATTCTATTTGTGTATATACCACATACTTCTTTATCCATTCATCTGTTGCTGGGCACTTAGGTTGATTCCACATCTTGGCTGTTATGAATAATGCTGAAATGAACATGGGGGTGCAGATATCTCTTCAACATACTGATTTAATTTCTTTTGTATGTATCACCAGCAGTGGGATTGCTAGATCATAAGATAGTTCTATTTTTAATTTTTTGAGGAACCTCCATAGTGTTTTCCATGATGGCTGAACTAATTTACATTCTCATCAACAGTGTCCAAGTGTTCCCTTTTCCCCACATCCTTGCCAGTATTTGTTATATTTTGTCGTTTTGATAATAGCCATTCATCAGGTATGAGGTGATCGCTCATTGTGACTTTAATTTGCATTTCCCTGATGATTAGTGGTGTTGAGCATTTTTTCATACACCTGTTGGTCACTTAAATATCTTCTTTTGAGAAATGTTATTCGAGGGCTTTGCCCATTTTAAAATCAGGTTATTTGTTTTCTTGCTATTGAGTTATTTGAGTTCCTTATATACTTTGGATAGTAGCTCTTTATCAGATGTATGGTTTACAAATATTTTCTCTCATTCTGTAAGTTGTCTCTTCACTCTGTTGACTGTTTCCTTTGCCATATAGAAGCTTTTCAGTGATGTAACCACATTTGTCTATTTTTGCTTTTGTTGTCTGTGCTTTTTCACAGATACGTAGTTTTCAGTGTACAGGTCTTTCACCTCCTTGGTTGTTAAATTTATTGCTAAGTATGTTTTTGGTAGCTGTTACAGACAAAATTATTTTCATTGATTTCTTTTACAGATAGTTTGTTGTTAGTATATAGAAATGCTACTTTTTTATGTGATTTTGTATTCTGCAACTTTACTGAATCTGTTTATTAGTTCTAACAGTTTTTTTGTGGAGTCTTTAGGGTTTTCTATACATAAGATCATGTCACCTGCATACAGCAACAATTTAACTTCTTCCTTTACAAGTTGGATGCCTTTTATTTCTTTCTCTTGTCTAACTGCTCTAGCTAGGACTTCTAGTACTATGTTGAACAGAAGTGGAGAGAGTGGGCATCCTTGTCTTGTTCCTGATTTTAGAGAAAAAAGCTTTCAATTTTTCACTGTTGAGTATGATGTTAGCTACAGGTTTGTCATATATGGCCTTTATTTGTATTATATTTTAACAACTAGAATTACTAGAAAAAACTAAATTAGATTTTTGTAAACAATGTGCCAATTGTAAGCACAAAATAATGACTAATAAATTTTTCCACCCAAAGATATTGCTGGTAATTGTTAGACTTTAGGGAAAAGTCTGTAAAGAGAGTCAAACCTATGTTTTCTACCTACCTCCTCCCAGCTTCAATGATTGAATTATTATGTGTATGCTACTGAAGTTCTTTTTCCTAAGCAATTTAAAATTTTATCCCAATAGTCCTGCTTATACTAGTAACAAATTATTTTTTCCTGAAAATAGTACAAACTCAAAACTCAGCTCATATCAAATTATAATGAATCATTATTAGATATAAGTTTATGAGGTTTTATTAATATTATTTTGATAGTTTTCATTTTATAATGAGAAATTTAGAAATATTACCTTTTTTGAAACTAGATCTAATAAGATGTGAATATATAATAAAATTATTAATTTGATAAAGAAAATTCATGGCTTTTGTAAATATGACAATATTGTTTCAATACCTTTGTGAAGTCATAATTCAGTATTTTAAAATTCACCAAAATAGTTTATACTTTTACACATATCAATGTTAAGAAAGCAAAATAAGGGAAACCACCATATTTTGAACCCACCCTAGATATTACAAATTGAAATCTCACCTTGGCAAAACGTAGCACCAGTTGCTTAAAATGGAATGTCTCTCAATGACAGCATGCTTGTTAGCATGAAAATCCTTTATAATACTCTGGGAAATCTCAAACTCTTTTAGCTTTTAATAGAAATAAGATTTGTAAGTCCTCAAATCATTTGGCAAAAAAGGAAACATTTTAAAAGATACATATTTGTTACACACACACAGTAGGTTATAAAGTAGATTTAAAGACTTAAGTTACATTGAATCATGCATAACCACTTTACATAAGTAGTCAAAGTTGCAGCTCACCCTGCTTCTCCTTTATACAATATATGAAGTATTTCATGCTTTCCCTCTTACCATCCAAGCCCAAACTCCTATTTTGCAGTGATTTTAGTTGGTTTTCAGGTGGTTTTTTTAATTATGTTAATTTGCAGGAAGTTGAATCTCTTCCAAAGGAAGGTGTTCATATTTTAAAATAATAGCTTTTAACCTCAATTGTTTTTTTAAATGGAGGATGAGTAAGGGAATTATACCTCCATCTGGTCTTTTGGAGGAGAAAAGACAGAGCCAATGCTCCAGTCTCCTTTTATACCCCTCCCAGCTTCCTAGAACACTTTCTTCCCTGTTCCTCAAGTGTCCTCCCTGTAGGGCATTTTGGCTTGTATTTAACCTACAAGAGTTTGCCAATTACAGCTCTCTTACCCTGGAAAATCTCCCTGAGAGGCACTGTTCCAGTTAGCCAAAGATATAAAGAGACCTCAAGGAGGGTGAAAAAATAAAGTATTAATGGGTGAAAGGACACTATATTAACATTAGACAGAATGATTCATAAACCCTTACCCCATTCTTAACCAACCACCTAACATCTTTTGGGAAACAATGTTCTAACTTCGCTGCCTACTACTTTTCAAGGAAGTCCAACTAAACTGGACAACTTTTTATTGCCTGGACTCCTACCAATAAGGTCCTAATGCCTGGATCTAGACCCATCTTCTCCATGTCCAGTGACTGATCCTTCTCTGAGTTCCTATGTCATTCATTAAGACTAATGGAAATGGAGGAGCAGGGAAGAGCAGAAAACATGAATGCAGGAAGAGGAAGATAAGATATGCTAGTTACGTTGTGAGGTAAAAGAGCAAGGACACGCAGAATGAATAAGGACACATATTTTCCTGTGCACAAGAGATAAATCTTGCACTGTGATGTACTGTGCTTAAGAGATCAGTTGCCTGAAATGTGTGATAAAAACATGGTTAGAGGAGGCATGGTTATGAATGTCAGAAAAGACTGGTTGCAGAGGGAGGACTAAACTGAGAGAAAACAGAACTTAAAATTGAATTCACAGAAGGTAGGTATCAGGTTCAAATGTTTAAAGTTTATGGGTTCCCACATACACCTACTTATATAGCTTGAGTATACATCCTCTGGGTACTTTCTACAGTATTCAGAGACTCAAGTCGATTGCTGCAGGGACCTCAGTAAGTACCAGTACTTATTGTTTACATTGGTCTTTCTCAACACAGATTAAAGACTGGCAAACCACCCAGCTGTTCACCATATACTCCAAGAGACTGCGAATGCTAACCCTTTGTATTTCTTTATTTAGCAAATATTTATAAAGTGCCCTTATATGATGACTAAAACCATACTGAAAAGCAGGTATTCAATAAATATTATTTTCTCCTTATAACGCCAATCTGAACAATTTAGACTTAATTTTCTCTAGGCAATGTTGAAATACTAAAGATATTTAGGCTGGGGACCTTTGTTTTAGAAAGTGAACTCTGTTGACATTGTAAGGAAAAATTAGATAATAAACTTGAAGGAGAAAGGCTGGAAACAGGCCCATATGGAGACTGGTTTAATAGTTCAAGTAAAAAAAGAGAGTCTGAATTAGAGCAACATAAATGGAGGCAGAGAGGAGTCCATTTCAGAGACCACAGTAGGCTATTAAAGACTAACTGGAAAGAGAAAGTGAGAAAGAGGGAAAGCCAAGGATAACTCTGAAGTATTTAGGTAGGTAAATTATTGACTGCTGATGCCACTAATGAAAAGAATAATTACACAGGGGGAACAGATTTGGGGTTGAGGAAGGTGACACATAAATACATTCAGTTTTAGACATAATTGGGTCTGACTGCCATTAGTACATTCATTTGAAAGTATCCAAGAGATGACAGAAAAGTTACAACTATACAAGAATATTTGGGAGGTACTGGTGTATAGGCTGAAGCTACTGAAATGGGTAAGCCTGCTAAGGAAAAGAGGGCTGAAAATGGAACCCTAAGAAACAGCAACATTTAAAATGATAAATGAATGAAGATAAATGAATTCCAGGAGATTCTAGAAAAATCAGTTTCAGATAAATCAAGAGAGGAGATTATTTCAAGAAGAAAAGTGTGAAAAATATTATAAGTGTTTCAAAGATTTCACATATGATTCCCTCAGACATTTTCTTTTTCTCTTAATTCCTCAAGTAACATAGTTCCTATAACACAAATTTTGATACTCCATTAACAAACATTGTTTTTTAATGTATTTTTATTTAACATATATTAGGTTTCTATTTCTGTAAGGCTCTATGGGACATACAAATTTGAACCAAAAAACCTAAGGCTAGGTGAAGGAAGCATGGTACAGCAGAAAGGACAGAGTTGAAGGACAAACTCAGATCCTGAATCTCTTACTACCTTTATGATCCAGAGCAACTTACTTAACTGCTTTGTGTCTTAATTTACTTATTTATAAAATAATAACAATAGCTATCATTTTTTAACCTCTACTGCCAGGTACTATGCTAGGCCCTTAATGTACTTTACACCATAACCTCCTTACAACCCTAGAAGGGATATCATTATCTCCAATTTATAAGAAAAATGGAGATTCTGCGAGATTAACTAACATGCCAAAGAGGCACTGCCAGTAAGTGCCGATCTGAGAATTTTAATGTGATTCTAGGCCTACACTGAATTTTCTGGGTATGTGAATATTAACCAGTACTCAGTAAATGTTCCCTTCTTCTGGTAAGTTTTATGTGTGCATGCTCTTCTTTCTTCTGACCTAGATAAAACATTCTGGGAGGAAAAGGTGTTTTCCATCAGCACTTGGCATATATACATAGTAGTACCCAGTAAATATCCATCTACGAAATAAATAGAAATTTGTTTCGAGGCACTCATTTCCCAAATTTTCCATATAATTAAATTTCAAAGCAAACAGTTTAATATTACATAATGCTTTTCTGAAATATATCCCTCATGTAACTGTGGATTCAATTATAATCTCAATGCACCAAACAGTAAAATGGCAACTTGTGCATATAAATTCCTTTAAGAAACATTTAATTACTTCCAGGAAAGCATTATTTTAAAGTTTAGCACAGTCCAAAATTTGAGAAATGAGTAAATTACTGTTTCAATTACCTCTTAAATTTTTTTATCTCTATTTAAATTGTAAAGATAAGGGCTGAAATCCCATTTTTCATAATGAATTATAATAAACTGCTTCAAAATTTGTCTAAATAGGGTCAAAGGTCAGGATTTAGAAAACTACTCCAATCTCTAGCCCAGAGGAATTAAAAAAGAATTTAGAAACAAAAGTCACCTAGTTCAAAAAATAAATTAGTCTTTCACTCCAGTCAATGCTCCATTCATTCCATAAATCTTTACTAAAGTGAGTGACAGGCACTAGAGTAGGCTCCTATGATAGAAAGATTAATAAGACACAGACCTTCCCTCTAGGACTTCTCAGTTGAATGAGACATTTGCATAGATAATATGTGATAAACAAGGTAGAGAGCACCAAGAGAGATGAGACTTAGGAGCTGGGGAATTCTTCAAAGGGGTGATGTCTGAGATAAGCCTTGAAAGATGAGCAGAAGAAAGGGAATTACAGGCTTAGACAACTGTGAGATCAAAGACATGGAAGGATGAAAGACCATACTATCTTTGAGAAACAATTCATAGTCTGGCTACTTGGAGAGCAGTAATGGGAGATGAGGCTATAAGTAAGATTGGTTTGGATCAGTTTGCTGAAGACCTTGTATATCATAGTAAACAGCTGAGATTTCATCTTATAGTCAATGGAGGCCATGGTAGATTTTTGAAAGGGGAAATGAAAGCAAACAAAATAAACTGGAGGGAAGAGAAACCAGAAACATCCTCCTTCTCACCTCTTCATCCTTATTTCTCCCCTCCCCACAACCTGACCTAATAACTATGAAAGAAAAAAACCAGAATCTCAGAACCCCAAACTCACTATGCCAAAGGGAACATTAAGCTTGGTAACTGAATCACACAAAAACAAAAAACAAACAAAAAACCCCTGCCTTCCTTTCATTCCCAGACAGCTTAGTTTCAGTTTATTACTGTAAATGTAGATTTACTGAGTGAGAGAAATGCATAATTGACTTTTCTGCTACCCCTTTTCATGTGTATAATGTAGATTCACTCAGCTGTAATCAAAGCCTCACAAGAATGTAACCATTTGCCTCATTGCCTACCCTCCTCCTCTTTTCTCCCCTTCCTCTTTCCCCTTCTGCTTGTTCTTTCCCCTTTAAATACTGAAGTCCTCAAAACCCTGTTTGGAAAAAGCATGGGGCACAGATCCTATTGTAACTTGTATTTCTTTTCCCTGGGCATGTCATCAACCTTGGCAAAATAAACCTGAGTCAACTGAGATCTGCCTCAGTCACTTTTTGGTTAACATAACCAATGCCAGATTTTAATAAAAGGAAAATTAAATGCAATTATCTTTTAGGCTCCATGGGGAATAAAAATGAATAACACAGGACCTAGAATCTCAAAAATTTTACAATTTAGTGGGAACATAGGTATATATGAAACTAATTTTTGTAGCAGTCAGAATGTGTAAGACATCATATCAAAAACATAAGTAAAAGTGAGATTCAGAGAAGCTGATGAACAATCATAATTTAGAGAATTGATTTAATTTAACAAGTACATGTTGAGTGTATAATGTTGAATAGAGGAGAGGAATGTTATTGCCCAATTTTTGGTGTTTCCTTCCATGCCCAGAAAGCTCTACTAACACATATTCCTGGAATCATTCTGCTCTGTCATTCATTCCTCCCTAGGGCATATGGATGGTGATATGGTTTGGCTGCACTGCCACCCAAATCTCATCTTGAACTGTAGTTTCCATAATCCCCACATGTTGTGGGAGGGACCCAGTGGGAGGTAATTTACTCATGGGGGCAGTTACCCTCATGCAGTTCTTGTGATAGTGTGTTCTCACGAGATCTGATGGTTTTATAAAGGGCCTTTCCCCCTTTGCTCTGCACTTTTCTCTCCTGCCACCTTGTGAAGAAGGACATGCTTGCTTCCCCTTCCACCATGACTGTAAATTTCCTAAGGCCTTCCCAGTCATGAGGAACTGTGAGTCAATTAAACCTCTTTCCTTTATAAATTATCTAGTCTTAGGTATTTCTTCAGAGCAGCATGAGAATGGACTAATACAGATGGTAAAATTGGGATGAATAACCAGGCATGCTGGCTCACCTCCTCCCCTTCCTCTTGGGAGTTGGCCTGCTGGCAGAGAGTGGTGTTCTGCATTCTGTTTGTCATATCAGAACGAGTGCCTGGTCTCCCAAGGGAGGCCTAAGGTTTTTCCACTACTGCAATAAGTGGGTGGGTAAGTCTGCCTAATTCTAAGGTTCAGATAAACCATGTCCTCCAAGAGCTGTTTTTCCTTTCCAGTAATGAACAGCATGACTATATATCCCAGTTCATGCATGTTGGGCCAGTATCTCATCAGGTTAGTGCCACTTTCACTCTCAGAAGCATCCTATTTTGAGGATAAATTATAATCTCACCCAAGTAATACAAGTGACATTCTGATCTCTATTTATGTCTTACTCCTCTGTCAATCTCTAAATTGGTTCAAACTGAGGTGTAGAACACAGAAGTATCATCTGTAGAAAATTCAAAGTTGAATAAGCCACAATATTAGTCTTCATGATGCTTCTTATAAGGAAATCAGAGGTATAAAAATAGAAATAAGCATGTGAGTATAAACTACAATTTGACTATCTGTCCCCTCCAAAACTCATTTTGGAATTTAATCCCCAATGTGGCAGTATTGAGAGATGGAGCCTTTTTTTTTTTTTTCCCCTCTAAGATGGAGTCTTGCTCTTCTGTAGCCCAGACTGGAGTGCAGTGGCATGATCTTGGCTCACTGCTACCTCTGCCTCCTGGGTCTCAGTTCTAGCAACTCTCCTGCCCCAGCCTCCCGAGTAGCTGGGATTACAGGAATGCACCACCATGCCCAGCTAATGTTTGTATTTTTAGTAGAGACAGGGTTACACCATTTTGGCCAGGCTGGTCTTATACTCCTAACCTCGTGATCCACCCACTTCGGCCTCCCAAAGTGCTGGGATTACAGGTGTGAGCCACCGTGCTGAGCCAATGTGGAGCCTTTAACAGGTGATTGAGTGATGAGGGCTTTGCCCTCATGAATGGATTAATCCATTCATGGATTAGTGGATTAGAAGGTTAATGAATTAATGGTTTATCATGGGAGTAGGACTCATGGCTTTATAAAAGGAAGAGAGACCTCAGCTTCCACACCCTGCCCTCTTGCTATGTGATGCCTTGTGCCACCTCAGGACTCAGCAGAGAGACCCTGAAAGCAAGAAGGTCCTCACCAGACATGGCCTCTATAACTTTAATAAATAAATTCATTTTCTTTACAAATTACCCAATTTCAGGTATTCTAAGCGACAGAAAACAAAGACAGTTTGGTACAGGAGAGTATGAGGGTTTAAATGAGGGTGGGAGATCACACACGGTTTGGAACCTTGGGAAGGTTCCTCATCAGTCCAAGATATACATGTCATGTTACCCATTCCAGTTATTTATATGCAGGTCATCTTCCCTACTGGCTTAAGTGATTCTCCAGGGCAGAAAAGTAGATCCTATTCATCTTGAACTTATCCATTGTCCTTTGTTACTTATCCACATAAGAGGTAATCAAAGAATTAAATGGAAATAAATGAATAGAGGAGTAGCATTTGAGTTGGCCCTTAAATGATGAGCAGGACACGTATAGCCAATCAGAGGGGCATTCTAAGCAAAGAAAGCATCATTTGTTCTATGCCTGGGGTTTCTCAACCTCCACACTATTGACACTTTGGGCTGGATAATTCTGTGGGTGGGGATAAGATGGCTGTCCTGTGCAGGGGAAGATATTCATTAGCATCCCTTCTCTGGCCTCTACCCACTAGATGTCAGTAGCAACACCATCCTTCCTCCACTGTGATAACCAAAATTGTCTCTAGACATTGCCAAATTTCTCATAAGGAGCCAATCATTCATTTCCCTGCCCTCAACCGCTTCCATTGAGAACTACTGGCCTAGAGGAAAGACAATAACATTGAGTGACACTAGTGTGTAAGGTTCTATGCTAGGTGCTATGGGAATCCACAAAATAAAAGACATATCCTTCTACTAAGAAGACAGAAAGTGTTATGTGTAAAAAATAGATGCAAAAAAATGCTACCAGAATATCAAGGGCAGGGGAATTAATATTAAATTTAGTAAGAGCTGAAATCATGCTTTTTATATTTGGAGGTGAAAGAAGAGGCAAGAAGTGGGTGCTAAGACAGGATAGGTTGTGGAGAGTCTCGGATACCATCTTAACAAAGTTTTTGAACAAAGGAATAATATGAAGACCTGTGTTAAATGGACAGAACAATATTTTCTTTGGGGAAGCAGATTTAGAATGACATAAATATATCAAGCATTTAATAATACAGATTTTGATAATAAAAACCTTTCTAGCACGCTTTATGTTAAAAATTAAAACCTAATCACGTTAGTAACAATAATAAATATAAAAAGTATATAGTAAATATAATAAAGTATAGAAATCACAATATATGGTACCTCAGGTGCTGGCAGTCTGATTGTGCAAGCTTCTATACTTAGACAAACTTGAGTTTCTGTTACATTGATGTTTAATACTGAAAATAAAATATTTAACTGTGAACTACCTGGAATTATTACTCTACTATTAAATTAAGTATTTTAGTAACAAAGGAAACTAACTTATTCAAGTCAAAAACAAGAACAGATTTTTTTCCGCACATGGTAAAATTCAAATAATAACCACTTAATATTTGACACTTTACAGATGAGACATCTAAAAGAGGACAAAGGTATGAAACAGCATGAATGTGTGTGGGGGGTGCAGGTCATAGGCAAGGTTAGAATAAAAAAAATGAGACACCCCACAGTTAAGAGAAAAATCCAACAAATACCTTACACAAATCTGACATATATTATATATATAAATATGGAGATTGTCCTCTTCTGTAATCTAAAGAGGTATCACACCATGTTTCTGACTTGAGTAGTCTTTTACTAACAAATATCCTCAAATATACTGGCAGATATATTCCAAATCTCCTAGAGCCTTGAAGTCTTTACCTTTCTTTTTCATAAAGAAAACTACTTCTGAAATGTCAGGATAGTGGTGACTTTGGGAAGGGTTAGTACATGAAAAAAGCATGAGGGGGATTCTGGGGTGCTCTTAATGTTGTTTCTTGATCTGAGAAATGGTTACAAGAATGTTTAGTTTGTTAAAATTCAATGAGCTAGACACTTAAAATTTGTGTATTACATTTCAATAAAAGTAAAAGAAAACAAATCCTAACACAGGAGTGAGGAATTTTCCTCTCCTAAACTGTTATTTTTAATCCCTACAGTTGTAGTCTCATGACAGTGTTTGGAGATGAAACTAGATGTAGGTAATGAACCCATTCACCCAGAGGTAGGGCACACTGACTGACACTACACAAATTAAACATACAACTAGTGCAAGGAGAGCAAACAGGCTTCAGCTGGAAAGTCAACCCAGATCTAATAGCTGTAGATTACAGGTCAGGATTTTAAGGCTATGCCCAAATGATGTGAAAAGCTACCATGATTGATTAATAATGTCTACGGTGGTGACTCAGGATTATCATCTATCTGCTATCTCTGGACTACTGTTTAGGAAAGTGTCTATCTGAAACACAACTGTGCAAATCAATGAAAGAACTGGATTAGGCCATGTAGTAAACTGTATACTTTAGATCATCTGTGTCTCTTTTTCCAATTTTTTAAGGAGAAAATGAATCCTATTCTTATAAGAAATAAAGTTTTGACTTACATCAGTACTAAAGAATTTTTGATGATATGATTCTGGAAACTATACATTATAAATGCCTACAGAATTAAACTCCTTCACAGTCATGATTTTCTTTAAAGTAGAGAGAATAAAAATATAGCTTTTTCCAATTAAGATGAATTTTTCTCATACAGTCTAGAATGTACATTTTGAATAAGAAGTGATTTCCCAGGTGAAATTCTGATTACAATAATATCTGATTAAGGTCTTATACAACCTAATTAATCAATAATTATACAACCCAATGATCTATGTTACTGGTTTTTTTTTTTTTTTTTTTTTTTGAAATAGGGTCTTGCTCTGTCACCCAGGCTGGAATGCAGTGGCACAATCATGGCTCACTGCAGCCTCAACCTCCTGTGCTCAACTGGCTCTCCACTTCAGCCTCCCAAGTAGACGGGGCTACAGGTGTGGTGCCTGGCTAATAATTTTGTAGAGATGGGGTCTTACCATGTTGCCCAGGCTGGTCTTGAACTTGTGGGCTCAAACAATCTACCTACCTTGGCCTCCCAAACCGTTGGGATTACAGGCGTGAGCCACTGTGCCCAGCATATGATACTGTTTTCTTTAGCAACTATGAATTATATTGTTTTATCTATTGACTTATGCATTTTTACTTACCAACAGCACTTTGTTTTCCCATCTGAGAAAGAAAATCTCTTCCTTAAAAAATTCATAGAATATGCCATGTTATTACAACTCATAAATAATCATGCTTGATATTTATAACTATGCTTGATGTGAGATTATCAAAGCTAAAGAAAATACTTTAAAATGCAGTTGTTATATAAAGTAATACCTGATGACAGCTGAAAAAATATAATCATTCAAAAGGTATCTCTTCAATTAAAAGAATGGAAATACCCAATTCTTCCCCCAAATGTCTATTTCCTGCTATAAAATATTTAGAAAACAGTCAGACTTCAAGAAAAATTCAGGATAGCTTCTCAGTTTTAACAGTATTGTGCTCATTTTATCATACTGCTTTGTAACTTACATTTATTCCTAAGTATCAAGTATTACATACTGATTTTTTTAAAGAAACATCAGGCCTCTGTATATAATCCCAAAGTAAAGAAATGACATTTATGTTGTTGTGGGCTTGCTTGAGATTGCTTAATTGGGTCAGTTTTAAGAGTTATTTTCTAAAAATTGTATATCTTAAAATTAAGAACAGATGCACATTCATATGGTTTGGCTGTGTCCCCATCTGAATCTTGAATTGTAGCTCCCATAATTCCCACATGTTGTGGGAAGGACCCGGTGGGAGATCACTGAATCATGGGGGTGGGGCTTCCATGTGCTGTTTTCATGATGGTGAATAAGTCTCATGAGATCTGATGGTTTTATAAAGGGGAGTTCCCATGAGCATGCTCTCTTGCCTGCTGCCAAGTAAGATGTCCCTTTGCTTTTCCTTCATCTTCCGCCATGATTGTGAGGCCTCTCCAGCCATGTGGAACTGTGAATCCACTAAACCTTTCCTTTATAAATTTTCCAGTCTCCAGTATGTCTTTATTAGCAGCATGAGAATAGACTAATACACACATAACAGACGTAATCTAGTTCAGAAAGCCCCAATGACTAAAAAGATAAAGTTACCTTGTATCAAGAGATGACCAGTTCTATTCCAGGCTGGAGCAAGTCTAGCCATGAATGAATATGACAGGCAGTTCTGAAGAATTACAGGAATTACTCTTTGTGGAGCCTCCATCTAAAAATATTAAATGGCAAAATATGGGCCAATTTAGAACAATTGCTGTGTATGCATATACTAATAGGAAATGACTGCCCATTTAGATCACCACCCAACAAACTCGGGTGTTCTAGGTAAAACTTATAGCCATTGCTAGAGCTAATCCCATCTGGTTCTAAAGTTAAAGAAGTGTTAAAATATATTCACTTCAAAACCACTACTATTGTCATGCTATCATGGCCAAATACTACCTGCTGACCCTGGCCAGTAAGTCTAAATCTTGGGAGTTCTGTGCTAAAACCCTTGATCTTCACTTTGTATTCTGCTCCACAAAGAGAAATCCAAACAAGGACAAACTTGTAATCGTTCTCATTATTGTTCACTCTGTTCCTGGACCAAACTGAACGTTGGGCTGCTATTTCTTGCAGCCCAATAACGAGATGCAAATGAACTGGGGAGGAAGAGAGTTTTTATTTTCTGCAACTGGTTACAAGGAGAAGGCCTGGAAATTATTGCCAGACAAACTCAAAATTACAAAGTTTTCCAGAGCTTATACACCTTCTAAGCTATATGTCTATGTGTAAGTGTGCATTTATCTAAAGACATAAGTGATTAACTTCTTTTAATCTATAACTAAGGTCTGAGTCCTGAAGACCTTCCTGTGGAGCCTCATTAAGTTTACTTAATCTAAATGGGTCTAGGTGCTGAGGTGACTACCCTTATCTTGTCTCCTGCTAAATCATAAAGGTTTGGGGAGTTCCTTTAGACCCCAATAAACTTGTTTATGGAGGCCTGGGGAGTTTCTTCAGACTCACAATAAAACTTGTTTAATCCTAAAAGGGTCCGGTTAAGAATTCCTTCGTTATCTTGTCATGCTTCAAGGCCCAGGAAAAGCCTAGGCAAAACTCTTGGTGGGCTCTTTGTTACATTCCAGCCTTTGTATAAGGGCATGGGCTCAATTAGCTTTTAATGTTTAACCTTGCTACTCAGTCAGTGCTGGGACAGTTGTAATGGAGGCCTGAGTTAGTGAGACCTTGCCTGCCACAACTGTAGAAAACAATACATACTTACATGGGCACACGCAACCAAGAGAATATCTCTATTTGTATAATACAAAATTAATTTTAAAAATTAAGATTTTCACTTAAAATTAAGACCAATAAGTAATAGGAACCAGATTTATCCTCCCACTTGAAATGCCTAAAACACCAGGCAAGTTATACGAAATAACAGTTCACAACATATCCGACATCAGGCAACAAAGAAAAGTGATCCCCAAAAGATGGGAAATGAACAAGATAAGTCCTAGGATTTCCCCAGCTTCTTGATGATAGAGGGTTTCTAGGCTGCAGTACAGAGCAGGGGAACCTAGGAACAGGCCAGTAGTCTCCCTGAATTGAGGAGACAGAGCTGAGAGTCTAGGAAGCTAGAGTTTTCAGTGCGAAGTATGGGAGCTGCACAGAAAGCAAACTCTGGAGGTCAACAGAGAGTCTCTTTTGAGTAATCAGCTGAGTATGGATTAGCACAGACATGTGAGGAAGCTACCCAAGGCTGGAGAAAGAGCCAAGGCTGTTTGGCATATAAACATCCTTGAAAATACAGTCCAGAAAAAATTGCTGGCTTTGCCTCTGTGAAAAAGGACATGCAGAAGCATGAGAAAGCCGAGGAAAATTGTCTCCCAATATTATCCATCTCTAATTTTTGTACCATTTTGACTTCTGGTGAATGTTTCCAGGACATAACTGAATAATCTATTGGCAGAGGATGGAACCAAATTTCTTCAGTTTGTCTCATACAGAATTTAATTAAGGACTATCATTAGGACTCCATAATGCTGACCTCAAACATGGCCCCAGGGGCCCAGACCCAAACAGCTGTACAAATCCCATAAACCACCAGGGTCTTCCTCAGAAGGCCAGGTGGATTTCTCTCTTAATTTCTGTATTGACTTTCTCTATGGCCCAAGGAATTAATCCAGATACAGCAAAATCTATCAGCACAGACTCAGCCTTGGCATGCAAAGAGGAAGTATGGGGCAATTCTGTCATTCATAACCATCCTGCTTGGTGACCTGGATGCCTTGCAGTGCAAAGATGGTGTGAGTTATCACTTCAGCTAAAGTCAAGGACAAATTCTCTACCACCTTTTCTA
Organism: Homo sapiens; assembly: GCF_000001405.40. Taxonomy (NCBI): domain Eukaryota; kingdom Metazoa; phylum Chordata; class Mammalia; order Primates; family Hominidae; genus Homo; species Homo sapiens. The sequence goes on along the minus strand of NC_000018.10, from coordinate 74,325,813 downwards.
TGTGAGTGACTCCCATTGCAGGGAAAACTGCTTTCAGGATGGGCATGAACAATGGATTGTTATCTCTCTAAGAAACTCCTCCAAAATAACCAAGGGCAGCCTCATTTTGGAAAGTTTGCAGCAATTGCCTAAGGGCTATGAATAGAACTTCAAGGAGAAACAGAGAAATTCATAATTACAGGTAAAGACTTCAATACTGCTCTCTTAATAACTGATACAAGTGAACAGAACATAAGTGAGAATATAGCAGACTTAAAAACACTATCAACCAATGTGACCCAATAAACATTTACAGAATACTTGATGACACATTCATAGAATACTCATTCTTCTCAAATGGACAAGGAACATTTACTAAGATAGACTATATTCTGGAGCATAAAATAATCTCAATTAATTTAAAAAGATTCAAGTTATAAAGAACGTATTCTCTAACAACAATTACATTGGAAATCAACAGCAAAAAGATCCCTGGAAAATCCTCAAATATTTGGAAACTATATAACACACTTCAAAATAACCCATAGATCAAAAAAGAAATCAAACAGGAATTAGAACGTGTTTTTTAACTGAAGAAAATCAAAACAAAACGTGATTAGGAAGAAATATATAGCACGAACGTGTTTAGGAAGAAATGTCTCTATATTACAAAACAAAGAAATTCTCAAATCAATGACCTCAGCTTCCACAATAAGAAACTAGAAAAATAAGACCTATAAGATTACCAAGGGCAGAGACTTTATCTGGTTCACAGCTTTATCCCCAGAATCAAGTAGAGTGCTTGACATGTTACAGATGTTCAATAAATATCTGCTGATTATGATTATGTGAAAAGTATTCATATAAAGAAAAACTGAGCATAACCATAAAGGCTCAATGAGGGTAGAAAACCAAGTGATACTGGAAGAAACCTTGTGAATAATAAAGAATTCAGGGTTGGAAAGTCTAGTGAAGGTAACAAAAATTTAGTTTATAGGAATAGAAACTGAGACACATGGAAAAAGGATAAGAGTGTAAACAGAAAAATCTTAAACATTTTGGAAATATGACAGCTTGTACTGATGAAGTCACAGGTGTGAATTAACAAGGTGGAGGAAAAATATAGGACAAAGCATTTTTATTATTGTATAAGGACTATGGGTGATATTTTCTTAATTTTTCATTTTTTCTTGTAAAGTACACATAAAAATGATGATGCTTAGTATAAATGTTGCTTTATTAAATCAATACAGTAAGTCCTCATTTAATGTCATTGATAAGTTCTTACAAACCATGACTTTAAGCAAAATGACATATAACAAAACCAATTTTGTTATATTGGTTTTGGCTATTGCTAAAACTATACGCTGATATAAATAAAAGTTCCTATGGCATAGTTCTGGTCACCAAAAATCACCAAGCTTTTAAATAAAGACCAAAAACACTTGTAATATTAACATTGAAATAAATGTAAGCTATACATACATTTAAGACAGATTAATAAAAACAAGTAAGAATTATTTACCCAATTTTTGGTGAATCAGTGAATGACAGTGGTAGTAGTGGCAGTGGGTAAAATCAAGGAATAAATGTTTGCAAAGCGAAAATTGTAAGGAGCACCTCCTACTACCACACGGTTCAAAACAATCACAAATATGACAGGCTCCCTGAGTGCTTTTGTACCGCGTCATTTACTGTAGTGCATCTGTATGATTATTGTATACTTTACGAACATTTATTTTATAATTTGTATTCATGCAGCAATTTATTCATTTATTTTACAATTAGCTTATTCTAATTCAGGGTGGTGGGTGGCCAGAGCCTATCCTGGCAGCTCCAGGTGCAAGGTGGGCACCAGCCCTGCACAGGACTCCATTCCATTGCAGGGCAAACACACACATACCCACACTTACTCAGCCTGGGACACTTTATACATGCCAATTCACTTAATGTGTGCATATTTGGGATGTGGCAGGAACCTGGAGTATCAAAAGAAAACCCACCCAGACAAGGGGAGAAGGTGCAAACCACACAGACAGTGGCCTTGGCTGGGAACTGAATTATTTTCCTTTCTCATTAATGTTATATTGAAACAACGTTGAACAAAATTAATTTACTCAAGGATCTGCTATACTAAAATGTTACCTATTCTTAGGCCTTAATAAATAATAGAATATGGTAGAGATTGCTTAAAGACCCAAGTCCTAGTTCTAGGTGAATGACATACTATAAATCTGGTTCTCATAGCTAGCTTGTAAATGGCCTTTCAAGATAACCAGAATCCTTAGATGACCAAAGACTTGTCTCAGCAAAAAGATGTAAACATATTCTTTCCTCATTGCTCCTGAATAATACTGTTTTCCCACAGATTGTAACTGATGGCTGGAACCAGCTTTCAGGTCATTCAAAGATTTCTCAGGGAACTGGAAAGTGTTATTGACATTTTACTTCCCTAGGACCTAAAGGCAACATCTCATTTTAAAGATGACTAGAAACCTCATTATTCCAAACTCTACTAGACTTAGGAACAGAGGCCAGCAATAACAGCTGTTGCTTCTGGGATAACCAATGACACAGTGTCTCAGAGTTACATGCAGAGGCATGAAAGGAGCTCTAGTCAAGGCTTCATGACTTACTGAGACACAGAGAGGTCTCAGTAAATGAATACTAACCACTGTATTCATCTTTCTCTTTGTGAAGATCCAGAAGCTCATCACCATGTAGAATACAATCTATAGTATTTTATTTCTCTACATATTAGCTATATAATGTGGACAATAATCCCAACTCTGGGTTTATCTGTGAAAATGACGAGATTCACTTATCTGAAGATGTATATGGCAAATAAGATTATGCCACATAAAATGCCTGAAATAAAGCATCCAACAAAAAAGCCTCTTCTCCTCTTTCTGCACTAATTGTGCACATAATAATTGTTAGAAAAAATTTGTTGGGTTCTTTCATACGCATAACAATGGTCTATGAGAAAGATACTCCAGTTTTTGTTTGTTGACAAAAGGAGTGGAACGTATAATCCCTATAAACAACATATGGTATTAATATCATTTTTTAACACTTACCTTAGCTCCATATTTTTCAACATAGGCATTAAGTTTTCTTGCTTTATAAAATGGTATCTGTAACAAAAATCCACATTTATAAAAAGGACTTAACATATATATATATAATTAAATAATGCAATAAAGATTTTAAGCATTATTCTACAGAGGGCAAAGAATCAGGCCATCATCCAATTAGGGTTTGTGCCTTGGAGAAGAAGTGATGATCATTCTCTCCCTGAATTGGAATCTGTGGGCACATTTTCAAAGTGAGGAAAGCCTTTCTAGGAGTGACATGACCCCAGTATCCATATAAAGGAAAAGGTCAATAAATTTTGTATAATCAATATTTAACGCCTTTCTTAATATAGAATTCTTAGGCATGAATAAGGAAAATGGACATAAACGGAAGATCATGTTCAAAGGCCTAAGTGCTCCAACTTATTAATAAAAGGAATACAAATTAAAGGAAAATATTATTTGTAACCTAACAGACTGACAACTATTTAAAGGCGTGAATATCTACAGTGTTCGTGAGGGTATGGAAAAACAGGTTTCCTCCCAGACTATTTGTTAACATGCAATCCGGCAAAAAGCTTTTCAGACAGCAATTTAGCAGTATCTATATTATAGTTTAAAGTGTATTACAAGCTACCTCTAAAAATGTAACCGACAAATTATCAGACAAATAAAAGTGATACAATTTCAATGATGCTTTCTGAAACACTGTAAGAGCACAGACTCAGATGTGCACTGGAAAGTATTAAGTAAATTACTATACATCCATACAATGAAATATTTCACAGCCTTAAAAGTGAGGAAGATATGTGTACTGACATGGAAAGATATCCAGGAAAGGTTGTTAAAGGGGAAATGAATGGCAAGTTTCAAAATAGTATGTATGTAATCCCATTTTCTACTTTTAAACATCAACTTTTTTTTTTTTTACAGAATACCTTTGTAAGAAAGCAATACATTTTTTAAAAACAGATAGCTACTTTCCTCTTATCGCCCTTGCTTAAATTCACATTCTTGAATTTACTAGTACTCTAAAATAATGTCCTTGTTCCATAAAGATGTTTAGGTAGAAAAAGATACAAATAAGATATTAATTTACCTGTTCACCAACAGCTTGCCTTTTAAAAAAACTATAGTAAGAATAAGAAAATATGGCTGGGCACGGTGGCTCAAGCCTGTAATCTAAGCACTTGGAGAGGTCGAGGTGGGAGGATTGCTTGAGCTCAGGAGTTCGAGACCAGCCTGGGAAACACAGGAAAACCCTCTCTCTACACAAATACAAAACATTAGCTGTGCATGTTGGCATGCACCTGTAGTCCTAGCTACTCGAGAGGCTGATGGAGGAGGATTGCTTGAGCCTGGGAGGTGGAAGTAGCAGTGAGTCGAGATGGAGCCACTGCACTCCAGCCTGGTCAAGAGAGCCATATCCTGTCTCAAAAAAAGGAAGGAAGGGAGAGAGAGAGGGAGGGAGGGAGGGAAAATACGAGGTGGACATATAACCAAGACCTAGGAGAAAAATAAAAGAACTAAACTTTTAGATGATTTATCAGCATTGTCAATAAATGCTGATTTCACTGGATTCTGGGAATTAAAATATCAGAAAAACAGAATTTCCAGGAAGATTTTTGATAAAAATCTCAGGATAATATGATTTTTAGAAAGATTTTTGGCACTTCGCTATAATTCAGGGTTACATACAGAATTGGGAAATATCTTTCTAATACTAATTTTAAAATTTTAAGTGTAAAAATAATTTTAAATAAAATGTTCCATTAGAAGAAATGTTGATCCAAGTTCTTTAAAAACAACTGGAGATTTGTTGAAATGAGAAATTTTTTCCTTTTAGTCTAAAGAATAAAATATGATAAAATGTATCAAGCCCATGCTATCTTAAAAATTATACTGTAGCATGTTTTATTCATTAACAGTCTTTATCTTAGCATTTATAATGAGAAAAATAAATGTTAAATTAGAACCACAAAAATGGATTTTAAGCATCAGGCATTTCAATATTAGTTTGTTAATAATCCAATTAACCTGTAACACATTGTGATTAATCAATTAATCCTCATAAACATCTTAACTTTAGCTATAATACCTAAATTATTATTTATCAATATTGTTCTCAACTAGTAATAACATTTCACAAAATATTAAAATACTAACCGCCATCACCACCCAGATTTGGTTTAATATTCCAGACACAGGTGATGTAAGAATATCTTGATGCAAAAACAGCAATTGCCTGTGGAGATGAAATATATTACAAAGTGGACTGGTATGGTTTGGTTCTGTGTCCCCACCCAAATCTCATGTTGAATTATAATCCCCAGTGTTGGCAAGGGACCTGGTGGGAAGTGATTGGCTCATGGCGGCGGATTTCCCCCCTGTTGCTCTAGTGATAGTGAGTTCCCATTAGATCTTGTTTAAAAGTGTGTAGCACTTCCTCCCCCCACCTCTCTCTCTTGCTGCCATTAGAAGAAGGTGCTTGCTTCCCCTTCACCCTTCTGACATGATTTTAAGTTTCCTGAGGCCTCCAATCATGCTTCCTGTTAAGCTTGCGGAACTGTGAGTCAATTAAACCTCTTTTCTTCATAAATTATCCAGTCTTAGGTAATTCTTTACAGCAGTGTGAAAACAGACTAATACACTCACTATCCGTTTTTACTCTATTGGAACATTTTAAACCTTTGCTTAGCTAAAACGTTAAGTTTCTCCTAGGCAACAATTGTGTTAGAGACTCTCTCCCCACACTTTGCATAGCACCTTGAACAGTGTAGGTGTAGGTACTCAGGCAATATTTGACTTAAGAGAATTAGGAAGTTTTAGATACTAATGCTAACTTGAGAACTTGTCCCCGCATCTGAATTTCCCAATCTCTTTCATCTGTGAACCTAAATTCATCTTTTAGAACTCAATTTTTGTCCTATATACTTGAAGAAATCTACACACAGTGAAGAATCTGTCTCCTTTAACTCCTATTTCTTCCATTTTTCCTTTAAAATAAAAAAAAAGGTGGTGGGCAGGGGGCACCAGAGGCAAGAGTCTAAGGATTCACCTATCAGTGAAGTTACCAACCACTTAAACATTTAGAACTACTGACTAAATCCTTTTCCTTCAGAAAGGAAATTCTTCCCAAGCCAGAAAGAACTGGGTAGTGGTTTCAACAGCCAAATGAACTTAAAACAAACATCATCAGAATCAAATTACCATTAATAATTTCATTTCAAGGTTCAAGGGAAAGATAGGAAAAACACAAAAAGAATACAACTGGAAATCTGAAAACCTTCAACATTACTAATCATCAAAGAAACAAATTAAAATAACCATTAGGATGTGTATGGGGTTACCTTAAAAAGCAACACGGGCCAATCTGTTTCTGGTGGCTTCATATTTGTTGGAACCAAGGTATATCAGGTACTTGCCTTGGCAAGGCCTGCCATTACCTGACACAGCCAAATGCTACTAGAGAGAGCCAAATGCTATTCAAGACTCTCTGTCAATTACCGGGAGGGTGAGTGAAGATAACCCCACTCTGTGGGAATGGCTGCCTTCAATTTGAGGACAAGCAGAAGAAAAACCTCACTTTAGGTTTTCTACCTATTTTAGTATTTCCAAAAGGAGTCACAGATTAAGTCCTTAACAGGTATCATATTATACTTTAGCAGGAAGGGTACAGGCTCCCTGATGCCCCTGGGTGGGAAAATATGCAATGGAGAGAAGAAAAACTTTGTAAATAAGACGAAAATGAAGGACACCCCAAAAGTGGCTTCCTTATTTCTTGCCTCTGGGTATCTTCTAGTTGTTTGTTCTTCTCTAAGCAATTCATTTAAATATAGAATCTTCTCATGTTTTCTATGACTCTTCCTTTGAGTGCCTCAAACAATTTAAAGGAGGGTCCTCAGTAATCATGGAATTATACTTTAGGTTTCCTCTAAGCTGCTTTTCTTTCCTTTTTTTTTTTTTCTGAGACAGAGTCTCGCTCTGTTGCCCAGGCTAGAGTGCAGTGGCACAGTCTTGGCTCACTGCAACCTCTACCTCCCAGGTTCAAACGATTCTCCTGTCTCAGCCTCCTGAGTAGCTGGGATTACAGGTGCCTGCCACCATGCCCAGCTAATTTGTTTTATTTTTAGTAGAGATGGGGTTTCACCATGTTGGCCAGGCTGGTGTCGAACTCCTGACCTCGTGATCCGCTCACCTTGGCCTCCCAAAGCACTGGAATTACAGGTGTGAGCCACCACGCCCGGCCCTCTTAAGCTGTTTTTCAACGACTATGTGGGATCAGATATTTTGAGACAGATCCTAGAGAAATACTCCACAGTGTCTCATACTGACTTGAGAATTAAGAAACTATACTAATCTAAGATGTTTATAGGATCTCTAAGTGCCCCACCTACTGGAAATACCTACTGGAAAACAGTAGGTATTCCATAAATATTGATTAATTAGGACCTCTAAGTTTCTGGGAGCCTGAATTTAATTCATGAATGTCTGTGGAGATTTTAAACTTTTAAAAAGCACATAAGAGGTCACAGATATAAAAACTCAACAGTGAGATAATTCTATTGCAAGTATTTTAAATCCCTCCTTAAATATAATCCAATATACCTGGTCAAAACAAAATCTGACTTCCTTTATTTTAAAATTATAAACACAAGTTGAGTGAATGAGTATTTTGCTTTATAGAAAATTCCTCTAAAACAGCTTTTATAGGTCTCAAAGTTTTAAAAGTCTTAGTTATAAGATGTATTTTTTTACCTGCACATCTTCATTTGTATAGTCCTAATCTCAGTATCTGCCACCTTATTACTCAGTATTATTCTGACAGCACAGAGTTTGTTTAAATCTGGAAGTGTGATGAAGAACAGAGACTGCTGCCTAGAATCATTCATACTTTCCTGACTGAGTGTCTCAGCAATCAGGCCTTTAAAAATAAACAGCAAAAAAAGGTAGTAAATTATCTTACCAATAGAGTTCCAATACCAAGTCAGCACACAATATTTGATATTGTTTTAGAATGGGATGATACAAACAAGTTAGTTTGCAAACTTCAGCAGTTAAGTATCCCTGCCATTTACCTTTAAGGTCTTCTAATGATTTTCTAGGATTTTTGGTACAAGTTTTACTAAGATATAGTTCACATAACATAAAATTCACCCATTTAATGTGTACAATTCACTGTTTTTTACTGTATTCAGAGTTGTGCAACCATCATTGCAATAATTTTTAGAATATTTTCATCACTCCTTTTTCTATAACAATAACTATTTTTTAAAAGTCAAAATGTATAGCAAAGTCTTTTGTTGTTTCAGATTTTTCTGTAAAGCACTTCAAGGTTGAGGAATATATTATTTTTCATTGTACACGACAGAAAATGTTTACTGGTCTCTAAATTGTTACCTAGTTTTTGTTTCCACTAAATTATCCAGCTTTCAAATTCTATTGGAGGCACAGTTTACAGTTGATAATTCATAAGGTATACCTTTGAAGTCTACATTACATTTTACTACAGTAACAAAAACTGGAATATAAAAGTAAAGCAACCCAGTGAAGCTTCAGTACACTAACATGCACAAATACATTAGGGAAAAGTAAGCTGGACTCTAGTACTTTCAACTTTTCAACATCAACATGCTTTTTCTTTTTAAGAAAGAATAATATACTGGCCCGGGAATGTGCAGTGTGACCAGCCTTCTGATCACAGTACTGAAATGAGTTTGTGGTGTCATCTGAGGAATGCTGGCAATGCCAGCAGGAATGTAATACAGTAGGAATGTAAATTCCAGGTCACCAAAAAATTCCTGGGTGCAAGTCCTCCCGTTTTGCCAATCTTCAAATACTCACGGATTGCAACACTGTATGTAAACAAGAGTGATCTGTTCAGGGATAAGCATGAATTTATTAGAATTATTACTATTGTTTAATTTTGTGAGTTCCTAGTTGGCAAAACTTGCAGATTCAAAAAGAATGTTGTTTTCTTTGGCTAGGCTGTAGAACTATATTGTGAAGCTCAAAACGTGGGCCAAGCCTTATTATGATCTACGGATGCGCTATTAACATCCTGTCCAGGGAGTCGCTCCACTACGTTTCTGTCCCAGGATTTCATCTTTATTCCCAATCCCCAGCAGGGCAAGGAACAAGTGCTAGGAGCAGGCAACAGGCACCTACGCAATTCTACACGTGAGGGAGGACTCAGAGAACCCCAAAGGACCAAAACTCTGGGAGCGCCCAGCTCCTGCAGTGCTGTGCGCTAAGCCTCGGGACCGCCGCTACGAGGGACCCTTCCTAAAAATCCTCCCGGGGCGCGGGGTTCAGGGCGGCCCCAGACCCGGCTTGCCGCTGCCCCCAGGCGAGCGCCCACCCCTCTTCCGGCCTGGCTTCTGTGAGAACAGTAATGGACGTGAGTGGAAACGAATCTAAGGTCTTTGTTCAGCTAAATCCATTTTAAAAGGTGATTCTATAAATTTCCGATATAATGAAATGCCCGAAAAATTGGGACTCATGGGTCTTTGCAGATGAATACATTTTTTTCCTGACCCAAACCAACGTCCTCAGGGTGCCGGCGCCGGCACCGGGATCCTGCCCTCATGGCGGCCCTGACCTGCTCCTCCGCAACCGTGGGGAAGAGAATCAGGAAAATGGTCTTACAAACTGGAAAAGCAACACTTCTAACGCCCACGGCCTCCTGCACTGCAGATGCGTCAGGCGTCTCCTCAGGGGGAGGAAAGGGCGGGTGGGCGGCAGGGCCTCCAGCAGTCTCCCTCGCTTCCGCTCTGCCTCCTTCAAGCAGCTGCCCCCCAAGGCCAGGCCTCTTGGTCTCTGTGGGGCGTCGATTGAGAGCCCGCGTGCCTCAGCTCCCTCCTCGCTGCCCTCAGGAGACGCTCCCGGCTCGCCCCGCGTGCCCTGCCTTCATCGGAGTGTCCCCTCGTGCCCTCCTCACAGCCCTCGGGAGCCAATCCCAGTATTTCCCGCGCTCTCCCAGCGTTCCCTGCGCTCTCCCAGCATGCCCTGCAAGCCTTGCGCTCCTGGCACGCAATGTAGGTCAACTTTTCCCGCCAAGGCAGGAACCGACCAAAGCTGGTCACGGATGACCCAGTGAAGCCCTGTGAGATTCTCTCAGCCTGAGCTGGTGTGGGTGGGGCCGGGACACAAGGTTCTGGCCGCCCTCGAAGGCGGGAAAGCTGGGTCAGCGCAACACGTCCAACGGGGAGCTCCGGCGCTGAAGCCCCGGCTAACTGCGTGCTGCACAGGGGCTACCCAGCCTCTTGCCTCGGCACGTTTCTCCTCAGATTCTCATGCCCGAATTTACAGCTTCTGCAGTTCCTTTAGTGGTGGGAATCTCCATGACTGGAACATCTTCATGCCTGGTGTGGAGGGGAAGCGTGGTGCAAGCTCGTGGGAGTAAATCCACGAAGCGCCTACTGTGTGCAGATGCGTTTCTAAGGTCTGCTGATAGAGCACTAAGCAAACAGCATTCCCGGTCCTTGTGGGATGCACATTTTACTTGGTAGTTGGGGGAAAACAGATACGCAAGATAAATGTGCAAAATCTTAGTGTGGCAGATGGTGATAGGTGCATTGGAGAAAAATTAAGTAGGGTAGGGAGGCGGGGAGTGCCGAGGAGAAGTCGTTAGGTTTAATAGCGTGGTCAGGAAGGCCTCGTGGAGAACGGGACGTTTGAGAAAGACATGAAGGCGGTGAGAGTGGGCAGCCTCGTGCATGTCTCGGGGGAGAATGTTTGTTACGAGAGAGGGAATCCTACAAAAGGCCAGGGCAGGAGGGACGCCAGCTGGCTGCAGTAGAGCAGGAAAGAAGTGGCTCCGTGAGGCAGGAGGAGTTACAGAGAGCCAGACAGGGTTAGGCCCGATAAGCCATGGAAGTATTAAAGGTGCATCCAGCCTGCTGTGCTGGAATGGACTGAAGGGGACAGGGAAAGGAAGAAAAGCAGTTAGGAGGCAATGGCAATAAGGAGAGAGGTGGCTTGGATCAGAGCAGTGGCAGTGGAGGGAATGGGATGGGATGGGATTGGATTCTGGATATATTTTGAAATTAGATTTAATAGGATTTGGATATGGATTGATGTGGGATCTGAGAGAGAGGGAGAGGAATCAAGCATCACTCCAAGGTTTTTATACTAAGAATTCAGAAGGATTGGGTTGCCATTAATTACAAAGGGGAAGACTAAGAGGAGCAAGTTTGGGGCTGAAGATCAGGAGGGTTCATGTCAGTTTTGGACTTGTTGACATTGAGAAATGAAGAGGAACAATAAGAGTTCTGGGGAAAGATCTGCATATAATAGATGCTATTTAAAACCTGAGGCCAGATTGGATCTCCATGAGAGTGCATTTAGGAAGAAAAGGAACCCTCACACTGGATCCTGGGACACCCCAATATGAGGTCAGGGAGATGACAAGGAACTTCATGGGTGGAATGTCAGGAAATTTTCATTAAGTCAGAGATTTGCTACTTTTCAATCCCACATCTTGCCAGCTCCCAGAAGTGGTATTGTGAAAGAATGAGATTTTATATTGTGTTTAATGTCTAATCAGTTAAAGTCATTTACCTATTTTATTTGCAAAATAATTTTTGGCAAAGAGGAACATTTTTACATATCTTCCTAGCAATAAGAATGTGTTCAATGTTTACAATTGTTTGGTTACTTATGACCCCAGATGTGAGATTATAGTAAGTGATTATCACAACGTTGTTGAGACAAATCAGCCTCCTAAGACAAAGACACTTTACATTAATTGAACAAAACACAATCTTCTGAAATAGTCTAACAAATGTAATGTCTCAAATTTAACACCTGCGGTCTGAAGGTTTTATGTCACAGTCCTTGCAATTATTAAAACAAACCTTTCGATATTACAGAAAATCTCTTTGTCCTACTTGGTATGTACACATGGGGAAAGAAACCCCTCTGTTTTATGAAGACAGGTAAAAAGTAAATATAGATTCAATTTAAATTTTGTGATAACTGTGGATATTCACTAGCCTTTCCTATCTATCTAAACAAAGGGAAGCCAAGTGTTCTTTATTCCAAAAAGCACATGTATGAACACTTTATGTTCTTAATATCTGTGCTATTGAACTTATGGCCTCTGGTTTCAACAATAATTTTAACCAAGGCAGAATTAAAGACATTTGAAGTTTGTTTGTTTGTTTGTTTGTTTGTTTGTTTGTTTGTTTTGAGATGGAGTCTCGCCCTGTCGCCCAGGCTGGAGTGCTGTGGCGCAATCTCGGCTCACTGCAACCTCCGCCTCACGGGTTCCCACATTTCTCCTGCCTCTGCCTCCCGAGTAGCTGGGACTACAGGCGCACGCCACTACGCCTGGCTAATTTTTGTATTTTTTAGTAGATACAGGGTTTCACCATATTGACCAGGCTGGTCTTGAACTCCTGACCTCGTGATCCGCCCGCCTCGGCCTTGCAAAGTGCTGGGATTACAGACGTGAGTCACAGTGCCTGGTGTGAAGTTTTAAATTATGTTCACATTACCAAATACCCAAATACCAAAAAGGCCATTTCTAATCATATAAAAGGTGCCTAACAAGTATTTATTGAATGGATTCACAAGCAGATGTCTCCCAATCTTTTATAGTATGCCCGTGAGAAACTGGTAAGATTTTATGTCATGAATTCTGAATCTTGCTACCATCTTTGATTTAGCCGATAAGCTCAAAACCAAATTTGAGATCCACTTGGAGCAATTGTGCAGGACTTGAGGAAATGCATCTTTATATATGCATGAGAGGAACTGTTGTTTAGTGGTTAAGAGCATGGTCTTTGGGGCCAGACTGCCTGGATTTGAATTCTGGTTCTGCCAGTTACTAGCTATGTAATGTTAAGGTAGGATACTTAACCTCTCTGTACTGCAGTTTCATTACCTTAAAAACAGGGATTATAATAGTACTTTTTAGGGTGATAATATACCCCTTAACATAATAAAGGAGTTAATGCACATTAAATACATAAAATACTTACATCAGTGCTTGATGAAAGGACAATTTAAGTGTCAGGTATAGTTAATATTAAAACCATGGGGAAGAAGTATAAAACAGGCTATGGAGGCTCTGGTATTAATACTAGTCACGTTTACTATGTGTCCTTCAGCCTGATATTTTGCTTCTCTAAGATACTATTTGACCATATGACACATGGGAATGACAGTCACTAGCTCAGAGTCTTATTGTTAGGATTAAATGAGATAATGTATATATGTATATAAAATGTTTGGAAATACTTCCACATGATAAACACTTACTGAATGTTAGTTCATCTTGTTACTAACTTTACTCTTGTTTTATCTTACTTTACCACCTTGGTCTTCCTTTGCTTTGGTTTTTATCTGCTATAGATTGAGTCATGTGTCTCCCCCAATTCATATGTTGAAGCTTAACCCCCTTACATGTGACTATATTTGGAGACAGGGCCTACAAGGAGGTAATTAAGATTAATGAGATCATAAGGGTGGGGCTGAGCGTATGTCAAGAGGACAAGCTAGAAGAGCTACCCACTCCAGGGCCTCCTCTCTGTGGAGAGCTGCAGAGACATCAGGAGGACCTGTCTACAGAGAGGAGCTACACACTCCAAGTCCTCCTCTGAGCTATTGTGTCACTCAATAAACCTTCTCTTTGCCTTGCTCACCCTTCTTGTGTCCACATACCTCATTCTTCCCGGATGCAGGAGAAGAGCTCAGGACCTACTGAATGGCAGGGCTGAAAAAGCTGTAAGACAAACAGGGTTGAAACACACCCCTTGCTCGCCACGTTGCAGGTGAAAAGGAAAGAACTGTGGCCCTTCAGGGACCCCAGACCTGGGAGCTCCCCAACCCTGGGTTGTGACTCCCTCTTTGGGGCCCTGCAGTTCCTGGAGTCTCCAAGCTTCTGGGCAACACCACATTCCCTGGTGGCAGCCGTGGAAGCTGCTTGCAGGGTGCCTGGTCCAGCTGCAGCCTTGCAGAGAGTCGGTGCCTGTGCCAGCACCTGCAGCTGCCCTGCCCTGCAGCAGCAGCCAGTGTGCCTGACTGTGTGCAGTGGCTGAACCCCATGCTTGCTCATTCACACACCCCTTGTCCCTCCACACCTGGCTCACCCTTGGCAGGCATGGGATCCAGCCAGTAGCGTGAGCTGAGTGCCGCCTGCCAGGCCAAGTGGGTGGAATAAGCCCAGGGGGCCTGCAGGCAAAGGTGCCACCAGCCACAGAGGTTTCCTGCCAGAAAAGTGACACCCCAAAGATCCTGTAACAGAATCATTGTACTTTATGCATAATTCCTTTTTTGCTATCCTTTTGTGAAGTTCATTTTAATATTCTAACAGTGCTATAAGAAAGCAAGGTAAAGGCTATGCATCCCCACTTGTGCCACAGTAATAAAAAAAGAAGAGTAGTGGTGGGTGGCAAGGAGTGATATTGGTAATCACTGAGGGAACTGAGGGAAAGAAGGATCCAATGGATGCAGTTGCATACTTGGACACTGATGTCCAGGGTTTAGTTTCATCTCGAATCAACCTTAGAGTTCCTAGACTATTTTTATCAAAGTAGATAGCTGTGTATCTGACATGTGACTCCTAGCAGCATAGGGTATGAAAATGCCATTGCCCTCTCCATTGTTCCTGTTGTGTTACTTATCAAGCACCTCAGACTTGGACTTAATCAAGTCCAAGTTGATTACAGCACACATTTTCATTTTAAACTATTTTCATGCTGCTGCTGACATTAGCCTCCCTTTCCCTCTGTTTTCTATACTGGAAAAGAAATAAAACAATATTTCAGCTTTAGTAGAAGTCATGGAAAAAATTTAAAACTTTGCTGGTACTCTTGCTAGTGACAGATAAGTAAGTAAATCCACATTTCTCAGTCTGGTTACAATATAATTATGATTTTCCATGTACTTAAAATCTATCTTCTGGATCACGTTTATGCTCTTATTCATTCAAACACACTTACTGAACATCTGTTGAGTGCTAGGCACTGTGCTAGTGCTGGAGATAGCAATGCGACTAACCATCATTGTCCCAAAGAACCCTTGAGCCAATGAGAGAGACAGCCATGTAGATGGACGATGTAGTTGGTGTGTGTGATATAACCAAAGAATCAAGGAAGCACTGAGAGGGCACCTAGTGGAAGGGAAGGGTGTTGTCAGTACATGCCTCCTTCAGGAAGTGACTCCTAAGCTGAGTCGTAAAGAGTCCTCAGCCCTTGTCCAGTACAGAGAAAGTGGGAGAAAGGAGGTAAAGAGAGTACTCTGGCAAGGGAGAGGACTTGAGCAAGGGTATGGAAGTTGGGAAAGTGTGCTGTGTGGAGAACTAAAAATGGCTAATTTTTGCTGGGTTCTAAGGTTTGAGGCAGAAATGACAAAGGATAAAGCTAGAGAGATAGGCAGGTACCAGATTTTGAGTGATCTTTTATGTTGTGGTAAGCAATTTGAACTTTGGTTATCACGAGACGTGGGAAGGTCTTAGGCAAGTAGTGATATGATCAGATTTTAATTTTGAGTCCACTCCTGTATGGAGGATGGATCTGAAGAAGTCAGGACTAGAGGTGAGAGTAACCTGTTAGGAAGTTATTGAAAGCAGTGTATGCAGGTAATCCTGGAAGGAAGATCTGGAGCAAAGATTGTAGGAATAAAGAGAAGAGCACCGATTGGAGAGATGTTTAACAGGTAAAATCTATAGGACTTGGTGATGAATTCTGTTTTGACGATGACGTGGATGATTCCCAAGCTTCTGACTTGGGTCACTGATAAGGTTAGCCTTTGTGTCCCCACCCAAATCTCATCTTGAAATGTAATCCCCAGGTGTTGAGGGAGAGACCTTGTGGGAGGTGATTGGATCATGGGGGCAGTTTCCCCATGCTGTTCTTGTGATAGCGAGTGAGTTCCCAGGACATCTGATGTATTTATAAGTGTTTGATAGTTCCTCTCTTGCTTGCTTCTTCTCTCTCCTGCCATCCTGTGAAGAGGTGCCTTCTGTCATGATTGTAAGTTTCCCATGGCCTCCCCAGCCATGCAGAACTGAGTCAATTAAGCCTTTGTTTCTTTATAAATTACCCAGTCTCAGGTAGTATCTTTATAGCAGTGTGAGAACGAATTAATATAGTGACCTTATGACAGCGGCAGCATCAACTATTTCATGGAACTGTCTAGAACCCTGGACACTTTACAAAGTTAAATATGATATCTGGAATTTCCTTTTTACCATTTTACCCTTGTTCAATTTATGCTGGAGACAAAAAGAGATTTAAAAAATAAATTTTATATTTCAACCATGTCCTACAATTAAACATTTACTGTCCTTATTGGCCTTCTCCTACTTAAAGATGGACCTACAAGAAAAATGTGCCTAAGGACATATTTACAGTAAGTAAGATGCCCTACATAATTAACTTGTCATTGAAGTTACTGAGGAAAATTCCACTATGTCAGCAATGAACTTCAGACATTTGTTTTGGGTTTATGGTGAGATATTATCCGTTGCGCTCTGCTCCTTGTTCTGCCTCGGCAATCCAAATGATCAGAGGCTCCCAGCAGACATGCTGGTGGGTTATAAAGGTACAAGAGGGAAAAACAACTTCAAGTCATAAATGCTTTATTTTAAAATGAATAAAAACTTTAAAAATTTAGCAGAGTTTGGGAATTACTGCTAATAGATGGGGAATTGTTTAGAAATCAACTAAATGTGGTGTTATCTACTAGAAATAGAAATATTTTTGGAAGGAAAAAAGTAACCTGTGCTAACATGATATTTAAAAGACATGGATATATTACAGATAATTTGTGTAGATATTTGAAGATTTCATTTGCATGGAAGTGCTCATTTGCTGAGGGAACCAGCTCTCTATTGTTGATATAACTATTTGCCTATGGGCAGGAAAGATCTGCCCAAGTAGGTCTTGTGGATTGAGTGACAGAAGGAATTAGAAAAAATAATTTAAAAAGTAACATTACTACTTTTTGGTATTATAGTAGAAGAGAAGAATGAGTGCTTTTTACTTTATATTTTTACCTGAGGAACTTTAGGAGTAGGAGTGGTTTTCTAAATATGTATAAAACTGTCTTTACTGTAGGGAAAGTCAGGAGGAGTTTGTAAATATTTGTGTTGCTTTCTCTGTTGTTTGTCTCTAAATTTGCCTAGATTAACTTCACATCGGAGTAACTGCCAGATAGGATGCTTCTTCATCTTTGTTTTAGAATAAGGAAATCTTTTGAGTAATAATAATAATAGCACAAGATAAAATTTATTTTTTTAATGTTTTATTTTTAATGGGGTACATAGTAGATGTATATAGTTATAGGTTCCATGAGATATTTTGATACAGGCTTACAATGCATAATAATCACATCAGGGTGAATGGGTATCTGTCCCCTCAAGTATTTACCTTTTGTGTTACAAATAATTACACTCTTTTAGTTATTTTAAAATGTACAATTAAATTATTTTTTACTATAGTCACTCTGTTGTGCTAATACATACTAGGTCTTATTCATTCTTTCTATTGTTTTTGTACCCATTAACTATCCCCACTTTTCCCCTACTCCCTGTTATTACCCTTTCCAGCCTCTGGTAACCATCATTACACTATCTGTCTCCATGAATTCAGTTGTTCTAAATTTTTAGCTCCCACAAGTAAGTTAAGAACATGTGAAGTTTGTCTTTCTGTGCCTGGCTTATTTCACTTAATGACCCCCATTTTCATCCATGTTGTTGCAAATGACAGGATCTCATTCTTTTTGTGGCTGAATAGTACTCCATTGTGTATATGCACCACATTTTCTTTATTCATCTGTTGATGGACACTTAGGTTTTGTTAGACCCTTATTAGTGGTTCTGCTTTTTGCCCTTTGCAGCATGTGATCTTTGTACCTACTCCCTGTTCTTACACCCCCTCCCCTTTTGAAACCCTTAATAAAAACTTGCTGATCTGTGACTCAGGCCGGCAGCACGGTCCTACCGATATGTGATGTCACCCCTGGCGGCCCAGCTGTAAAATTCCTCTTTGTACTGTCTCTCTTTATTTCTCAGCCAGCTGACACTCACGGAAAATAGAAAGAATGTATGTTGAAATATTGGGGGCGGGTTCCCCCAATATCTGGTGCGCCAACATGGTTTTCTTTTTCCTAAGGGCATGTGGAAACCCGATTCCCTTTGGTAGGTGCGTAGAAACGTTCATCCATTCGGTCCACAGAAACGCTTGTTCGGCTCCCTGACGATTGGTGAGTTGTCTGTGTATTGTCCAGAGTAACTATGGGGCACACGGAGTCTAAACATTATGCCATCTCTGCTATATTAAACTCCTGTTAAAACAGGGAGGAGTTCGGGTGCCCATGGAAAATACGGTCACCCTATTCAGGGCAGTGGAAGAACACTGTCCTTGGTTTCCTGAAAAGGGAACGTTAGATGTGGAACTTTGGGATCATGTTGAAGAATCTCAGATCAATAATCTAAACTCCTACTTCAAGAAACTAGAAAAATAGAGAAAAGTTTACCCAAAGCAAGCAGAAGGGAGGAAGTAATAAAGATAGAAGGAGAAAGTTAATGAAATTGAAGAAAGAAAAACAATAGAAAAAATCGGTGAAACAAAAAGCTTTCCCTTTTAAAAGATCAGTAAATCTCTGGAAATGTTGACAAATAAATAAAAAGACAAAAGTCACAAATTACAAATATCAGGAATTAAACTGAAGATACCATTACAGACCCTGCAGACATGAAAAGGATAATAAAGGACTACTACAAACAACTCTACACACATAGACTTGACAACTTCAATGAAGCAGACCAATTCTCTGGAAGAGTATAAACTGTGACAACACACCCCATATGAAATGGGTAATTTGAATAGTCCTATAACTATTAAAGAAACTTAATTGATAGCTTAAAATCTCAAAAAGAAATCTCTAGACCCATATGGTCTCACTGGAGAATTCTACCAAACCTTTAAAGAAGTCTAACATTAATTTCACAAAATCTTTTTCAGAAAAATAGAAAAAATAGAAAAGAAGGTCCCAATTTATTCTATGAAGTCACTATTAACCTAACATCAAAACCAGACTATTACAGTACATAAAAAGAAAACCATACACCAATATCTCTCATAAGTACAGATACACAAATTATTAACAAAACATTAAAAATATAATTCAGCAATATATAAAAAGAATTATATTCCATAAACAAGTGGGCTTAATTCCAGAGATGCAAGGCTATTTGAATATTTGAAAATCAATAAATGTATTCCATCATATGAAAGTCTGGAAGAAAAATTACATTATCACATTAACTGATACAGAAAAATAATTAGATAAAATTCACACCCATTTATGATAAAAACTCTTAGAAAACTGAGTATAGTGGAGAGCTTCCTCAGTTTCATAAAGAGCATCTAGAAAGATATACAACATTATACTTACTGGTGATAGACTGAATGCTTTCTGTTTAAGAACAAGAATAAGACAAGGGTGTACAGTCACCACTGCTATTTAACATAGTACTGGATGGTCTACCCTGTGTGAAAAGACAAGAAAAGGAAACAAAAGACACACATCATTTATAGGTGACATAATGATCTATGTAGAAAATGCCAAGAAATTTACAAAAAAACTGAGTTCAGCAAGGTTGCAGGGTATAAGACAAACATAAAAATCAATTGTATTTTTATATATTATCAGTGAACCCATAGAAACAAATAAAAACTACAATACCATTTACAGTTACTCAAAAAAAAGAGGAATGTTTAGCTGTAAATCTAACACAACATGTACAGGACTTATATGCTGAAATTAAAGAATGCTGATAAAAATATTAAGAGAGATTTCTAAATAAGTAGAGAGATATTCTGTGCACATGGATTGGAAAAGTCAACAGCAGTTCTCCCAAACTGGCATACAAGTTTAAAGCAGTTCCTATCAAAATCTCCAATGCATCAATAGATACAGACAAGATTATTCTAAAATGTGTATGGAAAGACAAACAAACTCGAATAGCTAAAACAATTCTGGAAAAAAAAGTGGAAAGAATCATTCTACCTGATTTCAGGACTTATTGCCTAGTTACACTAATCAAGACTAGATGATATTGGGGAAGGATAGATATATAGATCAATGGAACAGAACAGAGAACTCAGAAATAGCTTCATACTAGTACAATGAACTAATTTTTGACAAAGGTGCAAAAGCAATTCAATGAAGGAAAGATAGTCTTTTTAAACAAATGGTGCTTGAGCAACTAGATACAAGAAAAATGAACCCCAGTGTAAGTGACTCAAAATAAATTATACAATTAATGTAATACTATAAAATATTTAGAAGATAGCATATGAGAAAATATAGGGCTTGGTAAAGTTCTTAGACATGACACCAAAAACACGATGCATACGAGAAAAAAAGTGATAAATTGGACCTCTTTAAAATGAAAAACTTTTGCTTTGAGGAAGAGTAAGAGGATGAAAATACAAGCTACAAATGGGGATAAAATGTTCCCAAACCACGTATCTAACAATATATAGATCCATATCTAATGTATAAAAAGAACTCTCAAAACTCAACATAAAAAAATTTTAAATGGGCAAATTTTAAAATGGGCAAAAGACATGAAAAGACCTTTTACTGAAGAGGATATCCAGGTGACAAATAAGTACAGGTATATGAAAAGATGTCCCAAATTAAGACTACAATAAGATATCACTGCATACCTATTAGAAAATTGAAAATAAAAAATAGTGACAATACCGATGCTGGTGAGGATATGGAAAAATTGGATCTCTCATACACTGCTGGTAGGAATATAAGATGGTACAACTACTCTGGAAGACTGTTTAGCAGTTTCCAAAAAAACTAAACATACACTAAACCATATGTCCCAACAGTCACACTTCTGGGCATTTATCCTAAAGAAAATAAAAACTTATGTTCACATAAAAACCTATACACTAATTGTTCATAGCAGTTTTGCTGTAATAGCCAAACACTGGAAACAACCAAAATGTCCCTCAATAGGGGAATAGCTAAATAAACTGTGATACTCTTGTACATCCATACCATGCAATAATACTTGGTAATGAAAAGGCACTGACTATCGATACATTTAAAAACTGGGATGGATGTCAGAGGCATTATGTTAAGCGAAAAAAGCCAATCTAAAAGGTCATTTTGTATGGTCCCATTCATATAACATTTTTTAAATGACAAAATTATATGGATGGGAAACGTTGCTGGTTATGAGGGGTTAGGGGTGGTATGGGAAAGGCAGTGGGTACAACTATAAGGAGGTAGCAACAGGGAGACGTTTGTGGTGATAGAACAGTCTGTATCTTGTTTGTGGTGGTTGTCACACATCTACAGAAATCTAAGACAGGATGGAACTAACATAGGCCTCCTTATCCACAGTTTCATTTTCCATGATTTCATTTACCAACTGTCAACCACGGTCCAAAATTATTAGGTAAAAAATCCTAGAAATAAATAATTCATAAGTTTTAAATTGTGCAGCATTCTGAGTAGCAGGATTAAATCTGGCACCTTCCTGCTTTGCCCTCACATCCCAGCATGTGAATCATCCCTTTATCCAGAATACCCACACTGTAGGCATTCCACGCTCATTAGTTAGCCAGTTAGTGGCCTTCTTGGCTATCAGATTGACTGTTGTGGTATTACACTGTGTGTTCCAGTGAACTTTGTTTCACTTAATACATGGCCCCAAAGTGCAAGAGTAGTGATGCTGGCAATTCAGATATGCCAATGAGAAGCTGTGAAGTGCTTCCTTTAAGTGAAAAAAAAAAAAGAAAGTTCTCAATTTAATAAGGAAAGAAAAAAAATAGGCTGAGACTGCTAAGATCTAAGGTAAGAATGATCTTCGACCTGTGCAATTGTGAAGAAAGAAAAATTCAGGTTAGTTTTGCCGTTGCACCTGAAACTGCAGAAGTTATGACCACAGTGTGTGATAACTGCTTAGTTAAGATGCAAAAGGCATTACATTTCTCAGTGGAAGACATGAACAGAAACATGTTTTTATTGATAATGTTGAAGTCAAAATATAGAGATGAATCTCTAAATTTAAAACACTTTATTTGGGAAGCAAGAATTGCAATTCTGGCCCCACACAGAACATTTTATTTTAGTCTTCAGTCTTTAGTACGTCTGAAGAACAAAGAAGGTTGGAGGTTTTATAAAAAGGAGAAATGTTACGTGTTATTCTGAAAGTTCATTGGCACTAGAAAGTTTGGTGAGTGACAGTAGTGGGTAAAACCGGTCTTAGAGTAGCAGCAGGTTGTTTCAGTAGTGAGTAGCTAAAACTGATTTCAGATTACAACAGGCAGTTTCTGAAGCCAGCCTTGCAGACAATTACATTCTTAGTGCAATGTTATTATATTATGTGCTCCGAGTGCTTTTTCCCCCTGGACTCTCAACTTTGTTCTCGTTGAATATAAAAAATGACCCAATTTGTATGATCACCTTTCACATTTCCCTTTTCTGATCAGGATTTTTCTCTGAAAACATCAGGGACCAACCATTATGTAGTAAGGCTTAATTGTTCCTCAGTGACAGGATGAACCTATCTAATATGTCTAACTTATTAGATTTCTGTGAATTTATGTAATTTTTGAAACGTGATTATCAACAACATACCCATAAATGTAACTAAAAGATCTAGTATCACTTATTTGACAATGTTTCCTACACAGTTTACCAAATAAGCCTAACTAATATCTCTACAAGATGACATATATCTTTTGAGGCTTTCCATGGGCTCAACTGAAAAATCCTAAAGTTAATTCTAGGTCAGAAAGACTTAATTTAGGATTTGATTTTAGGGAAGTTTTTCAAAGACGTTAAAAAGCTCGAAACACTTGATCAAAACAGAATAACAGGTCACTGTAAAATAATAGTCATTCATTTAAAAAGAATGATAGTCAAAAGACTCTAAAAGCAATCCAGAAAGTTACACAGATATAAAAAGCTTAACCCTTTCAAAGCTTAGTTTTCCTAAGTAATAAAAAATCTAATAAAAGCAACATAGAAAGTTATCTTGACAAAATGTAAAATCTTTGTTTCTTGGACCCGCTACCAAAAAGGTAGAGAAAAACTTTCTGCAGGGTGAGTGTTTCTCCTTATGGAACCTCATTTAGATAACCTGGAAGTCAAGCCTGATGCAGACATACGAAGACTATGTCCAAAGTTATGAGTGTAACAATTCATATACATCAAGAAAAGCTAAGAGTACAGAATCAAGTTATACTGAAGGAAAATATTGCTTTTCTAGGCCTTTAAGATAAATATTTCAGTGTCACGCCAAAAAAGCAGAGTTAGAACTGGAAAAAAAAAATGTTTTAGGAGCTGATAGCAAAGTTGGAGAAGAGCACTGTTACCCCAGGCCTTCACAAGGGGAGGAAAAAGGTGAAAGCAGGGATGTCGGATCTACAAGTCACGTGTAGCGAGATATAGCAAAAGTTGAATCTCTGAGATGTGAATCTGAGAAATTTCAAAAGGAAAACTTTACCTCAGGAAATGAAATTACCATTTTCAATGAAAAGGGCAGCATTTTAAACCTGAAACTAGAGAAATTAAATAGATCTCAGGAAAAAATGGCAGAAACAAAAATTGTGCAGTTCAGAGCATGGCTGTTAAACAGATTTTAGAATTAAAAATCAAAACTTCTTGCAGTTTTATTAAGGACAGATCAGTACTTCAGGAAATATTTGTTATTTTAAATATAGAGGATTATACTCTGGTCCGGTATCAGCAACTCCTGACACCAGTGTTTAAGTTTTAGAAAAACACATAAACAATTTCTTTCTAATCCCAGCCAATCTGATCACAAATAAAACTTCCTTCATAAAGCCCATCTTCTATAAATCCTCTTCAACTTGTTTAGAACTTTCATTATTTTCCCAAGCCCCCATTCTTAGTCCTATAGTTTTTCTTTTTTGTAAATTTTGGAATAACTAATTATTTAATCTCAGGACAAAAATGTACCACTTAAGATTTTTTTCTCATACAAAGTTATTTTTCCCTAAATTCATATTTTGATTAATAGACCTAAACATATTTAGTATTTTTATAAAATTTAAGAAGCCAAGAAAGAACTTTGATGTATTTACCAATTTGGCTCAATTTTGGATATAACTTGGTCATTTAATGAGTATTATTACTTAATACAACTTTAAAATTTTAAATTGCATAGAAGTTTCATTTATAAATGTTAATTTCATTTCCGATTACCTAATTTATTTTTTAGTAATTACACCTAGATTACTTACGAAAATTAAAATATTAGAGCAAGTCACTATTTTATTTTTTATTAACCAATTTCATAGCCTGTTAATATCCAGTGTTTACCTAAGGTGAAACCTTAAAGTTTAATACATGGGTATCCTGTTCTTAACCCAGAAAATACAGCTGTTTTTATTAAATCAACAATATTAAACCTTATCAATCAAAGAATTGCATACACAAACATTATTTTGTTTTAGGCTGGGTTTATAGCTTTATAACCTTAAGAACTCTAGCAGAGGCAAATATAAAACTGAACAATAAACCCAGCCAAAAATGTTGACAATTTTGAAGACTTTTCTAATTTTATTTTATCAACAATTTAAAAACCAATTAATTTATCAAGGATTTGTTTAAGTAAGGCAAAGCAAAAATATTTGGGGTTGTTACATATTTTATATGAGTACATATTTTATCTAAATAGAATTCCTTAAGGGATTTCTGGCGGACTACACCAGGTTTTATCATGTAGATGCAACACATCACACAATACATGTATATATGCATAAATACATCTAAACACATACACATACATATAAATAAAGATCTTACAGATTTTATTTTAGAATTTTAGTCATGAGATATTAAAACATACATACTGGTTTCCTAAAAAGCAGTTGAATTGAAATTATTTCCTCACAAACTGGGAGAAGGCTAAGCTTTTAACTTGTTGTTTGTAGTCCTGATATGGCTGTGAAACAAATTTTGAGCAAAGCAGTTTGAGGCAGTTACCAACATAGTGGATTGGACAAAGAGTAACTGTGGAAATGTGTCTGAATTACGTGAGGAGGGGTAGAAGGTAAGAGTTACTCTAACAAGGTCTGTACAGTGTTTTCTTGTTCTCAATTATTTGTCCTTGAAGATAAAAATGCTGCCATTCCTTATAGTATAGTGTTTTACATGAGAATTTAATCTTTAGCTTTTAAGAAACAGCACGAAGGTCAAAACAATTTTATTTTATATCTGCTGGTTTCAAGTGTTTAGCTATTCAACAGAATAGCTTAGCTGTTTTAGAAAAAGAAAGTTTAGGTTACAAAAGGGTGAAGAGGAGGAATTGTAAGAAGGGGAGGGGAAGATCCAGAGAGGAAAGCCTCCCAGCTACCTTTGAGACAGTATTTTGTAGTTAGACAGTCTTTGAGTGCTGATTTTTTTTTTTTGCCTCAAAGTATCAATTGAAATCTAATTCTTATTTGCAGTGTATGATTTTATAGCTGTGGTTTTTTAGTTTAGTTTTAAGAACAATAGTCTGTTTGAATGATCTCTGTAATGTTTAAACATGTTACCAGGTGGAGTTAAAAAAAAATTTTGCCATGCCTCTGAACTTTGAGAGCCCATTTGTAACTAAATTTATCTAGGTGATTAAGCACTTGCCAATTAGATGCAAGTGCTAATAAACAAAGGCCAAGTAAATGCAAGAACTGATAGAAAATAAAGTACATATTTACCAAGAAAGATGACAGTCTTCTCCAAATGAAGAGGAAAATTCCCTCATCCAAACCTCAAAGCCAAGATGAGTCAGCTTTGGAATCCCACTTCAGATACCAAGTATGTCCAAGTCAAATACAATACAGAGGTGAATCTAAAACGTTTTATTTGGGAAGCAAGAACTGCAAGTCCAAGCATACACGAGTGGTCTTTGGTATGTCCAACGAACAAAGGGAAAGTTTGAGGTTTTATAAAAAGGAGTCACATGTATTGTTCTGAAAGTTCATTAGCACTTGTAAAGTTTTGGGGACCTGGCAAGTTCTGATTGGTGAGTGTTGGTGGTGGGTAAAAAGTCTTATAGTAGAAGCAGGTTGTTTCAATAGCTATTAGATAAAACTGGTTTTAAGTTAACAATAACCAGTTTCTGTGGGTGGGGTTTCAGACAATTACATTCTTAGGGTAATATATGATGTTTCCTGAGTGCTTTTCTCCCCTGGCCTCTCAACTTTGTTTTAATTGGGCATGATAAGAATGACTCAATTTATATGATCAACTTTCACAGTGGCAATCAGGTTTGGTACTATTGGTGGGTTCAGACATCTACTGGAGTCTTAGAACTATTCCCTGAGGATAAGGGGGGCCTACTGTGGGCACATACATTATACAATGCCAATTTCCTTGTTTTGATATTGTACTATAGTTATAAAAAGATGTAACCATTGGGGGAAACTGGATGAAGGGTACACAGCACCTCTACTATATTTGCAACTTCTTGTGAACCTACAATTATTTCACAATTAAAGATTTGAAATCGTTTCAACATATTTTTGTTGGTTAATGTGAAATAAAATATTTCTATATTATATATGAACCATGACTGATTAGTATATAATAGTACAAATAATTTACCCTCTTAACACTACTTAGTACTTAGAAATATCTCTGAATAACAAAATGTTACACTTGGAAATGTCTGCTTGATATGAAAAAAATGTGATCATTTTGGAATGCTTAAAAAATGTGTGTGTGCATTGTCACGTGTGTCCGTGTGAAGGGACCACCAACAGGCTTTGTGTGAGCAATAAAGCTTTTTAATTGCAGGTGGGCTAAGTCCAAAAAGAGAGTCAGCAAAGGAAGTTAGGGCTGGGGCAGTTTTATAGGATTTGGGTAGGTAGTGGAAAATTACAGTCAAAGGGGGTTGTTCTCTTGAGGGCAGGGGCGGGGGTCACAAGGTGCTCAGTGGGGGAGCTTCTGAGCCAGAAGGAATTTCACAAGGTAATGTCATCAGTTAAGGCAGGAACCGACCATTTTCACTTCTTTTGTGATTCTTCAGTAGCTTCGTGCCATCTGGATGTATATGTGCAGGCTTGGGCTCAGAGTCCTGACATTCTTGTCTTCTTATATTAATAAGAAAAACAAACAGTGGTGAAGTGTTGGGGTGGGGAAAATTTTGGGGGGTGGTATGGAGAGATAATGGGTGATGTTTCTCAGGGCTGCTTCGAGCAGGATTAGGGGTGGCATGGGAACCTAGAGTGGGAGAGATTAAGAGGAAGGAAGATTTTGTGGTAAGGGGTGATATTCTGGGGTTGTTAGAAGGAGCATTTGTCATATAGGATGATTGGTGATGGCCTGGATATGGTTTTGTATGAACTGAGAAACTAAACAGAAGACATAAGGTCCGAATAAGAAAAGGAGAAAAACAAGTATTAAAGGACTAAGAATTGGGAGGACCCAGGACTTCAAATTAGAGAGTGCCTAAGGGGGTTCAGCATGATTATTTGCTTGGCTGGTGAGTTTTTGGCCTCTATCCTTGAATTTTTTTATGTTGTCATATACCAGGCCAGACTGATTTAGGTAAAAACAACAGTCTTCATTTAAAAATATACAGAGTCTTCCTTTTTCAGCAGTGAGTAAGTCAAGGCCTATTCCTGTCTTCTTATATTAATAATAAGAAAAAATAAAATAATAGTGAAGTGTTGGTGTCATGAGGGGAACAGGAAGCTGCTCGGTCTTATTTGCAAATTGATTTTTGGGGTAAGGAAAACTAGTGTACATGTTCCTGTCTCATTAACAGGTGGACACATGCAGGTGGAGGAGCCACAGAGGAAGAAGAGACCTTGCGTAAGGCGAAACTGGAAATGTAAAATGGGTGAAAGAAGTGGAGTGTGCTTTTCCAGCAAAGGCCATTTATCCATTCCAAGAGGGAGTTAAGAGTGGCAGTTAGGGGATAAGACCAGGACCAGCTATGATGGTTTGGAGGAAAAGTATAAGCTGGCAGTGTAGACAAGGGCAGGGCATGTATGGAGAGGTGAAAACGAAGAATAGGAGTATGACTAGACAGAAGAGAGCAGGGATGAAAAGTTTTTGGGATGCAGTCTAAGTAGTGGGGGTGACTGCATAAGGCCCTGTTGCAAAGACTCTGGTAAGGAAGGATAGACCTAACAAAATGAAGGGATGTATTAGGCTCATAAGGGTTACTACTGTTCTTCAGAAATGTGGGTGAGTTTAAGGGAAGTAGGGGTGAGTACTCGCGACTTCCAGAAGGAAGAGGAGAGATCAGGCTGGCTGTCCAATGGACACGGCTTTATTCTGGAACGGTGAACCCAATGGGGAGGGTCCTGCAGGAGGACGGCAGTTAGGGTATTATAGATGACTAAGTAGGGTCCGGTCCGTCGAGGTTGTAGAGTTTGAGGGGTCAGATTCTTAACAAGAACTGATCGTCCAGATAGGGTGTCTTCATAAGGCTGGGAATCTGGAATAGGCAAGAGAAGATTAGCAGCCTGGCAAATTTCCTGTCTAGCCTGCTGGAGGACTGGAAGATAGTCACCTAGAGGGCTGGTGTCTGGGACGAGGTTGGGGCCGAGCAAGAAAGGGCATCCATATAAAAGTTCAAATGGGCTGTACTCTGTAGCATCTCGAGGACAGGCTCTAATTCTGAGAAGGGAAAGTGGTAAAAGTACTATCCGGTCCTTTTTAAATTGGAGGCTGAGCTTAGTGAGGTGTGTCTTTAAAAGACCATTAGTCCGTTCTACCTTTCCTGAAGATTGAGGACGATAAGGGGTATGAAGTTTCCACTGAATACCAAGAGCCTGAGAAACTGCTTGGGTGATTTGACTAATAAAGGCCCGTCCGCTATTGGACTGCACAGAAGTGGGAAGTCCAAACCAAGGAATTATGTCTGACAGAAGGGAAGAAATGACCACGGTGGCCTTCTCAGACCCTGTGGGAAAGGCCTCTACCTATCTGGTGAAAGTGTCTTCCCAGACCAAGAGGTATGTTAGTTTCCTGACTCGGGGCATACGAGTAAAGTCAATTTGCCAGTCCTGGGCAGGGGCAAATCTCCGAGCTTGATGTGTAGGGAAGGGAGGGGGCCTCAACAATCCCTGAGGAGTAGAATAGCAGATAGAACACAGAGAAGCGATTTCCTTGAGAATAGATTTCCACGATGGAAAGGAAATGAGAGGTTCTAAGAGGCGGGTTAGCAGCTTATAACATACATGGAAGAGGTTATGAAGTGACGACAGAATAGAATGGGCCTGTGAGGCTGGAAGGAGATATTTTCCTTGGTCTAAGAACCATTTACCTTGAGTGGGGAGGGATTGATAGGTAGAAACTTCAGTGGGAGAGTAAGTAGGAGTGACTGATGAGAAGGAGAAAAACTGGCCGTGAGGGACAGAAGTAGGAATGCTAGCTGCTTCTTTAGCTACCTTATCAGCATAAGCATTGCCCTGAGCGACGCGATCTGATGCCTTTTGATGGCCCTTGCAGTGAATGACTCCAGCTTCCTTTGGAAGTAAAGTGGCCTTGAGAAGAGTTTTTATTAAAGAGGCATTAATGATGGAGGACCCTTGTGTAGTGAGGAAACCTCTTTCAGCCCATATAACAGCATGGTGGTACGGGATATGGAAGGCATATTTAGAGTCAGTATAAATATTGACATGCAGTCCCTTTGCAAGAGTGAGGGCCCAGGTTAAGACAATGAGTTTGGCTTGCTGAGAGGTAGTGGAGGGGGGCAGAGTGGTAGCCTCAGTGATAGATGTGGAAGACACTATAGCATAGCCTGCCTTTGCCAGTGATTGGCGATTGGGCCTGGAAGAACTATCATCAATAAACCAAGCGTGGTCTGGGTGGGGAACAGGAAAGAGGTAATATGGGGAAATGGGGAGAATGAATGGTTTCGTTAGGATGGCAAAACCAGGTATCTAAAGGCAAAAGTACCTAACCATGCCTAGGAAGGAAAGGAGTTGTTTTGTAGAAGGGGTTGGGGTTTGGGAGATTAGCTGGACATGATTAGCAGGGAGAGCACATGTATTTTTATGAAGAATTATGCCGAGATAGGTAACGGATGAGGAAGAAATTTGGGCTTGACTGAAGTAATGGGGGCTGTCCCTGAAGCCTTGCGCCAGTACAGCCCAGGTAAGTTGCTGAGGCTGATGGGTGTCAGGGTCAGTCTAAGTGAAAGCGAAGAGAGGCTGGGATGAAAGGTGCAAAGGAATAGTAAAGAAAGCATGTTTGAGATCCAGAACAGAATGGGTTATGGAGGGGTAAAATGGGGGAATTGTAAGGAGAGTTTATAGGCTTTATAAGGCCATGCTGTAACAAGTGAGTGATAACAGGCTTTAATTCTTTTAAAGCGTGCTGTGGGATGGGATATTGGTGTTGAGCAGGGTAAGGGTGATTAGGTTTTAATGGGATGGTAAGGGGTGCATGATCAGTTGCCAAGGAGGGAGTAGAGATGTCTCATACTTGTGGATTAAGGTGAGGAGATACAAGGAAAATATGTGAAGGAGGCTTTGAACTGGGAAAAAGGGTGACAATGAGGTGTGGCTGTAGCCTAGGAATAGTCAGGGAAGCAGATAATTTAGTTAAAATGCCTCGACCTAATAAGGGAACTGGGCAGGCGGGAATAACTAAAAAGGAGCGCATAAAAGAATACTGTCCCAGTTGGCACCAGAATTGGGGAGTTTTAAGAGGTTTAGAAGCCTGGCCGTCAATACCCACAACTGTTATGGAGGCAAGGGAAAGAGGCCCTTGAAAAGAAGGTAATGTGCAGTGGATAGCCTCCGTATTAAGAAGGGGATGGACTCATCCTCCACTGTAAGAGTTACCTAAAGCATCTATCATGGTCCAGGAGGCTTCCAAGGCGATCGGGCAGTGTCAGTCTTCAGCCACTAAGCCGAGAAGATCTGGGAAGGAGTCAGTCAGTGAGCCTTGCGCCAGAGTTCCAGGAACTCTAGGAATGGCTGCCAGGTGAGTTGGACAGTCCAATTTCCAGTGGGGTCCTGCACAGATGGGACATTGCTTAGGAGGAATCCGGGCTGCAGACATTCCTTGGCCCAGTGGCCACATTTTCAGTACTTGAAGCAAGATCCTGGGGTAGGAGGTCTTGGAAGAACGCCTGGCCACTGCGGTTTAGGCGTTTTGAAATTCTTGTATGCTGGAGATGTGGCTGAAGTTTCTCTCACAGCAGAGGCAAGTAATTGCCACTCTTCTCTATTATTGTACACCTTGAAGGCAAGGTTAAGTCCTGTTGTGGGGTTTGAGGGCTGGAATCCAATTTTTGGAGCTTTTTCTAACGTCAGGAGTGGGTTGGGTAATAAAATGCATACTGAGAATAAGACGGCCTTCTGGCCTCTCTGGGTCTAGGGCGGTAAGGCGTTTAAGGGTTGTTGCCAAACGGGCCATGAACTGGGCTGGGGTTTTATATTTGATGAAAAAGAGCCTAACTGTTTTGGGAGAGGTCGGATAAAGAAAACAGGAGCAACAACCTTGACTATGCCTTTAGCTCCAGCCACCTCTTTAAGAGGAAATTGTTGGGCAGGTGGGGTAGGGCTAGTCAAGGAACAAAACCATAAGCCGGACTAGGTGTGAGGAGGGGAAGTGATAGAAGGATTATAGAGTGGGGGAACAGAGGCTGCGGAAGAATTGGGACCTGGCTCAGCCCGGCGAGCAGGGGAGAGGTCAGATGGCTCCACAGAAAAGGAGGATTCAAAGTACTCAGAGCTTGGGGTGGAGACCGAAGGAACACACAGGAGAGAAAGAAGAAAGATTTGGGATGAGTCGCATTGGGAGCAGAGACTAGGGCGGGACTGATGTGTAGAAGAATGCCTGGATGTCAGGAACCTCAGACCATTTGCCCATTTTACGACAAGAATTATCTAGATCTTGTAGGGTGGAGAAATTGAAAGTGCCATTTTCTGGCTATTTGGAACCACTGTCAAGTTTGTATTGGGGTCAGGTGGTATTGCAGAAGAAAATAAGGTGTTTAGGTTTTAGGTCAGGCGAGAGTTGAAGAGGTTTTAAGTTCTTGAGAACACAGGCTAAGGGAGAAGAAGGAGGAATGGAGGGTGGAAGGTTGCCCATAGTGAAGGAGGCAAGCCCAGAGAAAAGAGAGGGCAGAGACACAGGGGGGGTCGGTACTTGACACCAAGGTGAAGGATCAAGGCAGGTGTCCCTGTGGTGATCAGACACCTCTGAAATGTGGGTGAATAATCAGGCAGGCATCCCTGCAGTGATTAAACACCAAGGGAAGACTGTCTTCTCGAGTCCGTGACCAGTGCCGGAGTTTTGGGTTCACGGATAAAACACATCTCCTCTGTCTCTATCAGAAAAGGAAAGGAACTGAAATTAAGGGAAGGGATAGATTGAAGGGTGGTGCCAAAATTGAAAGGAGAAAGAGGTTGAGAGATAGTGAGAGAGGTTGGAGAAGAGAGTAAAAAGAAGCTGCTTACCCAATTTAAAATTGGTGAGATGTTCCTGGAGCTGGTTGGTCTGAGGACCCGAGGTTGTAGGTGGATCTTTCTCACAGAGCAAAGAGCAGGAGGACAGGTGACTGTCTTATCAGTTAAGGCAGGAACCGGCCATTTTCACTTCTTTTGTGATTCTTCAGTTGCTTCAGCATTTTCACTTCTTTTGTGATTCTTCAGTTGCTTCAGGCCATCTGGATGTATATGTGCAGGCTTGGGCTCAGAGGCCTGACATGCGTGTGTTTTGTGTTTTTCTGGATAGGCATGCATTCCTATGGAGGAGGTAAGCAGGGGGAAGGGAGCTCACATTCATCAGACACCTAGTATGTGTAGGAACCTTCTGCATCCCTGGAAGGATGGATGACCCCACATGTGAAACCTCTCGTGTGGTTCTTTTTGGAATTAACTACCATTGCTGAAAAGGGCCTACATAAAATATCAAATTTTAACATGCTGGAATTTTTCTTTATTTTTTTTCTCCTTCAAACATTTGTAGCTCTTTATATGTGGTATTTCCTCTGTGTCAGAAGGGAAAGAGGGTGCCCTTTGGGGAAGTTCTCTTCCAGACTCCTAGAAGAGAATCTGATTTACCTTAAATGCACAAACAAGGCCTTGCCATGTCACTGGCCAACCGCAGACAAACTACTTCAGTCACAGAAATAATTTGGACACTTTTGCTTTTTAAGGAAAAGATGATTTCCCTGGATTTTTTTCCTGTGAGGACGAGGCATTCCAAAACCCCAGCGGGGTCAGGCACAGTTCGCCAACTTTATGTTTTGGGGGGCAGCGCATTTGCTTCCCGAAGTGAGTTGCGAAACCGTTTTCTAGCGCGCACGGGGCTTTCATCTCTTCCGTGCATGCGAACGGCTTTCCGAGATGCCCCCTTTATGGGCTTGGCCATCGCTACTTTTGTTACAAATTAACGTCTGGGACTCGGACTGCTGCCAATAGGAAACTCCCGCGATTCGCTGCCTAGTTCGCCGCCCTCACAAGACTGGACTCTGCACAGGCCATCCATGCCCGCTGGTGCACCTCGCTCTCTCGCACGCTTAACCCGCGGGGACGCCCCCGACCTCCCACCTCAGCCCTCGCCACAGTTAGTCCCGCCCTTCCGCGCAGACTCCGTGGAGTCCTGTCACGCTCTCCGCGCGCTGCGGCAGCCGGGAGATTGTGAAGGGCACCTCCGGCAGCCAATTAACACCCGCATACTGGGCGGGACCACGCTTGGGCAGGCGGAGGGGGTCGACCGAAGGCGGGGACTTTTGAGTGACAAGGATGATGGCCAACCGTCGGAGGCCCTTCTACTGCGCCCCGCCCCTGAGCCGGCCGCCCAGCCCCCAGTGGGGTTCCCGGCGCGGGGAATGTCCCGGGTGGAGCTGGCTGAGTCGCGCGCTCTGCTCCACCCGACGGGGCTGTGTGTGCTGGGCCTGGCTCGCGGCGAACCGAGATGGCAGAGCAGTCGGACGAGGCCGTGAAGTACTACACCCTAGAGGAGATTCAGAAGCACAACCACAGCAAGAGCACCTGGCTGATCCTGCACCACAAGGTGTACGATTTGACCAAATTTCTGGAAGAGGTGAGTTGGGGATGAGCGGCTTGGGGCGCAGGGAGCGTGGGCCGGGTTTGGGGGTTCACTGGCATGACCTGTCTTTCGCGGCCCGGAGTCCGCATACCTACGCCTAGGCGCGCCCCCCGAGTTCGCTCACCTGCGCGTGTACGCCTGGGCGCGCTTCCGAGTCCGCACACCTGCGCGTGCAAGCCTGGGCGCCCCCCACCGCCCCAAGTCCGCACACCTGCGCGCTCACACCTGGGAGCGCTCCCCGAGTCCGCACACCTGCTAGTGTACACCTGGGCGCTCTCCTCGAGTCCGCACACCTGCGCGTGCACACCTGGGGAGCGCTCCCTGAGTCCGCACACCTGCGCGTGTACACCTGGGAGCGCTCCCCGAATCCGTACACCTGCGCGTGCACACCTGGGAGCGCCCTGCGCGGCGGCATCCTCGCTAGGTGGTGCTGGAGCAGCCTTCCGGGGATAGCGCGCAGCCATGCGGGGGATTTAAATGATCCCTTTCTCCCTTGAGTTTGAATAGAAGGGTGTCCTTCCAGGACCGGCGGCATTCCCGCAGTGGCCGGCTGGAGACCACCCACCCCGAGAGCTGCGGATCCCGCCGGAGGGGACCCCAAGTGCGGAGGTCGGGTGTGGTCCGGGCCTGCGCTTCCCGCGGCAGCCACTGGCCGACCTTGCGGTCCACACCCACTCGCGTTCGCGTTCACCTGGAAGAGGCTCGGTGTTAATTAACCTTTTCCAGTCACGCCTTGGCAGCCAGGTGCCGTGCTTGACTCCTGAGACCGCGGTGTGTGGCTGGAGCAAGAACACAGAGGCCAGGCAGAGCAGCGGACGTTCTGCGTGGGACTCGCCCCTAACAGCTTTGGAAGGTGTAATAGGAAACGTTGGTTAACTTGAAGACATTCCTTTGATAAGATTCTTTGCATTCGGTTATAATTTTTGCCGCACACGCTAAGGGGCGCTTTTGGTGATTGTCTTAGATCCTCTGGAAGTGTTTTACTACTTTTGGGGGAGTCTCAATCATAAATCTTAACGCATGCTCACGCCCCCTCCCAATAATGAGAAGGTTTAGTGATGGGAATTTTTTACATAGTCGGGGAGCAGGGGACAAAAATAGATGCCTGGTCTGAGCTGGATCACAGTTTATATCAGAGGACTTTGTTTTTGCAGAAAATGTTAAAATCAAAAGGCCTGTTTTAAAAAATGAGGCTGGGCCAAGCACGGTGGCTCACACATGTAATCCCAGCACTTTGGGAGGCTGAGGCGGGTGGATCACTTGAGTCTAGGAGTTCGAGACCAGCTTGACCAACATGGCGAAACCCCATCTCTAACCAAAATACCAAAATTAGCCAGGCCTGGCGGGGCACGCCTGTAGTCCCAGCTACTCGGGAGGCTGAGACAGGAGAATCCCTTAAACCTGGGAGGCAGAGGTTGCAGTGAGCCGAAATCGCACCACTTTGCTCCAGCCTGGGGGACAGAGTGAGACTCTGTCTCTAAATAAATAAATAAAATTAAATAATAAGGCTGGAGTTGATGTTTATTGGTAAGGTATTTCACTCTGGAGCAGTGCCCGAAGATAAAGTCATGTTACCATTTAGTAAGGAGGGGTTTATGTTGGGAAATCAGAGCTGACCTGTCCTCTCCCTCCTGCCCGGCTGCAGATCTTGTCATATAACATCAATTCTCATTAACTCTAAATGTGGAATTTTAAGATACAGTGTGTGCTTTGTCTATTTGTGCTTATAGAAGAAGTAGCATAAGAGAATATTAGGATATTTTATATTATGAAGCATTTTCTTCTTTTCTTGTCTTCTCCTAAAGCGAGTTTTTTCAACCCTGGCACTGTTGACATTTTGGGCCAGCCGATCTTTGTTGTGGCGTCTGTCCTGGGCATTGTAGGATATTGAGCCACCTCCCTGAGTTCTACCCACTAGATGACCGGTACCACCACCTCCCCTATTTTTTTTTTTTTTTTTTTTTGAGACAGAGTTTTGCTCTTGTGGCCCAGGCTGGAGTGCAATGGTGTGATCTCGACTCACTGCAACCTCTGCCTCCTGGGTTCAACCAATTCTCCTGCCTCAGCCTCCCAAGTAGCTGGGATTACAGGCGCACACCATCACGCCCAGCTAATTTTTGTATTTTTAATAGAGACAGGGTTTCAACATGTTGGCCAAGTTGGTCTCGAACTGCTGATCTCAGGTGATCCACCCACCTTAGCCTCCCAAAGTGCTGGGATTACAGGCGTGAGCCACTGCTCCCAGCCCTACCTCCCCTATTTATAGCAACCCAAAATGTCTCCAGATATTGCCAGAGGTCCCCTAGGGCACATAATCTCTCCAACTTGAGAATTACTAAGGTTACTGTGCATGACTTTAGGGGTAGATTTTCAGAGACGATAATAGGGAAGTGAAGATTATTGTTAAAATGTACTCAAAACTATTTACTTTCACATTTCATTCCTGTGAGTCAGGAAAGGAGGGATTGTGCAAAAAATTTTCCGAGAAAAACTGAGAGATGAGAGCAAGCTCTTGAGTGGGTAAATTAGCTGAAAACAAATTTCTTTATTTTTTCTTACTCAAAGTTTTTGTGGAGAATGCATCTCAAATAAAATGAACAAGAGGGTGGCTGACCCCTGGAACGGCTAGGAGGATGGCGTGAGTGAGGAGGCTGGGGTCTGGGAGAAACACAAGGAGTTAGTTTGGTTTTGGTCCTGTTGACTTTAAGAGGTTGGAGGGATCTTCAGGCATTGCGAGAACTGCATGCGTTTCTGCCTCCACTGTCTGCCAACATGTGGTTCTGGGAACAAGCAAGGCCACTTAGCCTTTCACTGGATTGTGTCTGACCTCTGGGCACCTCCCGATTCGACCTCTTATGGACGTGTTTTTCCATTTGCCGTCTTTATTATTTGCTTTGACTTTCTGTGACCATCTCTTGCTTATTGCATGTCCTGGTCATTGGCTTCCCAGCCCCCGGCAAAGCCTCTGGGAGCCTCTCTCTGGGTTCTATCTGAGACTCTAGCCAGGATTCCTTGCAGGTGACTTCCTGTGCTCCTGGGGTTATATCTCCAATAAGCTCACTCGCTCAGAGCTCTTCAGCACACTGCCCTGCCAGGTAGTTTGTTATGAGGCTAGTCTGTTTGTCTGAAACGTACTTTTAAAACAGAAATGAGTGCAGAATGTCTCTGTCTCTCTTCCCCGCTTGCCCGATCCTCTTTCCTGTCTTCTATTGTTGAAAGGCTCCAGAATTTCATGAAGCCTTTGTGTGTTAACTAACAAATATTTTATCTCACCTAATTTACCTAAATAGGAAAGATTTATCTTCTCCTTCTAACTCTCAAATGAACTTTCAGTCATTATGGGCTAGACCTTTGTTTACTGTGAGATCCCCCATCCGTATGGACAGGATTTCTCATGGCTGAGTATTTCCCCTTCTTTCAGAATGTCCTAGATTTATGTGCATGTCCGTGTTCATGTTGAGAAGGTGTGTGGTGAGATGGTGGAGGGATCCTGCTCTGCTGGCAGGTACAAGCCAAGAACACAGGTTGAAGCTCACAGGTGCAGCATGTGCTCCGACCTCCTGAAATAATGGCCACTAAAGCTGTTTTTGTTGTTTAGGCGGAGGGGTAGAAACCTAAGAGGGAAGACTGGCTTATTATTAATGGCAGTCGACATAGCAGCAGGTGCTTAGTTACTGTCTGATACTTAAAAGATTTTGAGCTTTATTGCCTACATATTTTGAACTAGATTTTTTTTTCAATCCTGAGTTCTAGTTTTTGAGTTTATATTTGTGAAATTGAGTCTTTGCTTGATCATAGAACTTTAAGGGACAGTTATTTGAAATGAAAACTTAGGCATTTAGGACCAGGGGGAGAAATGTTTGCATTTCCCTTTCTGTGATTTGGGCAGCAGCATCTATTCAGTTTTTAAAAGAGCTGTGGAGGGGAGAGAGAAAGGTATCCTGTAATTAACAACACTTCCATTAGCTGTTGCTTTTGGTTCAAGTCAGTGGGTGTTTGATTCGTGAAATAGATACTGTCCTGGAAAATTTTATAAAGCAGAATGTCTTTTTGTGAAGTTGTCTCCTCTCCCTTTACATCATAAAAATGGAAACTTGCTTCTGTAGAACATTTTCTAGTGTTCCTGGGATTCTGATAGTCTTGGACCTGAGCCTTAAATGTTCTTTACAGCATTCTGCCTCATAGAAGCTATTGGCTCCTGACTCACTTTGATTTTTGGAGTCTTAAAAGTGTCCTTTCTAGCAGGTTTTATTGTAGGGACTTGCTCTTTGTTATTTTCCATTGAACATGGCTGCCTATGTTGCGTAGACCAGTGGTTCTAAGGCTTGGGAATCGAGGAAGAGAGTATGGGTGCTGAAATTCATTGCCCTTAATTTTGAAAAACATAGAACACGTATCTTTACCCTTGTTAAAGCTACCATATTTAGGGCTAAAATACTAAATGCCTTTGCTTTTTGCAAGAAAATTTGATAGTATTCTGAATCTCATGCTACTAAAGGCTGCAGTTGGCAAATATGCCTTTGATGCATGTAAAATGGGAACATTATTATTATTTAATATATACCGTTAGGTAAATAAAACTTAGAAATTACAGAGTCTGTAGAAGGGAAATATAAAGTTATTGTTGGTAGTGTTGGTGGCTTAGGCATCTTGGGTAAAGTGGTAGTAAAACCACATCTTAGAAGGCCACCTGGGGAATGTGAACCCGTGAGGCTTTTGTATATTTCTATATATATCTCTATATTTTTTGGTAACCTGTTGCTACTTTTGAAAAGAGGTTCCAAGAGGCAA
This sequence comes from Homo sapiens, assembly GCF_000001405.40. NCBI lineage: Eukaryota > Metazoa > Chordata > Mammalia > Primates > Hominidae > Homo > Homo sapiens. The sequence continues at coordinate 74,286,949 of NC_000018.10, read as the reverse complement.
CTTTGTTTTGAAACAGTAAAGAAAACAGTAAAGAAACAGCAAATTAACTTTTGCTTTTTGATTATCTTAAAGGTTGATGAAAATTGTAAATAAGGAAGGGAAAACACATGCAAGCCGGCTTTGGTCAATCAAGGAATAAATAACATGCACAATTTTACTGAATGTGAATGTCTGGTATTCTGAAAAGTCCTCCTGGTGAAGATGGCTGATAAGTGCCTTTGTAGTTGAGTGGAGTCTGAACAACCCTGTCCCGCTGGGCATTCATGGGAAAGCACTGGGCTGGGGTTAGGAAAACTAGACCTGGTCTTAGACATATCATGGAGGTGACCTTGGGCAAGTCAGGTATTTCTTTCAGTCACTTTCCTTGTTCTGAAGTGGGAACTATTCTGTCACTGCCATCTGCATTGGGAGAAATGATATATGTGAGAACACTGGAAAAAATATGTAGAGAAGGCATTTAAGTGACTATATTTTGATTGAATTAAAATTTTAAAATAAATTGTTTTTATGTGGAAGGTCCATTTAGTAGGAACATATCTCAGGAATTATAGTGTTAACTAGTAAACAAAATGACTCAAAATACAAATATTCACATGAAATATAATTGTTCAGGAATGTGTGCTTTGCAAGATTGGAAATCATCCCATTTCAGGAGCTTTTAAACATACAACTTTATTGTGTAAGGGGAAAATAATACATGATCATGTTAAGGAAGTGGACAGTGTGGAAAACTGCAAAGAAGAAACTCAAAGCTGCCTGGAGCTCTGCTCCCCGAAGGTGGCCAGCTTGAGCAGTTTGCACACTCACTACTACAACACCTTGCTCGTGGATGTGCTTTACATCCATGGAAATGTGCTCTGCATGCTGCTCTGTAATCTCCCTTTTTCCCCACTAAACTAGGTGTTGAGGGACCAGTCCTGAATTTCAGTAACTCCTGTTCCCAGGCTGCCTCCTTATTGTATAGAGGGATCCTAATATACGGAATCCTCTTTCCTTCCATGTTTTTAGGTTCCCACCTGCAATTACCTCCTTATGGTAGATCTTTGTAAGTGGGATTCTTGGGTGAAAGGATGTACACTTCTACTTTTTTTTTTTTTTTTTTTTTTGAGATGGGGTCTTGCTGTGTTGCCCAGGCCGTGGTGTGATCTCAGCTCACTGCAGCCTTGACCTCCTGGGCTCAACCAGTCCTCCCTCTGGAATAGCTGGGACCACAGGCATGAGCCACCATGCCCAGCTAATTTTTGTATTTTTTGTAGAAATGTAGTCTCTTGTTGCCCAGGCTGGTCTCGAACTCCTAGGCTCAAGTGATCTGCCCCCTTTGGCCTCCCAGAGTGCTGGGATTACAGGCATGAGCCACTCTAAATTTTGATGGATGTTACCAGAGCACCCTGGGGTGGCACACCAGTGTGTGCATTTCTCGGTTCTTAGGAGTGGAGGAACTTGGTTGCGCCTCATTCACCTCCCTTCCTGAATTTGGCTGTGTACTTCTGTTAAAAAGGGAAATGTATGGAATAATTTTTTATCCCCTTTAGCTTATAAATTCTCTTAAAAGTGAAGCTGTGGCAAGTAATACCTTGTCTATTCTATGAAAGAATTTCATTGTCTGAAGGCTCAAAGCATCAGAAAAGTGACCGGAGGCAGCAGCTGACTACATGGGAAACTGAGTAGCAGGCTCAGAGCCATTTCTGGAGTCTCAAGAGTGTCCTTTCTAGCAGGTTTTGTTGTAGGGACTTGCTCTTTGTTATTTTCCTTTGAACATGGCTGCCTACATTGCATAGACCAGTGCTTTCCAAGGCTTGGGGATAGAGGAACAGAGTATGGGTGTTGAAATTCATTGCCCTTAATTCTGAAAAACAGAACATTTTAATCAAGTGTGCTTCCTTTCCTATTACCCTTGGACCTAGTTTTCTTGGGAACATAGTCTTGAGTGTATATAGTAACTGGGTATCTGTGCCTTTTACTGAGTTCCAACATGGGGACCGGGAGGGTGAGCTGAAGATTGGGTGGGGACAGCTCCGTTCTTGCTGTTGAATAGAATCTGGCCTGTGCTGCCTGTTGGCTTAGAGCTGACGGCTCTGTGGATGATGGCAAGAAGTTACTTTCTTACATCCGTAGAATTCTGTCTCTAGCAGGCCCATGCCAAAATGATGGCATCTGAACCAGCACTGACGCTGGGGAGGCTCTGGAGGGGGCGAGGGATAAGGGATGTGGACCTAAGGGAAGGGATGGGGTGATTAACAGCCTCTAGGCTCAGTTAAGGGTCCTCTCTGCCTGGCTGGTGGGCACGGGAGCCTGTCTGAAATGGAATCACTTGAACTCTTCTGTAGTTGAGGGCCTGGGGAGTGTCAGTTTGCAGCTTGTTTCTTTCACTGCCTGCTATTGTTTGTTCTTGGCAGACCTATTCATTAAGCTTTGTGCAGCTGTGTCCAGAATTAGCCAGGTCACAAAATATATCCAGACTTCTTTCCCTCGTCTTCCTCAGAAAGTGTTAATTAAGTAAATGCCATTCATTAATCGTCCCCAAGTAAATGCTATTCTTTAATCCTCCCCTCCCCAACAATCCCTAGTGAGCTAATAAGAAAAGTGATAGCAGTGGACGTTGGCTGAATGTTTATGGACATTCAGTATGTGCTAGGGAGTGTGCCAAGTGCTTTTTGCACATAAAACCTTCTTTGCGTTTGTGCTTTTAATCTCTCTTTTTTTTTTTTTTTTTTTTGGAGATGGAGTTTCACTGTTGTTGCCCAGGCTGGAGTGCAATGGTGCAATCTCGGCTCACTGCAACCTTCCACCTCCCAAGTTCAAGCGATTCTCTTGCCTCAGCCTCCCAAGTAGCTGGGATTACAGGCATGCACCACCAGGCTGACTAATTTTGTATTTTCATTAGAGATGAGGTTTCACCATGTTGGTCAGGTTGGTCTCAAACCCCTGACCTCAAGTGATCCACTCGCCTCGGCCTCCCAAAGTGCTAAGATTACAGGTGTGAGCCACTGCGCCCGGCCTGTGCTTTTAATCTTCAAAACAACCCTATGGGGTCAGTGGTGATTGTGTCCTCCCTTTTAAAGGTAAGACGGTATGTCTTAGGGAGATTTTGCAGCTTGCTCAGCAAGTCCCACAGACGATAAGGAGCAAAGCCAGGGCTTCAGTCCAGGCTGCGGGCGCTGCGACCCAGTGTCTTCAGTGCTGAGTCTGTTGCTGAGGCTTGAGATCCAAGGAGTATTGATGAGAACCTAGCGTAGCTTTAAAAGCAAAAGTGCATCCCACTGATACAGAGTTGCTGTCATTTGCTGGAGACCTTGATCACTGGAGAGTTCTCTGGAGGAACCAGGGAGAAAGCAAAGGGAATTTGTGATGCAAATATCTGAACAAAGCCAAAACCCTTGGAAAGTTAATGGACAAAAATATGCCTTTCTTTCCATCTGTTGTCAGTTTACTATGTTGCCTTCTAGGAGGTGAAGGAAACAGCCATTCCTGTTTCTTGTAGAGGAATTTTTAAATAGAGGGAGTCGGGGTGGAGTCTTCACGGCCTCAGTTTGTTTGTGACCCAGATGCTGCTCTCACCTGGCAGGGGCTGAATCATCGGTGTGGTTTTGGTTCGGAAAGAGATTGTTTGCACGTGTAGTGGGTATGTGTGAGGAGGCATGTGTTGTTTGGTGAAAGGCATCTTAAATGACTGCCCTGGGAAGGATTGTTTAAATGGAAATCCGAGGAGGTTCCTGCTCTGATAAATCCCTCAGTGGGTCCCGCTCATCTCTCGCCCTCCCCTTCCGGGTCCATATCCCCTCTGCATGTGCCACGAGGTTGGTTGCAGGGTGGTTAGAATATCTTTCTCCTCCAAGCTGAGAGCAGATGCCCTGGTGTGGCCTCTCTTGTATCTTTGCCACCTCTCATGGTGGCCACTGGGCAGTCAGTTCTCAGGATTTCATTGGTTCCATCAAATGGGTGGTGGTTTTATGAGTTTTCAGCTTGAGTAATAAATGCTATTTATGGCATTGAAAAGTGTGATTTCTAGGAGAAGCACACAAAAAAAACTTGATCTTTTGGAAACAGATTGTCCTTTTTCTGTTCAGTTCCTTTCAATGGCTTCCTGTTGCATTTAGAATAAAATTGTATCTCTTTGCCCTGGTTTGGAAAGCTCTGAATGATCTGGTCCTTACCTACCTCCCCCACCTCAGCAAATAACACTGTGTCCTCCCTGCTAATGCCCACACCTGATCACATTGACCCTTTCTCTTTGTTTCTCAAACAAGCCAAACTTGTTTTTACCTTGAAACCTTTGCCCTGGTTTCCCCTGTGTCAGGCTTGGCCCTGTTCAGGTCTCAGCATGGTGTCCCATCCCGTTTTGTGCCTCTGCTAGCAGTTAGACCCTCCCGGCTGTGATATGCTGCTTTTTCCACGCGATGAGGGCTCCTGCCTGCCCGCCTGCTGTGCACCTGGCCCATGTCCGGTGCCAGGAAGTCACTCTTCCGGGGATGGAAGAGGAGAGCCTGGTGGAGGAACAGATACGAGCCCCTGCTCTGTGACTATCTTATTTTTTTCCCCCTTTTTCCATACACAGTGCATACTAGTGTGATCCCTTCTTACTCTGTGGCCCTTGTCCGGTGCCAGAAAGTAACTTCCCAGGATGGAAGAGGAGAGCCTGGTGGAGAAACAGACACAAGTCCCTGCTCTGTGACTATCTTATTTTACCCCCTTTTTCCACACACGGCACATGCTAGTGTGATCTCTTCTTACTCTGTAGGCCTTGGCCTGGGATTTTGTCCCTGAGGATTGCACAGTTAGAAACTAGTGGGACTGTATTGTGAAAGTCTGGATTGTGACATAGTCTCAGAGCATGGAACACAAGAATGGCATCGAGGGAGGCTCCCAGGCAGTCAGTAGAAGGGAAGAGGAGAATTAAAGGTGAGGGGAGCACTTTGGTCTGCATTTTCCAGTCTCTTCCTGCCCAGAGCCCGGGCCTCCACCTGTGCCTGAGATCCTGTTCCCCTTCCCACTCACAGACATTCCCTAAGCCACCCGATGTTCCCCAGTATAAACCAGGCCCCTCCAGGCCACACCCTGCTGGGTTATTCTCATCAGTGTTCCTGCTGTTTTCTCCTTTCCTGCAAAACACACACACACACACACACACCCTCCTCTCCTGCAAAAACACACATATTCCCTTCTCCCCTGAAACACACACATACACACACACACACACACACACACAGCCTCCCTTGACTCTTCTGCCCCCTCCAGGATTTCCTCATTTTTCTGCTCCCCTGAATAGTAGAAGCCTCTGAAAGGGTTGTTAAGCCTGGTCTCCAATCCACCTCCTCCATTCCCTTTTAAACCACACCTGTTCACCACAGCTTCTCTTGCCAAGGTCTCCCAGGGTGCCTTGTGTCAGCTCTCAGTTCTCCAACACAGTGGCTCAGCAGACTCTGACATAGATGCTCACCCTCCTGGGTTGCCATCCTCTCCTGGTTCCCTCCTCCCTCCACCTCCTGTCTCCTTTTCCCACTTCTCTTCTGTCCGACCTCCTTATTGGAGGGCCCCCCTGGGGCCTGGGCTTTTCCGCTTTGGCAGGCTCACACAGTAGCATGGCTTTAATGTGCTAATGAATCCTGGATTGTCACATCCTGGCCAGAAAGACCTCTGTCCTGAACTGGCTCTTGTATCCCTGAGGCTACATCACAGTTAGATGTCCAGTAGGCTTCTCACCCTAACGTGGGAAACACACCTGCTCCCTCTGCATGTCCCCATCTCAGCAGATGGCAGTTCCATTCTCCCAGCTGCTCAGGCCAAAAGCCTGGGGGTTGTGCTCCTCTCTTCTCTTGCTCTCATACCCACATCCAGTCCACCAGGACATTCTGTGGGCCTAACTTTCATAATGTCAGAATCTCACCAATTTTTTACCATGTCTACTGCTGCTCCCCTGGTTGGAGCCTCCATCTTCTCTCGCGTGGTCCCCTCCTGCCCCCGACAGCATATTCTCACCATAATAGAGTGACATTTTAAAGTCAGATGGGGTCAGTCCGTATACTCTGTTTAAACCCTTCAAGGGCTGATTACACTGCCCCATTTTAAGACTTAGGATATGGCTGCAGTTGTCAGGAAAGTGTAGTTCTGGCAGAGGGACACATACGTATGTCCATGTAGCAGAATAGAGAGGCCAGAGATAGACTCGCACAAAGATTTCCACCTCATTGTTGACAGAGATGGAAAAGCAAGTCGATAGAGGAAGGATAGCCTTTTCAGCACATAATTCTGGAACAACTGGACATCAATAACCAAAAACATAAACCTTGACTGAAACCTCACACCTTATGCCAATTAACTCAGAATGGATCATAGATCTAAATATAAAATGTAAAACTTTTTTTTTTTTTTTTTGAGACAGGGTCTTACTCTGTCACTCAGGCTGGAGTGCAATGGCATGATCACGGTTCACTGCAGCCTCCACCACCTGGACTCAGGTGATTCTCCAACCTCAGCCTCCCAAGTAGCGAGGACTACAGGTGTGCACCACCATGCCTGGCTAATTTCCCTTTTTTTTTTTTTTTGTAGAGACAGGGTTTTGCCGTGTTGCCCAGCTGCCAGCTGGTCTCAAACTTCTGAGGCTCAAGTGGTCTACCTGCCTTGGCCTCCCAAAGTGCCAGGATTACAGGCATGAGCCACTGCACCTGGCCGACATGTGAAACTTTTTAAGGTGACTTAGGATTAGGCAAAGAATTCTTAGATGTAGTAGAAATGTGATCCATTTTCAATTCTTTGCACTGGAAGGTTATTCCCCCCAAATAACATATGGTTCCCTGCCTCACCTCCTTTGAGTACTCACTCACTATCACCTCAACACTATCACCTGACCACCGTATTTAAGCCTGGATATTACCCCAGCCCCCTGCACTGCTGAGCCCAGTTATGCTGCTGAGTTTTTCCCTGTAGCATGTATTACCTTGTAACATACGGTATAATGTACTCATTTATTAGTTTTTGCTTCTCTGTGTCCTTCCACTAGAAATGTATGCTCTGTGAATGCAGGACTTTTTCTCTTTTATTCACTGATAAATCCAGTTTTTAGAACAATGCTGGCACATAGAAAGGACTAAATAGTTATTTATTGATTGAATAAGAATTAAAAGTTTATAAATATAAAATACTAGAAAGCTGATGTGGAATGGCTGCTGGGTGACATTGAATAATTTTCTGATACCTTATTTTATTTCTCCTTTGTCTCACCTGCATATTTCAACCCAGTTTATTATGATTAAACATGAAAGAGAGGCCTAGTTATTTGGCATTGAGAGGAAAAAAAACAAAAGAGAGAGATGGGCACATGCCACTGTCAATCCTGCTTTCTTTCCACCTCTGGGCTGAGCGTAGGCTATTCTATTATCTCTTTTGTTTTTTATTTATTTTTATTTATTATTTATTTATTTTTGAGACGGAGTCTCACTCTGTCGCCCAGGCTGGAGTGCAGTGGCACGATCTCAACTCACTGCAACTTCTGCCTCCCGGGTTCAAGCAGTTCTCCCTGCCTCAGCTTCCTGAGTAGCTGGGATTACAGGTGGCTGACACCATGCCTGGCTAATTTTTGTATTTTTTAGTAGAGACAGAGTTTTGCCTTGTTGGCCAGGCTGATCTCAAACTCCTGACCTCAGGTGATCCGCCTGCCTTGGCCTCCCAGAGTGCTGGGGTTATAGGCGTGAGCCACCGCGCCCGGCCTTGTCTCATCTTTTGGCCATTCCAGCTTAAGATAGATCGTAGTTAGAGTAACAGCCTCTCTTAGGTCATCACTCATCTACCACTGGGCCCCCAGTTTTGGTGGCTTGCATATTCCTCTGAGGACATCGGGTTGCATTGGGTTACAAAGCAGGAGGTAAGCTGTGGCAGCTCTGGGCCTGGCAGGACTGGTGCCACAGTGCCCTCCTGCTCTTGTCCCTCAGAAGCAGGCCTGTCCCTGGTCCTTCCCTGTACCCCAAGGTCATCATGTCAGAATTGGTGGCTTATGTACTCTTCAGAGATTAGAGGAAGAATTAGCACACCTGCTTTATTTTATCCAATGAGACAAGTGTAGTAATGGTAGAAGTTGAAATACTGGTCAGGGCATAGTGACCAAAATTTGGTTACCAGTACGTTTTAGACCAAACATTTACTAATTCAGTTCTAAAAGTAATTAAGAAGAATTTTGTTTCTCTTTTTCAAGAAGAGGAAATTCTAACAGCATTCTGCAGGATGATTGCCAGCTCACAGGCTGTGCATAAGACCTGTCTGCCCTTGGCCTAACTAACCTTTAAGAACCATCTCATGTAGAAATGTCTATTATTTTTATCATAGGATGTTTCTGTGAATGTGTGCCATTTGGTTCTGTGATTCAGGAGAATCCAGCCAGTTGATTAAATCCAGAGATAACTTTTGAAGATGAAGGAGAGGTGGTGAGAAGGGGGTCCCTTGGGTTTGGTGCTGGAATTGGCCTTCAGCAATTTACAAAGGCCAGGAACTGTGCCAGGGACTATACATAGTCTCTGTGGCAATATAAAATGGGGATGAGGAAGAAGGAAAAGTGAACTGATCTTTCTCGAACATCTCTTACTTGCCACGGAGTCTGCTAATTAATTCACTTAATCCTGCAGATGGGTAGCTGCCAGATAGACTGTGCCTGAGGGACTCAGGAATCATCTGGACTTAGACCCCTGTTAGCAGATCTCAGCGAAGTGGCTCTCCTCTCAGTACACACAGTGGTCAGGAGACTTGGCGTGGAGTCAGGCGGCCTGCGTTCATTCCCCAGGGCCTCCCCTAACTGGCTCCGTCACCTCTGTCTGTAAAGTGGGGATAGTAATGGTAATGCCTGCCTCTTGGGCTTATGAGCTTTAGAAGGGTCCACACAAGTGCTCAGAATACTTCCCTATACACAGTGAGCATTTATTAGATGTTACCCACTGATATTCATCATTATTTGTCCCTAGACTTTTTCCCTGGCTGCTAGAGTGGAAAGGAGAGAAATTGAAGGCATTTGTTCAGGCTGTGAAATGCAGAGATCTTCGGCAGAAACTCCAGGTGCTCTCTTCCAGTCTGGGCTTTCTGGGTTAATTTCTCACTGGAGACCCAAGCCCTCACCTGAGCCATATAAAGTTACCCCTGTATCCTCCATGACACCGTTGTGTTCTGCCTCAGGGCCTCTATGTGTCTGTGTCCCGGGCTTGGGATGCCTCCCCTTGCTCACCTGGCGAGCTCCTGCTGAAATGTTCACACAGAGTCTAAGCGTTGCCTCCTGAGTGACCCCTCCTGGGCCTTTTCTCTGCCTCACACTCCTGGGAGAGTTAATCCCTCCATCTTTTGTGCCATGACTCCTGCACCTGATGCTCGCCACATTTAGCTATCTGTTTACATGTCAGTTTCCTTACTAGACTCTAACTTCTTGAGGGTGGGGCCATGACTTTGCCATTTTGGTAGCAACAGAGCATGGCTTGGCATTCATCAGATGTTTGAATGAGTTTGTGGGTCCCATAGGCAAGCTGGGTGACTGCCAGAGGGGCCTCTTTAGTTTCATGCCATGACCTTCTAGGTGAAATGGGAAGTAATTCCATCAAGGCTTATGGGGATACAGTGAGAGGGTGGATATGAAGCCCCGAGTTGGTGCCCCATGCAGATGCTGGCCCCTCCACAGAGTCCAGAATGGAGCAGGACAGAAGTCTGATGAACTCAAACCAACTTTGAGGCCATCACCCTTTCCCGTCTTAGAAAAACAGCATCCAGAAATGATAGGAAATGTTTGGTCAGGGCATCTTGTTATCTTATTCTAAATCTTGCATCAATTGTTCATTCTCCAAACTCTTTTGAATTGTTTTCATTTTGGGCTTAACTATTGCAGATAAGCTCTTTAAATTAAAGGTTGTTTTTGCCTACTTGTTGTTTATGGACAATCTCTGTACTCCACCTTTTTTGGTATGTTAAGCATTTGGAATGAAAGATCCTGTTTAAAACTCCAGAATGGATGGACTTCAGTCACTTAGCATTGCATTTAGGTGAAAAGGGTTTTTTGTTATGGTTGTCTTTCTCGAACTTCTCTTACTTGCCAAGGAGTCTACTAATTAATTATATGACTTAATCCTGCAGATGGGTAGCTGCCAAACAGACTGTGCCTGAGGGACACGGGAATCATCTCGACTTAGACGCCTGTTAAAGTGGCTCTCCTCTTAGTACATACAGTGGTTAGGAGACCTGGTGTGGAGTCAGGCGGCCTGCGTTCATTCCCCTGGGTTCGGTTCATTTTTGCTTGGTTAAGCAAACCCTCCGAAGGCATGACTTTGACCTGCTGCAGATTGTCATATTGTAGTGTCGTTTTGCATACGCTTTTGACTGTTTAATAGTGACAACCTTGTAGTCAAGTGGAACCCTGACAGAAGGGTGTGTGTGTGTGTGTGTGTGTGTGTGTGTGTGTGCTGAATCTTTTGTACTTCGTAAGACCCAGAAAGGCAGGGCAGATGACAAAATTTCTTGAGGTTTAGAAGTCTGTGAAGTTTTCTCCCAAATTCTCAAAAGGGAAATTTATGAAGAAACTTTATTTTTAAGACATCTTTTTATATTTAAAGATACTTTGTTCAGAAATGTAAAAATGGTCACTTTATTTGCATGTTCAGAAAAAAAGGTGGGGGGAACTGAACTCTCAAAGTCAGAAAGCAGGGTTCCCGTCCCACCTCCCTCGTGAGCTATCAGTGTGGCACTGGGCTTCATTCCTCTGCGTCCCATTTTCTCTGTCTGAAAATTTAGGATGTTGAGTCTCTGAAGGTCCTTTGCACCTCTAAGCCTCTGGGATTTTTCACCTTCACCCTACCGTTTGGAGTCAAGATCTCCAGGTCAGTTGCCTGGTTTTGATGCCAGGCTCACAGAGGAGGTGGAGGATAGTGGGCTGTGCAGGAAGCTGAGGGAGTTAAGTATTAAGGCTGGAGCTTGTGTTGGGTCGAGGGGGAGAAATGGGGTTGGAGACGCCTCTGGGCTGGGTCAGATCCCGGTGCCGCGCTGGTGTTGGGGTATCTGGTCTGCGCACCGCCGGGTCCTCCCTGGCCACCCTACTGTGTGGCGACGGCTCCTCCAGCATGTTCTTCAAGCCTCTCCTTTTCAGCTTCTTCATCTTTATTTATCTGCTCTATTGATCCACATCCTAACTATTCTAAAGGGGCTGAGGTTATTTTTTAATAGCTCCCGCTTTTCCAGACTCTGCTGTGTTCAGGCAACAATTCGGATGCCCCTTCATGTTCCTCTTGTTGCTTGCTGCATGTCAAACCCTGATTGGTAGGAAGCTTCTCGAGGCTCGGACTGTGTATTCGTGAGTTTCAGATGCTTCTGCATGTTTACACAGGTCACTTTTCTTGACTAAATGATTGATGTAGTAATTAGGATTAGGCTCAGGAGATCCTCTAATAACTGGCTTAAGCGGGACAGGAGTTTATTTGCCCTAAAGAAGTGATCTTTGCCACCAGAGCTGTGTGATAACTGCATCCCGCTCCCTTCTCGGCCTGTCCTGGGGACAGCCTCATCCTGGTGCTCGGAGGCGGTATCTCAACTCCAGGCAGCAGGATGAAGGAAGACAGGGCACAGAGGATCCACCACTCCAGAAGGAAGACTTCTGGAAGATTCTTCCATTCCATGAGCCAGAGTTTAACCACATGAGATATGTAGCTGCAAGGAGGCTGGGAAGTATCTGTAACATCTTTCTTTGTTGGCCATTCCCAGCTCAGAGTTTTAAGTATTAGGGAGGAAAGGAGAAACAGACATTGGAGCAATGAACAATTCCACCCCCGTCCCCCTCACCTGATTTGTTCAGCGAAGGGTACCTCCTGTGCTGCACAGGTGTTGACGCTCTCTTCGAGAAGTTCCAGAGGCATTTGATTTAGCTGCAGAAATTCTCCACCGTAGGTTTTTGAGGAGGGTACAAGAAATGGTCAAAACAGTACTTGAGGATGAGATCCCAGCAGCAATATATGCAAGGGACAAAAGTGGGGTAAGGATTGGAGTGAGGAAGACCAGCTGGCGGCTGCAGCCAGAGGCCCTCCCTGGTTTCCTTTACAGGAACGGAAGCCTCTGCTGTCAATTGAGCCAGACTATTAACCTTTGACTTTGAGATTTTATAACTTGTTTCTGCAAGGCCACTAAAATGTAGCAAATTTAGGAGTTAAGGGCAACGTTAGACAAAAATATTATTCTGTATCAAGCTTAAGACAATCTCATTTGACCTAGTTATTTGAAGAATATAGCTGGCAAAGACAATTCCAAAAATATAGTGTATACCCATTTTTACTTTCTGGGTAGAGTATCTAAGGAACTATAAAATGGCCCTAGAAACAACAGGAATGAAGAATGGGCCTGGTAATTGTTTTCACCCAGTGACCAGCTTCTGAATAAGTAACAGTTATAGACTGCAAATTTAAACCTAGAGTGACTGATTTTACCCACAGCATTTTCTTTCTCCTTACGATTATTGCCTTCACACTAAGAATTTATTATTTATTGAAATCATCTGTATCAAGTAGCATCAAATTTATTTTATCTTGCCAGTTTTTATAGATCCACTTTTAGTGTACACTCTTAAGTAGAAAATAGAATTTTCTTGCAGTTTTAAAAATCCTTTATACTGTGGAATCTCTAATAATACATTTATTTAGCATTTCTCTTTGGCCTCATTCTAAAAAGAAGTGGAAACATCGCTCGTTGTGTATATTTTCTCATTTTTGGCCTCAACATACAAACCCATCCCAAGATCATGTCTTTATTGATTGTACTTATTTTACAGCTGACTGTGACATATTCGCACTATTGTGCTATTATAAATCACCTTCTGCTATTTTACTCTGCTATTCATTTTTTCTTGTATGGGAAAGTGGACTCCTTATTTTCATTTCAGCCACGTGTGCACTCTCTCGCTGTTACTTATTACTGAAGTAGGGAGCATTTGGGAACTGGAGAATGGCGTGCAAATGAAGAAGGCCTTCTAGGGATTGGCTGTGCCATGTGAACAGTCCTGGGCGTGCCATCCATGGAGCATGCCAATATTGCCCAGAAGTTTTGGGTCAGCTTCTTTTTTGTGTGACCTTGGTGGAAACCACTGAGCTCCATGGTATTAAGTGGGCCACGTGTCTTCTCAGCGAGGTTCTTATGTAGGTATGAAGGAAGGAAGCCTGTTGTGATCCCCGGGGGAGCTGTGAGTGTAGAGCTGGCTCTGAAAGCCTTGGCATCTCTCCTGCAGGAAGAATCCCAGGAGCAGGTGAATCCCACCTGCATTGAGCATTTTTTCAGTTTAAAGCAAATCCTTACTGCTAGAGTATATTTAGAAAGAGGCAGGGCCAGGGCCGTGGCTAGGCCAGCTTCGTAGGTGATGAGCTCTGTGTTGGCCATCAGCCTTAAGTGTGTTGATTTTTCACAGCAGGTCACTCAGCAGTGTTTATCTGAAAATACTGGCTTGGTGCTATTAATTAAGGATGAAATGAAAAGCTTGTTTCTGTGTTAGCATTGTCTAAAGGACTGTAAATAGTGCTTAATTCATTATGGATATTTGGTGCCCAGTGAAGAATAATTTACCAAGTTTGTAAGAACAGTATTTTCTTCCTTTTTAAACTCTTTTATTTCTTAGGAAACCAGGGCTGTACCTCTTAGATCATTGAATAGTGCAGAGGTGCAGGAAGTGCCGTTTATTGGGATGACTGGTGTTGGGCAGAGGGGTGACCTTACCCTCCAGTCAGTCACTCAGCACACAGGGGCTTCTTCCCTTGACTGTCTTCCTAGCAAAGATGACCTCGTCTTTCCTTGAAGATATTGATACCATTCAGCTAACACTTCATTTTCTGCCATATTTGTGTTCCTTTCATTTTTGTGTGTACGTATTTGGTGGACCGTTGACCTTGATAAATCCTCAGCTTTACAAGTACAATTACAACTGTGTTTCTCACATTACATGAAGTGTAACTGAAAAGGTTCAGACAACAGATTTTTAATGATAGTAAAAACAAGGACTAAAGCCATAAAACACTCTTGTTTTGTTTTGTTTTGTTTTTGCAATGGAGTCTCGCTTTTGTCGCCCAGGCTGGAGTGCAGTGGCGTGATCTCAGCTCACTGCAACCTCTGCCTCCCGGGTTCAAGCAATTCTCCTGCCTCAGCCTCCCAAGTAGCTGAGGATACAGGCGCCCACCACTACACCTGGCTAATATTTTTGTATTTTTAGTAGAGACGGGGGTTTCACCATGTTGGCCAGGCTGGTCTTGAACTCCTGACCTCAGGTGATCTGCCCACCTCGGCCTCCCAAAGTACTGGGATTACAGGCGTGAGGCACTGTGCCCGGCCGCCATAAAACTCTTAATTTATATTAAATTAGTGTAAATAAGAGAAACTCTGCTTGCAAGTGTTCTTTGCCTTGTCATTATCCAGACAGGAACTTCTTCACTTTACCTCTTGTTAGAAATACCAGAATTGTTAGAAATAGATAATTGGTACCACGAGGAACCGTCAGCGTGGAGACAAAAGATCTCTCAGCAAAGCAATCTTTACTTTCTGCAGAAAGGGTGCTCAATGGCAGATGGAACAATGACGAGAGCACACCTGAACAAAGGAAAAGCAGACATATTTATCCCTTACACATTTGGGTCGTCCTTACTGCTGTGTCCTGCATCCATTGGCTGGAGCAGGACCACACACTCTTAAACTGATACCCAGTTTGCTAATCGCCTAAAACTTTCCTAAATAGGTAAGTGCAAAGAAGAACAAAAAAGTTGCTTAGGAAAGGTTTAAGGAAGCAATAACAATTCCAAATGAGAAAGGGGCATAGGCTGTGAGCTGGAACGTGTCTGTGAGCATGTCCAACAGTTACATAGGATAGGGCTTAGCAAAGAGTTATTAGCACAAAGCAAGGAGGCTTGAAGAAAGTTAGTCTTTAAAATAATCTTTTATTTCTAACACTTATGATTTATTCTTTAACAAGAAGGGGAGCTTTAAAGAGGAAACTTTTTACTTTCTACATCTCTTTATGCCTTAGGGTTGGCAAGATGGTGAAACAGGTCAGGCTTGATCCTAAAACCTGCCACAGAGTCATAGGAGACTCATTTGGTCCTTGGCCATCTTCAGCTTTTATGTTGGCCTCTCCTTGCATGAGTCAGTTGACAGTAGCGTATTATGCCAGAGTAGTTTTGTTTGTGGCAAACTCTTGTTCTGGAGATAGTTTGCACACAAGGTAACTACAGTTAATGTTAATGTATTGTGTAGTTGAAGATTGCTGGGAAAATACATCTTAAGTGATCTCACCGCACACACAGACACACACACACACACACACACACGATAAGTACATGAGGTGATGGATATGGTGATTAGCTTGATTGAATCATTTCACAATGTATATGTGTATCAAAGCATCACACTGGATTCCTTACAGATAAACAATTTTTATTTCTTAAGTATACCTTGATTAATCTGGGGAACATTTTTAAAAATTAAAAAAGATAAGGTGAGAATCATCAAACTGCACTGTGGGATGAGGGCTGGAGAGTCAGAGAGGTACCCGTGGTAGCTATGGGGCTCGTTCATTCCTGCCCTCAGGGAAAGTCACTCAAATCCACACTTCAGTGATATCTCAGCTGCTGTGAGTTTAGGACCCATTGGGTCATCTGTAGACAGTCAGAACTACGAGGCTGTCTCAGGGAAGGCCAGAAGTCTCTTCTGTGCTATTTCTTTATCCCCAAATGAACTGTATGCTTCTTCAAGATTGGATCACATTGATTTCTCATGTACTTTTTTCTGTCCCACACAATGCCTTGCACATAGTAGACAGTAAAATATTTTGATGAACTGAATCAGACAGCAGTTAAGTACAAAATCATGTGATCTGAATGGGAAGAACTGTTAGAGCTCCGGAAAAGTAGAGTGCTATGAACTGGAGGAGTTGGAATGAGAGGGAAAGTTCCCATCAGCCACTGAACTGGTTATATATAATAGTTACAAAACCAATGTGTAAGAATGATCTGTGCTTATCTCATTTATTTATCTAATGAATACTTATGGGTATTGAACTAAGAGTTAGAGAAACAGTGATGAACGAGACAGATCCATGAATCTTAGAAACAAATTGATATGAAATGTCGCTGTCACTAGGTGTGCTCCAGGGAGTCCTCTAGGACCTCCCTCGATACCAAACCCCGAAGGTGCTCAAGTCCCTGATGTAGAAGGATGTAGTATTTGCATATAACCTATATGCATCCTCCTGAATATTTTAAATCTAGATTACTTATAATACCTAATGTAAATGTTAGATAAGCAGTTATACTGTATAGTTTAGAAAATATTGACAAGAAAAGAAGCCTGCTCATGTTCAGTACAGAAGCAGTTTTTTTTCCTGGATATTTTCCATCCATGGTTGGTTGAATCTATGGGTAAGGAACCCATGGATATGAGAGCTGACAATAATTGTAGGTAGTGACAAGTACTGAGAGGGAAATACAGCAGTAAAGGATAAAGGCAATAGTGTGGGGACACAGGCAGCCTGCTTTCATTAATTATTTAACTTAATGAATGATGGGGTCTTGCTCTGTTGCCTAGGCTGGAGTGCACTGATGCAGTCATAGCTCACTGCGACATTGAACTTCTTGCCTCAAGCAATCCGCCCACATTGGTCTCCCAAAGTGTTGGGATTACAGGCGTCAGCCACCACACCCAGGCAGGCTGCTTTAGATGGGGAAATCAGGGGAGGGCTCTGAGGTGTTAACGTTTGAGCAGAGCATAAGTGAGGTGATGGATGAAATCTTGTAAAGGTCTGGGACACCAGCATCCCAAGCAGAAGGCAGATGTTGGGTTCTGAGATGGGGACCGAGTGTGGCCAGCTTGAGGGCCTGCCAGAGGCTGTGCGGCCATGACCATGAGCAAGGGCCTTGTAGGACATGGCAAATACTGGATGTTTGTTAACAGCAGTGGGAACGTGTTACTGTTAGAATATCACTGAAGGCATCTGTTTCATCTCTGAAACTCCCCTACTTTATCTTCTACCTCTGCATCACCATTACTGCCACCCCTCTAGACTACGCAAGCATGATCCTTTCCCAGGGTACCATAATCAGCTTCTAAAAGTCTTCATGGCATGGCGATCTCAGGGGAACTGATGCTAGGGAGGATGGGAGACCAGCTCAGTGACAATTGCTGTTGTCCCTGGGTGGTAGCAGGGGAAGTGGTGAGAGGTGGTTAGATTCTCAGTCTGTTTTGAAGGTTGCCAACTGGATTGGCTGATGGAATAGATGAAGAAAGAAAGAGGAATAAAACTTGACTCCTAGGCTTTTGGCTGCAGCAACTGGGTGTGTGGTGGCAGCATTTCCCATGAATGAAAGACTGGAAGGAGTGTATTTTGGGGGGGAAAGTGAGACATGCCATTTGGTCCTGTTACGCTGGAGTGTGCATTAGCTATGGAGTGGAAGTACTGAGTAGCTGCTGTGTGTGGGAGGGACCTGGGGCTCTTCCACTGCTTTCCTTGGCTGACAGATGATTCTCTAAGTGGGGAGACTTGATAAGATCATCAGGAGAGCCAACGCAGATGGAGGAGGGGTGAGGACCAGGGACTGAGCCCCAGGGTGCTCCTGTGTTTAGACACGTAGACGATCAGGAGACTGTGGTGGCCGAGAAGGTTGGATGAACACAAGCGCAGCCTGTTCCCCTGGAAGTCAAATAAAGAAGGCAATTCAAGGAGAAGAGAACCACTGTGCAAAATTCTGCTGCGAACTTTTATGTGTGAGCTGTATAAAGCCATGGAGCGACAGGAGCTGGGAGCCGACATTACTGTTTACAATGCAGGGGTGTACTGTGTCTTCCTGAAAGTCACTTAGTATTGGGTAGGGGTGTGGCAGTTAATGTCTTCTGAATTTAGACTGTGCCGACCTTCAATCTTTTAAAGCATATTTCCTGTTTATTTTCCCATAGCTAACCTTTATAGATGCAAAAAGCAAAAGCCATTTCCAGTTATTGTATTGGTATTCCCTGGGTTGTATCTGGGGATTCTCATATGCTGTCGAGAACAAGGTATATTTGGGTAACTTACAAAGTGGAGATTTCGCAAAAGCCTGTGGGAGGCATTAGGAGCTACAAGATATGTGGGCACGATGAGTGAGTTCCAGTAAGTGGTTTAGCCCTAAACCTGGTCTCTCTGCCTGACACCTGTTCTCAGCATTTGGCCCCATCTTCCATTCAGTTGTGCAAACCAAACATTGGCTCCAGTGGCACTTCCTGTCTCTCCCACCATCCTTACCGTCCGGAAGCCCTCTCGTCCACTCTGCCTCACACCATGCACACCCTTGCACCTGCAGCTGCCCCCACCCTACCCTCTGGAGTGGCTGCAGAGAACAGCCTTCCCTCACCCTCTCTTGCCCTTTTGTCTGCTGTCCACTCTGAAGCCTGGGTTATATTTTAAAATTAAATCTGATCGCGTTACCTCCCCCACTTAGATCCTTACCATGGCCTCTCTCATTGCTCACAGGACAAAGATCAGAATCCTTGGAGAGGCGCAAAAGCAGCACACGGCCTGGCCCTTTCTCCTACCCTGGGGCCCTGTGAGGCCTTCTCTCCCAGGTCCTGAATTCGCTGTTCCCCGCCCCTGCAACACCTTCCCCAGACACCTCTTGGCCCTTGTTGACTGCAGCTCCCACCTTGTGGTACAGCTCAGCAGGGCCCGTCCTGACCCCTTTGTGTGGGTGACATTCCTGTGTCATATTCTTCATGGCACTAAACTCTTTCACCTGAGGACATTTCCTTTCACTTGCAGTGGCATGGTCATAGTTATTCATGTTTCATCTCTCCGGCTGTGAACTCCCCGAGGCGGGAGCCGTCGCTATCTTGGCTCCGACTGTGGCTGCCACGTGGAGACGTTCATGTGTGTTTGTTGGGTGAATTAACTCAAGTGCATAATAACAAAAACAAATGGAAATCTTCCTCTGGAAAGACGGAAGACCGTTAGGGTCAGCTCACGTGGAAACAGCTTTGCATCTCCATGCCCATCCCCACTTCTGGGTCCTCCTTACTGACCCGCGACATCCTCTCCCCACCTTTCTCCCTCTCTCTGGGCACTACAGCTGGTCACTTCCCACACATGGTCGCATGAGTAGAGGCTTAGCAAGGAGTGCGTTATGGAGGACAGATTTCTGCTACTGACTTCGCCGAAGTGGATCCACAGCTTCCATTTGGCTCAGGCTCTTTGGGAGAATTTCACTTCTTTTGTTACCTCTAATCTTACCTATGTGTAACCACACATTTTGGTCTTTTTCTTAAATCTTTTAGATAATCATCAGATAAGTTTACTTACCTGTTATTCTACTACTTTCTGCCTTGCCTTTTCTTCAGGCCACCCCCAAGTGCTATAACCTGCCCAAAGGTTAGGACATAACACCGCTGCCACACGTTTATCTCTGGGCATAACCACGATGGCATAAACACCAGCATTCCCAATTTTTCTTTGTCTCTTCGGAATGCTGACAGGCAAAGAAGAGCATTTTCTTTAGTCTCCAAATGTGTGGCTCACGCCTGTAATCCCAACACTTTGTGAGGCCGAGGCAGGTGGATTACCTGAGGTCAGGAGTTCAAGACCAGCCTGACCAATCTGGTGAAATCCCGTCTCTACTAAAAATACAAAAATTAGCCGGGTGTGGTGGCAGGAGCCTGTAGTCCCAGCTACTCCAGAGGCTGAGACAGGAGAATTGCTTGAACCTGGGAGGCGGAGGTTGCAGTGAGCTGAAATTGCGTCACTGCACTCCAGCCTGGGTGACACAGCGAGACTCCGTCTCAAAAAAAAAAAAAGTGATGTGTGCTTATTAAAATTGCTGCATGTATTTACTAACAAGAGTGAGAAGATTGACAAGTTTCAAAACATGATTTAGATTCAGTTTACTTGGCCAAGTGTCTCTCTCTCTCTCTCCGTAATACATATATTTCAAGGAAAATATTAGATATTACAAAAAGCCACCCTCATCTTTTACTGTCTTATCAAGATGAGTTATTTTTTCCAAAATATCAATTTTTAGGATTTGATTTTCCTACCAATTATTAAGATAGACCTTTAGGATGGAGTGAAAATATTTTAGTATCAGTTAGTTTATTCTAAGCTATGTTTTTTTTTTTTTTAGTTTTTTAAATCTTTAAAATTTTACATGAGTTATCAGTGAAACCAATATAATCCAAGATGTTTCTCTCTCTCTCTTTTTTTTTTTTGTTAGAAAATTGCCCCACAAATGGTTTAGGCAAGGTAAAAACCAGAGGTCGATAGGTAGATTCATACATACCTATCCCTTGTTGCTGTTCTTGGTCAAAAATTAAGGTGAGGAGTTGCCCTGTTGTACTTCTGTTTCAGATTAAGACTGTGGAATTACCCCATGAAATTGAATGTGTATTTTCTCCATTTTAGCACTGTAAAGATCAGAATTCTGTATCTAAAAACTTGTCTAAGTCTGCAATTCTTTATAAAGGGCCAAGTCCATGTTTTTAACCTCACTCGAAGTCGTCCTTTGAACATCGGCTGTCCCTGGCAAATAATGATTGACTCTGGGCGATTTGTCTCCACTGACATATCCTTAACAGGAATCAAAAGTTACGGCAGCTCCTGAGTTCAGCGGTCCCTACGCGAGTAACAGCAGTCTGTGAGTTTACATAGTTGTGGGTCCTGGCTGAGTCATTTTATATCTCACCATGTGGCTTCTCTCTACTCAGTAGGTGAGTGGAAGTGTCCAACCTTAAGCAGACTTTTCTGGAATCAACAAAACCATGTTTTTATTGCTGCAGCCTTGGCGAGGAATCCAGAAGTTTCGGGTTGGCTTTGAGGTAGCCATTCTGTTGTCTGCACATCTAACGTGCATTCCCATGCCTGTTTAAGGTGGACTTTTAATAATCTAAATGGCCCCAGTAGAAGACATTTCAGTAAATTGGGGAATGCCTATACAATGTAACAGCATGTAGCCATGTCAAAGTCCCGTTGAGGAAGAATACTTAGTGACTGACATGGTTTGCACCTGTTCCCTCCAAACCTCATGTTGAAATGTGGCCTCCAGGGTTGGAGGTGGGCCTAGCAGGAATGTTTAGGTCATGGGGGCAGATCCCTTATGAATGGCTTTGTGTCGTCCTCACAGTAGTGAGTGACTTCTCACTTTGTTAGTTCAGGCAGAGTTGGTTGTTTAAAGAGCCTGGGACCACCTCCTCTCTCGCCATGAGATGTGTGGGCTCCCCCGGGCCTTCCACTGTGCGTAAAAGCTTCCCGAGGCCTCACCAGAGGCCGAGCAGATGATGGTGCCGTGCTTGTACAGGCTGCAGAACTGAGAGCCAAAGTAACCCCTGTTTTCTTTGTAAATGATCCAGTCTCAGGTATTTCTTCATAGCAGTACAAAACAGACTAACATAGAGACACTGGAAAGTGTTTAATAAAAATGCTGGGTAATAGTTACTGAGCATAAACGATGTGCCAGACACATATGTTCATAGATTTCATCCTCAAAAACTACATGCGTGTTTTCCCAAGTTCACAGAGTGAGTGGTAACCACTAGGCACCTCTGCCTCTGTACCATGTATCACCTCCTTTTTATTTTCTAAAACAATGCATAGGATAACCATCACAGTTTCTATCCAACATTACATACACATACGTGTGTGTGTATGTCTGGCTCTCTGGAGGCAAGATGATGGGTGATTTTAATTTTTTTCTTTGTGCTTCCCAGTTTTTCTGCAGCATAGATGGATAAATGTTATAAAAAGAAAAAAAAAGAGTGGATGTCCTTAGCACTAGGTATGTTTAGACCAAGTAGGAAGAGAAACAGTTTCAAATCAGAATAATGATCCACCTTCCTACAATGTGATGTGCCCTGATGTCTTCATTACTGGGAGAAATTAAGGACTGACCACAGTCGACTCTGCAAGGGAGACCGGTTTTTGTGCAGTTGTTGGACACTTGCAGGTGACTTGCTCAAGGTCAGGATGAATCTAAAATAACATTCAAGCTCAGTTAAAGAAGTTTTTTTTTTTCCTACAAAAGTACGTATTTAGGATGCTTTGCCCAAGCTCCGCTTTCTTTTTTATTACTCTGAGAGCTGCTTCCCTTGCCTGAGAATCCCCAGACCTCCTTACCTCTGTCCTGTGACTAATCCCCACTTGTCAATCATCTTGGAGAAAAAATTTCCCTCCCTGCATCATGACCATCCTTGTTTCACATATTAAAGCAGCTGAAAGCACTAAAACTCTTTTATTCCACAAGAGGCTCTTCCCGCCTCTCCCCAGTGTGGAGTTGAACCCCTGCCTCCGTGCCTCCATTGTGTCCTGGCAGCACTGTGTCCTGGTGGCAGCATCTTCAGCAAGTTACTTGTTTTGTTTTGTTTTTACCTACCAGAAAGTGAGTTCTGCAAAGGCAGGGACTCATCTATCTGACAGTCTGTGCTGCCCGTGCATTGCCGGCACGCAGGGTGCTTTCCAGAGGGAAGTGACACACGTGCCTCTTGTGAATCGTCATCTTAGGCATGCCAGCTCTTGAGGCCACACTTAGACTAAGATGTCAGAGAAGTCAGTCTCAGGTGCAGGAGTCAAGAAAAAATAGATTGGGTAGAGAATAAGAGCAATTTTGAGAGCCTGATGGAAAAACCAAGCAGACATTACCAAAGGATGAAGGACACGAGCCTCATGCTTTTACTAAGCTGTATGAGTGACATGGGGAAGCAACTTATGTTGTTAGTGAAAGGTTCTTTCTTTCTCGCTCTCTTTTTTTTTTTTTTTTGAGACAGAGTCTCACTTTGTTGCCTAGGCTGGAGTGCAGTGGCGCAATCTCAGCTCACTGCAACCTCGGCCTCCTGGATTCAAGCGATTCTCAAGACTCAGCCTCCTGAATAGCTGGGACTACAGGTGCCCGCCACCACGGCTGGCTAATTTTTGTATTTTTTGTAGAGATGGGGTTTCGCCATGTAGGCCAGGTTGGTCTCGAACTCCTGAACTCAAGTGATCTGCCTAGGATTACAGGCGTGAGCTACCGTGCCCGGCCGGGAAAGGTTGTTTTTAAATTTTTTTTTACTTTTATCTTTTTGAGGGTCTCCCTCTGTTACCCAGGCTGGAGTGCAGTGGTGCAGTCACTGCTCACTGAAGCCTCAGCCCCTTGAGCTTGTGCCATCCTCCCACCTCAGCCTCTCATGTATCTGGGACTGCAGGGGCATGCCACCGTGCCCAGCTAATTTTTTAAAATTGTATTTTATAGTTATGGGGTCTCACAATGTTGCCCAGGTTGGCTTTGAACTTGGGCCCAAGTGATTCTGCTGCCTAGGCCTATTGTACTTGCATGATGGAAATGGAATATAAAGGCCTGTGTTGTTTTAATCCACATTTATGGACAAGTTAGTCTCCTGTTGTCATCTGTGTCTTCTGAAGGAGTCACCTGTTTGGTTAAATAAATTCTGGCCGTTTTCTCTTAATTCATTTGCCTGAAAAAAAAATTTTTATTCTACCTCTCCTTTGAACAGCATCCTGGTGGGGAAGAAGTTTTAAGGGAACAAGCTGGAGGTGACGCTACTGAGAACTTTGAGGATGTCGGGCACTCTACAGATGCCAGGGAAATGTCCAAAACATTCATCATTGGGGAGCTCCATCCAGTAAGTACATTTTGGGGGCCCTTTCTTATTTGTATTTAAGGCTATCAGATGACCTTACCCTAGTCTGTAAGCTTGCATGTATACACATTTTAAAAGGAGTAAAGCAAAAACAACTCCTGATTTTAGGACACCATTTTTTGTTATAAATAAATTGACCAAAAATGTCTTTGCATTTCACTGTTGCTTTTTTTTTTTTTTTTTTGAGACAGGTCTTACTCTGTCACCCAGGCTGGAGTGCAGTGGCACGATCATGGCTCCCTGCAGCCTCAACCTCCTGGGCTCAAGCCATCCTCCTGCCTCAGCCTCTTGGTAGCTGGGACTACAGGCACACACCTCCACGCCTGATAAATTTCATAGTTTTTGTAGAGACGGGGTTTCACCGTGTTGCCCAGGCTGGTCTCAAACTCCTGGACTCAAGCGATCCACCCACCTCGGCCTCTCAAAGTGTTGGGATTACAGGCGTGAGCCCCCACACCTGGCCTGGTTGCATTGTTTACTGGCACTTCGTTTTAGTCAGCAGGCTCCACCCCACAGCCATGCACTGGGGAGTCTGCTCAGTCCTAGAAATTCCATGGGGCAGCACGTTTTACAAGGTGGGGAGAATCAACCCAGCATTGCTTTCTTTCCTTTTCTGACCAAAATATTTTTATTAAGAACCCCACTTCTACTTTCATTAGGCCAAGGATATTTTAGTTCTAAAAAATGATTTAAAAAATATAAAAACGGAGCTATGTGAAATGAATAAGCTCTGCCTTCTGTAGAACTAGCACATTGTCCATATTCTACTCACTGTACCCCAGACCTTCGAGAATATCAGCTCTGGACCAATTCATTGACCAACTTTTGGAAAACACTGGCCTAATTTGGCTTTTCTTTTCTTTTTTTTTTTTTTTGAGACAGAGTCTTGCTCTGTTGCCCAGGCTGGAGTGCAGTGGCGCGATCTCGGCCCACTGCAACCTCCACCTCCTGGGTTCAAGCAATTCTCCTGCCTTAGCCTCCCAAGTATCTGGGATTACAGGCACAGGCCACCATGCCTGGCCAATTGTTTTGTATTTTTAGTAGAGATGGGGTTTCGCCATGTTGGCCAGGTTGGCCTTGTACTCCTGACCTCAGGTAATCCACCTACCTAGGCCTCCCAGAGTGCTAGGATTACAGGTGTGAGTCACCGCACCTAGTCCTAATTTGGCTTTTCTATAAACACTGTGCTGTGTTACGGTTTTAGACCCCTCTGTGGCAGTTGTAAATGACCATGTTAAATGTTACTAGTCTGTCAACCTAAGTTATCAGGAAAATCGCTGAAAACTTGGAAAGAAGTTGCCGAGCGCTCTGAGCTTCTGGAGTGGATCCTGGGGCCGCACACTCAGCTGCCCTGTCCACCTCTGGGAGTGCCTGGCTCCGTCCTGCCTTCCCACTTGTGGTGCATGGTTAGCAGCCCGCCAGAAGGGGACAAAGACCTGCTAGGAGCCCGCTCTGCTCTCGTAAGAAAAAAATGGAGAGGCAAATAGCCTCATTCTAAGTGAGCAAACTGAGAAACTCTTAAAGAATATAGGAAAAGTCTTATCGTATACCACTGATGATCCCTGTAATGACTGTGAATGAAGAAGAGGTTACATTAGGTTCTTTGTAGAAGGCTCGAAAGTAGGAAATCCATTTGAGAACAACTTCATTGAGTTGGGAGGTTTGTTTGATTTTGTTTTTGGTGGTAGGAGATATGTACTTTGAGGGAGTAAGCTTCATTCATCTGACAAGTTTATTTGCCCCGATATTTTCATCCCATACTTCACAAAGGCAAAGTGTCTTAGGGTCATCAGGGAGGCCTGCCGTTACACATGCCTGATCCCATCCTTGTTTCCAGCTGTGGGTCAGGTTTCAGGCCCTGACTGTGGCACTTCTGCTTCACCTGCCCACTGGGCTTCCCCCTGGCCAGCCTTTAAACACACTGTATTTTTGACAGCTTCAGCCTGAAGTTGAAATAGTTTATGACTCTAAAACTGGGAGACTGCAGGGCTTAACTGAAGATATCATACACGTAAGAGATACATGCACAATCTCAAATGGAATTTGAGAGGACAGAAGGGAAGAATCAGTCTTCAGCTCCTCCCTGAATTACGTGTCGCAATCTGAGTCTAATAAATGTGTGTGCACATCAGCATGTACAGAGAGCTGTCATGGGTGCTGTTCGAAACTTTGGAACTCTAGATAGAAAATATCTCTTGGCACTTAATCTGCTACTAATTTTTGCTGTTAAATCAGATGGATCAAACTTTGTGTTTAATAGCTAAATGTTGAATCTGAAATGGTAATTACTGAATTATAATTTTAAAAAGTCTCAAAGTCAGCATTTTGGAAGTGGTACTTTCATAGATTTTTAAATTCCATAATGTGCCTTATCTTTTCATTGCAGGATGACAGACCAAAGTTAAACAAGCCTCCGGTAAGTGTGACCATCTCAAGTATCTCTGGATGTTCTCGTTGTATTTAATACTTGTCAAACTGAAGGCAGAGGGTTTTTATTTACCTGACTGATGCCAGCACAGGTCTTTCTAGATAAATGAATATGTAACCTACTGGCTCAGCAAGTATTTTTTATTTACGGAAACCTGTCAGTATGATTTGTTAGGATGGCGTGTGTGTAATTTTTTTAAGGCTGTCAGTAAACTACTTTTTTCATCATAATTATCAATATATACCATTTGAAGAGCTACTTTTTATGGTAGCACGTGCTTCTGATCTAAAAGATTTGACACAAGCCTTATTTTCAGAGAACTTAAAATCTGAATGGATAGTGGTTTTATTACTTAAATCTTTAAGGGTGTGTCTCATGTCTTCTTCATCTTTAAGTCTCTTGGGCATAGTAGGTGTTCAATAAATACTTGTCAGATGAATTTAATGAAATTAAATAATACCCTTTTGACTTACTTTTCCTTGGGAAAGGAAAATAACTCTGGCAATACTAGTTTTATGTTCTGATTCACTAGCCTTTCTCTCTGAACTGACCATCTCACTTATATTTGAAGATAAATGTAGGGTGAGAATGGAAGAGCACAGCCTAAGTTCCTGAAAAGTACAAGTAGGCAAAATAGTTTCTAGTGTCTAATTAAAGGACTACAGGGGAAAGTTTTGCTTAAATCAAATGACAAAAAAGAAAGTATAATTTTTCGTTTTGGTGTAAATTCTTGGTTTCATTAGAGAAAGTGCAACAGCAAGACCCCACTGAGCTTGTGTCGAGAACTGGTGAGCTGATTTTTTGAGCTGTTGCTGCCAAGACATCATCTTTAATCTACAAAAGGATCAAAGCAGTTAATCCAATAATATAAGCATAAAGGCCACATTTACCTCAACATCCCTGATAGTACAATAAAAGTCTTGTGTAATACTATTTAGTACAAAGCAATTTTTTTTATATTCTCTCCTTATTCAAGAAAGACTTAAGTTCAATGTGAATGATATGAGTACTTCCAGGAGATAAAAAGTTGACTTCAGAATTTCAATGGCCTCTGTGACAATTGCTTAGAATCCTTGCTGTGAGTTCATTTGACTTTAGCATCTTTTTTGAGGCTACTTTTTGGACAGCTGAAATTCTGTGTTGCATAAAGTTTTTCCTTTTTCTCTGAAGTCTCTTAAGGGAAGAATATATATTTTTTTTATCATGTGTTCAGCATGTTAATCATTTTGGTATAAGTCATTTAGCTATAGCAAAACAAAGGTTTAAGATTCATTAGATGAACTTAGATGACCGCAGGGCCAGCCGTCTCGCTAACCATAAAGACTACAAGCAGAAAACACTTGTAGGTGTAAGATTGTACATGTGTCTCCTGCCATAACTACTTTCAGTTTAAAGGACAAAGACTTTCTTCCTTATTTGCTTTTAGAACACGTGTATTACAGCCTATACTCTGTTGGATTAATTGCCCATTACTATTTATTGTTCTTATTTTCTATTTTAAAGTGGCAGTTACTTTGATACTGAGAATATTTTGGGAACAGAGCAAGTTTATGTGGTAAATTCTGGGACTTTAGCTTTTAGTATCAAAGAAAGCTTTCCTGACAACATTGAGGCACAGCCCTTTGTGCGTTAAGACATGGCTTACTTCATTCCAGCATTAGCAGTTGATACTTGATCAGCTTGTTAGATGTAGAAGGTCTCACTGAAGTTTGAGAATCACACTAACTTTTTAAAGTAGATTTTTGTTTGTTTGTTTTTGAGACGGAATTTTGCTCTTGTCACCCAGGCTGGAGTGCAATGGCGTGATCTCGGCTCACTGCAACATCCACCTGCTGGGTTCAAGCAATTCTCCTGCCTCAGCCTCCCGAGTAGCTGGGATTACAGGTGCCTGCCACCATGCCCAGCTAATTTTTGTATTTTTAGTAGAGATGGGGTTTCACCATTGTTGGCCAGGCTTGTCTTGAACTCCTGACCTCAGGCATTCGCCTGCTTCAGCCTCCCAAAATGCCGAGATTACAGGTGTGAGCCACGGCACCCAGCCTAAAGTAGATGTTTTTACTCTCTTCAGAGATTTTACAGATTAACTAACTTCTGAGTATTTTTTAAACAACTCTTCTTTATTGTGACTTTGCTTCAGTGAGAGCAGAACCGGAAGAATGTGGGACAAGAACTTGCTGGCCTTTTTGAGAGGCCATAAGCAGATGAAATGAAAGGAAATACATGAGCATTTTTCTGGATGTATCTTTCTTGTGCTTTTGGTTTAGTGGAAGTAAAGAGTGTCCTTAGGGATTTCTTTTGTCATGTGTCTGTATAACCATCGGCCGATCTCCAGGTTGAAGAATGTACACTGTGGTCTAAAGTTTTGAGATGTTGCCTGCTTAAAATATCTAGTTGAATAGTGAAATAAAATGCAGTAAAGATTATTAGCTTGAACCTGCCCTAAGGAAAGCATAGTGTTAAGTTACCAAATTAAGATATTTGTAGACTTAGAAATCATGCATTTTAATCTAACATAAATGTTTCTATCACATTTGCTTACATAGAGAATATTAGTCGTAGCAATACCCCTTCTTGGTTATAGTTTTGAAAGCATTCTTGTAGAAGTTATTTGGTCCTCACAGTGTCTCCATGTTAGACCTGCCAAGGGAGGTAGGTACATTGCAGCTGGGAAGTGTTAAGCACCCGGCTCACAGACGTGCTCCAGAACCATCTAGCACCCATCTCAGGCTGGTCAGTTGCAGTCCCTTAAGCTTCTCCTCTAGGTTCTGGGCTTGCCGTGTTAGACATCACTCTGTCAGTATTTTAAGGGAGATAGGCTTCCCACTAAAGTTTACGTTAGATGAACTTATAAATGAGATGACTCTGATTCACAAAAGCTTGTTGGGCTTTGCATGCTTTTCATAATTTATGGAGCTTACTGTAATTTACACTGATTCACATGACTTTTATAAGTCATTATGCATGACATACTTATTTTACTTTTTTGAGACGGGGTCTCACTCTGTTGCCCAGGCTGCAATGCAGCGGCATGGATCTGGACTCACTGCACCATCCACCTCCCGGGGTCAAGCAATCCTCCCACCTCAGCCTCCCGAGTAGCTGGACCATAGGCACACAGCACTGTGCCCAGCTAATTTTTGTATTTTTCTGTAGAGACAGGGTTTCACCATGTTGCCCAGACTGGTCTCGAACTGCTGGACTCAAGCAACCCGCCAATCTCGGCCTCCCAAAGTGCTGGGATTACAGGCCTGAGCCACCATGCCCAGACTTTGACACACTGATTTAATTGTTAACCTCTTTTTACTGAAGTTGAACCTCGAAGTCATGGAGTGAACAGGTGGCAGAGCCAATCATAAAAACCATATTCTTTCTCCTTGTTCATTGCTGACATTCTTTGATAGTCACGTCCCTAAACCCAAGTGAGGCCCTCAGAGCACTGACCACTAAAGACCAATTACTTTTCCATCAAAGTGCAAAGTGGTAATTCAAACTTCCTTTAACTGTCAAGCATCCTGGGCTACAGAGCCAAGAAGATAATCAACAATCAAAAGGTGATACGATTATTTCAAGTTCCCCTCTTTAGAGTTCATGGCTGTTGCTGATGATGCTGGTGCCAGAGTAGTGTTTTAACCTTAGCGCTCTCCCATGGTAACCACAAAGGCAGCAGGAGGGCAGGTGGGAGGTTCCAGAGTTGTCAGCACGTTGGTGAAATGCCTGCCCTCATTTTAACGACGCCGTGGATGTTTGTGTTTGCCTTCCGTTGGCTGTTTCAAACTTAACTTTCTAGTTTGACAATCATATTTTACCTTCAGTGATTCTTTTGTTTCAGAACTGATTGTGTCCTCTAATAGCTAACTAATATTTTTGTATATTTTGATTATTTCTAGTAATTTTTGTTAATTTTATTCATATATACACAATTTGGAAAATCCTCTTGCTGTAGTTATGAATACTTTTTATAGATGCTAAGATTTTAAAATTGCTGGAATAGATAATAAATTTGCAATTTTATTTTTAAATGACTTACCTTTTTTCCCCTACTGTGTCAGGAACCTTAAAGGCGGTGTTTCAAGGTTGGTGGGTCTCATAACTGCTTTGCTTGCTTTTCCCTGAAAGGGGTCTGTCTTTTCACGGGAGTTTCTCTAACGTGCTTTGCAGAGTGATGCTTGCCTTACTGCAGGCCGCTGATTGTTTTGCTAATGCTTTTTATCTTTGCTTTGGGAAACTGCAGATCTGAAGCTGTCTTATTTATGGCAACTTCTGTTTGAGGCCCTAATGCTTATGTTGGTGTGGAACATCAAAAGAATGCTTCTTAACCCATTTTCAAGCCCCAAAAAGTTGATATTTCACTAGACCTTAGCTTTTCAGCTGTTGGAGAAGTATGCGTTTTTCCAGAACCATTGTCCATTCACTTTAGTGCTACTCAAAAGAGCTGCTCCCAGAAAGCTCTGGAGGATAAAAACAGGGCTTCCTTATCTGGGGATTTGCTGTTAGGCTGACAGTGACCAGCTGGTGACAAGTGTGACGCCGGGCACAGCAGTCCTGTGAGGCTGGTCTGGTGTCTTGCTGGTTCCGTCTGGTCAGAATTAAAGCAGCCCCCCGGGAAAGTTGGCCTAGAATGTAGAACTTAAAATGGCAGTCCTCTTTTTTCTTTTTGGTTCACATATATTTAATGTAATTTAGGTACACTTTTTTACATCTGTCAGATTTGAATGAAATAACTGATGTTTTTATTGAACATTGTGTTCATGCTTTTGAAGAATTAAACTGCTTTTTCTAAAGGTGACGTGGGATTGTGTGTATGTGAACATGAATGTCTGTTTTCAGTTTCTGCATTATTTAGATGCCTAGCGTGTGCAAGATATTTTATGTAGCATATTAATTTTGAATGTTTTTAAATTATTGAGGTTATGTCCTTAAGTAAATATAATGATTAAAATGTTTTACTCTGGAAGAAAACAAAGTTAGGCATTTTAGTGAAAAGAAGTTTATAATTTTCCCTTTCGACATCTTCTGAAGAATGCATTGCATAAAATATTGTGTTCTTATTTTCAAACAGGATTTTAGTCAATGAAATAAGTTCAGCATTCCCTTGAACTTACTTTACTTTTTCCTCTCGTGTTTCAGGAAACTCTTATCACTACTATTGATTCTAGTTCCAGGTATGTGGTAGCTTTCTTTTAAAGCAGTAGTGGGTGGGAGGGCTCATGGGTCCAGGTTGGACAAGGTGCGTCCCCCACCTTCTGGGTTCCTGGGCCTGACACTGTGCTGTCTCAGCAACCTTCTGCTGAAGGCCAGACTGTTCAGAGCACTCAGCCTCAAACTTTCAGGTAGCCGACTGTGAACACTGTCCACAGCCACGTGATCTAGCTGGCTGGCTGCATCCACCCCAAGGAACAAACAGAACAATTGCATTTCCTTTTCCCCCAGGGCAGCATCTTAGGCGGCCAGTCCCACAGCACCTCCCTGGCTCATCCAAGCAGACATTTCCTTCCTTTCAATCCATGTCTGTTTCTTAAACTCTAGTGATTACATTTCCCTAAACATGGGTCAGTTTTCCTTTGTCATTTTTATTAGCTTTAAAGTTGAAGCTGGTAATCTATGTGTAGCACGACTCAATTGTTCTAGGCACCAGATTTGTTTATGATAGTCCAAGTGCACATTAACATCTTTGGCAGCTCTACCATATTGACTTCAGTAGTAGCCACTTTTTTGGACCCAAGCTCAAAACCACACATTTGTATTTCATCCTGTCAAATTTAACTGCCTCAGTCCGTTGGTGTTCTGGAATATTCCCTGCCTGCAGGCAGTATTTCACCTTACTCTTCATTAACAAGCCAGTTTCTTTCTAAAGTGAAATTGAAAAACCCCACCAAACCCCACTAAGACAAAAGTTACACTTGTAATTCTTATGAAAGTTTCACTTGTAATCCTTATGAAAGGATTATACTTGTAGTCCCTATGAAACACATATGTATACCAAGTCTATTTCTAAAGCCTACACATTAATTTCCATTTTTCTAAGAAATTAAGTCAAAGATCAAAATCTAAAGATTCAAATCTAATTTAAAGATTCAAATAGAGGCCAGGCGCGGTGGCTCACGCCTGTAATCCCAGCACTTTGGGAGGCCGAGGCAGGTGGATCACGAGGTCAGGAGATCGAGACCATCCTGGCTAACACAGTGAAACCCTGTCTCTACTAAAAATACAAAAAAATTAGCCGGGCATGGTGGCGGGCGCCTGTAGTTCCAGCTACTCGGGAGGCTGAGGCAGGAGAATGGTGTGAACCCAGGAGGCGGAGCTTGCAGTGAGCCAAGATCGTGCCACTGCACTCCAGCCTGAGCAACAGAGCAAGACTCTGTATCAAAAAAAAAAAAAAGATTCAAATAGAAATTATAGCTCATCCCTCCTTTGTCCCTGATTTGATTTGTAATCTGTAATTTATAGATCGAAATTCTATGCATCAGGACTGTAAATTTAGGCTTTTTTTTTTTTTTTTTTGGTGAATTTAGACCTGTGGACCACACACCAAGTAGTCTGGCCATTCTGTTTCTTAACCCTTTAAATCCACTTCAGCACAGGTAGTAAAGATTAGATTTTCCAAACCTAAGCTTAAAGCTGTGGTGTTAATGGCAGTGTTAATCATCACAGGGCCCATACTCTTCAACTTTACAGCTGGTGGGGCATTCATTTTTTGGTTTGTTTATTTTTGTTAGTTTGTTTTTGAGACAGTCTCGCTCTATCACACAGGCTGGAGTGCAGTGGCGTGATCTCGGCTCACTGCAACCTCTGCCTCCCAGGTTCAAGCGATTCTCCTGCCCCAGCCTCCCAAGTAGCTGGGATTACAATTAGCTACTGCCACCACGCCCAGCTACTTTTTGTATTTTTTGGTAGAAGGTTTTTACTATGTTGGCCAGGCTGGTCTCAAACTTCTGACCTCAAGTGATCCGTCTGCCTTGGCCTCCCAAAGTGCTGGGATTACAGGCGTGAGCCACTGAGCCCAGCCAAGTGGGGCATGAGTTTTCTCATAAAGCCAGCAGGGCAGAGTGATTCCTAGTATAGCAGGGCATGTGTTACACTCATGTCACTTTTAGCAAATCCACGTTGCCTTTTCAGCAAAATTCATTACAGAGTTAAGAAAAACATGCCCTGGTAATTTTCTGTTAGAAGGAGCAAAGATTTTGAGTCCACCACAGTGCACATCATGTCAGCATCATTGCTTTTTGTGTCTTTCTAGTTGGTGGACCAACTGGGTGATCCCTGCCATCTCTGCAGTGGCCGTCGCCTTGATGTATCGCCTATACATGGCAGAGGACTGAACACCTCCTCAGAAGTCAGCGCAGGAAGAGCCTGCTTTGGACACGGGAGAAAAGAAGCCATTGCTAACTACTTCAACTGACAGAAACCTTCACTTGAAAACAATGATTTTAATATATCTCTTTCTTTTTCTTCCGACATTAGAAACAAAACAAAAAGAACTGTCCTTTCTGCGCTCAAATTTTTCGAGTGTGCCTTTTTATTCATCTACTTTATTTTGATGTTTCCTTAATGTGTAATTTACTTATTATAAGCATGATCTTTTAAAAATATATTTGGCTTTTAAAGTATGCACCGTGTTTGCCTGTTTGGTGTATAATTGTCTTTAATGTTTAGAATCTGGTTATTTAGAGGATTCCTTCAATGTGTTACTCATCCAGACCCACAGAGGCCATATGACTGGAGGTGCGGGAAATAGGTTTGAGTGTCTCCTTTCACATCGTCACATCTCATTGAGTAACCATGTATTGTATGCTTCCGATATAGTTTCTTTTTTTCAAGGAAATTAAGAAAGGCCAGAAATTATAGTTTAAGGATTTCTAATAATTGTCCTACTTGAAATAGATCTTAAAAAGAAAGTAGCGGCTGGGCATCGTGGCTCACACCTGTAAGCCCAGCACTTTGGGAGGCTGAGGTGGGTGGATCACTTGAGGTCAGGAGTTCAAGACCAGCCTGACCAACATGGTGAAACCCTGTCTCTACTAAAAATACAAAATTAGCAGGGCGTAGTGGCGCATGCCTGTAATCCCGGCTACTTGGGAGGCTGAGGCAGGAGAATTGCTTGAACCCAGGAGGCAGAGGTTGTAGTGAGCTGAGATCGCGCCGTTGAACTCCAGCTGGGCAACAAGAGTGAAACTCTGTCTCAAAAAAAAAAGAAAGTAGCCTACAGGGCCTATAAGAGAGACTTCTTATCTTCACTGATTGAAAAACATCAGCAACTTAAAAACACATGAACCATGAGAGGGCATCGCAACTGTCCATTCTCTCAGCTTACACGTATCATTGCAAAGGCACTCACAGCTTCATAGGTTCTAAAGTTTTAAGAATTCCTCATTCAGAGAGTAGAATTGTTTGTAAACTCTTCTAAGGAAAGGCTGGTTTTCTAATTTGTAAGGAGATTGTGGGACATTGGAATCTGATCTTTGAAGAAATTTAGCGGCTAGTGTCAAGCTCTGAAGAGTTCTGGTGTGGCTCTGTCTCCTCCTGGGGGCTCTAAGGGGCTGATTCAGTCATCTTACTTCCCATTTATTATTCTCTGCCTTATGTGTTATTCTTTTAAATGTGGAAACTTGAAAGCTGAATTTGTTAGAACCCAGTACATGTGTCATTGGCTGTGACTGCATTTGCACTGGCATGAGCTGACAAACCACGAGGTTCTTCAGAAGTGACCGCGTGCAGTGGAAAGGAATTGTGTTGTTCTTACAGAGTACAACCTTTATAATCAAATAGGATGCACCGCCTTTGCCTTCTTTAGTCACTGAAAGTTGACAAGTAGTTTCTATTTCAAAATAAATTACAACACTTGTTAAGGGACCTATGTAAATATTTCAATATTTTTGGTTGTGATTTTTAGCTATAAAGCTTCACATTTTAGTAGTTTTTAAAACATTGCTCCTAAATCAACTATGAAGTGAATCGAAGTGGGTCAGTCGTACCTTAGATGACATTAAAGGGTTAACTTGTAAATCATTTTTAAGATGTTGAGTAATAGCATCTGTATATCGTTAAGAAACATAACAGTTGAACTTTGACATTTTTATCAGTGACTCAGCAATTTGCTGCTGTGGCTGGCAATGTTTCTTCATGTGTTTTGGGAACAACATGTGGAGTAAAGGAGAGTTTACTTCCTAATTTTAACATTTACAGTTTGTGCAGCCAGACTCTCAAGGAAAGATATTTGACACTTTTTTCTCTATTGCTTTCCCTTCAGAGAGGTGAGAGACTTCAGAGGCTGCCCTTTCTTTTCATCTGCTGCTTGTGAAAGGAAAACATCTTGGGCCCCCAGAATCACTAAGGAAAACTCAAGCTGGAAACTGCTTAGGGCCAACCTGCCTCCCATTCTACTCAGTCAAGCCTCTGCTCACTGAGAGAGAGGCATATCTGATTGCTTCCTTTGGAAAGGCTAATCAGAAACTCAGAAGAATGCAACCCTTTGTGTCTCACCTCTCTGTGACCTGGAAGCTCCCTCCTGCTTTGAGTCTTCCTGCCTTTGCTTCAAGGTGTCCCGCCTTTCCAAACAGAACCAATGTACTTCTTACATATATTGATCAATGTCTCATGTCTCCCTAAAATGCATAAAACCAAGCTGTGCCCTGACCACCTTGGGTACATGTCATTAGGACCTCCTGATGCTTTGTCACGGGCATGTCCTCAACCTTGGCAAAGTAAACTTTCTTTTTTTTTTTTTTTTGTTTTTGAGACAGAGTCTCACTCTGTCGCCCAGGCTGGAGTGCAGTGGTATGATCTTGGCTCACTGCAACCTCCGACTCCCAGGTTCAAGTGATTCTCCTGCCCCAGCCTCCTGAGTAGCTGGGACTACAGGCGTATGCCACCATGCCTAGCTAATTTTTTTGTATTTTTAGTAGAGACGGGATTTCACCATGTTAGCCAGGCTGGTCTTGAACTCCTGACCTCAGGCAATCCACCCGCCTCAGGCTCGCAAAGTGCTGGAATTACAGGCATGAGCCACTGTGCCGGGCCTATTCCTTGACTTTCTTAATAAAGTTGTTTTCACTTTGCACTGCGGACTTGCCCTGAATTCTTTCATGTGCGAGGTCCAAGAACCCTCTCCTGGGGTCTGGATTGGGACCCCTTTCCTGTAACACAGGGACTGTATTGGGTGCACGTGTGTCAGTTGCTCACCTCCTGGGTTTGAGTTGATGATTAGGGCTCTGGTTGGAACAGGCATCTCCCTTCCTCTGGAGGTGTCTAGATGAAGGCAAGTGGAAGTTCTGGAAGCAGATTCTCCTTTGCAGCGTAGCCTTTCTGAGAGGTGTGCAGACACAGATGGCGTCCGGATCCTCAGCTTCTACCTAGATTGTGGGAGTTTCCCTAGGCTGCTGTAACCAAGTACACCACAACTGGGTGGCTTAGAACGACAGAAATGTGTTCTCATAATTTAGAGGCCAGACGTTGTAAATGAAGGTTTCAGCTGGGCCACTCGCCCTCCGACACTCTGGGTGGAATCCTTCCTCACCTCTTCCAGCTGCCACTGGTGGCCAGCAGTCCTCACCTGGCGGTCCTCACCTGACAGTCCTCACCTGGCGGTCCTCACCTGACAGTCCTCACCTGGTGGTCCTCACTTCACAGTCCTCACCTCATAGTCCTCGCCTGGTGGTCCTCGATGTGGTCCTCACCTGGCGGTCCCCACCTTGTAGTCCTCACCTCGCAGTCCTTGGCTTCCGGCTGCGTCACCCAGGGCTCTGCCTCTATTGTCACTGACATTTTTCTCCCTTTGTGTCTCTGTCATAAGGACACATTGGATTACCTACCCCAGCATGACTTCATCTTAACTAATTACATCTTCATGATCCTGTTTCCAAATAGTCACACTGAGGTGCTGGGGTTAGGACTTCAACATATGTTTTTGGGGGACGTAGGTCAACCCACAGCACATTCTTTTCTCAAAGTGACCTGATGTTTATGCCTGCGCTTCTTCCTTTACTCTCTTTCAACTCAATTCCTCTTCTCCCACTTTTCAGGAAAGAGGCGATCTTAGCTCAGGCCACTCCAACAAAATACCTTGGACTGGGTGGCTTAAAAAGCAAACATTTGCTTCTCACAGTTCTAGAGGCTGGAAGTCCAAGATTAAGGTGCCAGCAGATTCGGCGTACTCACATGGTAGGGAGAGGAAGCAAGCTGTCTCGGGACTCTTATGATGACACGATACTACCCCACCTCCTCATACCTGCACATTAGGGGACAGGGTTTCCATATGGGAATTTGGGGGAGACATTCCATCTGTGACAGAGACCTATTTCTCACCCATCCTGAATTTTAATATTGGATGTGAAAGCTACTGTCAAACATGGTACATAGTGGGGTCGTGAGTCTCTGTAATAGAGACACTTCTTTAATCAAGGTACCCCACCCCAAGTCAGGCTTTGTGCTTTCCTTGTCTGGCGTGTGCTCTGCTGACGGTGAATCATAGAGTAGGAACGGGGCGATTTAGCCTTCTGGAGGGTGGTTGGAGTTCACATGGACAGTCAGCAGCAGGGGTGATGACATTGCATTGAGCAATATCTGTTCTACCATGCTTTCACTGTCTTTGATGAAGGCCTCCCTCCCTCAGGAGTGCCCTGGGAGACTGGTCAGATACATGAAATCATCTTGTGATATGGGTCCACAGAAAATCAAAATCAAATGTTTAATTTCACTGGTATGTGTACATTTCCATTATAGACAATGTGATTGGGAGGCAAAAGACTGTCATAATATTTTTCATTAGGATAAAACTGGGGAGAAGAAATAGACCTATGAGGTCAAGGAGAAAAAGGAACAATGTACAATTTCTTTCTACTAAGAGTGTTTCTGCATCTATTACAAAAGGGTAATGGCAAATTGCATTGATATTTAAATTCCACTTAGCAAATTTTAAAGAGTGATATTTCAGCTTTATTTTAAAATGTCAATATTTCAAATGTTGCATAACGATGCCCTTTGTAAATATTTAAACTCATTATGAAAATTTTAAAGGGCAACTGAAGGTGTTTTTCAACATTCTTGTAAGGGTAATTTAAGTAGAATATGTGAAGAGCACTAGCTCGTGGCAGGAGCTTGTTCTGACTGGCTGCCTCTGCCCGCCACCGCCTCACACACCTGTCCCCACATCCTTTCTCCATGGCCTGGCCACACTGTGAAATCACAACATAAGTTTCAAGCATTGATAGTGTATATTGAGTGAGGTTATGCACTACACACTTAATTTTGACATCAGCCTGCCTGAATGTTTTTCTTGCAAAATATTTAAAAAATTGCTTTTTATTTGTTAGCTCATCAGTCCAAGGCCTCAGCACATAGCCTGGCTCACAGAAACATTCAAGGTTTTGAGTTGAAACTAAATTGTGAATTGTTTTCATATTTTCCGTGGCTTCTAAGTCTTTGATTTGATTTTTTAAGACTCTGTACTCCTAACTGTAAGTTGGAATGACTAAATCTGAAAGTATTGTTTTAAAATAAAGGTAAGGCATCTTTGATACTATAAAGCAGGGACAGAATGAAAAACACCTTCTCTTTCCGGAAGACATCTGTTGTACTGAAAATCTGAAGTCACTCTTGGGCAGAAAGGAAGGCTTGGGAGGCTTGGAGACCGCGGTTGGAAACCTGGCCCTCCTGCTTGCTAGCTGCATCGTTTTGAGTAAATTACTTATCCTTGCGGAATCTTACTTTCCTATTGATATAATTCATGAGCAACGCTTCCCTTAGGCCTCGACTAGAGGTCCT
Organism: Homo sapiens; assembly: GCF_000001405.40. Taxonomy (NCBI): domain Eukaryota; kingdom Metazoa; phylum Chordata; class Mammalia; order Primates; family Hominidae; genus Homo; species Homo sapiens. The sequence continues at coordinate 74,248,143 of NC_000018.10, read as the reverse complement.
GCCCACTCGGAGGACCCCGTCTGGTCCACTGGCTGTGGGCTTCCCCATGGGCCAAGGATGTGCCCACCTGGAGCCTGTACCCCTCCAAACCCTAGTACCCCCCACACACAGCCCAATCCTGCCTGTAGGTCTGGGTCTCCCCAGCTCATCCTCCTGAGGGTCACCAGGCTCTGGGGGGTGCACATCAGGGCCGAAAGAGTAGACGAGGGCTGGTGGTCTTCAGAGAGTTGGACACCCTGGATGAGCAGGTGGGGTCTGCAGGTAGGGTCTTCCTGAGTGCACTTGGACCCTGCATGTGAGTGGACTGGCGCTGAGAAGGGAAGCGGGGAGCTGGGAGCTGACTCTTCCAATGCCACCACCATCTGGCACAGAACTTTGATGAATCTGAAAATCCTAACTTCAAAAGTGACCTTTCTGGCCATTTGTCAAGGCAGGTGGATGGGGTATATTTTAAGACTTGTCAGTGGCTGCACAACATTAAAACACTCGGACACACGATGTGTGCTCCTCCTGCCCCACAGATGTGAGGGGATGGTGGCTCCTCAGCGGGTGAGGATTGAAATGACCACAGAGCAGCCGTCCACTGCTGGCCCATGTGTCTAATTCGTGTTTGCACTTTCCCATCCGGACCTCTTAAAGATTGCTTTATGTTAAGATGAGGTGTTTGGTGTATAAAATTTGAGCAAAACAAAGCTGATTGCAGTAATTGCAGCTAATAATCACATCCATGTATAGAAATCCCTAGAAGGCCAGGCTGGCCCAGTATATAAAGCTCCCCTTTCTCTCTCCTGTGATCACTGTTGTCCACTCTGTCACCTTATCTGAAGGCACCATTTGGTTTGGCTCCACATCAGGGTGGGGAGCACTGGCATTTGGGGTCGTGCTGTCACCCTGGAAGGTGAGTGTCACTCCTTGGTCATCAGCATTACCAAGGGCAAGGGAAGAGGAATGGCAGGGCCCCTGCTGAGAGCTCTGCCATCTCCTGGGAGGAGTGGACACAGAAGCCAGGAGACAATGGGGAGACAATGGGAGGATGGGGAGATAGTGAGGGGGTGGGGAGACAATGGGGAGGTGAGGAGATAGTGGGGGGTGGGGAGATGACAATGGGGGGATGGGGAGATAGTGGGGGCTGTGGAGATGGGGGTGGGGAGATAGTGGGGGATGATATAGTGGGGGATGGGGAGATAGTGGGCGGATGGGGAGATAGCGGAGGATGGGGAGATAGCGGGGGATGGGGAGATAGGGGATGGGGAGATGGGGGATGGGGAGATAACGGGACAATGGGGAGATAGTGGGGGGATGGGGAGATAGTGGGGTGGTGGGGAGATGGGGTGTGGGGAGATGGGGAATTGGGAGATAGTGGGGGATGGGGAGATAACAGGGGGACAGGCAGATAGCGGGAGGATGGGGAGATAGCAGGAGGATGGGGAGATGGGGGTGGGGAGATAGTGGGGGGACAGGAAGACTATGGGGGACATGGAGACAGTCGGGGTACAGGGAGAGTATGGGGAGGTGGGAAGACAATGGGGGCACGGATTGATGTCAAGTCTGATGCTCAGCTGCTTAGCGGAGGTGTGGCCGGCAGAGGCCAGCAGGAAGAAGTGTGCTGGGCACTCAGCACCTGCCAGGGAAGCTCAGAAGCAATCGAAAAGGGCACGAGTTTGTCCAATAGGGATGGGGTGTCAAAGGGGTTCTGTGAGGAGACATATTTTGTAATCAATCAATAATGTCTGAATATTAAGAGATCACTAAATCATTATGTAAATCCTGAAACATAAATCACAGTCTTCCTTGATTTTTTGACTGAAATGCGAATATTTTAATCAAGATGGAAAACACAACCCAAGTTGTTGGTGGGAAGGAGACATCTGTCAGGAAAAGTCCTTAAAAATGAAAAAATAGTGAGGCTTCTTTCTCTGCTCTTCTCTCTAGCCCCAGCTTCTGGTCACTCCTCCTTCCTACTGAAGGCACAGAGTCCAGTAGGCCATGAAGTTGGACATGGACCACAGCCTCCATGAAGACCAGGAGTAGAATGTCTAGCTTGAGGGTGGGTGGGTGGTCCCGGCATGGTCTCAGTTGCCATGCAGCCAGCTCTGCATCTGGTTGTATTTGGAATCTGTAGGACCAGGCTGAAGTTGACCAAGGGCTTCATGATTGGCCTAGAAACAAGCATACAACCAGAGATGGGATGCCGTGGGCTCCACCATCTCCACTCCTTTTAAAGAAGAAAGAAGCAAGTGAAACAAATTTGCTTTTTGAAAACCTTAGGTCTCCCGAAAAAAAAATGCAAAATGTTACCTTTAGTCCAGATAATTTAAGAAACCATTAAAATGCCATGTTGTCATTTTTAGATTAGAAAGTTTGACTTGTTTTAATATTCTTGCAGCCACGAGGGAATTCTGGAAATAAAGGAACACTTTGAAGTTGCAGTAGAAAGAATTTGAAATTCACTTGATAATTTTAAGTAACATCATATGGAGAACCTTCACCAACTTTGAGAATTATTGTTTCATTATCTTAATATGCTATTGCTAAGCTGAATTTATTTTACCATTATGATTATGCTTGTCATGTTTATAAGTCAATAGCTGTTTAAGGAGAGATCATGTGAGAATTGTCACATGGACACATTTAACATCAGCCATGACCATGGCTCACGCCTGTAATCCCAGCACTTTGGGAGGCCAAGGCAGGTGGATCACCTGAGGTCAAGAGTTCAAGACCAGCCTGACCAATATGGTGAAACCCCGTCTTTACTAAAAATACAAAAATTAGCCGGGTGTGGTGGTGCGTGCTGGTAATCCCAGCTACTCGGGAGGAGAATCGCTTGAACCTGGGAGGCAGAGGTTGCAGTGAGCCGAGATTGGGTAACTGCACTCCAATCTGGGCAACAGGTGAGATCCATCTCAAAAAAAAGAAAAAGAAAAATTTAACCTTGTTATAAGTAATGGTAGCATTACTTCACATTTCTTTTCTTAGTTCGCCAGTTCATGAACATGCACACAAAAATCCATATTTGTCTTGGAAGAAAACATAGGCATAAATCTTAATGACTTTGGATTAGGAAATGGTTTCTTAGATAACAAAAGCACACACAGCAAAAGAAGAAATAGATGAACTGAACTTCATCATAATTAAAAACTTTTGTTTCAAAGGACACCATCAAGTAACCGAAAAGATGACACAGGATGTGAGAAAATACTTACAAATCAGGTATCTGAGGGACCTGTATCTAGAATATATAAAGAACCCTGACAACTCAACAAAAGACAACTCAAGTTAAAAATGGGCAAAAGATCTGAATGGATAGTTCTCCAGATGAAAGTGCATGAATGGCCGATAAGCAGGATTAGCATGCTCAGTATCATTAGTCATTAGGGAAATGCAAATCAAAACCACAAGATGCCATTTCACACCCATGGGGAAGGTTATAATCAAAAAGTCAGACACTACCAAGTTCTGACAAAGGTGGAGAAATTGTAACCCTTGTGCATTGCTGGTGAGAATGTAAAATGGTTCAACCTCTGCGGAAAAGAGTATAGCAGTTCCTCAAAAAGTTAAACAGAATTACTACATGACTTAACAATTCCACTGCTAGGTATATACCGAAAAGAAGGAAAAACATGTGTTTAGACAAAAACTTGTTATGTGAATGCTCATAGCATTATTTATAATAGCCCCAAGCTGGAAACAACCCAAAAGTTCATCAGTAGATGAGTGGATAAACAAGTCGCCTTATGCCTATACAGTGGAATATTACTCTGCAGTAAAATGTACTATACATGCTAGAACATGGCTGAACCTTTGAAAACATTTGCTAAATGAAAGAAGCCATTCGTAACAGGCTACAAATGGTATGATTCTATTGATATGAAATGTTCAGAATAGGCAAATCCATAGAGACAGAAAGTGGTTACCTAGGGCTGGGAAGAAGGCTGAAGAAAACTGGGGAGTGGCTGATAACGGGTGCAGGATTTCTTTGGGGATTGATAAACACGTTCTGAAATGAATTATGGTGATGGTTGCATAACTCTAAATGTACTAAAAGCCATCGAACTGTACACTTTCAATGGGTGAACTGTGTGGTATGGGAATTATATTTCAGCAGAGCTATTGTATAAAAAAACTCAACATAGTCAAGGTGAACTCATTCTCTATGCCCAAGAAATTGTCCCGTCCAGCATTTCTTTCTTTCTTTTCTTTTCTTTCTTTTTTTTTTTTTTTTTTTGAGATGGAATTTCACTCTTGTTGCCCAGGCTGGAGTGCAATGGCGCTATCTCGGCTCACTGAAACCTCTGCCTCCTGGGTTCAAGCGATTCTCCTGCCTCAGCCTCCCAAGTAGCTGGGATTACAGGTGCATGCCACCTGATCTGTCCGCCTCAGCCTCCCAAAGTACTGGGATTACAGGTGTGAGCCATCGTGCCCAGCCTCAGTGTTTCTTATCTCAGGAGCATCCACCCAGGTCATGCCAGAAACAGGGTTTCTTCTTCACACCCCTCACCTTCGGCATTGCTTCCTACAATCACCACTCGGTTAAGAGTGGCTTCTTGTAAAGGGTGAGATGTGAAGCCAGAGGAGGGGCTTTTACTGTTTCACTCCATACTTTGTTCACTTACATATGGTTGGAATTAAATATATGACTTTTGCAGCTGAAGATAAACTGATCGCTGATGTGTACTGTTTGTTTCTAGATAGCCTCAGTGGCTGCTCTGTCTACTCTCTTGCTAGTGCCCATCCCTCCTCTCCACCTCCAGTGCCACGGCCCTCATCTAGGCTGCAGCTCGGCTGCTCTGAGTTACTGCTGCAAAAGCTCACTTCCTACTCGCATCTGGATCTGCCCAGGCCATTATTTCTGTCCTGCAGTGTATTCTCTGAGCCTCATCCAGTTCCTGAGACAAAGGAGGTGATTGTTAACTGAAGTCCCCTAACTGGTCTCCCACTTCCAGTCTCTATTTTCAATCTCTTGTGCCCATCATGATGAGATTATTCTCACTAAAACACCACTTTGATATCACTCTTGCCCCCCAGCCCCAGGCAGCTCTGAAGCACCCTACAAACTCAGCCTTTAGAGGCAGGGGGTTTTGAGAACTGCAGGATGTCCAGGCTGTGCATACTGGAGCACGGGAACTTTCAGACTCCAACAGTTTGTCAGCGTGGCAAGAGGCAGAGACAGATGTTATCTGACAAAGTTTGTCATATTCTTAGTACACCAGATCCTGGAAGCTTGTGAAACACTCTGGAAGGTCAAGCTAGTGCCTAGATCTTAGTGTCAGCCCAAAAGACTGAGGGCGAGGGCGGGCGGAAGATTATCAACAGCAAACATGTAGGAGGGCAGGGCCGGCTCGTTCTCGGAGGTCAGGGGAGTTCTGTGCTCTTGGACCTGAGTTTGATAAACTCAGTTCCTCTTTATCTCTGCTGATCTGCGGTATCTCATAACTTCAGCATGCTCGCCACTACCCTGAGTCTGTAGACTTCGGTGTTGATGAAGTTCACGTTCTTGGCACTATGGCCAGTGCCTAACAGCCTTTCCTTTTAACTAAGAATCTATTGGCTTTAGGCGCCCCCAAGTGACACCCTCCTCCTGGAAAATACTGATTATTTCAGCATCCAAGACTTACTACTGAGACCTAGCAATAACTAAGCACTTTTCTCTCTCCTCTTTGCGCCGGCTTCGTTACTGATTTACTCCTAGACTCGCAGTAACTTGCAGAAACTTGCAGAATTCACAGATGTGATTTAGAGCAGCTAAAATGTTTCTGGTTGGAGTTTTCATGTGTTAGAGAAAACAAAATCCTTTTAGGGAAACCATGGAGTAGATTTTTGCCCTTTTTCTCCAATGGTTCTTCATGTTTCCTTTAATATTTTTTCAGAGTTATCTCTCCTGAGAATCATACCCATTTGTGGCTGCTTCCCTGTATGTTTCGAGTTCAAACTGGATTCCATAACTTTCACTTCTGTCCTCATGAAACCCTTCTCACCCAAGCAAACCTGTAGCACGTGCCTCTCTCCCTGTGTTCCTCTACAGCTTTAAAGCTCTCTTCTCTTTGGGATTACAAAGTATCTAGTATTTGTCAGTTTCCTGAGCCATGACTTTGCAAAGAAAAAACAATACAGGCCTGATGGCATTACAACTTCATAAAAAATTAATTTAACGGTGCTCATAGATTGCCTTAATTTCTTTCATGATTTCGGGTTGGCTGTCTCCTCTCCCTATTTTTAGAATGTAGTAGATAGAATGCCCTTAACTATATGGGTGGATGGTTGATTACTCAAAGTCAGGTAAAGTGGAAAACGATTATATTTTAACTCATTTTAAGTTCATTTGCCAAGAGCTTTTTTGATTTATCTTTTGGGTCTGGATCCTCTGATAGGAGTTCTGTAACCACGATGCATCCGAAATGTCCCTTTCTCTTACTTTAATGTGGAATGAGAACGTAAAGAAGCTTCCAAAGCTATCTCCATACCATAGAAGTCTTAGAGTTTTAGAATTTTTCTTCCTGGTCTTTTACAGCTGCCTTGCACATGCCTAATGAGTCATTTTAACAATCCCTTTATCAAAGCTTTTAACAGCATCCAACATAGTTTTTATGGGGACATCTCTCCTTTTGAACTTGTATTTTTCCTCAGGTTACATCATATTCAATTAGTGTAATTGTAAATACATTTAAAGCTAATATAATGCCGGGCATGGTGGCTCACACCTGTAATCCCAGCACTTTGGGAGGCTGAGGTGGGCGGATCACCTGAGGTCAGGAGTTCGAGATCAGCCTGGCCAACGTGGCAAAACCCCATCTCTACTAAAAATACAAAAATTAGCTGGCCATGGTGGCGGGTGCCTATAATCCCAGCTACGTGGGAGGCTAAGGCAGGAGAATTGCTTGAACTCAGGAGGTAGAGGTTGCAGTGAGCCAAGATCGTGCCACTGCACTCCAGCCTGGGTGACAGAGTGAGACTCCATCTCTAAAAAAATAAAATAAGAAATAAAGCTAAAATAAGCAGAGTGGGAACAAGTACACTGATAAGCGAGTTGGAGCAGGAGTGTGCAGGCAGTCAAGAAGGCAGGCAACTGTGCAGGTCAGTACCCCGTGGGCATTGATTATTTGCATTTCAGAGGACGTGGAGAGAGACAGGTAAGCTGGCGAGTAAGCTGAGCTGAACTGATGGAACTTCCTCTGAAGTTTATACTGCTGAATCTAGACTATCGCTTTGTTCTCCCCTATCTCGAGCTCACATTATAAATTTCCATTTATAATTCTTGGTTCTCTGTGTATTCTCTCAGAAACAACTGCCATTGTATGAGTAGGAGTTACCTGTCTCTCAGTGAAAGAAACCCAAGCAAAGTTCTTTCTAGTAGCTTCTGGCCCAGCCGAATAACAATTAGGCTTAAATGAGTGGCACCTGAAATTCAGAGTGGCCGATCTCTACTTCAAAAAGCAGCTCCAGGGAGTCCTTAGACCTCCAGAAATTACATGAAGCATTCTGTTCATACGTGCATCTTTCTGAGAAGAAATGACTTTTCCAGAATCCTTAAGGGGTCTGTGATCCCCTAAAGATCAAGAATCACTACTTACACGTGACTTTGTCCACTCAGGGGAAGAAAAGTACTTGGTGATCTCAGCGAAAGATGTCTTTAACTGCTAAGCTGCTTTTTCCAACTGGCAGAAGCCCTTGAGAAGAGTTTATTAAGAATGAAGGAAAAAAATAATCCCTGTGTAGTTTACACAACTGTTCCTAAAATTCATCCCCCACCCATGCATTAAGCAGTACCATGTGCCGAGAGCCGTTCTCAGCCTGGGGGTACAGCCCTAAACAAGTGCCCACCGTCCCGGCCCTTTGGAAGCTGCATTCCACGGGGACATCTGCAGACCACAGGTAAGTAAAGAGACATGCATGGAACACCAGTCAGTGAAAAAGTGTTATGGAAAGAGGAAAGTGGAGAGGCTTGGAAAGCCATGTGATTTTAATAAGGGTGATTAGAAGCTCATCTGTGAATTGGGAACATCTGGGTGGCAACCTGCATGAAGTGTAGGAATGAGCTTGAAAATATTTGATGAAAGCATCCCCGAGAGAGGGAAATAAGTGTACAAAGGCTCTGAGGCAGCAGTGTGCCTGGCATATTTGAAGAACAAGGAGGCCAGCATGGCTGCAACAGACAGGATCTGATTTACATTTGGAGAAATGCATCAGAGACTATAGACTGCAGGTGGCCAAGAGCAGGCACAGGGAGGCCTCTGGGTCTCTTTATAAATATGTGAATTTATTGATAGGCTTAGGAAGTGGCCTTCCTAAGCCTATCAAAATGCATGTATTTATAAAAAAGTTTGTTTTTCAGGCATTTAAATTATTTAAATGGAATTTCCATTTAATTAATAATTAATTATTATATATATTCATTTAAAAAAACAAAAGAGGACATACAAATCAGAAATGTGTAAAAATAAATTTAAATCATAACAGTCGCTTGGTGGCCACCTAAAAATAATGACAATAGCATTTTATTTTTTATTTCAATAGTTTTTGGGGTACAGGTGGTTTTTGGTTACATGGATAAGTTCTTTAGTGGTAATTTCTGAGATTTTGGTGCACCTGTCACCCAAACAGTGTACACTATACCCAATGTGTAGTCTTTCATCCCTCACCCCCCTCCCAACCTTCCCCCGGAGTCTCCGAAGTCCATTATTTCATTCTTATGCCTTTGTATCCTCATAGCTTAGCTCCCACTTATAAGTGAGAATACACACTGTTTGCTTTTCCATTCCAGAGTTACTTCACTTGGAATAAGAGCCTCCAGCTCCATCCAAGTAGCTGCAAAGGCCATTGCTTTGTTCCATTTTACAGCTGAGTAGTATTTCATGGTTTACATATACTACCTTTTCTTTATCTACTGATTGGTTGATGGGCACTTAGGTTGGTTCCGTATCTTTTCAATTGCGAGTTGTGCTGCTGTAAACATGTGTGTGCAAGTGTCTTTTTCATATAATGCCTTCTTTTCCTCTGGGTAGATACCCAGCAGTGGGATTGCTTGATCAAATGGTAGTTCTACTTGTCATTCTTTAAGGAATCTCCACACTGTTTCCCACAGTTGTACTAGTTTATGTTCCCACCAGTGGCATAAAAGTGTTCCCTTTTTACCACATCCATGCCAACAGCTATTATTTTTTGACTTTTTAATTATGGCCATTCTTGCAGGAGTAAGGTGGTATTTCATTGTGTTCTTAATTTGCAATTTTCTCATGATTGGTGATGTTGAACATTTTTTCATATGTTTGTTGGATGTCTGTATATCTTCTTTTGAGAATTGTCTATTCATGTCCTTTGGCCACTTTTTGATGGGGTTGTTTTTTCTTGCTGATTCCTTTGAGTTCCTTGTAGATTCCGGATATTAGTCCTTTGTCAGATGCATGGTTTGCAAGTATTTTCTCCCACTCTGTGGGTTGTCTGTTTACTCTGCTGATTTTTCTTTGGCTGTGCAGAAGCTTTTTAGTTTAAATAGGTCCTATTTATTTGTTTTTGTTTTGGGGGCAACTAGCACTTTAACTTATATCCTTTCAGAATTATTTCTCGTATTCCCTTATAAAAATGGAATCCTATTGGAAAGACTGTTTTTCACTTAACAGTTTATTGAAGAAATCCATCCATATCAACAAGCAAAGGGTTACATTATTATTAAAGGTAATCCATATGTACCATTTTTTTTATTGTGATAAAGTATACATGCATTTATTTTTAAGGGGAATTAGCGACCTCTAAACCCCGGCTCCTCAGTGTGTCCTGGGAGACCCACAGCAGTGAGATCTCCAGCAGCTTTTGAGGGACGGAGAATCGTGGGCCCTGCCCTGAAGGAGGAGGAGCCCTGCCCCACCCAGAGTTTTCAGGAGGCCTGCGAGGTGGGAGGGCTGTTCCTTCCACCCCTCTGCTTGGGCTGCTCCCCAGGCCTCTGTCTTGTCTTGTGCCATCTGCTTTTCTCCAGTCACATTCCTTGGCCAAAATCGACTCCTCTTACAACTTCAAGCATATGATAGTGTGACGCTCTGCTTTCATTCCGAATCTCTTATCCATCCAGTCACTCAGGAGTGGGAAACACTTCCCTATGTCAGTTTCTGTAGAAAGCACTGGGGATACATGATGATCAAGGTGCTGTGTCTTCCAGAGAGAACGTTCTGGAAGGGGATGAGGATGTCTGGATGGGAGATATGGCTGGAGGGTCATCAGCTCATGGAAGTCACTGAGGCCACCTGGATGCTGCAGTCCTTGGGAAGGGTATGTGGGATGAGATCAGAGAGCCGGGGATGGGAGCCCATGGGAGACGCAGCCACAGATGGCAGCAGCGTGCTGGGCAGTGCCCTGGGCTGCAGGGCCAGGGAGAGCAAGACCACCAAGACAGCATGTGTGCAGGGCTCACCAGGGCCCAGGCAACCTCAGAGGGTGTGATGTGGATGACCTCATCTCATCCTCATGGCACACAGAGGAGTAGAAAGTGATCAGTATCTCCATTTTAAAAATGCAGCAGCCAAGATCCCAGAAAAGTGGGTGCCGGAGCGAGAGTCAGCTCCTCTTGTTGGTCTCTAAGGTCCCTGTGCTCACCCAGTTATGCTGAGATTAGGACGGAACGTGTCTTCTGGGGGAGCAACAGCAGCCACCACCCACGGGCAGATCCAGGGCAGCCCCCAGGGCAGAGGAAGGCCAGGAGGTGCGCAGTGGACGAGAAGAGCGGGGACTGCCATTTCAGGAACCCTGGCTGTGATCCGGGGGAAAGAGATGGGCAGGTGGTGGTGGCTCTTCATTTCATTTTTGTTTTAAAGGTGGAAGATACTAATGGGTGTTTCAATGCTGCAAGAGCTGTGTATGGGCAGAGGCTGTTGGGGACGGGGCTAACAGACAGCCAAGGTCCTGGGAGTCTCGGAATGAGACTTCCTAGAAGGACCAAGGAGGCAAGAATGTCCCTGACATTGGGAGTAGGGGAAGGGGAGGAAAAAGGGAAATTTAAATTTCACGCCTATTGTCCCCTATTCCTGAAGCCACCCACTGAGAGGGAGAGGGAGGTGGTGGAGAGAAAGAAGAGGTTTGCAACAAGTGCCATAAGAACAAAATAGGGAGTGACCAGGCCTATGGAAGGATATGGAATAGCACTGCGAGGCTGGCTGGCTCCGAGACCACTGTGTGGGCATGTGCTTGGCCTCTGAAGCTTGGGCACAAACACTCTTATCCAGTTTCCATTCAAAGACCAGCTCGAGGCCCTGCATGCCCGACCAGCAGGAGGTTAGGTCCTTTGGTCCCTGAAAGATTCCTCCTTGAGGAAATCTAGCCCTGGGGGGCTCACTAAGTTTAAATGCTTGTTCAGTTGACACCTGTCTCTGTACTTGGAGTGAGCAGTAGGCTTTTTTTTTTTTTAACAACTGAATATCCACTCTCCTTCCAGTAACAGCACCCAGATTTAACTCGGGAGATCTGCTTCCCTCGTTTTCAGCTATGGGACATAGGTGGGATTGACCCCTCACCTAACTCCAGGCTGAGTTAGGATTCACTTGAGCTTAAAGAACATCCCATCCCTGGCCTAGTGGGAAATGATTCCACTCTATCAGAACCAAGGAGGCAGAAGGAATTTCACCAGTGTTCCTTGGAACGTGGACCTGCTTCCCTGCTGTGTGTGTGTTCAGGAGAGACTGCTTTCCTCCCCTGGTGGTGGGATGTAAAGGCATGTGTCTGGAGCTGCCATGGCCATGTTGACGTCATGAGGTATCTTGGGTCCTTCTGGGGTGGGGACTCACAGAGATTGAGGCTGAGCCTGTCAACATGGAAGGTGGGTTAGAAAGACTGGGAAACTCTGAGTCCTTGGACATGCTGGCTGAGCTGCGGATCATGCCTCTCTCGAAGCCACACCTATTGTGGACTTCTAATAAGAAGGTTGGAAGCATATGATATTGCTGATAATTTGGCAAGTGCTGACCTACAAGAATGGAAATCTCTTTCAACTTAAATGTTGAAACTTATAAATTTCCTTGATTTTCTAAGACAATTTTAGGTGGGTGGGTTTTTCTACAACTCAAAGACTTCTAACAAATATAACACAGAACTTAGAATCCTGTCCCTGAGGAAGGAGTGTGTGTATCCCTATGTCCCGGGAACTGGTTGCTCCAGAACCTGTCTCTGCGCAGCTGCTGCCGCCCCTCACTCCTCCTGCTGCAAAGCTCAGGTGATGCACAGAGATGTAAAAGTTTGCTGCTGCCGAGACCACTGCTGGCTCCTATGGCCCTGCCCGAGGGGTCAGACCAACTGGCCTCAGGTTTCCAACAGAACTGGTCCTGACAGTCCCTGGGGATTCTGCCCCAGCCTGAATAAACTATAATTCTGAGCAAAATCCAGCTGAGTTCAGCAAATGGAAGTGGGTTAGCCCTCAGAGCCCCACTTCATGTGGGGTATGACAGCAGCCTCAGCTGTCAGCTGCATCCAAGGTGGACATTCTCTCACCTCAAACATCGGCATGGCCTAAAATTGATGCCTTCCCATACATTTGTTAGAGAATAGATTGAAGGGACTTCAAGTTGCAAAGAGATATTTGAATTTTTTAAAAACCTCAAGCCAGTATTTGGAAACCGCCAGCAAGGATTTGGACATGGTGAGGTAAGTCAGACCAGTGCCAATTTCATAGGCTGAAGGGAGGTTTTCTAGGTTAGAATGCACAAGATGTAAACAGTTGATTTTTCTGCTCATGTTGTTCAACAGGTTTCTTTTTCTGTAAAGCAACTACAGCCTGAACTTGAAGCCATATCTTTTTTTTTTTTTTTTTTTTTTTTTGAGATGGAGTCTCACTCTGTCGCTCAGACTGGAGTGCATTGGCACAATCTCAGCTCACTGCAACCTCTGCCTCCCCAGTCCAAGAGATTCTCCTACCTCAGCCTCCTGAGTAGCTGGGATTACGTAGCTGTGCCACGACACTGAGCTCAGTTTTGTATTTTTAGTCGAGACAGGGTTTCACCATGTTGGCCAGGCTGGTCTAGAACTCCTGACCTCAAGTGATCCATCTGCCTTGGCCTCCCTTGGCTTACAGGCATGAACCACTGCGCCCGGCCTTGAAGTCATAATTAAGTAGTATTAACACATCATGTCTCATCAGGTAATAGGCTTTTGCTTTTTTTTGGAGGAGTCATACCAGAGTTTGCATACAAACTCTTCCTGTGTGTAATGTATCTATTTATTCATTCATATTGACTGAGAGTCTCCGACGTGTCACTGCATAGCCAGTGTGACTTCCCCAGTCAGATGACTTCCCCTATGCTTGTGTCTTTACCTCCCTGTACCCCTCGCCAGCCCTTGCTGGAACAGGCACTAACCCCCAGGCAGAAGAAGGACTTGCTTCATAAGCCTTCAAAGAAGAAACTCTGGCTTTTCTCAGTCTGTCAAAAGTCAGTGGAGGCCTCCAAGCATTTCTCATTTTCCCAATCATCGAATAATAACTTCAACACAATGATATGACTCAACCCATTGCTGACGAATGCTCAGAGCCCAAGCCTTTCAAAGCAAAGGACCTTGCATAGTTCCCCTGTCAAGGCAGGAGATTGAGTTCAGCTCAGTTTATTGGTTAAACATTATCACCCTCTGTTCCTCCCACTGGTATGTCTGTTCCAAATGCTGACCCCAGAAAAAAGTTCACATGCTCTTTCCTGAGCCAAAACATATAAAGAACAGCCTCACTTGTTGATATGTACCCTGTTATGCAATCACTTTCCTTGCAAGGGCCGAAGTTCAAGGAGCTGTTAAAGTTGATGCCCTTTCTTTTTCTCAAGTGTGAAACATAAAGAATTGCACGGGATTTTACCGTGAGAGTCAGATGGTGAGAATTCCTTAGCATTTGCCTTTCTGAAGTGGAAATTGGGTTCCCCAGAATTGTGACTGTTTGATACTCAGGTGAAGAAATTATTTTTATTGTAACCTCTTCCCCTTGGAGATTAAGGGCTGGATGAACACTTTGTTTAGCATTGCTTTTGATTCTTGCGTGGGTGTGAAAGAAAGATGATCTGTTTAATGCCACGTGGCTCCCAGTGTGCCTGCCTCAAGAGCTGTCCTTAAGTATAGCCAAAGGATTATATAATAAGCAAGATTTATATAATAATTTTGTACATGTTGCCACCAGAATATCACTATGATTTCCTATGACATAAAGCTTTCATCTGTTGCTATCAGGAAAGAATCGACTAAGCTTTTTCTGTGGGGGAAATGTGCTAGAAAGCCCTTCTGGAAACCATTCCTCAAAATCATGCGAGCTGGAATGGCAACCTAGAACTAATGCTTTAACAACCACCAGTCATCAGTAAAATAAAACATACAATACTAAAATAGCTAATAAACGACAAAGGCTATATGCCAAATGGATTCAGTAAGATATTTGGGGAACTGATGTGAGACAGACCCATGTCATCGTCAACCTTCTCTGGAAAGTCCAGGAGCAGAGGACAAGAGAAGAAATCTTCTGATATCATATTCATTGATTTGGACACCATGGAGTTAAATGGCAATTATTGTAGTCTACTGTTTATATTGGGCCAGAATCGAGGGGTTATTTCTTACAGCAGAAGTGCAGCTGGGTGGCCTTTCCATTATATCTGTTTAAAACCCACTGAATGGGCATATTTGGGGTGCCAGGGAAATGACTAGAAAAAAATCAGGTTGTGATGAGCAGTCATGCGGTGGCGTTTCTGATAGACAATACTTTCCTCTTCCTCTTAAATACAAACTATAAGCATTGTGACGAGAAAGGACCCCCATTATGAATTTTATGTATTAAATACTAATAGTTTGTTACAGTTTATTACATGGTCAATGTTTAAATTAAAAGCTCTATTCAAATGAATGTATTAGTTTGTTAGGACTGCCGTAATAAGGTAGCACAAACTGGGTGGCTTAAACAACAGAGATTTATTTTCTCACAATTCTGGAGAGAGCTGGCTGGGATCAAGGTACAGTCGGGGTTGTTTCCTCCTGAGGGCAGTAAGGGAGTAGCGTCCCAGGCCTCACTCCCAGCGTCTGGGGGTTGCTGGTGATCTGTGGTGTTCTGTAGCTTGTAGCAGCACCCTGATCTCTGCCTTCGTCTACACAGGGTGTTCCTGTGTCCAAATGCCCCTTTTTAATTTTTATTTATTTATTTATTTTGAGATAGAGTTTCACTCTTGCCGCCCAGGCCAGAGTTCAGTGGCGCCATCTCAGCTCACTGCAACCTCTGCCTCCCGGGCTCAGGCAGTTTTTCTGCCTCAGCCTCCCAAGTAGCTGGGATTACAGGCACACACCACCATGCCCAGCTAATTTTTGTATTTTTAGTAGATACAGGGTTTCACCATGTTGGCCAGGCTGGTCTGGAACTCCTTACCTCAAATGATCTGCCAGCCTCGGCCTCCCAAAATGTTGGGATTACAGGCATGAGCCACCACGCCTGGTCACCCCTTTTTTTAATAGGGACACCAGCCATATTGAATTAGGGCCTGTCCTACTCCAGTATGACCTCATCTTAACTAATAACATCTGCAAGGACCCTATTTCTTTTTTCTTTTTCCTTCTTTCTTGCTTTCTTTTTTTTTTTTTTTTTTGACAGGGTCTCGGTCTGTCGCCCAGGCTGGAGTGCAGTGGCATGATAACAGCTCACTGCAGCCTTGACCTCCCAACATCAAGTGATCCTCCTGCTTTGGCCTCCCAAGTAGTTGGGATTACAATCATGCACCATCACACCTAGCTAACACCTGGCTAATTTTTGTATTTTTTGTAGAAATTGGGTCTCATGATGTTGCCCAGGCTGGTCTTGAACTCCAGGGCTTATGTGATCCTTCCACCTCAGCCTCCCAAAGTGCTGGGATTATAGGCATAAGCACCTGTGCCTGGCTGAGGACCCTATTTCTAAATCAGGTCACCTTCTGAGATACTAAGGGTTAAGACTTCAACATATGAATTGGTTGGGCACAGTTCAAGCCATAACAATAAGTAAACCTAATGTTGGACCAGATATTCAGGGGCAATGTGTCCTGGGCCCATTTTTAAATTAATTAATTGTTTAAAGCAGAAAGGTGCTGTACCAGAAATGGGTTCTACCACTCATAGTGGGGGAAGCAAAACAGTGAGAAGGAAACATGCCCAAATCCAGACTGTGGCTTCTGTTCTGGCAAAGTTGCATCTTGACGACAGTTTGGATCTGCTCGCTGCAGAGGGTCAGAGGGTGCGGCCCGAGTGGCACCCACATCCTGGTTGCCCTGGAGGATGCAGGATGGAGCTGCTCAAGGGCAGGGCACTCTGGAGCCCACCAGCTCCTTGAGTTCTGTCTGGCCCTACAGTGTTGTCCTCACAAGAAACAAAAACAAACAAACAAACAAAAACCCAGGAAAACAGAGAGGGACCAGGTATAAAGGTGAAGCGAGTGAAAGGCAACCTCAGCAGCATTGCAAGAGTGGGTGCCTGTTCCACAGGTTGAAGAGCGCTAGAACTTGGCAGAATGATGCCCAGAACAGGACCCCATTCCTCCACATTGTTAAACCTTGCACCATGGTTCGGGCCAGAGGTGGCTTCACCTGGCTCTGCCATTTCTAAATTGAAAACCCCGTACCTACTTGGCAGTCCCATGCAGGTGACTCAGCAGTTAGCTGGGAGCAGAGCATTGCCAGAAATGTACCATGTGTCTAACAGGCAAAAAGCAAGCCAGGCCTGTGGGAGGCACTCTCTCTGTGCAGGTGGGCATGTAGGTTGGGATTAAGTAGCTCCTATCCCTGGGGTCACTAGTTGTCACTTGAATTCAGACTTTCAGTCTTTAACTGGGGGAAGGGACATTTGCAATGGATGGAATGTTACATACGTTTACCTGTATTGAGTTTGTGACAGGCAAAGAATTAAAAATGACAGCTCTGGGATGGTTGTGGTGGCTCACACCTGTAATCCCAGCGTTTTGGGAGGCCAAGGTGGGAGGATCACTTGAGTCCAGGAGTTCGAGACTAGCCTGGGCAACAGAGCAAGACCCCATCTCTACAAAAGAGTTAAAAATTAGCCCTATGTGGTGGTGCATGACTGTAGTCCCAGAAAGGAGGCTGAGGTGGGAGAATTGCTCGAGTCCAGGAGTTCAAGGCTGCAGTGAGCCATGATTGCACCACTGTACTCCAGCCTGGGCAATAGAGCAAGACCCTGTCTCTAAAAAAAGAAAAAGAAAATTACAACTCTCCACAACTAGTGCTCACTTCCCCCAAGACAGTGATGGGGTGAGCTTTCTAACAGTTTAAAGAGAAACTCTTCAAAAATTCCTTTTCACTCCAATATTTTTATATTTATGGGTTTTTTTTTTTTTTTTTTTTGAGTTGGAGTCTCACTTTGTCACCCAGGCTGGAGTGCAGTGGCGCAATCTCAGCTCACTGCAACCTATGCCTCCCGAGTTCAAGCGATTCTCCTCCCTCAGCCTCCTGAGTAGCTGGGATTATAGGCGTGCGCCACCATGCCTGGCTAATTTTTGTATTTTTAGTAGGGACAGGGTTTCACCATGTTGGTCAGGCTGGTCTTGAACTCCTGACCTTGTGATCCTCCTGCCTTAGCCTCCCAAAGTGCTAGGATTACAGGTGTGAGCCACTGCACCCGGCCTATTTTTACGTTTTTAAAGAGCCGGGATCTCACTACATTTCCCAGGCTGGTCTTAAACTCCTGGGCTCAAGGGATCCTCCCGATTTGGCCTTCCAAATTGCTGGGATTACAAGTGTGAGTCATTGTGCCCAACCTCACTCCAAAATTTTGACCATGTTGATTTTAAGGCACAGAACTGGACTCAGTACATCTTAAAGAAAAAGCAGAGAAGCGGACAGTGCATGGGGTTGAAGCTGGAAGCCGGCAGGAGCAGAGCCGTCTCCAGGCACTGGGTCTCCCTATTTCTCTACCGTGCTCTGCCTCCCGTACTTCCTCAGTGAGGTGGCTTTTCCCCTCCTTCCTTCTGACCGGCCAGTAGGCTTGGCATTGTCCAGCATAGGTGCTGGCGGAGCTGGTCTCTTTGGCTTGGCGAATTAGCTGCTGGAGACTTCGTGCCTCCAAGATGTGCCGTCCTGGTCGGGTAATCTCTCAGGTGCAGTCAGTGGGCCTGTCACAGAGCCAGCCCAGTGAGGGTGACACTGTCTTCCAAAAACAGGGCTGATTTGGAAATGTGTGGCAACCTTTTGTCTTCTGGCGTAATTCTACCCAAGCATTTACAGATTGAAACAAATAGTGTTAGTTAATTATAAATTGCTTTCACTTTATTTTCTCCTTATATTAGGTTTAGTCGTTCTGACAATTCTTTTGATAATCTATATCATCTATGAACCTTATTTCTGATTAAGATGGTATTATATTAGTCTTTTTTTGAGACAGGGTTTCATTCTGTTGCCTGGCTGGAATGTAGTAACCCCTAGGTTTTTCTTTTTTTTCTTTTTTTTTTTTTTGAGATGGAATTTTGCTCTTGTTGCCCAGGCTGGAGTGTGACAGCACAGTCTCAGCTCACTGCAACCTCCACCTCCCGGGCTCAAGTGATTCTCCTGCCTCAGCCTCCCGAGTAGCTGGGATTACAGGCATGCGCCACCATGCTCAGCTAATTTTTTGTATTTTTAGTAGAGATGGGGTTTCACCATGTTGGTCAAGCTGGTCTCTAACTCCTGACCTCAGGTGATCCACCTGCCTCGGCCTCCCAAAGTGCTGGGATTATAGGCGTGAGCCACTGCGCCCAGCCAGCCCCTAACTTTTTAAAAATGTACAACATTTGGAGGAGACTATTCCACTAGAATCTATGAGAAGCCTATAAGTCACAGGTGCTGAATGCAAGGTGAAACCCATTAAGCCGCTGAGCAAAACCTAGCTAGGGAAGTCGCATGTGTCTAAGTGTGTGTTGGAGTGAGTCAGGCATGGCTGGCGGAAGGCATCTGGCCATGACTGTTTTCTTGTTATTTCTTATCTGTGTCCTGGTTATTTATTTGCTCTTGATTCTTGCACTGTAATTTAGACCTTTGATACAATGGTTGGTAACACTTTGTCACAAACTCTAGTTCAGAGTGAGTCCAATATTTTGGGTGGGGAAATAGACTGTGAAACATTTGCATGCATGCTCTTTTTTTTTTTTTTTTTTGCAGTGGAGTCTGTCACTCTTGTCTCCCAGGTTGGAGTGCAGTGGCATGATCTTGGCTCAGTGCAACCTCCGCCTCCTGGGTTCAAGTGATTCTCCTGCCTCAGCCTCCTGAGTGGCTGGGATTACAGGTGCCCGGCAGCACACGCAGCTAATTTTTGTATTTTTAGTAGAGGCAGGGTTTCACCGTGTTGGCCAGGCTCGTCTCGAACTCCTGAACTCAGGTGATCCGCCTGCCTCAGCCTCTCAAAATGCTGGGATTACAGGCGTGAGCCACCGCATCCAGCTTGCTCATTTTTGCATGCATTTAGGGCAATTGCTGTATGGGTTAATATGCTTTTGTGCCCCAATATATTCAGAAAGGTCTCCCCTTTCTAACATCCTTTATGTTGCACTCATGGCCAACCACCTTGTCTCTATGTCCTCATACACAGGAAGTATTAGTAGAGTCTTCCAGACTTTCTTATTTCAGGTGATGAGGCACTTCACCTTTCACAGACATCTTACACACACACTGGCTGATGATCTCACCCTGGCTGTGAATGCCACACGTATGTCCTCTGGTCGTTGCTCCCATAGCTATCCAGCAGAGCAGAGTTTACATCCACAGTTGGCTCCATGGGCCCGTGACGGAGGCAGAGTTTACATCCACAGGATGGAGGCGATTAGGTCCACCAAGGCTCTCATATGCTGGTCTTCAGTTCACACAAACCACATGATGATTGCTTCTCTGTGCTACCTGTGACCCACCTGCAGCTGGGCTGAATGAGGCTGCTCTCCTGTTCATCTGCTCTGCCCATGAACAGGAACAGCATCTCTGCTAAGCTTGTCTCTAGTGTGCACTCACCACCTCAGTGCACCCCAAAAAGCCTGGCAGGAAGTAGGGGAGTAGACATTCACCCAGGGAATGCATCCCCTGTGGATCGGGTTCCAACCATCCCTGTGTGCCTGTCTGGGATGGACCCAAGGTGGGTAACAAGCCCTGCCATTTCCAGAGCACTACGTGCTAAGTAAGCATCATTCATTCATCACGTCACTTAATCCTGACAGCAGCCCTGCCAGGCTCCTGTGGTTGCCTCATTGTTACAGATGAGGAAATGGAACCTCCGAAGAGTTAAGTAACTCGGTGAAGGTTACTCAGCAGGACATGTTAGCATGTTGGCCCAGGTATCTCTAATTCTTACCTCTTCACTCTTGTCACCTTTCTGCTGCTGCTGCTGCTGCTACTTCTTTTTTCTTTTGGAGACAGGATCTCATTATCTTGCCCAGGCTGGAGTGCATTGGCTATTCACAGATGCAATCCCACTACAGATCAGCATGGGAGTTTTGACCTGCTCTGTTTCTGACCTGCGCCAATTCACCCCTCCTTAGGCAACCTGGTGGTCCCCTGCTCCTGGGAGGTCACCATGTTGATGCTGAATATAGTGCAGATGCCCCAGCTGCATAGTGCACTACAGCCCAGGACTCCTGAGCTCAATTGGTCCTCCCACCACAGCCTCCTAGTAGCTGGGACTACTGGAACGGGCCTGCATGCCTGGCCTCCTTTCTTCTCAAAGGTGCAGGTTTCAGGGAGCCTGGCTTTGCTTTCTGAGTTCATTTTTTTCCCCTCCAGCACCAAGCAGCTCTATACTCTCTCCTTGACCACTTCTCTTAGAGCCTTTTAACCCTGGCATACAGGAAGGGAGCTCAGATGTTCACACTGTGCAGGTGGATGGCTTAACGTTGACATGCTGCTTTCCACGAGGGTGGCATCGTACAATACCTCAAAACATTGGTAGCCTGTAGAATTGCATATGTGAGTCTGGACAAGGCAGATACATTACTGTAAGGGGAGAGGGAGTTTGATGGTCTACATTTTATTTGGAGCTACAGCTGCATGCTTAAGTCATATTAAGCTCGCTTATGAAAGGGGGATGATATGGGTGGAATTATGTCTACATTGAAGTCCTAACCCCTAGTACCTGGCAATGTGACCTTACTTGGAACTAGGGTCGCCGCTGGTGAAATTCATAAGTTGAGGTTATACTAGGGTAGGGTGGGCCCCTCATCCAATATGACTGGTGCCCTTATAAGAAGACAGAGACATACAGAGCATTCCAAATGACAAGGCAGAAATTGGAGTGACCTGCAAGCTAAGGAATGCCAAGGATTGACTGCAAATGCCAGAAGCCGGGAGGCAAGAAGGATTCTCCCCTACAGGCCTCAGAGGGAGCGCGGCCCCACGACACCTGGATTTCAGACTTCGGGCCGTTGAACTATGAGAGAACCCATGTCTATGGTTTCAAGCCACCCCATTTGTGGTGTTTTCTAATGGCAGCCCTAGGACATGAATCCAGAAAAGAGATGGGTGTGTCCTCTTTGGGACGCCCGGTCTGGGAGGGTCAGAATTGTCCTTATCGTCCTGCATGGTCACTGGGTCTTTAGCCACATTGTGCCTGTTCTCGTGGATCTTGGCCTCATACCATATCCAGATACTGAAAACAAGATTAAGGTAAAGGTGTAAATTAAATAAAAATGAACACAAAAAGACAAGTGGTTTTAAGATGGGTTTTATTTGTTTGAAAGGCTGTAAAGGTAAGCTGAGGAGTTTTCTTTCCATGGTAAGAATAATTCCAACACAGATACTTCCTGGTAACATGAGCCACGTTGGAGAGAACGATGACCAGACTGAATGCTGGCCAAGGTCCACCATGGAAGCCTGTAGAAAGCCTGACCTCCTTCCACAACCTTTACAGGAAGGACTTCGATTTTCTTTTTCTCTCTTTTTTTTTTTTAGGACTTTGATTTTCTTGTAATCAATGTGCGCCAGCTCACTGGTGCCTGGCCATCAGCTACCAGCTTTCTTTCAGCAGACCCTGGTGTCATGGTTCCTAGAGGCTTTTCCTTGGTCAGAAATGCAGTCTGCCTCTCCCCTTCCTTTCTTCCCATTCCCATGGATTTTTATCACCATGCTTCTTGTCGCCGCATCACCCACCAGGTTCACCATTCATTTATTCGGGTTCGCCTCTGGACAATTTTTCCTGACCTAAACATCCCTTATATATGAGGAGCTACTTGACAACCAGCCATGTCAAGGCTGTGGGAAATTTGATAAGGTCCCCCACAGTCTCTTCAACAAATAAATGGCTCTACATAAAAGGGAAACTATTATGGGTTGAAATACTCAAGCTGTGTATCCATCCAGTGTTATGTATACGTCTTGTTTGTTTAGATCCCAATTTAAACAAAGTGTAAAAAGACATTTTATGAGATAATTGAAGAATGTGAAGCATGGGCTGGACACTACAAACTAAAAATAACATCCTAACTCACCTATATGAATGGACCCCCTCTTGGCCAAGGGGACCCCAGAAAAAACTTTAAAACATGCCCAGCCATGACTACAGGACAAGGCAGACATGCTTGGTTATAACCCCTTTCTTTGCAGTTTAGACACAACAGCCAATCAGCATTAATGCTAAAATGGAGATCAGAAAGACTGATAGGACAGCACGCAGTAAGATAACAAATTAGAAACAGGACCTAGGGCCCTGCCAGGCAAGGGTTAAGTCGCGCTCCTTATGCTGAAAGAATAAGCTATGTTCTCACTGCCACAAGGTTTTCTCTTTCTCTAGCAGCCAAACAAGCACTGGCCTTGAGATAAGCACTGTTAAATCAATTGCACCAGATGCTGACTAATTGACCCCTGTTCCACCAGTCACAGCTACAGCTCTGATTGGACAAGAGACTGATTTCAATAACTTTCTCCTGATAAGTTTACAGAGGCTGCACACCTGAGAACCTTTGGTCCTGAACAGCCCTTTTCACACATACGGCCTAATTGCAATAAATGTGAACGTTAATCTCCAGCCCAAAGTGAACACGGGTCATATGTTGATACATGTTACATATGCACGTGTCAGGACCGCCTTCATGAGTATTCATAGCTCTTCCTATATCCTGCTGAATATGTATGTCTAGTTAACCTTAAACATAAAGCTCCTATCCCAAACCCTCCTGGAAGTGCCTGTCTCTGGTCTTGGCTGGAGGCATCTTCCCAGCCAGAAGAATGGCCACCTTGCAGGCTGAAACCCTTTAATAAAAAATAAAATAAAATTTCTCCTTTTCTAAATATATGTATTATAGGTTTTCTTTTAAAGTTAACAGTACTATAATTAGATAATTATATTAGATAATTAGACTATTACTTTACATTTTGTGGGCTATAAGGACAGTATTGTCCTTAATGTTAGATGCAAATGGATGTGTGTTTACAATTTTCCTTAACGTTTTCTTGACGAAAGCATGGGTGGGGATAGGGGTGGTAGATGAAATAAGAATGGCAGGTGAGGCTACACGTTCTTCCGTGTTCTTCCATGATGTAAATTGTTCACAATAAAATGTTTTTTAAAAAAGGACAAACAGACTGTGTGCTCTTTGGTGCCAGTGCAGATCTAGATTCGTGCCTGGGAATACACGTGGGGCATGGGGCATCCTGGAGTGTCACTGAATTCTTGTAATTGTCACAACAGCAAATGGAGGATTCTTGTGGATCCCCTGATTCCACTAGTGTCCCAGAAAGTGCACTGCTCTGTTTTCTAGTTAAAGCAACCTGGTGGCTTTCTGTCCAAAACCACGACAAAGATGAAAGCCAAGTGGGCAGAGCTAGGGAACAGTTCTTGGAGCCTCTGTCCCGAGTGGAGCCCTTCTCATTGGTTTCCTCCACGGAGGCCATGCGCTTCAGCGCCTGTGCAGGGAACCCCCAGCCTGTATCGCAGATTCTGGTCAACTTTCTACTGTTCTCCCAACCTCTAGGACTCTGTTCCCAAGAGAGAACATACTCTTGTTTCGTAGTGCTGGTTCAGACAAAATGAGCTCTTGGTAAGGACATCTCAATAAAATGCATGCCTTTGCTCATGCATTCCAACAATTGTTGAGCACGATGTCCCCTGAAAGGGCCCAGAAGCAAACGCCCCTCAGCAACTATGAGCACACCCAGTGCCCGCACCTTGGTCTGTAGTGCTATTCCCCACTAACAGGAGCCAGGGGTCCATCAGAGAATGGCTGATTTTATGGCTAGGACAGGGTAGAGATAGGGTCAATATGGAGTCCCTTATGCCACAACATAAGGAGTGATATAAAAAGCTGGGGCCTATCAGAAGGATATGCTGGTGGGCAGGGGGACAACTTGAAGGTCTCCCATTGACCGAGTCGGGCACAATTTGAGCACTCAAACAATGAAGTCCAGGAATGCCTGAGAAGCCACTGGAAAAATAGGAATCCTCAGGTACACAACGATAATAAAAGGAAAAATAAAGCGGGGAGAGAGGAGGGCTCTTGTGCCTAGGAATGGCAAGTGCTGATGGTAAACATGGAGTGGTGTGGGAGATGGAAAATCATTTCCATCATCATTTTCATCATCACCATGAAGGCTGGTTCAGGCAGGAATCTTGGGTGGATACTAAGTCTAAGGGGAAATTTTTATGAGGATCATGATATGTATGTGGTCTCCTAGTGTCTCTCCATAGACTGGTTTCTCATTGCAAGGAAACTCATAGTACGTATGCAGAGGAGAAATGCCTTGACTTGTGCTATGAATAAGCATCACCAAGGAGGGACAATGGATGGCGAACATCTCCAGGTAGGATGCCCTAGAAAGATGCAGCACCACTTATGTCATTCACTGGCCAGAAATGCATCAGACAAACTCCACATGAAAGCAATTCTATTTAAAATGGGAGGAGGAGGCTGTTCTTCAGAAATGCAATGTCATAAAAGATAAAGGCTGTGCAAATGTCTCAGATGAAAGATGACTAAGGAGACACGAAAATGGATGCAGGACCAGATCCAGGGTAGTATCCTGCCCTGGAGGCCAAAATTCTATAAAGAACTTCAGTGGAACAATTACAAAATTGGAAGAATTACAAAACAAGATTGTTTTATCGTCATGCAAGACTGTCTCTGCTCTGAGGAAATGCAGTTTAGGGGGAAAGGGCCATGACGTGTGCAACATATTCTCAAATGGTTCAGAAAAATTATATACACAGTAATAGCAAGTGAGAAAGCAAATGGGATACAATGTGAATCGTAAGAAATCTGGGTAATGGGTGTGGGGGTGTTTTTTGAGCAATTGTTTTTCTCGAGACTCTTCTGTAAGTTTGAAATTATTTGCAAAGAAAAAGTTAAAAAAATGAACACCTACTATGTGCTATCCTATTTTTCTTGGTATTGGACCCATCAAGGTCATTTTAGATGATAGCCTAAATTTCCTTTTTTTTTTTTTTGTATGCACTTAAAACTTGTATAAATGGATTGGCTTGATTTCCCTGCCTCTGTTTTATATTCCTGGAGGTCGATGGATGGCCACGTTTCAGTAGATTAGAAAAAGTATAGGACCTCATTTACAGATGAGCCTCTAGGTGGTTAAGAATATGAAACACTTCACATTGCAATTAAATGGGTACATTCTGAGCCCCACAAGGGTGGCATCGTCTGACTTGTTTAGGTTTCCATCAGCAGGATCCAGCATGTGCCTATCATATGGTGTGCATTCAAATATTTGTTGAATGACTAAATTAATTATTCTAAAGTAAGATTTGAACGTGTAAAATAACCTTTCACCAAGGTTCCAAGTCCTTCATAAAAACAAGTGAAAATGAATCTTTGATATTTGAGATATGCTTTCTAATGAGAAAACTGGTAGGTACCCTAAGGAAGAGATTTTCATTAGCTTTCCTTCCTGGGCTTATCAGAACCTCCCTGTCTGGAGCCAATAAAGGCCTATAATTAAAAAAAGAAAAAAAGAAAAAGAAAAAACTTGGCAGAAAGCTCATATCTGTACCTTTCTTTTTCTTTTCTAAATATTTCCATAAATTATTTAACTTCCGTGAGTCTTTTGCTCTCTGAATGAAGTAGAGTCCTATTTGCATTCTTACCACAGAAAAGACGAGAATAACCAAATAGCGTTTTGGAATACGTTTTCAGAAGAAGGAGATTTACTGCTGTTTTGATTCTCTAGAAATTGAGAGGCCACTTCTTTAAACTGTTAGGAGTGAGTTTGTTAAGCGAGAGAGAACACACAAACAAAATGCCAGCATAAGAGGCCCGATGATGACACGGATATAAGCATGAAGCAAAAACGCCTGAGGAGGGGATGGGGTTCCCACCTGGGGCCTAGTGAGTCCCCTGCATGGCGCGCTGAATTCCCGTCTTCACAACCAGTCTTAGATGAAAGTCCTAAATGAAAAGGTTGCAAGTGGGGAGAACAGGATCTAAAGCCATCTGATCCTGATGGGGGCCTACAAAGTGTATTTTTGGTCTAATTTCCAAAAGGGCACCAAGTGGGGAAGAGGGGAGAGCCCCGGGAGGAGCTGGGGGTCTCAGGCCCAGCATGGGGGAAGAAGGGGAGCTTGCTGACTGCATGACGCTGACAGGAAGGGGGCCCTGGAAGCCCAGGGACTCATGGGGATGTTCACCACAGCACAGACCAAACTGAAAGCTGTCCGTAAAGCAGGAAACCCACGTGTTCAGGTAAGCACAATATTCCTGTAGGCCATTTGTGAAAATGTCTGTGAATGCACAAAACAAAAATACCTCTGAGCGCCTGAAAATAGCTGCTGTACACAGGCCCCTTTCTCAGTAAAACTTGCCTTACTTCCCAACTCAGGCAGCACCCCCTGCCCGCAGCCTGTGTGAAGATGGAAAGGGACTGGCACTGGTCCTCACGTGAGCCCAGGCAGTGCTATTGGGCTACTTCCCCTCCCTGCCCCACTCGGGCCCCTCCTTCTCTCCTTCTCACCTGAGCAGGGAAGGCCAGCTGTATTAGTCCATGTTCACGCTGCTGATAAAGACATACCCGGGAATTAAAAAAAGGTTGAATGAACTTACAGTTCCACGTGGCTGGAGACATCTCACAATCATGGCGGAAGGTGAAAGGCATGTCTCATGTGGTGGCAGACAGGAGACGAGAGATTGTGCAGGGAGACTTTTTTAAAACGATGGGTTTTTAAAACCATCAGATCTCGTGAGAATTATTCACTATCATGAGAACAGCACGGGAAAGACCTACCCCCATGATTCAATTACCTCCCACTGGGTCCCTTCCACAACGTGTAAAATTCAAGATGAGATTTGGGTAGGGACACAGCCAAACCATATCACCAGCATTTCTTTCTCCTTTTTGATTTCCCTGAAGTGCCAAAAGGGGCAAACTGGTAATTCTTAGTAGGTAGGCAGCCAGTGGTTGAGCTAAAGGATATTTTTTGTTTTTTTTTTTTTTGAGACGGAGTCTTGCTCTCTCGCCCAGGCTGGAGTGCAGTGGCGTGATCTCGGCTCACTGTAACCTCTGCCTCCCAAGTTCAAGCAATTCTGCCTCAGCCTCCTGAGTAGCTGGGATTACAGGCACACGCCACCACACCTGGCTAATTTTTAGTAGAGATGGGGTTCCACCATGTTGGTCAGGCTGGTCTCAAACTCCTGACCTCGTGATCTGCCCACCTCGGCCTCCCAAAGTGCTGGGATTATAGGTGTGAGCCACCACACCAGGCCTAAAGGATATTTTTTTCTAGTACAATTGACATTATTTGAATAGTTCATTATATTACGTATATTAGATAATAAGCAGCTTTTCCTGTTTTGGTTTGAAGCGTGAGCCTGTTCTTTTGGTCTCTTGGATTTTTCATATTTGTTTCCAAAATGGCATTCTAGTAAAGAAGTATAGATCACTGGAATGCATGGTTTTCATTAATTATAATATAGCAGAAAACACTGTCATCATGAGACCATGCACCTCACTGCACCTTGGGTGGCCAGAGCCATTCAGGGAAGCTGGGGCCCTTTCAAGTTCTAGGGGAGAATAACTCTGTGGTATGGGGGTTCTAGAAAATAACTAGAAGGGATGATGGTACCTAAGTATGTGTAGCTGCTCCAGTGTTCCCAAGCCTGGCTCAGTACCCCAACCAGGTCCTCTCCCTACCAGGAAATCACCTTGGGGCATTCCCTTTGGGGCTGTTGGCTTCCTGCATCTCTCTCCCTGAGGGAGGGCACTCTCTGGCTCTGCCATGAAATGATCACTGGCAGGCGCAGAGGGCCAGGGAGGTGATGCCCCCAGGAGTGATCTCAGTCAACAAGGGCAAGAGTTGGTGGGTAAATACCCTGGCTTCCTCCCTTCCACCAGGGACAATGCCCGGGCTCCATGCCCTCTCTGGAGCCCCTGCTAGGGTGAGCACCAG
Source organism: Homo sapiens (assembly GCF_000001405.40). Taxonomy (NCBI): domain Eukaryota; kingdom Metazoa; phylum Chordata; class Mammalia; order Primates; family Hominidae; genus Homo; species Homo sapiens. The sequence continues at coordinate 74,219,835 of NC_000018.10, read as the reverse complement.
CTGTCTGTGGCACTGTCCCAGGCTTCATTGCCTCTCTTCCCTCCCCTGTTTCACGTCCCCACTCTGGGGTCACCTCCCAAATAAAGGATTTGCACTTGCAGACTTGTCCCAGGGTCTACTTTCAGGGGGTGCTGAGTTTGAAAGGCTTGTATTTGTCTGGCAACAATGCAACCTCATTAATTTAGACTCCATCAAATTGGTATTAGTGCTAATGCTCTCATTGGAGTTCATCTTTTCATTGTTCTATTTAAAAATAATTTTCTAAATGAATCGCTCAATGAAGCCTTAATAAATTAAAAACAGAATATCAAAGGCAATGTTAAAACACTTAAGACAGATTTCTGAATTAAAATTAGTCATTTTCATATTATCACTTTATATGGAGTTAATACAGTAGCCCCCCTATCACCAGGGTATATGTTCCAAGACCCACAGCAGATGCTTGAAACCTTGGCTGAATCCTATCTATACCATGTTTTCTTCAGTCTCATAACCAAGGCAGCTACAAAATGACAAATGGGGGCAGGGAGTGTATACAGCACGGATGTGCTGGACAAAGGGTGATTCACATCCCGGGCAGGACAGAGCGGGATGGTGAGAGATTTCATCACACTACTCAGAATGGCGCACAATTTAACACTTGTGAATTATTGATTTCTGGACATTTTCATTTAATATTTTCAGACCATGATTGAATGCGGTTAACTAAAACCACAGATAAGGCGGATATAATATGGTGATAAACGCTGGGCGCGGTGGCTCACGCCTGTAATCCCAGCAGTTTGGGAGGCCGAGGCAGGCAGATCACGAGGTCAGGAGATCAAGACCATCCTGACTAACACGGGGAAACCCCGTCTCTACTAAAAATACAAAAAATTAGCCAGGCTCGGTGGCAGGTGCCTGTAGTCCCAGCTGCTCTGGAGACTGAGGCAGGAGAATGGCGTCAACCCGGGAGGAGGAGCTTGCAGTGAGCCAAGCTCACACCACTGCACTCCAGCCTGGGCGACAGAGCGAGACTCTGTCTCAAAAACAAAAACAAAAACAAAAAACTATATATATTATATATATATACTATATATATAGTATATATATAGTATATATTATATATATATACTATAGTATATATATAGTATATAGTATATATATATACTATAGTATATATATAGTATATAGTATATATATAATATATAGTATATATTATATATATACTATATATATTATATATATAGTATATATTATATATAGTATATATATTATATATATAGTATATATTATATATAGTATATATAGTATATATATAGTATATATTATATATACTATATATATATTATGTTTTTTTATATATATATACTATATATATTATATATAGTATATATAGTATATATATTATATATAGTATATATAGTATATATATACTATATACGGTATATATATAGTATATATATACTGTATATAGTATATATATACTGTATATAGTATATATAGTATATATATACTATATATACAGTATATATATAGTATATATATATGGTGATAAACTATCTACAAATACTCTTCAAGCAGATATTTTTGAAATTATGAATTTATTTCTTGGCTCTTAGTTTTCTAGCAATCTTTATTAAGGACTGTTAATCTAATTTGTTACTGCTTTACATGTATCACCTGGTTGAAGGAATACATCAGGAAAAAATGTACACATGACACATCATATTGACAAATTTTGGAGCTGTCAATCTCTAGAAGGTGTGATGATTGATCATTTACTCATTTATATACTCATTTGTCGAGTAAATATTGATGAGGTACTACTATGGGTTGAAATCTATGCTAATCACTAGAGATACAGAGTTGCAAGCACCAAGGCCAGGTGGAAGGCAGTTGCATGAAGAAAAGGCAATCAAGTGGGCCGTGTGCTATGGCAGAGGTTTGCACTAAATTCTAGAATAGCCCAGAATCAGAGGCTGATCCAAAAAAGAAGTAAATGCACTTAAAATGTCATATTTGAAACACAACATACTTTCTTTCTGAACGAGACCCAGAGTTATCCAAACTCAGATCTCTTCTCACATGAATTTTTCATTTGTAGTCCAGCATGTTACAATCTTAATTGATATTTGAAGCCATCTTGCAACACAGGTTTGACTGGTACAACCCTCAGCAGAGCTGACCTCATGGGACATTTTGGAAAGCGACAGGCTGTTGCCTCATAACTCTGAGGGTTGCGGGTGGCAGCACAGCTCTGCTTCTCCACACCCACCGTTTGCTGAAACAGAAGGGTTGCTGCTTGATTAGAAGTTGGTGGGCAGGTTTTAAATTTCGATTTTGCCTTTAAGTTACTGTGTGACCTTGGACAAGTCACATAACTTCTTTAGGCCCCGATGTATTCAACAGTAAAATATTGAACCGGTAACAAGCAACATTTTGTTGCACAAGAGCCAGTTTTAAGAGAACCAAGGTTGACAGATATCCCTTAAAAAAAGGAAAGAAATAGTAACTTGAAATCAGGGACATTTGTGACCTCTGCCTCCTGAAATTAGATAGTGGGTTGGAGTCAGACGGCTCATTTATAGGCAAGTTTATCTCTAAGACCCCTTACAGCTTTATAATTTTGGTTTGCACTATTTTAGCCTCGTGCAGTACTGAGGGTTGAATTTGACATCTCTTGGGATGCCACATGTGTCTTGAAAATGATACAAGGTTGCAGAGTTGTGTTAAATCTGTGATCCGTGCTTACCTTTGTGTGGTTCTCAGTACACCTGCTGGCACTCAGAGGGTTCTCAGGGATGGTGAGTGTGAGGGTGGTGGTGAGACTCCCAGCCCCCATTTCAAGTTTATACCCAGCCAGTCCACATCCATCTATTTTGTATATTAAAGGGACCCACTCTGTCCAGATCATCACATTGGGGTTGATGAACTTCTTATCTGACATAAATATTTGCTTGTTTGATTTTTCCGACATCACAGTTTTCTTTCTGCCTGTTGTTGACTCACATTCAGTACTTCTATTTACAAGTCACAAGAGTTTATTCCAACCATCATTCAAAGTCAAAAGAATCCACACAGGCCATAGCTAATTTTTTTGAGTGAAACTTCCTTTATGCATGTTGACTCTGGTTATCCTAACCCCACCCTACGGGCTGCTGGTCCTTGGAATTTTCTGCAATCAGATCTATTCCTCACTTGTCCCCTGCTCAGCTCTGTATCACCCGGGCTTCTTTGCAGCCTTCAATGCAGGCTTAATTTTTTAGACTCTCAGAACAGTTGGTTTGGCCATTGAGACAATGGCAGGAGGTTGGAGAGATGGGGAAGGGAGGAGCCAGGAGTTTCCCTCTGTTTTGTGTGGGGTCTCAGGCAGGGGCTGCATCTTCTCTGTGGTGCTAGCTTCTATCTGCCAGGCCTGCTCTGGTTCCCACCTTGACCGGATGGCCCTGCATCCTGGACCAGGAACCCCTTTTTCCTTCTAGCCCAGGATGGCAGTACCTTCTTGTGTTGCTTATCCCTGTTGGTGTCCTTGATTTGGTTTCTCTGCACTTCTGCCACCGGTATAACTAATTCCTTACATTAGATTTCCTCTGCTTTAAATACTGGAATGATCTTTTCAAGTTGGACTCTGAATAATAGAGTTCTTCATACAAGAATTAGTGCCAAAATCAGATCTTTAAGACAAGATCATGGAACGGGATTGCTCATCTGTTTGGGCACACAGTGATGATGTTCTGGCAGAGGGAAGGTGGGACACTAGTCACCTGTGGCATGGAGTTGCATTATCATTGACTAAATCATCACCTGTTGCTGCTGGAGGTGAGGTGTTGGTTGGGTTCAAGGCTTAGGGAGATTAGATAGAGGCTGAATTGGAATGATGTGCAAGTGATGATGATTACAAGGATTGGGGGGTATCTGTTGGTAATGGAGACTTTTCAGAAAACCAGTAGCAAGTTCAGAGCTGGAAATCTTGGTTCAAGGCACAAATATATCCAGAGATCAGCCTCAAAATAATAACTTATATGATGTAGGGACAAGGCAGGCATGGCTGGAGGTCAGGTCCAATGTCTAGCTGTGTCTAGCTCTATGGGTTTCAGAAATGGCAACGCTTCTAAATCCATACATTAAATCCATGGCATTAGTGGGGAAGAGGTGGGGCCTGGGGACTTGGGAAAGAGACATCTGAGTAGACTCAAGAAATCCAAGAATCTTGGCTCTCCCACCCCTGATTCCTGGGAGCCTATCTTGCTAGATTTGTTAGGTTGAGGAAAGCAGGCTTTTCTTGTGTGAAGACTGCTGGTTGCCCTCAAGAATGGCAACTGCTGGTTGCCATTCTCACCATCTGTGGGAACTGCAACCTTTGCCTCCAGACCTATTACCAGAGTCAAGTGTCATCATTCTCTGAGGAGGATGGGGCAGGGCGAGGAACTTCAAGTTTTGCTTCCCGAGCAGGCAGCTTCTACAACAAACTAGTTTGCTAATTTCTAACCCTGGGGAATATGTGAGGAAATAGATTATATGGATCTTACACATAATAGGGTAAAATATAACTTTGGATTGGACCAAAAAGTATATTGGTTTGGGTGCACTTATTCAAGACTCAAGATTTAATGGGCTAGCTGTAGCAGCTGGAGGTGGCTCTAGTTCCTTTCTTGGTTGGATGACCAAACCTCAGGTGTCATGGTGGCCAACATTATTTTTAGCTCGGCTGGGACTGCTGTGCCATTATAGCCCCATACAGAGAAGTCACTGAAAGTTAAAAGTAAAAGAAAATCCTCTGTGGGCAGAACTCCCAGCAGAAGGGTATGTGCTTGTTCACTTTGCATGGGAGGAGAAATCCTCAGAGGTGTGGATTTTCCCTGATTCATGGGCAGTGCAAGGCTCTGCAGTTTTTATGGAGTTTAAAAGAAAAAAATAGAAGATGGGTGACTTGGTGATCAGAAGAGGAGATATATGGATGCTGCTCCTGGAATGGGCACAGAAGGAGAGTGTTTCATGTGAGTGAGCTCCAAAGAATATCTACCATAGAGGATATAACCAGTAGACAAGATGGCCCATTCTATGGAGAACCGTGTCTTCTACCAGCTACTGCAGTGTCTATTCAATGGGCTCATGGTGGCAGGGATAGAGCTGTCTACAGGCTCAGCAGCATGGACATCCTCCTTCTCAAGCCAATGTTGGTACCACCACTGCTGAGGACCCAATCTGCCTACAGCTAGGCTGAGACTGAGCCCAGGATAGGATGCTATGGCCCGGTGGCCTGAGGCTGGGCAGTGCTGCCAGAAGCCAGTGGTATATTGATTACATCACACTCATCTCATGAGGGCTTATGTGTCCCAAGCTGAAAGGCTTTGTTCTGGGTATGGATGTGCCTTCCCTGACTGAAATGTGTCTGTGGGCTTCAGGCATGAGTTACCCGTGGTCATGGGACCCTACATGAGGGAGTAAAGAAGTGCAGTGTTGGGCTCGTCATAGCCCACCACACCCCACCGGGTGGCCTGAAAGAACAGGAGCAGCTTGTGTTGGCTGGGAGGCAGCATGCCCAGAAGCTGGGATGCTGGCCTGCAGGATCTATGTCTTAGACCATGGATAATTGGTGGCGTCTCTTCTCCCACAGCCAACATGCATGGGTCTGGAAACCATAGGGTGGGACCTAAGAACTCGTCTGAAGAGATTTTGCTTTCTATTTTTACAGCCTTGAGGGCTGCTGGTGTAGATGTCTCGGTTCTTGTTTCAAGAGAGGAATGTGTCCATTACAACAATGGTTCCGTGGATTGGAGGTTAAGATTGCCACCAGACTGCCTTGAATTCCTCATGCCACTGAACTCACAGGATAAGATGGGGAGGTTCTGATGTGGTTGGGTTGATTAATCTCATTTTCAAGAAGAAATCAGATTGTTTCTCCCCAGTGGGGAGAGAGAGGAGTAAGACCAGGACCTGGGAATTACAGAGATGCATTGTAGTACTTCCGAGTCTAGCAACCCAATAAATACAGGATAGCAAAGAGCTCAGAAAGCTCAGGTCTGAAGGTGTAGTTCACCCCACCAGGTAAAGAACCCTGACTGCCGCAGATGCTGGCTAAGGCAAGAGGGAAAGGAAAAAGGGGGAAAAAAGAGAAAGTGATAAGTACAACTGACTTTTATTACTCATAGCAGTTATGTTCTATAAAGTCACTGGGAACGCTGAGTTAGCAGATAATGAACACTGCTCATAGGGAAAATACAGGGTGTGTTCCTGTGAACTTGTGTGATGACATATTTGTCAATCATCTATTGCTAAGCTTGTTATATGTGTGTTTCTGCTTGAAGGCACCTTATTCTATATATTATCCATTCATTCATGTAACACTCATGGCTAATGGCACTATAACTCCGGCTGGAATGAAGCTTTTCTCTAACACATGTGTATTCTCCATAAGGCACATCACAGCCCTTCTGGTGCTTAGGAATACAGGACAGCCTCAGCACTGTGCTTAGGGGCCATTTTAAGGAGCAAAATCACCAAGAAAAAGCACAAAAATGTTTAAAAAATGGCTAAATAGACTGAAGAAGAACACTTGTTTACAGTATGAGAGCTGGAACAAGAAGGTAGAGATGGAAAGGGCGAGTTGGACAACTCAACATTTTCACCATTCTGGCATGTCCACGAATGACTATGAAAGCACAGTGAGCACCAATTTGGGGGTTTCAAAAGGTAAATTTTAGGCTGGGCATGGTGGCTCACACCTGTAATCCCAGCACTCTGGGAGGCCGAGGCGGGTGGATCACCTGAGGTCAGGAGTTTGAGACCAACCTAGCCAACATGGTGAAACCACGTCTTTACTAAAAATACAAAAAATTAGCCGGGCATGGGGGCAGGCGTCTGTAATCCCAGCTACTCGGGAGGCTAAGGCAGGAGAATCGCTTGAACTCGGGAGGCGAGGTTGCAGTGAGCCGAGGTCGTGCCATTGCACTCCAGCCTGGGCAATAAGAGCAAAACTCCGTCTCAAAAAATAATAAACAAACAAGCGATAAATTTTAGCGAGTAGGTGAATTTGCAAGTAGGAATCCTCAAATAGTGAGGACTGACTGCGTTAACTTTGGCAGTTACAAGTCAAACTACTAGCAGCTACGCACACTTTCCTTCGGATTTCTTTTCATTTTTCCTTGCCCTGCCCCTTCCTCTGATGATTTGAGTGGTGCTGGCCTGTGTAATGTAACTGATTGGTTACTTGACGACGAGGAGCCTCCTGTGCACCCGATGAAGGCAGTGCGCAAGTCCTTTTCCTCATCAGGGGATGAGCGGGCGCCTTCCTTTGCATGGGGCAGCCCGCCATGTTGTGGCGATGGGAGCTATGTGTGGGTGGGAGAGTGAATTGGATCCTAGGAGTTGATTGGGTCGCCAGGATGACCCTGGGCCTGTCTGCTGCCCTCCCAGCTCGGCTGTGTCACGGGGCCACCTGTGCGGGGCTCATTTCCCAGGAAACTCCAAATGTGTTAGTTTAGACAACATTGTACGTTTTTTGTTTTTTTTTTGTTTTTGAGACGGAGTTTTGCTCTTCTTTCCTGGGCTGGAGTGCAATGGCACGATCTCGGCTAACGGCAACCTTCGCCTCCTGGGTTCAAGCGATTCTCCTACCTCAGCCTCCCAAGTAGCTGGCATTACAGGAGCCCACCATCACGCCTGGCTAATTTTGTATTTTTAGTTGAGACGGGGTTTCACCATGTTGGCCAGGCTGGTCTTGAACTCCTGACCTCAAGTGATCTGTCTGCCTCAGCCTCCCAAAGTGCTGGGATTTCAGGCGTGAGCCACCGTGCCTGGCCTGCATGGTTTTTAAAACAATCACGTAGAGGGGAATGTAGAAGGCAAATTGTAGACACATCCCTCTTTATCAGTAAAAGCTAGCTTTGAATGAATATTTATGGAAAAAGTCACAAAGGACAAGGAACTGAATCTGACTATGAGATGGAATCACTTCCTGAGTTGAAATTTAACTTTTGAACATTTAATCTCATCTAATTCTTCATTCTTGTGGCAAGACTATTTTTGCCCCCTCAGCTTCCAGGTGACCACCTGCCCAGGGCTGTCCCCCCCATCTGGTGGTCAGTGTGAGACACAGGTCATTTCTGCTGCCTCCCCTCTAGACCCAGCTCAGCTAATTTTACTTCCTGGGGTCTTCCCCTTGCTTGAACACACAGGTCCTGTTTCCAGCCCCTTTCCCCTGGCTCCTTGTAGGCAAATGCTACTCCTCTTGCTTCTTTTGACAGTAACGTTATTATGACTGTAAGCAATGCTACTCTGCCTTCACTAGGGAATGATGTACGCCTTGAACCGAACCAGTCAGAAGAAAAAGGAGGTGGTTGACTTTGAGTTGAGTTATTTTCCAACCTCAAGCCTTCAACATCACTTACCCTGTCTCATAAGGGAAACCTGGCTGTCCTCAAAACCAGCATTCAAGATTTAAAATAAATGTTAAAAACAAAAGAAAATTATGTAGTCATTAATTTTGTAGCCATATTAAACTATCTCCCCAATTTCAGTTAGGTGATAATTCACCTACATATTGAGATGGGAAACATTTGTTGGATTAGCGCCCCACTCTAACTTGCCTCTATAGTCTTACTTGCTGGTAAAAGTACATTTTGAATTCAGAATAAGGTATTTGTGCTTTCTGAATATGATATATGCCAGTTTTCAGTTTCCAAGGCTCTCAAACATAATTTTTTTTTACCTGTCAAGAACACTTTATGACAAAACATAACAACAATCTACAGTTACCAGATTTAGCAAATTAAAATACAGCACTTCCCATTACAGCTGAATTGCAGATAAACAATATTTTTTTGGATATTATATCATATATAGTATTTGTTTAATATGCACTATGTGGGAAATACTTAAAGTAATATATCATTTGTTGTTTATCTGACATTCAAGTTAAATTGAGCATCCTGTCTTTTATTCCTAGTTGAATCAAACAAAAATCATCCCAAATTATTTTTCTCTTTTAAGTTTTTATATACCCCCTGCCAAATTTATCCTAAATTATTTATGTTTTTTAAAATTATCTCTTCACTGAAAAGGTCTATAAGCAATATAGCTGATAAGAATCTGATCTGGATACTCTTTTGAAGTTAATCTCTTTTTATTTCTTTTTGCTCATTGTTTGGTTAAGATCCCAAAGGCCAATTAAGGACAAAAAGTGTCTTTAAGTCCAGTATTTGCAATTACATCATCTTTTACATACGAAAAAAGAGATTTGTTAAATTAATAGTTTACAAGTAAGAGATCAGGAGTAAGTCAAGAAACAAAAAGGGGGTTTCTTTTATGTTGACCTATTATATATCTATGTATAAATTTTAAATATGGTCTGTAGAACTTGCCAAAAGAAGACATACTTTTTGCTAAGTTCTGCTATCCAGAAAGTTGGTTTTGTGCTCTGGCCTTGTAATACAGCTCTCTGAATCACCAATGAAATAATTTCTGTGGGGAGGGATAAGATTACAGAAGCAGTTCATGTGTCCCAAAACTCAGCTTTGGGAAGTTCAATCCCCTTGCTCCCTTGAAGCCTGATGTGGTTTGGATTTGTGTCCCTACCTAAATCCCATGTTCACTGGTCATCCCTAGTGTTGGAGGAGGGGCCTGGTGGGAGGTGACTGGATCATGGGGGAAGATTTCCCCCTTGCTGTTCTCGTGAGAGTGAGTTCTCAGGAGATCTGGTTGTTTAGAAGTGTGTGGCACCCCCCCTTTGCTCTCTTTTCCTCCTGCTCTGGCCATGTCAGACATGCCTGCTTCCTCTTTGCCTTCTGCCATGATGGTAAATTTCCTCAGGCCTGGCCAGCCATGCTTCTTGTAGAGCCTGCAGAACCGTGAGCCAATTAAAACTCTTTTCTTTATAAACTACCCAGTCTCAGGTAATTCTTTATGCAATGTGAGAATGGACTAATACAAAGCTCTTGTTTCATAAAGTAGTATTTCAAACTTTGTTTATCTTTATGGCAACTGAGAGGTTTTAGAGGGGGTCACGCCACATTTTGATTACCAAAGGTTGACATTAGGTAAATTTTTTTTTTTTTTTTGAAATGGAGTCTAGCTCTGTCACTCAGGCTGGAGTGTAGTGGCACAATCTCGGCTTACTGCAGCCTCCACCTCCTGGGTTCAAGCAATTCTCCTGCCTCGGCCTTTGGAGCAGCTGGAAATACAGGCATATGCCACCAGACCTGGCTATTTTGTGTATGTTTAGTAGAGAGGGGGTTTCACCATGTTGGCCAGGCTGGTCTCGAATTCCTGACCTCAAGTGATCTGCCTGCCTCGGCCTCCCAAAGTGCTGGGACTACAGGTGTGAGACACCATGTCTGGCTGAAATTAGGTAAATTCTTAATACGTCTGAGCATGCAGGTATTTGAACAGAAAGGAGAAAGCAATAATTGGGCATAGCAACAGGATATGTAGAGCAGAAGGAGGGAAGGAGGCGGCATTTCTGTTGATTCACAGTTTTCCATGAGAGTTTTGAGGGAGGCTCAGTGCTAGTTAGAGATCTCTCTACCCACTGAACATTGGTGTGTCCTTTGGGTTCAGTAGAGTAACCTCTTTAGCCTCTTATAACTAACAGGGGGAATGGAGATCCCAGAGTACTCAGTTTATAACCTCCCAGAGTCACCTAGCAGGACTACATGCAGTGCTGCAATCTTTAGGGAAAACCACCAGTGAACAAGAATGCAGAAGAGGAGTTTTGGATTTACTCTCTAGGGTCCAGGAAAGGGCGGGGAAGACCCTGCTTCTGTCCTCAGGCTCCTGGCCTTCCGGCCCACGGGAAACAATGGCATCAACCACACCGTGGAGCCCATCTGGCAAGTGGTGACTTGAGAGACAGGCAGTGCTTGATGTTGGCTCTGGGGTCCCTGGTCCAAATTTAGCCTCTAGAGGTGACTGAGACCTGTGTCAACCCTGGCATGAAGTCAGTCCCCTGGAGTTCTCAAGATGTTAGTGCTGGGACTCATCTTAAGCTGTCCTGAGGGCCAACCCCAGTATTGCGAAGTTACTTTACCATCGGGGCCCTTCTTCTGGCTTCTTGTTTAGTGCCTTTCCACGATGTCTCTATGCTGAGCTTTGAAAGGGTGCACAGAGTTACAGGGATGTGGCCAGCGGTCCACCGGGAGGCCTCCAGGAGGGCTCAGATTTGGGTGCCAAAGAAAGCACAGACACTTGGCACCCGGTCCTCAGGGCTGTCCTGCTGTAGACCTTCACATCAGAGAGCTCTGCTAATTTCACTGGCCACACTTGGAGCCACACTGCCTAGCGCAGATCCTGGCTTTGCTCCTCACCAACTGCGTGACTTGTGACAATTTATAAAAATCCTGTGTCCTGGCTTCTTTTTTAGAAGGGAGAAAGTGGTGATATCTACTTCCTAGGTCATTGTGAGAATTACACGGTTAGTTCATGTGAAGTGTTTGGAGCTTTTCATGGCACTTAGTACATGTTCAGTAAGTGTTAGCTATCAGCAGGTTTTTGGTAGTAAGGTAAAGTTTATCTGGGTACATATTCTGTGCCAGGATGTTAACATATTAGACTGGCAAAACCTAAATAATGAACCATAGTCTAGGGTCCACTCCCTGAAGATATATATGTTTTATCTGGGATTGTACATGCTCTGTTCTTTTAACAGCTTTATTAAGATATAGTTCACATGGCAATACATGCCCCATTTGGAGAGTGGAAAATATCTAAATCTGAAATACTGGCTAAGACCGAAATAATAAGACCATTATTGGATATGCAAATCTAAAAATAGTGTAAAAATAGTCAGTCTAAAATAATGTAAAAATACATTATTTCCCACAGTTAGAGGTATGTCTGGTTATTTTGATATATAATTCCATTTTCAAAAGTAATAGGAATTATACAGCAGGCACTAGCTCAAATTAAACATTTTGCAATTATTCTGATATTTTGGCTCATGCTTCTCCTATGACGATATTTAATTAATTCTCTTTTTTTTTTTTTTTTTTTCTTTTTGAGATGGAGTTTCGCTTTGTTGCCCAGGCTGGAGTACTGGAGTGCAGTGACATGATCTCCTCTCACTGCAACCTCTGCCTTCCAGGTTCAAGCAATTCTCATGCCTTAGCCTCCTGAGTAGCTAGGATTACAGGCTTCTGCCAACATGTCTGGATAATTTTTGTATTTTTTTAGTAGAGATGGGGTTTCGCTATGTTGGCCAGGCTGGTCTTGAACACCCGACCTCAGGTGATGCACCTGCCTTCGCCTCCCAAAGTGCTGGGATTACAGGTATGAGCCACTGCGTCTGGCCTAATTAATTCTTAGTGCATGCAGCAGATTGAAATTATATCACTTTACTGATTATTGCTTACAAGAGACTTAGTAAAATATTATAAAACAATGTTTTTATTATTGAGTGTGAGTATTCACTTTCTTCAGCGGCTTTTGCTTCCAGCCCTGAGTTTGTTTTAGGCAGGCATAAGTTTCACTGTTCACTCATGGTTTATTGCAGCAAATACTGCTGGCCTTGTCTTTTCTGGGCGCTCTAATTTCTACCAGTAGAATGTCGCAGCCATCCTCCTTTGATTGTTTATTGTTTGTACCTCCTGGGCTTAGACATAATACTCCCAGATCACACACATAGTATAGTTTTTCTGGCAAAATGCTGTTTCTCATTCTTCCATACTAATTCATTTTAAAGTTGACAACACTCATGAAGATCTAAAAACATTTGCTCTTTGGGGGAAGAAAACCCTAAACTTAATGTCTCACGACTCCATTCCTGTTGATCTTGTCCTTGTGTAAACTTTGCATGAAACTCCCCTTCCCAGTGCCTCTTACTCCTGCCCCACCCACCGCTGCTGCTATCTCCCTGGAAGGTGGAATTTTCTATAAGTTTTCCTGGGTGCTCAGCCAGTGAAGGATGAAGTTCCCACCAGTCTCATTGCTCTGACAGCAAGTGAATTGCTCACTTCAAGGCCAGTTAAGAGTGGCAGCTTTGAGTCTCCAGGAAGCTCAAAAGTGCTCTTAAAACCTGAAGTATGGGCCGGGTGCAGAGGTTCACGCCTGTAATCCCAGCACTTTGGGCGGCTGCGGTGGGTGGATCACGAGGTCAGGAGATCAAGACCCTCCTAGACAACACGGTGAAACCCCATCTCTACTAAAAATATAAAAATTAGCTGGGTGTGGTGGCACGCGCCTGTAGTCCCAGCTACTCGGGAGGCTGAGGCAGGAGAATCGCTTGAACCTGGGAGGCGGAGGTTGCAATGAGCTGAGAGATCGTGCCACTGCCCTCCAGTCTGGCGACAGAGCGAGACTCCATCTCAAAACAAAACAAAACAAAACACCTGAAGTATATGACTGATTACTTCTTATGAAGTTTTGACTAAAAAGTAAAAATATATCAATAAAATCAAAGTCTACCCATTGCACTTCATATAGATTTCCTTGTTGGTAAATGACGTTATTCACCTACAAACTTGAAAATATTTTCAATATTACTCTAAAACTTCCCTTTCTTTAATGTCATTTCCAAGGACTTAATTTTCTTGTCATGCTATTATTATAATAAGCCTCTAGTTATCAGAATAGCTGGGGCATGACATTTTTGGTGAACTATTAACTAGCTTTATTAGAAAGCTTAAAGTGTCCTAAACTATCAAGCACCATTCAAATGTTAGGTATTATTATTATTGTTGTTATAAATTAAATATTGTGAGAAACTGAAGGTAAATAATATTTGCTTTAGTTGGGTTTCCAAAATGAAAATAAATTAGGGCAATGCATGTTTAATATTAAAAAGATATAAGACATGTGAATCCCTGAAATCTGAGACAGGTCCCAGTGAATTTAGAAAGTTTACTTTGCCAAGGTTGAGGATGTGCACCTGTGACAGCCCCAGGAGGCCCTGAGGACATGTGCCCAAGGTGGTCAGATCACAGTTTGGTTTTATGCATTCTAGGGAGACATGAGACATCAATCAACCACATGAAAGATGAACAGTGGTTCGGTCTGGAAAGGTGAGACAGCTGGAGGCAAAGGTGGAAGATTCGAAGCGGGGAGGGGGTTTCCAGGTCAGAGGTAGATAAGAGACCCAATGGTTGCACTCTTTTGAGTTTCTGATGAGCCTCTCCAAAGGAAGCAATCAGATATGCATTTATCTCAGTGAGCAGAGGGGTGACCTTGAACAGAATGGGAGGCACGTTGGCCCTAAGGAGTTCCCAGCTTGACTTCCCTTTAGCTTAGTGATGTGGGGGCCCCGAGATATATTTTTCTTTCACAGACAAAACCAGCGTTGGATGTTTTATAGAACGGCAGGTATTAACTAGGCTGCGTCTCCTGATTGCATCTGGGAAAGCAGGTGTTCATGATCTCAGTTATTCTGATGAAGAAACTGAGGTTCCGAAAGGCTCAGTAACTTGCCCACTGACAGTTACGAAGGCTCCTTGAGAAGGATGAAGGCTTCCTCATCCCTGAATTGTCCACACTCTTCCTAACACCTGAAACACCTGGGCAGGCCTTTACTACCTGTGGAAGGAAAGATGTTCCTGCATAGCTGGTCTCAGTATTGAGTATTCTTGATGAAAAAGGTACAGAAAACAAAGTTATGCATGTTCTGACCCAAGGAAACACTCTTAAGAAATAAGCTACTTAAATCAGCTCACTTACTTGTCATTTGGATACTGAGGAAATGTGAGCTTCTCATAGTTTTGGTGCTGAAATTGGGAGACCATGATCATATTTTGCTAATAACATGACAGGCAAGGCTCAAAGGTGTTTCAAGACAGATTTGGTGGTGTGGGGTTGTTCCCGGCAGTTTTATCATTATCCAGAGACTACAATTTTACCCATTATCCAGAGACCTACAATTTAAGACCCGTGATGTCACTCATTGGCTTCTTGGGGCTGGCCAGGCCTTGGGGAAATAACTCAAGCTACCCAGACTTCAGTGTCATGGATGTCTACTTACATTGTAACTTTCCCCCTTCTTCTCGCCCCCTCACCCATCCCCCTCCTTCTCCCACACTCACCCATCCCCCTCCTTCTCCCACACTCACCCATCCCCCTTCTTCTCCCACCCTCACCCATCCCCCTCCTTCTCCCACCCTCACCCATCCCCCTCCTTCTCCCACCCTCACCCATCCCCCTCCTTCTCCCACCCTCGCCCATCCCCCTTCTTCTCCCACCCTCACCCAAACAACTTGCCACTGTGAACCCCCAACATTTGAGACAGGCCTCAGTTAATTTAGAAAGTTCATTTTGCCAAGGTTGAGGACACACCTGTGACAGCCTCAGGAGGTCCTGATGACCTGTGCTGAAGGTGGTCGGGCATAGCTTGGTTTTACACATTTTAGGGAGACATGAGATATCAATCAATATATGTGAGCAGTACATTGGTTCTGTCCAGAAAGGCAGGGACAACTCAAAGTAGGGAGGGGGCTTCCAGGTCACAAACAGTTGCATTCTTTTGAATTTCTGATAAGCCTTCCGAAGGAGGCAATCAGAGTATGCATCTATCTCAGTGAGCAGAGGGATGACTGAATAGAATGAGAGGCAGATTTGCCCTGAGCAGCTCCCAGCTGGAATTTTCCCTTTAGCTCAGTGATTTTGGGGGCCCACGATATGTTCCTTTTGTGCCACTTGTTTTGGGACTGTCCTCACTCCCCTGCCACTCCTGATTCTATGCACGTGGCCTTGGTGAGACTGCTGGGCTTCCCCTGCATCCCACCTCCCAGCCCATAGCTGGCAGGTCCGGGATGGCCTCTCCTGGGACTTTCTGAAGCAGAGCCAAAGAGGAGCCCATCCCTGACACGCAGGCTGTGAGGCCACTGTGCAGCCTTGTTCCTGGCCCACCAAGGAAGCCAGCTGCACCGCGTGGAGGGAGCTGACGTGCAGAGAGGAGATCCTCGTGGGGTCAAGGCCTGACCCAGCTATCCTTGAAGGCAGCTGCATCTCTGGCCTTCTTATATCTGGCTGAACAATCCCCACCCATTTTTTTTTTTTTTTTGATTCCAGAGGTTGTTAAATTTCCTTTATGCCTAAACTTGCTTGAGTTGTGTTTCTGACACTAGATGCTAAAAAAGTCTGACAGCCGCATAGCCTTGGGTTCTGGAAGGCAAGCCACAGAAACCTGTCCATGTGGCTACTGTGTGTTACAGCCTTTAAGGCCTTCCCCCAGCTCCCCTGAAGCTGGAGTCCCGGGGCAAGGGCACCCACCAATTATGGGTTGAAATGTGTCCCTTAAAATTTCATATGTTGAAGTCCTAACCCCCAGTACCTCAGAATGTGACCTTATTTGGAGATAGGGTCTTTATAGAGGCAATCAAATTCCAATGTGGTCATTAGGGTGGGCCCTAAGCCAGTATGACTGTGTCCTTTTCAAAAGGGGAAATGTGGATGCGGAGACAGACATGCATGCAGGGAGAAGGCCCTGTGAAGATGGAGGCAGAAGTCGAGGTGATGCTTCTGCACACCAACGAGCACCAAAGGTTGCCAGCAGCTGCCAGAAGCAGGGAGAGAGGCCAAGAACAGCTTCTCTCTCCGTGCCCTCGGAAGGAACCAGCCCCTGGGCACCTTCATCTCGGAATTCCAGCTTCCACAGCTGTATCTAAGTCTTCCTGGGTGTGGTTCCTTGTTATGGCAGCCCTGGGGAAGAACATGGTGCCATCCCCGTCACGTGGGCACTGAGAGCACCATCATGGCCAGGGAGGCCAGCCCTTCCTTCTGTGGCCATGGGAAGACCGTACTCTGTGGGCCGTGCTGTGACTGGGCTGGTGACCCTCGTGGGCCGTGGCTGTGACTGGGCTGGTGACCCCCAGGCTCCACACATGTGCACATCAGCTTCCTCTAGAGCCATCTTCCATGATCTGATTCAAACGCTGGACTTCTCTTCTACTAGACCAGAGCCTCGAGGCCAACTAATCTTCAACGAAACTGAAAAAATGATTTCCAGCAACTGAGCTACTCTCACAAGTATAGAGGATTGAGTAGGATTGGGCATCAAGCATAAATATGGATTTGAGATGTCCTTTTGGAATAGCACAACTCATATGGTATCACTGCCTCAGGGGCTGGTCTCTTGGGATTCCTGGATCCCCACATTTTGGACTCATTGCGCTACTGAAGTGAGAGGATGGAGAGGACTTGGAGATCACCTGTGTCCCTCATCTTACCAATCACTGGGGTCCTGGGCTCTGACTGGCCTGAGGTCCTTCTGCCATCACAGAGCAAAACAATTCACTTGGCAGCTTCTGCTCCTCCCATGTCCCAAGGACCCCCTGCCCAGGGTTGGGGCCCATTGAGGCATCCAGTCACCAGCTCAGACTGAGACCCTTTCCTGTAAGGCTTCATGCAGATACCCCTCATATCTGTGGGGTCAAACCCCTCAGCTCCAAATCTCTGAGCCTCTGAATGCATAATCTGGTTGTGCGTTTTGGTTAGATTGATCAAAGCACAGCAGGACTCACCTTTAAGTTCTCAGGTGACAGCAGCATTATCAAAGCCCTTCTTGGGTTTATTTCTATTTCTAGTTCCTAGGGAAGAGAAAAAAAAAAAGGGGATGATATATAACACTGAACAAGCATTTACTTACGTAATCTCATTTAATCCTCACAGCCAGCCCACTGTATTAGTTGCCCAGAGATGCTGTAACCAAGTACCATAGACTAGGTGGTGTAGTAACAGAAATTTACTCTCCCACAGCTCTGGAGGCCAGAAGTCCAAAATCAAGGTGTCCTCAGGGCCATTCTCCCTCTGAAGACTCTAGGGGAGGGTCCATCCTGCTTCCTCCAGCCTCTGGAGAGGTGGTTGTTGGCAATCCTCTCTGTTCCTTGATATGTGGGTACATTACTCCAATCGCTGCCTCTGTCCTCGCCTGGCCTCTGCATGTGTATCTCTCTGTGTCCCACCTCTTCCCATAAGAACACCCGGCACTGGACTTAGGGCCCATCCAAATCCAGTATGATCTATCTTCATTCACACATTAATGATATCTGCAATGATTGTATTTCCACATAAGGTCACATTTACATATCTTTTTGGGGGGATGCAGCAAACTTCCAACACTTACCTTGATTTTATAGATGACCAGGTCAATATTTAGAGCAGCTAAGTCATCTTTCAGGTTTTAGTTTGTGTTGGGGATGCAAAATTTCTCCTCAGCCCTTTTAGAGTTGCTAGATGAGCCCAGTGAATCCACTGACAGAGACAGCTTCAGAGGAGAAAAGTAGGCAGATTTTATTAAGTAATTTTTGTATAGACATGGGAGCCCTCACAAGAAAAACGAAGACCCAAAGAAGGAGTTGGGGCCACGAACTTATGCACTAGGTTGAACAAAGTGTCATAAATTGTGGAAACATGACAAGACAAAGGGGCTTGGGTAGGGCAGTCAGTTGGGGGCAAATGACCAGGAAGGTAAGTGTTGGCTTCACAAGGTTTGTTTGTAGAGCACCCTGGGCTTTGACTCTGATGACAAGGATCTCTTCCTTTCTCCTGGTGGAGGGGGGGCATCTTTCACACAGGGTTTCATCTCTTGCTTACAGGAAGAAAAAGGAAAGTCAGGGTCTCCTTCTTGCACCTGCTGGTTTTCAAGTGCCCTGAGCTCAGAATAATCCTTACGCCAAAGCGGCATGTGTTGGGGCGGCCTATTCTACTGCCCTTCATTTTTAAGAGGGCAGAGTCAGGGTTCACAGCCGATTCTGTTAGAGTCGGAGCCTGTGTCCCTTCTTCAGGGCTATGCAGCCCACCTGGGGCCACTGGCATGACCCCTCCTGCACCACTGTCATTCACCTTTAGTCGTGCAGAGCGTGAGTCAAAGTCCCTCCCAGGCGGCTTAGGGCAGCACCCGCAGTGTTGGAATGGAAGCGCCAATGCATCCTCCCTCCATGAGAGCAATGCCCGAGTGGGAATCCTGGCTGGGGAGTGCAGCTCTCCCCACGTGGCCCTGGGCGCTTCCCACGGGGGCTGAGGGGAAAGACGGACTCTGCAAACCACAGTCCAGCCAGGGCCACAAAAGGAGAAGGGGCGCTTCAGACCCCGTGTGCGTTCAGAAGCAGAACAAACAGGACACAAGTCGTGGCGTTGCCGCTCTGTCTCCTGCCCAGATATTCCAGTGGACACACAGGGAGATTTTATGTCCTTTGAACAGAAAGAGAAGCTGTTTGAGGAAATAAAAGAAGAAAAGGAGATTGTGAAATCTAAGAGTCTTTTATTTTCCTGTGTGCGATGTTTGGCAAAGTAGGAGAGGAGCATGAAGAAGGGCCCCTATGTGACTTATGTTAGAAATGTCTTAGTCAAACGGGTCCGCGGAGTCGTCCTTCTCAGGTGCCCTCCCGGGAAAGCTGGCAGCAAAATTATTTTTATCCCAAATAACTAAGGAAGCCGAGGTTTTGTGATTGGCTTCCCACCTCCTTTTCTGTTCTTTGTGGTAGTCATCTGAGCAACTTACACACACTGCATCACAGTTTTCCTCTCCCATGAACTGAAAAACATTTAATTTTTATTTTTTTCCCATGGATTTTGGCTAAATCAAGCACTCTTCACACCAGGCACATAAGAAGAAAATAAGGAAGCTGATCCATTGGAGTTTAGTGAATGAAGAAATCGTGCCTTCTGTCCATGCCCCACACTCCCAGCCCCCCGCCCACAACGGAGAACACACAAGCACCAGTGCCCCACACCACCCAGGGTAGAATGTGGCCATCGCAGGATGAGAGGCTCCTGTGGGAAGGAGAGCCCGAGGAGGCTGGGTGGAGCTGCACCTCGTTAGCCTTCATCTGGACAGTTTCTAAGGGACTCCCTCCTTGGGCCCATCCTGCCTGGCTCACGTCTCCTCTTCCCAAGGACGGGGCTTCGCTCCTTCATAGTCTGGCTGGGAAGTGAGAGAGCCATAACCCCATGGACACAACCTGAGACTTGATTGTTGGGAGACAAGATGATTTTACAGAAACATGTTTTATTTTTTTTCAAATGACTTTGTTGCAAAGTCCCCGCTTTTTTTTTCAAGAGATGGGGTCTCACCCTGTCACCGAGGCTGGAGTGCAGTGGCACCATCATAGCTCACTGCAGTCTCAACTCCTGGGCTCAAGCCATCCTCCTGTCTCAGCCTCCAGAGTAGCTGGGACTACAGGTGCCTGTGACACCAGGCCCAGCTAATTTTTAGTTTTTTTTGTAGAGATAGGGTTGCTAATTTTTAATTTTTTTGTAGAGATAGGGTCTTGCTATGTTGCCCAGGCTGGTCTTGAACCCCTGGCCTCAAGCAGTCCTCCCTCCTGGGCCTCCCAAAGTTCTGGGGTTACAGGTGTGAGCCACCGCACCTGGCCCAATTTATTAATTGCCCCCAACATATCACGGGCATGACGTTTTCCTCTTTCCCAGGGAGAAGATGATGATAATAACAGTTGCTAACACTCTCTGAGCTATATGCCAGGTACCATTATGAGTGCTGTGTATCCAGTAACTCGTTTTTATCCTTGAAAAAGGATTTTGAGGAAAGGAGTGTACGTGTCCGTGTCCTTGTTTCACAGATGAGAAAACAGCTACAAAGAGATTCAGTTACTTATTTAAAGTCTCATAGTTAATAAGGACTCCAAGCTTCAAGCTCTTCACCTCCACTAGGCTGCTGATGTAGCAAACTTCCCAATTTTTCTTATCCTTATCACCCAAGGTATAATAATTTCAAATGAACTTTTAGAAAGTGTCTACAGTCTTGGGTTTTCCAGTAGTTTCTGGCATGGCTTGTTAACCCGCTGGCCATCACTCGTAACCTCCCCACCCCTGACCTGGGCTTTGAAAGCGTTTTCTTCCTCCTTTGCACTGTGGCCTGAGAAGCCTCCCTCCAGCAGTTCACCCGGACCTCAGGTCCATCCTGTCCCCACCTCCAGCTCCCTTACCCAGACCTCAGGCCCATCCTGTCCCCACCTCCAGCTCCCTCACCCGGACCTCAGGTCCATCCTGTCCCCACCTCCAGCACCCGGACCTCAGGTCCATCCTATCCCCACCTCCAGCTCCCTGTCAGAGCGCTGCTAAGTCCTGGGGCCTATTGCCATCTCATAGGCAGTCTGAGTACTTCATGGAAGCCCTATTGTCTTCCATTTCCGACCCTGTCCCATCTTGGCAGGATCTGTTGGCCAGATGATGCTGGCCTCCCATGTTGTACACCCAGGAGCCACTTCCTGCCATGCCCAGCCACTGTGACTGAGTCTGCTCTCCCCTGAGCCACCAGGGCACCTGAGCAACATCCGGACACCTGAGGCCTCAGGGCACCACAGCTGTGCTGGGTGCAGTGCGTCTGTGCCACCTCTGTTGTCTGAGCACTGAGGGGCACAGGGCACAGCCCATCTGCATGGACATGCTGCTCCCTAGGACTTAGGATTTGGATGTAAGGACCAGGACCTGGAGGTGGCTCTTGGAGCTGGCCATGTCATCCAAGTGGACCCTCCTTTGGGGATACCCTCATTCTCTGTTTGCCCTCTCTTCCTGCTCATCCTCTTCTAGCTCTGAGTCCCATCAACAGCTCCTGTTCCAACCTCGTGCCCTTCTGCCTGAAGCCTGAGCAGTGGAGCCAGGCCCCACCATGGCCTGACCTGCAGGCTCTGGCATTGTCCCAGCGCACTGTGTCCGGGAGCTGGACGTCCCCACCTGGCATGGCCCCAGTGGCTGAGCATGGGCTTGCCCCCACCCACAACCTGATTGCTCTCTTTCCCTCTGCCTCAACCCTGGGCAGGGACCAGGGGGACTGAACCACTGCCCCCGCCCCGGCCGAGCCTCCTCAGCCCCCTGGCTCTGACTGCTGCAGGCAAAGCTAGGATGCATGTTGCCCAGGGTTTACAGGTCATTCTCTGCATCCAGCTGACTTATGCCACTGGCTTACAATCCCGGGAAACTCCTGGGGGTGGTGGTGCCGAGCCTAGGTTCCCCTGGGCTCAGGGAAGCTGGGTTAATCTCCGGTGAGCTCCATGCCCAGGGCATGGGGAAGTGGCACAGAGAGCAGCCTCTGGATCGTTGGCCTGGTAGGGATTTCCGGGTTCATGTTCTGCCCTTTGTTTAATGTCCCTTTCAGCTCTCCAGTTATGCAAAACAGAGGAGCCATACCCCACTTCACAGAAACAGGAGGCCCACAGGCATGCACCAGGAGAGCTTCCTGCCCTACTGGCTTCTCCAAGTGGGAGGGGAGGAGCATTTCCGGGACCAGGCTATATACAATGTGGCTTTTGGAGAAAATACATTTAAAAAACTCTTTCTCAAATTAAAATATATCTTTTAAAGTGTTTTTTCTTTTTTTTTAGACAGAGTCTCCCTCTGTCACCCAGGCTGGAGTGCAATGGTGTGAACTCGGCTCAGTGCAAGCTCTGCCTCCCAGGTTAATGCCATTCTCCTGTCTCAGCCTCCCGAGTAGCTGGGACTACAGGTGCCCGCCACTGCTCCTGGCTAACTTTTTGTATTTTTTTTTTTTTTTAGTAGAGACAGGGTTTCACCGTGTTAGCCAGGATGGTCTTGATCTCCTGACCTCATGATCCGCCTACCTCGGCCTCCCAGAGTGCTGGGATTACAGGAGTGAAAGGGTTTTAGCAAATTAAGCTTCTTATGGGGGAAAAACATCAGGGGAATGTTTCATAGTCCCTTTGAGATTTCTAATGCACTTAGGTCTTGGGGATTTTGTACTCACTTTCTTTTTGCTTTTTTCTCTGATAAATCCAGTGATGAACAAAATATTCCCTTTGGGAGAGAGTGGGAATGATTTCAAACTTCCAACATTTCAAGTAATAAACACTTTAAGAGTATATCAATTGCTTCACTTTTCCCATTAAATGCATGTTACTTTACATACTGGCCATATCCCTTTTGTGCAAAATACAACACAAGTTTAGCTGAATTCTCTCCCTCCCCCAAAGAGTGAATTACTCCCTTACCCATGCTGCCTGTCCCTGTGCAAATGTTGGCTCTGGTACTTGTAGTTATTTGTGCTTCCCATTCATCTATTCTTGAGGACAAGGATTGAGTCTTTTTTCAAATTTGTGGCCTCATTGTCTAGCACAAAGGCTTATGGAATGCAAACTGTAATATTTAAATATTTGTTGAATACATGGAGGCTGTGTCCAAATTTTTTAAAATTTAATTGGACTTACTAGGGGATATCGAAATGTAAATAAATGCTATATAAAATATATCTTAAAGAGACAAATACCTTTAAAAGGATATTCTAAAGGAAGAATGGTCTCAAAAGAATGCCTTTATAGTGTAAATAATTATCAACTTAGTTAATATCATAAACCTGGGTGGATCAATTCATTATGGTGGTGTCGGTTGCCCTCTAGTGGCCATGAAGGGGTAAGGCGTCATTTAGGCTCTGAAGACCCTGAATTTCTGTTACGATGGCTGAGAACCAGGAAGCCTTCTCACCCACCCAGCAGAGGGAATTGGTTTGGAGACAGAACAAAACGACAAAAGGCAAACAGTAGAATCAACTCAACGATACCTGGTTCTTTCATATGGAATACTTAACATTCTTCCTCTATTTACAAAGACAAACAAAGAGCCAAAGCCTCAGGTATGAGCAAATGAAGGTTAGGGCTCCCTCTTTTGATGAAACGCATTAATCTACCATTCTGAGCATGTTTGCTGCCGTGTACTGAAAAGTTAAACGCATGGCAGGAAGGAATAGAATCAGTTCTGTCTTCTTTATCTTCATTACTCCTCTCTCCTTTGGATCAATGGAAGACGCAAAGACAAGATGTAGAACTCTGTATGTTTCAGAATACTATGAACGTTTTTGGTTCCATTGCCCATTTTTGGTATGGTGGAATGATTTTGCTATTCTAAGCAGCATATAAATCTGGATTTGGGAAAGTTGTATACCTGGATTCCTCAGCAATGGTTTATTTTCTCTCAGGGCTCTGGCACTCGGGGAGGCAAGAGGAGGACTCACTTTGGGCACCCAATTTAAAGGAAGTGACAAAAACTCAGTCATCAAGATAAATTATACACACACACACACACACACACACACACACACACACACATATATATATATATATATATATATATATATATATATATATACAGAGAGAGAGAGAGAGAGAGAGAGAGAGAGAGAGAGACAGAGTCTCGCTCTGTTGCCCAGGCTGGAGTGCAGTGACGCAATCTTGGCTCACTGCAACCCCTGTCTCCCGAGCTCAAACAATTCTCCTGACTCAGCCTCCCAAGTAGCTGGGATGACAGGCGCACACCACCACCTGGTTAATTTTTGTATTCTTAGCAGAGACAGGATTTCACCATGTTGGCCAGGCTAGTCTCGAACCCCTGACTTCAAATGATCCACCTGCTTTGGCCTCCCAAAATGCTGGGATTACAGGCATGAGCCACTGCACCTGGCCTGGATAAATAATACTTTAAAGAAATATTTTTTAAAATCAAAATCCATGCAGAATATCCAGGATTAACAAAATGTCAACACTTGCAGTAAAGACACGATCAGAGATACTGGTTTTTCCTTTGCCCCAGTCTCCACTGTGGTCTGGCATGGCACTGTTTCCTCTTTGCCCAAAATGAGCTTGTTAAGAGAGCAACATTGGCCGGGCATTGTTGCTCACATCTGTGATCCCAGGACTTTGGGAAGCCGGAGTGGGAGGATTACTTGATACCAGGAGTTTAAGACCAGTCTGGGCAACAGAGTGAGACCCCGTCTCTACAAAAAAAAAAAAAAAAAAAAAAAAATAGCTGGGCGTGGTGGCACGTACTTGTAGTCCAGCTACTTGGGAGGCTGAGGTGGGAGGATGGCTTGAGCCTGGGAGGCCAAGGCATCAGTGAGTCGAGATGGCACCACTGTACTCCAACCCAGGCGACAGAGCAAGACCCTGTTGGGGGAAAAAGAGAGAGAGAGAGAGCAGTGCTTCTGTGTGGGTCAGAGCCCAGCCTCTGTAGCTGGGGGAGCTGGATTTTGAAACAGATGCTGCTGTTGCTTACTCAAGAACCTGATTCTTGGCAAAGTTCATACCTTATCTCATCATCATTGTGAATCCTTAGAAGCACATAGTCGTTCCTGGCTGGGTCAGGCAGATGAGATGAAAGGAGGAGGAGGGATTCTCAGTGTGAAAGACTCATCCCACTGCTGTTGGCTTTGAAGATGGAGGAAGGAGACCAAGAGCCCAGGAGTGTGGCAGCCTCTAGAAGTTGGGAATGGCCCCAGATGACAACCAGTGAGAAAGCAGTGACCTCAGTCCTACAATCTTGAGGAACTGAATTTGCCTGTAACCCAAATGAGCAAGGAAACAGATCCTTCCCAAGAGCCTGTAGTGAGTTTCTCAGCCCTGTGGACACCTTGATTCCTTTCCTTTCTGATCTTCTCCTCTTCTCATTCTACCATCTCCCTTAGCAGTCCCAGCCACTCCTCAGATGTTAATATTTCTATGCCACTTCCAAATCTTTTTGAAAGAAGAGATTTTCCAAGTCTTTGCCCATCTACAATGAAAAAATTCATTAAGGAATGTGAAGAACATTATTATTTCTTCTTACTATAATATTTCTTTTTTTCCTCAAAATGATTCTGACTTTAGGTGAGAGGTTTTCAACTATGATGAAGAGGCAGGGGAGGACATGTTATCTTTAAACTCCCCCCGGGATTTTCAGTGCTAAGGTGGCAGAACAGAGGACAGTGGTGCTGCCTCCTCCTCTCCAGGACTCCTCAGGCCACACTAAGGATTAGGTAGTAGCCAGTGGAGCAAGAGGGCCAGGGCCTGGAGGAAGCAGCTGCTGGTAGGTGGCATTGGGAACAGAGCCTTGGCACAGTGGGCAGCCTCGCCGTTTGCAGAGAAATCAAAGCTGAAACAACCAATCCAACTTCGTTCGAACAGCAGAAGGCTGGCAAAGACCTCTGATAGGGACAGGATATGTGTTCAGACAAAGCACCATGAGGCAGCTGGTGACGGGAATGGGATGGCTTCCATGGAGCAATCTCCAATAACAATCCAAAGTTAAAAGCAAGGGGCAAGGAGCGGGTACAGTCAAGAAGGAGAAAGGAAGCCTTCGTGCTTGCCTTTGCATGGAATGCCTCCTGAAGAAGGAGAGAAACTGCTGATGGAAGCCATCCACGTGGAGGGGGGGATGGTGGAGGGGGATGGATGAGTGGGGGTGATGGAGGGAGGGTGGGGGTGGTGGGGGGGGTGGCAGAGTGGGGGTGATGGAAGAGGGGTGGTGGAGGGGGGATGATGGAGGGGGGTGATGGAGGGGGGTTGGTGGAGGGGACAGTAGTGAGTGTGACCTTCCTTGTCTCTGTGCCTCTTGGAGTAACCTCTGCGCACTAATGCTGTTTGCTGTGCTCAGTTGGAGAATCCTTGTCCTAGATTCTCCTATATTCTTTACATGCCGGCCAAGGCAGTAGGAGATTTGATGTTGCTGAAAAACAGCTTTTAAAATACTACCCTCTGCTTTTTTCATATTTATTACATACTAATTTGGCATAGAATACTATGCCTGATGTGAATATAGAATATGCATTGAATGAACAGCTGTTGCTTTGCTTTTGCTATCCCCATGTGTTAATGGTTTTTTCTTGTAAAAAGCTAAAGAAAATAAAGCCTTCGATTTATTTTATGTGCCTGTTAAAAGTCAAAATAATAGTAGTCTGTATGCTTTGAAGTCTATGATAATAGCACCTTTTCCAGTATTTCATGCAACTTGTGAAATTGCAGCTGACAAGGAGGTAGATGGTAGTAAACTCAACACTGTGTGTCCCTGGTGTGGTGACTGCGACATTCCACGGAAACGTAGGAGCTTTAAGTCTGTTCCCTTTTTCTGACATTTTATTTACCTCCAAGAATTTGTTCAATAATACATTTTTCCCTCATTTTCTTCTCTCATAGATTTCAGTTTTTTTAATTTGCTGATTCTAAGTTTTATTTTCTGACATCTAAGAAGTATTTTGTCTTAGAAATAGTGACATAAAAATAGGCAAGAAGCATCTAAATTTTAGCAACGTCTATCATTCTGATGAAAATTATATAACTATAAACAATTGCTACATTTATGCATTATTATGTAATATATCAAACTTATTTATATGCAATTCTTACATTGTGGGTTATCATGGCAAACAAATATATTATTGCACAGTAATAATAAATGTCACAGTGAAAGAAATAGAAGGCTTAAATTGTCATCTCAGCAATACCATTCTGGTAAATACCCATAAGGAATACAATGGCAAACATTAACTTTATCAAGTGATCTAATAGCAATAGGAGTTCCTTTTTAGTTATTTATTTTTATTTTTGAGAGACAGAGTCTTGCTCTGTTGCCCAGGCTGGAGTGCAGTGGCACGATCTTGGCTCGCTGCAACCTCTGCCTCCCAGGTTCAAGCGATTCTCCTGCTTCAGCTTCCGAAGTAGCTGGGATTACAGGTGTGTGCCACCATGCCCAGCTAATTTTTGTATTTTTTAGTGGAGATGGGGTTTCACTATATGTTGGCCAGGCTGGTCTCGAGCTCCTGACCTCAGGTGATCCGCCTGCCTCAGCCTCCCAAAGTGCTGGGATTACAGGCGTGAGCTACAGTGCCCGGCCGGGGGTTCCTTTTTATGTTTTAAAATGTTTGCTGATCAGTACATCAGCTAGAATTGCAGCTCTTGTTTAGAAACCTGGGCTATTTTAGATCTTATTATATCAATAAAACATTTTGATTATCATTAAAATATTTTGCTGATCAAATCTTTTGATTTGCCAAAGTTATGTTTTGTGACTTGAAGCAGAACTTTTCTCTCTCTCTCTATATGTATATATTGTATATCAGTCCTTGTAGAATAATATGCTTTATTTCTATCATCAGAAAGTTGTCATAATACATTAATTTTTTGTTAAAACAACACCTTTTACTGCTATCTGCCAGAAAACTGTTATAAATATTTTAAAATGCCATCTTTGGGGTTAACAAAATGATAATAATAATGTTAAAAATTGTCATAACGACAAGGTGGCACCTAAGAGGCATGGTGCATCCAGGTATGGCGCCTGAGCGTACATGGGGGCGGCCACACGCCCTGCAGCCTGTGCCGCTGCACTGCGTGCCTGGCTCCAGCTCCCTTCCATCGGCCTTTGGACAGGCCGCACCTCCCACCTGAAATGTCCCCTTCCTGCCACCCACATTGCTCTGGCCCCTTGGACATGCAGCTTGGCTGTCGGCACCCTGTCTGTGTTTACTCCCCTGCCCGCCCTGGGGAATGTTTCACACTCGGTGTTAACTGCCAGGTGCTCAAATGTTGCCCCCACTGTAATGTGCCGTTTCCTCCATCATAGAGACTGACTCTTTCTCGTCTTTCTATCCCCTGGGCTTAACCCAAAGCCTGGTGCGAAGTAGGAACTCAAAGTTTGTGGAATGAAGGAAGGAAATTTTAGTCTATGGCATCGCTAGAAAGAGCTTTACTTCCTTATGGCTTTTATTATTAGTTATTTTCACCATTTTTTGAGGATGTTGGTGTTTAGCCTCTTAGCCTTCTCTGATTGTGAAATGTTTTCCATGATTTTGATGGTTAGAATTGCAACTACATGTTTTTAAAATTGAGCCATCCATCGCCAGGTGCGGTGGCTCATGCCTGTAATCCCAGCACTTTGGGAGGCCAAGGCAGGTAGATCACCAGGTCAGGAGTTCGAGACCAGTCTGGCCAACATAGTGAAACTTCATCTCTACTAAAAATACAAAAAAGTAGCTGGGTGTGGTGGTGTGTGCCTGTAATCCCAGCTACTCAGGAGGCTGAGGCAGGAGAATCGCATGAACC
Organism: Homo sapiens; assembly: GCF_000001405.40. NCBI lineage: Eukaryota > Metazoa > Chordata > Mammalia > Primates > Hominidae > Homo > Homo sapiens. The sequence goes on along the minus strand of NC_000018.10, from coordinate 74,191,117 downwards.
TGGGAGGTGGAGGTTGCAGTTAGCCGAGATCGTGCCACTGTACTCCAGCCTGGGCAGCAGTGCGAGACGCAATCTCAAAAAAAAAAAAAAGAAAAAGAGCCATCCATCGAGGGTAAGGAAGAGCATGGATGGGGAGGATCAGCAAACCTGGACTACTTGCTGAGTGACCTGTAACAGCCGCTCCACCAGTTCTCTGAATCTCAGCTTCCTCCTCGGACAGAGGGAGGCATTAATAGCACATCTCATAGGGCCCTGTGGTTGCAGATTGAGAGTCTAAATTATTGGAAAAGCTCTGGTTGGTATTTATGTTGCTCCTTCTTCTGTTATCATGATGAGTTAAACAGCATAGAATGATGACTTCGTAATTATTTCCACATCAATAATTCTATGATCTTGGAAATAGAAGCATTATATCCACCCCCACCATGACCCCAGTTTTGGTTGACTTACAATTCACTCTTTGGAGTAGAACATGTGTGTTTGTCTTAGATATTAGAGATGTGTGTGTGTGCATGTGTGCGTGTGTGTGCGTGTGTGTGTGACAGAGACACAGACAGAGACACAGAGACAAAGCATTTTTGCAGGTATACCTGCTAAAATGGTTGCTGGAGCAATCAGAAGAGTCCTGAGAGGAGAGATCATCCAGGGAAGGCACTTTTTGAAACATAGATTTGAAAGTTGGAATGAGTTTTATGTTTAAAATACAAAGAGGGTGATCAGTCTGGCTGGAGGCCTGGTATTCTGGGGTGGAGAAGGCAGCAGTCTACTGCACGGTGAGAGATGGCGCATGAATGTGCTGGCTGGATCGTAGCTGTCTCCGAGACAGAGTGTTATGGGAAATACACAATTATGTAGGGGAGAAGGCATTAGAGAATGTTAGAAGTATGAGTTTAAGTGTTGCAAATTGACTTTGAGAGGAAATTTGATACCACAGCATATTTCTGAGCAGGGTAATAACATACTCAAAAGGAAAATAAGCAAGTTGTTTATATTTTGGGAACCACTGGAAAATGCTTAAAGTTTATAGATTCAATTCTAACCATACTAAAATTTTTCAACTCCTTAAGCTCAACAAATAATGACTGTTAGAACCTGAGAGTAACCCTTAAAGGTAACTCTTGCTTTGTAGGAAATACTGTTTTGTTGCATACTCAGAAGTAGGTTGAATCGTAGAAAATAACATATTGCAGAGAATTCAGTAGAACATGAAACAAAATGCTTGACTTGCCAGAGGCTGCATCACAAACCAGAATTGCAACTTAATTTTTACCTAACAAGAACCAATTAGGGACTCCTCACAGAAGATAAGGAGGCAAACTGTGAATTTGCAAAGGAGGCTCTTGGACAAGTAGCTGGGCTGGTAATTAGGATGCTTCACTGTTCCTCTGAGTCATTACCCAGGGGAGTCTGTCCAAGAATTTTAAATCTTTGCCGGAGGTGCAGCAGAGGGGCAGGCGGATTGTGATTTCTTCAGTAGCTTCTGTCTGATTTCATGGTTTTAAATCGGGGAATGATGGTCTAATTTACACTTTAAAAGCATCCCTTCCAATGCCGTGTGGAGAACAGATAGAGAGGCAAGACCAGGCAGGCAGGACCAGAGGTGCCCTCTTGCTGCAGGCAAAGGGTGTTGGTGGTTTGGCCCAGAGAGGTCACAGTGGAGATGTCAGAGGCATGTGAACCAGAGCAACTCCATCTTGAATAGGAGCTGGGTAAAATGAGGCTGAAACCTATTGGGCTGCATTCCCAGATGGTTAGGGCATTCTAAGTCACAGGATGAGACAGGATCCTGGTCAGCACAAAATACAAGTCATAAAGACCTTGCTGATAAAACAACTTGCAGTAAAGAAGCTGGCTAAAATCCACCAAAACCAAAATGGCAACAAGAGTGACCTCCGGTTGACCTCACTGCTACACTCTCACCAGCACCGTGACAGTTTACAAATGCCATGGCAACATCAGGAAGTTACCCTATATGGTCTAAAAGGGGGAGGCATGAATAATCCACCCCTTGTTTAGCATATCATCAGGAAATAACCATAAAAATGGGCAACCAGCAGCCCTCGGGGCTGCTCTATGGAGTAGCCATTCTTTCACTCCTTTACTTTCTTAATAAACTTGCTTTCACTTTTCACTACGGACTCGCCCTGAATTATTTCTTGAGCGAGATCCAAGAACCCTCTCTTGGGGTCTGGATTGGGACCCCTTTCCTGTAACAGAGATAATGAGAAGGGAAGATATTTGGAAGGTATAGCTGGTAAAACTTGTGGAAATGTTAGATCTGAAGTGGAAACAGGGAGGATGGTGGTACCACTTATCAAGGTGGGGAAGGCTGGAGGAGGGAATTTTCTGAGTGAGAGAAATTCAATGTTTTGCTTTACATGTACAAAAATTGAAGATGCCCATTAGATATCCAAGCAGAGATGTCATATAATCTGCTGCTAAAGACAGTCTCAGTGCTGAAGGTAAATCATATATTGATGTTATTAAAAGACATGGGACCAAAACAGATCAACTAAGGAGACAGTGTAGACAAAGAAGAGAAAGGGCTTTGGGCCAAGGCATGAGGTTTTCCAGCCTTTAAAGTTCAGAGAGAAGAGAATATAGCGGCCAGAGTGATGAAGGACAGCAGAGAGGTAGAAGAGGGCCGTGAGAGTAGCACCCTGGAGGCCAAGAGCAGATGGCATCTCAAGAAGTTGTCACCAGCCTCTGTCACCACTAGTAGATCAAGTATAACATTGGCAGATACGTGATAACTGGATTTCACTACACAGAGGGTGCTGGTGACCTTAAAAAGAGCAGTATGGGGACAGGAATGGTAAGGAAAGAAAACTGAATGGGGCCGGGCACAGTGGCTCATGCGTGTAATTCCAGCAATTTGGGAGGCCAAGGCAGGAGGATAGCTTAAGGCCAGTAGTTGAAAATCAGCCTAGGCAACAGAGTGAGACCCCATCTCTACAAAAAGTTTTTTAAAAAAAATTAGCCAAGTTTGGTGGTGCATCAGTAGTCCCAGCTACTTGGGAGATGGAGACAGGAGGATTGTTTGAGCCAGGAGGTCGAGGCTGCAGCAAGCTGTGATTGAGCCACCATACTCCAGCCTGAGTGACAGAGTGAGACCCTGTCAAAAACAAACAAACAAAAACAAACACCTAAATAGAGTGGGTCAAGAAGAGCAGGGACTCAGGAATAATTTTATTTAAGCTAGATGATGGGCACATGGGTGTTTATGATTTTATTTTTGTATGCCTTAAGATTTCATAATGAAATAGTTTGAAGACAAAGAATGTATCACTTATTCTAAAACTTTTTAAAAAATGTGTGGAATTCTTAGGGTTAAGATTAATTTAAAATGTATAATGTGAATTTTACATCAATAAGACAGTAAGATGAGGAACAGTGGGAAAGAGACAAAGTGGCAAGGAGGAGAGAGGAAGGGAGGCCGGGAGGTGAGGATGTGGGAAGAACACTGTTGTCAACTCTGGCAGAAGTAAAGTAAGTCTGGGGCCTGGGTGGGGAGGGCCACCAATGATTTATTTATCTATTGACTTATTTACTTAAGAAATGATGTCTCACTCTGTCACCCTGGTTGGAGTGCAATGGTGAGATCATGGCTCACTGTAGCCTCTAACTCCTGGGCTCAAGGGATCCTCCCGCCTTGGCCTCCCAAAGTGTTGGGGTTACAGATATGAGCCACCTCACCTGGCCTGATTTCTTGTAAAAACATAAATGTGCAGAGGTGGCACAGCTGGGATAAATGACAAGCATGTTGTTAAAAGTTTTGACACCCTTAATATATAATGAGATTCTCCACCTTGGAGCTTGTGCCAATTGCAGCTCCCACCTGTAGAGAATCAGTGCATCTGTTTCATGACTCACCGTTAACAGCCTTGAGTAAATTCTCTAAAACAATCAAAATAAGCCAAAAGAGGCAGGAAAGGGGAAACACAGGAATTAAAAACAGAGGAGGCAAATAGGAAGGCTGGAGTGATGTATTAACTGAAAGGTTCTTGTATCGGTTTGAACCCTGAGAGCGCGCCAACAGACAACACGAGGGAGTGTGGAGCAACATGCTGTTTTAATGAGCACCTGAGTGCAGGTGGGCTAAGGCCCAAAATGGTGTCAGCCCCAACTGAGGATGGGACAGGGGGGTTTATAGTCCTCTGTAAACAGCAAGTGTCCCAGTCTGACATGACTGCTACATAGTATCTGGACAGCCTCTTTCTCGATCTTCAGGGGAGGTGTCTCCTGGCCAGGGGAGGTGTCTTCCTGCTGGCTCTCTTCCTGCTTCTATCTTGCTGACACACGCTGCTGACGCAAGTGGGCCTTGCACCTTGGGACTGGGCCTGAGAAGGGAGGAATCACTCATCCCTTCAAGCTTTCAGGGAGAATCTTTCATTAATGTAAGATAAAGTCCATTTCAAAACAAAATTGATCATGAGAGACAAATAAGGACACTTCATGAGGAAAGGATCAGTTCAGCAGGAAGACATAGCAATCATAAATGTATAAGTGCTCCATAACAGAGCTTCAAAATCCATGAGGCAAAAATGACAGAATTAAAGAAAGAGGTAGACACTACCACCGTCATGATTTGAGGTTTTAGCATTAGGAGATATACCTAATGTAAATGACGAGTTAATGAGTGCAGCACACCAACATGGCACACGTATACATATGTAACAAACCTGCACGTTGTGCCCATGTACCCTAGAACTTAAAGTATAATAAAAAAAAATATATATATATATAAAATTCCTCTCTCAAACATTGATGGAGTAACTGGACAAAAGTCCAGCAGAGATGCAGCAGATCTCAACAGCATGGTCAGCACCTTGGCTTTGGTAACATTTGTATCCATTGTGAAAGTGACGAGGATGGGTTCTGGCCCCCATGGTACAGCCACAGCCTGGGCTGTGTTCTAAAATCACTGCTCCAGGACCTTGCATGGGCTGCTTTCCTACTGGGTGCCTTGATTTTTCCATCTGTAAAGTAAAGTGATAATGGTGCTGACATCACCTGTTTTAAAAAATATTGTGAGATGATGCATAAAAAGCAAGTCAGCATAACAGCTGACCCGTATTAAATGTTCAACATATGTTGGTTATTGCTGTAGAATCAGTTACAATCACCATTCTAGTAGAATGGTAGAATCAGTGGAATCACCATTTGGCTGCCTGGAAGAATCTTAGGGGATTTTAGAAGTATTTAATCAGAACCCAGACATCAATCTGCTGTGGAAACACAGTCTTGCCCAAGCCTCACTCAAAGTTTCCAAACTTTTTCATATTTCCTGCCATTTCAGTTTCCCTCTCAGTCCCAGGATGAGCTCATGATCCTTCCAGTATTTCAAAGCAGCCCTAGTGATATAGGAGTTAAAAAGAAATGATTTAGGCAGGTAGTGAGTGTAGACGTGTCCTTGGTAAGGTTTTCTTTTTAATGAAAAGCAGCCCCCAAATCATTTCTTTTCTACCAAAGAGCAGCCTCTAAAATCGAGCTGCAGACATAGATAAGCAAGCTGGAATCCTGCCCAGGTGAATGCCGGCAGCTATGCCAATAGGAAAAGTCTACCTGGGGGGCAGGTATATTCAACACGAAGGCTCTATCTTCCCTTTTCTTTGTCAACCACGTGTACAATAAGGAACAGACAACATGGTGCCAGCCAGATAGAGAACACATCTGCATAATAAAAATTAAGGTGGGGTGGCCAGCTTCTTTGCACACTACATAAATAGCACACCTGGTCCAACCAATTTTTGGGCCCTTTGTAAATCAGACACCGCCTCTTCAAGACAGTCTATCAGCCTATAAAACCCCCGTGCACTTTGCTGCAGACCAGAAGTCCCACTTAGGAGCCCCTCTCTCTCTGCAAGAGACAGAGCTCTTCTCTTTTCTTTCTTTCACCTATTAAACCTCTGCTCTTTAAACTCACTTTTTGTGTGTCCACATCCTTGATTCCCTTGGTGTGAGACAATGAACTTCTGGTATTTACCCCAGACAATGACGCTGCTTCACTAGGTGCCCGAGGCCAAACCTCACACATTCCAGATTACCTACATTTACTGTCCCACACAGGAAGGCATGCATTTTTCACCTTTCCCACCCCACCCAGGTTCTCATGGGCCTGAAAGGGACCGTAAGCTACAGCCCCACTTTGAGGCCCTTGGAGAGTTTTCCAATGCATTTGGCAAAGGTGAGATGGCAGCTGCTCACTGTACCACCTGGGATACCAGTCAAACCTGCATTTTCCACCTTTTGTGTTATTGGAACTTTAAAAATTAATACCTCTGTATGATTAATGCCTCTGTATGATTGTGAATATTGTTCTAGAATATATAAATTATAATTAAATGTAGTTAAGGGTCTTGCTTTTGGAAAGAAACTGAGATGAATCTTTGGTGAATAGAGGAATCCACCTGTGTTGCAAATCTTTTCTCCCTAACTGGCACATTTGTATTTTCTACCTAATTGGCACATTTGTATTTCTTTAGAGAAGAACAGTGAATAAAAGAGGTAAACAAAGGAAAGTAAATTGCCCTTTTCAAGTCTGCCAGCTGTAACACCCAGAAGAGCGTTTTCTTCTTATTCTTCTAAGAATCAAGGCTCATAGGTATGTGCTAAAGAGTAATGAGGCAAGTTAAGAAGGTCTTCCGAAATACTGCTGGGGAAATTTAGCCCATTGTTACCAAAGACTTACAAAAACTTAAAGCCGTTTCCCTTCATTAAAAAACATGAGCAGTGAAACCTACTACATTGGCTTTCTGGAAACCAAAGAAAAGGACCTTGCTAAATTACTGTTAAGACAAACAATACCTTGTAGACTGACCTTATTAAGTCAGATGGCAGCTTTAGGGGTGAGCCTGGAACCTTTCTTTAAGTGGTGGTGGGCACAGTAATAATGTAGGGAAATGGAAAGGTCCTAGCCCCCCAAAACCTCCCTACCCACTGGCTTGTGCCTTCTAGATCACATTCTAAGCTCGTGTACTTTGTTTGAAGATCTGAATTTCCCAAATACATACACTATGGGCTTCTTAAATGGAACTCTCAATAAACTGTGACAGAAAGATGGTTAATGAGTAAGGTGGAACTTATTAAAGAGAAAGAGGCATAATTACAGTTTGAAGACAGGTTTAAAAATTAAAGCAGATAGGTTGTAGTGGAAATAAAATAGAAATTTCAAACATTTTAATTAAATTGTTTAAATTAAATTACTTCATTTCCATTTTAATTAACTTTAATTAACATAATGTGACATTATGAGCTTTAAAAAAAATGTTTTTCCCGATTTCCTTGGGAAATGTGGCCTAAGGAGAATGGATGGCACTGCCTCTCCGGGTCCTGTGTGCTCCCACTGCCTGAGTCATGATTCTCTCCAGCACCATTCTCCACCCCTCCAGACAGTGCTCTTGGAGGGAATGCATCCCATATATCGGGCCTCTCAATGATATCACGACAAAGGAACTGGCATAAAGAAACTTCTGATGGTCTCATTGCAGTAACGAGCTTAAAAAGAAAATGACAACCTTAGTTCAGGTAAGGTCAGTATTTGCAGACCTGTGGATTTGTAAGGATGCTCTGGAAAGAAAAGCTAATCTCAAATGTGCCAAAAAGGAATGTGAATGTATTAGGGCATGCCTAATTTTTATTGGTGTTAATAAGTAGAGGAATGTTAGTACACACATGTGTGGGGTTTATTCTTTTAAGTTCATGTCTATTATGAAGCACAGATATGCTCTTGTTTCCTCTGTGTAACATGAGACCAGGGAGTAGAAGGGATTGAATTGCCCAGTGAAAGGAGGATCTGTGTGTAGAACAGGAAGTGCTGCTGGGCAGGTGGAGTGGAGAAGAGGGGACAGGTGGGGAAGAGGTGGGGAGAGAAGGGAAGAGGTGGGGGCAGGTCCGGGACAGGAGAGGAGAAGTAGGGGGAGGTGGGAGGAGGAGTGGAGAGGAGCGGGAAGAGGGAGAGGAGGGGAGAGGTCGGGGAGAGGAAGGGAGAGGTGGAGAGAGAAGGGAAGAGGTGAGGGACAGGTTGGGGAGAGGAGGGGAGAGGTAGGGAAGAAGAGGAGAGAGGTGGGGGAGAGGAGGGGACAGGTCGGGGAGAGTAGGGGAGAGGTGGGGGAGAGGAGGGGAGAGGATGGGGAGAGGGAGAGGAGTGGTGGAGGACATGTGGGGAAGATGCAGGGAGAGGCAGGGGAGAGGAGGGGGAGAGTTGGAGGGAGCTGGTGCAGGGGGAGGCACAGCCTCACGAGCCTGGGCACTCAGGAGGACGCAGCACAGAGGCGCCAGTTGAGCCGCCTGGTTGATGGACCAGCTGATTGTCTTAAGCAGAAAGTCACCTGTGCAGACCGCCTCCTGGGAGAAAACCTTTCTAAGTTATCATATGAATTGTAATGAGAGGTGAGTCAGGCACAGGTTGAGGCGTGAGTGCAGCTGAACTAAGCTTAGGAGCAAATCTTTCCTGGGAGAAAGCCCCCTCAGTAGAGCAGCTCCAACCCTCGCGTAGAGCAGCCGCTGACCCAGGCCCCAGGGCTGGAGGGTCCCGCGGAGCCCCTGCGAGGCTGCCCTCTGGAGAGCCCAGCCCGGCCCCGGGGAGGACGGCTCGGAAGCAGGTGCCAGGGTGTCTTCCCGTGGCCCCGAGCTGAGGCTCAGCAGCCCAGGAGGCCGCCCCTGCTTTCCCACCCTGGGTTGCCTTCCTCTCCTTTCCTGTCTCGCTTCCCAGCCCTTCCTGGCGTTTGCTGGGATCACCTCCCGAATAGCCCTGAGCGTCCGCTTCTGGAGGAGCTCACATGGAGGGCCTTGGCGACTGACAGGTGATATTGAAGAGCAGGAGGGCGTCTGGCTCGGGATTGAAGGGCATCACCTGGCCCGCGTGCTAGGGACCGCTGCCCCAGGTGAACCTAGGAGGCCCCAAGCGCAGCTGCTGTGTGCTGGCGGGGTCTCCTGACACCTTTGCCTGTGATGATCACAGTGGCAAGATTAGGTCAGATGGACCGAGAAAGTGAGAGACAGAAGGCCTTCAAGTGAGGCTGCGGGCAGTTCCTAGCCCAGAGCCCGCGAAGAAGACGGTGATGGAGGCTCGCAGACCTCATGAGGTCAGCCTCCCTGCAGGGGGATCAGTGCTGCGACAGCCATCCCACCCCTGTTCAGTGGCCCCAACGGATGATAGCGTTTGCAATGAGGCATTTTCCCTGGGCGTGGGTCATGTGCAGGGGGCAGAAAGGAGATTTATATGAAATTAAGAAGAGGAATGGACAGAGCCTGATAGACCGAGACTGCCTCGTAGGTGCAAACCCTTCATCTGAAGAGCGTAAAGACGCTGAGCCCGCAGGGAACGACCGCTCTCTGTTGGGCATCGCGCTCCACTTCCCGCCTTCTAATTTTTCAGTCTTTTTATGACTCTCTGCCATCTGGTCTCAAAAGCTGAAGAACATTTGTGTACAGATGAGAATTTTCCTCAAGCGAGGCAGAACAGACAGCAGGGTGTAAATATTTTATACTTTCCAGGATCATTTTCTTTCAGAATATTAAGAATTCATGCCAACATTTGAGAATGGATCGCGGGAGGAATGCCGTGCTGAGTGGAACGCTTGCCGTGGACAAAGATCGAGAGAAAGAGCTGGAATACATTCAGAGCTGAGATTTCACAGGGCTGCCACAGCCTTTAATTAAATGTGGTTGACTCACCTACCCAGTAACACACATTTTAAATGCCCCACACGGATTGCTTTTTTTAAAAAAACAATTTTTAAAAACAATTTCCAACTTACAGGAAAATTGCAAGTGCAGTATAAAAACCCTTTTTTCCCACATCACCTGGAAATAAACTGCTGATATGATGCCACGTTACTTCCACATCCTTTAGTGTGTACTTTCTACAAACGAGGACATTCTCCTACTTGGTGAGCCGAATTGGGCCTCCTGTGTGAAATTTAAATGTTGAATATTGAAGTTCTCCCCTCTAGTACCTTACAATGTGGCTGTATTTACAGATAGTGCCTTAAAGAAGAAATTAAGCAAAAATGAGATCATTAGGATATGCCCTAATCTAATCTGATGGGTGTCCTTAAAATAAGACTAGAAAACAGTCATGCAGAGAGGGCTGACCATGTGAGGCCACAGTAAGAAGACGGCTTTGGTTTAATAACATAACAAAATTTATGGTACAGTAGAGAAGTGTAAATTGATCTTTGCTCCAAGGATGTAGCCATCTTAACTGACAATTCTATGAGTTTTACAATTCTTAGGGCAAGTATGTGTGACTTTTTTGCTGCCTTCAAGTATAACAAGGTCTTGCTACCTTAAAATCCTTTTCTTGACTCTCCCAAACACTCCTGGGGCCTGTCCCTTCTGGTTCCTCCTGTTGGTTGCCTAACTTGTGGAGAAGGTGATCTTCCGGCTGGTGTGGACTTCCGCCCACCATCGCTCATGTCTCTGCTTCCTCTGCTCCATGAACGTGCCCCTTACGGTCTCCAGGAACGCCCCCTTTGTTCTTCAATTCCGGATGCCTCTGAAGCAGAAGCCACTGCTTTCCTGTCACTGCCCAATGCCACTCGTGTTTTGGTTCCTGTGTTAGTTGACTGTGGTTGCTGTAACATTTGATCGGGAGCTGGGCGGCTTAACATGGTAGACATTTATTCTCCCACAGTTCTGGAGGCAAGAAGTGTAAAATCAAGGGGTTGGCAGAATGCTTCCCTCTGGAGGCTGCAGGCCGGGGGATCCTTCCTTGGCTCTTTCCAGTTTCTGTGGTTCCAGGCACCCTTGGTGTCCCTGGCTTGTGGCAGCATCACCCCAGTCTCCGCCTTCATCTTCACGTGGCTATCTTTCATCCGTGTGTCCTTTTCTGTCTCTTCTAAGGATGCTCCTGTTGGATTTCGGGCCCCTCCAATGCAGTATGATCTCCTCTCCAGCCTTACCTTGATTACATCTGCAAAGATCCTATTTCCAATTAAGGTCACATTCTGAGATTCCAGGAGAACTTGAATTTTCGGGGCAAGATTTGACTCATGGCAGCGTCTATGTGGAGGCTTGTCTCTGATGCCCGATGTCTGTGGCCAGTGCTGGATTAGGGTGTCTGTCAGACTGTTGCTCTCGACCCAGTGTCACACCCTGAGTCATGCCCTTTCTCATGGCTTCCAGCACTGGATACTCCAAGTATGTGTCTGAATGACACACAGTTCTCAGTCTCCAGTCCTGAACTGCTCAGAACCCAGTATTGTCGGCTGCCGGTGCCACATGCCGGCACACCTGACCCTGGAATCCAGCATGTCTGATGCAAACGTGTGTTCACTCTGTCCCTCCGGCCTCACCAGCCAAGTCCACATCCCAGCTCCTCCACTGTGTCAGAGGCATCTTTCACTCTTGCAACTGTCCGGGCTAAGCTTCTTAGTGTCATGTATGATGTGGCCATTTGAGAATTTATGGCAATGAAAGAGAAACAGCAGGCCCTATATTGGGCTGACTGAGAAAGGAAATCAAGAGGAGACTTCCTTCTTAAGGTAGATTCTTTCTGGGTAAATTATGAAGATAGCTCAGAGTTACTAAAGAATGTATGCTTATAAATGATTATATTGTTCCTAGCTTCTGTTAAAAATAATTTAAATTTTTGCTACTCTTCAAGTATTTACAAATGGAGACAAATGGCTATCGCTAACTAGTAGGAAGGTCAATTATAGAGGGTAAATAATAAGAAAGGAAGATAGGTTTTTTTAGTGGTATTTAGTAAAATAGAATGGAAACAAAGGGCCTACTTTTTCTTAAAAAGCAGTTAAATGCTGCTTTGGTGGTGCTGAGATTCTCCCCAGTTTCTCATTTTTACATTACTCTTTTACTCTTTTGCATTTTGACATGGTGTGGGTCACATGTGTTAGGCTCTACCTGAAAAAAACATTGAATTCTTGTCACACATTTCCACTATGTAGAAAAATGTAGCATTTAATTCTTAAAGTGCATTCTTAGTGAATGTGAGTGGTTACTTTAGAGCAAGGGCTGGGTGACAGCACCACAGCTCATGTTTATTGAGCCTTGAATATTCCAGAGATCGTGCTGGGCTGGGGATGAGTGTTTGCCTCTGACTCTCAGTCTCTGTATCACTGAGAGATAAACTGATACTCAGAGAGGCTGAGCAAAATTATCCACATCCCTCAACAAAGTCAGAGGCAGAATGAGCATTTCATTCCTGGGTTCATCTAGCTCTATAGCTATGCCTGTAACTACTTAACTATGACAACTGAAAACATTTTCAAATCATAGTGGAATACTATTGTACTGTGAAGATTTCTCAGTACTGTGAAGATTTCTCAGGCTGGGCGCAGTGGCTCATGCCTGTAATCCCAGCACTTTGGGAGGCTGAAGCGGGTGGATCATGAGGTCAGGAGATCGAGACCATCCTGGCTAACACGGTGAAGCCCCATCTCTACTAAAAAAAAAAAATACAAAAAAAATTAGCCAGGCATGGTGGCAGGTGCCTGTAGTCCCAGCTACTTGGGAGGCTGAGGCAGGAGAATGGCATGAACCCAGGAGGTGGAGCTTGCGGTGAGCCGAGATTGCGTCACTGCACTCCAGCCTGGGTGACAGAGCAAGACTCCGTCTCAAAAAAAAAAAAAAAAAAAAAAGATTTCTCAGAAGACTTCTTTCCCTATAGAGTGGAAATGTAGGTTACCTAATAATTTCTACAACGTTCCTGCAACCATGCCTAGAAGAAAAGCTGCGTGGAGGTGACACCTTCCTCCCTCTGCTTCCTGGTCAGCTTAGCCCTCATGGTCTCATGTCCAGCACCCTGGGCAGTGAAGTCAGAAGAGGCCATCTGACCTCTGGCTGTGCCGTACTTCAGAGACGGGGTAGCTGATGTTCTCTCACATGGGAAGCAATCAGAGGGAAAGACGAGAAAGGACTCTGATAAGGAAAATCATAATAATGAATAAAGGTGGAGGGCTGATAATGATAATAAAAGTTACATGCAGAGTACACTGTATGAGAAAAGATTTCATAGAATAAAGAAACGATTTCTCCCTTCAGTGACAAATCCGGATCATAACTTTTAAAACGTAGTAAAACTCTAAGACAAGGTTTTAAAACAGACATACAGAGTAGCTTTACTACTTCCCCAAATAGTTCTGCTCAATATAATTTCAAACAAAGTATTTGAATGAGATATTTAAAAAATGCTTCAGAGCTAGGGATTTATTTCCTTTTTGCCACGGAAATGATTTTGTCCCAAAGACAGACTCTAATTAAGCTAAACCCTTTAAGTACACTAAACAATTTATCTTCCTTTTTGTTCTGAAAATACGTTCAAATTTGAAGGCTGGTCTCCTATAAATTGTAATGAACTCTGACTTCCTATGAATACTTCTTCATGTCATAATTTCTGTAAAGAACCAAAGACTGTTCCAAAGCCCATTTCAGGTAAGCAGAAAAATCACATCTGAGATTTCTCTCGGGCAATGATGTCAAAGGGAGTTCATAGCAGCCTCTGTAAGGGGCATTAAGGTGAACAGAGACCCAAATTATATTTTGAGTAGGAAATTATCTGCACTTTCAACCTTGAGCAGGCAGTGACTGCAGCTGTAACAGACTGACGAACCCCTTCGGTTCCTCCTAACCAAGGCTCCTAATGTCTCATCAGATATCACAGAGCACCATACTCATGAATATCATCATCTCTGCCTTTATGGTTTTCAGGAGGAAAAAAAGAAATGGCTCTGCCAATGGCAAGGTTATTTGTAGTACTTTGTTAGTTATAGCCCACTCTATTCTCAGCACTTAACTCGCAATGGCTTTTCCACACTCAGAGCACAGTAGAGGCTGAGCTAGAGACAGCTAAACCTTGCTGTCACCTTCACTGGCCACTGTCCTCGGGCACACACGGAGCCCAGCAGAAGCTGCATTAAGGACATCTTTCTTCGCTCTCACCGGGTAGAGTCAAATAATTTACCTCTGCAGCAGGTTAAATGTCTTCCCAAAGCGGAGCCGCCTTCTGTGTGCCCACGTTTATTAAATTACCACAGATGTCGTGTGAACAGATGGGCGCACCCCTGAGAGGCGAGGCTGCGAGGGAGAGCGGCCGTGCAGCGGGGGCTCTGGAGAAGGAGCTGCTCGCCGGCAGTCCTGCGAGGCATCTTTCCCATTCTCACCGCTGCATGTTTACTGAATCCTTACAAAGGCCCTTGTCCCCAGAAAAAGGACAGCAGAATTAGAGAGCCGGGACCAGCAGCAGGAAACCCTCGGAGAACAAAGTGGTGGCTGAAGACATAAGATCCGAGCGTGGAGGTGTCCTCCTGGCCAGCTGTTCCCAATCACCATGTGACTCGAGGAATTCACTAAAAATGTTAAACTCTTGGGCCGTCATGGATTAAAGGGTGCTCCCTCCCCATATGTCCATGTCCTAATATCCAGACCCTGTGAATGTGACCTTATTTGGAAAGGGTCTTTTGAGATGTAATTAAATGGATGATCTTGAGATGGGTCATCCTGTACTACCAGGGTGAACCCTAAATCCAATGACAGTTGTCCTTAGAAGAGAGGTGATGGAGACACACCCAGAGAGAAGAAGGCTCTGCAGCGAGGGAGGGAGGCAGAGGTTGCAGGGAGGCACCTGAAGCTGCAGAGGCGGGAGGGACTCTTCCCTAGAACCTGCAGAGCAAGCGCTGCCCTGCGGACACCTTGCTCTCAGACTTTTGTGCTGCAGAGCCGCGAGCAATAAACCTCTTCTTGTAAGCCAGGTTGTGGTTGGTCGTTTTGGCAGCTGCAGGAGACAAACACAGACCCTGCCCTGGGCCTCCTGAAATGCAGTTTTAGGAAGCTCTAAAGTGCTTCTGAGGATCAGATAGGCCAGGATGTACCCTCTGTGTCACTGATCAGGATTAGAGGTTTTTGATGCCTACTGCACATCAAATTACCTGGGAAGCTTTAAAATTACCTGGGATGTCCAGGCTGCACCTGCAGAAGTCCTGACTCAGGCGACCTGGGGTGGATGATTCTCATCACAAGACGTTTGAGATCCACCTAAGATGCTAACAAGCTAAGATGTGGATCCTCTTGTCCCTTGAGTGGAGGGGTTGGTTTCTGCTGACTCCACAGCTGCTGATGCTGGAGGCGGCCACTGTCCTTTGCCTCCATGGCTCTGCCCACATTGCACACTCCCGTTTTCCTGCCCTTTCTACACCTGCTTCCACCTTTTCGTTTAAACTGAGGCATTATTACAGAACACCCAGATCATAGATATACGGCCTGAGTTATGACAGCTGTGTGTATTTGTACAACCCCACGGATGTCCCCCTCCTCCATTTAGTTCTCCCAGCCCACAAAGCAAACAATGTTATGACTTCTGTCACTGCACATGACTTCTGTTTGTTCCCTTAACATGACAGTTTTTTCTGACTGTTTTACAACTTCTTTATTTTGGCTTTCATCAATTGGACCCTGACATGCCTCGGTGTTGTTTTCTTTGTTGTATATCTCACTGAGCTTCTTGGATTTCTGGGTTGTTGCTTTTCATCAAATTTGGAATTAACTTTGGCCACAGTGTCTTCAAGAATTGTTTTTTCTCCCCACTTTTGATTGACGCTCTCCTTCTGGGTCTCTAATTTTTTGTCTTTAAAGTATCAATTCTGGCCTGGCACGGTGGATTACACTTGTAATCCCAGCACTTTGGGAGGCCAAGGCGGGTGGATCACTTGAGGCCAGGAGTTCAAGACCAGCCTGGTCAACATAGTGAAACTCCATTTCTATTAATAATATGGAAATTAGCCGGGCATGATGGTGCACACCTGTCGTCCCAGCTACTTGGGAGACTGAGGCAGGATAATTGCTTAAACCTGGGAGGCGGACGTTGCAATGAGCCGAGATTGTGCCTCTGCACTGCAGCCTGGGCAATAGAGTGAGACTTTGTCTCAAAGAAAAAAAAAAAAGACAATAAATAAATAAAGTATCAAAAGTATTAATTCTATGCTAAAAAGCCCCGAATTGGATGTCTCCATTCCTGTTCTTTCTTCTGAGTTCTAAGCTTGCTGCTGAACGCTGGTGGTCTGTGTGTGAGAGGTGTTTCAAATTCCAAAACTGAACTTATAATTTTACTCCCCACACCCACCCCCATTTCTGTGTTACCAGCTTCTATTACCACTTTGATGCTATTATTCTCCTCACATATAAAGTTGTATGCATTAAGGCAGCACTTTCCAAATGGTGTTCCTTGCTTTTTGAGGTGTGAATAAACATTCTCTGTGTGTGTATCTGTGTGTGTGTGTGTGTGTGTGTGTGTGTATCTTTGGGAGAAGGTTCTTTCTTCAAATAACTTTGAGAATGTCTTCGTCCTAACTCCCCACTTAGATATTGACTGTTATAAGTTGTTTTTTCAATGACCTTAGACATCCTGCAGTCGAGAAGATTTTTAACTTAAATGTTAAAGTATGATTTCATATTTTAAAAAAACTATTTTACCATAAAATTCTTTCTTAAAAATAGAAAGTCTGATAAAATCCATGGAGTGAATTTTGGAAAATATTACCACAGGGCCATCTTTGGCTAAGTTTTCTTCTCCATGTACATCTGGTTGGTTTCCAATCCTCCACATCCTACTTACTAACATCTCCCAAACCTGCTTCTGCCCCATGTCCCCATTCACTTTCGCAGCCTGACCGTTAAGCTTCCGTCACCTCTCAGGCCAAGGGCATCCTCTCTGAGCTAGCTCCTCTCTTTTTAACTTCTCACCTTTTAAATTTAGTTTTCGCCAGGTGCAGTGGCTCAGGCCTATAATCCTAGCACTTTGGGAGGCCAAGGCGGGTGTATCGCGAGGTCAGGAGTTCAAGCCCAGCCTGAACAACATGGTGAAACCCCGTGTCTACTAAAACTACAAAAATTAGCCGGACGTGGTGGCGGGTGCCTGTAATCCCAGCTACTGAGGAGATTGAGGCAGGAGAATCGCTTGAACCCGGGAGGCGGAGGTTGCAGTGAGCTGAGATCGCGCCACTGAGCTCTAGCCTGGGCGACAGAGTGAGACTCGGTCTCAAAATAATAATAATAATAAAATAAATAAATAAATAAATAAATAATAAATCCAGTTTTTACTTGGCTGACAGAGTGATCTTGAACGCAAGTCAGTTTCTTAAAAACTTTCAATGGCGGCCGGGCGCGGTGGCTCACTCCTGTAATCCCAGCACTTTGGGAGGCTGAGGCGGGCAGATCACAAGGTCAGGAGATCGAGACCATCCTGGCTAACACGGTGAAACCCCGTCTCTACTAAGAATACAAAAATTAGCCGGGCGTGGTGGCGGGCGCCTGTAGTCCCAGCTACACGGGAGGCTGAGGCAGGAGAATGGCGGGAACCCGGGAGGCGGAGCCTGCAGTGAGCCGAGATCGCGCCACTGCACTCCAGCCTGGGCGACAGAGCGAGACTCCGTCTCAAAACAAAACAAAACAAAACAAATTTTCAATGGCTACCCATCACTCAGGGAAGGAAACCCAATCTCCTCAGCAAAGGATCAAGTATTTGTCACGCTCAGCGTTTCCTCACCACCCCCGCCCCGCACCCAAGGCTGTGGCACCCCGGTGGGAGCCCTCCATGAGGAAAAGGAGGCAGGAAGCCGGTGGAGTTACAGGCAGGGAGGCGAGGCTGGCAGTGTTACCTAGAGGAGCATCCTTGGGACCACAGAGCTGGCGGAGAAGAGAGATGAAAGCACCCTCCAGAGACTGGAGCCCAAGCCAGCTGCTGAGAGAAATAGCGCAGTGAGTGCAGCTGGGAGGACTGGGAGGACTGGGAGGACTGGGAGGACTGGGAGGACTGGGTGAGGAAGGGAGGAGGAACCGGGAGGGGGACAGGGCTGAGAGCGCCGAGCGGGAAGCGGACTTGGCCACGAGGTAAGGAGGGCTGGCATTGCCAGGCTTTCCCTTGAGCGGGTTCTGACCCTCTCCTCAGCATGCAGGACGTGGTGGCCAGGCGGGACCCTCCTCGTCCCATCCTCACTGCTTCCCTACAAGGTGCAGCGATGGCTTAGAGCCCCTTTCTGGGCCCCTGCGCAGAGAAACACCTGAAGCCTTCCCCGGTCCTGCCCTTAGAATGAATAGCTCCCTCTTCTCTGATCTCGGCACTCGCCTTGTTTTTGGCATGTTGTCCTGTTTTGTTGATATTTTTGTTTCCCCCATGGGAGCTCGCCACGGAGCCAGGTGAGACCGTTGGGATTTGCCCGGCGAGATCCTCCCCTCGTTGGCAGCATCTTCCTGCATGTGCAGCGTGCGCAGGCGCGGTGGGAAGAGCCACACTACGGAGTTAGCACTTTTCCTGAGGACTAGATTGCACCCTTTCCTTCACTGCAGTCTTCCTTAGAACTTTAAGGAATAGATTGCACCCTTTCCTTCACTGCAGTCTTCCTTAGAACTTTAAGGAATAGATTGCACCCTTTCCTTCACTGCAGTCTTCCTTAGAACTTTAAGGAATAGATTGCACCCTTTCCTTCACTGCAGTCTTCCTTAGAACTTTACATACAATTAATTATCAGAAAGAGTTACAAGATCAGCACTATCGTTTTCCCACTTACAGATAAGGAACTAGGCAATTTACGGAGAAGTAAAGTAAATGACCTGTCGCAGTGGTAGAATTGGGACTTGACACAGCTACAGCTGTCTGAATTCTGAGCCCAAATGCTCAATTGCGAAGCTGTATTGCTCAAGAGAAGAAAGATTGAGTCTCTGGACCTGTTCACTGCAAACAAGAAAGTGAAACTATGAGGAGCTGGTCTGAGAATGAGATGCGGTCCTGGTATTAATATTAGAAAGATCGGCGGGGTGGGGAGCTCTCTGTTGTGCTGAGCTGACCTGAGGAAAGGGCACCTTTCTCACTTTATGCTTCTCCCAATCCACAAGACTCCTCCTCACCTCTACTGATCCGGTGGCGCCTAAAATGTTCACTTTGCCTGATTTTAAACCAAGAAAAAGGAACATAAACACCTGTCGACATGGTTGTGTTTAGGACCTGTTTAAGGCACTAGTCTTTATTATAGTCTTTATTACAGTCTGAGAGAGTATGGAGATGAGGAAACAGAGGAGGAGGGGGGACAGCAGAGAGAGGAGGGAGGGACATCAGAGACAGAGAAGCAGGAGAAAAAGGGCACAAACGGCCAGGCATGGTGGCTTACGCCTGTAATCCCAGCACCTTGGGAGGCCGAGACAGATGGATCACCTGAGGTCAGGAGTTCAAGACCAGCCTGGCCAACATGCTGAAACCCCGTCTCTACTAAAAATACAAAAAAATTGCTGGGTGTGGTGGTGGGCACTTGTAATCAATCCCAGCTACTTGGGAGGCTGAGGCAGGAGAATTGCTTGAACTCGAGAGGCAGAGGTTGCAGTGAGCCGAGATCACGCCATTGCACTCCAGCCTGAGCAATAAGAGTGAGACTCCGTCTCAAAAAATAAAAAAAAAGAAAAGAGAAAGGGCACAAACAAGGGTTGTAACTTGGGGACACTGAGGCTTGATGGGCTTCCAATGAGAGTTAGCCGGAAGCTGCGTCATGCTGTTTCCTTGGGACATGAGCTTCTGTGTGGAGTCACCTGGATTTTGAAGGGTTTTGTGTCGTTTAACTGCTCATCAGAGCTCTCCACACACTGAAACCTCAATTCTCTTGTTGAGACACTAGAAGTCTGCGGGTGCCCCTCACACAGGAGAAATGCAAGCTGCCCCCTTGAAAAACGTCCTCAGAGTTGCAACCACAGGGGCCAAGTCAAGAACACTTCAAAGACTGGATGCAATCCAGCCAAGAGGTTGGCTCCTTCCCTCAGCCAGATCTCCCATGTGCTACCATAAGGAGAGCCTCGCAGAGCTGTGGCAGGTGGTATTGGCATGGATGAGAAACTTCTGCATGGGTCTTAGTGAATGCATTGGCATTCCTGGATGAAATACATTAAAAATGAAATAAATCCATATTAATAACAAATAATGATACAGTCACCTTTGATAGAGTAAAAATGAACACTTTTGTAATCCTTTGTTATGAAAAATAATGAGCCTATGAAGATTCAATTTCATTATTTGCAACTACTTGAAGCATATTTTTATCTCATTTCTTGTATCTATAGGCTAAATACAAATTGATATCAATGCTGATGATATTTAGCTTAATAAGTTTATATCTTTTATCTGAATTATTCCTAAATAAAATTGACAGCAGTATTCGCAGCTTGTAACACAGAGCAGCCAGTGGCTTCCAGGAAAAGTATAGGTAATTTTCATCATCTTGCCAGAGACAAGGGGTTCTGCTGGGTTCATCTAGAAATCAAGACATATTCCTTTAGAGGCTTCCCTATGGGCAGTAAGCCATTTGCCTCACTTGGCATTTATTTGTTGACAGCATTTACATGTCTTTGAAACAATGCTGACAACTTTGCTTAAATAAATGAACATTTCCATGTCCATTCTCAGGTGGCCAGAATAATCAGTGGATGTGAACAGTAAATTCTCATAAATGTGACTCGTGTTTGGATTAAGTATCGTCATTGACCAAATCATTTTGTCCTTCTCCCCATTTGTCGTGCCACCCTCACATGATGTTATAATACCCATCGAATAATCATGACTGTCAGCAATAAATGCAGCCACTGACGCCAGCTGCAAGGAATGAAGTCAAGATTGTCCATGCGACGAATCTGACCTTTTCAACTAAGCTTTAATTTTGGTACGCTTTTCCCCCCCTTTTTATAAATTACTCAGATCTCAAGGTAATAAGCATGTAAAGGAAAACCTGTTAAACATCTTATGCTGTACTCGCCATTCCTTTAACTATTTTTAAACGAATTCCTTGTTCAGCACAAATTCAAGAAAAAGCAGAGAGTGTAGAAAAAGAGGACAGAGAGGGACATTTTATAATTTTTAGGAGATGTCTGTATTATGATTATAAACCAGAAAAGCACAGACTAATGTTTTTCTAGGTTGGATGAGAAATCTAGAAATAGGATATTGGTGGTAAAAGGGGAAGAGTGCCTTAGGAAGAGTCTTGGGCGTAATTTGGGGAGTACCTTTCTTCCAAGCTACACACAGCCAACTGTTGGTAGCATCATATTCCACACAGTGAGAAGCAAGGTGGGGCCAAGATGCCACTCTGGAAGGTCAACAGATAAGTGCAGAATATCTCATGCAAATGATTGAAAGCAAATGGTGACTCCGAGCTATGTAGGAGCTTCTCATGTAAATGGCTGCACCACCTTCACTGCAGTCGAATAAATGTGTTATCATGAAAACATTCTCTTCTAAACATGAACCACATCTGTAGGGTCAAATCAATAGATACCCATCAAAGCATTTACTGTGGTTCTAGTAACTATTTGATCAGAATATCCTTCCTTTTTGGCATTTTTGTTTTGTCATATTATAAAGTAAGTGGTCTTAGAAGGTGATTGTTCCATAACCATTTTTTTTTTTTTGCTGCCTTATTCCATACCCTGAAGAGCAGCATATGTGTTTCTCCTGCCAGCCCTGCTCCTCATGGTGATTCAGCCTTCTAGAGGCATTAGATTTATGTTGCTTATGCAAGACCACTTTTGTATGCAACGGGACACATCCGTAATTTTTGCAGCCTCCTATCTCTCATGGCTGGCACTCCAGGAATTTGGTAGCTTTCTCAGTCACTTTTTGAATAATGCATTGCTTGGGTATTAGAACTATAGGTACTTATAAGGTTTAGATTTAACACATTTTTTTTTTTCTGAGAACTTATTAACATCCAAATACTGTAGTAACTGGAGATACAGGAATTAAAATGATGCCTTCTCTATGTACAATGTAAAAGGAAGGCAAGAAACATACCGACAGTTGCGGGGTAACCATGTGCCAGCTACTGCTGAAGCCCCTTCCCTATGGCCTCATATGGTCCTTACAAAATCCCTAAGAAGTAGGTATTATTGTCCTCATTTAAGAGATGGGGAAACTGAAATGTAGGCAGGTAAAAAAACAAAAAAAACATGAAAGGCAACATTAGGTGATGTGTAAACACTCAGGATTTGAAAATCAGACATCCCTGGTTCCAGGCGTGTATGGTAAGATGACCTCGGGCCACACACTGCTGTAGCAGATGCTTTTGGTGGCCTCCTGAGGGGTGGTCTCCCACAAGGTGGGTTCACATTTCAATCTGGGAACCTGCGGATATTATCTTCTATGGTAAAATATGTGCTTAAGTTAAGGATTTTGAGAGGATGCATTAGTCCTGGGTTATAGGGGTGGGCCCTAAATTCAAGGGCATGTATTTTTGTAAGACAGACACAGAAGAGAAGACAAGTGCAGAGGAGATTATGATGTAAAGATGGAGGCAGAGACGGGGGTGATGTGGCCACAAGCCTCGGAATGCCGATAATTTTTAGAAAATTTGATTATCATTCCTATAGACATATTACTTCCCCAATTTTTTAATAAATTAAATAGAGAGACCATAGAAAATCCCGAAAGGGCTTCCCATGGATGTTGATGAAAATAATGCTAAATATTATGTTAAAGTAAAGAGCTAACATTAGCTAGAGTATTTCTGAATAAGAAGAGTAGGGAGAGTGACTTTCTCTTACTAGGTATCAGCATCTACTATGAAGCTATGTAGTAAATAGATAAGTGCAGTATTGGTATTAGCAAAAATTAACCAATAGAATGAAAGAGAGCCAAAAAATAGACCTGTACACATATGGGATTTCGGTGTATGACAGACGTAGATGTCAGTTCAGTAAATGGAGCTGGAATGCATGGTCATCCATACGGAAAACATAAAGTTGGATCACTACTTCATACTCTTAAAATAAAAATAATCAACTCCAGATGAATTAATGACTTAATATCAAAAACAAAACTTAAAATGGTTAATAGACAATGGAGATGAATATCCTTTCAATCTTGGTTTAGACTCCTTACACAAAAACTTGAGAAAGAGTACCTACATAAGACACAGTACCTTTTTACTTTAAAAGAAAAGATACACTTGATCTTGACTTTATTATCGTTAAAAACATTTGATCATCCAAAGATATCATATATAAAGCAAAATAGCAAGTTTAAAACTTGGAGATAGTCTTTTATGCACACAACCAATGGAATATTACTATCAAATATATAAAAACCTTCTTACAAATTAATAAGAAAATAGAGGCCAGGCATGGTGGCTCATGCCTGTAATTCCAACACTTTGGGAGGCCAAGGCAGGTGGATCACTTGAGGTCAGGAGTTTGAGACCAGCCTGGCTAATATGGTGAAACCCTGTCTCTACTAAAAATACAAAAATTATCAGGGAGTGGTAGTGGGCACCTGTAATCCCAGCTACTTGGGAGGCAGAGGCAGGAGAATCGTTTGAGCCTGGGAGGAGGAGGTTGTAGTGAGCCCAGATCATGCCACTGCACCTCCAGCCTGGGCAACAGAGTGAGACTTGGTCTCAAAAAAACAAAAACAAACAAATAAACAAACACAAAGAAAACAGAAAAATACCAATAAAAGCACATGCAAAAGACATGAACAGGCATTTGTCCAGAAGAAGGAACACGTAAACCACATAAAAATGTTCATTAATGATTAGTGAATGGGAGTCAAGACCACCAAGAGACCCCTTTTACACCATGTGGCTGGCAAATATGAACAAGACTGACAGTCACAGGGTAGGGCAGGATGCGACGCCACAGGGTTTCTTACAATGCACGGCTGGAAGTCACGCTGCTACAATCACTTACAACTTCTTAAAGTTAGCTGCCATAACAGAATACCACTGGCTTGGGGGATTAAACAACAGACGTTTATTTTCCCACAGTCCTGGAGGCTGAAAGTCCAAGATCAAGGTGTCAGCAGGGTGGGTTTCTCCTGAGATCTCTCCTCGGCTTGCAGATGTCCACCTTCTTGCAGTGTCCTCACATGCTACTTCCTCTGTGCAAATGCCTCCCTGGTGTCTCTGTGTGCCCAGATTTCCTTTCATTATAAGGACAAATCAAATTGGATGAGGGCCCTCCACCCTCATTATAACTTAATCACCCCTTTAAAAGCCCTATCCTCAAATTCAGCTACATTCAGAGGTGCTGGGGTTGGGAGGTTTCATCACAGGGGTTTTGGAGGCCAGAGGGAGACATAGTTCAGTCTGTAACAGGAGGCATCAGCCTCTGCTACCCTTAGCTTTCCCCTCTCTTCTTTCCATGGTTCTGTCCTTGTTTCTTCCTTCTTCCTTTCTGGCCTGTCCATCCATCCAGCTGTCTATTATCTGTGCATCTCACCTGTCCATCCCTGTCATCCACTTGTCCCTCCTCTCCTGTGCAGGCTCCTCTTCCTCTCTTCAGCCCTCAGCATCACTGTCCCTCAGCTTTCAGCCTGCTTTGCTCTTCTTCCTCATCTCACCTTAGGGAGAGTCATTACCATTCACTCTCCCTAGTCACGTTCTGAACAAAAGGCATTCCGGGAAACAAAGCATCCCAGGTGCCACTGCACAGTGACAGTGACATTCTGCTTAGGTGCAACCCAGCTTCCCTGCTTCCTGGCTCTGTGACCAGCCTGTGCATCAGTTACTTCGTAGGTACAGCTGAACTGCTGGCAGTAGCTAGTTGTCAGGAATGTGAAACCAGCTGATATTTGTGTGGTGCTTGGAACAATGGCATGTTGTGAGGGTTACATGGGAGTTTGTTAAATAAATAAATAAAACCGAGAGAAACTCCTTATCTCATGTTTAACTAGAAAGTTCATTTCAACCGTAGGGCTTCAACGGAAGAGTGCCAGCTGCTTCCTCGTGCAGGCAGCATTGAGTGCTGCGGTTCTCCAGGTACCTGCTCAATCAGTACTTGTTAATTTGATAACAAATTATGAGATTTGTTTAAAATGAGCTTATACTGTATTAATTATTACTGAGTAGAGAAATAAGTTGTAAGTGCGAAGACAACTATTCCACTTGGCTCATGGTTCTTTTGTGCAGTTTCTAATAAGATGAAAAAACAATCTTTCAAAAGATCCTGGGCGGGGAGTGTGGAAAGGTAACCTTGCTGTAACAGGGATGAATTGCAGGGGCTCGGGCGGCCTCCAGCCCCGCTGCCCATGACTTTATTCTTAAGCTTGTTGATCTCATAGCTGGAGCCGAGGTGAGCACTGCCTGTTTCTGCTTTGGGTCTAGCTTGGCACCCCGATCTCATGGCAACACTCACACTTCTCTAGGCAGTGGCAGAAAGACAGGAGCTGCTCCTTGTGCGGCAGGCTCACCTTGTCAGTTCCTTTTTGTCTGTCTCTCTGTCAGCATCCCCTGTGTCCCAGCAGCTGCTCACCCCTCCTAACCACAGCCAGGGTGAAGGCAATGGTGACAATGTAGCAGCCACCCCTTCAGGCCTCTGCTCTGCTCTTTCAGGGCCAGCGACCTCTGTCTGGCCTTGGGCCTGTCCTCCCCTCCAGCAGGCAGAGGCTGGCTGCCCCCGGCTCCTCCAGATCTGTCAGGCCTGCAGCTCCACCCCTCATTTCAAGGGTAGAAAAGGGCCTGGATCTTTCTGAGAAGGTCTGGAAGGGAAAAGACTGAGGATGCTAACACTGAACATGGAGGAGCCCTGCATGCTGGATCTCAGAAGACAAGGCTCACATCCAATCAGTGGTAGGCACTATGGTCTCGAACCAGGTCACAGAAATCTTTGTGCCAGATCTGATATCTGATTCCTGGGAAGAGAAGGCCACTTTCTGTAGAGGGGACAGGAGGATGAAAAGGACACTTTCTGTTTTGTCTCATAAAAGGAGGCGAATTTTTGTCATGCATATTTAGTGTACTTAGACTAGCATTATGGCAGAGGAAGGGATGGAAATTACAGAAATTTTGAAAGAATCATCATAGGAGTCAATGATTAATTGGCAATACATGTTTAAAAATACAGAGGATTTAAAGAACAATCTAGGATCTTAAGCCTGGGGAAGGAAGGAGTGGATGGCAATGGTGACTGTACGCTGTGGAAATCAGTAAGAACCTGGGGGAGTTGGAGCTGGTTATAGGGGGATGGCAAGTGCAGGGCTGGGTGTGTGGAAGCTGAGGTGACGGCAGGACTTGTCACATGGAGACTGAACCTGCCCAGCAGGTTCTGGCTGGGCACGGTGGCTCACGCCTGTAATCCCAGCACTTTGGGAGGCCGAGGCAGGTGGATCACGAGGTCAGGAGATCAAGACCATCCTGGCTAACATGGTGAAACCCCATCTTTACTAAAAATACAAAAAAATTAGCCGGGCGTGGTGATGGGTGCCTGTGGTCCCAGCTACTTGGGAGGCTGAAGCAGGAGAATGGCGTGAACCCGGGAGGTGAAGCTTGCAGTGAGCGGAGTTGCGCCACTGCGCTGCAGGCTGGGTGACAGAGCAAGACTCCGTCTCAAAAAAAAAAAAAGAAAAGAAAAGAAAAGAAAAGAAAATTCCAAGTAGCTGGGAATGTCTACTAGCAAAACAGACACAACAGTCTTCAAACAACCCATTACTAGAACTTCTTAAACTAAGGGTATAAAGGAGGGAGCCCAGGGAGGGTTGCCTGTCCAGAAGCTGGACCTTGGTGGGAGGACCGGCAGAACGGTGGAGCCTGACTTCCCAATTAGGCCTTTGCGAACCGGATTCAGCTTTCTCAGGACCACTGGCGATCACAGAAGGACGATAGGAGCATCAGGACACAATCAGCTCCTGTGCAGCAAGGAGGAGAGACACGGAGGAGCGATTTGGGATAGACGGTGATTTTGGAGATGACTCCTAATTTCCTAGCTGACAGCAGCTGTGAGCACCAGACAAAGACAGGGCAGGGGGAATGGGAATAGCACGTGGACTAAGAACCAATTTAAGGAGAATGGAGGAAAAAATGTGTAGCCAAAATTGTGAGGTTAGAGACAAGTTAGGATATAGAAAGAAAAACATGAGTGAAAGAAATAAATGTAATGATTCTATAGTGGGGAAAAAGAACAGAAAGCAGGATTTTCACAGATCTATATATTAATGCATGGAGTTTGGAAGACTTAAGAATTTCATGTAACAAGGTTAATAAAACCTAAGGCTGAGAGCAGGCTGAAGGATACACTCAGGTCTGGAACACAAGCCTGGGAGGGCAAGCAGTGGAATGTTTCCATGCTAAAATTTATGAAATACTTGGTGTGTATAAGGTATAACTTGTATGCAGGTGTGGATCCAAGTTTTCAGGGCCCAAGGGTTAGATAGGTTGTGGAGTCTTCCATAAGAAAGGAAATCATTATCAACACAAAATTAAGTACTGGGCTTTGGAGTCTGCGAAAGTGAGGGGCCCCAAAACTTAAGTTTTGTGACCTTCTGGGTAACTCACCCACCTGCAGTGAAAGGTATATAGTAACAGAATGAACACCCAGCAATCCACCATACTGTGTAAGAATTTGTCTAAGATGAACCCCTGGGAAACTCAATCTCATCCTCCTTCCTCCTCACCAGAAACAACATTCTCTTAAAACCTTGGCTTACCTTTCCCTTGCATTTCTTTACAAGGTTTTCACACATACGTATGTATCTCCAAAAAGTATTTATTTAGCTCCGTGTTTCTGAACTCTATATAAATTGCCAGAATACATATTTAATTTTGCAATTCGCCTTTTTTGCTTGAAGTGTTTGTTAGATTCATTGGTGCTGGCAAATGCAGCTGTTAGTTCCTTTTCCCTTGCTTGTCGAAACAAAGGCAGTTCCTGCTTTGCACATCTGCGGAACTCATGCAAGTCAGAACTCTCGCCTCAACTTGCACGGTCCCATGGTGACTGAAATAGTGTATCACATTTTTTTCCCCCCAATCTTTTGTCAAAACTTGCCAGTTTTTGTTCTTACATATCTTATACTTGGCTCCAGGGACATGGGCAAGAGTTTTTCTACGGTGAATACCCAGGGGAGGAAATTCTGTGTTATGGAGAATCTGCAGTTTCAACTTTTCTAAATAATGCCAAGTTGGGCATCCAAGTGGTTCCACGAATATACATCTCACCAGCAGGGGATGAGAGTTCTCTCTGCTCTATTCACCGTTTTATTCATTAAAAGTTTCTTACAATCTGGCAGATGAAAACGAGTAACCCATTCTACATTTTCTTGATTTTAGTGAGATTGAAAGTATTTTTGGAAGTATATTCGCCTCATGTTTTCCTCTTTACTGAAATGGTCTTTTGCCTGTTAGGGCAGCGTTTTCCTCCTTTTTTGGGGGGTCCTTTGTGTATCTGAAAAGTGATGCTTTCTTAGCTTTGTGTTCTTTAAAGTTTTCTCATTCGTGGCTTATTTTTTTTTTTTTCTGATAAAGTTCTTGATTTTAAAATCAAACTTTTTCTTTATGGTTTCTAATCTTGTGTCTTATTTAAGAAATCCTTTCCAAAATGTCGTAAGGATATTCTCCTGTCTAGTGTTGCAAATGTAAGGGTTTTAATTTTCCTGGAATTGACTCTTATGTGGTGTGGGGTAGAGATTTAATTTCATTTCCTCCCACATGGATATACGACTGTCTCAGCACTATTTGTTGAATACTGTACCCTTTCCATTGCACTGTAATGTAACCTCTGACACGTAACTAGTTTCCACAAATGTGTAAGTCTGTTCTGGGGTCTCTATTTTGTTCCATTTGTTCCACTGCCTTAATTGTCTATCGATGCATGAATGCCTTGCTGCACTTACTGGAGCTTTCTAGGAAGTGCAGATACCTGGTTGGGGAAGTACCTCTACCTCCATCTTCCGTAAAGGTGTGCATTCTTCAAAGAAACAGGTCAGCTCAGAGTAGTCCAGCAGGCTCACCACAGATCAGTCCAGCAGCCTGCCTCACCCATTCCTACACCTGTGAGCCCTGTGTGAGCGGACGGCGCAGCTGTGCAGACCAGCATCATCACCTGCTTTCTGCGGTGTCTCACACTGGCCACTGTTCCCTAGTCAGTTTCCTCCCTTCTCCTTCAGGGCTTCTTCCAAGCTTTCATCTTTCTCTTTAAGTCCCAATGCCACCCTTCCTTGCCACTCAGCTGACGACACACGGAGGCTGACCAGCTGGGCTCAGCTGCCAATGCATCATCTTTCCATAAACTCCTCTGCCTGAGCTGCTCTCCTGCCTCTGGTCAGCTCTGCTCTGAGTCGAACCTGCCGAGACCTTACTCCACTGTTCTCTTTGATCTTCCATGGGTTTCCAACCTCTCCTCCATGGCCTCCCTTCCTTTTGCACATTCCCCATTCCCTTCATCTTTAACAAAAATATAAATCCAATTTACAACTCAAAACAGAAAAATAAAATCCTTTCCTCAGAATCTGCTAACCATTAGAGGGAAAGAGGGGATTGCAAGATGTTGCTGGCCAGATGACCCCAACACACGGCAAGCTTGCCTCAACTGGCCAGCATGCTCCTCCCGGGGAATGCCATTGCCCCCTCGGCTCCAGCTGCTTCCTCTCTGCAGGCCACTCCTAATCTCGTCCAGTTCAGACAGCATCCTGAGCGCCAGACTTGAGAAACCTGTTGCTTCTAGGCCTTCACCTGGCTGACTGATGTACCTTGAGCTCAATGTAGAACTGACTGTTTTCTGCTCATGACCCATCCTGTCCTGGATTTTAACAGTCGATCAGAGGCCTGAGTTATTCTCGACTGCTCCCGCTGTGTGACTCCGGATTTTAACACAGTCAGAGGCCTGAGTTATTCTCGACTCCTCCCCGTGTGACTCCGGATTTTAACGGTCAGAGCCCTGAGTTATTCTCGACTCCTCCCCGTGTGACTCCGGATTTTAACGGTCAGAGGCCTGAGTTATTCTCGACTCCTCACCGTGACTTCCCACATGCACTTGGTCACAAAGTCCTGTCCTTCCCCCAGCCTCACACATTTCTCAAATGTACTACCTCCTCTCTAGCTTTATCCTCTCTCATCTCAACTATTACGGTAACCTCTACCTGGCTTCTGCCAAATGCAAGCCATCCTGCACACAACTACCACTTCTAAATACAGATACAGCAGCTTAATTCCCACTCAGATTCCTGTGATGCTCTTCAGGGCCTACAGGATCAAAACCTTAACACTGTCACACGATATACCTGGCCCCTGCACTCCACACCCCGCCCGCAAGCTTTTCCGTGGCACTAGACGACTCTAGTCTGACATATAGCATACCCTTAATCAATATGTTGCATGAAATCTAACAGATGGAACACATGAGTGGTACTATATAAAATAAATAGTAAGTGTAACCCTGAGTAGAAATCTATGAATTAGGAATTGGGGAACTGTCTCTGGATGAGAATAAGAGAAACAGAAGTAATATTGTAATGGCTTACCAAATGGAAATAAATGGATAAAGTATTACTAGCATTGATCAACAATAGTTATGAAGGGAGCTTGCAGGGTAGTTAGGCTGGAAATCTCACGGGGCTAAAAGCAGAACTTCTGATAAACTCTTGCCTTGCATATAATTTCTTCATTAAGGAGGAAGAGCAAACAGTGACAGGAGAGTCTGCTCTAGAGTTAGTTGTGAAAAGAGTTCACTGATCAGGTGTGGAGGAATGACAGAGGCCTTGGAGGAAAATGACCAGAGCATTTGCAAATTCACAAATATGACGGAAGGGGATACCAGGCAGAGTCAGATAAGTGCCCTAGAATTCAGAGAAAAAGTGGGAGTAAGCCCATGGACAGAGACACCACAATCAAAGTGGATTAAAGAGGGTCTTAAAACACAGAAATTTTAACATTTAGTAGGGTACATCAGAGGGAATGAAAACAGAGATCTAGAGAGTTACACATCACATTTTCCTGTGGCTATACAGAAGAATCTCTTATTGGTACAGAGTTTTTCCTTTTGAAAAAGTAATTTAGTTTTATTTCTAATTATAAAAGCTCAGATCTGTTTTTTGTTTTTTTTTTTTGAGACGAAGTCACACTCCGTCACTCATGCTGGAGTGCAGTGACATGATCTTGGCTCACTGCAACCTCTGCCTCCTGGGTTCAAGCGCTTCTCCTGTCTCCTGAGTAGATGAGATTACAGGAGTGTGTCAACGTGCCTGGTTAATTTTTTTTTTTTTGAATTTTTAGTAGATAGGGTTTCACCATGTTGGCCAGGCTGGTCTTGAACTCCTGACCTCCAGTGATTGACCTGCCTCAGCCTCCCAAAGTGCTGGGATTATAGGCATGAGCCACCTCGCCTGGCCAAAAGCTCAGATCTTAAAGGGGCATGAGCATATTGTAAAATGGCAGGTGCATAAAAATGAATACAGAAAAAGCAAACAGTCTTAAGTCAAATGACAGGGCCATGGAGGGTGGCTAAATCCCCACCTGAGCTCAGATGCCGGGCTTCTTCAGCAAGCTACAGTTTGAGCAGGTTGTTTGAAGAGCAGGGCTGCTTTTTTGAGTTTAGGATAGCAAGTGGAACTTCTCAGCCTGTTAAATGTTGACATTTCAGTGAATCCTGAAACTGAACATTCTATAGCAAAGGAAAAAACGATTAGGAGAGAAAGCCTAAGTTAAGGCCTCATTCAGTCAAAGTGTGTTACGTCAGGGAGACGAGTGTCTGTTATATTTTCTATACTCCTTAAATGTTGGAAATTTTTATAATTAAAAACATCTAAAACAAGCAGTCAAACCAAGAAACTAACTAAATTAAGCAGGGAGATAAAGTAAAAAGGGGAGATAGATTGCCTGGAGGTCTCTCTATCCTGAATATCCCAAAATTTCAAGAACACATCAGAAATTCCTCTACAGACAGTTCTCGGGGAGAAGGAACAAACACATCAGAGGGGATACCTCACACTGAAGCCACCGCAGATAAACATGGTTCTAGACCCCTCCCAATGCACATAGCACTTACATAGATATGGAATCAGGATCTTGTAAGTGAAGGTCACTTTTTTCCAAATCCCCAGCAAATATTTCAAATAAAATAGAATTTCCTTTTTTTTTTTTTTTTTCTTTAAGGGGCCTCACACACGTATTTGAATGTCTCTCATTCACTCCCATGTTCTTTTGGCAGTCAGAAGTATCAGTGCAAGTAAGTTCTAAAGGGGATGAGGGCACTTCATGGCTGCCTTCTATGGTCCAGGCTTGTACCTCTCATCACACTGCCATCCTAACAACCCACACAACAGGGACACTTGACCACGCACCTGCTAGAAAAGGTGGGGTGGGTGCCCAGGTCTACCCAACTTGGGAGTGTGTACTTTTCCCGCTATGTACTAGGCCCTTAATTCATGAAGCGCGAAATATGAGACAGATTCCTAAAACTCACACAATTTTGAAGAATGTATTTACCATCTGGTTCCCTATGGCCCTCAACCATTTTCACATGCTTATCTCAAGTCAGATTCCAAAGTATGCGGAGGGCAGCT
Organism: Homo sapiens; assembly: GCF_000001405.40. NCBI lineage: Eukaryota > Metazoa > Chordata > Mammalia > Primates > Hominidae > Homo > Homo sapiens. Next base: position 74,158,863 of record NC_000018.10, on the reverse strand, counting down.
GCTAATGACATATTTGTTAGTTTTAATTTTATTCTGCAGACATTATGCAGTTCTATAATATAAAATGAATACAATACTAAAATCTATTTCCTTTATTTACATGGTGTAACATTTCCAATAACAAACATTTCTAATCATGAAAGATGGTGTTAAAGCAGAAATATTGTCATGATTGAGTCAATGGGAGAACATAAAATATGCTGTATTTCATAATTTTTCCGTAAGAAAATGTCTAGTTTGTTTAAATGCAACAAATACTGTATTAGATTCACTTTATAAGCCATACACTCCTTCTTGTCTTTCTTTTGAACACATTCTGGAAGGCAGCTGTGAAGAACGGAGTAGCGAGTCCACGCCATTCAACATCCATCAGAAACCCTATTTTAATCATCTTGGGATCGATTATCTTCAATGATAATAGTTCTTCTAGGATAAGATTCAATTTCTACAAATATATATCGAAAATCATATTCACCACTTCCTGGGTTCTGAAAAAAATGTAGTGTTTCCAGGTATTATTTTCCTTTCCAGAACTTAAATAACACCGCGCTCAGAACCTCTGACCCCACATCCCATGATTCCCACACCTCTTTCACTTGCGCATACACCGTTCCTTGCTTCCCTGGCTCAGAGCCCTCAATGTAGAATTTCACACACGTGTGTTTCAGCCCATCTTTTACATATTCAGTGAACCTGTCGAGAAAACGAAAGATCAGTCTAAGTTCCTTTCATTTAAAAATCTCCCCAGAGCCTCCTCTGAATTCAAGCCACAGTACCTGACATGCTGCCGGCGACCCCGCCTTGTCACCTCCCCATAGCCTTTAACAGACTCACCAAAGACACCGATCACCTGCAGAACAAGGACAGTGCTTTATTTTGTGTTATTTTTTTAAGCTTCTAAAGAAATAATTTTTAACAAACCAGATGATTTTAGGAAAAAAAAATCAGTAAGCTTAGGACCTTTTCAAAAATGACCACTCCTGGCTCACGCCTATAATCCCAGCAATCTGGGAGGCCAAGATGGGTGGATCACAAGGTCAGGAGTTCAAGACTAGCCTGGCCAACTAGGTGAAACCCCGTCTCTACTAAAAAATATAAAAATCAGCTGGGCATGGTGATGCGCATCTGTAGTCCCAGCTACTCAGGAAGCTGAGGCAGGAGAATCGCTTGAACCCAGTAGGCAGAGGCTGCAGTGAGCCAAGATCGTGCCACTGAACTCCAGCCTGGGTGACAGAGCGAGACTCCGTCTCAAAACAAACAAACAAACAAACAAATAAAAAAATGACCACTCCAATAAGAAAACTGAAAAAAGGGTTATTATACAAAAATCATCCCATAAATAATTTAAACAAATATTTCATGCACAAAGATTAAAATAGGTAGCTTTATGGTGTGACTTGTAGTTTCAAAGCAATGTAGGTTGACATGACGCAGTTCCTGCTCCTCTTACAGAAAACAAACATAACAACACAGAGTTCAGATGTTTCTCTACTAACCCCTTATGGTTTGAAGATAAAATGTATGAACATTTTTAATGAAATGTAATTAATTAATAGCATCTAATACTAAAACTATGAGATCAAAAAATTTTTAAAGTTACCAAACACAGTGAGGAAAAAGAAAACAGATAATGACATTTAAAATAAATCAGAGCTACAGGTGTGAATCTACTATTTCTAATGAGAAAATCCACATGAAGTAGAAATGTAGTTTTTATTGAATTCAAAATGCAAATACTGTGGAACCCTCTAAAAAATATAAATTTGATATTAAACTAAAAAAGTTTGACCCTCAACTCTACGAAATTTATCTTATTTTGTCTGTTTGTGGAGTATCTTCAGTATCACATTTTCCAGGATAAAAAGAAGTAATATGTAAGATGATATTGCAGAATTGTATAGCACAAACAAATAGAACAATTTACTTTAATCTATTAAACATATAAATATCAACATCCATCAAGATTTTGTTTTTCAAGCAGACACAGTACCCAGCAAAGAGAAGGGTACCCCTTAAAAAATGTTGACAAAATTGTTAAAGTTTAATTATTATTTGTAGAGTTTTTTCAGGCAGCAAATGAAGTTACGACTTCAATAATATCCCACTTTTGTATATTCTTGTGGAGTTTTTTGTTCAAAATGCTGAAAAATCTACGAAAGGCTGAGTTTGCGAATAAAACAGCAACTCTTCATCTCTTTCCAGAGATGCGTCCTAACATTTAATGAGGTTACCACCCACAGGTATTTCCGGAGTCTGTAAAGAATGTTTCTTGTCAGATAAAATTTGGATTCCCAGTAACTATTATGGGAACGAACCTTCCTTATTTCCTGGTTTTCACCTCTGAGATACTTTATCCTCCCTGCCTTTCTCCATGGTTACCACTGGCTGTCCAGAGCTCAATGAAGAGAAATCAGTGGATTTAAAAGGAAAGATGCCAGAGATCGTTAGCTTCTGAGGTTTCCACCCTGACATGATTAGAAAACTGGTAGAACATTCAGAGCCGGGGCCCCAGGGAAGATCAGCACCGGGCTCTATACTGAGCACGCTGTGGATTGAAATCTTTCTCCTCTTCAGGGGCTGCAAATGCGAGCTATGACATTACTCCTTGGTCTGTGTGAAGAACAGCCCTAATATTTATGATGATAATGGCAGACGATTACCTGCTGTTATCTTTCAGGGTGAATGAAGTTGTATTTCAATGAGTAATATTTTCAGTGCTGAAGGTCTGCAGCAGGGAGTAAGAAATCTGACACTTCCCAGGCCACACCGGCTACGTGTGACTGGAAGGTCACATCTAAAGCCTTCCTTCTTGACAGGGTCCTTCAAAGAACCAAGGCAGCTTCCCCATGTCCACTCCTCCCAGGGAAGGGTAGAGGCAGACTGTGCTTAAGAGCTTAGATTTGGAAGCAAATTTTGGATTTGTGTGGATTCGGGTTCCGGTTCCCCCACTTACTAGCTCAGTGATCCTGGTGAAGTTACTTAATCTCTTTAAGTGTCAGTCTCCCCTTCTGCAAACTGAAGACAAAGTAGTGCCGAACACAAATGGTTTTTGTGAGACTGAATAAAGATGATGCACTGAGACCCTGGGCAGAGTGCTTGCACGGACACATTTTCGGTAAGTGTCAGCAATGACATTATGACCATGAGGTCATGCATCAGGCTTTAAAAAGACTAGAAACTTACCATGAGTTCAATATTTTGGTGTATTCTAAAAATTTAGTATCTATGAACAACCAGCAAAATGACTGTCTTGTACAATTAGCATGAAAACATCTGTACACTGACTTTTGGGTTCTCTTAAAGAGCAAAGACCTAATAATGTAATGATGACTCGACCATTATGTATTATTATGTGAATTTCACTAGCGTGAGAACTGGTTCTTGAATTCTGCCCACTTCCTCCTCCCAGACATTTTCTCCCCCTCATCAGAGTTCATGTAACTCAATCTTGAGAACTAACCTCAGGATGTGATCTGCATTTTTCTAAGGCTCTCCCATATATCTTGCTAGGACTGGATGAAGAAAAAAGTTCTTTGAAAATCGTGTAAAACAAGCCACCTGAAATCACAGAAAACAAAGATGAAGCGAAGCAAGGGCAACATAAAAAGTCCAGTTTAAAAAATATTCAAGGGCTTATACTTGCTGTTTTTTGCAACCTGTAATGCTGATTCCAAAAAGCACCACTATTAAATAGGTAAAATCTCTTCCGGCTTCTTTCACTGTGAAGAGAAAACACCAATGGGTTACGGGTGCCGGCTGGGAGCAGGCAAGCTTGTCTGCTGCTTTTGCACTTCTTGCGAGAGAAAAGCAGCCTCCAGATCAAAGCAAGGGGTCTGTGTGTGTTCAGGGGCAGCTGTTTTGAAAACTCCCTGTGTGTCAGCGCCTCAGCAGAATTCTCAGAGCAGGGCTTGGGAATCTATGTTTTAATTTAGGATGAAGAAATCCTTTTAACAAGTGATCCAGTCCACAACTGCTGTAGGTTAGGCAACACTCCCAGATTAGGAAGAGTGCTGGCTTTTGTCAACCAAATGGGTAAGGGACTGAATGGACCAAAATGGGTGTCAACTCTTAACAGTTAGTAACTAGCTCGAATGCCAGTCCCACCCCACACTGACTGGTGCATAAAAACAGAACTGTGTTCAGAGTAGGAATATGGTTGGCCAGAAAGATTTATGAATTAAACTTAGAAAATGAAGAAAATGCACAGACCAGACATTTGTTTTCCCACACTAATAAAATATGTGCATATGGGTTAAACAGACACTCTGAGAGCTAGAGAAACTCAATCAAGACAGTGTCAGGGGGCCAGGCGCGGTGGCTCATGCCTGTAATCCCAGCACTTTGGGAGGCCGAGGCAGGCGGATCACGAGGTCAGGAGATCGAGACCATCCTGGCTAACACGGTGAAACGCCGTCTCTACAAAAAATACAAAAAATTACCCGGGCGCAGTGGCGGGCGCCTGTAGTCCCAGCTACTCGAGAGGCTGAGGCAGGAGAATGGCGTGAACCCGGGAGGCGGAGCTTGCAGTGAGCCAAGATAGCGCCACTGCACTACGGCCTGGGCGAAAGAGCGAGACTCCGTCCAAAAAAAAAAAGACAGTGTCAGGGGACAGAATATATACATATGTATAGCTATAAATAAATGTATTTGTATTATACAGAAATACATATACAAGTACGCTTATTTGTCCCTATTACCCCAATCACCCTAGATTCCCGATTGTCCCTCCCAACATTTCATTCCTGCCTTGCTTAGCGTATCAGGTGAGTCTTTCTATTTTTTCACTTACCAACAGCTACTGTATATCTACCATGTGTATCTTCATATATATGCAAAGAGCTATAACATTACAGTTACACTACCTTAACATTACAATTACGACTATGCTTTTCACTGATGCTGAGAAAGTGAGTCACCTCCTGGCATTATGTTTATAGACTAATTTATTCACCACATTAGCCATTCAGACTTCTGAAATATAAATCTTTAAAAAATTTTTAAGAAAAAAACTTTTGGAAGAAAATTTTAATAGATGTTGCTGTTATTTTCTCTTCTGTATAAAAAGCTTCTATTATGTTTATAAACAACATTGTTTAAAAGAAGTATTTAGCTAATACAACGCTTGTTTAAAAGTAGTCTTTAGCGTATCACAATCCTTCAAGTTTTCAGCAAGGTTCCCAACTTAGAAGACATTATTCAAATAATAAAAAGACCTCATCTGCCAAAATCTGTGTAATTCATGGGACTGACTCAAACAATTGTCACAAATCCAATTTCCCTTCCAAGGTTCAGGAGTTGGGGCCTACAATGACGACATCTCATTCCACTCTCAGTGTCACAAAATACATTTCAATAAATATTACCTGCCAGTTATGTATCAACTCCCAGGTTGAGAATACAATAACAACTAACTAGTTCTAGTAAGTATCCTTATTTGTCCTTGTTACCCAAACCGGGTCATTGGCCCCAACACCCTGGACTTCTGACTGTCCCTTCCAACAATTCATTCCTACCTTGCTTAGGGTATCTGACAGGTCTTTTCCATTTATTTGATAAACAACAGCTCCTGTATATCTGTTATATATAAAGCCCTGTGCTAAATATTCTCCATATTCTACACACTTGAAAAATTTCTGTTTGTTACTTTATAGCTGTCTCCAATGGAAGCTGCTCACTGTCTAACTTTCTGAACCCTATCAGACCTAATACTTGTATGCAAAAAACCCTCATGCCATTTATTTGCTTCCACAATTCTCTACCCCTCCTATAGTGGGTGCTGTGGTATGGGGCTCCCAGCTGCAGGGAGCACTGGTAGCGGACAGTTGTCAGCTGAGCTCCTCTCTGGGCATTCCATCATAAGAGAGCTTCCTCACTTAGGTCACGGCACTTCCCTGGACCAGCCCATATTCAATGCCTGGTTGATGCAGAAGCATAAGACTCAGCCCCCATATTAGGTAGGACAGTGACTGGCCAGCTCAGCTCCAGAAGTCCCCAGAGCAGCAGCTGAGGCCCCAACTGCAAATGCACTTCGGCCTCTCCCTCTGCCCAGTCCTGCTTCCCTCATCCCTCAAGACGTATTCTGAGAGCACTCCCTGATAAACCTTACGCAAATCCCACTTCCCTGGGAAGCCAACCTACAACGGGTGCTACCAGGAGTGGTAAGCAGCTCTCAATTTGGATTTTGGAGCTGGCTTGCCGGCCACTGGCTGGCAATGAGGACCCTGTCCCTGGTGGTAGGGGGGTACTGACAGCACCTGTCATAGAGCTGTAGTGCAGCTGATGCAGCTCTCACCAATGGGGACCTGGGATGGAATGCTGGCGGAAGGGAATGTACTGGCTGATGTGTTATTCTGGGAGTTTAGGAGGAATCAGCAATTTTAAGGACTTATATCAGACGGCTGTGGCTGGGGCCATGGAGAGGGATGGTGAGATGAAGTGTGTAACTAATCACCAGTGAAGGTGAGTGCCAAGGGCAGGAGCCTCCTCCCCGGCAGAACAAGACTCAAATTGCACCCAGAGGATAGAAAATGCGTGGGTGAGGTCTGGGGCGGAAGGGATTCAGGGAGTTTGGCATTTCAAGCCCATGAGACCTCCCACACCAAGGTCAGGGTCCTGATTTGGGAGGAAAGGCAACCTAAAGCTGGGTAGGGGGCCCTTGAGGTCAATGTTGTAAAAAATCTTGAATCCCAATTCTCCTGACCCCTCTAGCCCTGAAGCAGCAGCTCAGTGTCTGGTAAAGGTTGGCACTTCCTCCACCTTGGAAACTGGGCGAGGGGTGGGTGGGGGTTTCTGCCTAGCAAGATACGTGCTGCTCTCAGGAGGGCTCTCCACCTCCCCTCCTGGCCAAGTTACAACACGACTGGGCATGAGAAGGGTGAGAAGAACAATACTCGGAAGGAGCTGGAGGTCCCCCCGGGGGGGGGGGGAACATAGACACCACTGCTTCTTAAGGGTGGTGTGTCAAGGGCACAGAACACAAAACCAGCTGAGAGTTGATCAGCATGGGGCACGCTCCTGTGATGAATTTAGCAACCAGGCAAGCACCCTGGGAACTGATATGCAGCTGGCTAGGTCTGCTCCTGGAAACTTCGAGACAGTGATGGTCCACATTAAGTAAAAGTGACAGAACAGCCATGGCAAACTGGACGAAAGGCTCAACAGCCTCCAAGAATGGGGATGCTACCATAGATATAAGATATAAAGCCCGAAAACCCACCAGCTGACTATGTTCTTAGGAGGGACAGGAGGACACTGTGTACCAAAGCCACAAGGAAGCCACAGTTACATCTTTATAGAGCAGGATGCCCTGACAGAAATGGAGATGAAAGAATTATGAAGCAGAGACCAGGCTGGGGTGTTAAACAGAAGCCAAGGTGGGTGCAACCATCATAACTAATGGCAAGGCTGGAGTGGCAGTCGGGAGTGTCTGACCTACAGAAAGCAACAGAGTTGATGACTAGAACACAGTGTTTCCAAAGGGAAGACACAAGGGCAGCGGACAAGGCTACTTCTGAATTACACAGTCATGAGAAATTAACTACAGATGATTCCTGAGGCTGAAGGCAGCTGCTCTAATGCAAAGTCCTGAACATTGCCCCAGTTTCTGGACCTGAACCAGTTTTCAGACCTGGAACGCATTTACTGAAGGAAAGCGTATGTAACTGACTCCCCCCGTCCTTCACCAAAAGGACCTACAGTTATCAACTTGGACATAGTCTGTGCTGACAGTGATACCCAAGGACCCAAAGAGTCATGATGACCCCCTGACCGCCCTCCATCACCGGATGTAAGAAGCTCACAGGTGGGTCCAGGGACTTACCTGGCAATAATTTCTGTGATTTCCAAATGTATAAATCAAGGGGATGTACTGAGTAACTGGCAACAATAACTCCCACTTTAGTTCCTTTGGAAGTGGGTTAAGAGCCATCGCAGTGGGAAAAGTCAAATGGAAGCCCCTGAAGCTGCCCTTTCGGTGACCAAGATAGGAAATTAAAAATGATATCACATCTATGGGGAATGGCAGAGTATTCTTAGAGACCTTAGATACAGGCATGGCGATCCCCATCACGGTCCCTTGTAATTTACCAGTCTTCCTTTACAAAACACAAATAGGTGCTGGAGAATGACAGTGGTTAACTGCAAACTCAACCAAGTGGCAGCCGGGGTACACATGTAATACCACAAATGGTAACTTTACAGGGGAATGCATTAACACAATCTCATGGTATTGGCCATTGCTTTGAAGAACGCCTTCTATTCAGAAGCAGCAGCAGTAGTCTGTAGTAACATGAAACAGATAATAACAGTGTATGTTTATGATCCTGCCCAGGATTTGCTAATTCTCTCACCCTCTATCATAACAGTCTTAAGGGACTGAAACCTTCTGGACCTGGGCTGTCTAATACAGTAGCCACTTGCCACTCATGGCTATTTCAGTTCAATTTTAAATTAATTAAAATTAAATCAATTCAGTTCTTCAGTCACAAGTTTTAGCAACATTTCAAGTGCTCAAAATAGCTACAAGTGGCCAGGAACTACCCAAATGGACAGCACAGATATAGGACATTTCTATGCAGAAAGTTTTATTTGAATAATGCTGTTCTGGACATTCAGGAGAATATCACATTTGTCTACTATATTTATGCCATCATGTTAGAGCCCATAAGTAACAAGTGGCAAGTGTGTTAGAAGGCTTGGTCAGAGAAGCTGCAAGTGTGAGAGGTGGGTCCAACAAAGATGCAGAGGCTCATCAACACATGAGCCGACCTCGTGGGGCTACACTGGGGCGTGCCAAGACATGCCCTCCCAAGTAAAAGACAATTGTACCCTATACCTCCTACCACAATGCTTCATAGGCCTGTTTGAATTCTGGACGCAGCATATTCCATATTTGGGAATGTTGCTCCCATCAATTCACTCAGCCACAAGGACTGTCACGTCTGAATGGGGTGCAGATGAGGGAAGGGGTCCCTAAGCAGGCCTGGTGTGCAGTGCAAGCATGAGCACTGTTGCCTGAGCCAGATGACCTGATGCACATGCTGTTTGCCACTTCTATGCCTTTCACCTCTGCATACAGGTTGTTCCTTCGTGCTGAACTAGTATGAATGAAAAGCTAGGTTTTTGGCATAGTCAGCAGACTCTAAAACAATTGGTATGATCCAATTTTTTGGGTTAAAAATTATTAAAAGGTATGTGTATGAAAGTGCAAAATGTTAAAAATAGTCATCTTCGTGTGGTATAATCATGGCGGTCTAAATTGCTTTGTCTTTTTTTTTCCTACAAATCACATGCGAAATGAAGACATTAAAAAAAAATCTTAAAATATCTGTGAATACATCTCTGACTTTCCCTGACAACTTACATTCCATCCTCCCTATTTTATGTTTTTCTATTACTGCAGGTAACATGTGAAAGTTTTCCCTACCAGTTATGAGTCAATAATCTCTCTCTCTCTCTTTTTATCCTATCCAATTACTCTTTATTATATGTAACAGAGCCAATATAACTTGAGAAAAATTTCCCAAACATAATGAAAAAAAGTTATATCAAATTCAAGATCAACTTTCACATCTGAGTTCCAATCTGTGAAGAAAACTGTAGATCTATATGTTCTAGTTCTAAATTATGTTTAAACGGTTTTTAAAAATTCATGTGAATTGCTTTTTCACCTTTAGCAGTGAACTTGGTATAAAAGGGCATTGGCAGCTCTTGTCATGTCTGTTGAAAGCCCAATCATTAAAGTACTCCTTTTTACCTTTTTGTGATGTTGGGACGGCGGTTCCCCCTCTCTGACTCCTGTGCACAGACACTTGTTTGCTGCCATCCTCCTTTGCTTTTCGGGGGCTCGGTCCCTGCGTCCAGATGGTTTTCTGGGTGACTCCAAGAATACATCTAGGTCGCAGCGTTTTCTTTTGATATTGAAGCCCACATCTCAAACTGGGCTCAGTCTTCAAGCACGCTTTGTTAAGCACGATGTATGGCAAAAGCAATCGCTTTGCCGAGGACCTGTGCAGCTTCTCCGTATACTGTACGGCTCGTAGAAAAGTACAAATCATGTTCACGGAAAATCGTTCCGCTTAGGGACGATGCTAACTACAATTAGGAAAGCTTTAGGGTTCACTACACATGCGGCCGGACACGTACTCAAGCCTATACGTTTACATTACATGGGGTGTTAGGCAAAAACGTCAGTTTCCGCAGCGTAAATGAAAACGAAAAGTCTCCAGGGAGAACCTGATGTCTACCTTCCCTTCTGTCTTCTTTCCATTTTAATTAACAGGCTCTGATCACCTTCTGGGCTGACATTCACAGTGTCCCCGCCATGCCTTCGCAAAGTCACCTGGGAAACCCCCGTCTTCCTGGGAATAGTAGTTTGAAAACCTCGCTCTTAACTGGGATACGGCAAAGAGGCGCGCAAAAGAGACTACATCTCCCACAATTCAAGGCGGCCAGAGCACGGCGCAGGTCCTTCCCGCGCCCCCAGACGCCTCCGCGCCCAGCGTCGGCGCAGACGCTGCGCGTCCCTGGAGCGGCGGAAAGTGGGGTGTTGGTGGGGGAATTGGTACCACCCACCCTACGTGGTTCAGGCGGGACTTGCAAAAGCCAAATTAGCAGTTACAATCTACGTGTTTTCCTGATCCTTATAGAGAGGACTGTGCACAGTGGGAAATACCCCCTTGGACTGTGGTCTTGCCAATTCCGCGTGGGCAAATGATTTAGTTTTTGCGTTTTACTGTGTTTTCAGAAAAACTGGACAATAAAGAGTCAGCAAGTGGGGATGAACGAGGCCGCTGCAAAGCAGGCACCGGTTTCCTAAATGGTTAAGCCGCGAACTTGGCTTGGCGCCCTAGGCGGCAGAATGTTAGGGGTGGGTAAGGAAGCCGAGGCCCGGAAGTTTCTAGAAGCCCGCTCTGTGAGCGGGTGTCTGGCGCGGTGCCGTCTGCGCAAGGGTGGGCATACCGTTACTTTTGCTCACGCGCGCATGCGCATAAGGGGTGTGGCGACGTGCGGGCGTGGGGGCGGTGCGTGCACTCTTCGTTTCAGCCCTGGCGCGGTCCTGTGGTGAACTCCTTGTCTCTATGGCGACTGGACGCGGTCGGATCTTGCAGCAGCACTGGCTCGGCCTCCAGACGCTGCGCGGGCCCAGCAGGGGCGGTGGCGCGGCCCGGGGGCGCGCCAGGGCCTTTGGGTGCAGGTGACTGTAGGGCCTGCGGGTGGGGTCCCCTGGCGGGAAGCCCGTCACTGCGCGGCCCCGCTCTCTTCACCGTGTATTTTATTCGTCCAGCTTGGCGCAAGGCCCGTGGCCGTCTTCAACGTGAGAAGGGTATGGAAGAACGACCGGAGGAAATCCTTTCTACCCTGCAACGTGGGGTACCCTAAGTTATGACACAAATAGAGTAGCCTCTCGGGGAAATATTTTTTCTTGCGGCGCCTGTGGCCGGGGATGCGCGCACCTGCCAGGACAGGTGCAGGTCCAAGAGGTCGTTTCTCCGGGATGCGTGCCCTAAATTCACGTGTGCTCCGCCCCTGCCTTCGTATTTTCGCTCTTCTGTAACCAAGAATCTCCCTTCGTGTTTTTCATGACCTTACAACTTAGGGAAGTAGAGTCTGTTCATCAAAACCTTATCAGTTGACACCCTCATCCCCCAAGCAGATACCTCGGGCAGGCAGGTTGGTCTGGCGGGTGGGGGGCAGCACTTTCTGCACCTCCAACGTCAAGGCTAAGTTGCCATCTACATTGCCAGGTCTTGCTCATCTGCTTTCCAGAAGCATCTTCAGCGTGAAGAAGTAAAATGAGCCAGTGCATCAGAAGTATCAGCATGCATAATGGTACCTTATGAAATCCCTCTCATTATATCGTGAGCTGTTCCCTAGCTGTGTACCCATCACTGCAGTTAGTTTACAGATGGAGGGATAATGCCAAGAATGGTTTACATTCTTGAGGATTATCTTTCTGCTTGTAAGACTCCTTGATTTATAAATAGGGAAAGTCATGCATATTTTGCCTTCTAATAAACCAATGGTCTATGTTTAAGCACACAAAGGGAGTCTATTACATACTAGTTGAACTACTTGTTTTTTCCCCCTGAATCTCCAGAACTATGTCCTGTGTCCTCTCTAGGTCTCCATTACTTCCACTTACCTGTTTTCAGAAGCCCAGCCCTGTTGCTTAGTGCTGTGATAATAGTTCTTAATTGAATACCTATAATGCTAGACATACCACAAGCCTTGTCACAAATAGAATGGTGACAATGCCTGCAAAAATTCTTTTATGTAGGAGAAAAAGCAGGAATTTAAATAGGAAACTTGAACTTTTAATCAATTTGCTGCTATTACTAAAATTAGTCTTTACATAGTGCTCTATTAGGGGGAAGCAGAATGATTTTTATATGATGAATCTTTTATCCTTTGTAAGTTGAGTGAACTTCCTGGATTGATATAATTAGAGGGCCTGTCATTATGCCTGGCATGGGAACCTGCATTTCAAGCTGATTTGGAAATGTATGCATTATTTTTGGTAAAGAAAAGTCCGCTGCTAAAAATAGAATGATTGACTATGGTCAAAGCAGGTGGTTATTTTAATATATCGCTGTGGAAAATTAGATGTTGTTAAGGAATCAGTGTTCCCTTTTAACACAAAATGTGAATATGTATAAATATCACAAACTGTAAGAAGTGTAGCAGAAAGCGTATTAAGTTGGCTTAATTTGTACCTGCTGTAATTTATTTGATTTGCCAGATATTTAAAATGAAGCACAGTCATTAGGTTTTTAAAATATTGGACTTATTGAAAGCTATCAGACAAAAACCTGTCACTTGAAAAAAAGTGTTTTCAAACTAAATTTATCTTGCTAAATGTATCAGTGTATGTCTACACTTAACCTTGTAGACGTATAGATTCGCATAAAAACATAAATAGAACTTGCTGATTTGTTAATTATGTGGACCTTAAAAATGTGCAATTGGGGCCGGGTGCAGTGGCTCACGCCTGTGATCCCAGCACTTTGGGAGGCGGAGGCGGGCAGATCTGGAGGTGAGGAGATCGAGACCATCCTGGCTAACACTGTGAAACCCCGTCTCTACTAAAAATACAAAAAAATTAGCCCGGCATGGTGGCGGGCGCCTGTAGGCTCAGGTACTCAGGAGGCTGAGGCAGGAGAATGGCGTGAACCCAGGAGGCGGAGCTTGCAGTGAGCCGAGATAGCGCCACTGCACTCCAGCCTGGGCGACAGAGCCAGACTCTGTCGCAAAAAAAAAAAAAAAAAAAAAGTGCAGTTGGTTTATTTTATGGATAAATAGAAATGTGTTTCCAATAGTGTTAAAAGGTACACTGATAAGATGTATGGTCTCATGTAAGACATGGTACAGAGAGCTCTGACAGGACATTAAGGAGATGGGCGTCTCAGAGACTGTCTTTGCTTCTAGCTTGGGACCTTAAGTTTCTTTAGTTGCCTTGTTAGAGCCTTAGCCTTGTAAACTGAAATGAGGGACTCTATGAGATCCATTTTAATTGTGAAAAAACAAAACAGCAAGAAATAAGCTTTGACGTTTTAAAAGTGTGAAAACATGTTTGTAATAAAATAGCCTTCATATTCCAATTAAATAAAGGATGAAATGTCTTAAAGCACTTACACATTACCTTGTGCAGAGTATATGATTAAGAAGTATTTGTAGAATTGAACTAACTAAGCCCTGTTAAATGTTTTAGCCAAAGATAGAGGCATATCCATTCGTTACTGAATTAGGGTTTCAGATTAGGGAAAAGCATTTGGTACTTAAAAAAAATAACTAGTACCAAACAGGATTTATTTGCTTAATCGTTATTTAAAACTATCTTTGAGTGGGGAGAGTTACAGCATGACTTTGAGGAACTTACTAAGATCATTTTATTTACATATATTTTATATGCATATATGTTTACAAAACAGGTGACTTTATTTCACTGGTGTTTTCACAGTAATCTTTCATAAATTCGGGACACACAAGTTAAGGTTTTCAGTAAGAACTTGGTGGTGGATTAAGCCAGTATGTATTCTTGAAACATCTAAGCACCCTGGCGCTGTGCTTCTCAAACGAGTAGTTGTAGTGGGTGGGGAACACATAGAGCATCTTCTTTGTCTGCAAAATCAACACAAAGGCTTTGGGGAAAATGTTAAATAATTTAACTGGTAAATAATATAATACATTTTTATGATAGGACAAAGACAGATTATTTAGTAGAATGCAGTATTTGCTTTAATTTTTAAGATCAATTGGGAGACTCCTAAGAAATTTTGAGTTTGCTGCAGACTGTACCCCCAGATTTCGGGGGACCTGGTTTCAGTTTCTTTGCAAGAGTTCTGTTGCTAGGAATGCCTTTGAGAACCACTGCTCCAGTCTCAAGGATTGTGCTGTCAAACTGTGATTCCCTGGCCTTCTTTTGCATGTGACTCTTAGGTTTGAAATTAAAACAACACCCCCACCCCCCAACTTATTACAGATTCAATATGCTAAGAAAAATTAGAACATACATGGAGTTATGCCCCCTAAATCGTCCCCATTTAAAAAGACCTTCACCAACAGATTTTGTAATCCTATGAATCAGATCTGTTAACTGTTAAACCTTGGTGTCTCTAGATCTCTTTTCTTTGTATGCATATATTTACTTTTCCTCTTAGAGAAATAGAAAAATAAGTTTATGTATTAGGTTGGTGCAAAAGTAATTGTGGTTTTTGTTACTGAAAGTAATGGCAAAAGCCGCAATTACTTTAGCACCAACCTAGTAGTATATACTGATATAACCTGCTTTCTCAGTTATACTGTTAGTGATTCAGCGATATTTATTGAATGCTGCTCGCATGCCAGGCATATTGTGGGTGCTGAACGATCAGCAGTGAACAAACCCATGCAGTATAACTGCCCATGTCATTCCAGCGATAGTAAGCAAGACAGGCAGGTTAAATGTATAGTGTTGGATGGTGATGTGTGCTAAGGAGAGAAACAGAGAAAGGACACAAAGTGCATGTGTGTGTGGCAGAGGGGACTGGATTGCAGTTTAAATATAACAGCCAAGGAAGGTCTCAGTGAGATGGTGACATTGTAGTAAATGGCTGAAGAAAGTGAGGGAGCAAGCCATATAGACACCTGGAGGCCATCAGGGACCTGTTTCTAATTCAAACACTTAACCTGGGTTGAAAAATCTATATTTTAATTGACTAGACATTGTTAACTCTATGGAGACCATGCAATTTAACCAATCTCTATACCGTTTTTAGTATTTTTTTCCCCCAGTGCAGACAACTCTGAGATGGACATTCTTGAGTGAACTATCTGTGCACATTTCTAGAAGTGGAATTCCTGGCTTAAAAGAGCATATGTGCTTTTTAAGGATCCTGGATTCCAATATCAGATTTGGCTTTCCATAACGTTTGTACCACTGTATCTTGTCTTACGGGCAGTAAATGAGGATGCCTGTTTCTTTGTAACATAGCCAGCATGAATCATCATCATTTATTTGGTATTTGCCAATTGCTAGATTAAAATTGATCCATCAGATGAATTTACTTTTCTTTGGTTCTCTTGGAAAGGCCTAAGGTAACAGTTTTTATTTTTCTGGCTTCTTATTGAGGAAATAAACAATGACAAAAAGCTGTTACTGATTCAGTAAGGTATTTATTTAATATCTTAAATAAAATTATATTTGATGAACTACAATAATATTTATGTTTAAAGTATATATAGAATTATTCATATGATGCTTAGGGTATGTGTGGACTCCGATTCTAGGTACAGCCAACCCCCACACTCCCATAGGCTTAAGGGTTACAGGTTTGGAGCTCCTGATAGGAATTGTTATTGTTTGATGAAGGAATGATAGAAATTCCCTTTATTTGAAGCTTAAGTGTTAGAATCCTTTATCAATTGTAGATATTTTATCTTTGAATATGTAATATAAGTCAATACAGACTTTACAACAATAATAACCATTTAAAAATAAGTCATGCTTTTAAATAATTTTAGAATGTATTACAAATTTGTTTACTGTGTTGACTATTGACAGTAAACAAAGTGTATTATACCTTCTAAAGTTATTTATGTCCTTCTGGAACACCAGGATGTGACTTTCTTTAGATATAGGGTCTCTGCAGGTATAATTAGTTAAGATGAGGTCATACTGGATGAGGGAGGGTCCTAAGTGCAATATGAATGATATCCTTATAAGAAGAGGCACAGAGACAGATATGCCTAGAGGGAAGATTGCTCTGTGAAGATGGGGGCAGAGATTAGAGTTATGCTGACACAAACTAAGGGACACCAAGGATTTCTGGCAACCACCAGAAAAAGGAATGATCCTCTCTAGAGCCTTCAGAGGGAGCACGGCCCTGTTGACAACTTGGGTTTTGGACATCTGGCTACTGAGACATAATACATTTCTGTTGTTCTGAGTCACCCAGTTTGTGAAGGTAGTCTTAGGAGACGAATGCAATTAGGAAATGATATTTTACTTATGATTACTATGTTAGGACCATGTTAATGGAGCCTAAGCTTTTCTCCTGTGGAAATCTGTGTTTAAACAAAATTTCTAACAGAAGTACAAAAATATATAACAGGTAGAATTATCTGATTAAAGGAGGAGAGGGTATTGCAAAAATGTCCCAATTAGCATTTCTTCCTGTCCTTTCTCCCTGTCTTCCTGCCCTGCAGAGCACAGATTGAAAACCATTGGCTAGAAAGTCATATAAGACCAAAAGTATATTAAGCACCTTTTACTGAAGCTGGGATGGAAAGGCATGTGGAGCCAGCATTTTTTTTTCCTCGGTGCATTTTTACTCTTACAGGATCTGGAAAAGTTTACCTTATGCAACTTCTTTGTTGAGATGCCAGTGGAGCAGCTGATCACTAATATTTGTGGAGGGCCTACCCTGTACCAGCTACTGTGCTTTTTTCTAGAGAGAAAAATTCACAAAGGGAAGAGGAATTTACTCTGTAGCTGCTTGGAAGCATGTGGAGACTTGTGCCTGGGAAGCAGGGCAGCCAGGTGCCAGTGGGTGATTTGAGTGCGTGCTGCATATCATGATGCTGTCTTGCGGTAGGCTCCAGGCTACACTGTCACCTGGCCAGCTGATGCCTAGGGCAAGGGCTCCTTTTTCACCACTTGTGTCATCTAATAGGTTGTGCTCAGAGTTGAGGGCCATCCTCTGTTAAGACCAGTTGTGTGTGGATTTCATACTTCAGCTTTCAGGGGGGTTGGTTCATTACTTTTTCTTCCAAGTTCTTAAGGCATCTCTTTTTTTGCTCCCAATTGTTGCCCTCCTTTATGAATGTTGTTTCAACTATATCTGGGGAATTGGCCTGGTGTGAAAAACTGAGGGTGGTTAAACTGTCAGTGCACAAAGTACACATTCAAAGCAATGATGTTGGTGAACTGAGCGTATACATAATGTACTCTCTAGGATTTAGCCACTTCTTAAATAGCACATCAGGAAGGAGGTGCGCCAATATCCAATACCTGTGTGTTGTATGTTGCTTAAAGCAGAAGCTTCCAAACCTTTCCTAGAGAAATAGTGTAACCATTCATGGCTCTCCGGGTGTGCTGCTGCCTAGACATGGAGGCTGTGAGCTGTATGATTTTCTGGTGTTTCAGATTCCCTCAAGGTGCTGCTGAGTACTACTGGTTTTGAGGACTGATCTTAATAAAATTTACTTTAGGAACCTCTGAAAAAGACTCACTGCATAAAAATATTATATGCTATTTCATTGAATCTAAAAAACCATTCATTCTAAGATGCACTACTGTTTTCTGTACCACTAAAATAAAAAGATGGCCAGTGAAAATATATTGCATTGAATGGGAGAGGTTAAAATGTAAAAGTTTGTGGATGAGTATTTGGTAGTTTGTCTATGACTGCAAAAGCTAGAGTTGGAACCCTCAAAGATCAGAAAAGTTGTAGATTGTGTTTTATGTTGACAGTTCTAGTTTACTAATAGTAAGTTTTTTAAAAAAAACTTTAATGGTTTCTGTTTTATCCAAATTGGCTAATCAGTACACTAACTGTATCCTTTTTGTTTCCATTAAATGTATTTGGTAACACCTCTTTGACATGTTGAAAGCCTACAGTGAGAGTGTATATTTCTAAACCTTTGGGTGAAAGCACATCAGAGTAAGTACGGTCTTGAGGTTTCCTTACCAGGACACTAAAGGTTTCACTGCCTCTTCCTCCCTTCTCCCTGCCTTTCTTCCTTCCTTACCATCAAGGTCTCACTGTCTCTTCCTCCCTTCTCCCTGCCTTTCTTCCTTCCTTACCATCAAGGTCTCACTGTCTCTTCCTCCCTTCTCCCTGCCTTTCTTCCTTGCTTACCATCAAGGTTTCACTGTCTCTTCCTCCCTTCTCCCTGCCTTTCTTCCTTCCTTCCATCTTTTCTTCTTCCCTTCCTTTTTTTCTTTGCAGAAATTAAGTTTTTCAGTGAGTAATCTTTGGAGTTTATGAATCCTTTGGAATTTTGTAGAAGGGAATAGATAATTCACCTCATTTGGTAATTACATAATTTGAATTTCCCACATTTACTTTCAGAAAGGGGCCAGGGGTCAAGCTTTCTGCAGGCTCTGCTGCCCTGAGGTGCCATGCCGGAGGTGGACAGCACTGGGAGAGCTCTTTCTCCTGCTGTTCTGGGTTCCTGGATGGGTAAGTAGCAGAAGTAGACTGTCACTTTTGGGGGCCTCTAGGCATGGGGTTATTAGAGAAAGTTATGATGCTGTATATACCAAGTTGCTATTTTGAGCTTGCTAAGAATAGGATTGTGTAGGAAGACAGTACAGCATGGAGCATTTGATGAGTCATGGGCCTGTCACCACTATCCTTATGAGATGAACTTTATGAAACGAAACTTCAAGAAGTGACAAGTAAATTGAATTTTCCTTTTATTAAAACGTTCTTCAAAAATATTCACTTTTGAGTTGATAAAGACCCTTGAAAAAGGAGAAAGAAAGAAGATTAAAGTGTGTTTTCCTGAAAGCTCAAGAGCTCTGTTCATTTCTCAGCTTTCAATATCTGGGAGCCCATTTGCCATGGCAAGATTCTGTGCTGTGACCCTCAGCACCAAGATCCACAGAAGCTTTAAAAAATTATTATGTTTAATTGATGCTCAGAAGTCCATAGATTTGTACTGTAGTAACATTTATGGAACACCGATTATATGCTAAGCCTCATGGGGAGCCTGAAAGCTTGAGATGATCACAGAGAGACATTTTACACTGCAGGAAGCTAGGCCCACGTAGTCTGCATATTGCAGAACTGTGTGATTCAGATATAAGTTGCCTGATTTCAAGTTCTGGGCTTTTAATACTGTATCACAGCTTGCTCAGCTAACAGTGTACATATCTGTATACACATTTCAGTGTATTTTAAAAAAAGCCAGAAAGGATATTTCATTAAGGACATTAATTTCAGCTTAAAACCCTATGCTCTGGGAATAGGCTGTTTTACAGGCATCTGATATGAGAAATGGAGCAAATATTCCTTTGGTTAGTCCATCCATTAAATATTTGAGGACCTACTCTGTAGCAGATACTGTTCTTGGTGCTGGGACAGAAATGGTGAGCCACTCACATGTTCTCATGAAGCTGATGATTAGTCGGGGAGGCAGATTTAAAATACAGTAAGCTGGGATACCTGTTGTTGAGAAAACAAATGGATCCCCCAGTCCAGAATAATGGGGTGGCGTGGTGAGGAAAGACTTACTTCAGGAGGCGCATTTAAGATGAGAACTGAACACTGAGACTCAGGAGCTTCGAGAGGAGCTTGCCAGCGAGGGGAGACCAGAGGTGTGGTGGTGGGGGCTCCAGATGCTGCAGGAACAGTGTGGGGGTCGGGGAGCCCATCAGGTGGGGCTACCAGGCTCTGGGGAGGAGTGTGGATGCCATGTAGTTTCCCAAATTATCTTGTTTATTTGTTTACCTCTCTTCTCTAGAAGTAGGGAAGACGGAGAGACACAGGCAAGTGGGAGATATAGTTGGGGGCATGGCTGACATGATTCATTTATGAATTAATGTAGGTGTGAGGGGGAAACAGGCAAGTAGGAATCCAGAGCTGTTGGCTGAAGCAGTAGCACAGGTTGAGGTGCTGTTGACTGAGATGGAAGAGAGGTGGGGTCAGGGCGGAAGAGAGGGCCATGATAATGACTTTGGACTGGTTACAGCTGAGATGCCTGGGATAGGTGCAAAGGAGGATGCCAGATGGATGATGGATGTGTCAGTCTGGCTCAGGATGAGGCCTGGTGGGGTCAGCAGTCATGGAGCTGGGTGAGGTGGCTTAGGGAAAGGGTGGGGAAGGGAAGGCAAAGGCGACTCAGGAGCAAGCTTGGAGGACCTGCGGCAGTGAGAACCAACCAAGCAGGCAGGGAAGAGCCCTGAGGTCCAAGACATTGAGGAGAGGCTGTGTGTGAAGCAGAAGAGGAGAGAGCCTGCAACACAAGAGCAGTCGGTGACCTGCGGCCTGGGGAGGCGGGGGGAGGAGGCAGCAGGGCATGGTGGCCCCTCACAGCTGTTGCAGGTGAATGCAAGGGAAGGGGCTGGCCGCTCATTTTCCTACTTGCGTGTGTTCTATTCCACACTGGAATGTAGAAAGCAAAAATTAGGGAGCTTGGAGGTGGAGGCAACAGGTGTAGACAAGTGTTTTGTTTTCTTTTGTTCTTTCCCAGAGCTTGGCAGTGCGAGGGAGCCTAGAAATTAGGTGGCGGCTCCAGAGAGATGGGGGTGGGGAGAACCAAAGGAAGAGTGCAGTTTCAGATGAGAGATTCAGGGTGATTCAGAGGCTCCTATGAACAGTGTGGAAGAGGGAGGCAGGAACCGGAGGCTGAGGTCCTTGTGCAGAAACCGTGGGGACCTAGAGCACCGGTGCTTTGATGAGAGGAAGTGAGCATTCTCCATCGGAATAGGGGGAAGAAAGTGAGGAAAGCAGGAATATTGGGATAGATCCACAATATGAAGCAGGGACAAGGACGTGTTCACATTTGAATTCCCACAGTACTGAAAATGAACACGCACAAATTAACATTCTCAGGGAAGCTTGTTGGTTTAGAGCAGTTTCTTTGTTCTACATTCTGAACTTCTTTAACGGTCCTGCCTCTCACCTCCCCTTTCCCTTATCTCCCTATCATCCTGTCTCCTTACCCCACACAAAGTGAAATAACTAGAATCCAACAGAAAGTAATCCAATATGGGTGTAAACATTGTGTACCAGGTTAGAAGAAATTATTTGAACAATGATTAAGAATGTATTCGATCTCCACTGTCTTAACTATAAAGTAGAGATTTTCTCCTTTTGCTAGAAGGACACAGAGTACCCCCCTTTTCATTAGGTTAGTCCAGTGGGGAGGAAGGTAAAAACCTGCTGAATGCCTGTCTTGAATGGGATTTCATTCCAGTTAAATAATTCTGGTAGTTGCTGGATACTTTTCTGAAATGTCTTTAAGCCCAGCTCTGTTTTTTTGTTCAATGGTACTGATTTAAAAAATAATAGATATGAAGTTTTGTGAAATAGTTAAATCAAAATATAAAAATTATATGCAATGAATAATCCAAATGGTCACAAAAATATGTTTTCTTGCAACTTTGCTGTCTCTAGCATTAGAGACTTTTTCTCATTGCAAGGATCTAATTTATTGACTCTGAATGGGAGGGGTTTTATTTTGGGGACTGATTTAATTAATGCTTAAGCAAAGCTTTTCGTTTAAACTCTCAGAACGTCTCTGGTTAACTATAGCTGGAGATTTGAGCAGTGGGGACATTTACATGGTGATGCATATCCAACAGGCATAACGTTAACTGTCTTTTTTCTGAAGATCTACTTTATTCTTTCTCAGTATTATCGGAGTTATAGGACTGATTATTTTCCTGTGAAACACCCAGTTACCTCATTTCCTTGAAAAATAAACAAATTTAAAATCATAACAATCACAAGTAGACAGTATGGGCAAGCCCTTTTAAATTGGACAAAAGATTTCTCCCCTGACTCCTTTATCCCTAGAACTGCCCCCCACCGACCCTTGATACAATCTGTGGTAGCTCTGTTGCCGCTTGCCCTTTTGCTGAAGATTCACAGAGGCGCACTCCTGACTTCTTGACACTAGTGATACTTTCTAGTCGCTTTCAGATTATTACTGTGTTTTATAGAATTCTGAGATCATAGAAATAGGTGGAATATTGAGACTATATCTCACTATCATATTTAGGCATACAAATAAAACAGACACTTCAGAAAAAACTTATGGCCCTTGGTGTCTCCTTGAAGCCCCAGACGAAGCAGTGAAAAGCCCAAGGGTGCTCAGAAGGTGGCGCCTGGGATCGGTGTGGGCGAGGTGGGAATAAGCTGCTATTTCCCATTATACTTACTTTTTTGGGGAAAGAGATTCTGTGTTTTTCTTATTAATACCTAAGAATATGTTCTCTGATTCTCTTTTTATCTCACTAAAGAAACATACCTAGTTTAGGCCAGGTTTGGTGGGCAACATGGTGAAATTGCACAAAAAATACAAAAAATTAGCCAGGCTTGGCGGCGTGCGCCTGTAGTCCAGCTGCTGGGGAGGCTGAGGCGGGAGAATGGCTGGAGCCTAGGAGTTCTGGGCTGCAGTGAACCCTGATCATGCCACTGCATTCTAGCCTGAGTAACAGAGCAAGACCCTATCTCTACAAAAATAATAATAAAAAAATACACAGTTTCATGGGGGACATTGAAATCCTGCCTGTTGATTCACAGTGTATGAACGTGATTAAAATGCTGAGGAAGTTAGCTCTTCCAACCCTTGGCTCTATTTATGGTTTATGTCATGAGAATTAGAATAACCAGAACGTTTCAATAAAGAAAGTAATTGAAGATGAGGGTACAGTTTGCCTCTTGTACAGGAGGGGTCTCTCTACGGCCTTCTATTTAGAGATGAGCAGCCAGTTGTTTTCTGGGTAATCTGCAGATTAAGCCCTGGTCCACTCTGGTGATTTTTTTTTTCTTTTTCTGTTTTTGCAGAATGCCTTCAGAAATCTTGCTGAAGATATTTTCCTACTTGGATGCTGTGAGCCTTCTGTGTACTGGATGTGTGAGCAGGCGCTTTTATCATCTAGCCAATGACAAGTAAGCAGAAATCCAAGTCTCTGTTATGTTTTGATGACAGTTTGATGGAAGTCAGGAAAACTAGTAACTTTTTAACCATTTTTAAGAATTTAAGAGAATTCAAGAGTATTTTTACACACAAGTGGAAATGTCAAATGCTTTAACTATGAAATTTTCAAATATTTGCATTTATATGCTTAAAGGAATATACTTTGCATGGAACAAAAAAATCAAACTTGTTATTGCTGTAGCTGTTACAGAATGCAGCTTCAGGTCTGTTGCCAGGAGGTCTTCGCTGTATTCCCCACAGAATCAGACCTAACCACAGAGTCTCAAGCAGCACTGCAGGGACCTGCTGGCTTTGACCCTAGCCGTGCATTCGCAGAGCAGAATGAGTGCTCTCTGCTGATGGCCAAGCAGATCCTAAAGAAAGAGAAGGAAGAGACTAAGTTAGGTGTACTTAGCTTCTCCTCCCAAACATGCCAATCAAGTTAACTTACTCTGTGGGGAGAGCGAAATGGATAGAGAGAGGCCAAGACTGTCCTCTCCTAGAGGTTGTACGCTTGGATGAAGGGAGCCAAAAGAGAGGGGTTCACCTGTGGTCATCTGGTCTTGCAGGGGGTGGATCTAGGAAGGAAGGGGAGAAACCTCTGCTTCTGTTTGTCACTATAATCTTAGCCTGCATCTCAGAATTGTATCTTGGAGGGAGAGATGGTGGAATCCTCCTTTCAGTGAGGATTTCGTGGCTTACAACAGAACATCTTGGCTTTTTAGGCCCCTCTCTCATTTAGCATCAAAAGATCAGACAAACATCATTCCTACATAGAACCTGCATGTCAGCTGGGGAGATCAGCAAGATGAGAGGGAATGCCGGTTTTAACTGATGGTTTTGTTTGCTAGGTAAGGAGACGGAGAGTGGCAGAATGAGAGCTGTCATATTAGTTAACCCTGGAACATGGTGGACAAGAATGTCATTTAGTGCAGTGGTTCTCAGATGCCATCCAGGGAAGACTACATATGAACCACCTGGGAAAGTTTAAAACATTTCCATCCCTAGTCTGCATTTCTAGGGATTATAATTTAGTGCTCTGAAATCTGTATTTTAAAAATTCTCCAGCCAGGCGCAGTGGCTCACACCTGTAATCCCAGCACTTTGGGAGGCCGAGGCGGGCGGATCACGAGGTCAGGAGATCGAGACCATCCTGGCTAACACGGTGAAACCCCGTCTCTACTAAAAATACAAAAAATTAGCTGGGCATGGTGGCAGGCGCCTGTAGTCCCAGCTACTTGGGAGGCTGAGGCCGGAGAGTGGCATGAACCTGGGAGGCGGAGCTTGCAGTGAGCTGAGATCGCCACTGCACTCTAGCCTGGGTGACAGAGCGAGACTCCATCTCAAAAAAAAAAAAAAAAAAAAAATTCTCCAGGTCATACTAATGAATAGTCAAGTTCCGAAATAACTAATCTAGTCCATCTTTGTTGTTAGGTGTATGCCACTTAAGTGAGGAACTCAGAATAAGCCCTCAGATCTCATTAAAGCTGTCCTCAACCATTGTCATACTCTGAAGAGGACATACACTGTTCCCTAGTTGGAAAGGGTGATTTTTCTTTTAATTTAAAGAGATGTTTCCTATATGGAAGAATATATGTATGTCTATGTCAATACATGCACACACACACAAACACACACATACACATATCAATGAATGAACTAATAATGTTCTTCACAGTAGTTATAGAATGAATTAGAGCAATTTCTACATTTCCCTTCCTTAATGATTGTTGTAGTTTACGTAGTTGAGATTTGTTTGTTTCCCCAAGCCTCATGTTGAAATTTGATCCCCAGTGTTGGAAGTGGGGCCTAATGGGAGTCATCTGGGTCATGGGAACAGATCCCTCCTGAATGGCTTGGTGCCTTCCTTGTAGTTCTTGCTCTAGAGCTGGTTGTTTAAAAGAGCCTGGCAGACCTCCCTTCCTTCTCTCTTGCTCACTCACTCTATTTCTCTCTCTCTGCCGTGTGATCTCTGCACAGTTGGCTCGCCTTGGTTTTCTGCCACGTGTAGAAGCTTCCTGAGGCTTCACCAGAGGCAGATGCTGGTGTTGTGCTCCTTGTATAGCCTGCAGAACTATGAGCCAAATAAACCTCTTTCCTTTGCAGATTACCCAGCCTCAAGTATTCCTTTGTAGCAACACAAAGAGACTATGACAATGATCTAATAAGAGATGAAGGTGGTCACTAAAAGAAAGCACAGCAAGGCATTTTTCAAGGAAGGAGTCAACCAAATATCTAAAACTAGCATTCTGGAGGGTTCCCACTTTATTTAAGGGTAGAACTCAGACTCTTCAGATAAGCTGATACATTGTATATTTCTTAGTTTCTTTACTGTCTTCTCTCTCCACTTCACCTGCATGGTGAAGAAACCAGGCCTGGAATCAGATTTGGAGCATGGCTCTAGTGATGTTTTTTGCATACTTTTAGTATTATTTGTGTGCCCTCCTCACTTTCTTGGAAGTTGCCGTTTGGAAATATGAGCTACTGATGAAATTGCACTCACATTTCTTTTCTTTTTCAAAAGACATATTTAATTGTGCTAAGTTGAATTGCACTTTTTAGGTCCTGTTAAAGGACCTAAAGAGTCATAGTCTGACTCTTAAAGTCAACGTCTGATCATGAAGTCAGACTACAGAAAAGGATGTGTGATAATTGAACAAGTAATCAATATGTGTTTTTGAAAAGTTTACAGTGTATTCTAAGCGTTACTTCTGAAGAGAGGGCAAGCACACATAGTGTAGTGAGTTACACTGATGACTTATGGGCAGGCACACTTGAAGGGCAGGGGGCTCCCCAGTGCCCCATCCCAGCAGCGGGGCTACTCCCTTCTGTGTGAGCCCTGTCTCTGCGTGAGAAAAACAGGGGTGTGTGGATGAGGTGACATCTGGTTTATCACAAGGGGGTTTTATTTGCCATGTACTCTGGCAAACACTATTTATCTGAACATTAAATTGGCCCCATTTTCTAAACAACTTGTTTGAGTTTCCCTGAGCCTGTTGGTAGTTCTGTTGGATAAATATGCCCTCGTCCTCGAATCTGACTAGGCCTTCTAACAGGATGGAGCATTTGGGGATCAAGAAGTAAATGTGTTTGGAGACTGTGAAAGGTATCTGAACCTTAACATTTGTATATTATAAAAAATCAAGGGGAACCATCTGCAATATAAAATGTTTTCACTTAGGTTCACTTACGGTAAGTAATATATGATCATGTATGTGAACATAGTTCATCATACGAATGTTAGTTGTGGTTATGGTTACTCACTGCATGTGGAGTTTATGCTGTGATTCCCATCTCTGCGGCAGTGTTTGTTTTTGCAGTTGGTAAGTGCTAACACATGTAAAAATAGTATCAGAGGTTGTTTAGATAGTGCTGATGTGAGGAATTCAAGGCTCCATAAAGGTCCTGCTAAAGGAATACTTACATAGGGTGAGATGCTGAATAAAATAAATGTGAAGAAAACACAAGCAAGCTTTTATGCAAAGGGAGTTTTAAAAGTGTCTATTCAAAGGATTTTGGTGAAACAGTTTCAGCTTTACTTAAATGTACTCAACTCATCATCGCATTGCATCTGTCCGCTTACATAGGAAAGTCTAGAAATTTCTGAATTGAAAACACAAACACTTTAATATAAAAGCTAGGCATGAAGTGATTTTGCAGAGTGAGAAATGACTGAGAAACCCACACTAGGAAGAGAATTCAACCAGGGTCTGACTGTATGTGAGCTTGCATTTGTTGGGAAGTCCATGTAATGTCTGAGTCAAGGAGGTGGTGTTCCAAAGTCACGTGTTTGAGAAATGGTCCTTTTCTGCTGTGGTTAAGGAAATAGCTCTGCCTCCCCAGAGCACCCAGTTATCCCCAGGGGTCCTGCTGCAGTTCAGGACCACTGCTCTGTGGGGGAATCGCTTTTTCCTTGCAGCCTCCAGGCCGTTGACTGCTTCATCCCATGCTGCTCTGAGTAGTAATGTGGAGACCTAAATGAGCAAATCATTAATGTTTAAAATGCAAAGTTTGCCTTTCAGATAAGGAATTGATTTTAACCGCTGCCTCAGTTTTCCCTGTGTCTTCCTTCTCTTTCCTGGTGGAGAGTACTGGCTGAGAGGGAGGAGCTCTCAGGCCAGCTCACTGCCACCACTCGTGGGGCTTCTCCTGCCCTCTTAGTAGAGATGAGTGGAAGGAACAGACTTTGAGTCAGAGCTGAATTTGAATTCCAACATTGAGGCTTATTGGCTCTCTGAATTTGGGGAGCTTATTCAGTTTCTTTGACCCATTTCTTTGTGATTGAAGAGGCAGTGAAACCCAGGTGATAAGAGTGTGAGCTCTGGTTCCGATCCCAGCTTCACTATACACTTGAGTGCACAGACCTGGGCCAGCTCACCTTGCATCTGAGCCTCAGTTACAGCATCTATGCAGTGGGGACAGGAATACCAGCACCTCCTGGTTTCTTTCTGAGGAATAAATGAGTCATGTATAATACATAAAGTGGTTAAACGATGCTTGACACATAGTAAGTGTTGACAAAATTTAATGTTAACTATTGTTTAGTTGTTACCATTAAAAACCTTCACTTTTTTTCTCTTTGTGAAAGCGTATTCCTTGTTGAAAGTTAAAAAATAGCAAAAAGAGTGTTCAATTCCATTGTTCCCTATTGAAATTTCTTGGTGTGTGTACATACATCCTTTCTGATCTTTTTAAAAGCATGTATGTATTTAAAAACAAGAATCATACTACATATACTTTCTGTTATGTTTAAATAATATATTTCCTATTCCATTACTGGTATAAGAGGGCAGTCGTTTGGATGATCCTAAATAACGTGAGATTACTCACTTGAGACCTGACCCTGGGAAATGGGCTTTTCCTTTTTTTAAAATGTGTTTTTGGTGGTGTTGAATTTAAAACACTAAATCTCAAACTGCAATTCACTTTAACAGATGAACGTTCAACTGTAAATATTCAGCTTGGCTTATTCATGGAATTGGATTATTTGAAAATATGCATCTCTAATTTGATATATTATGACTAAGGTAGGTGACAGTGTCTCTTAGTTAACATATTTCCTCTTTTCCCTCCAGTTTTATTTGGATCGGAATCTACTCAACTGCTTTTTCACCTGCAAGATCAAATTGGAAATTTAATTCAGTAGAGAAGATAGCTATGTCTATGAGCTTTCTGTCAGTTCAGGATAAAGAAGCTGGTTATTGGAAGAAAGAATATATCACAAAACAAATAGCATCTGTAAAAGCCGCACTAGCTGACATTCTCAAACCTGTCAACCCTTACACAGGCCTTCCAGTTAAGACCAAAGAGGCCCTCAGGTACGCAGTGTGTTCCAAAAGAGAATGATGGCATCAGCTCAAAGTATCGTGTACGTAGGACGTATGTGCAGTTTAGATTGTGTGGGACTGTCTCTAGTATTTTTGTGTGTTTTGTGCATCTATAAAATATGTATCATTTTCCTATTCCGCATAGCCTTCTGCATCTGCTGATTCAACCAACTGCAGATCAGAAATATTAGTGGGGGGGAACTTGAAACAATAATAACAGTATAAAAAAGAATACAAATAAAACCAGTACATTATACATAATAACAACAGTTTGCACAGCATTTACATTGTATTAGGTATTATAAGTAATCTCAAGATGATTTAAAGAATACGGGAGGAGGTGCATAGGTTATATGCACATACTATGCCATTTATATAAGGGACTTGAACGTCCACAGATTTTGGTATCATGGGGTTCCTAGAACCAATTTCTTGCGGAGACAGAGGGATAACTAGTAAGTAGCCTAAAGTTTTAATGAAAAGCAGAAGTAACCTACTTATCTGCTATAGTACAATAAGAATGTTCAAGGTCTCTTTTCTGGGCAGAACCTTTGTCTTATTTATATATTGCCAGTACCTGGAAAATCATGGATGTTCAGTGGGTGTTAGGTGAGGAGAAAAAGTCTAAAGAGAGTACTATTGTTGAAGTGAAAATTATACTGGGCACATTCTGAGAATTTTGACTTTGGCTTTTAAGGAACTAGATGCTTTAGAGAAGATACATGAAATTGCCTTTAGCATTTTTTTTTTTTCAATGAGGCAAACATTGTTAGTTTTTTTTTCTTTCTCCAGAATATTTGGTTTAGGTTGGGCAATTATACTGAAAGAAAAAGGTGGAAAAGAATATATCATGGAGCATGTTGATCTTTCCATAAATGACACATCAGTTACTGTTATATGGTATGGCAAAAAATGGCCATGCCTAGCATCATTGTCAACCTTAGATTTATGTGGCATGACACCAGTTTTTACCGACTGGTATAAAACTCCCACCAAACATAGGTAAGTACCAATCAGCAGAACTGTTGAGTGAGAGCATCTTATATGTAAATATTAGTTGGCATTACTTTTGTAATTAAAAAATAAGAGCAGCGTTTTTTAATTTTATCACATATTAAATGTACATTCTGCATTAATGCAGAAGAGGAAAAGAGTGCATTTTATCACATTTCTGATTAGGTCTAAATTTAACTTCCTCGTATCTTGGGGTTGTCTTTAATGGTAAAGAATGATGTTCTAGTTAACAAAATTTCCTGGATGATTGATGGCTAACCTTTGAGGTTTTTCATTTTAACCATCTTAACAGAAAGATATATGTTATCTTCCTTCTTTAGTAAATGGTATACTAATCATAGTCTAAATATGAGGAAACCAAGTCATAATTATGAGTTATTTTGTCTGCCTTCTGTTGAACTTACTAGATATGTGATCTTGTGCAAGTAACTTACTCTTTCTGTGTCTCCATTCTCTCCTCTATGAAATGGAATGATCGTTATACTGGCATAGTATTTAGCATATATGACTGCAATGAATAAGATCGATCAAAAGATATCACTATAAAATGCGTAGATCAGCTAAGTGTGCAGCACATGGGTAATGCTTAGTGAGCCCTTTACTATTCTGTTGTCAGGTGGCTTTGCACTGAGTCCATACTCACTATGAGGCTGGCATTCTGCCTTTCTGAGCAGCTCTCTCGGGCTGTCTTTTTCATCATTGATTGCTTCCTCCTAAAAGCTGGATTATGGCATGCATAGCATCCTCATCTCTGGAGCAAGCTAACATAGCTTTATATAAGATATATTGCAAATATAAAGGTAATACCTGCCTTCTCCTGCGTTGGTTTCCTGCCCTCCCATCTCCTTCACTGTCTCAGTATTCTTTGACTTTTCAGGAGTATTTACCATGTCGTTTTCTTACCATCCTTGCGTGCTGCAGTTCCACCCATTGGTTTCTCTCCTGTCTGTCCTTGCTATGGAGGATACTGTGATATCTGACATTAGTGCCTGCCATCTCTATGGAGGGACAGGGTTCTTTCATGGTTTCCCTGGATACAGACACTTTTTTTTTTTTTTGCAGCTCTGTAACTGGGGACCTTGTTTTTGGCTCCTCTCCATGGCGCCTGCTCTTTGAGCATTGTTTTAGTGATTACTGAGCTCTCTTCCCATGCTCTGAATGTAAGACTATTCAGACCTCTTGGTGCTGGCAAATCCAGGTTTTATTGTACTCTAAAAATATTCTTAATGTTATGATGAAAAATGAATTATTTTTCCTAAATATATTACTGAAGATACTTTGGAAACAGTTACCTTTTAAAAAATGGTACTTTTATTTGGATAAATCTTTGAAATTTCATACGGGATCATGAAGGAAGCCAGCTTTTTCTAATGTAGTAATTAGGCTTTATGCATTTCAAAATTACGTTTGGAGAACAAGTCCACAAACTGTACTAGTTTTGCTAAACAATATGTTACTTGGCATATCATGAAATGTTACTTACAGATATTAGGACAAACTGGCTAACATTAATTCAAATGATCCTGAAGAATTAAGTTAAATGGATAATGTTGAATTATAAAGCTCAGTTAAAGACAGTATTTCCCTGAAATGGTCATCAAGGTCAGAAGTAATAGATACTACATAGTGCCCAATGCTAGAATTCATTGGGAAAATTCATTTGATGTAATTTATTTCTGTGAAACTTCCATGGACTCCAGCCAGCCTTTGATCAACTGTGATAAACAAAACTAAAAGTGTTTTTTAGGATTTGTTTTGATCGGCACTTTTATTGCAAGTTTGTAAGTGAATGCTTTCATTGTGCAGGAATATAAATCCTTGTACGCATCTGTGTGACAGCCAAAAAGAGCCTTTGTGATTTTTATTTGGGTCTTTTTTGTTTCCTCTATGAGAAGTTTTTCAACAACAGTGAAAGCCTCATTGATGTAATCTGGATTTCCCTGTAATTTATACCTTTCTAGTCAGACTCCAAATTTTCTTCCTTGCCAGCACTTTCTGCTCTGCAGCTTGTGCTGTCCCACCCTAAATTTGTGAGAACTGCTGGGGAAACGTCAGCCTTAGTTTCTGTGTCTGTGGCTGTAAGGCCAAGCACATGAGGACTCAGCACATTCCCAGAGTCTATTTAATAAGTACCTCTACAGCCAGATTTTCAGAGAAGAAGGTTTCTCACATCCCCACCCAGCCTCCTCTATCCACATTAATGATACTAGCAGGGACTGCGATTTATTGAGCACCTGCCCCATGCCGTGTGCTCTTGTCCCCACTCAGCAGGCTGGTGATTTCATACACAAAGAACCAGCCTGTGATAGTCGCAAAGTCACTGTAGGTTGAAGCTAAGGTTTTACCTCAGGTTTCTCTGACTCCACAGTGAGGTTCCTGACCCTGCATTTATCCTCCTCCAAGTGTATTCTGCATATGCTGGGTTTATTTCTAATTTCTACATCACACACGTTCACCGACCGTCTCTCCTTACCCAGTTGTTGTTCTCTGCACAAGAAGTTATTTTGAAGAGCTGAACATGGGACTAGGGTCATGTGGCAGCTGCGGATCTGGTTTTGATGCTTCACAGTCCCTTCCACTTTGAAGCTGGACTGCAGCTGGTGTCCTTTTTAACTTATTTATTTAATGTACCTTTGAATTCCTATTGCCTGC
The DNA here is from genome assembly GCF_000001405.40 of Homo sapiens. Taxonomy (NCBI): domain Eukaryota; kingdom Metazoa; phylum Chordata; class Mammalia; order Primates; family Hominidae; genus Homo; species Homo sapiens. Next base: position 74,126,740 of record NC_000018.10, on the reverse strand, counting down.
TGGCTTGTGCCTGAGGTGCTGGGCACCAACTGTTGAATGAGATGTGGCCCCAGCTCCTCAGGGATTTCAGTCTAATGCTGTGTTAGTGTCTCCTTTATGAAAACACTGGTGATTTAGTTTAAGTTTATTTCTGATGTGTCAACTTTCACTATCTCTGAGTTATCCTTGATGATAACTGTGAAAGGCCCATCTGCTTTCCAGCCATCTCCTGAGACCACCCGTTCTTATGTCACTTGAAATAGTGTATCTTTGCTTCTGTGTTGTTTTACTCACTTGACTAGGAATACACATTGAGAGTCTACTTTAGATTGTATTGTGCTGGATTTGGAGGGAATAGAACAGGAGACAATGCTGCCACTTCATCACTTTCCTGGTCCTTCAACTTCCTCCCGGCTGGGTCATTGAGTTGACAGTAAGAGCAAGACGGAGGGGAAGAAATACCTAGTTGGCTTGGAAATCTGAATGTATCCATTTTGCCTTTTATTCATTTGTGTCCTCACCCTGCCAACATGCCACTTAGTTTGAGCACATCATTAACATGCTCTTCAAACACATTTGTGATACACTAAAGAGAATTGACAACACTATGGACAGGAAAGCTCACTTCTCTCTCTCCTTTCCTTGGCATAACGTTCAAAGACTCCGATGGCATTCTTTAATTGCAAAGTACAATCTGAGTCATTTGACCATATCTACCATGATTGGCTGTGACAGACTCATTCGGATCTTCTGCCTGCACCCTGGCCTCCTGGTGGGAGTGTGGAAGGTAAGACTTGAGTCCCTGTATGTACTGTGTCATTTCCCCATCACAATACCACATTTACTTACCATTATGTATGACTTCAAATGTAAAATCCTTTAAGCTTTTCACTAACTGCAATCCATTTTACCATCTCACCAACTTCATTTTTTCAAGCTAACATGGCCCTCTCTGTTCCACCGAGGCTGCTGTGCTGTTCTGCTATGATAGACAACTCTGCTATCTGTTGTTCTGCTGTTCTGCTATCATAGACAACAACCTCTTCCTGCCTTCATGTTTTCCTTCATGTTATTCCTTTCATGTCATGTGGCTTTCCCACTTCCAATCAGTCCACGTTCCTTCTTCTCTTCCTTTCATGCTCTTTCTCTGACAACATTTCCCTTACTATGTGTTCAGCACGCTTGTCTCCCAAGCCTGTTTCTGATCCTGTAGGTGCGGCATTGAGTGAAATCTGCTCTTCAGGGTCAGCTGTCTACGATGTTATCCTTTCTCTCTGCATAAGATTTCTCGTTTCACCAGGTCTGGCTGATATTTTAAGATAGTAGTTCACAAATCTGTTTCTGAGTTGGCGTTATGCATTAGTTTACAATGACTAGACGGGATTAAGACCCTAGCTTCAGACAACACCATCCTCATCCCTTTTCCTTAGCCAACTGTGGCCGTCACTTTTTCTTTCCCTCCTCCCCTTTCTGTGTGAAGGTGGCTTGTGGGCGAGACCGCAGCTTGCCTGCTCTGCATTCGGTGACTCGCATGCATCCAGCTTTGTTGGTTGCAGAGTTGTGAGCACTCTGGTGGCTTCGATTGTCCTCTGCCTGGCTACTGGAGAGTGGCACCTTCAAATTTACCATTTGGGGGTCACCTATGCCCATCAGTGTCAGCTGTGAATCTGGGGAGAAATGGAGGTCAGTCCCCAAATAGTCGCATTTTCTGCTATTCAACCTCATGGACAAGTGAAGAAGTTGAATCTAATCATTCCCACCACGTTGGCCAAATCAAGCAGTTACTTGCAAGAGGAACATTGTGTCAGTAAAGTTCAGTATTTGTAGAATTAATCTGGTATCTGTGAAAGTCTTTGAAAGGAATTTGAAACAGCCTGGAACTAACTGCATAGTTTCACAACTATCATATATATCTTTTGATATTTCACAAGCTCTAGGCTGTGAGTTCTTTTGGTCCTGTGTGCTCTGCATATTTGGGTGAATTGTGGTCCTGCTGTCAATATGAAATATAAGTCTTATTAGATAGTAGTAACATATTAGCAGTAATAATGCATTAGCACTGTGGTGATCTTATGTTTGTAAGAAAGTGCCTCTATCTGCAAGATGAATGTGCTGTGATCTTCACAATGATCTTGTGAAAAATGTAAGCATTTTGGTTGAAATATGTATTCTTCTCAATTAACTTTTCAGAAGGAGGAAGAACTGGCTTTTGTTATGGCAAATCTTCATTTTCATCACCTTGTGGAGAGGAGCACATTAGGCTCGGCTACTATGTATGTATTTATATGTGGGTGTGTTGAATTTTTGTACAGTAAATATAAAGTATTAGAAGTTGATGCCATCTTAATATCCTGAGAATAGCTGCAGAGATATTCTGTTTTTAATCAGTAAACACAAACCAACAGGCACAATTAGCTGTCGCTAAAATAATTGGATTATTCACGAGTACATATTTGCTTTATTTATTCTGGGTCAAGGAATTTGTACCTAGTAGGTTGTTATTTGTATGGGTAGGATAGCTTGATTACTTCAAGATGCCACTACTGTCCTTCAAGTTCTTGCTCTTATGTGAATTTTCACATCTTGTAAGGCATGTAGACTCATGGCCCTTGGGCTGAACCTGGCCTGCGGATGATTCTGTCCGGTCTGGACAGTGTGTGTCTTTTAATGAATTTGCGCGTCTTTAGGTGGCGCACAGGCTTCCCATTTCACTACAGCTCTCACCCTTTTCCTGTGGACTTAGACTCCCTTACTCATTTTTTTTTTTTTTAATTACCTGAGAAGCTCCTGAGTATTTTTGAGTTTGTCACCTTACGTAGTCATGTTTTTCTTGTTGAATAAAACTTTGTCTTGGCTTTGGGTCTGCCTGGGTGTTTGTCCTGCAGATCGGTATTCAGTGCCTTTTCCTGCTGAGCACTTTTGTCCCCTGGACACTGAGAACAACACGGAGGGCAGAGTGGCTTTTATAGAGTGGCCATGCTGGGATCAGCTGCAGAAACATGTGCACCCGTGCTGGGCGGTGGCTGCCTACAGAACTCACATCATTGCCTGTTTTTATAGAAGTTGGTAAAAGTAACATTGAGCAGTCTTTTAAGTTCACAGTATTGAAGATTATAGGGAATCCTATGGAGTTTCATTTGTAGGAGGTAGTGCTTTGATACAGATGGTAATTTTTTAAAAAGTATTTTCAAACCAAGAATTTTATCCCTGGTGTTGACAAATTTGTATGTTTCTTTTGTTTTGCTTTTCAGCCCCTATGAACTGCCTCCACATAGCCCCTTTTTGGATGATAGCCCCGAGTATGGACTGCACGGCTACCAACTCCATGTTGATCTGCACAGCGGTGGGGTTTTCTACCTATGTGGTACATTTCGCAATCTCTTCACCAAGAGAGGTGAAATTGATTGAGTTTTTATTTCATTATGAAATTAAAGGTTGAGGTGAGGGAACCAATTTTGATGTCCGAGTTAAGAATTGCCCTCACTGGTCACTTTATAATCTTTTGGCACCAGTATCCTCCCAGACCCGTGTGTCATCCCAGGGCTTGTGAAAGTCCTCACTGGACCGAGTCTCTTCAGAACTGGCTCTGTCTCCTTCACCACCATCACTCTCAATGCCACCTTCTGGGGGTAGCCCCTACTCATCTTCTCTACTGATGCTTCCTTATTATTTTTCCATGCTCTCTGCTTTCCCCAGACTTCTTCCCTTCTTTCTTAAAGGAATGTGGTAAATTTGCCAGCAGGGCCCGTGCCGCTCCAGGATGAGAGTAAAGAGAAACCAGCCTTTCTCCTCTACGTACTGCATCACTGTTTGCCACACCTACCAAAGCCAGGACAGAGGCTGGGGCAGACAGAGGAAAGGAGGGAGCTTACGCCAAGCAGGAAAAACGAGGGAGTGGAGAATGCCCCATTCTCACTTATCTGATTATTTCCTTTTGGTTTCATTCTACTGTAGCCTGTAAACTTGGAGTTTCATGTAAGGACTTGCTTAGATTCAAGTTTAACATTTCTGGTAAAAATATTTTAAAAGGGAAGTTATGTACTTCATTTTGCATTATATTGAGAGGTATATAATGTCAGGTTGTCCCATTATTAGTAATGCCTGGTTTTATCATCTGGTTAAGATGGTGACCACTAGATATCTTCATTATTAAAAGTATTCTTTTCCAAATATCCTGGTCCTCCAAAGTCTTTCATCTAGTGGACTTGACACTCATTAATGATATGTGCCTAAATCAAATATTTTGTTTAAAAATGTTGATTTTCTAATTATGTCACTATTTCTATATTTATCAACTGAGATTTTGTAAAGAACTTTCTCTTATCACCTGGGTGAACTTCTATAAAGGCAGAGCAAATGCTTAATTCTTTCCTTTTAACTGCCAATTTTCAGATGAAGAAATTGATGTTACAGAGCACAAGGGGCTTGCTGCCTAATGTGCTGGAACCCAATACTGTGACAGCAGGTTTTTGAGAAAGGAAAAGCTTTTTATGGCTGGCCCACTGATAAGGAGACAGGAGTCCAGCTCAAATCTGTCTCCTCATGCTGGCTTTAATGCAGTAATTTTATTAGAAAAGGTGTAGGGAGTGGATTCTGGGATTAGTAGGTGATCGGTGGAAGGAAAGGGAGGTCTGGAAAGTCCTCAGGCATGGCGCAGTTACCTCTTCATGCCCTCGTAGGTCACTTGCAAATTCAGGAGGAGTTAATATGAAACATGTGGTGGGAATTCAGGCTGTGATGTCAGAAAACTCCATCTGTGAAAACTCCAGTTGGCCATATTGGTTCCGACTGATTTCAGCCAGTTTTATCTTACAAGTGGAGGGCGTTTTATTATTTTAGTAAGTTGCCTCTTTTCTTATCTGCCATCTTGCAAACTCAAGCATTTCTGTTAGTCATTAGCTTCTTTAACTCTGGAGCATGGTTTCACTGAGGCACTAGTCATCTCCTGTGGTGGAAGAAATGTGAGCTCTTCTTCTTTCCTCCTCGCCCCCACCCTTGTTTAATGTCACTTTGGACTCTTGGATATTTATTTATTTAATAATTTATAGTCAGTTATAGACATTTCTTTTTGAAGTTACTTGGTCGGTGGGATCTGCTTTGGGCTGCTTCTGTGTCCTGTAGATATCCTCTTTGTCTTTGAGTCTTCCTTGCTTTTTGGCTCAGGAAGATTGCTAGGTTTTCTCGCGTTTGTTGGCATTTTTATCAGAATTATTCAATTCCACATATTAACCTGAGGTATAGTAACATCTATGTTGTTGAATTGTTCCATCCAAGAATGTGGAACATCTTTCAGTTTGTTTAAAAATACTTTTATGTCTTTGAGGAGTGTTTCAGAATTTTCTTCATGCTAGTTTTGCACATTTCTTGTTAAGATATTTATGAAGTATTTAATTCTTGTTACTTCTCTTTCGTTTTATCTTCCAGCTGTTTTGTGATTTCTTTGTGAGGTTTTGGTCTCATAGAATGAATTGGGAAGTATTCTTTCCTCTTGGATTTTTTGGAGGATTTTGCATAGAATTGGTAGTATTTCTTCCTTGTTTGGTAGAATTCATCCAAGCCTGGACCTTTCTTTATGAGAAGACTTTTAACTACAGTTTCCTTTTCTTTCAAAGAGATGGAGCTATTTAGGTTATCCATTTCTTCTTGAGTCAGCTGTGGTATTTTTTGTCTTTTAAGGAATTTGTCCATTTTATCTAAGTTGCTGACTTTATTGGCATAAAGTTCTTCGTAATAGTCCCTTATTATCTTTTTCATGTCTATAGAATCTAGTGACATGATGTGATTCCTGATATTGGTAATTCATGTATTTCTGTATTTCTTTTTTTTCCTGATCAGTGTGGCTGGAAGTTTATCAATTTTATTCATCTTCTCAGATACCTAACTTTTGGTTTTATTGCCTTTTTTTCTGTATTATTTTGTTTTGTATTTCATTGATTTGCATGTTGATTTCTATTCTTTCTACTTTTTTTCTGCTTATGTTGTAATTTTCTGTTTTTCTAGTTTCTAAAGGGAGAAGTGGAAATTATTGATTTGAGAACTTTCATTTTATCATATTGAGACATTTGGTGCTATGAACTTCCACCTAAGTATTGCTTTAGTGGCATCCCACAAAATCTGATATGTTTTATTTCATTTTCATTCACTTTAAAATACTTTCTAATTTCCTTTTTATTTCTTCTTTGATATATGGGTTAGATAGAAGTGTGTAATATAGTTTCCAAATATCTGAGGATTTTCTAGAGATCTTTCTGTTACTGAGTTCTAATTTAACTCAATTGTGGTCAGGAAATATGCTTTGTATTACTTGAATTTTTAAAAAGTGACTGAAATTTGTTGTATGTTCCAGAATATGATCTATTTTGGTATATGTTCCATGTGTACTTGAGAAGAATGTGTTCTGCTGTTGTTGAGTAGAGTGTTCGAAAATATTAATTAGGTAATACCGGTTGAGAGAGTTGATATTTTTTGCCTACTTGTTTTATCAGTTAGAGAGAGGTGTTGAGATCTCCAACTCTGACAGTGAATTTGTGTACTTTTTTGCTGTTTTATCAGTTTTTGCCATGTGTATTTTGAAGCTCTGTTATATTCATGAACACTGGAGACTATGATATCCCTTTGACTAAGTACACACTGTGTACATTGTTGAGGGTGCCCCCAGTGTGCCCTAGTGCACACCAAGGGTACAAACGCTGTGCCTTCTATGCCAGTATTAGCGGAGAACTGAGTCTCTGCTCTCCATGGCTGCAGCCCTCATGGAGTGTTGAATTCGGCATCTAGCCTGACCTGGTGCCACCACTGTGGGCAGCTGGCCTGGGAAATGGGGGAACAAGATGCGATTTCCACAGAGATGAGGTGAGATGGCTGCCTGGTCCCAGCCACAGCTGCTCCTCAGAGCTCTCCTTCCCCTTTAAACCTTGTGAACCGTTACAGAGCCCTGTGTGTCCCCACTCTGCCTCCCCCACCTCAGCCCACACTGCTGCCATCCCCTCTCTGGCCTTATCCTTTTCTGTCCTCCCCACTCTAGCTCCGCTGCAGCTTTAGTGAGTTCCTCTCTGTTCCTTGACTGTATCAGGCTTTCTGTGGCCTCACATTCTTGGTGTGCCCCTCCTGCCTGCAGTGTTACTGCCCCAGATCTTAGCGTGGGTCCTGGGGGTCATGTCTCTCTGAGCCTGATTCACTGACAGCTTCTCAGTGAGGCTTTACCCACTTTGCTACACCTAGAAGCCCTCACTCTCCCCATTTCTCACCTGCCTGCCTCAATTTTTCTTCATAGCACTGTCTATCACACTGAGTTTACTTATTTAGGTAGTTTATATGTTTAAGAGAAGTAACTTCCATGGGGCAGTATTTTGGTTTATTTTGTTCAGGACTGTCATGGCACATAGTAGGCTTGCACATAAATATCACAAAGAGAATGGGTGGCTCCCAAAGGCCATGCAGTTGAGGGGCTCTTAGATAGACTCTTCTGGGCCTGTTATCTTAAAGCTCTTTCTGTTTCTTTAGCTAAAGGATTCTCAGCCGCATTGGCCAGGATCTTTTTGGTCAAAGCTCTTGCAGTTCTCTGTTGCCTCTAGAGGAAAAGATGCAGCTTCAGGATGCTGCAGAGCAGAGCTGCAGGCTGGCCCTTCTTGTGGGACCAAAGCAAGGCGACAGCGAGGGCCTGAGCCTCTCCACCAGGAGTGGGAAGCCCTGCCCTCATCCCGCCTCCCAGGGCCTGGGGAGGCCCCAGGAGGCTGGTGGGGCCTATTTCCTAGGCCACTGTGCTGTTCCAGAGCTGCCACTGCTGGTCTTCCACCACTGCCTTGATTCCTTTTCTCTTACAACCCAGAGGAAGGGCATCAGAGTTCCCCTTCTAAAGTACATGACTGTGTACTTCTCTCTGGAAATAAAAAGCCTCACAAATTCAACGTCTGGCAGAGTACTTTCTACTTTTGTACCTAGGGTAGGTTACTTGGCTACACAAATAAAAATGAAATTTGTGTTTAGGTACTTAGTGTCTATGTCATCCTCTCATTACAAGGCAAACATCAGGAACTTGTGCCATTTCTCATCTGAGATGGCTTATAAGACATAGTTTTTGCAGAATACCAACTGTTCTATAAAAATTGCTTCCAAGACACTAATTATATTACTTTCAGTTTTAAAAATGTTTATTTTGAAATAATTTTACATTGTACAGAGAACTCCTGTACAGTCTTTATACAGAATTTATTCATTTATAACATTATTTGCCATTAAAAAATCATTTTTCTTTCTCTTTCTCTCTCTCTCTCTCTGTGTATAATGTTAATAGACCCCTTGATGTTTATACAACATGTGTGTGTGTATATACACATATATATATATATGTGTATATATGTGTATATACGCAGGTCATAAAATCGTCAAGGGGAATATTAACATTCTGAATCTCAAAGTGCCGGGATTACAAGCATGAGCCACCACACCCTGGCCTACCTTTATGTGATGTGGTGTGGTGGCTCATGTTTGTACCTAGCAATTTGAAAGGCTGAGGCAGGCAGATCACTTCAGCCCAGAAGTTCCAGACCAGCCTGGGCATCATGGTGAAACCCGGCCTCTACAAAAAAATACAAAAATTAGCTGGGCATGATTACATGCACCTGTAGTCTCAGCTACTTGAGAGGCTGAGGGTGGGAGGATCGAGAGTTCCAGGGTTCAGTGAGACATGATTGTGACCCTGCACTCCAGCCTGGGCAACAGAGCAAGACCCTGTCTCAAAAAAAAAAAAAAAGAAATATGTATGTAGAATTCTGTATGTTGGGATCCATACGCATGTAGAATTATCCCATCACTCTATTCTTGAGGAGTTAGGACCTGTTAGGTGCTAGGTCTGTCTCAGTGGACTGTCTAGAACTTCAGAGAAGAGGGCTCGCCATTCACTATTGCAAACAAATACAGCATAGCGTTGATTAATTTTTATGTTTGCATTCCTCATACTTAAAATATGCCCTTAATAATGATGAATACGATAATAATAGGGAAAATTTTTGAGCACTCATTATAGGTTTCTGCTAAATGTTTCGTGTTATTTCACTTCCTTTTCACAGCACGCCTGAGCTGTGGGTACTTTCACCTCCCCATGTTATTGATGAGGAATCAGAAGGTGGTAGAGAGTCAGGTCTGTGTTCTGTAAAGCTAGTAGGTGGCACAGTCTGCACTCAGGTCCGCGCGACTCCAGAGCTGGGTATGTCCTGCTTCCTGTAATATGCTTCCTGTATATTTTTGCCTTTTAAATGATGTGCTTTTAGAGTGTATCTTCTTGTGTGTGTGTGTGACTGTCAGTGTATTTCCAAAGTTTTGGCACTGTAAGTGTGGTCAGGGTAGGCTGTTGACTTGCTGGAGTAACATTTAAGCCAATTTTGTGTTAACGTTAATAAACCCCTTGATGGTTATATGGTTGTTATAACGCATAAGAGGTTAAGTTAAATGAGGGAGAATGGGAAACTGAGTTAGGAATAATTGGCCTTTTGTGATTTTCCCCCCAGTAAAAAGATGACAAAGTAGGATTTCCAAGGTGGACTCAAATATATTTCTACTTCCCATGGTTGCACTACTAGGAGTCAGCAGAGGGTGCTGTTGCCATCAGAGTGTCTTTGTAACATTTTTAAAAGTATTATACAAATAGAATGTCCTCTGTAGTTTTTGAGAAACTCTCTTGTGGTACCATGTGGTATATTTAGTAAATTTCAGCTATGTCATTGCGTTTGGGTATAAATCACTTTGCCCCCATTTTTTAAAAAAGCCTTTCTCCCTATCAAGGATAAAATGTTCTGTCGTCACGTCTGTGGAATGTAGGTGGCTCTCTGCTCTCTTCATCCTCCGAGAGACCTGTGAAGCCTGGCTCGACGCTAACCAGGCAGGCTGTAGGGAGCTGCAGGAAGTAAAGGGATGAGGCTGGGTCTTCTGGGGTTCATCTATTAACAAACCGTTATTGAATGCAGGACATGGGCCACACAGAGGGAAGCCCTGCCTCCATGTGATCCCTGCCTGATAGGGTTAGGGACAGAGAGAGGCTTGGTAATCCAGGCACAAGCATGAGTGGGGAGGGGTGGCATGAGGGATTTCTGGAATGTTCTGAGGAAGGGCACACCAGGAGGAGCTGGGGTGGGGATGAAGTGACCAGTTGCAGTGTCCAGACAGGTTACTGGGAGGGTCCAGGCCGAGGTAGTAGGGTTGAGTGGAAAGGATAAAACTTCAACTATGACATAATTTATTAATAGAGCCAGAATTTGGTCATTCTGTATGGACATTTCCAGGATTCTATTTTTGAATAAGGGATTTTATGGATGCTCCAATTAAGTCCACCAAGTCATTGCAATCCTATTAAAAACCCCAATAGAAATTTATTATCAAACTTGCAAAGTAGCATCTAAAAAATCACTTTGGAAATGCACATATGCATATGAAATGGCTGAGAAATTTTGTTTCAAATTTTTAATGAGAAAGTATAATCTTTTCTATGTATACAGGCTACAGAAAAACAATACAATAAAAAATCATGTAGCCACCACAGTATAGAAATAGACCAGTACCACAAACTTTGAAGCAGCCTGCATGTCCCCAACCTGCTCTCATTTGCTTCTTTTCCTGCCAGAGGGAACCACCATTCTGTCTGTTGTGTTAATTGTTCCCTTGCTTTTCCTTTTTTTTGGTAATTAAACATCTTTGTATTGTGAAATGACACACAGAGAAATGCATAAGACAGATAATTGTAAAGAAAACACCTGTGTGATCACCATCCAGGTCTTAAGTTTTGAAAATGAATTGAGAGGGGGCTGGCTTAGCAGATGTTAACCACTCTGAAACTACAGTGACCAAGAAAGTACAGTATCACTAAAGAAATAGATACCCAGGAGAGTGGAGCAAAACATCTTTCACATCTTTTGCAGTTCCAGATTTTTCTGTCAAATTATTTTTGTGTACATAAACCCTTTATTCATATTTTAATAAATCTTAGACTCATAGAAAAAGTCATGAGTAGCTATTTAAATTATACATTATGCATTATGATATATCTATATATCAGTGTATATCTTCATCCTTTAAAAGATACATATGTATTTCTTTAGAAAGTATGGAATGCGTTGTGTAGAATAATTTGCCTTATACTGGCTAAAAGGATCTCTAGAATTGAATATGTAGGGAATGCAAATAATCAAAGGATTCGTGTTTGTTTTCAGGCAGAACAATCCCAGTGAAGTATTCAGAGTGAGTTCTGGCAATTTGATGTCATCCACCTCTTGGTCACGATATTTTCTCTGAACAAAATATCCCTTAGTTCTATTTTCTTAACTCTGTCCCATGAACTTTGGTACAAGGTCCTTTGATTTTTTTTCAGTGTCTGTTACTAAAAACAAACCAGAAGAACCCATTTAACTCTTGGTGCCTGGGATTAGGTTCTCAAGTCACAGAGTGGGAGGAATATTTCCAAACTGACTCAGTGGTAAATGCTCAGAAATAAGCATCACCTCATTGGCTGACCAGCAACATCTCCCAGCTCAGCCAGTGCTGCAGTCATCCATTTTGAGGCAACAGCTCGTGTCTCTTAGCTTTGAGTTCTGACATGTCTCCAGCGGGCTCAGCTCCCAGGCCAGTGGACACTAAGTTTTGCTCTACTTTTCTTCCTCTGTTGTCCTTTCAGATCTGAGGATGTTCTATTTTGGCGTGGTTAGGAGGACCGTAGGTCCTCTAATTCCATAAAATATTGCTCATGCTTCTAGACATTATCTCCCTCAGTAAGAAGCTGTGTCTAGGGAAAGGCTTTTTGACCTCTCAGCACTACCTGATAGTGAATAAAAAGGATCTGTGTCCTTTCTTTTTTTCCTTATGGGTTTATTTGACTGCTTCTCCTTGGAACTTTGTCATACTCCTCCTCCAAGGAACTGGGAAGTGTCCTTTCTTTGTATTTTTATGTGTTCTGCCACTTTGTCAAGTCATGGCTATGTGGAAAATTTTAAAAAGGATCTAATTTCTTTTCAAAGAAAAATGTATGATCCCTAGACTTGCACATATTGTTACCTGCTTCTTTGTGTATTGCCACTAAAATTAAGTTAAAAAGAAGTTTAGATGAAGAAGTATTTTGCTATCTGAATTGGATTTATGAGAGGAAAGAGGGAATGTGGGTAAATAGTGAAGGAAATACTGAAAGAGTGATTTGTAAATGAAAACTTAAGGTGAACTTGTAACAGTGCCTGTGGGTTTTTCTGTATAGCTTTTGTTTTCTATTCTTTTGGAAATGTAAATAGATGACATTGGCTCCCTAATTTCAGTGATTCACTAGGAGGACTCCCAGGACTCAGGATATAGTTGCATTATTGGTTAAGATTTATGACAGTGAAAGGATACAGAACAAAGTCAGCCAAGTTAAAAAGGGCATGGGGTGAAATCTGCAGGAAACCAGTGCAAGCTAAGAGTCCTTCCCCATGGAGTCAACACAAAGTGCTCTTAATTCCTCCAAGAATGAGTTGTGACCAGACATGTGAAATGTTGTCTATCATTAGACAGCTCTAATGAGAGCTCATTAGAGACTCAGCACCCCGGGTTTTTACTCTGGGCTTGTCACATAGGCAGTCTCTGCCTGGCACTAGCAGAATTCCAGACTCTCAGAAGCAAAGAGGATGTTCAGCATTAACCACACTGTACAAATTGTTTAGGTACAGGGACCACCCTTACTGGTTAGGGAATGGTGGGTGAGAACACTCCTGAAATCCAAATGCCTAGACCACATCCAAGGGCCAGGCTGGCAAGCAGATCTTCCTAAGAATTGACAGTATGAGGCCTGCTGTGTGAACTATTTTCAGCATAGCTGTCCATGAGCACTTTGATGAGGTGATGGTGCCACCCTGTGAAAGAGAAGACAGGAAATAGTCCAGTTGTGTCTTTGAAGTGTAAATAGAGCTTGCCAAAGGGCCTGATCAGCAATGCAAAGTATGAAGAAATGTATATTTATTTGATCTTTGTATCAGGCTAATGATTACCAATTTTCAGAAGCTGAAGGAAAAATGTTTTGCATGGTACAGTATGTTGTAGTATTTTTATCAGTATTGAGAGGAAGAGGAATACTAAAGAATCTAAGGGAGGTAAATCTTAAATAACAAAGTATGCTGCTTCTATCATTTGAGTTTTTCTAAAAATAGACTGTACTTTTTAGGGCAGTTTTAGGTTCACAGCAAAACTGGGAGGAAGGTACAGAGATTTCCCATATAGCTTCTGCCCCACAAAACCATAACCTCTCCCATTATTAATATCCTGCACTAGAGTGGACAATGTTGACATGTCATAATCACACAAGGTCCTACCATAGTTTATGGCAGGGTTTACTCTTGGTGTTATATATTTAATGAGTTTTGACAAATATTAATGGTCTGTATTCACTATTACAGTAGTATACAGAGCAGTTTCACTACCCTAAAAATCCTCTGAGCTTCACCTATTCATCCTTCCCTCCTCCCTAATTCCTGGCAACCACTAGCCTTTTTGCTGTCTCCATACTTTTTCCTTTTTTAGAATATCATATGGTTGGAATCATACAGTATTAACCTTTTCAGACCAGCGTCTTTCGGTTAGTAATAAGCATTTATGTTTTCTCCATGTCTTTTCATGGCTTGATAGTTAATTTCCTTTTAGTGCTGAATAATATCACATTGTCTGGATGTACCACAGTTTATTCATCTACTGAAAGACATCTTGGTTGCTTCCAAGTTTTAGCAATTATGCATAAAGCTGCTATAAGCATCCATTTGCAGGTTTTCATGGACACAAGTTTTTAACTCCTTTCAGTAAATACCAAGGAGTGTGGTTGCTGGATCATGTGGTACGAGTACGTTTAATTTTGTAAGAACTGGCCAAACTGTCTTCCAAAGTGACTGTAGCATTTTGCATCACTAACAGCCATAAATGAAAGTTACTGTTGCTCCACAGTCTTACCAGCATTTGGTGTTGTCAGTGTCCTGGATTTTGGCCATTCTTTTAGATTCTTTTGGATTTTCTACCAAGATGGTCATGTCATCTCTGAACAAAGAGTTTTATTTCTTCCTTCCCAATCAGGATACCTTCTATTTCCTTTTCTTGTCTTATTGCATTAGCTAGGACTTCCAGGATGATGTGGAAAAGCACTGATGAGAGGAGTCATCCTTGCTCTGTTGCTGATCTTAATGAGAAAGTTTCGAGTTTCTCACCATAAAGCACAATGTTAACTACAGGGTTGATGTAGCTATTCTTTATTAAGTTGAGAAAGTTCCCCTGTATTCCTGTTTTTTTCCTGGATTTTGTTGAATGCTGTTTCTGTGTGTATTGTTATGCTTATGTGATTTTTCTTCTTAAGCCTGTTGTGTGATGGATTGCATTAATTGATTTTCAATGTTGAACCAGCTGTGATGACCTTGGAGAAATTCTACTTGATCACAATATACAATTATTTTTCTACATTGTTGAATTTGACTTGCCAATATTTTGTTGAGGATTGTTGCATCTTTATTCATGAGAGATACTTGTCTATAGTTTTCTTTTCTTGCAATGTTTTTGGTTTCGAAATTAGAGCAAAGCTGGCCTCATAGAGTGAATTAGCAAGTATTCCCTTTGCTTCTATCTTTTGAAAGAGATTTTAGAGAATTGATATTATTTCTTCCTTAAATATTTGGTAGAATTTACCAGTGAACCCATTTGGGCCTGGTGTTTTCTGTTTTACAAGGTTATTAATTATTGATTCAATTTCTTTAATAGCTATAGGCCTGTTCAGATTATCTATTTCTTCTTATGTGAATTTTGGCAGATGGTGTCTTTCAAGGAATTGGTCCATTTCATCTAGATTATCAAATGTGTGGGCATTGCTTTGTTCATAGTATTCTCCTATTATCTTTTTAATATCCATGGGAGCTACACTGATATTCCCATTTTTCATTTCTGATATTAACAATTTGTATTCTCTTGTTTTTTCTTAGTTTACCTTGCTAGATGCTTATTGCTTTTATTGTTATTTCCAAAAAAACCAGCTTTTGGTTTCATGGATTTTTCTGCATTGATCTTCTGTTTTTAATTTTACTGATTATTGCTTTAATTTTTATTATTTCTTTTTTTTCTTCTTAGTTTGGATTTAATTTGCTCACATTTTTCTAGTTTCTTAAGGTGTGAAAGCTTACATTGTTGATTTCAGATCTTTCTTCTTTTCTAATATATGAATTTAATGCCATAAATATCCATTTAAGCACTGCTTTTACTGCCTCCCACAAAATTTGTGAAGTTGTGTTTTCATTCTCATTTACTTCAAAACATTTTAAATTTTTTCTTGGGATTTCTTTTTTGACCCCTGGGTTATTTAGAAATCTGTTATTCAGTCTCCAAGTACTTTGGAATTTTCCAGCTAACTTTCTGTTATTGATATCTAGTTTAATTGTATCAGTTTGCAGACGTTGTATGATTTCCAGTCTTGTAAATTTGTTAAGGTGTGTTTTATGTTTTTTTTTCTTTTTTTTTTTTTTTTTGAGACAGAGACTCAGGTGATCTGCCTGCCTCGGCCTCCCAAGTGCTGGGATTATAGGTGTGAGGCACCGCACTTGGCCAAGGTGTGTTTTATGGTTTTATGGCCCATAATGTGGTCTATCTTTGTAAATGTTCCATGTGAGCTTGAGAAGAATGTGCATTCTGCTCTTGTTGTATGATGTAGTCTGTAAATATTCATTATACCCCGTTGATTTATGACATTGTTGAGTTCACTTATGTCCTTACTGATTTTCTGCCTGCTGGATCTGTCAATTTCTGATAGAGAGGTGTTGATGTCTCCAACTATAATAGTGGACTAGTTTATTTCTCTTTGCTGTTCTATTAGTTTTTGCCGCAGATATTTTGATGTTCTGTTGTTAATCACATACACATTAAGAATTGTTATGGCATTTTGGAAAGTTGATCTCTTTATCAGTATGTGATGGCCCCTTTTTATCCCTGGTAAGTTTCCTTGCTCTGAAGTATGCTCTGTCTGACAGATAGCTACTTATGTTTTCTTTTGATTGGTGTTAGCTTGGTATATTTTTTTTCCTTCCACTTAATTTGTATGTATCTTTACATTTAAAGTGAGTTTCTCATAGGCAATATATAGTTAGGTCTTGTTTTTTTTTTCTACCAACTCTGAGAATCTCTGTCTCTTAATTGGTATATTTAGACCACTGGTGTTTAAAGTTATTATCGATATAGTTGGAGAGATATATACCATATTTTTTATTGTTTTCTATTTGTTACTTTTGTTCTTTATTCCTGTTTATGTATTCTATGCTTTTTCCGCATTTTGTAGTTTTAATTGAGCATTTTATATGATTCCATTTTGTCTTCTTTCTTAGCATATCACTTATACTTCTTTTTAAACTTGTATAGTGGTTGCCTTACAATTTACCATATTTACCACAAATCCAGTTTCACTTTCAAATAACATTCTGCCACTTCATGGTTAGTGCAAATACCTTATAATAACAAAATAATCCAAATTCCTCCCTCCCAATCTTTGTATTACTGCTGTTTCTCATTTCACTTATACATAAACATATATATATATATATATGCACACATATGTGTATATATATATATATATGCACACATATGTATATATATTAGAATATATTATTACTACTACTGTTTTGGGCAAACTGTTATCTGTTAGGTCAATTATGAATAAGGAAGTGAAAGCTTTTATTTTTTCACTTATTCCTTCAGTGCTCTTTATTTCTTTATGTAGATCTAAGTTTCTGATCTTTATCGTTTTCCTTTTTTTTAAATTATTATACTTTAAGTTCTAGGGTACAGGTGCACAACATGCAGGTTTGTTACATAGGTATACATGTGCCATGTTGGTTTGCTGCACTCATCAACTCGTCATCTACATTAGGTATTTCTCCTAATGCTATCCCTCCCCCAGCCCCCCATCCCCTGACAGACCCCGGTGTGTGATGTTCCCTGCCCTGTGTCCATGTGTTCTCGTTGTTCAACTCCCACCTACGAGTGAGAACATGCAGTGTTTGGTTTTCTGTCCTTGTGATAGTTTGTTGAGAATGATAGTTTCCAGCTTCATCCATGTCCCTGCAAAGGACATGAACTCATCCTTTTTTATGGCTGCATAGTATTCCATGGTGTATATGTGCCACATTTTCTTAATCCAGTCTATGATTGATGAACATTTGGGTTGGTTCCAAGTCTTTGCTATTGTGAATAGTGCCACAATAAACGTATGTGTGCATGTGTCTTTATAGTAGCATGATTTATAATCCTTTGGGTATATACCCAGTAATGGGATTGCTGGGTCAAGTGGTATTTCTAGTTCTAGATCCTTGAGGAATTGCCACACTGTCTTCCACAGTGGTTGCACTAATTTACACTCCCACCAACAGTGTAAAAGCATTCCTGTTTCTCCATATCTTCTCAAGCATCTGTTGTTTCCTGGCTTTTTAATGATCACCATTCTAACTGGCGTGAGATGGTGTCTTATTATGGTTTTGATTTGCATTTATCTGATGACCAGTGATGAGCATTTTTTCATATGTCTATTGGCTGTATAAATGTCTTCTTTTGAGAAGTGTCTGTTCATATCCTTCACCCACTTTTTGATGGGGTTATTTTTTTCTTGCAAATTTGTTTAAGTTCTTTGTAGATTCTGGATATTGGCCCTTTGTCAGATGATCATTTTCCTTTTCTTTGAAGAACTTCTTTTACAAGGCAGGTCTAGTGGCAACAAATTCCTTCAATATTTGTTTTTCTAAGAAAACCTTTATTTCCCTTGCACTTTTGATAGATAATTTTGCAGGGTAGAGAATTCTTCATTGGTGGATTTTTTCTCTCAACACTTAATACTTCAAATGTTTTACTGTATTCTCTTCTTACTTGCCTGGTTTCTGAGGAAAAGTCAGATGTAATTCTTATCTTTGGTCCTGTATAGGTAATGTGTTCTTTTCCTCTGGTTTCTTTCAGGATCTTAACATTTTTGATTTTCTGTAGTTTGAAGATTATACACTTAGGTGTAGTTTTGGGGAGCATTTATCCTGTTTGGTGTTCTCTGAGCTTCCTGTATCTATGGTTTGATGTCTGACTTTTAACTTGGGGACATCTTCAGTCATTACTGTTTCAAGTATTTCTTCCGTTTCCTTCTCTTTCTTCTTATTATGGTATTTCCATTGCATGTAAATTACACCTTTTGTGGTTTTCTTGTAGTTATTGGATATTCTGTTCTGTTTTTTTTTTTCCGTCTTTTTTTTTCTCTTTGCTTTTCAATTTTAGAGGTTTATATTAAAATATCCTTAAGTTCAGAAATTATTTACTCAGCTCTAGCCTACTAATAAGCCCAACAAAGGTATTCTTCATCTCTGTTACCGGGTTTTTAATCTCTGGCATTTATTTTGGTTCTCTCTTAGAGTTTCCACTTTTCTGTTTACATTGCTTACCTATTCTTGCATGCTGTCTTTTTTTAAAAAATTTTTTTTATCTCTTACAGTCCTTAGTCTGTTAATCATAGTTGTTTTAAATTCCCAGTCTGATAATTCCAACATCCCTGTCACAGCTGAGTCTGGTTCTGACGCTTGCTCTGTCTCTTCATACTGTGTGTTTTGCTTTTTAGTATGCCTTGTAATTTTTTCTTGATAGCTGGACATGATGTCCTGGGTAAAAGGAACCACAAAAAATAGTAATGTGGTGGTAAGGTGTGTGTGTGTGGTAAGCATTCTCTAGTCCTTTGGTTAGATCTCAGTCTCTGAGTGAGCCTGTGACCCCAGATTGTGAAC
This sequence comes from Homo sapiens, assembly GCF_000001405.40. NCBI lineage: Eukaryota > Metazoa > Chordata > Mammalia > Primates > Hominidae > Homo > Homo sapiens. Next base: position 74,107,988 of record NC_000018.10, on the reverse strand, counting down.
TTCACAGGCGCTTCTCAGTCCCCCGCTTTACAACCTCCAGAATGGCTAGAGAGAGGGGGCTGCAGTTTAGTGTTTCTCTTCCTTCAGGTAGGTTAGGCTCTGATAATTCCCCTAGTAGGTTATTCTCTAGTTAGTTTCTCTTGAGGAAAAGCCTTGTTAAGTAGCACAGAATGCTCTGGTACATTTTGGTGTTACCTTTCCCCTCCCTTTTCCAGAGGAATAGAGGAATATTTTTCTGATACTCACTGTGAGAACCAGGTGAAGCTTCTAGAGGTAAAACTCACATAAGTGTGCCCACACCCCTTGACTGGGTCCCCCTGAAGTTTTTAACTCTCAGACTTGCCCACACTGAGTCTCTAGCAGCTTATCATTTACAGCTCAGGTTTCCCTTTTTTTTATACTGGTTGCTATGGAGGTTTTGGCTCAATAGAGCTACGCGTCTCTGTATTCTCCTGTCTGTCTCTCCAATTTTGGGACAGTGGTTTGCCCTGTGACTTCACTTTTCTTATAGATCTAACAAGACTTGATTTTTACTTGTTAGGATGGAGTGGTGACTTCCAACGTTTTTAAAAATGGTCTGGAAACCAGTCACATTTTACTTTTTATCTGAGTTGCTGTTAAAATATTTTTTTAAAAAACTAATGTCTTCTTTAACTTCAGCTTTTGAAATTCCACATATAAGTGGGATCATGCGGTATTTGTTTCTCTGTTCTTTGGTTATTTCACTGAATATAATGTCTTCTAGATTCATCCATATTATTACAAATGACAGAATTTGTTGTTTTTTTTTTTTTTACAGAATATCACTGTGTACCCCATAAATATATTTAATTATTTTCAATTAAAAGTGAAATAAAACAAAAAATAATTATCTTTTTGATATGCGATTTGAAAATTCAGAATATGTAGAATTTATAAAGAAGCAAATAATCATTCAGGAAAACTATTGTTTATATTTTGGTTCATTTTCACATATATAGCTCTGTTTATATCCTTAGACAACATTATGTGAACAATATTACATTCTTTTTCCTTTTAAATTGCATTGTGTTTTTCAAATGCCACTAAATAGTTCTTGAAAATTTGTATAATATTCCATTGTTTGGGTTTTTTATAATTTATTGACCCATTCTCCTAATGTTGGACATTTAGTATCCACTTTTCATGATTATAGCACTGTTATCATGACCATTATTTTGAAAAATATCTATTGATTTGAGAGGTGAAAAGGACATCTGATTGTTTTAAATTTCCATATGCCTGAATGTTAGATTGACTATTTTAAAAACTGACTATCACAGAGGTTTATGGTTTTTATAGCAACCATATTGCAGGCTGTTTAAGGGGAATCTTCTTAGGATCTGACTTCAGTACCACCTCTTAACTATGTGTTTAACCTTAATCAATTACCACAGTGTCCTTGCTTGCAAAATAAGGAAAACATTAGTACCTACCTTATGAGGTACTAAAGAATGCTTCACATGTGCTTGGTGCTGTTATTGTTGTTCATTATCATATTTCTTTTCTAATTGAATATTCATTATTCATGTTCAATTGGTTCCATTGTTTTAAATGTTTATAAGATTTATATGCATTACATTTGTTGAAAATCTTTTCCCATTTTATCTTTTGCCTTCTAATTTTGTATATATTGTTTTGAATCTCAGAGGTTTTTAATTGCATGTCAGTAATTAATGTTGCATCTTTCAAATTTTTGTAAATATGGTAAGTTCTACTCTTGAATAAAAGGCAAATACTCAGCTATATTTTCTTTAGATTGAGTATTTCTCCTTTTTCAACCTACACTTCCTTTTGATTAACATAAAAATTACACATAGCCTACAGATTCCTGTACCCTTACCTCTTAGGATTATTCTTGTCTGTTAAGAATAAGTGCACCTTCTTTTATCTCTACTGGGCAAGAAGATACTTCAAGCTTTTCTTGTTCATTTTGTCATGAAAATATGTTCCCAATATAAAATTTCTTACTAATGAACTTTATCAAAGATTTCTTGATTATTTTTATCCATTTATGCTTTTAGATGTTTTTAATATTCACCTGGCCAGATTTTAAAATATCTTCTTTGTATTTTGAGCAGATTCATATTAAATCTGTATTAATTTGGAATGGATATATTTTTATTTGGAGTTTTCATCTATCCCTCCAACTACAGACATACCTTGCTTTATTGTTCTTTGTTTTATTATGCTTCACACATATTGCATTTAAAAAATATTTTGGGGGCCAGGCACAGTGTCTCATGCCTGTAATCCCAGCACTTTGGGAGGCTGAGATGGGCAGGTCACAAGGTCAGGAGTTTGAGACCAGCCTGACCAACATGCTGAAACCCTACCTCTCCTAAAAATACAAAAAAAAAACCATAAGCTGGGTATGGTGGCACACACCTGTAATCCCAGCTACTCAGGAGGCTGAGGCAGGAGAATCGTTTGAACCTGGGAGGCAGAGGTTGCAGTGAGCCAAGATCATGCAACTGCACTCCAGCCTGGGTAACAGGGCAAGACTCCATCTCAAAAAAAAACCTTTGGGAAATAATTTTTTTAAATTGATGCCTAATAGATGTACATATTTTCAGGATACATGTGATAATACATTTATATAACTTTTGCAGATCAAATAATATACTTGTGAGGTTCATCATTTTAAGGGTTTTTATGTTAGAAACATTTGAATTATTTAATTCTAACTATTTTGAAATATATAATAGGCAATCATAGACTGTAGTCACTCTACTGGTCTAACACTAGGTTTTATCTCTTCTGTCAAACTATGTATTTGTACCCATTAACTTCTCCTCATCTCTGTCCTTCCTTGCCTCCAGTAATGACTAGTCTACTCTCTGTCTTCATGAGATACACATTTTAAGCTCCCACATATAAGTGAGAACGTGCAATATTTGTTTTCCTGTTCTTAGATTATTTTACTTAATATAATTACCTCCAGTTTCATCCATGTTGCTGCAGATGACAGGATTTCATTCATTTTAGTGGCTGAATAATATTTAATTTTGTATATATTTCACATTTTCCTTATTCATTCAGCCATTGATTTACACTTAGATTAATTCCATATTTTAGTTATTGTGAATAGTGCTGCAGTAGACATGGGATGGTGCAGACATGTTAAAGCACTCTATTATTACTGTATTGTATCCTGTCCCTTCCCTTAGATCTATTAATATTTGATTTATATAATTGGGAGCTCTGCTGTTGGATGCACAGATATTTATAATTGTTGTATCCTTTTGCCAAATTGACCCCTTTATCATTATTTAGTGACCTTCTTTCTCCATTATTACCGTCTATTTTATCCTGATTTGTAGTTTATTTGGTAGAAGCACAGCTACACTTTTTCTTTTTTGGTTTGCAGTTGTATGGAATATCTTTTTTTAACCCTTTCATTTCAGTAAACGTGTGTCTTCATAGGTGAAGTGGGTCTCTTGTAGGCAGCATATAGTTAGATTCTATTTCTTTATCCATTCTGCCACTCTGCCTTTTAATTGGAGAATTGAGTCAATTTACATTCAGTGTTGTTACTGATAAGGAAACACTTACTACTGCCACTTTGTTGCTTGTTTTCTGGTTGTTTTGTAACCCTTCTGTCCTTTTCTTCCTGTCTTTTTTTGTTGTTATATTATCTGGTAGAATATTTTAATTTGTTGCTTTTTATTTTTAGTTAATCTATTAATAGGTTTTTTCATTCTTGTACCATGAGGCTTATAAAAACATCTTATAGATATAACAAGTTATTTTAAAGAGATGAAAACTTAGAACACAAAGAAAAGAATAGACGCAAATAAAGAAATGAGAAAAAAATTACATACTTTAATTACCACTCCTCACCTTATGTTTTGACCTTTAGTTGTCTCAGTTTACATATTTTTATATTACCTATCTCCTAACACGTTGCTGTAGCTGTTATTGCTGATAGATTTGTCTTTTGGGCTTCATAGTAGAGTTATGAATGGATTGCACACCACAGTTACAGTGTTAGAATATTCTGAGTTTTGTGCTTAATTTTACCAGTAAGTTTTCTATCTTCCAATGTTTTCTTTTCACATATTAGTATTTATTTCTTCCAGACTGAATAACTCCTTTTAGCATTTCTTATAAGATAGGTCTGGTGTTGGTGAATTGCCTCAGCTTTTGTTTGTGTGGGAGATACTTTATCTGTCCTTCATATTTGAAAGATAGATTTTCCAGATACAATATTCTTGGATGGCAATTTTCTTTTTCTTTCAGCACTTTGAAAATGTCATTTCATTCCCTCCTGGCCTGTATGGTTTCTATTGAGAAATCTATTGCCAGATGAATTTGTGCTCTTTTACGTTATTTGCTTCTTTTCTCTTGCTGCTTTTAGGATCCTCTCTTTGTGCTTGACCTTTGAGTATTTGATTATTATATGTCCTGGAGTAGTCTTATTTGAGTCAAATCTGTTTGGTGTTGTCTAGTATTCTTGTACCTGGATATATCTTTCTCAAGTTTTGGAAAGTTTTCTGTTATTATTTATTTGAGTAAGATTTCTACTACTTGTTCTTGCTCAACTTTCAATCGAACACCAATAGTTATTAGACTTGGCCTTTTGAGGTAATTTTCTATATCTTGTAGGCAGTCTTCATTCCTTTTCATTCTTTTTTCTTTTTTCCTCTGACTAAGTGTTTTCAAAAGGCCTGCCTTCTACCTCACTGATACTTTTCTTTGCTTGATCCATTCTGTTTTTGAGAGCCTCCTATGAATTTTTCAGTTCAGCAAAAGTATTCATTAGTTCCAAGATTTCTGTTTGACTTTTTATAATTATTTCAATCTGTTTGCTAAATTTCTCTGATACATTTCTGAATTGCTTTTCTTTTTTTAAAAAAATTTTATTTCCACAGGTTTTTGGGGGAACAGGTGGTATCTGGTTACATGAGTAAGTTATTTAGTGGTGATTTGTGAAATTTTGGTGCACCCGTCTCCTCAGCAGTATACAATGAACCCAATTTGTAGTCTTTTATCCCTCACCCACTTCCCACCCTTTCCCCTTGAGTCCCCAAAGTCCATTGTGTCATTACGCCTTTGCATCCTCATAGCTTAGTTCCCACTTATGAGTGAAAACATGTGATGTTTGGTTTTCCATTCCTGAGTTACTTCACTTAGAATAATAGTCTCCAGTCCCATCCAGGTTGCTGCAAATGCCATTGATTCATCCCTTTTTATGCTGAGTAGTATTCCATTGTATACATATACACCACAGTTTCTTTATCCATTTGTTGATTGATGGGCATTTGTGTGGGTTCCACATTTTTGCAATTGTGAACTGTGCTGCTATAAAAATGCATGAGCAAGTATCTTTTTTGTATAATGACTTATTTTCCTCTGGTTAGATACCCAGTAGTGGAATTGCTGGATCAAATGGTAGTTCTACTTTTAGTTCTTTAAGGAGTCTCCACACTATTTTCCACAGTGGTTGTACTAGTTTACATTCCCTTCAGCAGTACAGGAGTTTTCCCTTTGTGCCACATCAATGCCAGCATCTGTTATGTTTTGATTTTTTGATTATGGCCTTTCTTGCAGGAGTAAGGTATTATCGCATTGTGGTTTTGATTTGCACTACCCTGATCATTAGTGATGCTGAGCATTTTTTTTGTGTTTGTTGGCCATTTGTATATCTTCTTTTGAGAATTATCTATTCATATCCTTAGCCCACTTTTTGATGGGATTGTTTTTTTCTTGCTAATTTGTTTGAATTTTTGTAGATTCTGGATGTTAGTCCTTTGTCAGATGTATAGATGGTGAAGATTTTCCCCCACTCTGTAGGTTGTCTGTTTACTAACTGTTCTTTTGCCGTGAAAAAGCTCTTTAGTTTAATTAAGTCCCAGCTATTTATCTTTATTTTTATTGCATTTCCTTTTGGGTTCTTGGTCATGAAATCCTTGACTAAGCCAATGTCTAGAAGGGTTTTTCCAGTGTTATCTTCTAGAGTTTTTATAGTTTCACGCCTTAGGTTTAAGTCTTTGATTCATCTTGAGTTGATTTTTGTGTATGGCAGGAGATGAGGATCCCATTTCATTCTCCTACATGTGACTTGCCAATTATCCCAGCACATTTGTTGAATAGGGTATCCTTTCCCCACTGTATGTTTTTGTTTGCTTTGTTCAAGATCAATTGACTGTAAGTATTTGGGTTTGTTTCTGGATTCTCTATTCTGTTCCACTGGTCTATGTGCCTATTTTTATACCAGTACCATGCTGTTTTGGTGACTGTGGCCTTATAGTATAGTTTGAAATCAGGTTAATGTGTTGCCACCAGATTTGTTCTTTTTGCTTAGTCTTGCTTTGGCTATGCAGGCTCTTTTTTGTTTCCATATGAATTTTGGGATTGTTTTTTCTAGTTTTGTGAAGAATTATGGTGGTATTTTGATGGGAATTGTATTGAATTTATAGATCGCTTTTGGCAATATGGTCATTTTCACAATATCAATTCTACCCATCCATGAGCATGGGATGTGTTTTCATTTGTTTGTGTCATCTGTGATTTCTTTCAGCAGTGTTTTGTAGTTTTCCTTGTAGGCTTTTATTACATTGAGGTATGTGCTTTGTATGCCAATTTTGCTGAGAGCTCTAATCATAAAGCCATGCTGCATTTTGTCAAATGCTTTTACAGCATCTACTGAGATGATCATGTGATTTTTGTTTGTAATTCTGTTTATGTGGTGTATCACATTTATTGGCTTGCATTATGTAAAACCATCCTTGCATCCCTGGTATGAAACCCACTTGATCATGGTGGATTATCTTTTTGATATGTTGTTGGATTCAGTTAGTTAGTATTTTGTTAAGGATTTTTGCATCTGTGTTCATCAGGGATATTGGTCTTTAGTTTTCTTTTTTGGTTATGTCCTATCCTGGTTTTAGTATGAGGGTGATACTGGCTTCATAGAATGATCTGGGGAGGATTCTTTCTTTCTCTATCTTGTGGAATAGTGTCAATAGGATTGGTACCAATTCTTTGAGTGTCTGGTAGAATTCAGCTGTGAATCCATCTGTCCCTGGACTTTTTTGTTGGTGGTAATTTTTAAATTACCATTTCAATCTCACTGCTTGTTACTGGTCTGTTCAGAGTATCTAATTCTTTCTGATTTAAGCTAGGAGGGTTGTATCTTTCCGGGAATTTATCCATCTCACCTAGGTTTTCTAGTTTATGTGCATAAAGGTGTTCATAGTAGCCTTGAATGATCTTTTCTATTTCTGTGGTATCAGTTGTAATATCTCCCATTTCATTTCTAATTGTTCTTATTTGGGTTTTCTCTCTTCTTGATTAATCTTGCTAATGGTCTATCAATTTTATTTATTTTTTCAAAGAACCACCATTTTGTTTCATTTATCTTTTGTATTTTTTTTGTTTCAATTTCATTTAGTTCTCCTCTGATCTTGGTTATTTCCTTTATTCTGCCGAGTTTGGGTTTGGTTTGTTCTTTTTTCTCTAGTTCCTTGAGGTATGACCTTAGATTGTCTATTTGTGCTTTTCCAGACTTTTTGATGTAGGGATTTAGGGCTATGAACTTTCCTCTTAGCACCACTTTTGCTGTATCCTAGAGGTTTGATAGGTTGTCTCATTTTGTCATTCAGTTCAAATAATTTTTAAATTTCCATCTTGATCTTATTGTTGACCCAGTGCTCACTCAGGAGCAGGTTATTTAATTTCCATGTATTTGTGTGGCTTTGAAGGTTTCTTTTGGAGTTGATTTCCGTTTTTATTCCACTGTAGTCTGAGAGAGTACCTGATATAATTTCAGTTTTCTTAAATTCATTGAGACTTGTTTTGTGGCTTATCATATGGCCTATCTTGGAGAAAGTTCCATGCACTGATGAATAGAATGTATATTCTGTGGTTGCTGGGTATAATGTTCTGTAAGTATCTGTTATGTCCATTTGTTCCAGGGTATAGTTTAAATCCATTGTTTCTTTGTTGACTTTCTGTCTTGATGACCTGTCTAGAGCTGTCAGTGGAGTATTGAAGTTTCCCACTGTTATTGTGTTGCTGTGTATCTCATTTCTTAGGTCTAGTAGTAATTGTTTTATAAATTTGGGAGCTCCAGTGTTAGGTGCATATATTTTTAGGACTGTGATATTTTCCTGTTGGACAAAGCGTTTTATCATTACATAATGTCCCCCTTTGTCTTTTTAAACTGCTGTTGCTGTAAAGTTTGTTTTAATGATATAAGAATAGCTACTTTTGCTTGCTGTTGGTGTCCATTTGCATGGAATGTATTTTCCCACCCCTTTACCTTAAGTTTATGTGAGTCCTTATGTGTTAGGTGAGTTTCTTGAAAGCAGCAACTAGTAGGTTGGTGAATTATCTATTCTGCCATTCTGTATCTTTTAAATGGAGCATTTAGGCCACATTCAATGTTAGTATTGGGATGTAAGGTACTATTCCATTCATTGTGCTATTTGTTGCCTGTATACCTTTTTTTAATTGTATTTTTGTTTTATAGGTCCTGTGAGATTTATGCTTTTAGAGGTTTTGTTTTATGTGTTTCCAGGATTTGTTTCAAGATTTAGCCCTCCTTTTGGCCGTTCTTGTAGTGCTGGCTTGATAGTGGCAAATTCTCTCAGTGTTAGTTTATCTGAAGAAGACTGTATCTTTCTTTCATTTATGAAGCTTAATTTCACTGGATACAAAATTTTTGGCTGATAGTTGTTTTGTTTAAGGAGGCTTAACATAGGGCCCCAATCCCTTCTAGCTTGTAGAATTTCTGCTGAGAAATCTGTTGTTAATCTGATAGATTTTTATAGGTTACCTGGTGCTTTTGCCTCACAGCTCTTAAGATTCTTTCCTTTGTCTTAACTTTTGTTTTTTTTCTTTGAGATGGAGTCTCGCTCTTTGCCCATACTGGAGTGCAGTGGCGTAATCTTGGCTCAGTGCAACCTTTACCTCCTGGGTTCAAGTGATTCTCCTGCCTCAGCCTCCTGAATAGCTGGGACTAAAGGCATGTGCCACCACGCCCAGCTAATTTTTGTATTTTTAGTATAGATGGAGTTCTGCTATGTTGGCCAAGCTAGTCTTGAACTCCTGGCCTCAAGTGATCTGCCCACCTTGGCCTCCCAAAGTGCTGGGATTACAGATGTGAGCCACCGCGCCTTGCCTACTTTGTCTTAACTTTAGATAACCTGATGACAGTGTGCCTAGATGGTGATCTTTTTGTGATGAATCTCCCAGGTGTTCTTTGTGCTTCTTATATTTGGATGTCTAGGTCTCTAGCAAGGCCAGTGAAGTTTCCCGGATTATTCCCCCAAATATGTTTTCCAAACTTTTAGATTTCTCTTCTTTCCCAGGAATGCCAATTATTCTTAGGTTTGGTCATTTAACATATCTTCAAACTTCTTGGAGGCTTTGTTCATTTTTTCTTATTCTTTTTTCTGTGTCTTTGTTAGACTGGGTTAATTCAAAAACCTTGTCTTTGAGCTCTGAAGTTCTTTCTTCTGCCATGTTCAGTTCTATTGCTGAGACTTTCCTGAGCATTTTGCATTTCTCTAAGTGCATTTATTTCCTGAAGTTTTAATTGTTTTTTATTTATGCTCTCAATTTCACTGAAGATTTCCCCCCTCATTTCTTATATCTTTTTTTGGTTTCCTTAAATTGGACTTTACCTTTCTCTGGTGCCTCCTTGATTAGCTTATTAACTGACCTTCTGGATTCTTTTTCAGGTAAATCAAGGATTTTTTCTTGGTTTGGATTTATTGCTGGTAAGCTAGTGTGATTTTTGGGGGATATTAGCCTTGTTTTGTCGTATTACCTGAATTGTTTTTCTGGTTCTTTCTCATTTGGGTAGGCTATGTTAGAAGGAAGGTCTAGGGTTCAAGGCTGCTGTTCAGATTCTTTTGTCCCATGGGGTGTTCTCTTGATGTAGTACTCTCTGTGTTTTCCTAGGGATGTGGTTTCCTGAGGGCTAAGTTGTAGTGATTGTTATCTCTCTTCTGGATCTAGCCATCTGGTAGGTCTACCTGCTCCAGGCTGGTACTGGGGGAAGGAGGGGGTGTCTGCACAGAGTCCTGTGATGTGAACTGTCTGCAGGTCTCTCAGCCATGGATACCAGCTCCTGTTCCAGTGGAGGTGGCAAGGGAGTGAAGTGGACTCTGCAAGGGTCCTTAGTTGTAATTTTGTTTATTGCACTATTTTTGTGCTAGTTGGCCTCCTGCCAGGAGGTTGTGCTTTTAAGAGAGCATCGGCTGTAGTAGTATAGGGAGGATCAGGTGGTAGGTGGGGCCCTAGAACTCCCAAGAGTATATGCCCTTTGTCTTCAGCTACCAGGGTGGGCAGGGAAGGACCATCAGGTGGAGACAGGGCTAGGCGTATCTGAGCTCAGACTCTCCTTGGGTGGGTCTTGCTGTGGCTGCTGTGGGGGATGGAGGTGTGGTTCCCACATCAATGGAGCTGTGTTCCCAGGAAGACTATGGCTGCCTCTGCTGTGTCATGCAGGTTGTCAGGGAAGCGGGGCAAAGCCAATAGTCACAGGCCTCACCCAGCTCCCACGCAACCTAAAAGGCTGATCTCACTTCCACCGCACCCGCCCCCCTCATCCTCCCAACCCCCCAACCCCCCAACAGCACCAAGTCTGTTTCCAGGCAGTGGCTGTGCAGGGCTGAGAACTTGCCCCAGCCTACCTGCCTCTCAACTGTGAAAGCAAGGAGGGCTTTCGTGCCTCCCAACCTGTGGAGTCTGCACACCGGATTCACACCCTCCCCCAAGTTCTGGCCAGGAGACATTGCGTTCAGCTGGAGTTGTTACAAAGTTTAGCTGGAGGTTTCCTTTTCCTTTTGGTCTTTTCCCAGTTCCTCTGGCAACCCTCCCCAAGGATCCTTCCTAGGCAAGGCAGAAATGGCTTCCTTGTGGATCCAGAGAGCCCACAGGGCTTTTCCCACTGCTTCCTCTGCCCCAGTATTTCACTCGGCTCTCTAAACTGACTCAGCTCCAGGTAAGGACCCGTGATCTAGACCTTCTCCCGTGATCTAGACCTTCAAGTTCTCCAATGAGGGTGTGTTTTCGGGGTGGGTGATTCCTCTTTCCTACTTCCATAGCTTGGGTACTCACAGTATTTGGTGTGTGTCCTGTATCCTGCAGGAGTAATCTGCTTCTTTCAGAGGGTCTGTGTCTTTTCTCATCTTTCCTTGTTTATCAACATGTTTATTTTCCTGAATTGCTTTTCTGTGTTATCTTGGAGATCACTGAGTTTCCTTAAAACTACCATTTTGAATTATTGGTCAGAAAGCTCACATATCGCCATCTTGTTAGGGTCAGTTACTGTTTTTTGTTGTTGTTTGTTTTTTGTGTTTTTTTTTTTTGTTTGCTTTGGGAGATTATGGCTCCCTGTTCGCTCTTCTTTCTTGTGGCTATATGGCTATATCTTTCCACTGAATGATTAGTTATTTATTCCAGTCTTCTCTGTCTGGCTTTTGTTTTTTTTTATGGGATGTATTTGCTTAGATATTATTTACTGCCAAGTTGTTGGCTCCTTTTTGGCTCTAGGTGGTGCCTTAAGCCCATTTTCACCTTGGCTGTAGTAACTAATTGGAGTACTACTTGTCTCAGATGCAGGAGGCCCCAAAGAGTATATCCTGGCGGTGTGAGAAGGCTGGCTAGGGGTTTGTGCCCAGGAACCAGTGGAACACCCATCCTGTAGTGTGGTGCTACTGAACAGCCACAGTGATTTGGCATCTCCTTTGTCTGAGTTACTGAGCTGCATTTCCAGGGCTGGGGATGATAGTCTCACCTCTCCATTTTGACTTTGTCTGTCCTCAAGGATATTTCTCTCTCAGGCACGCTCAGTACTTCCCATGGCTTAAAGTAGGGACAGGTCTCCTGCCAGGGAACCCAAGATGGTGGGGAAGCTGGTTGTCCACCTTAATCTCATGGTTTGCATTGTGGAGACCATGAGTTGCAGGAAAATTTTCGACGCCCTTGGTTATGGGTAGAATCGGGGGAGGGGTGTCACAGATGTGAAATCCAATTCTATCACCATCTGCTCAGGGTCTTTCACTTCTCTGTGGCCTCAGGGACTATCTCATTCTTGTGTTTGAGTTCTGGAATATTTCTGGTGATAATCTTAGCATTGTGCATTTGTTTCAGTTTTCTGTTGAGGGGAGTGAATCCAGCTTGCTTCTGTGCTACCATGTTGGATCTGGAAGTCTAAGATATTGTAGTTTTTACAGCTTCAAAGTTTGTGGCACCTCTGCATGAAGCACATCTATTGGTGCCAGTTTTCTAATAGCATGTACTCACTTTGAATTTCTATGTCACATGTTGGTAATTCCCAATGTTTTAAACTTTTTCATTATTATTATTATATCTGTTCCGGTGATTTGTGATCAGAGATCTTTGATGTTACTATTGTAACTGTTTTGGGGCACCTCAGACAGTGCCCATGTAAGATGGCAAACCTAATAGATAACTGTTGTATGTGTTCTGACTACTCCACTGGCCAGCTGTTCAGCCGTCCTTCTCCCTCCCCTCAGGCCTTTCTATTCCCTGGTAAAAAAGAATGTTGAAATTAGGCCAGTTAATAATCCTACAGTGGCCTCTAAGCATTCAAGTGAAGAGTTGCATGTCTCTCACTTTACATCAAAAGCTAGAAGTGATTAAGTTTAGTGAGGAAGGCATGTTAAAAGCCAAGAGAGGTTGAAAGCTAGGCCTCTTGCACCAAACAGCCAAGTCATTAATACAAAGGAAAAGTTCTTGAAGGAAATTAAAGTGCCACTCCAGTGAACATACAAATGATAAAAAATCAAAACAGCCTTATGGCTGATATGAAGAAAGCTTTAGTTGTTGAATGGAAGATCCAGCTGGCCACAATATTCCCTTAAGCCAGTACCTAATCCAGAGCAAGGACCTAACTCCCTTTTATTCTGTGAATGCTGATAAAAGGTAGGAAGCTGCAGAAGAAAAGTTTGAAGCTAGCAGAGGTTGGATTATAAGGTTTAAGAAAACAAGAAATATCCACAGCATAAAAGTGCAAGGTACAGCAGCAAGTGCTGAGGGGAAGTTGCAGCAAGTTCTCCGGAAGATCTAGTTAAGATCATTGATGAAGGTGGCTACACTAAACAATGGATTCTCAATTTAGATGAGACAGTCTTCCATGGGAAGGAGCCACTATCGAGGACTTTCATAGCTAGAGAAGAGAAGTCACTGCCTGGCTTCAAAGGACAGGTTGACTTTCTTGTTCATGGCTAATGCAGCTGTTTACTTTAAGTTCAAGCCAATCCTCTTTTACCATTCTGAAATCCTAGGGATCTTAAGGAGGCTGCTAAATCTACTTTGTCTCTGCTGTATAAATGAGACAACACAGCCGAGATGACAGCATATCTGTTTATAGCATGGTTTACTGAATAAGTCCACTATTGAGACCCACTTCTCAGAAAGCAAGATTCCTGTATTAGTCTGTTCTCACATTGCTAAAAAGAAATACTCAGGATTAGGTAATTTATAAAGAAAAGATATTTTATTGGCTCGAGGTTCTGTAGGCTGTACAGGATATAGAATGGCATCAGCTTTTAAGGAGGCCTCGGGAAGCTTACAATCAGGGTGGAAGGCGAAGTGGGGAGTAGGCACATCATATGGCAAAAGCTGGAGCAAGAGAAAGGAGGGGAGAGGCCACATACTTTTAAACAACCAGATTTTGCAAGAATTCACTCACTATCATAAGAATAGTACCAAGAGGGTGGCACTAAAGCATTCATGAGAAATCTACCCTCCAATACAGTCAGCTCCCACCAGGCCCTACCTCCAACACTGGAGATTACATTTCAACATGAAATTTTGGCAGAGATACATATCTAGACTATATCAATTTCTTTCAAGGTATTACTGCTCATTGAGAATACATCTAGTCATGCAAGAGCTCTGATGGAGATGTACAAAAAGATTAATGTTGTTTTCATGCCTGCTAACGCAACATCCATTCTGTAATCCATAAAGGGTAATTTCATCCATTAAGTCTTATTTAAGCAATACATTTTATAAGTCTGTAGTCTCTCTTTTGTCTCTCTCTTGTCTTTTTACAAGTCTATAGTTTTATAAGTCTATAGTTTCCAGAGATGGTGATTCATTTGATGGATCTGGGCAAAGTCAATTGAAAACCTTTCAGAAAGGATTCACTATTCTAGATGCCATTAAGAACGCACATGATTCAAGGGAGGAGGTCAAAATATCAACATTAACAGGAGTTTGGAAGAAGTTGATTCTAACCCTCATGGATGACTTTGAGAGGTTCAAGACTTCACTGGAGGAAGAAACTGCAGATGTGGTGGAAATAGCAAGAGAACTACAGTTAGAAGTGGGGCCTGCTGTGACTAAATTGCTTTAATCTCATGATAAAACTTGAATGGATAAGGAGTTGCTTCTTACAGATGAGCAGGGAAAGTGGTTTCTTGAATGGAGCAGGGTGATCTTGCCCATGAAATGAGGCCAGACTCACCTGAGCACCCTTATGTCTGCTGGCCTCTCCCAGGGCCCCAACTTGGCTGTACCTGCTTGCAGTGCTGCCTTGGAAGCCCAAATATGGCTTGGACCCACATCATAGCTCCTGCACTGGCAGACCACACCTGACCATCAGAGAGCTCCAGCAGAGTGGCCCTCGCTGACACGCACCAGCCACATGCATTCATTCCTCATTGCAGACTACCCTATGCCACTTTGCTAGCATGTACTTGTCTGCAGCCACCCCCCCCCCATTGTTTTGCCAGCACACGTGTATGAGTGAACCTTGCCTTACCTTTCTTTCCAGCATGTGGGTGTATGTGCACTCCACCATGCTATTGCTGCTGGCATGAGCACACCCACCACCCGCCTGTTGCTGTTGTCCATGTGCATTACTGGCACAAACATGTGCATGGACAACAGCAGGCCTGCCCCCACCCTGTGTTGCCACTTCTGCTGGTATGAACACATGCATGGAGGTTGCCAGCTCTGCGCCTGCCAGCACCCTGCCCCTGTGCCAACACAGCTGTGGGTGTGAATGTGTGTATGGACCCTAGCAGCCTGCCCCCTTCTCTGCCCCACCCCCTTCTCTGGGCCCACCAGCCCTGTGTCTCAGCTGACAAGCATGCACCCTGCTGTGCTGCTGCTGCTGCTGCTCGCCCATGCAAACAAGCATGGATCCTGCTGCCACCACATGATGCTTTATCTGGCACCACCCATCAGAGTGTTGTGACCAGCATTCTGGGAACACTTTGGCTCTTCTGACACAGCAGGTTTCCATCCTGAGGGGGGTCAAAGAACAAAGCTGGGGTCATGATATCAGTCTTCCAGAGTTAAAACATGCAGCCTAGGGGTGCTGAGCTGAGCGTTGGCCCCCACAAAATCTACCAGAAATGAAACGAGTCAACTCAGCCTACCTTACGTCACAATCATACCCCCACGGACATCAAAGATAAAAGCAAAAACATACAGCTATCCAAAGGACAGCAACTTCGAAGATTGAAGAAACATCAGCCCACACAGATGAGAAAGAACCATTGCAAGAACTCTGGCAACTCAGGAAGCCAGAGTGTCTTCTCACCTCCAAACGACCACACTAGTTCCCCCACAATGGTTCTTAACCAGGCTGAAATGACTAAAATGACAGAAATATTATTCAGAATATGGATAAGAACAAAAATCATCAACATTCAGAAGAATGTCAAAACCCAATCCAAGAAATCTAAGGACTACAATAAAATGACACAGAAGATGGAAAATGAAATGGCCATGTAAGAAAGAACCAAACTGAGCTGATGTAGCTGAAAAACTCACTTCAAGAATTTCAGAATGCAATCACAAGTATTAACAACAGAATCAACCAAGCATGAGGAAAGAATCTGAGCTTAAAGACCAGCTCTACAAAAGAACTCAGTCAGACAAAAATAAGGAAAAAACAAGAAGAATGAAAAAAATCTCCAAGAAATATGGGATTAAAGAGACCAAATCTACGATGCATCGGCCTCCCTGAAAGACATGGAGAGAAAGCAAACGCCTTGAAAAACATATTTTATGATAAGGTCTGTGAAAATTCCCTCAACCTCTCTAGAGAGGCCAACATTCAAATTCAGGAAGTGCAGAGAACCCTTGTGAAACACTACACAAGAAGACCATCCCCAAGACATGTAGTCATCGGATTCTCCAAGGTCAAAATGAAAGAAAAAACATTAAAGGCAGCTGGGGGAAGGGGCATGTTACCTGCAAAGGGAGCTTCATCAAACTAACAGTGGACCTTTTAGCAGAAACCCTACAGAAAAGAATGAGTGCCTTTAGTCAGCATTCTTGAAGAAAATAATTTTCAACTAAGAATTTGATATCCAGACAAATGAAGCTTCATAAGGGAAAGAGAAATAAGATCCTTTTCAGACAAGCAAATGCTAAGAGATTTTGATACCATCAGACCTGCCTTACAAGAGGTCCTCAAGGTAGTTGTAAACATGAAAGACTATTACTGACCACTACAAAAACACATTAAGTACATAGACCAGTGACACTATAAAGCAACCACACAAATAAATATACATAGTAACTGCTGACAACATGATGACAGCAACAAATCTAGACACAGCAGCACAAATCTTGAATATAATCAGGCTAAATAGCCCAATTAAAAGGCACAGAGTGACAAGTGGATTTAGAGAAGCAAGACCCAATGGTTTGCTGTCTTCGGGACACCCATCTCACATGCAGTGACACCTATAGACTCAAGGGATGTAGAATGAGAAAAATCTACCAAGCAAACAGAAAAGAGAAAAAAAGCAGGGGTTACTATTCCAACTTCAGACGAAACAGACTTTAAACCAACAAAAATCAAAATTGAGAAAGAAGGGCATTACATAATGATAAAGGGCTCAATTCAACACGAAGAACTAACTCTCCTAAATATGTATGCACCCAACACAGGAACACCCAGATTTATATAGCAAGTTCTTAGAGACCTATGAAGAGACTTAGATAACCAAACAATAATAGTGGGAGACTTTAGTACCCCACTAACAGTATTTGATCATCAAGGCAGAAAACTAACAAAGATATTCAGGACCTGAACTTGACACTTGACCAAATAGCCATGTACAGAACACTTCACCCCAAAACAACAGAATATACGCTCTTCTCATCTGTGCATGGCATATACTCCAAAATCGACCACACAACCAGACATAAAACAATCATCAGCAAATGAAAATAAAGAAAACTAAAATCATACCAACCATGCTCTTGGACCACAGCACAATAAAAATAGAAATCAATACTAAGAAAATAACTCAAAACCATACAATTACATGGAAATTAGACAACTTGCTCCTGAGTGACTTTTTGGGAAATGATTGAGGCAGAAATAAAGAAATTATTTGAAACTAATGAGAACAAAGATACAATATATCAAAATCTCTGCGACAAAGCTAAG
Source organism: Homo sapiens (assembly GCF_000001405.40). NCBI lineage: Eukaryota > Metazoa > Chordata > Mammalia > Primates > Hominidae > Homo > Homo sapiens. The sequence goes on along the minus strand of NC_000018.10, from coordinate 74,090,569 downwards.
GCAGTGTTATGAAGGAAGTTTATAGCACTAAACACCCACATCGAAAAGTTAGAAAGATCTCAGATTAACAATATAACATCACAACTGGAGGAACTAGAAAACCAAGAGCAAATCAACCCCAAAGTTAGCAGAAGACAAGAGATAACCAAAATCAGAGCTGAACTAAAGGAAATTGAGATGTGAAAAATTGTACAAAATATTAATGAATTCAGGAGTTGTTTTTTTGAAAAAATTAAGACAGACTGCTAGCTAGAGTTATAAAAAATAGAGAAGATACAAATAAATACAATCAGAAATGACAAAGGGGGCATTACCACTGACCCTAGAGGAATACAAAAACCCTGAGACTATTATGAGCACCTCTATGCACGTAAAGCTAGAAAACATAGAAGAAATGGATAAATTCCTGGGCGCATACACCCTCCCAAGACTGAACCAGGAAGAAATTGAATCCCTGAACAGATCAGTAATGAGTTCAAAAATTGAATCAGTAATAAAAAGCCTGCCAACCAAAAGAAAGCCACAGACCAGAAGGACTCACAGCCAAATTCTACCAGCTGTATAAAGAAGAGCTGGTACTATTCCTAGGGAAACTATTCCAAAAAATTGAGGTGGAGGGACTCCTCTCTAAGTCATTCTGTGAGGCCAGCATCATCCTGATACCAAAACCTGGCAGAGACACAATTAAAAAGAAAACTTCAGGCCAATATCCTTGATGAACATAGATGCCAAAATCCTCAACAAAATACTAGCAAACTGAATATAGCAGCACATCAAAAAGCTAATCCACCATGATCAAGTAGGTTTTATCTCCAGGATGCAAGGTTGGTTCAACATATGCAAATCGATAAATGTGACTCATAACATAAAGAAAACTAAAAACAAAAACCACATGATTATCAATAGATGCAGAAAAAGCTTTTGATAAAATTCAACATCACTTCATGATAAAAACCTTCAAGAAACTAGGCATTGAAGGAACATACTTCAAAATAATAACAGCCATCTATTTCAAAACCAATATTATACTGAATGGGCAAAAACTGGAAGCATTCCCCTTGAAAACTGGAACAAGACAAGGATGCCCTCTCTCACCACTCCAACATAGTACTGGAAGTCCTGGCTAGAGCAATCAGACAAGACAAAGAAATAAAGGCATCCAAATAGGAAGTCAAATTATCCCTGTTTGCAGGCAAGATGATTATATGCCTAAAACCCCCCATAGTCTCTGCTCAAAAGCTCTTTGATCTGATAAACAACTTCACCGAAGTTTCAGGATACAAAATTAATGTACAAAAATTAGTAGCATTTCTGTACACCAACAACATCCATGCTGACAGCCAAATCAAGAACACATTCACATTCACAATTGCCACAAAAAGAATAAAATACCTAGGGGAACAACGCACACTGGGGCCTGTCGAGGGGTGTGTGTGTGGAAAGAGAGAGCATCAGGATAAATAGCTAAGGCATGTGGGGCTTAATACCTAAGTGATAGGTTGATAGGTGCAGCAAACCACCATGACACACATTTATCTGTGTAACAAACCTGTACGTCATGTACATGTATCCCAGAACTTAAATTAAGAGAAAAAGAATAAAATACCTACAAATAGGAATACAGCTGACCAGGGAGGTGAAAGACTTCTATGAGATCTATTTTATAATTCTGTGAGAATTACAAAACACTGCTCAGTGAAATTCAGGATGACACAAATGGAAAAACATTCATGCTGATGGATAGGAAAAATCAATATTGTTAAAATAGCCAGACTGCCTAAAGTAATTTATAGATTCAGTGTTATTCCTATCAAACTACCAATGACATTCTCCACAGAATTAGATAAAAACTATTTAAAAATTCATATGGAACAAAAAAAGAGCCCAAATAGTCAAGGCAATCCTAAGCAAAAAGAACAAAGCTGGAGGCATCACATTTCCTGACTTCAAACTATATTACAAGGCTACAGTAGCCAAAACAGCATGGTACTTGCATAAAAACAGACACATAGACCAATGGAACAGAATACAGTGCCCAGAAATAATGCCACACACACCTACAACCATCTGATCTTCAACAAAGAGACAAAAACATGCAATGGGGAAAGGACTTCCTATTCAATAAATGATGCAGGGATAACTGGCTAGCCATATGCAGATGATTGAAGCTGGACCAATTCCTTACACCACATATAAAAATCAACTCAAGATGTATTGAAGACTGAAATGTAAAACCTAAAACTATAAAATCCCTGGAAGATAGCCTAATAAATACCATTCTGAACATAGGACTGGCAAAGATTTCATGATGAAGACACCAAAAATAATTGCAACAAAACCAAAAATTGACAAATGGGACTTACTTTAAAGAGCTTCTGCACAGCAAAAGAAACTATCAACCAAGTAAACAGACACCTATCAAATGGGATAAAACATTTGCAAACTGTGCATTTGATAAAGGTCTAACATCCAGCATCTGTAAGGAACTTAAATTCACAAGCAAAAAAAACCCCATTAAAAAGTAGGCAAAGGACATGAACAGACAATTTTCAAAAGAAGACGTACATGCTGCCAACAAGCATATGATAAAATGCTCAACATCACTAATCATTAGAGAAGTGCAAATCAAAACCACAGTGAGATACCATCTTATACCAATCAGAATGGCTATTATTAAAAATTCAAAAAAATGACACAGGCTCACAAGGTTGTGGAGAAAAGGGAACACTTATACACTGCTGGTGTGAATGTAAATTAGTTCAGCCATTGTGGAAAGCAGTTTGGCAATTTCTCAGAGAACTGCAAAGAGAATTACCATTTGACCTAGCAATCCCATTATTGGGTATGTTCCCAAAGGACTATAAGTTATTCTACCATGAAGACACATGCATGTATCTGTTCACTACAGCACTATTCACAATAGCAAAGACATAGAGTCAACTTAAATGCCCATCAGTGGTAGACTGGATAAAATGTGGTACTTGTATACCATGCAATATTATGCAGCCATGTCCTTTACACCAACATAGATGGAGCTAGAGGCCATTATCTTAAGTGAACTAATGAACAGAAAACAAAATACCGTATGTTCTTACTTATAAGTGAAAGCTAAACATAGAGTACATATGAACACAAAGAAGGGAACAACAGATACCACCAGGTCCTACTTGAGGGTGGAGGGTTGGAGGAAGGTGAAGATCCAAAAACTACCTATCGGGTACTATGCTTATTACTTGGGTGATGAAATAATCTCTACAAACCCCTGCAACATGCGGTTTACCTATATAACAAACCTCCACATGCACACCCGAACCAAAATAAAAGTTTAAAAAAATGCCACAGCCACATTCAGCAACTACCATCCTGATCAGTCATCAGCCATCAACATTGAGGCAAGACCTTCCACCAGCAAAAAGATAATGCTTTGCGGAAGGCTCAGATGGTCATTAGCATTTTTTAGCAATAAAGTATTTTTGAATTAAAATATGTACATTATTTTTTAGACATAATGCTATTGCACATTTAAAAGAGTATAGTATAAACATAACTTTTATATGCATTGGGAAACCAGAAAATTTATGTGACTTGCTTTTTTGTGATATTTGCTTTATTCCTGTGGTCTAGAACTGAATCTGCGGTACGTCTGAGATATGCTTGTGTTTAAGTTTCCCTCTAGTACCCTGGAGAAATGCTTTTATGTAGATCCTGCATCTTTCTCCATTTATTAATACTTATTTTTGTGTTGCCTTTGTGAACAAATTCTTATTATGTTTCCATATTTTGTTAGATGTGCTCTATATCCTATAGACTTTCTGTAATATAGTTTCTATTAAAATACCAATTAAAAACTATTCAGTGCTGGCTGGGCATGGTGGCTCACGCCTATAATCCCAGTACTTTGGGAGGCTGAGGTGGGCGGATCATGAGGTCAGGAGATCGAGACCATTCTGGCTAACACGGTGAAACCCCATCTCTACTAAAAATACAAAAAATTAGTCAGGCGTGGTGGCGGGCGCCTGTAGTCCCAGCTACTTGGGGGGCTGAACCCAGGAGGCAGAGCTTGCAGTGAGTTGAGATCGCACCACTGCACTGCAGCCTGTGCGACAGAGTGAGACTCCGTCTAAAAACAAAACAAAACAAAACGCTATTCAGTGCTTACTCTGTAAGACACAATAGAAAATGTCAAGGGTATGAAAAACAAGTTATGGGCCTCAGAGGTAGGAGATTGTTTAGCTCTTTAGCAGCAGAACCTGAGAAGTGCAGGTGATCTCCTTATGAAATTCTTCTTTAATGTTTTTGAGTTTTTTTCAGTTATTTTTGTATATATCATGTTATTGTCTTTTTTATTGTTGTAATTCCAAAAATAGGTGACTTTTCGTTCCATCTTGATATTATCAAGTTTCTTGATATTAATTTTTTTTCTGTGTCTAGTTCAGATTATACTCCCCAAGAATTTATAATAGGTAAAGCATTAGAAACAGTATACTCCTTTCTGAGTGGTAATTACCTAGAAAAGTCAAAGCAGATAATTCATTATAGCATATTTATTAGTACTTGTTAGTACATGTTTTCTTGGTTTGTACATCTGATGACTTATTATGAAAGTGTTACAAATTAGTGTTTCTCATTTGATGAAATCTAATCAATTTTAAATTTCCTGGTTGTTTTTTCCTGTTTTAAAACTTTTTCTATCCCAGGTTATAAAGATATTCTTCTTTGTTTTTCCTACCATTGTTATGGTTTCAGCTTTTGCATTTCGGTTTGTTATCTGTGTTTTGTGTAAATTAGAAGATAAGTTGATGTTCTTTCCCAGTGTGGATGTCCAGTTGTTTTTGTACCATTTGTGAAAAGACTTTCTTTGCTCATCAAATCATTTTGATGACTTTGTCAAAAATCAATTGCTTGTAAAAGTGTAGGTCTATTTCTGAACCAATCTATTCCATTTTATTGATCTGTGTGTCTTTTTTTTGTTGTTTTGAGACGGAGTCTCACTCTGTTGCCCAGACTGGAGTGCAGTGGTGCGATCTCGGCTCACTGCAACTTCTGCCTCCTTGGTTCAAGCGATTCTCCCACCTCAGCCTCCTGAGTAGCTGGGATTACAGATGCCTGCCACCACACCTGGCTAATTTTTGTATTTTTAGTAGGATGGTGTTTCACCATGTTGGCCAGGCTGGTCTCGGACTCCTGCCCTCAGGTGATCCACCTACCTTGGCCTCCAAAGTGCTGGGATTACAGGTGTGAGCCACTGCACCCAGCCAATCTGTGTGTCTTTATAAATAATCCCACACTGTCTTGATTTCTGTAGCTCTATAGTAAGTCTTGAAGTCAACTTTTTTTTTTCCAAGATTGTTTTGGCTATTTTAGGTCCATAGCATTTTCATATGGAGTTTAGAATCATCTTGCCAATATTATTATTTATATAAGTATTAATTATTTATAAACCATTTTCTGAAGTACCTATTGGGATTATGCTTGTGATTGTGTGAAACTATAATAGATAAGTTTGGGTAATTGGACATCTTCACTATATTGGGTCTTCCAGTCTACAAACATGGCACATCTCCACATTCTGCTTGACAATGCACTTGACAGTCTTTAGATAGAATATTATTATTGAGATAAAGTATAGAGGGTACTTAACACACTTAGCTTGGCATACATAATCAACTACTGCATAATGTTAATATTATCAGTTCCATTCATCCTCACAAGGCCTTATCAAGTGCTGTTTGTATCCGTATTTTACTGAGTTCGGAACTTGACCGTGGTTATACAGTTAATAAATGGCTGAGCAGGGTTTGGAATGAGGTCTTTATGAGTCTAAAGGCCATGCTTACCAGTACAGTGTCACTGGAAACCAAGGATGGTGAGCCTCAAATTGTATTTTGCTGAATTTTGCAGATGGTCTTGTGTATTGGTAAGTTAAGATTAGAGTCTCCAAGAACAGAGTTTATTCTGAATGACTTAAGGAGCACGGGAATTTAATGAAGGCTATACTTGCTCATAGTCTCTCTAGGAGAGCCACACTCTGTGTTTATAGATGCAAAGCCATGCTCTGTGGCTTCTCTTGTGAAACTATCAGCAGTATAGTAACCATTAGCAGCCTCAGAACCTCTGCTCCTGCCCGCCTGAGGCGCAGGCCCCTGCCACTGCCTCTGCCAGCAGATGGCTCTTCCCGTTCTCTTCCTCCTCTCATGCTCATTTCCGACTCCAGGTTTACAGGAACACATGTGTCTCACTGAAGGAGCCTGCATCACCAGTGACCGGCTTATAAGGAGGGCTGGGAGCAGAGGCTGTGGGACTCATAGGCTGAGCCATTACTTCAAGTATTGGGAAGCCATAGTGATTCCCCAGTGTATCCTGCTTGCTAATTTATAAATAGGCTTTTCTCTTGGGAGTAGTATGAAAACAAACATGAGAATCTGAATCTGCATTATAAATTATTGGCTAGTAATTAATTAGTGCTATGTTTTGCATATTTCTTACTCTATTGTAACATAGACTCTGGACACAGAACAGGGTTTGGATCATGTTTCTGCCGTTGACCAGGGATCTGACCTTGGGCGAGTTACTGTTAACCTCTCTGCATCAGTTTTATCACCTATGAATTCAGAAAATTATATTACCCAGTTAATATTATTATTAAGGTGTTAAAGTATTCTTCTAAGCTGTTAAGTGTCTAACTCAGTGGTTGGTATACAATAAGTACTCAAAAATACACCTATTTTATATACACACACTTTCACACATCTGTTCCATGTGCAGACTGTTTAAATGTAGGAAGAGCTTAACCTTTCTCTGTCTTATAAGTGGTTACAGAGGGTTGGCGGAAAGAGCTCTGACCTTTGGAGACACCACAGTGTTATAATTGTTCTGAAGTGGGAGAATACCTGGTAATAACAAAATAACAGTCTCTGCTTCCTACAGGGATTTGAGGTTTATTAGCTCAGGCAGTTGCCACTGAGACGTTATTGGCTGCTGTATTTGGAGTGCATTTTCTGCCGTGTCCTGGGGACAAGCTGTGTGGAAGATGAGCTCCTGGTTTTCTGTAGGCGCCGTCGGCTGCCTGCCTTTGCCGCACCAGTCAGAGGCCTCCCTTGGTTTTGCACGTGGCTGCAGTAGTGCAGGGCAGAGCAGAGTCACATCTGGTCCATTCAGAATGTCATTACTGTGCCTCCACTGAGGCCTCGCTTTTCATACACTTCCTCCCTGCTTCCGTCGAGCCCTGCTGAGGTGACGAGGTGATGAGGTGACAGCAGAGCTGTTGCCTGGGAAGGGTCCGTGTCATTTGGCATTTCTTCCTATGCCTGGGGAGAGTGGAAGGGAAGCTACACAGCTCTTGCTAATTACTCAGCATTAGAGAGGAAAATGTGGGCTGCCTCTGTCCTTGGAACAGAAGTAAGACGTGGAGAAACCAGCAGTGTGGCATCTGGGCAAGGAGCTCCCGTTTGCGGGGCTGGAAACCCTGCCTCTGCGTCCTCTTTCACTTAAAGCATATTACTGGGTCACAAAAGAGGCCCCAGGCAAAGTGTGGGCTTTAACCTTCTGGTGACACTGAAGTTGGAGAACACTGTATAACATTTCTAGAGCAGAGCTTTGGCTCCCAAGGCAGCTTGGCTTTGGTTTTATTTTGTCTCATGAAATAACCAGGCCAGGGCTGGAGAACATTTGCTCTTTTCCATGATTTTTCTGTTTGCTTTGCCCTGTGACTTGCATCTTCCCTTTGTTCAGACTTCCATCTCTGGAGAATTCTCGGGTATGAGTTGTGTTGCTGTCGGTTGGTTTGTGTGAGAAGCAACTGATGGTCGCTTCTCAGGGTGCGTTCAGACAGAACCAGGAAGCTTGTGTCTGTGTGAGACCGAGTGGTGCTGCGGCTCTCCCTGCCACAAGAGGCCTGTGGCAGCAGGGCTAGTGTGCTGTGTGGGTGCGAGGGCTCCTCCGTGTGGCCAGGCTGCCAGTAGCTGGCTTGGAGCTGGCAGCAGAGGGCCAGGGTTTGGCCTCCAGCTAGGTGGGCATGTGCACGGACTCTCACTCAGTTACAAGCATGTGCAGAGGTGTTGGTTTATTTCATGTGAGTTTCTTCCACTCCTCTTCATGTTCGCCTGCTCTCCAGCCCCTTGTTTCTTTGCCATTTCTGCACCTGCTTTCTTCAGCTGTGTAATTCTAGATATCGGTTTCCAACACTGTTGGCTTACCCACATCAGAAGAACCCTTTCCTCCTTCAGCGACCACCTTTCCATCAGTGACAGGTGGCTATCCAGGCTCGCCTCAGCCAGCTTCCCCTGACTCACCTTTGACATCACCTTTCTGGGCACTTGTTAATGTTTCTGCCTCTGGGACACAGATGCATCACTCTGGCCTCAAGCCAGAGGCTGGGATTGCTGTGCCCATGTTGCCCTCATCGCTGAGGCCAGGGCTTACCAGGGTGAGGTATCCTTATAAAGTCGCCGACTGAACGTGCTTGGTTTGTCATCTTGCACTGGAAGACAGTGATTGAAACAATCTTATATCTTTTCAGGAAATATTGAAAATGGACATGTGAAGCTCATTGTTATACATTTAAAAAATAACAGAGAACACCTACCTCTTATTGGAAAAGTTGGCCTCTCGTGGAAAACTGATATTTTTGATGGCTGTATAAAGGTAAAAACAGAACCGTTTTCTTTTCTTCAAGTAACTTGATTTCTATATAATAAAAAGTCTGTTTATATATATAAATTATATTGTCATATATGTATGATGTTTCTTTTATAGTTCTGGATTTATTGTTCTGGTTTCTGAAGGTTGGTGCACATTCTGTTAGCCATTGACAGCCAGTGGATTCACTCATGAGATGCTTATTGAGTACCTTTCATTTGTCACTGAGTATGGTGGAGTTGGAGGGGCAGGTAGTCTGCAGCAGCATTTCAGAACACTGTTGATCACAGTCCCCTACTCTCTCAAAGCCCCTCTGTTTTGTGGAAAGAGAGTGGAACTGAAGGTTGGACCACGCAGGCAGCATCTACTCAAAACATCTTGATCATCCATGTACCAATTTAAAACTTATTGCAGTTATAAATTCTTAGTCCAGGATATAGGGATTTCCTTGAACTGTTAAATAAAGATTAGCCACATGGGTGGGAGAGTTGACTTAGTGGTTGGGAAGTAGCAGGGAAGGAGGGAGGAGGAGGAAGAGGAGAAAGATGTTCTCACAGTTTTGCTTTCTTCTGTCCTTGTGCCCATGGCTGCTCCTGGTTCTTGTCACTCTCCAACTTTATTTTATGGGATGAACAAGATTTTCATTGTCCCAGGGACCAGTGGGATCAATCTCCTGTGACTGCGGGGGCCTCCTGTAACATGGCTTTATACGGCGCTATGCATGCGCACCTTGTTAGAACTATTAATGATGACGACTGGGACCAAGAGTGGTGTTATCATGAAGCACTGTCCCTTGAGCCACTTGATATTTGATGCAATGAGATATTTTACAAATCCTATTTATTCATAGCAAATGTTTAAGTTTTGGTAAAAATGATGTTTATCACACACCATGTTGTTTCATGCCTTTAAGAGCACAGACCTACCTTCTTTCTTTTTCTTCAGATTTCAATAAAGCCTATAATAAAAGTAGGTACTAAGATAAAATATTCACGTCAAAATAGACCTTGAGGATCAAGAAAGGCAGAATGTGAATGTGACTGTCTTTTAAAGGGTCAGCATAATTTTTAAAAATAATTTGTTCTGTGTTTTCTGGTAGTCCAGAGAAAGATGAGAGCAGTCATTTAGTTCTCATTGGGAGAAAAAAGGGAAATGTAGTAATTATACAAAGAAAGCTTTATCCCAGTTCTGATCATTAAAAACAAAATTTCCAATGGGACTTTATGTAGGGCAGACTAAGCTACATAATGGACCCACCCTGAATAGCATCTTAGCAGCAGATGCACTCACAGATTTCTCATAGAAGTTCTCAGAGAAGCTGAAGATACGGCTTCAAAATTGGACCTTTACATGAGCTCCAAGCAGTGATTCTGTAGGTTGCTAAACCAATGTGACTGAGGTGCACAGGTGTTTAGAAAAACAGCTTGATCTGAAAGCAGGATTTTGAGTTTTTAAAGTAGAGAATGGATTGCATGTCCCTGGACAGTTTTCCCCATAAATTCCTTCTCTCAGATGGGCTTTGGGAAAAGATAGCAGATAGCTCAAAAGCTTGTACCTTCTCCCTTGGGCCTGGAGGGTAGATGTGGTTTATTTTCTGTTTGCCTTTTATGCTCTTGGATTCAGTATTAAGACTAAGCCGTCCTCAGAATTCCCAAAAGAATAAAAAGTCAGATCAGTGATGTCATATGTCTTGTATTTGCTGTGCAGCTCAGGTATTTCTCTCCAGGAATCTGATCACCCTAAGAATAGTGAAATGATAACATTTATTTTAAGAAATTGCTTGGAAGGAGTTAAAAACTTTTTTTTTAAAGCATGGACATAAGCTTAGAAAGTTTCTTAGGTACATATGACTTTTAAAAAAATGTAAAATAAAAACCCGGCTCCTTCTGGAAATTGTAGACACAACCTCTGGTGAGGAGCTTCTACTAAATAGTTTACGATGCCTGTCAGAGCATAGGCTACTGAGAAAGTACGTCACCCAAATACGATGCTGGTGGAAGGACAAAGAAGTGAGAAAATATTAATGATAATGACGGAGGATGCTGCCTAGTTGTGTCGTGTTGGTTGAAGTGATGTGCAGTCGTGAAAGGACATCTGATGTCCTTGGGACCTGCTGTTCCCATGAGAATCTCCGTCTTCCTCCAACCTCAGAGTTGAGTGACCTCCAACACTTACTGGTGTGGAGGTAATTCAGGTGGAAAGTATCTTTAGTTTGAGTTCCTAGAGCAAAAACTCAACAGATCATAAGTTTATGTGGTAAATTATTAAACTTTAAAATTCTTTAAAAATCACATTCTAAGTAGGTCAGTTTTTTATTCTTTTTTTAAAAAACTCAAAAGATACTGATAATTATTACAATAATATTATGAATGAGCTGTATTTTAATTGTGGTAAAATAAACATAAAATTTACCACCTTCACCACTTGACTTCTATATTTCAGTGGCTTACATACCTTCTCATTGTTGTATAACCATCACTACTGTCTAATCTCCAGAACTTTTCATTTAAAGATGCTTTCAGTGGCCACGTGTTAGTACTGAATCCATGCAGGACGCTTGCTCTGTAAGTGGTTACCATGCTATTTTACAAAGTCATGTTGAAACAGCTAGGCTACCCTCTCAAGGTAACCTTGCTGCAGTCTTCAGCATAAGTCAAGTAATCAAAGTGAAATACTCTCCTGCTCTGTCTCCTCCCAGCGCCTATCAGAATTTCAGATGGATGGATTTTCTTTTGGTGAGGCTTTTCCCGTATGTTTCTTTTATGTTTTTCTTTCACTCCTTGGCATTTTTGATGTTATTTTAATGTTACTTCTAAATCTATATGGAGATTGGCATCAATTTTTATTTAGACTAGATATTTCAGTGTAGTTCTGTGGTTCTGCTTTATGTAAGAACAGCTGAGTTCAGTAGAGCCTGCTGTGGGTACATCGTGGGTCAGCATGTTGTGGGTGGCCGTGGCCCATGAGAAAGGCATCCTGGCCACTTCACTTGACAAGCACTGCAGCTGCATGGGTGATTAAGGCTGCTGGTGCTGATACAACCGAAAATCGCAGGAAGAACAGAACAGTCCCACACGTGCGAGTGCTGCACTCTCCCCAGACACTGAGTTTTGAGCCTGGCGTAGTTCACTGGTCCATGGGAGCGCAGGTGAGGAGAGACTTCCTCCTGCAAGGAGGGTGAGGTCTGCCGACTGCTCAGATGTGTGCCTCCTGGACGTTCAGGGTGAGAGGGACTGATTTAGGAGAGGGATGATTGAAAACAAGTTCTGTGAGGAGAAAGAGGAAAGGGGCCAGTGGGAGGAAGGCTCATGAGAGGTTCTGACATGCATCCCCCCCCAGAAGGTTGGGAGTGATTTATTCTGGAGAAGGAACCCAGTGGAGAAAGAGATGCTTCGGACAGGATGGGAAATAAGGAGCGAGCTTCTAGAGGTGAGGGGCAGCTGGCCCGGGGAGGGGTGCGAGACCCACTGTGCCGCTGCGGCTGGTGCTGAGGCGGGCCTCTTCCTAGCTGGCTGTCCTGCCTGGGGTGGGCTAGCACCCGGGGACAGGAGGGACAGTGACTGGGGGGCATTGGAAAGGCTGCTGGGGCAGGTCGGGGGGGGGCCTTGAAACCCTCAGGAAAGAATTTGGATTTTGGTGTATCTGTGGATGTTGTTAAAGAGTTTGATGTGCCTATCGTGTGCTAGGCCATGTTTTAGGTTAGGAGGGAATTGGAGAATGCTGGACTTTGAGAACTAGGAGGGCTTCAGAGGAGAGTCAGCTCCCAGCTCTTGATCTGGCAGCAGAGGAGGTGGGAGAGCAGAAAGACTGAGACACCCACCGACGGCTTAGGGCTGTGAGCAGCGTCCTCACCAAGGAGCCCTTGTGCCCCACCGGCCGCTCCTTCCTGACTTCTGCCAGGGTTTCTCCTCCTCAACCTTCTCGCAGGTGATGGGACCCAGGGCTCCACCTCCTTCCTCCCATAGGATCTAACCACCATCTCTATGCTGGTGGGTTTGGTGAGGTTGTAAGTAACACAGTCAAGTGACTGCTAGCCCAGTGGCTAAGGTCGTGCAGGGTGGTGGGGTGTGGAAGATGGATGCACCATGCAGTCCCACCTGCTGTGTTATCTCAGAGGTGCTTAGACCTCAGAGCCTTCTCTCTAAAACGGCCACAGTGGTAATGCCCATTCCAGGAGGGCTCCGGCTGCCTGCCAAAGACAGAGCCATCTGCTGGCCCTCAGTATTGGCTTCAACTCCCCCATTCTCAGCCTCAGTGAGGCTGCAGTGTAGGGTGTTTTTTCTTATTCCCCACCTGCTCCCCACTCTGGTGTCCTCCTCGCAGCCCAGGCTCTGTGTGTGGTGGTCCCTGTCATGCAGGAAGCAGTGGGTGCTGTGGAACAGGCTGTGTGGGGCTGGTCGCTGCTGTTCCAGGACCACTGCAGCCGATTGCCTGGGAAAGGCATCAGGGAGCAAGGTCAGGTGTCTGAGGGGTTCCTGGGTGGTCTCACTGTGTAGCTCATCTGATGTGAGGGGCCTTAGGCTCTGGCGTGCACTCTCCCATCAGGGATTAGTGTGTTTCATGCTGGCTGCTTCTTCACCCATCTCTTCTTTCCTGGTGTTTGCTGCCCCTGATGCATTAGGGCTCCTGCTGTCCTACCTTAGTGTTTAATAACAACCAGCACCTCCATCACTACTCTTACCACCTCCCTCTCATTTTATCACACTCATTCATTCATTCAGCACATAGTGGTTGAGCTTCAGTGACTGTGTGCATATGCAGGTGGCCAGGGGCACGATGCTGAACCAAGCTGGCCTAAGTCCTGCCCTCTTGGTGCTTAGCATCCATCTCTACCTGCACTGGCCGGGCCGAGTCAGTTTCAGCACTGCAGCTGTATCAAGTTCTGCATTCAACACACTGGTGTTTCTGCCCATTGGGTACATGGTCAGTTGAGATGAGAGTATCAGGGAAACTTCCTCAAGGGACTGGTATTCGAACTGAATGCTGAGATGGACAAAGAGAAGATGGGAAGAGGATCTCTCAGCAGGGGAGCTTGGGTGGCTCTTTGTCAGCTGGGGGCATGGTGTGTTCAAGGGTGAAGGGTCAGTGTGGCTGGAGCACAGATGGCAAGATGTGTGCAATGAGGTGGGATGGGCGGATGAGGCCAGGTCAGGCCTTAATGGTAGCCGGAAGGAATTTGGTTCTTTCTTGAGAGCCGTGGAAAGTTGTCTCAGGGTGATATGCTCAGACTCATGTTTTGTAAAGGTTTGTCTTCTGAATATGGCGAATGAGTGGGGAGATCAGTTAGATGGCTGCCTCCTTAAAGGAAGAGCAGTCACTTGGTTTCCTAGTCTGCTTGGCATGCTATCACATATCACCATCAGCTGGGTGGCTTTTAAGCAATAGAAACTTACTTCTTACAGTTCTGGAGGCTGGAAGCACCAAGGTCAAAGCACCAGCAGATGGGTGTCTGGTGAGGGCCCTCTTCCTAGTTCCTAGAGGCACCTTCTAGCAGTGTCCTCACCTGGTAAAAGGAGTGAGACAGCTCTGTGGGCCTCTTTTATAAGGACCTCAGTCCTATTCATGAGAGCTCTGCCCCCGTGACCTAATCACCTCCTAGAGGCCGCACTGCCTAAACAGTCACATTGGTGATCAGATTTTAAGACACGGATTTTGGGACGCACAAACATTCAGACCATAGCACTTGGACTAGGGCAGTGGCAATGGAGATGGACAAAATTAAAGCGATTCGAAAGAGAGGTAAGAACTAACGGGATTGGGTGATGGTTGGCTCGTCAGGGCTAGGAGGGAGGCCCCTAGAAGGACGCCCACATTTCAGGCATGCACAGCCAGATGACTGATGATGGTTCCACCAGTCCCTGGGACGAGGAGTACCAGGAGAGCTTTGCTGGGAGGGTCCTGAGTTTGGGCATAGTCCTGCTGGACTTGAGGGACCGTTGAAAGATCCAGAAGTTGAGTACGCACTTGAATATTTAGGTCTTGAACTTAGAAAAGAAGTTCGGCCTGGAGATAAACTTTTGGGAATCACAGGCATGTTGGTGATAACTTAGGATGTGAATGTAGATGAGTTCCATTTATGGGGAGAGATTACATAGAGTGAAAATAGGGCCTAGGACCAAGCTGTAGGAACCTCAGCAATGGGAGTGGGTAGAGAGCTGCAGGGCTTGTGGGTTCTGGATGCATTTGGAGAGGTAGAATTACTCTTCACTGTTCTCTTGAAAAACTAAACACTGCTGAGAAGCAGACTGACAGATGGTCACTGGATTTAGTGGCCTTATCAAGAGATGTTCGGTCAGATGATGGAAAAAGGATACCAGGCCAGAGTGGTTTGATGAGTGAATGGGTATTAATGGACAAATCCAGCGGAGACAGCTCTTTGGAGAGGGTTGTCTGGGAAGCGAGGAAAGAGCAGGGGCCTGCGGGGCCCAGGGAGGCTGTTTCCCTCTCTCTGCCTCTCTAAGATGGGAGTTACTTGAATGTGTTAAAGACTAAAAGCTGATGGGAGGACAGAAGTAGTCACTTGAGAGGGACATCATGCCTTTGCAAGATGGGCTACGCTGCAGCAGGAGGTTACTGGGCCACACCCGGGAGGAGCAGATGAGAAACACATGTGAGGAGAGGTGGGCGCAGAGGAGCTGGGCTGTGGATCTGCAGTGGGAAGTTGAGGAAAACATCCTTCTCCCCTGTCTGTGAAGGCCGAGGTTCTCTGCAGAGATCACCCTCCTAGCAGGATGCAGAGGGCTGAGGGAGGGGATGAGGTGTTGTTCCATGAGGCGGAGAGGGAGCCACCCAGAGAGCCAGGGTGGGACCGTCAGGCCGAGCTGAGGATGGTGCAGCTGCATGGGCACCCAGCAGCTCTGCGTGCAGCCCTCCCGCTGTGCTTGGTGCTCAGGTCCAGACAGATAGAAAATAACTGCGCTCCTCTGGGGCTGGGGTTTTGCTGGACCTGGCCCTAAGGTGTGTTGCAAGGGGAGTGAGGGAGGTATGTGCATTGGCAAGAGTGTTATTCCAGCAAAGGCCAGTGAAATCTAAAGTGGAAAGGAAGAGGCGGGAGAAGGAAGGGCTGGCTAGTGGGTGGGCTAGGTCCATGGGCAGTGCTCTTCAGGCCTTTTTACATATCCACTGCGGTATGGGCATATACAGACCACACATTCATGTGCAATGAAAGCAGCGTTCATGAAATGACGTTTATGCTTAGTGTATGTAATGCATGCCGACTATGTTCTTTTTCATTTTATTTTGACAAACAGTTGTGTCCTGCTAAATTTACTTCAGGATACATTAATAGGTCATGGCTTGCAGGGTGAAAACACTGGGTAAATCTGAAGTACAGTTGTAGTGGAAGTCATCCAGTGAGTCAGCTGGAAGACGAAGGGTGGCAGTTAGAAGACAGGGTGCCTGAGGCATGGATAGTGAAAGTGGACCACTTCCGGGAAGTGCTGTGTCGGCCATGTGACTGTGGGAGTGAATAACTGAGGTCAAGTCGAGGAGGAGGTCATGGAGTTGACCAGCTCAGGAGTTGAGAGTCCAGGATACTGGAGGCTCCACCAGGGTCCCCACGGATGTTGGGATCACTTGGGATGACAGTGAGACTTGGAAGACTTGGGAGAGAGTGAGAGGGAGAGGCAGACAGCAGGGCTGGTGCCAGAGTCCTGGAAATGAGAGTGGGTGGACAGGAGGCTGGCACATGTCAGAGACAGGCATGGAGCATGGGTGCAGAGCTGCAGTTCAGAGCCTCAGAGAAGCAGGTTTCTCAGAAGAGGGGAGGGGTCGGCCTGGTGGTGGCAGTGAAGACCCAGGAACACAGGCACACTGCTTCTCAGGGTGATGCGGTGCCTCACGCTCGGAAGCGCTGACTGGTTGTTGGTGTGATTTGTGTCACATCTGTAGCCACTGTACTTTAACTTCCATGAGGAGAGGGACAATATTTGTGACACATTTCTCTGAGCTCCCAGTGCTAAGTCCTAAACTGAGCCCTGTGAGAGCTCCTGTGTATATTTGAGAATGAATATTAAGTGATGAGACACACAAAAGCCCAAGTATAATCTAGGTTATGAAGTAGGCCATGAAAAACCAATGATAGTATTCTGGATTTTGATGCCACACGCAGCATTTCTAGTGAGTTTTACAGAGTCACGATTTTCTGTGAAAATCAGGTCTGATTGGCCTTTTTATCCTTGTCAATCTGTGTTTATTTTGCAGAGTTGTTCCATGATGGACGTAACTCTTTTGGATGAACATGGGAAACCCTTTTGGTGTTTCAGTTCCCCGGTGTGCCTGAGATCGCCTGCCACACCCTCTGACAGCTCTAGCTTCTTGGGACAGACATACAACGTGGACTACGTTGATGCGGAAGGAAGAGTGCACGTGGAGCTGGTGTGGATCAGAGAGACCGAAGAATACCTTATTGTCAACCTGGTCCTTTATCTTAGTATCGCAAAAATCAACCATTGGTTTGGGACTGAATATTAGCAGTAGGTGGCAAATTATTGTTGTTATTTAGTTGTTTATTTTTGACTGGCTTTGTTCTTGGTGTTGAAAATTAAAATAAAGCAAATCTGCAGAGTGCTGTGCAATGCCTTTCATCTCACATTAGAAATTATGATTTATGGGTCATTTTTAAGTTAATGTTTGAAGGATTCAGTTATATTTTAAAAACAAAAATAACAGTGAAACTTCATATAAAAAGAAGAAAAGGTATTTACTTCTCTTCCGCCCTTCGTTAAAAATCTAAGAACTTTTACTTAAGCAAATGATCATGTGATCACTCTGTGTGTGTGTGTGTATGTGTGTGTAGGGGTGTGTTCTTACAGATAACGGTTTTTCTTTTTCTTTATTGGTAAGAAGCTCAAATGAGAAAATGTACTTAAATATTAATATAAATTTCATTATATTCACTAGAATTAGAAAGTGCTACATTCTTGACAGTCAGCAGCCATATCGGTATTTAATAAAGTTAAATAGACCAGTGGCCTCATTCACAAGGAAAGATATATCTGAAATCATAAGGAAGTTATAACTTAAAAGAGCAAGGCACAGTACAAGTCCAGTGGGGACACCAGCTCTGTGTGAGTGGGGATAGAGACGGATGAGTTATTGAAACTTCCTCTGCAGAAATATTTTAAGAAAATTGACAGATGATCAGGATTCAAATAGGGGTGATAAGTATCTAAGCCTATGTTATTTTAGGGCATTTGGTTCTACATTTGTTTTAGATTGTGTTGGTTGTTTTGATTATATTTTTATCCCCTACTTGAAAGATCCCCTCCAAGGTGGTTTTCGACGTCCTGCCATGTTCCTCCTTCTCAGGCGTGCATGAGCACATTCCCCCTCTCTGTGTTTCATTCTTCTCCTGTTTAGTGACCTGGCCACTTTCTCTTTGGAGGTATGTGTATGATAGTGAGCATGTGAGAGTGCAGAATAAAGAGCCTGAAGACAGCAATCAAGTGAAGATGGGGGACAGATATTATGTTCTTGCCCCAAAAAATGAGAGAGTAAAAGGATTTCTGCTGCTGACACCGTCCTCCACCCTCCTGTCCTCCATGACCTTGGGCCAAAGTCCTTGGGAAGAGAGGAATTTGAAATGCGGTCAGATGTTGTGAGCACTGGGCTGTGTTATTTCATGGTGTCACCAATGAGGGAATGTGGAGTGTCTTCCCCAGCTGAGTGAGCATCAGGGGAAGAAGGAGGCACTGGCCTCAGCACTGAGCCCAGATGAGGACTAGGAGTCAGGGAGGCCAGGGATGCTGAGTGCCGCTTACAGAGCTGCGTTGGAATACAACCACGAGAAAATGCATGGAGACCCCCCTGAACCCCCTGGGTTAAATTGTGAGGGACTAGATGTCCTGACAATACTGGAAACATAGTAGAGCGGGGGAAGAAGCCCTGTTCTCTACCTCCTGTTTAATTATGTTGGGATGGAGGAGGGAAGGAAGCAAGGACCTCCAGGGATGGCACAGTGGAGCTCCGTGGACATGAACGCCTGCCTTCCCTGCTAGACTGCTAGTCCTGTGAGCAGGGACAATGGTTCACTGCTTCATCTCCAGCACCTAGGAGCATGCCAGGTGCTCCATAATCGATACTCAATAACGATTTGTCAAACCAATGGAAACCGTTATCGGGATATACCAGCAGCTATGGGAGCATGAAGGAAACAGGGAGCAATTCTGACCGATGAGTCTGGGAGTCCCTTACATCTCAGGTGACATCTGAGTTCACCCTGGAAGGAAGGTTTACTGGGCAGCAATGGGGAAGGGTGAGGCGGAGGAGGCAGTGCTCATAAAGCCTTGGTGCTTTGAAGAGTCTCATGAAAACAGGTGTGCATGCCACACACAACTGAAAGATGCCAGCGGACAGCCCTGTCCCAGTGTCACTTACACATGTCTGAGATATTAATATTCAGCTTTTAAAGCTGTCTCTTATATTTGCCTCCATATTTCTAAATAATTTTAAACATATCAGATTATGAATTCTACTTTTTGTTTCTCCCAGGATACTTCAGCCCTGGAGATCCATCTCTTTTTGCTGTGAAATGCTTGTTCTCTAGCCATGCTGGGCAGCTGTCATTCTGGGGTTCCCTGCATGCATCCTCCATTTTATGGAATCCTGTCTTCCTCTTTACTGGTTCATATCCTTTTTTTCAGTGGTACATGTTCTCCTGTGGCTTTCTAAGAAAGATGACACGGAAGATATATTTTGAATCTATGAATTTCTGAAAAATATCTGATGGATAGTTTAATTGGGTACCAAACTGTAGGAAGAAAAATGTTTTCACTGGGAACTTTGAAGACAGTTGTTATCATTGTTGCTGTATCTAATGCCACTTTGCCTTTTCTTCCTCTGTATGTGGTCTTCTCTCTTTCTCTAGTCGCTGAAGGCTTTTAGGGTTTACTCTTCTCTCCTGGTATCTTAAAATCTCAAGATGATGTGCGTTGGAATAGGTTTTTTGCATTCATTATGGGTCATTTTTATCTATGAACTTGTGTACTTAAGTCTTGGATTTAAAAAAAATCGGACAGTAGTTTCTTTGCTGTCTTTCAGTTTTGTTAACTGTGATTCTTTCTGGATTGATTCTCTCAAATGCCTTATCTTTTCCATCTTATCGTCTGTCTTTTAGTCTTTTGTTCTGCTTTATGGAATATTGCATCATTTTTGTATTTTATTTTTTATTTTGATGATCAGGGTTTTACTTTGTAAGAACTCTGTTTTCTAGTTCCTTCTAAAGCATTTGTGTCTGTTTTATAAATGTAATATTTTCTCTAAAGCAGGTGTTGGCAAACTTTTTCTGCACAGGCCAGATAATAATTGAGGCTTTGTGGGCCATATGGTGTCTGCTGTAACTCCTCAACTGTGCCATTGTCGTGTGAAGTCAGCTATAGGTGGTACACAAATGGGCATGGTTGTGTTCCAAAAAGACTTTATTTATAAAAACAGCAGCTGAATTTGGCCTTCAGGCTGTAGTTTGCCAAGTTCTGCACACATCTCTAGGTTATTGATTTCAGTTTTCAATAAAGTTTTTATCTTAACTATTTGGCAAAACCATAGTAGTAATAATAGTCTTAGGCAAGACTCTTCAGTAGATACTAAAATATGTGGGTGAAAGTATGATGAGAAAGGAGATATTGACATAGTCTCAAAGATTTTGCCACAAAATAATATTAGTTACAAAGGAAAAAATAGGAAGTTCACAGTGAAGGAGCCTAGGACAGCACCTTAACCAGTGCTTAGCAGCGTCAGCAATGGGCAGACGTTTGCCTCCTGATCATGCCATGAGAAAGACACCTTATCACTTTGTGGCATTTTATCAAAAATGTATAACAAGGATGGTAACATGGGGAAACATCAGACAAATATAGGTTGGAGGGAACTCTGCACTTAAATTTGTACTTGTAGTCTACATTCCCCTTTAAAAGTGTCGGGGTCATAAAAGGCAATGTCTCCTCGACTGGAGGGGGCAGATGAAAGCAACGCGTGATCTCAGATGGGATCCTGGATCAGAAGATGGCACTAATGGAACCACAGGTGAAATGCGAAAAGGGCTGTAGTTTATAGCATGTCAGCATTCATTTCCTGACTTTAATATCAAAATGTGACGTCACCATTTGGTGAGTCTGAATGACGGGCATATGGGAAAACTTTGTTATATTTTTGCAACTGTTTTGTAAACCTGAAATTGTTTCAAAGTAAAAAGTTAACAAAAAAAAAAAAAGGTTTTCACATCTTCCCATGCCCTTTGTTTTGTGGAATTCAGGCTGTCTTTGTCAGTCTATTTGCCTTGCTCTCAGGGTTGCCTGTTGGAGCCTCTGTGTCTGCTCATATTTAAGACTGAGGCCCTCAGAAGTGCAGCAGGAGGTCAGCCGAGGGAACCCACTTGTGCAGGAGGTCTGCCGAGGGGACCCACTTGTCAACTGATGGGTACACTGGAGTAATTGGGCCCTGCACTGCGTTTGGTACTGGGACCTCCAAATATGCGTATTAGGAAGTCTGTTCTTTAGGGCTGCCAGTTTCTTCACAGGAGAATTCTCCCATTTCACAAGAGCCCAGGGTTGCACAAGAGTCCCTCGTGTAAAGGGTGTGGAGAGGGGCTTGCTGTGGTTACAGCCTGGAGAAAGTAAACCTGCCACAGCTTGGGCCATGCTGAGAAGGGAACAGCATGTCCAGATAGAGTTGGACTTGATTCTTTACATGATCGGAAGTTCTTAAATGTTTTGCTTTGTTTTCATATACAAAGGTAATACATTCAAATAATAGGAAGATATAAATCAGAATATAAATGAAAATTTTGTTTCTAAACTACTCCACCTCCATTTGGCCAAAGCAAACTGTCATTGGTTGGACGTGGTTTCCACACAGATGGGAAAGGATGGATTGGAGCAGGAGGACGTGAAGGCAGGGATAACAGGTGGGAGGTCGTGGTGGGAATCTGAGCAGAAGTAACATTTGTGTGCTTTTGGCCTCCTATGATTAAGGGTGTGAGAAAGGGAAGTGGACCAGGACATGAAGCAAAAGATCTTAGGGGAAAATAATTTACCTTAGTAGTATTTAGGTGACCAGAGCTTTCCAAACGTTAGCAATTTGAAAACAACTGGGAAATCTACTTTGGGAGACACTTAAAAATGTCTTTCTCCAGGTTCCTAAATGACAAGACAATATATATTTTTTTTAAATCAAGGAGTTCAGTTTGATAATTATTTTTAGTTTTTTTCTTTTGAAGCACTCTCAAAACTTACAGAACTGTTACAAGTGCAGTTCAAATAACTTTTTTTTAAATGACTGAATCATTTGAGAGTAAGTTGCTAACAGGTTGCCCCATCACCTCTCAATACTTTAATGTATATTTCCTACAAACAAGGATAGTTTCCTAATAACATAATCACAGCCACCACAATCAGGAGATCAACACAACTGATGACAATGATCTCATGCTTAGACCGCCCCCATTCACGTTTCCCCAGTTGTCCCAGTAATGACCTCATAGCAGAAGGTCCAGTTCAGGATCAGGTGCTGTGTTTGGTTGGCCCATGGCTCTCCTCCCCTTCACTCTGGAATGGCTCACCAGGCTTCTTGACTATTACGACCTTGATACTTTTGAATGTCACAGGCCAGTTATTTAAAAGAATGTCCCTCAATATGAGCTTGTCTGATAATATGTATTTGATACTGTTTGGCTGTGTTCCCACCACATCTCATATTGAATTGTAGTTTCCATAATTCCCACGTGTTGTGGGAGGGACCTGGTGGGAGGTAATTGAATCATAGGGGCAGTTACCTCCATGCTGTTCTCATGATAGTGAGTTCTCATGAGATCTGATGATTTTATAAGGGGCTTCTCCCCCACTTCGTTCTACACTCTCCTTGTTGCTGCCATGTGAAGAAGGACATGTTTGCTTCCCCTTCCACCATGAATGTAAGTTTCCTGAGGCCTCTCCAGCCATACAGAACTGTGAGTCCATTAAACCTCTTTTCTTTATAAATTGCCCAGTCTCAGGTATCTCTTCATGGCAGCATGAGAATGGACTAATACAGCATCTTTGTCAGAAAATATTGCAGAAGTGGTGCTGTGTTCTCACTGTGTCCTATCGGGGTCATAGGATTTCAATTTGTCCCCTTACCAAACTGTTCCCTGCAGGCCCTGGATGAGAATGGTGTCTGGCATCTTCTCTGGTTACTTTTCCCACCTTAGTGATGATTATTTTGTGGGAGGTACTTTGAAACTAGGTAACTGTCCTATTCATTGGCAAACTTTTAACATATTTATTTGTTTCTATCAGTATAGAATCATGGTTTTCTTTTTTTCCTCACTGGGTTGTCATCAGTTACCATTATTATTTATTTCTGTGCTCAAATTTTCTCAGGTCTGTCTGGCAGAAGCCCTGGCTAGTGATATGTCCCCCATCACTCTCTGGACACTTCCTTTCTGGAATAAGGTGGTTCAGACTCATCCTGTACTTTCCCTGCCACAGCCCTGGAATCAGCCTTTCTTCAAAGAGCGTGGCTTCCTTCTGGTGGAGAGTATTTGGAAACAAAGATGTGGGTGCCAGGCATGCTCATTCCTACTGAGGTGTCACTGCTTCACTTCCTCTCCAAGAACAGCATCAGGAATGTAAGTATTCCCCCTCATATGTATGCTACACATTCACTTATATCCTTTTTTTAGGTTGTTGCAAAAGTAATTGCGGTTTTGCCATTACTTTTAATGGCGAAAACCGCAATTACTTATGCACGAACTTAATATATCCGCAGATATTGAAAAGCACGAATTCACTCCTGTATCTTCAGTTTCAACACAGCACCACAAGGTCATTCTTGTTTTCTCCTTTGGATGCTTGGTGCTCGCATGCCCACCTGACTCCCATCATCCTGAATCTCTTTCCTCCTCGGGGCATCCCATCCCATCTCCCATCACACCTCTCCTGCAGATGCCTCGCTTCCTCTCCTGGGCTCTGACAGATTGTGATGAGAGGCTCAGGCACAAGGAGACCCTCTGCACTATGCCAGGGCCCCCACCCCTCATGCCTCAGGGCGCCCACTCCTGTTTGTGCGGCCCTCTCATCTACTGAGGCTCAGAAATGTCACACTCAACCATTGACCTATAGGATTAAAGATTACTTTTCATGCCCACAACATCCTGGCATTCGGATGGATGATGGGCAGAACTCGTGGTTACTTGCAGCTCCAAATGAGAGAAGGCTGCCAGATAGGGCTGCTTGGGGGTTGCCCCTGGGGACAGGGTAACAGCAAGCTGGCATTGCAGAAGCAGCCTATTAATGGTGAGCTGGATGTGGAGGGAGACTAGCTAGGTCTGGCAGCCTCCCTGTGGATTGGCTGACTTGAATAATTCTGTGGGCATATCCTAGTTGTCTGGTACCTGGCCCCGGAGCCATTAAGGCTGGCACATAGTGGACATTGACGATGAGAGCCTGATAAGGGAACTGGTTGGGGTGTGGACTTAACTGCTCAGGAAGGGAACTGACCAGCCTCTATCCTCAAAATCGGGTCAAGCATTAAATGGGTACAGCATTAAAAAAAACTGATATGGTTTGGATTTGTGTCCCCACACAAATCACATTTCAAATTGTAATCCCCATATGTCTGGGGAAGGGTCTGATGGGAGGTGATTGGATCATGGGGCCAGTTTCCCCATGCTGTTCTCGTGATAGTGAGTGAGTTCTCACGAGATCGGATAGTTTAAAAGTGTGGCACTTAACCCCCTCGCTTTCTCTTTCCGGCCACTACGTGAAGAAGGTCCTTGCCTCCCCTTCATCTTCTGGGAGCCCTCCCAGTCATGCTTCCTGTTAAGCCTGCAGAACTGTGAGTCAATTACACCTCTTTTCTTCATAAATTACCCAGTCTCAGGTAATTCTTTATAGCAATGTGAAAACGATACAATAACAAACCAATTTTCAGCCACTCCTTCTAAGCCCTGCCTCCTCTACCAGGCACCCCAGTCACTCCACCTGGGCCTTAAGGATCGCTCATCCCACCAGCTGCAGGTACTGCCTTGCTCTGCTCCACTTAATGGCTTTAGGAATCCACAGTGGGTGAAGGGGAGATATTTCTCAAGGATTAAATATGCTAACATCATGTAAGTTCTGTGTGTCATCACTGTTCACAGATTATACCCAGTAGAAGTACTAGCTTTTTGCGGGGACTGACCATCTTAATATTGTGTGTGTTAATATTGTGTGTGTGTTAATATTGTGTGAAATGCAGTTGTCAGACACATGAAAAGAAAGCATTTACTAATCATACTCCTTTGTCAGAGATAAAGCTTTTTGTTTGCAAAGCAAGAGGAATTATTGTGCTGGGGTATCTTGACTACGAAGAAAAAATCACGAGGCAGGGCTCATTGAGCTGAATCAAGTCAAGAAAAGTAACAGGTGCAAACTCTTAATCATGCAGCTGGCAAAGAAAACAAGTTTGAGTTACAAGAAAGCATACCTACCACTAGTGTAGAAAAAAAGGACATGTTTTTTATTTCAAGTAAACTCCAGATGCAAAATCTTGTCTGATTCAAAATTAAGTCAAAGATCTGACCGTCCTTTGGAAAGTTGACTTTTATATGTAACTCCATAGTTGTCTCTTATTTTCATTAACATCCACCTAAGTCTAATGATCATAACTTCTTCAGAAACAAAATGTTCTCCTGGGAAAATCTATGGAAACTGTTTTCCCAATACTTGTAATGGAAAGAGGTTGTACCTTTAACACATTGGATGGTTTCAGGCACCTGTGAACCTTTGGTGCCTGGAATATCATGGCATTTACCTGCAGGCTAGGGAGTATTTTGTGGTCTTCCGTGGCTGCAAGGAGTAACCCTAGGTTCCCGTGAGCTATGGGGAATATGAGCCAGATCACTACTGGGTACATCTCGAGCTGCAGAAGCCCCTGGGGCTGCGAGGCAGGTTCACTAAGCACTGCTCTGGGAATTAAACACAAGGCAAGAAAGGAGGGGAGTGTGTAGGACACCCAAAGAAATGAGGGCTGCTATGGGGAAATGAAATGCATGTTCGAGAGCAGCTGAATGGCAGCTCTCCTTTGCTCACTGCAGCCGAGGAGGTCCACCAGGCTCCCGGGGAAGAGCTTAGAAGAAAAGGCTGGGCTGTGGGCAAAGCAGGTTAAAGGTGCAGCCACAGACCATGTCAGGTCCCCTGCCACCAGCACAACATGCAAGCTCTGGCAGGGATGCAGGATGCGTGCTCACACATCCATCACTGCAGCTGTGCAGGATGTTGTGGGCGTCAGTTTGTTCCTGAATATGCGTGCAGAGATGAGCGCATGCCCTGAGAAATGTGTAAACATTGGGGATTTGTCAGGTTTTAGAGTCACATGGGATGGGGCACACAGGTCCTCAGCCTCTTTCACCTGCCTCAGCCTGGACAGCTGGCCTGTGCCAACCCCCTCACTTTACCTTCTGGCCTCCTGGTGATGATAAAAATGAACTCCGAGAGGTGCTCCTAAGGAAAATGTGTGTTTACTGCTTGACATACTGTCACATGATTGAGTCAGTGAAACGGCTATAAGAAATACATTAATCTTTATGTGTTTTGTTCAGAAAAGTGCCCAGAAATGCAAGATGAAACACCTGTGATTTCTCACTGACTTAATCTTGGTAAAGGAGAAAGTGAAAAATTCACCATGAAATAATAATAGTAGCTTTCATTTTTAAAAGTTGGAACCTTATTGTGTGCCAGGCATTATGCAATAAGCTTCACCTATATTTTTTAAAATCTTCCCAAAACACTATGGGCAGTTGGTATGAAAATGGCATTTAAAATGAGGAACTGAGCAGAGAGGTTAAATGCCCAGAGGTGCACATCTGGTACTGGACAAAGCTAGGATTGGCCTGGACAAAGCTAGGATTGACCTGATTCTAAAGCCCATGGCCTGTTGTCCCATATTGCCACCTGTGCACCCATAGTGCTGGACGGTGGATGATGGATTATGAACATTTGACACACAAGGAAAGGTCATCACATAGGTATTTAGCAGAGCATAAATAAACACACGCAGTGAAGCTTATTCTGCCTAACAGGGATAAGGCCGTTTGAAAGAACTATGTCTTAAATCAATGAAACTGGTATATACTAACACAAAGAACTGAGAATAACCAAGTCACTTTGAAGAAGCGGAAGGTGACAGGGCTTGCTCTATCACATGGGAAGGCTTTGTGTAACACCACAGGAAATTAGAGTGCCCTTTGGTGCAAGAAAAGAGTAAATAGACAAATGGGGCAGAACACAGAACTCAAACAGACGCACAGAGAAGGGCAGCTGTTTTATGGCAAAGGTGGCATCTCAGAGCAGTGGGGGAAGGATGGACATTTTCATAATGATGCCGGGACAATTGTGTAGCCATCTGGAAGAAAGAAAAGTGGACCTACTTATACCATGCCCTAAATGTGGAAAGCAAAGTAAGGAAGCTTCAGGAAGACAATATGGGCAGTATTTCCATGTTCCGTCATCTCTGACGGGCACTCAAGTTGGGAACCATTCTTTTACTTTTTTAGAAATAGGACTCTCACTTTTCTTAGGAAACATACTCTCTCCTTTGATAACTCTTGCTGGAATATTCCTCTCCAAGTTGAATCAGCCCAGAGGCGACACCTGCCCATAAGTAAGTTTCAGAAAAATATGACTCATTGGTCTTATTTCCCCCTACTGGGGGTTCATAGAATAAGTCTAACCCCGCCCGGCCTCATCTCAGTTGTTTTTAAAGAGGAAGAGGAGATGGGCCTCAAAGCTTCAACTAAAAAAGCTGGAGGAACAATCTATGTTGCATCTAAGCAGACAGTGCCCTATCTTCTCAGTTAGGGCTGTAAGGGACATCTTAGTCATCTACAATCAACTCTGTGAAAAACAAAAGGAAAGTCTTATTATATGATGTATATATAAAGAGAACAGGGCATTTAACTCTGCCATTTTAGCCACAATGATGTTTGTTGGGTGCATTATTTAAAAAAAAAACTAGACTTGGTGGAAATAACCAATCTAAAGTAAAACTGAGAGTAGTTAAAACTTCACATAAGAACATTAGCCTGGGAAGAAATAATGGTCATTTCAGAAAATGCTCAGGGGCAGACATGTTGATTGGTAAAATTTGATAGGGATCAAAAAAAATCAATGAATCAAATTTATATTGTGAAATTTACATGGATGAGAACTGGTCCCAGTGAAAAGGAAAAACTGAAAACAGTTCACTTATGCAGTCTTGGTAATTAATCAAACGATCAAGTTGCTTTAATGGCATTTCATCTTGCTATAATTCTGAGAAAAATATTTTATTGATAAATAGAGCCTAAACATCCTCAAGGTTAAAATAGTAAGGTTAAAACATTCTAAACATTCTGTATTGATTTAAAATATCAAGTACTTCTTAACTGCAGCATTCTTTAAGCTAAGCAAAAGTTAGATATTTTAATAAGAGACTAGAAGTAATAATGGACAAATAAACGCAATTTGATTTGTTGAAGTCAAGAGATTCTAAGTACATTTTATTTGTAATTTTATTAATGTTGCTATAATAAAATATTTTAAAATGAGAAATTTAGTTCATGGTTACATTAATTCTACTATTAAATTCTGATGTAACTAGACTCTGGAGCCAGCCATAAAAATGATTCAATGTTTTATTTACATACAGCCTACATCCCAGCGGTCTTATATTGCCCCCGATTCTTGTGTTTGTGCAATACACACTGATCTTTGCACTATTAGGCAAGAATTGCTGTTGTCTTGGAATAAGATACTAAGTGGCTGTCTGCTTGCTTACAGATTTATAGACCCCATCTACCCATTTTCCCAGAACAAGATACTTTCTTTCCGTAATAAGATTCTGTTGGCCACTGTTTTGCAGCTAAATTGTGAATTTGCCCTATTATTGGTTTTGCTTAAGTGGAATGAATGGCCATGCCGGAGAAATGCATTTCTGTGGCAGCCCTGTAAAATGACTGTGCTGATGTATCTATTTAGTAAGGGCTCCATGGACAGCTGAAAGAGACCTGCGTGATGCCTGACCTGAAATTGTAGGCGTTTGCTCTTCTCTTTCACAAGGAGATAATTATGGTACATCTATAACTGTTGTAAAAAGAGATTCTCAAAGCTATACTGTATAAAAAAGTCCCCAGTCCCCAGATGGTAAAACTTTGTTTCATGGAGGGGCAAAAAACGGAAAACCTGCCACACTGGCATTAGGAAAATGTTGAAAGTTTTATTCTGGAGGCAGACAATGCATTATAGTCTCATGGTTTATGTTCCCATCACTTTTATTCCTCAGGGTGTTATTAAATTAGGAAGTATAACCATGCATTTTAATCACTGTGATTTATGAAAATCCTAATAGCAACAGAGAATATTACTTCTGTGTGCAGAATCTCCCCTGTCCCCATCTGTGGATGTGAGAAAATCGTTCCCTTAATTGTGAATATGGGTTTGAAACTTGTTCTTGTATCAGGAGTTAAATATGGCTTTTCGGACAGAATACTTAGGATTACCTTCAATTATTTTAAATGCTCTAGTCTCCCCATGAAAATGGTGAGAGGATCGTGTAGCAGACGAATGTAAGCCCTTTGTTTCAGATTTCAGCATGAGCTCTGGGTTTTAGATGTATGCATTCTCTGTGAGCTGCAGCTGATACTTTACACTTAAGTAGCAGGCTCTTGCTCGCATTTCGTGCCACTCATTCTAAAACACAGGCAAGAAAACTGTTCTTCCCCTAACAATAGCCAGGGACCCTAAGAAGGAAAGCCAGCAGGCATTTATTTTGTGCTTCTTCAGCATAAGGCAACACCCTGGCTACTTTGGATTCCAAGAGGAGAAGACATGGATGACCAGAGAAGCAGACCATGACGTGTGCCGTGTCCCAGTTCTGTTCTCTGTGGAGGGAAGAAGGGGGATGAGGTCTGAGGAGGGAATGAAAAAGTCTCCATGGGCCTTTGATGCAGGGCAGGTGAGCCCCAACTTGGGGCTTAACCCAGGAGGGTTATTGGCTTCAGCTAGGAAAGAATTCAAGGGTAAGCTGGTGGTAGAAGAAAACAGCTTTATTGAGGTGGCAGTTACAGCTCCGTGACTGCATCTGCAGAGCAGGGCTACCCACAGGTGGTGCACTGAGAGTAGCTGCTCAAAGGCCCTTCTGCAGCCGTGTTTATACCCACTTTAAATTACATGCAAACTAAGGAGCAGATTGTGCAGACATTTCTAGAAAAAGGGGGGTAACATCTGGGTCACCAGGTTGTTGCCATGGAAAGGGGCAGTGGCTTCTGCATGTTGCTATGGCAATGGTAAACTGACATCCACACTGGTGGGTGTGTCTTAGGAGAGGTGCGTCTGCTTCTTCCCTATTTTAGCTAGTCCTCAATTTGGTCTGGTGTCCAAGCTCCACCTCTGGAGTCAAGTTGTGCCTTCTACCTCACTTTGAAATATGGGTTGATTTTTGTTTTGTAAAACTGAGGTTATCCAGGTAGGAGAAAAGCATAAGGAAAAAGAAAGGAAAGAAAAGGGAAGAACGTGGGGAAAATGCAGCTTCCTTTTCAGTATTCAATACAGCCTATTTTTTAAGTATTGAGCATAACAGTTGATCTCAAAGCATAGCAAGTCCTCAACAAGTGTGTGGAAAGGAGAAGGTAGGAGATAAATCACAGGGCCAGGAGAGCTGTAGACAGAGGGAGCCACAAGTACAAGTAGGATGAGAACTGGAGAAAAAGAAAGAGCTGGGGTTCGGCTTTGGGTAGAGGCCAAAAAGACACCAGGCAAGGTGGCCCGGAGCTGAGGAGGGCCCAGGGGAAAGTGGAATGGGCAGGCTCCTTTCTTGCAAGGCCCAGTGTTTTCCTCTTCTTTGCCTAAATAATCCAAATATTTTAATATTCTTGTTACAAAGTCTTTTACTCATAGATATTATTGATATGGGTATAACAATATCCATATCAGTAATCCCAGTATGATTCTTTATTTTTTCAATCCATGCATGCTGCTTACATAGCCTATACCTTATCTACTGGCACTCTTTTTTTTTTGAGACAGAGTCTTGCTCTGTCGTAGTGCAGTGGTTCGATCATGGCTCACTGCAGCCTCAACCTCCCCAGCTCAAGTGATCTTCCCATGTCAGCTTCCTGAGTAGCTGAGACTACAGGTGGATGTCACCACATTAAGCTAATTTTTCTATTTTTTGTAGAGATGGGGGCCTCCCTATGTTGTCCAGGATGGTTTTGAACTCCTGGGCTCAAGTGATGCTCTTGCTTGATCTTCCATAGTGCTGGAATTATATGCGTGTGCCACCACACCTGGCTACTGGCACTCTTTAGTTAGGACACTTTCATAGATGCCATAAATACTTGGTGTATGTTGCCAGAGGCAATGACGCATTTCTGAGTTCTATACAACAGGCAGAAAGGTTCATACCCACCATTTCAGGAGCACAATTTTGGGAAAAAATATTAAAAGACTTCATATTTTATATAGTTTGCTATAATTTCTTTTTCTAAATAAATATGTGACCGTGTCCAGTTTAATTGATTTCACACATGAAACACCTCAAACCTTCAGGTTATCCCTTTTTTATTTTTATTTTTTATTATACTTTAAGTTTTAGGGTACATGTGCACAATGTGCAGGTTTGTTACATATGTATACATGTGCCATGTTGGTGTGCTGCACCCATTAACTCATCATTTAACATTAGGTATATCTCCTAATGCTATCCCTCCCCACTCCCCCTACCCCACAACAGGCCCTGGTGTGTGATGTTCCCCTTCCTGTGTCCATGTGTTCTGATTGTTCAATTCCCACCTATGAGTGAGACCATGTGGTGTTTGGTTTTTTGACCTTGTGATAGTTTGCTGAGAATGATGGTTTCCAGCTTCATCCATGTCCCTACACAGGACATGAACTCATCATTTTTTATGGCTGCATAGTATTCCACGTAGTATATGTGCCATAGTTTCTTAATCCAGTCTATCATTGTTGGACATTTGGGTTGGTTCCAAGTCTTCACTATTGTGAATAGTGCCGCAATAAACATATGTGTGCATGTGTCTTTATAGCAGCATGATTTATAATCCTTTGGGTATATACCCAGTAATGGGATGGCTGGGTCAAATGGTATTTCTAGTTCTAGATCCCTGAGGAATCGCCACAGTGACTTCCACGATGGTTGAACTAGTTTACAGTCCCACCAACAGTGTAAAAGTGTTCTTATTTCTCCACATCCTCTCCAGCACCTGTTGTTTCCTGACTTTTTAATGATCGCCATTCTAACTGGTGTGAGATGGTATCTCATTGTGGTTTTGATTTGCATTTCTCTGATGGCCAGTGATGATGAGCATTTTTTCATGTGTCTTTTGGCTGCATAAATGTCTTCTTTGAGGAAGTGCCTGTTCATATCCTTTGCCCACTTGTTGATGGGGTTGTTTGTTTTTTTCTTGTAAATTTGTTTGAGTTCTTTGTAGATTCTGGATATTAGCCCTTTGTCAGATGAGTAGATTGCAAAAATCTTCTCCCATTCTGTAGGTTGCCTGTTCACTCTGATGGTAGTTTCTTTTGCTGTGCAGAAGCTGTTTAGTTTAATTAGATCCCATTTGTCAATTTTGGCTTTTGTTGCCATTGCTTTTGGTGTTTTAGTCATGAAGTCTTTGCCCATGCCTATCTCGTGAATGGTACTGCCTAGGTTTTCTTCTAGGGTTTTTATGGTTTTAGGTCTTAGGTTTAAATCTTTAATCCATCTTGAATTAATTTTTGTATAAGGTGTAAGGAAGGGGCCCAGTTTCAGTTTTCTGCATATGGCTAGCCAGTTTTCCCAACACCATTTATTAAATAGGGAATCCTTTCCCCATTGCTTGTTTTTGTCAGATTTCTCAAAGATCAGATGATTGTAGATGTGTGGTGTTATTTCTGAGGCCTCTGTTCTGTTCATTGGTCTATATATCTGTTTTGGTACCAGTACCATGCTGTTTTGGTTACTGTAGCCTTGTAGTATAGTTTGAAGTCGGGTAGTGTGTTGCCTCCAGCTTTGTTCTTTTTGCTTAGGACTGTTTTGGCTATTTGGGCCTTTTTTTTGGTTTCAGATGAAGATTAAAGTAGTTTTTTCTAATTCTGTGTAGAAAGTCAATGGTAGCTTGATGGGAATAGCATGGAATCTATAAATTACTTTGGGCAGTGTGGCCATTTTCACAATATTCATTCTTCCTATCCATGAGCATGGGATGTTTTTCCATTTGTTTGTGTCCTCTCTTATTTCCTTGAGCAGTGGTTTGTAGTTCTCCTTGAAGAGGTCCTTCACATCCCTTGTAAGTTGTATTCCTAGGTATTTTATTCTCTTTGTAGCAATTGTGAATGGGAGTTTACTCATGATTTGGCTCTCTATTATTGGTGTATAGGAATGTTTGTGACTTTTGCACATTGATTTTGTATCCTGAGACTTTGCTGAAGTTGCTTATCAGCTTAAAGAGTTTTTGGGCTGAGACGATGGGGTTTTCTAAATACACAGTCATGTCACCTGCAAACAGAGATTATCTGACTTCCTCTCTTCCTATTTGAATACCCTTTATTTCTTTCTTTTGTCTGATTGCCTGGCCAGAACTTCCAATACTATGTTGAATAGAAGTGGTGAAAGAGGGCATCCTTTTCTTGTGCGGGTTTTTGAAGGGAATGCTTCCAGCTTTTGCCCATTCAGTATGATATTGGCTGTGGGTTTGTCATAAATAGCTTTTATTATTTTGAGATACATTCCATCAATACCTAGTTTATTGAGTGTTTTTAGCATGAAGGGGTGTTGAATTTTATTGAAGGCCTTTTCTGCATCTATCAAGATAATCATGTGGTTTTTGTCATTGGTTCTGTTTATGTGATGGATTATATTTATTGATTTGCATATGTTGAACCAGCCTTGCATCCCAGAGATGAAGCCAACTTGATCCTGGTGGATAAGGTTTTTAATGAGCTGCTGGATTTGGTTTGCCAGTATTTTATTGAAGATTTTCACATTGATGTTCATCAGGGATATTGGCCTGAAATTTTCTTTTTTTTGCTGTGTCTCTGCCAGGTTTTGGTATCAGGATGATGCTGGCCTCATAAAATGAGTTAGAGAGGACTCCCTCTTTTTCTATAGTATGGAATAGTTTCAGAAGGAATGGTACCAGCTCCTCTTTGTACCTTTGATAGAATTCAGCTGTGAATCCATCTGGTCCTGGGCTTTTTTGGTTGGTAGGCTATTAATTACTGCCTCAATTTCAGAACTTGTTATTGGTCTATTCAGGGATTCGACTTCTTGGTTTAGTCTTGGTAGGGTGTATGTGTCCAGGAATTTATCAGTTTCTTCTAGATTTTCTAGTTTATTTGCGTAGAGGTGTTTATAGTATTCTCTGATGGTAGTTTGTATTTCTGTGGGATCAGTGGTGATATCCCCTTTATCATTTTTTATTGTGTCTATTTTATTCTTCTCTCTTTTCTTCTTTATTAATCTGGCTAGCAGTCTATCTATTTTGTTAATCTTTTCAAAAAACCGGCTCCTGGATTCATTTATTTTTTTTGAAGGGTTTTTCATGTCTCTATCTCCTTCAGTTCTGCTCTGGTCTTAGTTATTTCTTGTCTTCTGCTAGCTTTTGAATTTGTTTGCTCTTGCTTCTCTAGTTCGTTTAATTGTGATGTTAGGGTGTCAATTTTAGATGTTTCCTGCTTTCTCCTGTGGGCATTTAGTGCTATAAATTTCCCTTTAAACACTGCTTTAGCTGTGTCTCAGACATTCTGGTACATTGTGTCTTTGTTCTCACTGGCTTCAAAGAACTTATTTATTTCTGCCTTAATTTTGTTATTTACCCAGTAGTCATTCAGGAGCAAGTTGT
Organism: Homo sapiens; assembly: GCF_000001405.40. Taxonomy (NCBI): domain Eukaryota; kingdom Metazoa; phylum Chordata; class Mammalia; order Primates; family Hominidae; genus Homo; species Homo sapiens. The sequence continues at coordinate 74,056,101 of NC_000018.10, read as the reverse complement.
TCAGTTTCCATGTAGTTGTGTGGTTTCGAGTGAGTTTCTTAATCCTGAGTTCTAATTTGATTGCACTGTGGTCTGAGAGACTGTTTGTTATGATTCATTCTTTTGCACTTGCTGAGGAGTGTTTTACTTCCAATTATGTGGTCTACTTTAGAATAAGTGTGATGTGGTGCTGAGAAGAATGTATAGTCTGTTGATTTGTGGTGGAGAGTTCTGTAGATGGTCTGCTTGGTCCAGAGCTGAGTTCAAGTCCTGAATATCCTTGTTAATTTTCTGTCTCGTCATTCTGTCTAATATTGACATTGGAGTGTTAAAGTCTCCCACTATTATTGTGTGGGTATCTAAGTCTCTTTTTATGTCTCTAAGGACTTGCTTTATGAATCTGGGTGCTCCTGTATCGGGTGCATATGTATTTAGGATAGTTAGCTCTTCTTGTTGCATTGATCCCTTTACCATTATGTAATGCCCTTTGTCTTTTTTTGTTGTTGTTGGTTGAAACTCTGGTTTATCAGAGACTAGGACTGCAATCCCTGCTTTTTTTTGCTTTCCATTTGCTTGGTTAATCTTCCTCCATCCCTTTATTTTGAGCCTATGTGTGTCTTTCCACATGAGATGGGTCTCCTGAATACAGCACACTGATGGATATTGACTCTTTATTCAATTTGCCAGTCTGTGTCTTTTAATTGGGGCATTTAACCTGTTTACATTTAAGGTTAATATTGTTATGTATGGATTCGATCCTGTCATTATGATGCTAGCTGGTTATTTTGCCCATTAGTTGATGCAGTTGCTTCATAGTGTCAATGGGTCTTTACATTTTGGTATGTTTTTGCAATGGCTGGTACCGGTTTTTCCTTTCCATATTTAGTGCGTCCTTCAGGAGCTCTTGTAAGGCAGGCCTGGTAGTGACAAAATCCATTAGCATTTGCTTGTCTGTAAAGGATTTTATTACTCCTTCACTTATGAAGCTTACTTTGGCTGGATATAAAATTCTGGGTTGAAAATTCTTCTCTTTAAGAATGTCGAATATTGGCCCCCGCTCTCTTCTGGCTTATAGTCTGATGGGCTTCCCTTTGTGGGTAACCCGACCTTTCTCTCTGGCTGCTCTTAAAATTTTTTTTCCTTCATTTCAACTTTGATGAATCTGATGATTATGTGTCTTGGGGTTGCTTTTCTCGAGGAGTATCTTTGTGGTGTTCTCTGTATTTTTTGAATTTTGAATGTTGGCCTATCTTGCTAGGTTGGGGAAGTTCTGGATAACATCCTGAAGTGTGTTTTCCAACTTTGTTCCATTCTCCCTGTCACTTTCAGGTACACCAATCAAGCATAGGTTTGGTCTTTTTACATAGTCCCATATTTCTTGGAGGCTTTGTTCATTCCTTTTCATTCCTTTTTCTCTAATCTTGTCTTCATACTTTATTTCATTTAGTTGATCTTTGATCTCTGATATACTTTCTTCTGCTTGATCAATTCAGCTATTGATACTTGTATATGCTTCACAAAGTTCTTGTGCTGTGTTTTTCAGCTCCATCAGGTCGTTTATGTTCTTCTCTAAACTGCTTATTCTAGTTAGCAGTTCCTGTAACCTTATATCAAGGTTCTTAGCTTCCTTGCGTTGGATTAGAACATGCTCCTTTAGCTCTGAGAAGTTTGTTATTACCCACCTTCTGAAGCCTACTTCTGTCAATTTGTCAAACTCATTCTCTGTCCAGTTTTTTCCCTTGCTGGCAAGGAGTTATGATCCTTTGGAGGAGAAGAGGCATTCTGATTTTTGGAATTTTCAGCCTTTTCTGCACTGGTTTTTCCTCATCTTCATGGATTTATCTACCTTCGGTCTTTGATGTTGGTGACCTTTGGAAGGGGTTTTTGCGTGATTGTTCTTTTTGTTGATGTTGATGCTATTCCTTTCTATTTGTTAGTTTCCCTTCTGACAGTTAGTCCCCTCTTCTGCAGGTCTGCTGGAGTTTGCTGGAGGTCCACTCCAGACCCTATTTGCCTGGGTATTACCAGCAGAGGCTGCAGAACAGCAAAGATTGCTGCCTGCTCCTTCCTCTGGAAGCGTAGTCCCAAGGGGGCACCTGCCAGATGCCAGCCAGAGCTCTCCTTTATAGGGTGTCTGTCGACCCCTGCTGGGAGGTGTCTGTCTCCCCATCAGGAGGCACGGGGGTCAGGGACACACTTGAGGAGGCAGTCTATCCTTTAGCAGAGCTCGAGCGCTGTGCTGGGAGATCCGCTGCTCTCTTCAGAGCTGGCAGGCGGGAATGTTTAAGTCTGCTGAAGCTGCGCCCACAGCCACCCCTTCCCCTAGGTGCTCTATCCCAGGGAGATGGGAGTTTTATCTATAAGCCCCTGATTGGGGCTGCTGCCTTTCTTTCAGAGATGCCCTGCCCAGAGAGGAGGAATCTAGAGAGGCAGTCTGGCTGCAGTGGCTTTGTGGTGCTGTGGTGGGCTCCACCCAGTCTGAACTTCCAGGTGGCTTTGTTTACACTGTGAGGGGAAAACCACCTATCAGTCCTCAGTAATGGCAGATGCCCCTTTCCTCGCCAAGCTAGAGTGTCCCAGGTCGACTTCAGACTGCTGTGCTGGCAGTGAGAATTTCAAGCCAGTGGATTTTAGTTTGTTGGACTCTGTGGGGGTGGGATCCACTGAGCAAGGCCACTCAGCTCCCTGGCTTCAGCCCCCTTTTCAGGGGAGTGAAGGTTCTGTCTTGCTGGTGTTCCAGGTGCCACTGGGGTACGAAAAAAAACTCCTGCAGCTAGGTCAGTGTCTGCCCAAATGGCCGCCTAGTTTTGTGCTTGAAAGCCAGGGCCCTGGTGGTGTAGGCACCCGAGGGAATCTCCTGGTTTGTGAGTTGTGAGGACTGTGGGAAAAGCATAGTGTCTGGGCTAAATAGCACTGTCGTTCATGGCACAGTCCCTCATGACTTCCCTTGGCTAGGGGAGGGAGTTCCCTGACCCCTTGCACTTCCAAGGTGAGGTGACGTCCCACGCTGCTTCTGCTCACCCTCCATGGGCTGCACCCACTGTCTAACCAGTCCCAATGAGATGAACCCGGTGCCTCAGTTGGAAATGCAGAAATCACCCACCTTCTGCATTAGTCTCACTGGGAGCTGCAGACCTGAGCTGTTCCTATTTGGCCATCTTGTCCGGACATCAGAATCTGAATTTCCAGCAGGTCCCTGGATGGTGCCACTGGCCGTCAGGCCCAGTGCTGAGAACCCTGGAGTCTCCCATCCGCCTCTCACAGCTCAGGAGTCACCAGAGAATCTGGAATCAAAGCAGAGGAAAGGTCAAAAGGATGTCCCCGCTTTAGGAAATAACTCTTCATCCACATATAGGGTGAGAGGAGTGAGGTGGGGCATAGTCAGGACAGGGGTCAGGGGAGTGGTGGGGAGCCCAGTGAGAAATGGCCCTGAGAGAGCCTAAACCAGGAGAGGCAGACGCTTGGGGAAGAAGGTTTATACCCTGGTGCAGGATGGGTGAGTTTGTATTCACCATTGTGTCCCCAAAACATGTTCCTTTGCTCATAAAAAAGACTTACTCAGAAAGTGCTCATTGAAATAGATTAATATCCCCCTTTGAAAGTCATGACTAGATGACAGACTCCAGGGTAATGACAGATATTTGGTCAGGGCGGGAAGACTTTCCCTGTTTGTATCTGCCCTGAATCAACCAGGTGATGTGTGTCCATCTCCCTGAGAAACTGCAGCTAGCAGAAGGAGCTACACAGCAGAAAATGTGTCTATGGGGTCTACATTCATGCGTTCATTCATTCATGTACAAAACTCTCATTAAGTTCCTAGGGTATAAAAGGCATTGTTCTGTATACATGGGGGATAGCCCAGATCCTCACTGCCTTCAAGACTCACACAACCTAACCCAGGGACTGTTGAAACTGTGATCTTAGTGTGGGCAGAGGCAGCACTCTGTCTGAGCTAAGGAATCTATGGATCTCTTAGCGGTCAGACGGAGCAGCACTGACTGCAGGACAGGAACCATCCTGCCTTGGACTTGGGAATATGCTGCCTGCCTGCGGGACATCCCAGGTGATCAATGCCAAAAGGTTACTGTTGTTTATCCTGGCATTCCATGCTGAGCAATGATATTACTCTCTGAGTAAGCAACTCTACACTTCTTAATATGATAACAATCTTCATGTCCTACAACCCAAAATGGAGTTCTCCAAAGAAATCAATGAGGGATGAAAATAACAGTTTCTGATGTAGTACAAGTAGAATGCAACTCAGCAGTACTCGTCCCTGTATAAAAACTTGCAGGGTGATAGAGTAGAGTGTGGATTTACTAGCTTGCAATGACAAACACACAGTAACACTCTTAATGCACAAAGATATATTGTGTCTGCACACTCCCTGTCTCCTCTCTTTCCTCCAGAAACATTAACAGGGCTAATTTTCTGGGAAAATATTCCATAAGAGTTCTGAACCTTAAATCAAGGCCATCAGGATTTCACCCTGAGGTAGATAATTGTGTGCTCACTCTCCCATTGGTGCAGTGTACAGAATGACAAATCACATTGTAATGAGAGGAGAATCCCTTGTGGGGCTAATGCATGTCCTTAGAAAGTCTGTTGGAGGACAGGGTTCAATACTGAGAAACACAGGAGAAACTACAGCTAGGAGCGAGTGAAAAGAACTGCTTTTATTCACACTCCTTCCCAAGTTATTACATTCAACAAATATTTACTGAGTACATAACAGGTGTAAATTATTACCTGTCTCCCTACAGTATTTACTCTATCACACTCTATAATAAGATCTGTCTGTGATTCAATAGTAATTTCACTGTTTTCAACCATCACTGTCTATTTAACTTTAAGATAAGGCCTAAATTTTCAGAGCCCAAATTAAAGTTCCTGGGCAACTTGCGGCGAGGAAATAGACACTTTCTATGAATTAAAAATGGGTTCATGATTCTGTTTTTTTCACTTGCCATGTTGGAATCTTAGAGAAATGGCTCCACATGAGAGGAAGTCAGCTATGCCTATCCTGGGATCAGAAATCCAATGCATATATAACAAGCAGCTGCAGATGGTGCTGGATGCCGCAGTGTAGTTCTTTCCCTCCTCCTCAGCAACTCCCCTGGCATGTGTCTAAAGGAAGACGGTGGATGTGTGGATGAGGAAGGCGGGATGCAGCTGAAAACGTTCAATTTTAGAAAGTTACAAGCATTGTGACTGCATGAAGGTTAGAGTGTTTATTGTAACCATCTGGGCACTAGAGAGGGAGTCAATGATGTTATATGTCCTGCTTCTAACTTTGAGGTTCACTTTCAGAAGGACCTTTAGGATGTCATTTAGAAGAGAATCTTGCTGATCAAGTTGGCATGCTAAATAAAGCCCACAAAGAGAACACGTTGAATTGATGAAGCTTCATAGTTCATTACAGTTTGCCAAGGGAGAGAAATTGCAGTAATGAACTGATGTCATCCTTCATGTAGCAGACAGTCAACAAATGTTGAATCCAAGCAAGTTTGTGGCAGTGAATGCAATTACACATCTTCTTCTGACTTGACTCAAATAATTAAACCGCTAATATCCATTAGAAAAGCAGTACTATGTTTATATAATTAGGCAAGTTATTTTTAGAGTCAGATGAATACTAGAAATTGTGCCCAAGTCTCTGCCCGTAGGACATTTTATAGCTGCCTGTGTCCAGAGAAGTTAATAGCTTAGTTTTGGGGATGTAGCTTTAGTATAATTCCTTAGCCAGAGCTGAGATCTCTGAAGAACCTGTATAATTGGGATGGAATTCACCTAAGAAACAGTGGGATAAGCCTCCTTTTATTAATCTATGAATCTTAGATATGATGTTCCTACTTCTGTCATTTGTAGAATTACCTTCCAATCCACCAACTCTGCAGACAATGTAGAGCAGGGAAGAAGGGATGATTAGTTAGAGAGCTTATCTGTCTTATGAGAAGTAAAAATAGAAATTGATAGTTAAGTCTGACCTATGGGGATGACAGTTTTCACTTGTTTGCTGTACAATTTCAAATACAAGATAAAGGCCAATTGAGACCATGCAGTAGTACTATTTAAAATAAAAACTGAGATGCAGCTAAGCAGCATGGAAAATATAAAGTAAGGTATTGATAGATGACTCCTGGCTAAAAGAGCAAATAATTTTCCTAATACATTGCATTCCTACACTCTCTCACAGAATATTAGAATTTGGTGAAAATAGTTAAATCCACTTTCTTTCCATTGGGGGAAGTGACCTTTCTAAATATGTTGCCAAATATTTTATTCCAATACTGAGATGAATTATTTCCATAAAGATAAACATTATCCTGGCTTTCAGGATATTATGTGCTTACTTTTCTTCATAGTTTATTTTCTTTTTTCTTTCTTTTTTTTTTTTTTCTGTGACAGCATCTTACTTTGTTGCCCAGGCTGGAGTGCAGTGGCCCGATCTCGGCTCACTGCAACTTCTGCCTCCTGGGTTCAAGCGATTCTCCTGCCTCAGCCTCCTGAGTAGCTGGGATTACAGGCACGTGCCACCATGCCCAGCTAATTTTTGTATTTTTAGTAGAGACGGGGTTTCACCATGTTGGTCAGGCTGGTCTCAAACTCCTGACCTCATGATCCCTCAGCCTTGGCCTCCCAAAGTGTTGGGATTACAGATGTGAGCCACCGCGCCCAGCCTCTTCATACTTTCATTATCTTACTATGCATTCCTAAGTGTTTCAGTTTCTTCTGTTTGTGAACTTTATACAAATGGCTTTGATGGGGTCCGTGGACAGTGCAGTAAGTTTGTAAAGAGAAAAAATGCATAAGAATTAGAAGTAACTAAGCTGTTAATTGCAAATGATGTGATTTTCTATATCGACACCCGAAACTAACCTATTGACAAGTTTTAAAATAAGAAAGTTCAGTAAGAATTCTGGATAAAATATGTATGTATGAAAATCAATTTAATTCCGTTAAAAACCCACCAATCAGAAAGTTAAACTAAATAATATGGTATTTATAATTGCCAAAAAGCCTGACTGAAACAAAGATAGATAACTCTATGGTACTTGGGAACAAGTTCAACAAAGGACATATAAAACCTTTATGGAGAAAATTTACAACTTTCTCAAAAGCCACAGACAAAAATGTAAATAAATGGAGAGTTACCATTTTCATAGATGGAAAGGCTCTAGCAATGTCTGTTCCCACTAAATCTACAAATACAATATCACTGCAATCTGATTGCTAAAGAGTTTTTTTATTTAATAAGTGAATTAAAACACTTGGAAAACTACAGGACTAAGAATGGAGAAGACGATTCTGAAGAACAGTGTGGAGGGCATACTTTCAAGACGTAGCTCGAGGGTAAACGTTGCTTTATAAACCAAGTCATGCATAATGGTAACAATTTACAGCAAAGTAGCATTATCAATTAGATGGAAATGATAGACCATTTAATAAATTGGATATCCATATGCAAAATATTAAAATTAGGCTTTTACTTTACACCATACGCTGAGATACATTCCAGGTAAAGATATAAGCAAAATTTCAAATTTGAGATGAAAATATTGGAGAATATCTAATCCCAGTATAGGGAGGGATTTAAATAAAGACACAAAAAACACAAGCCATGGGAAGAATGCACATCAAATTGTCTATATTTAAAACAAAAATTTCCATACATAAACTACAGAATGAGAGATATTTGTAAAACCTATAACTGATAAATGAGCGGTGTTGAGAATAACTTTAAAAACCCCAAACTCCTTCAAAGCAGTAAGCTGCAGACCAGAAACTCACTAGGAAGATGATAAAGAATATGAACAAACAAGTCACAGGAGAGGAACCAACATGAAAATAATCGACATCACTAGTCCTCAGAGAAGTTCACATTAAAACCCAAGTGAGATTCCGTTTCACATTCTTCAACTGGCAAAAATGTAAAAATCTGACAATTCCAAGTGTTAGGATGTGGAGCATAAAAACTCACATGCCCTGTGATGGGAGTACAAACTGGTATAACCACTTTGTAAAATAATTTTGCATTCTCTAATAAAGTTCAAAATGTGCATAATCTACAATCTACTAATTCCATTTCTAAGTACATGCCAATGGAAACTTGTGCACATGTACACAGAGATGAAAAATGCTTATAAAAATATTGTTTGTGATAACAAGAAATGGGAAACATCCTATATATTTGTCAACAGGAAAATGAATAAATTGTGCTATATTCATAAAATGTTAATATTATACAGCAAGGTGAATGTACCAGAGCCACATGCATGAATATGGATAAATCTAAAAAACAGAGCATTGCAGTATGATATCATTTATGTAAGACTTTAAGACCTTCAAAACCAACACTCAATATGTTTTATGAAAACATGCATTTATAGTAAAATCATTAAACATATGAATGGAGATGATAAACATCAATTCAAGTGAGAGATTATGTTTAGGAAGGGAGGGAGAGAGGGTTAGTGGGACTGAGGATACTTTAAAGAGTGATATAAAACCAATATGGCAAATATGAAAAAGCAATGAAGAATGATGGTATGCTTGAAATATTTCATACAGAAAGGAAAACCATCATTAGTATGTACCATCATATCGCTGTGCTCAATTTTGATATCTAAATAGTGTTCCTTAGTAAGGTCATATTTCATAGACATATCGAATAGTAATTTCATGATCATACTTATATATGCATATAAAGTTTAGGTTTATTTAAGTTTTTAGAAACCAGTATAGTTAAATAAGGCCAAATATGCAATATATAAATTACATACGCCTACAATCTCATTTACTACAATTAATCAGCAATTCTCAAGACGATCATATAAAAAAAAAGTGGTTGGATGTTGTTAACCTCTGACCTCCTTCCAACTCTTTTCTAACTCACCCTTCCATGCCAATCCCCTACACTTGAAGGCCTGAGGAAAGGATACTATAAATGCAAATTAAACCTGAGATATAAAAACAGGATCTAGGAAGCATCTGCAGAGTTTTAAAATATTAATGTATTAGGCCAACAAGAGAGTGATGTTATTGCAAACATTTCCATCACTTTCCTTGATGTTGTTTTCTTTATACGCTAGATTGCCAGCCATTAGACATTAGGAGTGACCCAGTCTTTGAATGGAAGAGAATTAACTCTATGTAACACTAGAACTGACGCAAAACAATGGGTAATTTCTGCTGTGAGGAAGTTACCAGTAACGTGCGACTGTGTAATCTAAGCTCTGCTGTAACTTACAGATTTAAATGGGAAGAATGACAAAATACCACTGTCTTATTTTCTCAGGCAACGACACCAAAATACCATAGATCAGGTGGCTTAGACAGCAGACATTTATTTCTCACAGTTCTGGAGGCTGGAGGTCCAAGATCAGGTTCTAGCTGATTTGGGCAGCTGCTTTCTTGCTGTGTCCCCACGTGGCAGGGGAAGGAGAGAACTCTGGAGTCTCTTTTTATAGGGACACTAATCCCATCAGATCAGGGCTCCACCCTCATGGCCTCATTTAACCTTAGTTTCTTCCTTACTCCAAATACAGCCACATTGGTGGTGAAGACTTTAACATATGCATTTTGAAAGGACACATACGTCCGTCCCATATTACCAACTAAGGCAATTGTCCTCGAGCCACCCTGGGGCCATTTGTTATTATGTATCATTTGCACAACCAGTTAGGCAATGGATACATCAACTGGGATTGGTTTTGAGTGCCACTCCGTGCACTTCCTGCTGCTCTCTTGTTAGAAATGAATATCAAAGACATTGGTATCAACTTTGGGCTCTCATAAAGGGGTTTGAAAATAGCACTATGCTACCTTTCAGAAAAAAAGATGGAAATTTAGATGAAAATTTTCAAAAGTATTTGACTTAATAGCTCTAACCTAATAGCTCTTATTCAACTGCTGGATGAAAGATGGTTCTGAATAGTAGAGACAGACAAAATATTTGGGCTTCTTGTTCCTCCCTAGAGCACTGATAAAGCACAGTGCCTAGCACACGTCAAATACCCAGTGAAAATGTAATTTACATAATGAACAAATCAATGAAAATTCGTTATTGTTTTGCCACCATAACCCAACTTGGCTTAGTGAGTGACTTGTTAATGGCTTATATTTCTGAACGTACCACGCTGTTTTCTTTGCTATGCTTGGCAAGTTCCTTAACACTTTTCTACTTTTTGTAGGTCAAGGAGATAATTGCTACTTAATATTTAAAAGTAAATCGATGTCTTGGATAGTGAAGGACAGTTCTGAGGCTTTTTATTTATAGCTTTATCTCCCATGTCCCCATTTCATTCTCTGACTTGTCCTTTTGGTTCTAACCATTATTTGCTTGGTGTGACTCAGAAAGCCCTAAAGAAGATGGAAAGAATAAATAAAATGATATCTCCAATGGGCAGGTGCTTTGGAGATGATAAAATGAAACACTTTGTAAATTAATGTTTGGCCTATAATTTTGATGACATGTATATATATATTTTTTTGCAGTGATAGAAAATAGGGGAAGGGCCACCATCCTTTGGTTTTGGTTGCCAGGACCTGCAAGGTGGCGGGCATTAGGAAGAGGGCAGGAGTTCTGCTGGGGCCAGAGAGAGCACAGAGAGGCCAATGGGCAGCTGGGTCTGAGGAGGCTCTGGCCAGGTAAAGCTCTGATTAAAAGGCACTAATTTAGGAGCTTTCGGCCCCACAAGAAATTGTCTTCACCCCAGCCTTTGCACTTTGGCTACCTGTGTTGGCTATATTGAAATAAAGTCACTTTAAAAATCTGAGTTACTTAGAGAAACTGCTTGATAAACTTGTCGAAATAGGAGATGATGTGGAAAGCATGAGCATTTGGAAGTTGGACAAATCCAGATCCCAGTCGTAGCTGTGTCACTGACTAGAATGTGATCTGGGTAACATTTTTAACTTCAGATCCTGAGTTCTCCAGCCATCACCAGGAAGCAACACCTGCCCGTGGCAGTGGATTATTGCAGAGCTAATGGGAGGAAGGCGGCTGGCCCTGCATCTACACGTGGGAGGCACTGGTGCTCCTTTCATTCCTTTCCCATTCCAGGTGGAATTTTGGAAATCTGAATGGACATGAAGCCAGACAAGCAATGTAAAGGGAGAACTAAGACTTCTTATTTTATTTTATTATTATTATACTTTAAGTTCTAGGGTACATGTGCACAATGTGCAGGTTAGTTACATATGTATACATGTGCCATGTTGGTGTGCTGCACCCATTAACTCGTCATTTAGCATTAGGTATATCTCCTAATGCTATCCCTACCCCCTACCCCCACCCCACAACAGGCCCTGGTGTGTAATGTTCCCCTTCCTGTGTCCAAGTGTTCTCATCGTTCAGTTCCCATCTATGAGTGAGAACATGCAGTGTTTGGTTTTTTGTCCTTGCGATAGTTTACTGAGAATGATGATTTCCAATTTCACCCATGTCCCTACAAAGGACATGAACTCATTGTTTTTTATGGCTGCATAGTATTCCATGGTGTATATGTGCCACATTTTCTTAATCCAGTCTATCATTGTTGGACATTTGGGTTGGTTCCAAGTCTTTGCTATTGTGAATAGTGCCGCAATAAACATACGTGTGCCTGTGTCTTTATAGCAGCATGATTTATAGTCCTTTGGGTATATACCCAGTAATGGGATGGCTGAGTCAAATGTTATTTCTAGTTCTAGATCCCTGAGGAATCGCCACACTGACTTCCACAATGGTTGAACTAGTTTACAGTCCCACCAACAGTGTAAAAGTGTTCCTATTTCTCCACATCCTCTCCAGCACCTGTTGTTTCCTGACTTTTTAATGATTGTCATTCTAACTGGTGTGAGATGGTATCTCATTGTGGTTTTGATTTGCATTTCTCTGATGGCCAGTGATAGTGAGCATTTTTTCATGTGTTTTTCAACATTCTTAAAGGAAAGAATTTTCAACCCAGAATTTCATATCCAGCCAAACTAAGCTTCATAAGTGAAGGAGAACTAAGACTTCTTGGGAGCAGCCAGTGGCCCAGGGTTGGGCCAAGAGCGTCACACCCAGAGGAGTTGTGGGCATGTTTCTGTGATAGAATATTGGGTGAGCACATTTTAAAACTTTGACTTTGCTTTTTTCAGTTATATTAGAATGACAGTTGATGGTACTATGTTTTTATCACATGCTCTGGACTTCCACATGTGGTTTCTATTGTGTGATGTGGAAGTGACAAGCTTGTGCTTAAGGGTGCAGGAGGAAAGGGTGACTCCTGTGCCCGCCTCCCAGGCTTGAGGGATGTAGAGGTGGACACGGGATTTATGCATGGAATCATACAACAGCCTCGGTTGGATGGGTCCTGTAATTAGCACATTTCTTAAAATATATTTTATGACGGCTATTTATACTGTGGCATTTAGTGTGGCTTGCCTGTCTTAATTTGCTGAAATGCTTCTTGTTTCTTTTTAGGAGACATGAAAATGAAAATAGGGAGAAGTAGTAAGGATAGCTCTTTGTGTGTGTGCGTGTGTGTAAGCAAGAGAGAAAGAGGGAGAGAGAGTTTTTAAAATTTAATGTGATTTTAAGTTCCTGGATACACATGCAGGATGTGCAGGTTTGTTACACAGGTAAACGTGTGCTATGGTTGTTTGCTGCACCTATCAGCCGATCACCTAAGCATTAACCCCTGCATGCATTAGTTATTTATCCTGATGCTCTCCCTCCCCCACCACCACAGGCCCCAGTGTGTGTTGTTCTCCTCCTTTTGTCCATGTGTTCTCATTGTTCAGCTCCCACTTATAAGTGAGAACATGTGGTGTTTGATTTTCTGTTCCTATGATAGTTTGCTGAGGATAATGGCTTCCAGCTCCATTCATGTCCCTGCAAAGGACATGATCTTGCTCCTTTTTATGACTGCATAATATTCCATGGTGTATATGTGCCACATTTACTTTATCCAGTCTATGATTGATGGGCATTTGAGTTGATACTATGTCTTTGCTATTGTGGATGGTGCTGCAATGAACATACGTGTGCATGTATCTTTATAACTGAATGATTTATATTTCTTTGAGTATATACCAAGTAATGGGATTGCTGGGTCAAATGGTATTTCTGGTTCTAGGTCTTTGAGGAATTGCCACACTGTGATCCACAATGGTTGAACTAATTTACATTCCCACCAACAACGTGAAAGTGTTCCTATTTCTCTGTAGCCTCGCCAGCATCTGTTTCTTGACTTTTTAATAATCACTGTTCTGACTGGCATGAGATGATATCTCATTGTGGTTTTGATTTGCATTTCTCTAATGATCAGTGATGTTGAACGTTTTTTCATATGTTTGTTGGCTGCATGTATGCCTTCTTTTGAGAAGTGTCTGTCTGTTTATGTCCTTTGCCCACTTTTTAATGGGGTTGTTTTTTCTCTGTAAATTTGTTTAAGTTCCTTGTAGATTCTTTGTCAGATGGATAGATTGGAAAAAATTTAGAGAGAGAGAGTTTAATAGGAAACACATTGACACCTTCAGAGAAGGAAATATTTAAATATTTTGAGAGAAAAGCCATTATAAAGTTGAAAAGTTTTTCTAGCCTCCGTATAAACATATCCCCCCTCTAAGTTTTTAGAAAAGTTTTATTATTCTTATTAAGATAACTTTATGTTGAGGTTTTGGTGTGGTGATTTAATAGCACAGAATAAAGAAAAAAAATGTGATAGAGACCAGATAATTTAAAAAGTTGAGGAGTGTTAGTCTCTTTTGAGATAAATCTGTTAGTCTCTTTTGAGATAAATCACTACTAGTCTTTCAAATTGGGTTTGCATTTGTTTGTAGTTGGCCTTCAGGGTGGAGCAGCAAGGACAATGGCTAGAGCATTGCTTTTGCCACTGGGGCAGCTTTGCTTCTGTTCTGCACTCTGCTGCCCATTAATCGAGTCACCTTGTATGTGTGATTTGGTTCCCTGGGTCTCAGTTTTGTCATTTGTGAAATATCATCTGTGTAATGATAGAAAATGTCTCATAAGATTGCTGTGTTAAATAACGTGGGTAGCACCTGGCCCATAATAAATGTCCAGCTAATACAGTTATCATTTCTCCGTGTTTATACTGAGCAGTGTATTACAGAGAATTATGTCTGTGCGTATTACTTAGCAGCACGGCTGAAAAGGGAAAAGTAGAGTAGAATTGGGAATCAGGTACAGAGGCTTGGAATTTATCTACTGCAAGAATTGGCATTATTTCTTTTTGCTTTGTTTCTTTTCCTATCCTGTTGAATCATGTCCTTGGAAAGCTGAAATTAATCTCATCCTAAAATCTAGAAACTGCTAGTGTAATACATACAAAATACATACTCTTCTCATAGTTTGCATTCCTTCTGATTTAAAATAAGTTATTGAAAGATTTGTTTTCTTTTTCCAGTTCATTTATGTGATCATTTCATTGCACTCTTACTAGCATTCACAGTGTGGTATGCACTCTGCTGAATATAAGCCAGAAAGCTGAGAAAAGAGGAAGAAAAATTCAAAGAGGAAGAGTAGGAGAAAGCTTTGGTCTGGGGAGAGCTTGCAGACCCATGGGGCACATGGTCCTGAGGGCAAGTGGTCTCCATGTATTGTGGTGTATGGGCAGTGGTCTTTGCATGCTGTAGTCTCCACATACAGTGGGCTCCACATGCTGTGGTCTCTGCATGCTGTGGTCTCTGTATGCTGTGGCCGCTGTGTGCTGTGGCCTCCACGTGCAGTGGTCTCTGTGTGCCGTGGCCCCTGTGTGCTGTGGTCTCTGAGTGCTGTGGTCTCTGCGTGCTATGGCTTCTGTGTGCTCTGGTCTCTGTGTGCTGTGGTCTCTGTGTGCTGTGGCCCCCGTGTGCAGTAGTCTCTGTGTGCTGTGGCTTCTGTGTGCTGTGGTCTCCGTGTGCTGTGGTCTCTGTGTGCTGTGGTCTCCACGTGCTATGGCCCCCGTGTGCAGTGGTCTCTGCATACTGTGGTCTCTGTGTGCTGTGGCTTCTGTGTGCTGTGGTCTCTGTTTGCTGTGGTCTTTGTGTGCTGTGGTCTCCACGTACTATGGCCCCCGCGTGCAGTGGTCTCTGTGTACTGTGGTCTCTGTGTGCTGTGGTCTCTGCGTGCAGTGGTCTCTGTGCCCTGTGGCCTCTGCGTGCAGTGTTCTCTGCCTGCTGTGGTCTCTGCTTGCTGTAGGAAGGCCTCCATGGGAGCCATGTGGAGCAGGCCTGCTGCCCCCTGCTGGCGGGGTGAGGAGGCATCACCGAGACTGTTCTGTGGTGGGAAAAGGAAAGTTGTAGAAGAAAAATTTCACTAGAGGCCTGTTAAAAACGGCCAGAAAGACTTTACCCAAGACTATTGCAATAGGAGAGAGAGAGAGAGACAGAGAGAGAGAGAGAGTGCGAGAGCACGCGCGCACGCTAGAACTCAACTGTGTTGAGACGAAAAGCAGGAGTGGTTTGAAGGGTAGAAAGCTCTAAGTATGTCAGGGCAGAGGCCGGTCCGTGGGATTAGGAAAGCTGTGCTTGCTAAGTGACCTTTGTTTTCCAGGTTCCTACCTTCCCATAGAGACTGAGGAATAAGGATGCTGTCTTTCTTTTCCTCCAGCTTTATTGAGGTATAAGTGACAAAAATTGTATATCTTTAAGGTGTACTTTTTGGTGTCTTAGTATCTGTGTGCACTGTGAAATGATCACCATAATCAAGGAGGTATCTTTCTTGATGATTATATTTCAAAGTGATGGCCCTCAGGTCCTTGAGGAAGACAATTCTGGGCTATAAAACTGGCTAGAGGCTGGAGGAAGCTTTACATCTCAAAGCGGCAGATAAAGGAATCACAATGGCAAGTTTTCTAAAGTAAATGCTCTAGGAAAAGCGAAATCGGGCTCTACAGTCAGGAGGAAGCCTGCCTAAAGTTTAGTGCAGCTGAGGGGATAGTGAGGCCCTGTGAATCACAGTGAGGGGGCCAGGGAAGGATATGAGGGAGAACAAAGGGGCTCAAGGCCCAGAGAGGCTGTAGAGTGGGAATGCTCAAGCCATGGCTCCAAAAGGCACTGGCCGGCTTCAAATCCAACACCCTCACTTCCTAAGTATGTGACAGAGCCAAGTGACTTGAGCTCTTGGGCCTTGACTTCCTTTCATGTAAAATGGGCATATTGTCTGAAGGATTAAATCAAGTAATTCCTGTGAATGCTTAGCCGACTGCCTGGTGTGTGCTACGGGATAATGTAAGGGTTTTATTTGATATGATTGCATAGAGATCGCAGGCAAATAGTGTGATATTCTTGAATGGCAGGGGTTGGAGCTGAATGTCTTCATCGGGCCAGGATGGGAGGGCCTGTGTGTGTGTTCCTAAAGAGTTCAACCTTAGGGGAGGACATGAGAGTTTTAAGCAGGTTGTGACATGGTAACATGTAGATTCTTAGAACAATCTGGCATTCATGAAGAGAGTATGTGTGTTAGTCCATTTTCACACTGCTATAAAGAAATACTTGAGATTGGGTAATATATATAGAAAAGAGATTTCGTTGGCTCATGGTTCTGCAGGCTGTACAGGAAGCATGGTGGCATCAGCTTCTGGGGAGGCCTCAGAAAACTTAGAATCATGGCGGAAGGCGAACAGGAAGCTGGCACTTTACACAGCCAGGAGCAGGAGGAAGGGGGAGGGGAGGTGCTACACACTTTTAAACACCAGATCTTGTGAGAACTCTATCGCGATACAGTACCAAGGGAGGAGGCTGCTAAACCATCATGAAAACTCCACCTCCATGATCCAGTCACCTCCCACCAGGCCCCACTTCCAACCCTGGGGATTACAATTCGACATGAGATTTGGGCGGGGACACAGATTCAACCATACCAGTCCATTACATACACAGAGCAGTAATTTTTTTTCTGTTATTTTTGGGAATAATAATTTTTTTTTTTTGAGACAAAGTCTCTCTCTTGTTGCCCAGGCTGGAGTGCAATGGCATGATCTTGGCTCACTGATACAAAGTTGATCAAATGTATAAGTTCTGAGAGGATATTTGAGACATTTCCACACTGTATTCATCATGGGTTTTATTTTCTGTGTTTTATGATGCTTCAGCGTCTTGGGAGCTTTGGTTGTTGGGATGAGACAGCCCTTCCCAGGGCTGGCGAGTTCCTAGAGACAGCAAATGACTGCCCTGAGGGTGTGCCTTTCATACGAAAACCAACAACCCAAAGCCTGTATCCCACCTACGTCCTTGATCTGCCTCTCACACCCCCAGCCAGCATTTCTCCTGCCCTGAACCACCCCAGGGCCAGGCACTGAACTGAGGATCACCCTGCCCCTAGAGTCCACTATAACTCAAACTGTCCAATCCTAGACTTGTTCTTGCTCACACTTGCCTCTCCTGCCACACCCACTCCTTCCTGTTGCCCACACAGTGCGGGCATGGGGCTGTCCTCTCCCTCCACGTCTGCTGCCTCCTGACCGCCCTGATGCTTCCTTCCGCCCATGGCCCTGTGCTGCATCCTGTGGCCCCTTGTCTTAGGAGCTGCAAGTAAGAATCCTTCCTTCAAGGGCATTGACCTGTCTGTGTTGTGCAGTCACCTCTGCAGATTAAATCTCAGTGTGATGGACCACACACCTTGCCCTTCTGTTCTCCTGGGCTGCCATCTCCTTTCCTCTTCACAGGCAACTGTTGGCCCTGGGTGTTTCCTGGCACCTGCTTGCCTCGATGGCTCTTCCCACTTCCTGGTAGGCTCATGTCCTCCAGATGTCATGGCCCAGGGCACACACTCAGCGAGACTCAAACCTTCCTGCTCATGTGGGTGCCTGGCCAGCATGGAGATAGGACATCTGCCTGTGAACCACAGCCACTTCTGAGAGCTTGTGACCTCTGCTTCTCCCCAGGACCTTCTTCAGTGCAGGGACAGAGCCTGTCTTCTGACTTTGTGTACATTTTAGCTATGAGGGTTTTTTTCATGCCTTCCTTGTTGGATGGATGCCAAGCCATTTGGGCAATATGCTAGGCCGAGAGGAACCAGAAAAGAGGGATGGCTCAGCCAGGAGGGGAGACAAAATCAGAGGTAGACGGCTCATTTCCTTTGAAAAGTGGCAGCTATTTTGTGTTTTGGGGGCAGTGATGAGAACACTGCAGGACTTCTTTAGAGTCCTTACCCAGTCTGTGCAGGGGGTGACGACATCCTTCTTTGCTCACTGAAGGCCGGGGGGTCTTCAAAGAGTGAGGGCAAGGCTGGAGAATGTCTTTCCAGGGAAGGCAAGCAGAGCCTACGAGAGAGGAGTGAGTGGAAGAGGCCACCTGGGCTGCGAGGACAAGTGAGGACATGCAGAAACAAACAGGGAGGTCATTGCAGAAACAGGGAGGTCATTGCACGGTGAGAGATGTGAGGACATGGGGCCAGGAGACATCAAAGCCCTAATCCCCAGTACCTGTGCATGTGACCTTATTTGGAAATAGGGTCTTTGCAGAAGTGAACAAGTGAAGATGAGGTCATTGAATGGGACTTTATCCAACATGGTCATGTTCTTATGAAAAAGGGAAATCTGGACACAGAGACAGAGAGTCCCAGAGGGAAGATGAAGGGAAGACACAGGGAGAAGATGGCCATTGCCAAGCCGAGGAGAGCACTCAGAACAGGTCCTTTTCTCATGACCTTCAGAAGGAACCAGCCCTGCGAAACCTTGATCTTGGACTTCTGGCCTCCAGAACTGGGAGAGGATATATTTGCATTGTTTTCAGCCAGGGGTCCCCAACCCCTGGGCCACAGACCAGTACCACTTCATGGCCTGTCAGGATCTGGGTTGCACAATGGGAGGTGAACAGCAGATGAGTGAGTGAAGATTCATTTGTATTTAGAGCCACTCACTGTTGCTCACATTACCACCTGAGCTCCACCTCCTGTCAGATCAGTGGCAGCATTAGATTCTCATAGTAGTGCAAACACTATTATCAAAAGTGCATGCCAGGGATCTACGTTGCACTCTCCTTATGAGAATCTAATGCCTGATAATCAGTCACTGTCTCCCATCATCCTCAGATGGGGCTGTCTAGTTGCAGGAAAACAAGCTCAAGGTTCCCACTGATTCTACATGATGGTGAGTTGTATAATTACTTCATTACATATTACAATGTGATAATAATAGAAATAAAGTAGACAACAAATGTAATGTGCTTTAATCATCCTCAAACCATCACCACCAACACTGATCCGTGGAAAAATTTTTTCCACAAAACTGGTGCCAAAAAGCTTGGGGACCACTGTTTCAGGCCACCCAGGTGTGATATTCTGTTCCAGGAGCCCCAGGAAGTGAATGTGCCTTGTTGACGGTTAGCAAGCTCCCTCTAACATTTCTGGATATTCCTTTCCTCAAGGAGATGTCTGAAAAACCAACTAAACCAAGGAGGAGTTTACCAGCAGGACCCTGGGTGTCCTAGGAATCAAACGAAGAGGGATACAGCCCCACCCTGGCAAGGCATGCAGGAGTGGACTGTGGGCTGCCAGCCATGAATCAGAGCAAAAAGAGCAGGGGGGTCTTTGTCAGCTGTTTCCTTTTCTGTTTTTTCCTGTCCCTGCTTGTTTTCTCAACCGTCCCAAGTGTTGGGGGATAGAACTGCTGGCCACTTTGAAATCACAACCTTGGGGCTCCTCAGCAAGAGACAAGGCAAAATTCTCTCTCCCTTTTCAGGTAATATCCTGGGAGGTCCATCTCTGGCTGATGGCAGGGATGGAGGCAGGGGCAGAACTCTGCTGGCTGAGTGGAAGAGGAGCCTTTCCCAGAGTAGGGTGGTCAGCTGGCTGTCAAGCAGAAGGAAGGGCTGGCTCTGTTGCATGCTGCCCACCCCGTAGTCTTCCCTGTAAGCCTCAGTTGACATGGGAGGAACGCTGCGCTCCATGATAAGGGCACAGGCCTTTCTCTAAGTGTTTATTTCTGTGGCCTCTGGGGCAAGTTTGTGTGTTTTGCCCATTTGGTCTGGTTTCCAGCTATAACCCTTTGTTCTGGGTTTCTGCCCCAAGTACCTCCCTGGACCATGTCGTGATTGGACAACTTCAGCTCCAATATGCACACAGCTCCTGTCTTGATTCCTGCAAACTCAGCCAGTTCCAGCCTGCAGCGTTTCACTGATTTTATTGAAGGTACAAGAGTGAAGGAAGGCCCTTGTGATTCTGAAAAGGAAAACATAAAGCTCATTAGAAGCTCCCAGTGAACCTGGAATCTGTCGTGGTCCTTCTCGGAGGGCTAAGATCAAGCTGTTCGTCCCTAAGCCTTGCTTTTCCACCATGCTGGAAGGACATCATTCACTGCTCTCGAAGATCAGTTTCTTCACTTCTCCTCTCCCCTTCATGAGTGTCTTCAGCCTCCAGAGAGAAAGGCCAGGTCCTCCTTGATACCAGTCTAAGATCAACTTCATTTCTCCACCTCCAGATGAATGAAAGGAGGAACACCCATTTTCTTCAGTGTTAGACTGGCTTCACGTGACACAAGGAAGATGTTCACAATGCAATCCACTTCTCAAAGTCTGTGCTATGCAATAGTAAATGCAGAAGAAGCCCCTGTACCTGAAGTACTCCAATATTTGGGTAGTTAATTAAAAGCATCAGTTAAATGGGGAATCATAAGGAAATGCTGCATACGTGCATGAATTTATTTTAACTTCAAACATAAGTACATGGTTTCATTTGCCAATATTTAGATGAAGAACCAAGGTTTATTCTCTGAGTATAGTGTTTAATTCTGTGTCATCTTTCTTGCATAAACCATGGCCATATTTCATCATCTACTGTGTTCAACTTTGCTTTCTTGAAAGTAGTGTAAACCAAAAGTATCTGAGACAGGTCTCAATCAATTTAGAAAATTTATTTTGCCACGGTTAAGGATGTGCCTGTGATACAGCCTCAGGAGGTCCTGATGACATGTGCCCAAGGTGTTTGGGGGTACAGCTTGATTTTATACATTTTAGGGAGACATGGGATGTCAATCAAGGCATGTAAGGTGTACGTTAGTTCAGTCTAGAAAGGCGGGACTACTCAAAGCAGGGGCTTCCAGATCATAGGTGGTTTTAAACGTTTTACTGATTAGCAATTGGTTGAAAGAGTTATTATCAATAGAAAGGAATGTCTGGGTTATGATAAGGAGTTGTGAAGACCAAGGTTTTATCATGCAGATGAAGCCTCTAGGTAGCAGGCTTCAGAGAGAATAGATTTCAAATGTTTATTATCAGACTTAAAGAGTCTGTTCTATCAGTAATTCTAAAAGGAAAGGGGGGTACAAATGAGGTACGTCTGGCTCCCCATTCCCATCGTGGCCTGATCTAGTTTTTCAGGTTAACTTTGGAGTGCGCTTGGCCAAGGGAAGGGATCCATTCAGATGGTTGGGGGACTTAGAATTTTATTTATGGCTTACAGTAGAATGAGAACTTAAAGACACTTGCAAAGGAATCTGAGTTCAGAATCCCTTTAAAAATATATTTTTGATTAGTTGTAGAGAGTGGGATTAACCTGATTCTTCAGGTCATAATGGACTTGTAATGGGCCCCTGCAAGGGTCCTTTCTTTGTTATGCTGTATTATGAGTGAGATTACATCAAGTCATGTTACATTATGCCACATTGTGGAATTTCTACTCTTCCTCAGCTGTCTTGACTCCTGCTGCCCTCCCCTAGATTCCCATTCTTGTTGATTACCCTTAAACAGATGTGTACCCTTGTAGATGGTGAGTTTTCTGTTTTCAATTCACCTAAATGGTGTTAATTTATGAATCTCATTCTTACTCCTTTTTTCTCTTCACTTTTTTTTGGTAGACTATTCATACTGCTGAGTATATACCTAGTTTGGGTCTTTTTTGACCACAGCATCATAATCCACAGTCTATATTTTTCCACACGTTTCTTATTCATTTCCCATAATGATAGCACAATTGTTTCTTGCTGCATCACAAAACGCCCCAAAGGTTTGTGCCTGAAGATGACACTTTACTTGCTCATGATTCTGTGGGACTACGGTTTGAGAGCTGAGCAGTTCTTCCAGCCTGGCCCAGGGTCTCTCATATGCCTGTGGCCATCTGGTTGCTCGGCAGGGGTTGGATCATCTCAGGCAGCTCCTCAGTAACATGTCTGGAGGCAAGTGCTGGCTATCTTCTGGACTCTCTTCTGGACTGTGTGTCACCAGTGTCTAGCAAGTAGCTTTGGCTCCTTTACACACCCCCATGTACAAGAACTTTCAAGCCTCTGCTATATCATGTTTGCTAATATCTTATCGGCAAAAGCAATTCAAGTGGCCAACCTGAGAGTGTGTAAAGATGGGTATGCATACAGGGAGGTGCAATTCATCAGGAGCTGTTGCTGTAACAACCTACCACAGACATTGGGATACCTTAACATCCTGCTACCCAAACAGATGGATAGGCTAGTACGTGAGTCTTACAAATCTGTTTGAGTTGTGTGTGTGTGTGTGTGTGTGTGTGTGTGTGTGTGTGTGTTTTCTGGGAATTATAGCTAGGAGTGAGACTACTGGATCCTGGAGCATATATATATATACTTTCTTTAACAAAATTGTACCACTTTGCATTTGAGAGCTGTGATAACAGTTTCCATTTCACCAGTTGTGCACAGAATTTCTACCTCCCATCTTTCTCACCTATATAGTATATGATATTATCTGTCTTACTAAAACTTTACCATTTTGATGGTTGTAAAATTATACACTATTTATTCCGTATTTCTTTGATTACTTGTATGAGATCAAGTAACAGTTCATATATTTCTTAGCCATCTGGGCTCCTCTATGAATTGTATATTTCTATCCTTTGCCCATTTTCCTATTAAGTGTATTTTTGCTTGTTGATTTGTAGGTGCTCTTTATATATCATAGGTATTATATTTTGCAGACTCTCATCTGCCAGCTTTTCCCACATGGTTTGTGTTTTTGTACTTTTAAAGAAGTTTTCCCCCTCCACACCTAGGTCATAAAGTGATTCCAGTGCATTTACATCTATTAGCCTTTTAGTTTTACAGTTTACATATAGGTCTTTAATTTGTATGTGGTGTAAAATAGAAATACACCTGTTTTTTTCCTTGCAGAGTATATGAAGTTTTTCTATCATTAATTACCTGTTTGTTTTCTATTTTTCTTGTAAAATTACAGGCAAATCTGTGAGCTCTCTCTTTTATCCTATGGGAATATGTCTCTGTCTCTGTGCTAGCACAATATGACTTTTGTTACACTAATTTGTAGTATGTTTTAATATCACATAGGGAGAGTCCTCTCTGCTTACTCTTCTTTTAAAAAGTTTACTTAGCTATTTGCAGACCTTTATGTATTTTAATATGAGTTTGAGAAATTCTTCAAAAATTTTATTCTGGAATGTTGGTTGGGATTATATTGATAATTTATAGGTTATTTGGGGGGCAGAAATTAACATCTCACAAGCCCAAAATAATGAAAGCACAATGATAGTGGCAAAAAAACTTAAGAAATATTGAAGCAGTAATTATAGCCATTACCCCTGAATTCCTTCATCTATGTGTGAGCTTTAATAAACTTTCAAACACACCTATTCTGTTTCATCATGCACTAATTTTGTCATTTTATATTTCTATAAAAATTTATAGTACAAAAATAACATATAAGTGTAATTTATTTTTGTATAGTGATTTTGGGTTTCATGACTTTGATAAACTCATTTATTTGTTCTAACAGTGTGTGTGTGTGTGTGGGGGGGAGAGAGAGAGAGAGAGATAGAAATAGAGAATTTCTTTGGGATTTTCTACATCCAAGATTATAAGATAGTTTTACTTCTTTATTTCCAAATTAGATGACTCTATTTTTTTCTATCCATTTCTTTTGCTTTTTCCTCTTCAGTCCTCCTCTTCTTCCTTTCCTTCTCCTCTCTCTTCCTTCTTCTTCCACATCTCTTTCTTTCTCCTTCTTCTCCTCTTTCTTTTTATACTTATCTTACTGCATTGACTAAAACCATCCAGTTCAGTGTTGAATAGAAGTTTCTGATCTTGTTCTAAAACTTAGGGACCAAAGCAATCTGCCTTTCAGCAATAAATATGATACTACCTGTTGGTTTCTCATAGTTACCCTTGACCAGGCTGATGAAGTTCCCTTCCATTCCTATTTTGCTGAAACTTGTTATCATGAATGGATTTTAGATTTTGCCAAGTACATTTCCTGCATCTATTAAGATGATCATGTGTTTTTTGTCTTTTTGTCTGTTAATATAGTTTATCATAGTAATTGATGTTCAAATGTTAAACCAACCTTCCATTCTTGGGAAAATATCACTTGATCAAAATGTGTAGTCCTTTTTATATGTTACTGGATTTGGTTCGCTAATATGTATATGTAATAAGCATTGCTGTCTATGTTAATGAGGAATATTGATTTGTAGTTTTCTTGTCTTGTCTTTTTACAGCTTTGTAATGTTAGTAGATAGTAGTAGTATACTAGGAAGTACTACTCATTAAATGATTTGAAAAATCTTCTCTATTTTCTGAAATTGTGGAGGATTGGTATTATTGCTTTCAATATTTGCTGAAATTTGACAATGAAGTCACCTGGGCCTTGGTTTCTCTTTGTGGGAAATTTTTTTATTACCATTTCACATTCTTTTCTTGTATTGGGTTGTTATTTTCTTGTTATAGGCTTATGTTAGAATATACATTCTTCTTCAGTCAGTTTTGATAGTTGTATTTCTAGATTTTGCCCACTTCATCTCAGTTGTCTCATTTGTTAACATATCATGGTTCATATATTCTCTTATAATCTTTTAAATTTCTCCAGTTTCCTTAATGACATCCTCTTTCTTTTTCCAATTTTGCTAATTTTTGTCTTCTTTATTTTCCTCCTGGTCTTGTGAAAGATTTGTTATTTTTTTTAGATTTTTTTTTAAAAGAACACACTTTTAATTTCATTGATATTTTCCTACAGTCTGTTTTCTATTTCATTGATTTTTGCTCTAATTTACTACTTGTTTCTTCTGTGTACTTTGGGTTTAATTTGCTCTTCTTTTCCTAGATTCTTAAGGTAGAAGCTTAGGTTATTTATTTGTTACTTTTTTTTTTTTTTTTTGATGGATTCTCGCTCTGTTGCCCAGGCTGGAGTCCAGTGGCACAATCTCGGCCCACTTCAAGCTCCGTCTCCCGGGTTCACGCCATTCTCCTACCTCAGCCTCCCGAGTAGCTGGGACTACAGGCGCCCGCCACCTCGCCCGGCTAATTTTTTGTATTTTTAGTAGAGATGGGGTTTCACCATGTTAGCCAGAATGGTCTCGATCTTCTGACCTCGTGATCCGCCCACCTCGGCCTCCCAAAGTGCTGGGATTACAGGCGTGAACCACCGCGTCCAGCCACCTTTTTCTTTTATGATATAAGGTTTAAAGTTCTAATTTCCCTGTAATTACTTCTTTAGCTCCATCCCATAAATTTGATATTTTAAAAACTTTTATTCACTTCAAAATATTCTCTAATTTCCCTTATGATTTCTTTGACTTGTGGAGTATTTAGAAGCATGTTGCTTAGTTTTCCAATATATGAAGATTTTCCAGATTTTCTTTCTATTGCTACAGACAAATTTCTATCCAGTGTTAATACCATTGTAATTTGAGAACACACTTTGTATAATTTCAAACTATTTAAATTTTTGGAAACTTGTTTTTTGAACCAGCATATGCTCTACGCTGGAGAGTTTTCCATACGTGCTTGCAAAGATTATGTGTTTTGTAGTTGTTGTGTGGCATGTTCTATAAGTGTCAATGTGATGGAACTAGTTGATAGTGCTTTTCACATCTTCTATATTCTTGATGATTTCTCTCTTAATATTCTAATAATGATTGGGAGCAGGATACTGAAATCTTCAACAATTATTGTGGTTGAAGATTCTAATCATTACTAGAATCATCCGTATATTTCTTTCAATTCTGTCAGATTGTATTTCGTGTATTTTGAAACTGTGTTTAGGTATGCATATGTTGTTATATCTTCCTGATATATTGATCCTTTTATCATTATAAAGTGTTTCTTTTTATTTTTAAAACTATTTGTCTTAAAATCAATTTAGTATTAACATAGCCATTCTAGCTTTCTTACAGCTGCAGTTTGCATTGTATACCTTTTTTTATCTACTTATTTTCAGTCTATTTACATGTTTGAATTTAAGGTGTATCCTTTGTAGACAGAATATATTTGGATCTGTGTTTTGTCCAGTTTGACAGTGTCTTCCTGTTAATTAGGGTTTTTGAACATTCGCATTTGATATAATTGTTCATACAGTGAGATTTACACTTGACATTTTACTGTTATTTTCTTTATGCCTTCTGTCTTTTCTGCTTCTCCCGTCTTCCCTTACTGTTTTATTTTGTGCTAAATATTTTTAATGTACAATTTTAATTCATTTGTAGATTTAAGAATAATTTTTGTTTTTAATCATTTTGTGGTTTTTAAAACAGTTGCTCTATGAATTAAATGATGCATTTTACTTTATTGCAGTCTCCTTCTAACTTAATTCTGGCAAAATGAGAAACTTACTCCAATGTAGCTCCATCATCTCCTCCTTCTCTGAGCCATTGTTGTCATATTGTTACATATAAATATGTTATGAACCTAACAATATAATATTACAGTGATCACTTTAAGCAATCTCATGTTATTAAAGAAGTTAAAAGAAGAAATGAGAAGAAATATATTTGGAGTTTTTTATATTAACTTACAAATTTACCATTTCCAGTGTTCTCCATTTCCTTCATTTCCTATGGATTGAAGTGACTATCTGGTGTGATTTCCTTTTAGCTTGAAGCTTTATAGTTGTTTTCTGGGCCATTTCACCCAGTTGTTTTCAGCCATTTTTAGTTGGCTATAGCCAAAACCTATAAACCAACTAACCAACCTTCCTTCCTTCCTTCCTTCCTTCCTTCCTTCCTTCCTTCCTTCCTCTCTTTCTTTCTCTCCTTCTTTCCTTCTTTCTCTTTTTCTTTCTCTTCTGTCTTTTCTGTTTTTTCTTTCTTTCCTTTTTGGTCTTTGTATTTTAACTCTGAGTTGGATATTTAGTTTATTTGTTTATAATATTTTGAGTTTTTTGATAAATTTATTTAAAGTTACGTATTTCCCTATAAATAATTGCTCTTTCTGTTATCACAAAAATTGGTATGCAATATTTTCAAGGTATTCGGGTTAAACAATTCCTTAATTTTTCTTTTCATTTCTTCTTCAACAGAATATTGCTTAGTAATATGCAATTTGTTCCTAGGTATATTATTTATTTATTTATTTACTTTTCTGTTTGTTATTTATTTCTAATTTTAAAGCAATACAATTAGAGAACAGAATTTTATAATGTTATTTTTTGGAATTTATTTGAAGAATATTTTGGGGATTAATTTTTGTGTATGTGTGTGTGTATGTGTGTCTGAGTAAATGTACTAAATGAAACCAAAAGATTATGTGCAATGTGCAGACTTGTTAGATGTATATTACTGGAAGTTTACTGCATTATTTAAAATTTAAATATATCTGCTTATATTTCATCCAGTTGTATTTATCATTTTGAGAAGGGTATGTTTAAAAAATTACAATGTAAATTTCTTTAAGTATTTATTGCTTCCCGTTTTTTGACAATTGTTTTTATAAATTTTAAAATCTGTATTGTTAGGTATAGATCAGTTCATAATCATTGTTTTTTTATGTACTGCTCCTTTTAGCAGAAGACAGTATTCCTCTTACTTAACAACATTTTGTTTTCTTTGCATTCCATTTCTTCTAATATTAAGCTTGTTACCTCGATTGTATTTTAGTTAAAATAAAATTTGGTGTATCATTTTATTCATGTATTTTAAACTTTTATTTAAATTTTTTTATGCACAATATATTACTAGATCTAGTTTTTCTGTTTTTTTTTTAGGTTTAATCTGAGAGTTTCTATCTTTTGATTGGCTAATTTAATCCTATTTTATTTATCATGACTACTATAATATTAGGAATTATTTATACCTTCTTATTTCCTATTTTCTATATATCAAATTAATTTTTTCTGCCTTTCACTAGACAGATTAAATTTATCTTTCTATTGTCGTAAAAACCATGAACTATTTTCATCCTTTGTGTGGTTACTCCTAACTTATTATACTTATTATCTTTTTTTGAGATAGGGTCTCACCCTGTCACCCAGGCTGGAGTTCAGTGGTGTGATCTCGGCTCACTGCAACTTTTGCCTCCCAGGTTTAAGTGATTCTCATGCTTCAGCCTCTAGAGTAGCTTGGATTACAGGCATGTGCCACCATGCCCAGCTAATTTTTGTATTTTTAGTAGAGATTGGGTTTCATGTTGTCCAGGCTGGTCTCGAACTCCTGGCCTCAAGTGGTCTGCCTACCTCGGCCTCCCAAAGTGCTGGGGATTACAGGTGTGAGCCACTGCACCCAGTCTATACTTATTATCTTAAACTTATTAATTTCAGTATTACTTCTCTGAATAGGACAAGTGATTTAATATGACTGACTTTTCTCTGGTTCCCTCTACTTCACCTCCAAGATGCTGTCCTCATTAAAAAAAAACTTTTAGGCCAGGTGTGATGGCTTATGCCTGTAATCCCAGCACTTTGGGAGGCCAAGGCAGGTGGATCACGAGATCAGAAGTTTGAGATCAGCCTGGCCAATATGGTGAAACCCTGTCTCTACTAAAAATACAAAAATTAGCCGGGCATGGTGGCACGTGCCTGTAATCTCAGCTACTTGGGAGGCTGAGGCGGAAGAATCACTTAAACCCTGGAGGCAGAGGTTGCAGTGAGCCGAGATCGTGTCACTGCACTCCAGCCTGGGTGACAGAGCGAGAATCTGTCTCAAAAAAAAAAAACAAAAAACCTTTTAGTTAAAGTATGATAAGTATACATAAAGTACACAAATCATAAGTGTATAGGTAAGTGAACGTTCACAAACTGAATTCACATCTACCAGCAGAACACGACAAGCATTCCAGACTCCTGTGTCCTTAATGCACCTTCCTAGTTATTACCTTGCCTCCACTCGCCAGAAGGATGCCTAGTGCCTTGGATTACTTTTGTTTCGGTTCTTCACACAGATGGAATCATGTTGTGTCATCCACATTGTTGCACTTAGTTGTGGATGATTAATTCCCACTTTTGTTTAGTGTTCCATTGCATGCCTATACAGTTTATTGATTGATTCTGTTGTTTAAAGGCATTTGGGTTGTTTCCAGCTTTTGGTATTGCAAATAGCGCTGGGATGAACATGGTGGTGCACGTCTATTGGTGTTTGAGCCTATATAAGGCTTTATTTTGGATGTATGCCTTGGGAATGGAATTGGTAGGGCATAGGGTATGCACACATTTAGCTTTAGTAGATGCTGCCAAACAGTTCTCTGAAGTGATGTTCTGATTCACATTCCCACCAGCACTTTATGAGAATTTTAATTGTTTCACATTATTGTCTATCCTTGATACTTTCCTTTGTTTCCATTTTAGTTATTCTGGTGGTGTGAATTGCTATTTCATATTCCTCCAGCTTCTAAATTCTGAGTTGTTATAGATATTCATCCTCGCTCCCTTCCTCCTTTACTTTTTGTTTTTGTTGTTCTTTAACTCTTTTTAGGTTCTTCTTTTCTTAAACAACATTAAAACCCTACTAATTTATTTACTCACCATTCTCATATATTTCATTGTATCCTCCTGTATACATCTATTAAGAGTGTTTTCTTTTAAGATCCTTGTATGATAATCCTTCTGAATCTATATGTATCTGAGAATATAGTTTTTGTTTACTCACCTTTAAATAATTCAGTTGTACCAAAATCATAGGCTTGGCATTCTTTTTCTTTAATTCTTTTTCAAAGTATAATTTTTGAAAAGTTAAAAAAAAAGACTCACATGCAAATAAGAAATGAACACATACTAAAGATTTTATGCAACTTAGTAATTAATGAGGAAACCATCAAGATTCAAAAGAGTATTTGAAGAACACATACAACACATATCAGAGTTAAGCATTCTGAAATCAATTTGCTAATAGATGCATCCCTATAGGGGAGTAAAATGTAATGTGTGGAGTTATCTTTTCTACCCAGAAGAAATTAATTTTATCTCTTCCAGATGAATTTTTTTGCATAACTGTGGACAATGACATTTGCATTTCTCACAGTTTTCTACAAGCAAACTTCTACCCCTGCAGAGTCATAAAGGAAATCATTCAATAGATAATCAATCAAAGACGCATGTCCCTATAGGAACGGATGCTCCCAGAGGCCCTGTGAATGACATCCTGCACTATACTGAATGAATACCCATTGCCTCTTCTGCTTATGTTCAAGCATTGGAGGTTTTTTTTTTTGATGCTTTGAAAATACTACCTTGTGGTTTATTCAAAGATGCTCTTGAGAAGCCTGATGCTAACCCATTTGTTTTTTTTTTTGTTTTTGTTTTTGTTTTAGCTTTGGAGAAATTTATTATTTTTGACCAGCCCTTCTAGAATTTTCATATCAACCTTAATGTCCTTAAGTTTTATTATAATATATTAATATCTAGGTATGAATTCTCTTTCTTGTCTCTGCTGTCATTCCAGAAGTCTTTCACCTTTCTTTAACTCAGTACATTTTTAGGGATTGTTTTTCCAATATTTTCTCTCAATTAATTTTTTTCTCTTTCTCTGATATCTCTTATTAGTCCACAAACACTTTTACTTCTTAGCTCACATAACTTTTATGTATTCTTTTATATTTTGTCTCTTTATTCCCAATAATGATTGGTAAGTTTCTTTACCTGATTGTTCAGCTCCTGAGATTTTATTTACCTTTATTCAGTTTATTTATTCCATCTACTGAGTTTATTATTTCAAACCCAATGATTTTTCTTGTTAACTGCCTGTTCTTCATTTATGTTATTCATATCACCTCCTATCTCTTTGTCAAGCTTATTTTAAAGTCTCGATCTGGCAGTTCTATCATTTCTGGTCCCCACAGTGCTGGTTGTTTCTTTCTACCCCTGAGGGCTTTTCTCCCTTGAATGTAGTAGCCTAATGTTCCCTGTGAGGAGGGAGGGGAGGAAAGGGGCCATAGGGGCTGGCCCATCCACCTGCATTTCTTGCCTGTCACTCTTCACCTTCCTGGTCTCTGGTGAGTCACTAGCAATATCTGTAGCATCTGTGGCATGGGGTGGTCTGCTCATTTTCCAGGGCTGTTGCAGCAAAATACAGTTATACATCACATAATGACATTTCAGACTGCATATGCAACAGTGGTCCCGTAAGACTATCAGCCATCATGGAGCTGAAAATTTCCTGTAATCTAGTGATGCTGTAGCCATCGTAATGTTGTAGCGTAACATATTACTCATGCACATCCGTGGCAGAAAAAAGAAACAAACCAAGCAAACCACCCTGAACATATTTCAGGAAAGGGCAGCACCTCATCAAGAAGAACCTCAGGCAGGTCCTTCAGGGGGTGTCCAGAAGAAGGCATTGTTATCACACGAGAAGGTTCCATGCATGTTATGACTCCTGAAGACCTTCCTGTGGGACAAGATATGAAAGTGGAAGATAGTGATATTGATCATCTTGACGTGGGTAGATGTACGCTAATGTGTGTGTGTGTGTGTGTGTGTGTGTGTGTGTGTCTCTTAGTTTTTTAATGAAAGAAGTTTGAAAAGTAAAAAATAATAAGCAACTTAAAAATTAGAGATAAGCTTATAGAATAAGGGTATAAAGAAAAACTTTTTTTGTATAGTTGTACAATATGTTTGTGTTTTAAGCTGAATGTTATTACAAAAGGGTCAAAAAGTTTAAAAAAATTAAAACATTTATAAAGTAAAAATGTTACAGTAAGCTAAGGTTAATTTATTATTGAAGAGAGAAAATTTTAAAAATAAATTTAGTGTCGCCTAAGTGTACAGTGTTTACAAAGTCAACATTAGCATATAGTAATGTCCTAGGCCTTCACATTCACTCACCACTCACTAATTCACCCAGGGCAACTTCCAGTCCTATAAGCTCAGTAAGTGTCCTATACATTTTTCATCTTTTATACCATATTTTTAATGTACCTTTTTAACCTTTAGTTGTTTAGATGCATAAATACTTACCATTCTGTCACAGTTGCCTGTAGTATTCAGTATAGTAACATGCTCTGCAGCTTTGTAGCCTGGAAGCAATAGGCTATACCATATAGCCTAGGTGTGTAACAGACTTTGCCATCTAGGTTTGTGTAAGTGCACTCTGTGATGTTTGCACAGGTACAAAATTGCCTAAAGATGCATTTGTGAAGTGAGGCGTTAGTGTACCACAAAAATGCTTAAAACAATAGAAATGTGTTCTCTCACGCTTTGGAGCCTAGAAATCTAAAATCAAGGTGTTAGCAGTTACACGCTCTCTGAAGGCCTAGGGGAATGTCTTAGTCCATTTTGTCTTGCTACAAAATAATACATGAAACTGGGTAATTTATAAAGAAAAGAGGTATTTGGCTCACAGTTCTGCAGGTGGTACAAGAAGCGTGGCACCCACATCTGCATCTGAAGTGAAGAGGGCCTTGGCTGCTTCCACCACTGGCAGAAGGTGAAGGGGAGCTTGTATGTGCAGACATCACATGGGGAGAGGGGAAGCGAGAAAGAGAGATGGGGAAGGTTTCAGGCTCTTTTTAACAACCGATTCTCAAGGGAACTAATAGAGTGAGAACAGACTCCCCTGCTCCTCCAGGGAGGTCATTAATTTATTCATGAGGGATTCTCTCCCAGGACTCAGACCCCTCCCACTAGGACCCACCTGCAACATTGGGATCAAATTTCAACATGAGGTCTGTGGGGATAAACATTCAAACTATAGCAAGGAGGATCCTTCCTTGTCCCTTTCAGCTTCTGGTGGCTCCCAGCAGTCCTTGGCCTTCCCTGCTTGTCAGAGGATCACTCTGCCTGTTATCCTCTGGCATGCTCCGTGTTTCTGAGTCCACACTTACCCTTTCTTAAAGGACACCAGTTATTGCATTAGGGCCTGTGTGAATAATCAAAGATAATCATTCTGCATTCATTTCCTAGAGCTGCTGAAACAAAGTGCACAAGCTAGGTGACTTATGACAGAAATTTATTCTCAGAGTTCTGAAGGTCAGAAGTCCAAAATCAAGTTGTTGGCAGGGTTGATTCCTGCTGACCGCTCTGGAGAAGAATCTATTCCAGGCCTCGCTTCCAGCTTCTGGAAGTTTTCTGGCAATTTTTGGTGTTTCTAGCTTTGTTGAAGCATCACCCCGACCTTTGTCATCATCTTCTCATGGTGTTCTTCCTGTGTGCATGTCTGTCTGTTTCCAAATTTCCTCATTTTATAAGGACATAGTCATATTGAACTCAGGATTACTCTGATCCAGTGCAACCTCATCTAAATTGATACCTCTGCAAAGACCCTATTTCCAAATACGGCTGCATTGTGAGGTTCTGGGACTTAGGATTCCAACATATTTTATTGGAGGACACAATTCAACCCCCAGGAGGAAGTGCTGCTGTTTTTTAATCTCATGGTGGTCAGAGCGGGGGGTCAGTCAGTGGCCTTCCCAGGGGAATGTGACAGGGAGCAAAGAGCTCAGAGGGGAAGCCTTCCCCTCAGCTCCTTTCCAATGCTAGCCTTTGCTCCAGGTCATCACTGTCTTCCACAAATGCTTCCTCCCTGACCCAGTAGGTTAAATACAAATAACTTAAATAAATAAAATAAAATAATTAAGTAAAAGTCATTTGTCCAAGAAAAGCTATTTATGATGGAGTAATGACCAGTGCTTTCTGGTTTACCAAGAAAATTCATGAGAATTTATGCTTTTAAGTTAACAAAAGAAAAGAGAGAGAGAGAGAGATAAAGTTGAATATTATTACCAGGGCCAAAAATTTTTAGTATGACACCCTGTTAGAATGTCAAGTTTCTTAAATGGTCACAGAACACACCATCAAGGACTGACTATGAATGTCCTACAATATTTATTTGCTAGAAATAACATTTGCAAAGGCAGTTTCATAATGCATAGTATCTGTATTTGTTTAGTTGAAGGAATAGAAGCAGCATTTTCAACTTATTTTTCTGAGCTTTCTTTCATGCGCAGTTAGCACCTGCATATTTTTGGCCAGACATTAGAATTCTAATAGTTAAACCTCTGGGCGGGTTGCAAGGATGGAGTGTGCATGGTTGAGAAAACAAAAACTTACAATATGGAAGGAAAACAGCAACACGGGATGAACAGTTGGAAGGCAGGGCATGTGGTCTTTTGCATCTGCGTAATTTTCATTTTATTCCCTAGGTCCTGTGTCTTTCTTGTCACTTGTGTGGGCTCTCTAGCATTGGACAGGAGGAAGGAACCAGCATTTCATGCTAATTTACCATCTTGCTGGGGACTCAAAATCATCCCTGTAGAATTTTAGATACATTTTCCTAAACATTTTATTATGAAAATGTTGAAACTTACAGAAACATTGAAAGAATTTTATAATGAACCTGAATAGCTGCAGGACAAAAAATCTTTAATTACTTATTTGCTAGGTCTCTTCTTTGGATTTTGTTATTCTTCCCCTTAAACTTTTAGCTTTTTTTTTTTTTCTGAAATGGAGTCTTGCTATGTCACCCAGGGTGGAGTGCAATGGCACAATCTCGGCTCACTGCAACCTCCACCTCCCAGGTTCAAGCGATTCTCCTGCCTCAACCTCCCAAGCAGCTGGGGTTACAGGCGCATGCCACCATGCCTGCATAATTTTTGTATTTTTTAGTAGAGCGAGGGTTTCACCATGTTGGTCAGGCTGGTCTCGAACTCCTGACCTCAGGCAATCCACCCGCCTGGGCCATCCAAAGTGCTGGGATTACAGGCGTGAACCACCACTCCCGGCCCCCCTTAAGCTTTTACAAGTGGTTTGACAATATCTGAATTGACCCCTGATATGGTTTGGATCTGTGTCCCTGCCCAGGCTTATGTCAAAATATAATCCCCAATGTTGAGGTGGCCTGGTGGGAGGTGGTTGGATCAGGGGCAGTTTTTCATGAGTGGGTTAGCACCTTCCACTTGGTGCTGCTCTCATGATGGTGAGTGAGTGCTTTCAAGATCTGGTTGTTTAAAAGTGTGTAGCACCTCCTTGCTCTCTCTCTTCCTCCTGCTCTGGCCATGTAAGATGTACTTGCTTCCCCTTTGCTTCCGCCATGATTGTAAGTTTCCTGAGGTTTCCTGCAAGCAAAAGCTGCCTGTTTCCTGTACAGCCTACAGAACCATGAGCCAATTAAACCTCTTTGCTTTTTTTCTTTTTCTTTTCTTTCTTTCTTTTTTTTCTTTTTTTTTTTTTTAAGAGAGTTTCACTCTGTTGCCAGGCTGGAGTGCAGTGGCGTGATCTCGGCTAACTGCAACCTCTGCCTCCAGGGTTCAAGCAATTCTCCTGCCTCAGCCTCCCAAGTAGCTGGGACTACAGATGTGTGCCATCATGCCCAGCTAATTTTTGTATTTTTAGTAGAGACAGGGTTTCACCATATTGGCCAGGATGGTCTTGATCTCTTGACCTAATGATCTGCCCACCTCAGCCTCCCAAAGTGCTGGGATTACAAGCGTGAGCCACCGCACCCAGCCTAAACCTCTTTTCTTTATAAATTACCCAGTCTCGGGTATTTCTTTATAGCAGTGTGAGAATGGGCTAATACAACACCATTTTTAGCAATTCATATTTAATGAGTTTTTCTCAGCGTTCAAATTTATAGAAAGAACGAATCTTCTTTTGCATTCGTATTTATATGCCATTCAGTTGGCTTAGAAAACTATAATTTCTGTACCAACAAAGCTTTGGTATGTGCAATTTTTCAGTCTTGAAAATAGATGTGTCCTTGTTGGTGTACTTCAGGAGCTCTTTGGGATGCATTGTACTCTGGATCTGAGTCTGAGCTTCTGCAGAAGGCATGGGGGGCACTGACAATTTGCAGAGTTGAACACTGGAGTTTGATTAAGAGAATTCTAGCACAGTCCCATGGGTGGGACATCCAGTTCCAATGGTTCTGTGCTAAGTCCTATATTGTTTCTGGTCTTCCCTTCAGACTGAGGTGTAGAAACAATGTGACTCTCCTGCTAAGGTGTGCTCCTGTGAGCACGTGGTCAGGCATGTGTGCCCGTGTAACCCACAGGTGTGTGCACATGCACTGACATGTTATGGATAGTCCTGCCTTAATTGGTATTTAGAAAGAAAGAAACCAACAAACAAAACTAAGCCATACGCCTCTTTGCCAGGCCAAAGGTGCACTTCCATTCTTTTACCAAACAATATGCTTAACACCTGGGCCCCAGGAGCCTGCTTGGAATGACATCATCTATATACCCATCTCCCAAGTCAAGGCTTGGATACCTGCCTGACACCTGGCGGACTACAATGTACCACCAAGGTACGCACAGACACCTGCAATGTCCCCACGCAGAAGCTGTTATGAAGAGCAAAGCTGGAAGCTTTCTAGCTTTGGTGTTTTCACTCTCCAGAGTCTACCTTCAGCAATGGAAAGAGAAACCTACTGGCAATTCAAAAAGAGCAGTTTATCCCCACATCACAAACAGTACCATTGCCATTCAAGTCCTCCTCCTAATTTTTCACTTAATATTCACCTCCAGTTGAATCATTACTGCTTTTGATTGCTTTTACTGGCCTTCAGCTGCTCCCCGTGCTTCCTGTGCCTGCTGGATACTGCTTCTGGAGGACATGAGATCATTGCAGAGCATTCTCCATGGTTTCCCATGGACTTAAGAACACAGTCCTCATTTCCCAGCATGGCTTGCAAAGTGTTCATGTTCAGCCTGACCTTGGACGACTTCCTCCCACCTCTCCCTCCTGCACAGACTGAGGCAGCCTCATGTGAGCTGGCTCCCCAGTGTTGCCATCCCTCCAGCGTTCTCTTTGCCATTATTATCCTGATATAATTCTCCAAGGGCCACAGCAAATGCCACTGTCCTCTGGCTGAAGGTAATGCCTCTTTTGTCCATGCTCCAGAGTCCGTTATCCCTCCTGTGCCTCACCTGTCTAATCTACCTGTGTAATGGACATTTGTGTGGTGAATGCTTCTATTCTAAGATCAGCTCCCATGGGTAGAGACTGTGACCTCCTCATCTTTATTTTCTCCTGGGCACTTCCCTCAATGCCTTCTACATGGCCATTGCTCAGTTGTTAATTTGAATCACACACCACTTACTAAGAATGTTATCACAAAGTGTCCTTAACTCCAAAGTCATTATGTGTCTGTAGGATAAGAGCTTAGCACGTTTAGGTGTAGAAAAAATTATATTTATGAGACATCTGCAGAAATACTGCTAATCAGTAATTATGTTAGCTGGAAACCTGTTCAACTTACTTCTTTGCATAGGAAAGCTAAGCCATAAAGCTTTTCTCAGAATGAATGTCTGCTGGGGTAACTATAGCTATAATCTCTAAGTTGATAATACTATATCCAAATGACACCTTTGAGAGAAGAAGGCAGCAACAAGATTCTTGCTATACCTTAGAAGCTTCTGGATTTGCATACCGTTTGAGATCTTTCACATTTGATTTTAAATGAAATGTAGTATGCACCCCTATTGTGCAGTGAAAAGTAGAGTCCCATAGACAAGCCATGTATTATCATGTCAGATGTCAAATCGATGCAAGCGATTTTTTAGTTTGCATCCCTGAGATGAACAGAAGGGCAGGAGAACTGTTCACAACTACACTTTGCAGAGGAATGGTCAATTCCAGCACCTTCCCTGCACCTGAAGGCTTATCCAGGCTCCTGTGCCGAAGCCAGAGGCTTGGAATGACTTTCAAACCCTTATGCTGCTTTCAGAGCCCCTGGGGTCCTACTGCCAGGATGTGCTATCATGATAATTGTGTAGAGAATCACTAGAGCCAAAAATTTAGAATCTTCTGTAAAGAGAACTTCAAAATTGCTCATTTTTTTTGTTGTTCTTGTTGTTGGAAATAGCTCATAATTATACACAGCACAAAATTTTCTGCATTGTCACTAAAATGATCATTCTTGGTAAAAAGAAATTACCTTCACTTTCTGCACTTTTGTGGTGACAGTTTATTACAAAACCCCATAAGGAGTGAAGAATGAGTTCTCTAAGACTCATTATAAATATGACATCAGCAGTTGAAGTAGAAGAATCTTAAAAAGTTTGAGATGCTTCATTTGTATTCGCTGGGCCATTTGGTTATTCACCAAATTTATCTTTCAACTAGCATTTATTGAATGCACTTTTATACTGGACTATAGGAAAAACAGAGTGGAATAAAACAACTTCCTCCCAAGGAAATAATAATCCAGATGGAAAGACGTGACATGTTCC
Source organism: Homo sapiens (assembly GCF_000001405.40). Classification (NCBI taxonomy): domain Eukaryota; kingdom Metazoa; phylum Chordata; class Mammalia; order Primates; family Hominidae; genus Homo; species Homo sapiens. The sequence continues at coordinate 74,017,864 of NC_000018.10, read as the reverse complement.
TAAAAAATGATAATACAAGACAGAGCCAGATAAATATCATAAGGGATGTTTGGACCAAGTGCTATAAGACTTGCAGGAGCAAATGTTTTCCTCTAGCTAGAAAGGAAGGAACTCAGACTAAGCAGATACTATGTGCTAAAGAACCATGTAATCTGGGTCTTAAAAGATGGGACCTATGATGAGGTTAGAGGAAGGAAGATGGGAAGTATAGTCAGGGCAATGGAGTGAGCAAAAGCTGGGTTGAGGTGGGGACATGAAACAGAAAGTGGGCATGGTGGCTCATGCCTATAATCCCAGCACTTTGGGAGGCTGAGGTGAGTGGATTGCTTGAGCCTAGGAGTTTGAGATCAGCCTGGGCAACACTGTGAGACCTGGTCTCTCAAAAAAAAAAAAAAATTTGCTGGGTGTGGTGGTGTATGCCTGTTGTCCCAGCTCCTTGGGAGGCTGAGGTGGGAGGATTGCTTGAGCCCAGGAGGTTGAGGTTGCAGTGACCTGTGATCATGTCACTGCACTCCAGCCTGGGCAATGGAGTGAGACAGACCCTGTCTGAAACAAACAAACAAAGAAACAAACAAACAAAACTGTGAAAGTGAGCAAGCATTTCCAAAGATTAACAAGATGGAAAGGTTTAGACCAAACTGTAGAGGGCCTTGGATACCAATAAATTATTTGGACATTACTTTGTAGGAAATGAGAAGCCAACACAGCTTTTTAAATAAGAGAATGATGCAATCAAAATTATTTTTTAGGAAAATAAACTTGAATGAATTCTGAGTTTGCTTAAAGCTCTTTCCTGAGGTAGCAGAAACTGAAAATGAGCTAAGAAAATACTAGAAAAATAAACCAAAAAACAAAAACAGATAAAAATAAAAGGAGAGCTCTCCAATGTGGGGGAAGATGGTGCAATTTAATGTAGTCCATTCTCCCCAGATGGCCCCGTCTTGTTCCCTCCTGGTGCTTATCATTAATGGATCACTCTGTTTGTTTTTTAAGTTTGTCCCTACCTCCACACTAGAATAGAATCTCAGGACCCTTGTCACAGTTGTTCATCCTCTGTGCCAGGGATGATGTCTCACATACAACAGACAATTGTTAATTATATTTTGAATGAATAAAGATTACTAGAATGCAGGGAGAGGTTAGAAATACTCAACTCCTAGATTGATTTTATTTTCTCTAGTAAGAATAGGTTTGGAGACTGATAGGGAGAAAGATCAAATTCCTTTTCAGAAGCTGTACTGATTTTAAAGGGCTTATACACATTTATTCCTCCTAACAGCCACAGAAGGCGATCTGAAAGGTAGTCATTCATTCACTCGACATTTATTGGGCCAGATGTTGTCCTATGTGTTGTGTTTACAAAGATGCATTTGGGGCAATTCTTGCAATGGAAGGTCTCACAGTCTGATGAAGAAAATCAATGTATACAGAGAATTATAATACAATGTATCTCTATTAGTGTTCTCCAGAGAAATAGAATCAATAGGATGCATACAACTGTATATATATATATATATGCACACACACACAAATAGATTTATGATAAGAAATTGGCTCAAGTGATTATGGAGGCTAAGAAGTCCTAAGATCTGCAGTTGGCAAGCTGAAGACCCAGAAAGCCAGTGTTTCAGTTTGACTCTGAAGGCAGGAAAAGCCAATGTCCCAGGTTGAAGACAGCTGGGCAGGAGAAATTCCCTCTTACTCATGGGAAGGTCAACCTTTGTATTTGCTTCAGGCCTTCAACTGATTGGATGAGGCTTGCTTACATTAGGGAGGGCCATCTGCTTTACTCAGTCTACCCACTCAAATGTTAATCTCATCCATAAACCCCCTCACAGACATATTCAGAGTAATGTTTGACTAAATGTCTGGGCACCCCATGGCCCAGTCAAGTTGGCATGTAAAATTAACCATCACAATGTCCATTCTTACTATAGAGATATAAACAAAGTTCATTCAAATGAATTCCATCTTGGGCAATGAGAGCAGGTTTTGTAAAGGAGGTAATAATAGTAACAATACAAGTAGTGGATAGATATTACTATCATCTCTATTTTTGTTTTTTTTTTTTGAGATGGAGTGTCCTTCTGTCACCTAGGCTGGAGTGCAGTTGCACAGTCTTGGCTCACTGCAACATCTGCCTCCCAGGTTCAAGCGATTCTTTTGCCTCAGCCTCCCGAGTAGCTGGGGCTACAGGTGCGCACCACCACACATGGCTAATTTTTGTATTTTTAGTAGAGATGGGGTTTTGCCATGTTGGGCAGACTGGTCTTGAACTCCTGACCTCAAGTGATCCACCCACCTTGGCCTCCCAAAGTCCTGACATTACTGGTGTGAGCCACCATGCCTGGCCATCTCTATTTTTAAAAAGAGGAAATAGTGAAAGATCACCTGATTTAAAAAAAAATGCATTTGTGCATTCAGTTAGTTCAGTTATACCCTAAGCTGCCAAAGGGTCTGAGGGTGATTTCAGACTCATGGTGGAAGAGGCTTCCTGCATGGGTCCCTGGGCCCACAGCATGATCCCCATAGTGGGGGCAGTGGAGTCTTTGTCATTGGTACCTGGGGTTTCACAGTTATCCTGGCTTTCCAGATGAGTGAGGATCTATGGTAATGATATCACAGAGTCTTATAGCTGTAGGAGTTGGGCCTGGGGTCATTGGGAATGGTCTCATGTCCTCCTCATCTCTCTGAGCCTAGGAAACTTGTTTCTCGCGTGTGTCCACTTTATGTGATTTGTGCAGACTGGATGCTGTATGGGCTTTTTGTCTCTTGCTTCCTCATAACATTGGCAAAGAAGTGGCTTTGGGTGCAGGATGTGTCCCCATCTCTGTATGAGTTTATGTAGTCAATACCCAACAAAATCGAGTGCAGGTGGAGTTTTTTCTTTTTCATTCAAATGCTTTTATTAATTGAAAAAGCAAAATTGTACTTATTTATGGTGTAATGTTTTGATATACATATACATTGTGAAATGGTTAAATCAAGCTAATTAACATACACATTATCCCACATACTTACAAATTTTTTGTGGTGAGAACACAAAGTCTGCTCTCCCAGTGATTTTCAAGTTCACAATACACTGTTATTCAGTATAGTCACCATGCTGTAAGTGAATCTCTTGAACTTGTACCTCCTGTGTAAGAGAAAAAATTTTTAAATTATTATTTATTTTTAATTGACAAACATTGTATATATTTATGGTGTACAGCATGATGTTTTGAAACATGTAAGCTTATGAGGCAGCTAAGTCAAGCTAGTTACCGTATGCATTACTTACGGCTTAAAAAAAATCTTATTAGTCCACTTTGGGTCCAATGCCCATCCTGGCACCTTGCTGGCTAGCCCACCCCTTCACAAAGAATGCTGGGGGGTATTCTAAACAAGGGGATGGGCTAAGCAGGAGTGTTTGCTACAAGAGTCCTACTTGTGGCCAGTCTAAGAGTGCAAGTTGCTTATCTCTTAATGACTGAGTTTGCCAAAGTCTCATTATGTGACCCCTGGGAACCCAGCAATTATGACTTCTCCCCACTATTTTCAGGGTCCTCAAGAAACCATAAGGGTCTACAGGATGTCACATGTACCCGCTAAATATTGCTGAGTTACAGAAGGAACAATTGCATAATCTCTACTCCTCCCAAATCTGCAGTCAAATCACTTTCAGGCTGTTCTCTTGATGTGGTTTTTCAATTGCCATCTGAAAGGAGTGTTAGTCATCTTAATAACGTGAATTAATCATCAGTCTGGCCGGCTGGACAATATCGCAATCACAACAACACAGAAATGTTCCAGCCAGAATGAGAACGTATGAACATAACTTAACTCAGAAATATTGCAGCTGCATTCAACAAACTTCCAATCAAAAGAGACCTACCAGTCATTTCTAAAATTTTTTGGCTGTTAAAGTGCTTTTGTCACAAAAGGGATGTCAGCAGTGTAATTTCAGACTCAAACAAGTAACAGAATTGCAGGAATTATGGACATTTTGTGATCAGAATACCTTTAGCCAAATGATAAAGTTATATTTTGTAGAACAAATTGAATTCTGTCCTGTGTATCAATTTCTGAAGAATGTAATTTTTATTAATAAGCCATTAACAGGATATAATTTCCTTTGACAATAACTTGATCTCCTCATAAAAATGTGTGATTAGAACAATTAGAAACTGCATCAGATTTTACGATCTAACAAGCTCCAGTGTTTTCCCCGTTTCTGACATATTTGATGCTTTTGAAAATGTGCCCAATCCTTTATTTTTACCAATCTGTTTTAAGTGTTACTGAGGTAGAAGGCAGGACTCTACTCCAGGGACAGGGCTTGGACTCTGGACCAGATTGAGGACTAGCTGAAAGGGTGAAGAGGCAAAAGCCCCTTTCCATAAGACAGGCCCACCAGTGCCATGTCAGTTACATTGCCATGACAACACCCTGAAGGTACCAACCGTTTCCATGGCAACGCCAAAGGACTCAGAAGTTACCACCCTTTTTCTAGAAATTTTTCTATAATCTGCCCCTTAATTTGCATGTAATTGAAAGTAGGTAAAAATGTGACTGCAGACCTGCCCCTCAGCTGCTTCTCGGGACACCCTGCCTATGGGGTCGCCCCGAGCTGCTTCTTGGGACACCTTGCCTATGGGGTCGCCCTGCTCTGCTTCTCAGGACACCCTGCCTATGGGGTCGCCCCTGAGCTGCTGCTCGGGACACCCTGCCCTATGGGGTCGCCCTGCTCTGCAAGGAGCAGCACCTCTGCCGCGGCTGTGCACGGCCACTTCAGTGAAAGTTCCTGTTTACAACACTGTCCGCCTTTGAATTCTTTCCTAGGCAAAGCCAAGGCCTCCCCCGGTCAGCCCCAATTTTGGGCTCACCTGTCCTACATCATTATGGGAGCCAAAAACTGCCCCTTCATTTTTTATTTTTATTTTTTTTTAAGACGGAGTTTCACTCTTGTGGCCCAGGCTGGAGTGCAGTGGCGCGATCTCGGCTCACAGCAACCTCAGCCTCCTGGGTTCAAGCGATTCTCTTGCCTCAGTCTCCCGAGCAGCTGGGATTACAGGCATGAGCCACCACTTCCGGCCCCTTTGTTCTTTTTGAAGATTTCACAACAACTTGCTTTTGGAATGATTGTGCAACTTTAGAATACCGTGTTCTCCTTATTGTTAACCCGATTGTAAAGCCGAATAGAAAACAAGAAGAGAGACCATCATTTGCTGTGCACCGCCCTGTGTCAACACTTTCAGATCCCGCAAACATCTCATTTATCCTCACAGCAGTCTTGGGACACAAGAGGCAACTGAAGGTCACTGAATGGCAGAAGTCCTGCGTGACACTCAAGGTATCTGAGCCCCAAGTCCAGCTCTGTCTTCCAGTTTCCCCTAGAGCTGTAATTGATCACTTAGCAACCGAAGTCTTTCTTAGATGTCTATTCGTTCTCAAGCCTGTGCCACAAATGCTGTCGATGAGGCCGGAAGAAAGGGCGCTCTGCTGTCTCCCCAGGCCCAGGCCCAGGCCTCTGCTCAGAGGGTTCATGCCATAGCAAGCACCTAATCTAAGCCGCGGTCCTTCTCCAGGTAACCGAGCCGCCACTCAGTATCAGGTGTGTGAGTCGAGCTCTTTGGTGATACTTCAGGACTCAGCACAGCAGTGGGGGTCCCTTGACACTAGGGGCACAACCTGTACCCCGCGAACTAGGAAAATACTTTTCTCTCATTGCGAGTGTGGGGTTTGCTGTCTCTGAAGGAGACATGCTGACCTTAGGAGTTAACTCATAAAGGGTCTGTGGAAACTGTTCATCCGTGAAAATACAGAAAAGGAAAGTTCCATGAAGGATCAGCATTTGGAGATTCCCCCAGGATAGAAACCCATCCATCCATCCCTCTCCTGTCCCCTCGCTCTGCCCCACCCCTGCAGGGCACTGAGACTGACAGCTGCGGGCATCAAGTGATGCGATACCCTCAGTGTCCAGAGGGAGGGGTCCCTGGATTGGGACCTTCCCAAGGAAATGGGTTGAGTTTCCTCAGTGGAGAACTGAAGTTCTTGGGCTTAACAACTAGGTAACAGAGGTCTCCAAGAGCAGGTGAGCCATCTTGGTAGTGTGTGTCTGTGTCCCTAAATAAGTGTCCCTTTCTTATGAGGGCCAAGTGTCGCTTCTCATTGTACTTTGCCTTTGAAATTACCTTTATCCTCAGGGACAAGGTCTGCCTCTCCCAGCACAGTTTGGGGCATTCTTCTTGTGAGGGCTGAGAGACAGGGTGGCCGGGGTCACTTGGACCTGCTTCTCCATCCTGAGGTCTCCTGGGCTCCAGTGGAGAGTGGCATCAGGTTATGGGTGGTCCTGGACTCCCGGATCCAGACGGCGCTGAGGATATGAGACAATAACCTCAGGGAGGCTTCTGGTGGTGGCAAGACCCCATTCTCCATCAGCAGAGACAGCAGAAGGCCATGCCTCCCTTCATGAGCCCCAGAGATGAGGGAGCTGCCTTCTTGGCAGAGGAGAAAGGAGCGACACTGGTGAGCTTCCAACTCCTTGTCCACAGAACCTCCCCTGGGGGAATGCGGTGCTCTGCAGGCTCAGTCCTGCCACAAGCAGTTTGCACTTTCTACCTAAAGCTGGGACCTGGAATAAGACCACTTGCAAGAAGGGCACCATGAAGGTCTAGAACTGTCCTGGGAAAAGATGACCTAATTGCCCCCCACAGCTTGGCAGCTCTATTCCTAAAGTGGATGCCAATATACCATCAAACTTAACAACAAATGCATTCCTGGGAAGGGATTTTTTTTTAATTCTTATTCACTTAAAAACTCAGCTTTCCCCAACTTCAGCAAAGTCTCAGGATACAAAATCAATGTACAAAAATCACAAGCATTCTTATACACCAATAACAGACAAACAGAGAGCCAAATCATGAGTGAACTCCCATTCACAATTGCTTCAAAGAGAATAAAATACCTAGGAATCCAACTTACAAGGGATGTGAAGGACCTCTTCAAGGAGAACTACAGACCACTGCTCAATGAAATAAAAGAGGATACAAACAAATGGAAAACATTCCATGCTCATGGGTAGGAAGAATCAATATCGTGAAAATGGCCATACTGCCCAAGGTAATTTATAGATTCAATGCCATCCCCATCAAGCTACCAATGACTTTCTTCACAGAATTGGAAAAAACTACTTTAAAGTTCATATGGAACCAAAAAAGAGCCCACATCGCCAAGTCAATCCTAAGCCAAAAGAACAAAGCTGGAGGCATCACGCTACCTGACTTCAAACTATACTACAAGGCTACAGTAACCAAAACAGCATGGTACTGGTACCAAAACAGAGATATAGATCAATGGAACAGAACAGAGCCCTCAGAAATAACCCCGCATATCTACAACTATCTGATCTTTGACAAACCTGAGAAAAACAAGCAATGGGGAAAGGATTCCCTGTTTAATAAATGGTGCTGGGAAAACTGGCTAGCCATATGTATAAAGCTGAAACTGGATCCCTTCCTTACACCTTATACAAAAATTAATTCAAGATGGATTAAAGACTTAAACGTTAGACCTAAAACCATAAAAACCCTAGAAGAAAACCTAGGCATTACCATTCAGGACATAGGCATGGGCAAGGACTTCATGTCTAAAACACCAAAAGCAATGGCAACAAAAGCCAAAATTGACAAATGGGATCTAACTAAACTAAAGAGCTTCTGCACAGCAAAAGAAACTACCATCAGAATGAACAGGCAACCTACAAAATGGGAGAAAATTTTCGCAACCTACTTATCTGACAAAGGGCTAATATCCAGAATCTACAATGAACTCAAACAAATTTACAAGAAAAAAACAAACAACCCCATCAAAAAGTGGGCGAAGGACATGAACAGACACTTCTCAAAAGAAGACATTTATGCAGCCAAAAAACACATGAAAAAATGCTCATCATCACTGGCCATCAGAGAAATGCAAATCAAAACCACAATGAGATACCGTCTCACACCAGTTAGAATGGCAATCATTAAAAAGTCAGGAAACAACAGGTGCTGGAGAGGATGTGGAGAAATAGGGACACTTTTACACTGTTGGTGGGACTGTAAACTAGTTCAACCATTGTGCAAGTCAGTGTGGCGATTCCTCAGGGATCTAGAACTAGAAATACCATTTGACCCAGCCATCCCATTACTGGGTATATACTCAAAGGACTATAAATCATGCTGCTATAAAGACACATGCACACGTATGTTTATTGCGGCACTATTCACAATAGCAAAGACTTGGAACCAACCCAAATGTCCAACACTGATAGACTGGATTAAGAAAATGTGGCACATATACACCATGGAATACTATGCAGCCATAAAAAATGATGAGTTCAGGTCCTTTGTAGGGACATGGATGAAATTGGAAATCATCATTCTCAGTAAACTATCGCAAGGACAAAAACCAAACAGCACATGTTCTCACTCATAGGTGGGAACTGAGCAATGAGAACACATGGACACAGGAAAGGAAACATCACACTCTGGGGACTGTTGTGGGGTGGGGGTAGGGGGTAGGGATAGCATTAGGAGATATACCTAATGCTAAATGACGAGTTAATGGTTGCAGCACACCAGCATGGCACATGTATACATATGTAACTAACCTGCACATTGTGCACATGTACCCTAAAACTTAAAGTATAATAAAAAAAAACAAACTCAGCTTTCCCATGGCAATTGCCATCTTGATAATATAATGTATGTCTATGCTACCAAAACAATATAATATCTTGATCATATATTTATCATCTTCATAATGTAACATTAGCTGTCTAGTGGAAAAAACAAACAAACAAAAACCTCACACACAATAGTTTGTGTGTGTAATGATAATGGACTTATCAATGTCATTTCCATGGGGTCAACTACACACTCATGTCTGTGGACTTAGGACAGCAGAGGCTGCTCACTGCAAAGGAAAGAGAAACTGTGGCCTGTGGGGGTCCAGGACAAAGCGTTGGTGAAGTTCACTGTCGCTCTGCGTACCCTCCAGCATCCGGGTGCAGGAGTCCTTTGGCTCTGAGGTGCAGGTCTCAGGAAGCCTCCTCAGCACCGAGGTGTTTGGATGAACTTGATTTCTAGGTGTATTACTCTTCTGAAATGATGCACGTCAAAATGACAGCTAATTAACCTGGGAAAAGTGACCTCTGTAGTAAAGAGGAATGGAAATCCAGCACAAACTCCACTGGGAAGACACAGAAACCCTAAGGGTGAGGAAGGGAGGCATGGAAGAATTGCTGAGCGGTGACTAGCCTGCCTTCAGCAGCTGTGGTGGAGCTGGGGCCGGAGTCTGGAGGTGATGGAGCCACCCAAGGCTTTCAGGCAGGGATGTGAAGCTGCCAGATTTGTGTGTGGGGAAAATGACTCCTTCAGTGGTGTTGAGGGGTAGATTGAAGGAGGAGCAAGTGAAGACCAGGAACAAGCTGGCAGGCTGTAGTCCTATTACAAATTGAGTGAGGGAAACCATTTGGGAGATATTTTAGAGGTGGAATCGACAGCAATTTTAACCTGACTTCTGATTACTTCACACATGCTGTTCCACCCACCTGGAGCCTCCTACCTCTGTGTTAGGTTTTCCATTTTCCTTCATATCTTACTCTCTACCTTTTCTGACACCCTCACCCTTGCTGCACAACAGCCTGGCCTCGATTTGTATCTTGTGCTATGCTTTTATGCCATTTCATAGGATGACTTTTGTGTACATTTCAATGGATTTTCCATCTTCCCCATGAGAACGTGAGTTAGCACCAGGGTCTGTGTTTACAGAGAATTGTCCGCTGCTGTATGTCCAAGGCCTGGCACACAGCACATAGTGCAGGTGTGCAGGGGAAGGGGACAGGAGAGTCCCAGGGTCTTCGGGTCTCCATTGTGGATCATCACATAGCTAGCATATGTCTATGTCAAACAGCAAAGGTCTGTAGAATGGGATGCAGGTTTGCGAGGAGAGGCTAGGGTTGGGTTTCAGGCATGTCACTTTCGGGGTGGTGCCTGTGGGACATGCAAGTGGCAATGTCTCCTAGTGGGACTGATTCACGGCGCTGCAGCACGGAGAGAATTGGGACTAAAGACATAGACTTGGAAGCACTCTGGCACTACATATCGACACCGAGTTTATGGTGCCAGTCTAGTCAGAGAGAGAGAGAGTATTTTACAACTTTGGCAGGTTACTTAACCTCTTTAACTTTCAATTTCCTCCTTTGTCAGTCAGGGCCAATCATACCCACCTCAGGCTACTGTGGTTATTAAGCATCCGCGAAGACTGATGTCTGCGAGGAGTTTAGCCCGATTTCTAGCACGCAGCACACAAATAATAAATAGTGGCTGAAAGAAGAGAACAAAAGCAGAACCTGGGGGAAATATTTAACGGGTTGATGAGGGGAGTACCATAAGTGAAATAAAAACCTACAAGGAAAGTGAGCAAAAAGTAAGTTGCTTTTCTTCTTAATGACAATGGGGAAAATGCAACTTAATTCTAAAATTATATTTGTGACATTCTGTAAGATAATAACTCCATGTGGAATCTAAATATCTAAACTTTTAAGCCATTTTCTTATTTCCTGTCACTTATCTCAAATAAGTAAAACTAAATAAACATTTTCAATGAAGTTGTTATTTTAATAAATTCTGTTTTTATAGCATGTCACATTATAAATGATGTTTGCTTAGACCTGTTCTTTGTTTGATGATCTTTTGGTGCCAAGGGTGACTTTTCACCTATAATACCTGTTGAGGGTTAGACATATTTAATTAAAAATTTAGGGCTGGGCATGGTTGCTCACACCTGGAATCCTAGCACTTTGGGAGGCCAAGGCAGGTGGATCACCCAAGGTCAGGAGTTTGAGACCAGCCTGGCCAACATGGTGAAACCCCATCTCTACTAAAAACAACACAAAAATCAGCTGCTTATGGTGGCACGTGCCTGTAATTCCAGCTCCTTGGGAGGCCGAGGCAGGGGAATCACTTGAACCTGGGAGGCGGCGGTTGCAGTGAGCCAAGATCCCGCCACTGCACACTAGTCTGGGTGACAGAGTGAGATTTCGTCTTAAAAAAATTTTTTTTTACTTGTGTGGAAGAGAAATTTGAGAATTAGTTTCTCTTAACTAAAATTTATAGTATAAAATAATTGTCTCTGAAGTTTTATCAGGTTGAAATTTATTTTCACAATTAGTGGTTGGCTCAAGAAATGATTTACAGTTTCCTATAAACATAGGTAACAAAGATGAGTGGCAGGTACAAGTGCCCTAGAAATGTCATCACCAATCCAGGCGATTCTAAATCAATGGATTGTGAAATTCTTCTGTCAGGGAAATTGATTATGACTCTTTAGGCCCTATGATAAAATTATTCCTGTCATCCATATATTAAAAACATTCTTTCCATCATGTAGTTTTCATAGTAGCTTTGTTCATTTAACCTTGACTGTCAGACGGTGTTATGTACAGCGTGGTTCTGCAGGCAAGGCAGCCAAGTGCGGAGCGTGGGCATCGCACCGTCACGAGGAAAGGTCTAACCCTCATTAGTGAAAGGAAAATTAAAACAACCGTGAGAATCCATTTGTCATCTGCCAAATTGGAATAGAGTAATGAAAAGTACCTGGTGTTGCTAGATCATGTGTGAAGAGAGTAGAGTGCTGGTTCCCAGCTGGGGGGACTGTAATTGGAGAGTTTTTGTTGAGGGCAATTTGGCCAGAACCATACAAATATGTAGTGCTTTAACGCTCAAATAACATGCCCAGAATTCATCCAAAGAATATAGTGGGATATTTGTGCACAGATTTGTGTTGACGAACACTCATGGCAGGTCTCAGGTATAATAAGGAAAATGGAGAAGCCACCAACTGCCCAACAATATGGAACCCTTCCATGAGCTATGATACCTCCAGATGAGTAGATACCTTGTGGCCACTAAGAAGTCAAGTTACAGAAGAATGTGAATATTCACTGAAAGTGAAAGTGATTCTAAATAAGAAAAGCAGAGTACAAAATGGTTTTGAATATGCATAGAAACATACATCCATATATACAGAGAATATCTATGAGGATGAAGCCTTAGTTATCTATTAGTCTTAGTTATTGCTATGTAACAAACTACTGCAAAATGTGGTAGCTTGAAACAACAGAAATCTATTCTTTCTCATGATTCTGTGGCTTGACTGGGCTCCGGCGGTGGCTGGGGATGGGGTTCCTCTGCTCTAGGGGCTTGGCTGGGGTACCTCACTGCATCATATTCAACTGGGGTGGGGCTGGGCTACTGGATCCAAGAAGGCTTCACTCACAGGTCTGGGACTTCCGTTTTGTTTCATGCCTCTCTCCACATGGGTGGCTGAGGTTTCCTAACAGCAAGGTGGTCTTGGGTAGTCAGAGTTCTTAAGTGGCAGTTGGTTTTTTCCCCTGAGAAAAGACAGAAGCTGCTAGATCTCTCAAAGGCCAGACTGAAGCTGGCATAGCATCACCTCTGCCATTTTCCATTGGTCAAGATGAGCCACAGGCCAGATGCCAGAGGAAGGCAGAGGATTTGCATCTTCAGGGAGAGAAGCAATTGATAGCAGCCATCTTTGCAGATGCTCAAGTGCAAGTTATATCACAATATTAAAAGTGGTTCTCTCTGGGTGGTGTAATTGCAGATTTACATTTTTTTTCCTTTATGCTGTCTCCTTCAAATTGTTTACACTGCATTTCTGCTTTATCATCATCAAAAACAAAACAAAGCAGACCCCAAACATTCACTACACCAAATTATAACTGCATATATGAGGACACTAGAATAGGATTTGAATTCCAACTTTATTATTTTCTGTGCATTTGGGATGGTTACTTACATTTGCTGTTACAATGTCATCATACATGAAGTGGGGATAATCAAAATAAGACAAGGTCTGTAAAGTAACTAGCACAATGCTCACCTAGCAGGTGTTCAAGAAAAATGTCTTTTTCTTCTTCACAGGCCATCTTTTCTTAGAGCTTTGATATGCAATTGACATAGCAGGACCTCCTGTATATTTTTGTGCTTTTTTGAGCTTTGTGATATTGCACATCATTTTATTTACGATATTGTATCAATAACCTCAACTCAGCAGATTTCTTTGTTCAAACAGAAAAATATTCTTTGGTCTTATGATATTTCTTGGGGAGAGAAATTCTTCAATCTCCACCACTAGGTGATATTTACTTAGGGCTATGTAGGCCTGTCCAGAGAACCAACGTTTCCTCTTACAGGTATTAATTGCAGAATGCTGGGCTGCTCGGAACACAGTCTGAATTGTACAAGTCATCATGTGTATAGCTCATATCCAGATTTGGGACTTAGAACACCCAGCTTTTAATTTTGGTTCTGTAGCTGAATAGCTATATGGTTTTAGGAATGACATTTTCTCTGTTTCATTTTTGTAATATTTAAGATGAGAAAGATCAGACTAGGGTAATTTCTAAAGCTTCTTTCATCTCTAAAATATTGATCCTACAAGTTTAAGTTCATGTCAAGAAGACTAGATGAAGTGTGTAATAACTGTATGTCTTTTGAGAGAGAATTGAAGGCTAATGTTTAGCAAGGAAACTGGTATTGTTTAATGGATGGGGCAGCCATGGGGCTTTAGACATTTTGTTTCTATTTTAAATATTACCCTGACCTGCAGGTTGACCTGTGGGAAATTAAATCCTATCTGTGTGCTTCAGCTCACTTAAGGATCTAAGAGCAATTTTTCTTCTTACCTCAAAATGTTGTTATGAGATGACTATATCCAAAGAATGACATTGTCCAAAAAGGATATTTATAATGGTTATATAATAATGTTTTACTATTAATGAAGAATCACTAGAAAAATGACCCAATATTATGGCCATAAACATGAATCGACACTCACTATCAATCTAGAACTGTGTTGGCATAGTACCTGTTTCCCACAAAATCTCCAACTCAGGTCTGCATCTGTAATTGTGACTGCTACACTGAACTTACAATTTTGCATAACTAGACACTCTGGGGAACACAGGGCGTGGACAGTGTTGGAAAGGCTGCTAACAACTCCAGTTTGGAACCATGCTCATCTCATAAACCACAACTTTTGAAATATAAGATATCAACATCACATCATGTTACCTGATTTTTTTTCAAGTTGATTTTTTAAAAAGTTTACAATTTGAAAAATCAATGACAAAAGACACAATGGAAAATGGTGGTAATATCACATGGAAATCAATCAATGAATCTGTCTAATGAGTTACAATTTCACACTGAGAAGATAAGTAAAAATGGAAAATTCTGATGATATCAAGTTTTGGAAAGTTTAAGGAGCAGAGGAAACCATTTTATACACTGGTGGTGGCTATATATATTGGAACATCCACTTTCCGAGCAATTTGCATCCAGTCCTGGGCATCACAGAGATGCCCATATATACGTACCATGAGGCATATATTACTATGTCCACAGCAGTATCACTGAACACTGCAAAACTGGAAACAACCCACCAGCAACAGAATGGACAAATAGAATTCAGTGTACTCAGACAGCAGCAAGAACGAGCTCCAGGTACACATACCAACCTGAAGAGTCTCACAGAATTACTGTATTTTCTAAGGCTGCCCTGACAAGTACCACAAACTGTTGGCTTAAACAACAGAAATCTGTTGTCTCATAGTTCCAAAGGCTCCAAGTCTGAGATCAAGGTGTGAGCAGGGTTGGTTTCTTGTGAAGCTGCGAGGGAAGACTGTTCCAGGCCTCTCTCTTTGGCTTGTAGATGGCCACCTTCTCCCATGTCTGTTCACATTGTCTTCCCTCTATGTGTATCTCGGTGTTTAAATTTTTCGTTTTTATAAAGGACACTAGGAATATTGGATTAGGGTCCAGCCTAATAATCCCATTTTAACTTGATAACCTCTGAAAGACCCTATTGCCAAATAAAGTCACATTCTGAGGTACTGGGGGTAAAGACTTCAACATACAAATTTTGAGGAATACAGTTCAACCCATAATAATCATTCTATATATTTTATAATTAGGCTATGAATATTTATTTGTATTTATTAAATCAAAATGTGTCTGTGTGTCTGTACATTAGTCTACCACACTGAGCAAGATGTTCATGGCTGTCAAAAGGTTCTCAACAAGATCAATGACCTGGGAGAGAGGCAAAGTAAGATGGTGGAATAGAAGGCTTCACCAGTCATTTCCTTTGCAAGGACATCGATATAACATCATCAACACATGACAAGCACCTTCATAAGAACCACAAGCCAGGTGAGCACTCGCAGTACCTGGTTTTAACTTCATATCACTGAAAGAGGCACTAAGGAGGTAGGAAAAACAGTCTTGAATTGTCAATGCCACCCTGGCCATGGTAGTGTGGTACAGAGGACATTGCTGTGCACTGGGGATGGGGAGAGTGCGGTAAGTGTGAGGCATTGAACTTAGTGCTGTCCTGTCATAACAGAAGGCAAAGCCAGACCAAACTCAGCAGATGCCCACCCATGGAAGGAGCATTTAAACCAGCCCTAGCCAGAGGGGAATTGCTGATCCAAGTGGGTGAAGAGTTCCTGCAAGCCTCACCACTGCAGGCTAAAGTACTCTGAAGCCTGAAATAAACTTGAAAGGCAGCCTAGGCCACAAGGACTCCAACTCCTAGGCGAGTCGTAGTGCTGAAATGGGCCCAGAGACAATGGACTCAGGGTGGGAGGGCACATGACCTACTGAGATACCAGCCAGGGCAGATAAGAGAGGGCTGGCATCATCCCTCCACTAACCTCAAGCTGCAGAGCTCATAGCTTCAAAAGAGACCCCTTCCTTCTGCTTGAGGAGAAAAGATGGAACAGTGGGGAAAACTTTGTCTTGCATCTTTGATACCAGCTAGGCCACAGCAAGATAAGACACCAGTCAAACTCATGAGGCCCTCTTTCCAGGTCCTAACTCCTGGATGACATGTCTAGATACATGCTGGGCCAGAAAGGAACCTGCTGCCTTGAAGGGAAGGACCTAGTTCTGTCAAGATTTATCTCTTGCTAACTGAAGAGTCCTTGGGCCCTGAATAACCAGCAGCAATAAGCAGGTTACACTGAGGACATCACCTTTGGGTGAGACTCTTGAGACTTGTTGCCTTCAGGTAAGACTCAACACATTTCCAGCTGTGCTGGCTAACAGATGAGACTCCTTCTGCTTGAGAAAAACAGAAAAAGTAAGGGGACTTTATCTTGTACCTTAGGTACCAGCTCAGCCATAGGGGAATAGAGCACCAAGCGGGCTCTTGGTGTACTGAATTCTAGGGCTTAGCTCTTAGATGGCATTTCCAGATCTGCACTGGGCTGGAGGGGAGCCCACTGCCCTAAAAGAAGAGTCCCAAGCCAGGCTTTACCGCAAGCTCCTTGCTTGGGCCTTAAGGGAACATTGGTGGTAGTCTGGCAGTACTCCCCATGGACCTATGATGGCAGTGACCACGGGGTGAGGCTCCTCTGCCTTTGGAAAGGGGAGGAAAAAGTAGGAAGGGCTGCATCTTTTGGTTTGGGTGCCAGCTCAGCTGCAGTTCAATAGAACACTGGGTAGTTTCTGACTCTTGTCCCTGGCTCCTGGATGGCAACTCTGGACCCACCTGGGGCCTGGGGAAACTTTTCATCTTGAAGGGAAGGAAACAGGCCTGGCTGGCTTTGTTACTTGCTGATTATAGAGCCCCAGGGACTTAAGTGAACATAGGCAGTAACCAAAGAGTGGTTACAGCAGGACTTGGGGTAGACCCAATGCTGTGCTGGCTTCAGGTCTGATCCAGCATAGTCCTAGTGCTGGTGGCCACAGGGGTGCTTGGGTCAATCTAACCGCATCCCCAGGTGGCTCAGAACAGAGAGAGAGTCTCCATTTGTTTGGGAGAAAGTAAGGAAAGAGAACAAGAGTCACTGCCTGGTAATCCAGAGATTTCTTCTGGATCTTATCTAAGACCATCAAGGTCGTACCTCTATGAGTCTGAAAGAACCACAGTGTTAGTAGGCTTGGGATGCCCCTTAAAGCAGATACAGCTTAGATCAAAACACTCAAGGCCTTTCAAATATCTGGAAAGCCTTCCCAAGAAGGATGGGTACAAAGAAGTCCAGACTGTGAAGACTATAATATATACCTAACTCTTCAGTGCCCAGGCATAGACAAACATCTACAAGTATCAAGACCATCCAGGAAAACGTGACCTTGCCAAATGAATTAAATAAGGCACCAAGGATCAATCCTGAAGAAATAGAGATATGTGGCCTTTCAGACAGAAAATTCAAAATAGCTGTACTGAGGAAACTCAAATAAATTTAAGATAACACAGAGAAGAAATTCAGAATTCCATCAGGTAAATTTAACAGAGATTAAAATAATTAAAAAGAATCAAGCAGAAATTCTTGAGCTGAAAAATGCAATTGGCATACTGAAGAATGCATCAGAGTCTTTTAATGGCAGAATTGATCAAGCAGAAGAAAGAGTTGGTGAGTTTGAAGACAGGCTATTTGAAAATACACAGAGGAGACAAAAGAAAAAAGAATAAAAAACAATGAAGTGTGCCTACTGGATCTAGAAAAGAGCCTCAAAAAGGCAAATCTAAGAGTTACTGGCTTTAAGGAGGAAGTAGAGATGGAGATAAGGGTAGAAATTTATCCAAAGCGATAATAACAGAGAACTTCCCAAACCTAGAGAAAAATATCGACATCCAAATACAAGAAGGTTATAGAACGCTAAATAGATTTAACCCGAAGAAGACTACCTTAAGGTATTTAATAATCAAGCTCCCAAAGGTCAAGGATCCAGGTCAAAGGATCCTTTGATCCTAAAAGCAGCAAGAGAAAAGGATCAAGTAACATAAAATGGAGCTCCAATACATCTGGCTGCAGATTTTTCAGTGGAAAATTTACAAGCCAAGAAAGTGGCATGACATATTTAAAGTGCTGAAGGAAAAAAACCTTCACCCTAGACTAGTATATCTGTTGAAAATATGCTTCAAACATGAAGGAGAAATAAAGACTTTCCTAGACAAACAAAAGCTGAGGGATTTCATCAACATCTGTCCTATTCTATAAGAAATGCCAAAGGGAGTACTTCAATCAGAAAGAAAAGGATGTTAGTGAGCAATAAGAAATCATCTGAAGGTACAAAACTCACTGGCAATAGTAAGTGCACAGAAAACCACAGAATATTATAACACTGTAACTGTGGTGTGTAAACTACTCTTACTCTTAAGTAGAAAGACTAAAAATGAACCAATAAAAAACAACTACAACAACTTTTCAACACATAGTACAATAATATATAAGTAGAAGCAATAAAATGATAAAAAGTGGGGATGAAGTTAAGGCATAATGTTTTAGTTTTCTTTTTGTTTGTTTATGCAAACAGTATTAAGTTGTTATTAGCTTAAAATAATGGGTTATAAGATAGTATTTGCAAGCCTCAGGGTAACTTCAAACTGAAAAAACATACAACAGATACAAAAAAAATAAAAAGCAAGAAACTAAATCATGTCACCAGAGAAAATCACCTTCATGAAAAGGAAGACAGGAAGTAAAGATAAAAGGAATAGAAGACCAAAAAAACAACCAGAAAACAAATAACAAAATGGCAGGAGTAAGCCCTTAATTGTCAATAATAACATTAATTGTAAATGGACTAAACTCTCCAGTCAAAAGACTTAGAGTGGGTGGATGGATAAAAAGACAAGACCCAATGACCTGTTGCCTACAAGACACACACACTTCACCTGTAAAGACACACATGGAGTCAAAATAATAGGATGGAAAATGATATTCCATACCAATGTAAATAAAAAAGCAAGAGTAGCTATAATTATATCAGACAAAATAGATTTCCAGACAAAAAGTATAAAATACAAATAAGGTCTCTTCTTATCTAATGATAAAGAAGTCAATTCAGCATGAGGATATAACAATTTTAAATATATATGCACCCAACACTGGAGTATCCAGATATATAAAGCAAATATTATTAGAGCTAAAGAGAGAGATAGGCCCCAATACAATAATTGCTGGAGACTTCAACACCCCACTTTCAGCATTGGGCAGATCTTCCAGACAGAAAATCAACAAAGAAACATCAGACTTAATCTGAACTATAGACCAAATGGACTTAATAAATATTTACAGAACATTTCATCCAATGGCTGCAGAATACATATTCTTTTCCTCAGCACATGGATCATTCTCAAAGATAGGTCATATGTGAGGTCACAAAACGAGTCTTAAAACATTCAAAAAATTGAAATAAAATCAAGAATCTTCAGTGACCACATGACATAAAACTAGAAATCAAGAAGAAGAGGAATTTTGAAAACTATATAAGAACATGGAAATTAAATAATATGCTCCTGAAGGACCAGTGGGTCAATAAAAAAATTAAGAAGAGAATTGAAAAATTTCTTGAAACAAATGATAAAGGAAACAAAATACACCAAAACCTATGGGATACAGCAAAAGCAGTGCACAGAGGGAATTTTATAGCTATAAGTGCCTAACATCAAATAAGAAGAAAAACTTCAAATAAACAATACAGGGCAAAAAACTTCAAATAAATAATACAGGGCATCCAAATTGGAAAGGAAGATGTCAAATTATCCTTGTTTGCAGATGATGTGATCTTATATTTGAAAAAAACCTAAAGATGCCACAAAAAACCATTAGAACTGATAAATTCAGTAAAGTTGCAGGATACAAAATCAACATACAAAATTCAGTAGCATTTCTATATGCCAACAGTGAACAATTTGAAAAAGAAATCATGAAAGTAATCCCATTTACAATAGCCACAAATAAAATTAGCTACCTAGGAATTAACCAAACAAGTCAATGATCTCTGTAATAAAAACTATGAAGCACTGATGAAGGAAATTGAAGAGGACACCAAAAAATGGAAATACATTTCATGTTCATAGATTGGAAGTATCAATATTGTTAAAATGTCCATAGTCCAAAGCAATCTACAAATTCAATGCAGTTCCTATCAAAATACCAGTGACATTCTTCACAGAAGTAGAAAAAACAATGCTAAAATTTATATGGAACCACAAAAGACCCAGAAGAGACAACTCTACCCTAAGCAGAAAGAACAAAATGAGAAATCACATTACCTGACTTCAAATTATACTGCAGAGTGATGGAATCAAAACAGCATGGTCCTGGCATAAAAAAAAAGACACACAGACTAATGGAACAGAATAGAGTAACCAGAAACAAATTGTATTAGTCTGTTCTCACACTGCTAATAAAGACATACCTGAAACTGGGTAACTTATAAAGAAAAAGAGGTTTAATGGACTTACAATTCCACGTGGCTGAGGAGGCCTCACAATCATGGTGGAGGTGAAGGAGGAGCAAAGGCACATCTTACATGGTGGCAGGCAAGAAAGTGTGTGCAGGGGAACCACCTTTATAAGACCATCAGACCTCATGAGACTTATTCACTATCATGAGAACAGTATGGGAAAACCTACCCCCGTGGTTCGATTACCTCCCACTAGGTCCCTCCTACAACATGTGGAGATTATGGGAGGTACAATTCAAGATGAGATTTGGGTGGGGACACAGCCAAAACATATCATTTCACCCCAACCCCTCCCAAATCTCATGTCCCCACATTTCAAAACCAATCATGCCTTTCCAACAGTCCCCCAAAGTCTTAACTCATTTCATCATTAACTCAAAACTCCACAGTCCAAAGCCTCATCTGAGACGAGGCAAATCCCTTTTGCCTATGAGCCTGTAAAGTCAAAAGCGAGTTAGTTACTTCCTAGATACAATAAGGGCACAGGCATTGGGTAAATGCATCTGTTCCAAATGGGAGAAATTGGCCAAAACAAAGGAGCTACAGGCACCATGCAAGTCCGAAATCCAATAGGGCAGTCATTAAACCTTAAAGTTCCAAAATGATCTATTTTGACTCCATGTCTCACATCAGGTCATGCTGATGCAAGAGGTGAGTTCCCA
Source organism: Homo sapiens (assembly GCF_000001405.40). Taxonomy (NCBI): domain Eukaryota; kingdom Metazoa; phylum Chordata; class Mammalia; order Primates; family Hominidae; genus Homo; species Homo sapiens. The sequence continues at coordinate 73,996,890 of NC_000018.10, read as the reverse complement.
TGGTCTTCAGCAGCTCCACCCCTGTTGCTTTGCAGGGTACAGCCCCCCTCCTGGCTGCTTTCACAAGCTGGTGGTGTGTCTGAGGCTTTTCCAGGTGCATGGTGCAAGCTATCGGTACCATTCTGGGGTCTGGAGTACAGTGACCCTTTTCTCACAGCTCCACTAGGGAGTGCTCCAGTAGGGACTCTGTGTGGGGGCTCCCACTGCACATTTTCCTTCCATACTGTCCTAGCAGAGGTTCTCCATGAGGGTTCTGCCCCTGCAGCAGAGGACAGGTGGATGTTCACCTCTGCTTGGACATCCAGGCATTTCCATACATCCTCCGAAATCTAGGCGGAGGTTCCCAAACCTCAATTCTTGACCTTTGTACACCTGCAGGTCCAACACTACATGTACGCAGCCAATGCTTGGGGCTTGCACCCTCTGAAGCAACAGCCTAAGCTGTACATTGGCCCCTTTTAGCCATAGCTGGAGCAGCTGGGGTGCAGGAAACCAAGTCCCTAAGCTGCATACAGCAGGGGTATCCATGAAACCATTTTTTTTTCCTCCTAGGCCCCCACACCTGTGATGGGAGGGGCTGCTGCAAAGGTCTCTGACATGCCCTGGAGACACCTTCCCCATTGTCTTGGTAATTAACATTCTGCTCCTTGTTACTTATACAAATTTCTGCAGCTGGCTTAAATTTCTCCCCAGAAAATGGGTTTGTCTTTTCTATTGGATTGTCAGGCTACAAATTTTCCAGACTTTTATGCTCTGCTTCCTCTTGAATGCTTTGCCACTTAGAAATGTCTTCCACCAGGTATCCTAAATCATTTCTTTCAAGTACCACAGATCTCTAGGGCAGGGGCAAAATGCCACCAGTCTCTTTGCTAAAGCATAACAAGAGTCACCTTTGCTCCAGTTCCCAACAAGGTCCTCATCTCCATCTGAGACCATCTCAGCCTGGACTTTATTGTCCATATCATTATCAGCATTTTGGTCAAAGCCATTCAACAAATCTCTAGGAAGTTTCAAATTTCTTCCTCTCTTCTGAGCCCTCCAAATGTCTAGGAAATTCCAACCTCTGCCTGTTACCCACTTCCAAAGTCACTTCCACATTTTCAGATATCTTTACAGTAGCACCCCACTCTCTGTGGTACAAATTTACTGTATTAATCTGTTTTCACACTGCTAATAAAGACATACCCAAGACCTGGTAATTTATATAAAAAAAGAAGTTTAATGGACTCACAGTTCCACATGGCTGGGGAGAACTCACAATCATGGTGGAAGGTGAAGGAGGAGCAAAGGCATGTTTTACATTGTGGCAGGCAAGAGAGCTTACGCAGGGGAGCTCCCATTTATAAAACCATCAGATCTTGTGAAACTTATTCACTATCATGAGAACAGCAAAGGAAAACTCGCCCTCATGATTTTGTTACCTCCCACTAGGTCCCTCTGATGACACGTGGGGATTATGGGAGCTACAATTCTAGATGAGATTTGGGTGGGGACACAGTCAAACCCTGTTACAAATCTACACATCTACACTGAACTCATTTTCAACAAACATGCCAAGAAAATACACTGGGGAAAAGACAGTTTCCTCAATGAATGGTGCTGGGAAAACTGGATATTCATATACAGAAGAATGAAACTAGACCCTTATCTCTCACCATATATAAAAATCTGATAAAAATGAATTGATGAGTTAAATCTACGACCTCAAACTATCATGAAGCTACTATAAGAAAACATTGGGGAAAATCTCCAGGACATTGGTCTGGGCAAAAATTTGTTGAGTAATACACCATAAAGGCAACCAAATTAAAAATGGACAAATGGGATCACACCAAATTACAAAGCTTTTGCACAGCAAAGGAAACAGTCAACAAAGTGAAGAGACTCCCACAGAATGGGAGAAAATATTTGTAAGCTACCCATCTGACAAGGGATTAATAACCAGAATATATAAGGAGCTCAAACAACTCTATAAGGGAAAAATCTAATAATTCAATTAAAAAATAGGCAAAATATTTGCCTAGACATTTCTCAAAAGAAGACATGCAGATGGCAAACAGGCATATGGAAAGGTGCTCAACATCATTGATCATCAGAGAAATGCAAATCAAAACTACAATGAGGTATCATCTCATCCTAGTTAAAATGGCTGTATCCAAAAGATAGGCAATAACAAATTCTGACAAGGATGTGGAGAAAAAAGAACCCCTTTCGCTGTTGGTGGGTATATAAATTACTATAATTACCAAGGAGAACAGTTTGGAGGTTCCTCAAAAAACTAAAAATAGAGCTACCATACAATCCACCAATCCACTGCTAGGTATATACCCAAAAGAAAGAGAAATTAGTACATCAAAGAGATACCTGTACTCTCATGTTTGTTCCAGTATTGTTCACAATAGCCAAGATTTGGAAGCAATCTAAGTGTGCATCAACAGATGAATGGATAAAGAAAATGTCGTACTTATACACAATGGTGGACTAATGAGCCATAAAAAAGAATGTGGCTGGGTGCAGTGGCTCACGCCTGTAATCCCAGCACTTTGGGAGGCTGAGGCGGGCAGATTACAAGGTCAGGAGATCGAGACCATCGTGGCTAACATGGTGAAACCCCGTTTCTACTAAAAATACAAAAAAAATTAGCCAGGCGTGTTGGCAGGCGCCTGTAGTCCCAGATACTCGGGAGGCTGAGGCAGGAGAATGGCGTGAACCCGGGAGGAGGAGCTTGGAGTGAGCTGAGATCGCGCCACTGCACTCCAGCCTGGGTGACAGAGTGAGACTCTGTCTCAAAAAAAAAAAAAAAAAAAATGAATGAGATCCTATCATTTGCAACAGCATGGATGGAACTAAAGTTCATAATGTTAAGGAAAATCAGCCACACATCAAAAGGAAAACTTTGCATGCTCTCACTTATTTGTGGGATCTAAAAATCAAAACAAGTGAGACTCCAGTCTCATGGAGATACAGAATAGAATGATGGTTATCAGAGGCTGGGAAGGGTAGTGGGCCAGTAGGGCTAAGGTGGGAATGGTTAATGAGTAGAAAAATAGAAAGTATACATAAGACCTAGTATTTGATAGCAAACAGGGTGACTATAGTCAATAATAATTTAATTGTACATTTTAAAATAAAAGATTATAATTGGATTGTTTGTAACACAAAGGATAAAGTCTTGAGGGGCTGAATACTCCATTCTCCATGATGTGATTATTACACATTGCATTGCAAATATCTCATGTACTCCATAAATATATACACCTACAATGTAACCACACAAAAATAAAAAAATTAAAAACGATTAATGACCTTTTAAAAAGTTAGGAATCGTTCTCACATTAAAAGCAGAATGTCTACCAGGAAGGGTTATTTAATGTTACAGAAACTTATAAGGAATCCGTGTAGAATCTTATTTGTAGGGCATTTAAAAAATAGGACATTTTTATTGATACGGTTTTTATGTATTACTGTTGAGAGTTGTTTTAATAAGTCATCTAGTCCACCTTCTTGTCTTTAGGAAGGATTGTATTTAAGCCATTTTAGATATATTGTTGCTCAGCTTTCCATGAGAAATCTCTTTTAGTATATCATTTATCAGCTGACATGCTTTCTTTATTGTGTACTTTTGGACATAAGAAATGTTTAAGACAATATAAGGGAAATCATATGGTCCATAAACTTCCTACCAAATTCTCCCATACAGAGGCCTGTTCTCAGTGCCATATTTTAGAGCTATAATGAGCGGCAAACCCAGGGAGAATAACTTCATTAAGTAATCCTCACTACTTAACTGCTGTGTTGCTTTGGGGCCTGAGAGTCTCTGTGATTATAGTCAGGTGAAGGCCTCCCCGTCAGGCATCTACATGCTGGCAACACTGAGACTAGGGTTCTTTCATGGGGACTTTGTCAAAATGGACACAAACATTTGTTGAGAATGATTAAACTCATAAAGGAAGAAGTGTCTATATTTTACTAGAGATTAATTGAAACTTACTACAAAACACTTCAAAGCTTCCTGTGGGGTTCTGATGTAAACTTTCATTTCTCCTTCACTAAGGGCATAATGCGAATGCTTAACCAGAAGGATGAATCATGTAAAGCTTCATTGTGTCTATCTGGCCATGAACCCTTTCCCCATTATATAAATCCTCCTGGTTGCTGATGAAAGAGGTACTTCTTGACTGAAGTCCGAGCTACACACAGTCTCTTCCATTGGATGCTAAGCTCTGTCTAATTTCAGTCAATGTTCCCTACAGCCAGCAGCAGTTGGGGTTGGAATCTCCAAGCCACGGAATTATTTCTAAAGAGCTTTAACAATGGATTTTCTATGAAAAAGTCATGACACTGTTTGGAAGGCAGAATGGGTATGTTGCAGGGTGCATTGTGTAGGGAGGTGTCTGCCACTGGGCAGTGAGTGTCATGGCTACCCATCCTTGAGGAAAGAGGAGAGTGGTATGAGTCACAGGGGATAATTCCAGTCCCATCAGCGTGGTTTTAGTAATGCCTAATTCTGACTACTCGTTTCATGGGTTGGAGGGTGACAACTGTTGTGAGGCACTGCACTGCAATTGTGTGTCTGTGTGCAGGTATATGTGTCTGTCTGTATGTAAGTAGCTAGGGATAAAATGTCTCTCCTTCATCCCTATGCTTTTTCAGATTCAGTGTAAGAGGAAACATCATTTTAAAGTACTTTTTGATGTATCAGTAAGTCAGATTCTCTGCTTGCACTCTGTCTGCTGTTAAGTGTTGAAAAAGAGGTCAGGGATTGCTAATGGCAGATAGGTCCGTAAGGTCAGGAAGAAGGAAGATAAAGATGAAGCAATAGTTTCTATGGGATATCAAGGGCACATTGCACTTTTTCCTGGGCATGAAGAATGATTTGGGAGGGTAAAGGGGGTGATAGAGAGATGAATCCTAGTGTACTGTTTCCATTTTTTTTGAGTCTCATCCCTCAAATAGAGGAAACATTGGCAAAAGGAGAGAAAACCATAATAAATGTATGAGAAAGCTAAAAGTAGAGTGGCATTTGCTCGACTGTGCATCTGGAAATCTGGGATGGGGCTGCCTACAGGGATGCACCCCACCACATGGGGTGGCTACAGCAGGTGGAGGGGACCGTGCAGGATGGGGAGAGTGCCTGGGATAGCCCCCACCTTGCTCTTGATCTATGCTGTGGATACACCTGGACCTACCTGCTTCCTTCCTGGGGAAGTTGCAGGAGGCAGCTGAGAGAGAAGCCCCACACAGAACCACAGTAGCAAGGGGTTGGTCCAGGTAGAAATTAGAGCATAGGTGGCCCCACTGGAGGGAGATGAGGCCCCATCAGGACCTTCTCGGTGACTGTGAACCAACAGGTTGGTGGAGGCCTGGAGGCGTGGGCCTCTGCTTTCCCAGCCCCAGATTCCCCTACACATGAAGATGACCAGGATACGAAGGAGGATGGAGAAAATCTGAAAGCTAGGCTTTTGCCTAAGACTAGGATGAAGCAAAAGCAGGGGCTGTATTCAAGCAAAATTTGAGGTGTTGTGCTAGTTAGTGTGATACTATTCACTGCAACAAATAAACTCTCACATTTCAAAAGGTTAACACACTAGGCCTTTCTTCCTTGATCCCATCATACTTCTGTGTGTGTATAGTGGGGTAGTAGTTGCCTTTCTCCTACATGGTGTTCCAGGGACCCAAGCACCTCCTCTCTGAGACCTTCTGTCTCCAGCCAGCAGAAGGGAAGAGAGGGTGGACTTCTGAGAACCCCAGCCTGGAGGTGACACATTTCTTCCTCTCACATTTTATTGGCAAGACCATAAGTCAAATGGCTGCACCTAATGCTGTGGGGGTTGTCAGCAGGAAAAGCGGTCCCTGTCACCTCCTCAACACAACCACACACTAAGGACAGGAAACACGAATTTTCGATAGGCGGCTGTCTCTGCCCCATACATCCTTAATTGAGATCAACACGTGGCTCTCAGCTTTACTCTCTGCTATGCAGCCTGATGATGTTTAGGTGAAAAAGAGAGAAATAAAGTTGTAATTTTTTACTTCCAAATGGTAGCCTATAAATCATATCCCACTATAGTAAAATAGCTAAGTTCTGGAATTTTCCTTAATCAAGGATGTTTCAGTTTGCATATTATGGACTGTATTAAACTTCTTTTCACAATCAAATTGAACCTCTTGTGAAAATGGTGCCTGTGTTATTTTACTTACACATGCAGGAAAGAAAACATTCCATACTATACCTTTATAGAAGTATTCGACCCAATATGAGCTTAATTTAGGCACCTAGTCTCTTGTGTACCCAAGGGTTCCACTGGGCCACTGGCTCTATCCCCTAGAGCAATAGTTTTTCAATTTGATGCTTGTGACTCATTGGTGGGTCATTGATATGGTTTGGCTGTGTCCCCACCCAACTCTCATCTTGAATTTTAGCTCCCGCAATTCCCACGTGTTGTGGGAGGGACCCGGTGGGAGGTAACTGAATCATGGGATGAGTCTTTCCCGTACTGTTGTCATGATAGTGAATAAGTCTCATGAGATCTGATGGTTTTATATGGGGGAGTTTCCCTTCACAAACTCTCTTTGCTTGCCGCCATCCACATAAGATGTGGCTTGCTTCTCCTTGCCTTCTGCCATGATTGTCAGGCTTCCCCAGCCATGTGGAACTGTAAGTTCATTAAAACTCTTTTTCTTCCAGTCTTGGGTATGTCTTTATCAGCAGCATGAAAACAGACTAATACAGTCATGAAGCTAATTTATTATGTCATGACCAGCCTATTTTAAATAATGAAATAAAATTGAAATAAAATTAAAGCTATCAGAAAGTATCTATGAAAAATGTGAAGAATTATTGTGTGTGTGTGTGTGTGTGTGTGTGTGTGTGTCTGTGTACTGTGTTGTGCTGTATTAATGAAATGTATTTCTTATCATGGATTATGGTAAAAAAAAAAATTGAAGCCACTGGTCTAGGGAAAAGTCCAGGGCTATTTCTCTCCCCACCTACAAAACATGAGGCCCACCTGGCAGAGGTGAAGGGCACTGTTAGTCCACTTTGTGGGGTCCCCTTTAGATCCCTTTTCTTTGCTCCTGCTTTCAAAGAAGCCAGATCAGTGAGACAGCCCTTCCCACATCTCCCCATCTTGAAAGTCAGGTAGGAACCTGTTGGAGCTAAAAGTGAGGAGGGCACATGGCAGGCCTCACTTTCATCCAGGAGGACAGATGGGGCCCTGCATATCTTATGGGACCCTCTGGCTTTACCAGGATGGGAGAATTGAGAGGCACTTGAGCCACAGTTCCAGCCAGTAAGGTTGTGTTTAACCTGGAGGGCCCTCTGGTATTCTCAGGAATCTGTGGCAATGGTAATACCTGGTCTTGGATTTGGGACATCAAGAGCTTACCTAGGTAAGACTTCTCATCAGTACACAGCTTTTAAAAGTATGGTTTTCATTGTCTGGGAGTTTGTTTTCTCCCAGCTTTGGAAATTGTACTTACCACCTGTTTCCAATCCAGAGCGGAATCAAGGGGTGGCCTGTCCCACACTGGTTGTCAGAGTAGGGGGTGGGCACAGGAGGGGAGGAGTATGCTCAGGTGACTATTTTCTGTCTTGTGAAAATAAATGAGGATCACCCAAATGAGAACAAACATGCAATTAATTCAGAGCTTGCCATAGCAAGGAAGTCCATCTCCATTCCTCAAAGCATTCCTCAAAGCAGTCAGGAGACTGGGAAAGTTTTATAGCAGAAAAGCAGGGAGGCTTCAGGGGTGCCCTGGTTGGAGTTGGTTGGCCTGGGGAAGCTGGAGGCAGCTGACAAACAGTCGGGCCATCTTATTTTTGAAGTTTGGGAGCATACTTGGTTTTCTCTGTTTGGTCCTGAATTGTAGGAGGAACAAAAATAAATAATAAGGCATTTGGCAGTTATTGTCCAAGTCTTGCCCCTTCTTGGCTGATTACTGCGGAGGGTGTGGGTCTGACATCTATTGTCATTGTCCACTGAAGAATCATGAGGGTCATACATTTGGAAAGGAGAATTTTATTTCTCAGAAGTGGCTGAGGGCTGGGAAGTCTCAGGTATTTCCTTACAGAAATGTGAGAACAGACTAATACAATGTCTTTCAAATGGAAACAAATTTGATTACTACTAATACTTATTGAGAAGCCTACATTTGGAATTGTGCTATTACAAAGGCTCCTCTCATCAGTAGCATCACGGAAAGAACCAAACCCTTGAGGAAGGACTTGGAAAAGATGTCTATGCTTGGAGTGGGAGCACTGAATGAGGCAGGGCCAGCACCATCTACTGATCAGCTTCATTCTCTTGGTCATGGATGCTGTTCTGCTTGCTGGAGCCTTGCAAGACTGTACTGAACAACAGACCACAGCCTTTATTGCTTTCTTCACTCAGTCTCTTCTCTTTATACTTTTTCATGGAGGACAGTGCTGGCCCAGTAGAAATGTTGGGAAATAAGTAGAAATCAAGAAAGCTGAGGAGAGGGGTATAACTGCCTGATGGGTTCATCTTGCCTGCTGCCCAGGCAGACACAATTTATCAAGAGAAGGGAATTGCAATGAAGAAAGAGTTTAGGCCAGGCATGGTGGCTCATGCCTGTAATCCCAGCACTTTGGGAGGCCAAGGTGGGCAGATCATGAGGTCAGGAGATTGAGACCATCCTGGCTAACATGGTGAAACCCTGTTTCTATTAAAAATACAAAAAATGAGCCGGGCGTGGTGGCAGGCGCCTGTAGTCCCAGCTACTCGGGAGGCTGAGGCAGGAGAATGGCATGAACCTGGGAGACGGAGCTTGCAGTGAGCTGAGATTGCGCCACTGCACTCCAGCCTGGGTGACAGAGCGAGACTCCATCTCAAAAAAAAACACAAAAAAACAAAAAGAGTTTCATACACGTAGACTGGCTCAACAGGAGACAAGAGTTTTATTATTACTCAGATCAATCTCCCTGAAAATATGGAGGCTAAGGTTTTTCAAAGATAGTTTGGCAGGCAGGGGGCTAGGGAATGGGTGTTGCTGATTGGTTGGGGATGCAATCACAGGGGTGTGGAAAATGGTCCTCATGGGCTGAGCCAGCTTCTGAGTGGAGATAACAGGAGCAGTGGAGTCATGAGTCATGGATCTGCGTGGAGTCGTCTGGTCATCAGAATGCAAAAGTCTGAAGAGATATCTCAAAAGGCCAATCTTAAGTTCTACAATGGTGATGTTATTTACAGGATTAATTGGGGGAGTTACAAATCTTGTGACCTCCAGAACACTGGCTGATAATTGTTTAACTACACCCACATCTTAGCAGCATTCAGGCCCTTCTCATAATCCTAACCTTGTAGCCTTTATTAGTTTTATAAAGGTGGTTTAGTTTTGGGAGAAGCTATTGTCATCTAAACCAAATTTCTCCCAAAGTTAGCTTGGCCTACACCCAGAAATGACCAAAGTTATCTTGGCCCACAGCCAAGAATGAGCCAGGCAGTTAGGAGGCTAAAAGCAAGATGGAGTTGGTTAGATCAGATCTCTTTCATTGTCATAATTCAATGTTATACTTTTTGCAAAGGTGGTTTTGGGTAGGGAGGGGTGCACAGTAAGTAGGAGTGTACCAAACACCTCTAGTTTGCTCTAGATTTAATGATTAATCTCTCAATTTTGAATATGGAGATGACTCTTAGACAACAATGCTTTTTTCATGGAAAGTTTTTTATTTGCCAAATCGTATATTCTCATCCAATATAGTTAAAGAATAAATTTATTTGCTTTGGATGCAGAAGTTGTATTTCAGGAAAGAAAACTCTTTCTGAGCTGTGGAAAGAAGAAAAAGCTAAGAACTGTTGTAGAGGAAAATAAAGAAATCATATTCTTTGTTTTAAGCTGAAGGAGAAAACTAATGTTTTAAACATATGCAGTGCTGAAAATCATTGTGTTTTGGAATGAATCACTGTGTGATTTAATCGTTACTAATCTAGAACAGAATAAATTTTGAAAGGCTCCGTGCCGCTGACTCTGTTTAGTTTAGGATTTACTACCTTTTATTATCCTTAGAGAGTAGGAAGTCTGAATAAATTACCTCTAGATTCCAGGCCTCTGCTTTCTAACTTGTTTTGCTTGTGTTTAATTGCTCTTAGAAGAAAAATAAATAAGTTATTTGGAGGCTTTACATTGTATAGAGCACATGTTTCCTTCACAGAACCTAGGACTCTTATGAAATTGTACTGTGTCTTAATGATGAAATTCCAGTGCATTTCATATTCATAGCACTGGTCAAAAACTGGACATGATAGAGTTCCCGTCAAAGCATAGATGGTCAATAAATATTGCTGAACAGCTCACTCACTGACTTAAGGCACTTAAAAATGAGTTTGGTCTGTTGGCAGTTTTGGTTAAATTCCCTTTAAGAGGCATTGTAGCTGGAGTTTTATGTATGCAGGGATAAAGATTCATGGAGTGAGTCTTTATGCTACTGGCAGAAGACAAATGTTTTCTGTAGGGTGTTTTGTGGAGTGCCAGGAAGCTACAACCCAGTGCCTGCAATCCTGACATTATACTGTGAGATAATTTTTTCTTAGGAGTAGGGCACATTCTGCATTAAAGTACAAATATATCTGTTAGGTGGCAAATTGCTTCACTATTACCAGTAGTAACATCTTTGTATGAATTAGTTGTTTAAATCCTTTATGATACACATTGAGGGTAGGTTGTGATGAGAGAGGAGACACAGGATCAGGACAAGGGTCACTGTATGTGGGACAGCTGGTAGTTTACAATCCAAACTAGTCCATCTGGGGAACTGTGTGTGTTGGGGGCAGCACTTATGTTATCCACTACAGCAGGCATCAACCAAGATTGTCTGCTCAGCATTTTGCCAAGGTGAGGGCGAATATTGTCTGAGGCCACACTTTTTCAACCTCACAGTCATTTCAGGCTATATTTTGGGGAGTGGAGATGGGAGATTGATGGACATCTGTGTGGGATTTTTGGTCCACATATCACACAGGGGGCTCAGGTAACCATTAGGGTCCTAGCACAAACAGCTTGTCTGCACAGATGGGGTCTGGAGCTCCCATCCAGATAATTCCACCCCTCACTGTGATGCTCTCAGGGTCCCTCTGCTCTGTTTCCTGTTCCTTCGCTGATGTGATCTTGTTCCGTATTTCAATACATCTTCATTGCTGGGCTCCTTCCACTAGAATGGATCAGGGACCTTGTGTGCAGTTTGTTTTTTAACCTGGACCCTAGAACAGTCCTGGGTCCATGGTTCTGAGTGCAGGTCGTGGAAAGAATCTTCCACTCAGGTGAGTCAAGTAATCTCTAGGAACAAGGGTGGGGCCTGGTGAAGGTGGCAGGAGGGGAGTCGTGTGAGTCACAGACTAGAACTGCCTAATCTGTGCTCACCAGTCAGGAGCTCACCCCAACCTTGGTCTTGACCATGATGGTGGTGATGGTCTCCCCTGGGCAGTGATGTCAGCCCCCAGAAGGACAAGGTAGAAGAGATGTGGCTGCATCTCATGACAACTCCAATTTTCACCTTAGAAGAATGATGCCTGCCTTGGTCTATTTATTTTAATCAATCAGTAAATTAATTAATTATTGTGGTTGGAATATAACATGAGAGCTACACTCTTAACAAATTTTAATGGAAACTCCCTAATATTCCTTAAATACGTGATGTTTTGTGAGCAATCAGCTCCATGAGCCCTCTTTCTAGGAAATAACACTGTAGGATTATAAGAGGGTACTGTGCTACTTACAGGCTGGCTCTGTGACAAGATGGGATCCTATAGGAAGGGAAGCCCCATCAGCTTAGAGTCTGAAGCCTCGTTGAGAATCAATCAGACTCTTAGTCTCAACTTAACACCTACCAGTAAAGAAGAAAAGCACGATGAGAAAATTTTGCAGTAAATCTTTGTTAATGTTAGGATAATGGTCTTAGCACTCAAAAGTGTCTGTGTAGAAAGAAAGTCTTTAAAAAGTATATGTTCAGTGGGCATGCATGAACTGCCTTGCTGCCTAAAACCATTGCTGCAGACTTTTTGGTGGATAAGGAAATGTCCAGACTTCAGGCCCTGTTCCAGATGACATTGGAGCATCCTTCCCTGAGGACAGGGAGATTTTATACATGCCAGAGTTAATGTTGGTGTCTTCTTGACAGAGTTTGTCAGATCTTGTCAGCATGTGGCCTAAACCACTACTGTCAGGGGCTGGTGAGCCTCCTGTTTCAGCTTAAGTGTAGTTTCTTTTCTTTTCTTTTCTTTTTTTTTTTGAGACTGAGTCTCGCTCTGTCGCCCGGGCTGGAATGTAGTGGTGTGATCTCGGCTCACTGCAACTTCTGCATCCCAGGTTCAAGCTATTCTCCTGCCCTAGCCTCTTGAGTAGCTGGGATTACAGGCAGGCACCACCACACCTGGCTAATTTTTTTGTATTTTTAGTAGAGACAGGGTTTCACCACGTTGGTCAGGCTGGTCTCGTACTCCTGATCTCATGATCCGCCTGTCTCAGCCTCCCAAAGTGCTGAGATTACAGGCGTGAGTGACTGCGCCCGGCCCTTAAGTGTCCTTTCTAAGACAAGTTGGAACCCTTTAAGGGCAGAATTTGTTGTTATGTTGCTGACACCACTTAATTCAAACTAGCACAATTGGTGGCTCTGCAATTATCTCTCCCACATAAGAAGACAGACCGCAGCAACAATGGTGTTCGCCTTCATAATGAGTGCTTTATAGAGGTGGTGGGAGGCAAGAACGTGGATTATTTGCGAAGTTTCTTGATTGACTCTTACATTTATTCTCAAGTGACAATCCCAGCTATGTGCCGAGACAGCCAGATGACTATTTAAGGGAACACTTTATTTTTGGAAATGTTATTTTTTTTTTCCTAAAAGGGTAAGAGACTTTAGTGACTTTTTTTTTTTTTTTTGGTTCCTAGAGAACTTTGTCAGTTTGATGATGGCTTGACAGGGGGTGAAGTTTTAAGGAGGAATATACAGTATCATTGGATTTGGGATCTGGAGGGGATCTTAGAATCATCCATTGCAACTGTCCTTGTTTTACAGATGAACATAAAAGGAAGTGCAGACAGGTGAGTTGATCCCTCCCGGGTCACTGGATGGGATGGGAAGATCAAGGACACGGTGCTTCCTGACCTCTGGGCTGCTCAGATTCTTGCTACTTGATTTTCCAGATTGTGGACTGCATTTTTGTTCCCTGCTGCTGGACAGTTCTCTGGGTAGCCTTGGGCTGACTCAGTTCTCCCTGCTTTCTCACTTGTTCTCAAGAATAAATATAGAATGTGGCGGGTATGCAACCTTCAGAGGTAGGAAGGGACTGGCAGAACAGCCAGGGCTCTGTCCCAGTACCCTCTAGAGAGAGGGTGCCTGTGAACACTTTCGCCAGTGAGCAACACGACCCTGGGATAGGAAGCCCGTGGTGGGCTGCTCTTTGGGGTCCGTCACCTTCAGTGCAAGTAGGCCATGTGCAAATGCAAGTCCATCCACCCAGCGGCTTTCTGGAGATGGGGGGACTGGCTGGCAACGAGTCCTGGGCTTAGGTTTTCCTCCCTGTCTATCCAGAAGTAAGAAATCTGCTTCATGTAGCCTGTGCCTGGGTGTTCTGTCTCACTGGACTCAGACGGAGTGATCCCCAGTGCACAGCGGCCCTGCTGCATACCCACCACCTCCTCTACTGCCTCCTTCTACAGAGTCTCTCAATGTGTGTGACGTCTGGGCAGAGGTTCTTAAAATCGGTCTAAGGACTTCTAGAGATTCAGATGTACCATGAAGGTATATATGTTGTGTGAAATACTCATAGATGTTTTCAGATGTGCACTTCTCAGGGGAAAGGGCTCAGCATTTGCCATATTCCCTCAAAGCACTTACTATATTCCACATTTACATTTATTGTATGTGACTTAAAGCAGTCTTATGAACCACTGTCATTAGGCTGCCCCAAGGCAGGGCTAGGGGGATAAGCTCTGGTCCTTTCACTCCTTTCCTCAAGTAGTTTTTTTTTTTTTTTTTTTTTTTTTTTTTGAGATGGAGTCTCATCCTATCGCCCAGACTGGAGTGCAGTGGCGCGATCTTGGCTCACTGCAACCTCCGCCTCCCAGGTTCAAGTGATTCTCCTGCCTCAGCCTCCCAAGTAGCTGGGATTACAGGCACCTGCCACCATGCCTAATTTTTTGTATCTTTAGTAGAGACGGGATTTCACCATGTTGGCCAGGCTGGCTTCAAACTCCTGACCTCGTGATCTGTCCACCTCAGCCTCCCAAAGTGCTGGGATTACAAGCGTGAGCCACCGTACCTAGCCTCAAGTAGCTTTTTATTAAGCACTGACCATGTGTGTCTGGGTTTGTGCTAGGCTGATTGGTTCTTTGTAATTCTGGTAAAAGAACCAGATATTGGAAGAAGTTGGATAGCCTTGAGTTTAGATACAGTTTAGTTGATCTCTATTATTCTCATTTCCAATTGGTCTACTGGAGGCCGTGTGTTTTATTTCACCTGACTGAAGCATCATTAGGAAAGGGTGCGGTTGCAAACCTGCCAGCCGTCTGGGTGAGCAGAATATGGAAAATACTGGAAAAGCCAGAGGAAGGGGCTCCTGGTTCCAGTGTGCTCAGTGCCCTGCAATCATGGAACAGCTTGGAGCACACCCTCAATCCTAATCCTGATCTTCTCACTGGGAAAGAAGGAAAGGCCACTGGCTGTGCAATGGCAGTGGGGAACGAGGACACCTGGGAGGAAGCCCGGTTCTGATGGAGTTTGATGTTTGCTCCAAGAATGGACAACTGCAAGCAGGGACTTGACCTGAGGCCTCTCAGGGCATAACCCAGAAACACAACCGTGGAGGGGTTTGTTCTTATAAAATGTTAGATAACTTACTGCTGCCAGATTTAGTTCATTTTAGATGCTTCTGGCCTGAATTCAAACGGATGAATCAGAGATATATAGATTTAGATCTTGGCATCAGTTTCCTTTCAAAATCCTTTCAAAACTTTTTTATCTTGCTTTCTACAGAATTTTAATATAAATTGGTATCTTTTTAAAAGTTCTACATGAGTCTCTTAGGGGCTGTGAGGGAGCACATCAAATACAAGATATTTCTGTTTATGGGAGACTTAGACTCATTTCAACCTGTCGATCAACAACTGTTTATTGAGAACCTATTATTTACTGTGACTCAGTGTTAGTAAGGCTCATTTTCTGCCCCCAAGAAGTTTATCTTTTACAGTGGGAGAGAGATAGTAAACATGTAAGCAGCCAGTCTTTTTTTCCTGTTCCCTTGCCCCTGCAGTATTTATCAGGATCTAGCATACTGTATCATTTACCTAGTATATTTGCTTATTGCTACCCATGTCCCAGGAGAATGTGAGTTCTAGCTTTGTCTTTTTGTGCCCTGAGATGCTGAGAACATTGTAGGCTCTCAATAATGTCTGTTGAATTAATGATAATTTTCCTCTCATGGGCACGAGATAGAGGCACTCCAACCTCACACCCACATTTTGGGCAGGAAAATAAGAAAATAAAGATGAATGCAAAGACAAAGATGAACAGGAGTAGGAGGAAAGGAAAAAAGGAGTAGAATGGGGAAAAAGAGGAGGAGGAAGAAGAAAGAAGCAGTGTCTATTTCATGAAAAAAATCTGAAATACTTAGCAAAACTTCACATCTGCTTCACTGGCTAGAACTGTGTCGGTGAGGGTGAGTATTGTGAGTAGTTTGTCAAGTTAAACAAAACTAGAACTTTTGCTAATAAGAAAGGAGAGAATCAATGTGAATTAGATCATTTCAGGTGGTGATAAGTACGAACCAGTCAGAGTCCTTGGTAGCGAACAATGTATATCAGAACTTCGGCTATTAGACAAGGACATTTGGAGTCCTATGAGGGGGCTGACGGAATCAGCTAGAAGACTTGATCAGCATCAAAGGAAGCCGGGGCAGCCAGGATACTGTTCTAGCAACAACTAGTGCAGGATGCCCCTGCAGGTGCCCTGCCCCCACCACACTGCCAAGGCTGGAAACTATTCACCACTCAACCCTCAACTCTGTGCAACCTGCGGCAGCTTCAGACCCTCCATCTGAGGGCAGCTCCTGTGAGTGGGAGTCCCGGGGGCAGCAGAGCCTCTGTGTGCTTGGATCATTAAGTCTTGCTCCATGTTCTAGTGCCCCGGGGGATGGGAGAGAGAGCACCTGCTTCCCTGCGTCTTTAGCTCTCATGGTAGATGTGGGTGCTGGGCTGCTGGAGAGGCCGAGTCATAGCTTAGACAGTAATCCGGGAAGGTTTAGGGTGGTCAGGGAGGGGCCTCTCCCAGTGGGTGATATTTGAGGTGAGAACAAAGTGATGAGAGAATATTCCAACCAAATGTCCAGACGGAGAGAAAGGAGCCCAGCAGAGGGAGACAGAGAGAGAGACGGAAAAGCTGGTGGGAGGATGAGTAGTAAGGAGGAGAGGCGGGTAAAGGATGAGTGTAGAGGCTTGGAGGTGTTTTACTATGCAGGGCCTTGCAAATTCCAGCAAGAGGTTTGGCTTTTACTCTATTTGTGGAGGAAGCCATTGGAGGTTTAGGTGTTACTTTATTTGGGAGGGAATCACTAACCAGAGGATGCTAGGAACTAAATTAAATTTTAACAAGATGACTGTGGCTGCACGTGGAGAACAGGCCATTGCAGCTGCCCAGGAAAGACGTGATGGCAGCTTGGAGGAGGTGGTCAGACTGGAGTTAATAAGACATGGTCAGCTTGTGGAGGAGCAGGTCTGGTTGGGGTTGGTGGTGTTGGTAAAGGGGTCAGTAGTTCAATTTTATCCTTACAGAGTTTAATTAATTGTTATCTCCTCGAGTGGAAATGTTCAGGATGGAGATGGATATGTAAATCTGGAATTAAGGGAAGGAGCTGGGTGACTCAGATTTGAGAATCCTAATTGTGTAAATGGTATTTAAAGCTATGAAGCAGGATGATGTCACCAAGCAGGGAGTGTAGACAGAGGAGAGGGATAAGGGAAGCCTGCCAGCTTCTACAGGCAGAAGAGGAGCTTCTCTAAGGGACTGAGGAGGAGGAGCCTGCAGGTAGCAGGAGACACCACTGAGTGTGGGTCACAGTCTGGGGAAGAGCGTTTGTCTGGGATGTCTAGAGCATTACTTTTAAAATAGAAGAGTCAATTTGTTTTGCATTATTTCAGGTAGGCAATCCAAATACATACCGTGTGTTTTTAGATCACAATGTTATTTTCTCTCACTGGATTTTGTTTATTTATATTCATACTGTGTTTACCTCTATAAAAGGATTTGAGGGAATTGGGTATAAAGTGGTATTTCGATAACCCATTAAAATAGAAAATTAAGATGAAATGGAAAATAGGAAAAGCTAAATACTATAGGTGTTAATATGCTATACCTCGTTACCATGACAGAATTTCCCATTTAATTCAATCTCCCAGTAGCCAACATCAAAAGGGACAGATTAGGTTTTATAATCATCTTCTTAGATATGGGGAATATTAAAATTCAAGGGAGACAAAGTATTTCCTATAAAATGCTAGAACTAGAATTTATTCTGACAGGCATCGCATACATAGTGGCACACAAAATGCTAAAACAAAACCCAGCGCTCGTCATTATTTTATTCCTACAGAAGCAGAAAATCTTTGAGGTGGTTTCTACTATCATCCCTATTTTATAGATATGAAAACTGAGGCTGGGAGGGGTTCAGTGCATTGGCCAAAACCACATGGATAAGAATTAGCGGAGTGCAATGCTGTGACTGCACACAGCTCCCCGTGTAAGAAGGGAGAGAATAAGGAAGGAACGATGCCGGAAAGGATGGTGGGTCCCACTGTGAAGGTCCCTAAATGTACACTTCTTCCTGCTTCCCTTTTCCCCGCCATCCTCCACCCCTTTACTTGGCCACAACTTCTTATCTTTCAGGCCTCACTGTGGACACACTTTTCCCTGGAGTGACATGGTTTTCACTGGAAGCTTCTCTCATTTCCTTTTGGAAGCTTCCTTCACTCTGCCCGCACCACCATGTCTCCTCTAGGTTCCCCTAGCTCTCTGTGCTCACCCTGCCTGCTGGTCACCATGCAGGGATGTATTTCTCTTTCTTGGTTTCCATGTGAGAGTGAGAACTCCCCAAGGAAAGATGTCTGGTGTTTAAAACCTGGGATCTTAGCTGGGGTCATCCCACTTCGGCTCCTCTGTGGGGTCTGGACTTCCTCACAGCATGGTGGCTTGGTTCTAAGAGCAAGTGCCCTGGTCGGGGAGAGTGAGAGAAAGACAGATAGAAGGAGAGGGAGACAGGTGGAGACTCAGAGATTAGGAGAGAGATACCGAGAGAGATCAAGGGAGATGTTGAGAGAAACTGAGAGAGATGGCTGGAGAGCTAGAGAGGCACAGAAATACTGAGAGGGATGGAGAGAGAGTCGAGAGCGAGTGAGCTGCATTGTGCTTGCAGGCCTCTCCTGGGAAGTCACGGTGTCGCTGTGCTGTGCTATCAATTGAGATCCTGATGAAAGTCCTCCTTGTTCAAGGCGGGTGCAGAGACTGCACCTCTTGCTGTGCTTCTGATGAGGCCATAAGGCCGCGCTGTAAGAAGAGAGCACGCACAGCAGATGTTCCCACGGCTATCTTGCGAAAATACAAGCTCTGCTACTCTAGCAGAGAAATTAAGTAGGATGAAAATTCAGTGGGCATGGATGTGAACAGGTGAACTTGGGGTGGATTCAGAACAACGAGAGAAGAGGCCAGATTCGAGGGGGAAGTGTAGGCAGGGGATCTAGGGCCATGCATGGAGTATCCTTGGAGAAATCTGGCCTAAAGTCGAAAAAGGTGGGGCCAAGGGCCAACTCCAGAATATTTTTCTATGGGTGTGCTTTGTAATTTCTTAGTTTATCCGTCGAGTTACCCTTTGCTAGTCTGATTTCAATTGATTTATTTACCTGAGACCATTAAAAAAATAGCAATTCAGGGCTTCAAAACATTCACGTTGTTATATATTTTCCTCAATTCATCTCAACTGGCAAAATTTTTGGGATTGACTTTCTTTTCAGGTTCCCTGCTGGGTGTCTTTGACAGCAAGAACCAAAAAGAACCAAATCCATCAAGTTGAATGCTGATTAGTCTTCTGTGGTACACTCAGCCGTTTCATTCCTTGTAGATCCTTCAAATTCAATACTGATCAGTCTTCTGTGGTACACTCAGCCGTTTCATTCCTTGTAGATCCTTCAAGTTCAATGCTGATCAGTCTTCTGTGGTACACTCAGCCATTTCATTCCTTGTAGAAGAACAAGGAGCTGGTTTGGAGCAAAGCAGAGCAGGCCATTGCTGGATTTAGAACACAACCTTAGCATCACATTTCCAGGACCTCTGTAGACCCTTGAGAAATTGTTTACTTCTTGGCTAATTTAAGGCAGTGTGCTAAAGTTTTAACCCATCCAGGAGCCTTCGTGTATAGTTTTAGATCCTTAAAGTGGCCACATTTCCTACCAAGTTAAAACTCTTTGGCATGGCCATGAGGTGCTGGAAGATGTAGCCTTTCCTAGCCTTTCCAGTTTGCTAATAACCTCCTACAAGATGTGGTCCTTCTTATTCCAGGGGCTCGGTTTCCTTCCTTGATGTCCTCACTGGACCTACTGGAGTTATAGCATGTCTTTGCATGATTGTTGGGCTTGTTTGCTGCTGCTGCTGGACTGTGAGGTCATTAGAACAGTGTTTACTTGATATCTCTTTGCTTCTCCACTTCCTAGCATGGCTCCTGGCATAGAGTCGTAGGTATTCAAAACATCCTGCGTAACTAAAGATGAATTGTTATCCAAATGAATTTAGCATAGTAAATTATAATTTTGGAGAACTGGTGATCTGATGATGATAGCCACTTTTTAACATTCAGAATATTTTATTTTTACAATCTGCATCATAGGAAATGGAATAAATCCATTTTTCTTAAAAGGTTGGCAATGTTCATACAATTTGAGTCATTTATCATCAGAATGGTCCCTCTTCCTTTTTGGTTTGTTTTGTGTTCAATACTGAGAAAATATTTTATTTTAGTTCCCCTTCTTCCAAATATGTGTCTTAAACTTGTGGGAGGAAAAAATCAATCACTTTCTGTGGCCATGACAAAGGTTGGCCCTGACTCTGTCAAGGGTCATGCCACAAGCGGAGAAGAAGGGGTATTTACAAATGTTAACTCATCAGCCTGAATCTTGCTACATCAGCTATGTGCTTTTCTAAATAGTCTTTTTTTTAATGTGGCAGTGAGCTGTGTATATGTAATATACCTAGTTGGAATGCTGAAAGGTATTCCATGTGCATATCTAAAATTGTCAACTAGCATGAGTAAGCACAGTACGTACTGAATAATGCCATACGACTTCTACATAAAATTAAAAGTTGTAAATATACTTGTCTTTTCTGCTTTACTTTTTATTATTTTAAATTGTTTATGCACCTAAAGTACCTAGAACTTTATTGCAGAGGATTTTCAGATGCCTAGCAATAAGATAAACTTATTTATTTTAGTATTAATGGAGTAAAATTTGACACTATGGCCTTGCTATCATAAATATCTTCAGCATGGTCAGTAAGACAGATGGCTTTTTGTGATGTCTCTCTGGATTTCTACTAAGCCACAGTGACAAGTGAAATATTATCTCCAATATGTCTTTTTTTTTCCAGATGAAGTAG
The DNA here is from genome assembly GCF_000001405.40 of Homo sapiens. Taxonomy (NCBI): domain Eukaryota; kingdom Metazoa; phylum Chordata; class Mammalia; order Primates; family Hominidae; genus Homo; species Homo sapiens. The sequence continues at coordinate 73,976,237 of NC_000018.10, read as the reverse complement.
AGGGTCAGTAGAATGTGTATAGTAAGAAAAAGACAGTTTCTAATTATTTTTTTCAAGTAACTTCAGCAACTGTTATATAAAATATCTGCAGAATGTTTTGTGTTGAGCACAGGGAACTCTTTTTGGTAGTCACAAATCTTTCTTTTTTCTGTCTCAGATAAAAAATAATCTTCAGGAGATATTGGGCTGAGGGGTTTGGATTGACAAGAAATTTCACTTCAATTTTCAAGAGGATCGAATGACTTAGAATAATCCATAGGAGGAGACACACAGATAATTCTGGGATTATGGTGGAGAAAAGGGGGTAGATAATAAAAGCCAGAGAAAAAGTGTGCTTCAAAAACAATCAGCAACATTTGAAAAGTCATAAAATTTATTGTTGTTTTTTATTTTTTACTTTAATTTCTAAATATTTTTGAAACAATCTGAACTTACAAAGAAGTTGGAAATACATTGCAAAGATCTTTTTTCTAAACTATTTGAGAGTCAGGAGCCAACATGATGCCCTTTCACTCCTGAACACTTCGGGGTGTATTTCCTGGATAGTCCTTAAAATCAGGAAATTCACATCCTTATACCCTAACCACCCCAGGTTTTACCAGTTGTCCCAGTAATACCCTTTATGGGAAAACGACCCTGCTTAGAATTGCGTGGTACATGAATCATCATGTGTATTCAGTCTACTTCAAACTGGAACATTTCTTCAATCTGTCTTTGCTTATTATGGCCTTGATGCATTTCAGGATTACGGGCCAGTTGCTTTGTCAAAGGCTCCTCAGTGTGGTCTGTGGTTTCCTCTGGTGGGACGCAGGCTGTCTGTCTTTGGCAGGAGCACCCCTGCCGTTGCCTTGTGTTCTTCTCTTCTCTCTGCTTCCTGTCACACAGCACACAGCGTCCACTGGACCCACTGCTGATGGAGGTCACCCGGCCACCTGATGAGGGTGCTGCCAGCCTTCTCCCCTGGAAAGCTACTCTTCTCTCCTTTGGGTTAATAGGCATTTCGAGGAAAAGATTTGTTAAATTATTTAAATAAATCCTTCCTCATCAAACTTCAACTTATGCCTTTATTTTATTTGATGAATCTTGCACAATCGTGTCCAGTTTTATTCATCAAGTTGTCACTCATTATTGTTATTTATTTTGAGGCTCATATAGTCCCAGGTTTGGTGAGAGGGAGCGCTCCCAATCTCACTTCTGTGTCTTTCTGATACCCTCCATCCTCATCCCTTGAGCACATTCTTTCTGGAATAACAGGATGTTTCAGGAGTATCTTGTACTTTTCCCACTCCATCTCTAGAAGGAACCATTTCTGTATTCAGTACAGATGCCCTTTATTGAGGAATGGCATACTTAGAAACCAAGATCTGGGCACCAGATGTGCTCATTGCTATTGGGGTAGCACCGATCCCAGGCCGTCTTAGTGGTCAGAGGTAGGGTATACGTGCATGTAAACACAACACACAAACACACACACACACACACACACACACACACACACCACATACACATTTATACTGTACTCATTCCCAGAACTAGCTCTCCACTCATTCTATCTATATATCTATCTATCTATCTATCTATCTATCTATCTATCTAAAATTTACCTACCTACCTCAATCCACATAGATGCCTCCAATTGTAATCCAGCACCATAGGGTTCATACTAATTTCCTTCCTTTCACTATTTGTGATAATGATAATTATCTTTAATATCTTCATTTATTTGCATACTTGTCCTAGGTGTAACCATCCTTCCATCACCATCCCCTCCTCTGCATGGAAGCCCTCTCCTTGCACTGCTCCAACCTTATGGGCTGTGCTTCCCACCCGCCGGGGTAGAAGTCCATCCCACCCACTGCAACTCTGACATCATGTGCCCCCACCCCGCTCAGGCACCAACACCCCACTCAGATCCTCCAGCGCTCCCCTCTTCCCCCTTCCCCTCTCCCTATGGGCCTGTATGATGGCTTTGCCCTTCTTGATGGATTTCTAACTGCATTGTCTAGGGAAGGAGGGGAAGAGCAAGGGTATGAGGAAGTGGAATGAAAGCAATGCAGTGAAGCCACTTATTCTAACTGTGAAGGGCAAGATCCAGGGTAGAGGAACTCAGTGGTTTCCTTTGCAGCACTGCCTTAAATGAGATATGCCTGAAGAGCTGATTCCAACTGTTTGTTGGAAAAGAAATACTAACTTACTGGAAGGATACACTACCTGCCAATGTTTAGATGTGGTGCTATTGAAAATATGCGCCGTGCTTGTAAATCCCAGAGAGAGGATGAAGACGCTGCAGGAAGCTGTGGAGAGTAGAGGAGATGCAGAGGAAGGCATGGGCAACACGGAAGCTCTTGCAAGTGCCTCACAGATAGGACACATGCTGCCGTGGAAGAGAAACAAAAGGGCCTGGAAAAGATAGGGATTCCGTTGACAAACACAGATTCCAGAGGAGACTCAGACCAGCAGTTGTGGAAACCTCTAATTCTTTCAGATGTGTCCTGAGAGGCATCCTCTGGCAGCCCTGTATTGATGTCTCCCACCGCCCATGTGCTCTCTCCAGCCCTGCTTCATTCTCTGTAGCACTTGTCACTTGCCAACATACCGTGTTTATTCCCTGTATTCCCCACTTAAAGGCCAACTCCATGATAGAAGAAAGTTTGCTTTGCTTGCCGCTATATTACCAATGCCTAAAATGTGCCTAGCACATAATAGCTGCTCATTACAATTGGCATAAATGGAAAGGATGAAAAGCTAACCAGGAGAAAGGAGAACAATGGACATTGGACTAAAAACAACCACGAAACAGGCACATTTCAACAAGGTCTATTACAGAGCAGTCTGCAAACAGCGACCTCCAAGAACATAATCATCAAGGAAAATAGAACAGGCAGGACAAACACGTGAAATCATCAGAAAGAGAAAGATGGAAAAGTCTGAAATATTGAAATGAGAGTAACTTCTTGTCTTGTTTCTAAGGAAGACAGTGGCGGGGAAATGGAATTGATGAATCGAAGCCCACCCAGGTGGGCTCTTCTTCCCACCACCTGCTGGGCGAATGTTTCCAACACCCAAGACCTCCAACTTTTGCTAAGCCACCCCTGAGGCCAAAGACAGAGACCACAGAGACCATGGAGATTTGAGCAGGTGAAACATCTGAGAAGGAAGATGGATTGAAATGTTCACAGAGGGCGAGGCTCATTGTGTAAAGTAGAATTAGAAATGAATAATGATGAAATTTAAGGGTACTTAATTCCATAGAATTAAAAAAAACTCAAATAATGTCTGGTCCTGTAAGAGATCAGAAATACAGCCACAGAGTAGTTAAATATTGTGAAAATATAAATATCACATATCAACACTAAAGACTTGCCACCAAAACAGTACTTAAAAAATAGATTTTATCCCAACTATTTGCATTAAATAATAAAAGCAATGAAAAATAAATGAGGTTAAAAGAAAACAATAGCCAAAATGAATAACAAGAAATAAACAGAACTGAGGAAACAAACCTATATATTTCAAGAAAAATTAACACATTGGTAAGTCTTTATGAGACTAATGTGACCACCTTGTCTGCTGGTGCCTCCAGGAGACTCAAAGGCTGACCCGGGAAAGAGGGGCTGCCCCAGATACCCAGTGGTTGTCATCACGAGGGACTTTGAGAGACGTGTGACTTTGGCTCTGCATGGAAAAGGAAGCCCCCTCACTGGGGAAAGAGTATTGCCCTGAGATCCACAAGGAGCACCCAGATGGTTGTGCGATTGGGGGAGTGCTAGGGGCCCAGGAGGCACTGGAAGCTGTGTTTCTGGGCTCATCCTCTGTGGCCCCCATGAGCAGACACTGGGGAAGAGCTCAGAGCCTTGTTCTTCAGAATCGGGTGTGCTTGCTCAGGGTCCCCAGAAGTAACTGGGAGACTTTGAAGAAGGAATTATACAGTTAGAGGCCAAGAGTCTGATCATTTTGCATATTTGTGAGAATTATCCTAAGGCTGAGGAGGTGAAATTCAGGTTTCTTATAATTCCAACCGTAGAACGTGATTAGCAAAAATATTAACTTTGTACCAAAGGAAAATGCTAGGCCAAATAGGTATGCAGACTGTCAAAGATGAACACAGCTGGACATCAGTTAAAGCAGTAAAAACACATTTTATTCAGTAACTATTCACAGTAGGGGAAGGGGCCGGCTGTATTTTCATTTGTGCAGAGGTGATTTGGAGGTTTTAGAGAGAGAATGAGGGAGAGGAGAGGGGAGAGCGAGGAAACGTGGAAAAAGTCCAAAGGGTGGTCAGTGTCCAGGCCACCAAACCAGCTGTGCCCCCTGGCGGGCAGTCGCCTCTCAGGATCCATCTTCCCACGGAGACCCCGTCCTTCCTGAGGGCCCCGTTTCCCCCGTTGCCAGGGAGTGGTTCTCTGGTCCTTGGGAATGGGCTTGTTGTAAGCCCTTTCCATAAGCCCTCTAAGAAAGGGAGGTCAGGGCTCATATGGGGTGTGGCTGGAACAGTAAATTGTCCTAGCAGCCTTGAGCTTTCTCAGGGAGGCATTTTAAGCAGGGATGGGTTCATCCTAGGGATGTGGCTTTCTGCTGCTAGAAGCCAAACTAGCTTGGTTATCTCTTAGCACAAAGGTTTAGACCCCATGGTTATATGCTGAGATTTCTTGGTTCTCAAAACAAAGATAACCGTTCTCAATAAGATTTTCACACAGACAATCCACATGAATTGTTCTCTCACTATCCTGAGTACCTAGAGCTAATGTGTCACAATACTAATATTTATAAAACAAAGCATTTCTATCCCCCTCTACTGGCATTTAACAAGTGCAGAGGAAGATTTCCCATGTGTGTAAGAGGGAGATACAAGGCCTTCCAAAGCACGCGAGACATGTTTATGTCTTTGCATGCAGTGATTGAAAGATACGGCTTGTCGGGAACATAGATTATATGAATGCAGACTTCACATTCTGAGAAACTAAAAGTGTGGAAGAAGAAATAGAACTATCTAGACATGAAAGTAAACTATTATTTGCACCTAATTACCCCGAGGCAGAAGGAATAGTCAATACATACATCATCACCTTTGCTGGATGCTTTGTTGAATACCCTGTTACTTGCTATGCATGCAGTGTGGTTGTCCACTCACAACTTTATATAAATAAAAGGAAATAATGTGTACTATGATCGAAGTGACATGTCTTAGTGACAGTGGATTAACAGCATCACAATTTCATAAGAAGAAATTTTATGTAGCCACATTGTACATAATATGTGGTCAATAAGTAATCGAGGTACACTGTTAGTGTAGACTCAGCCTCTGCATAAATTTGACTTTAATAAATTTTCCTACTTCTGTGACTAGCAGCCAGAACCAAAAAATACAGTTAGGAGAATGAGAAAGGAATCTATAAATACCAATCAGATCATTATTTGTGGGCTTGTAAATGTTTTCTCTGTGTGATTTTTAAAATTTTAAATCAAGTTGTGGGCAAGTTAAAGATCATCAACCGACCCTTCGAAATACAAAGAAGCTGCAGCAATTTTTATTTTTACTCAGATTATAATTTATATATAATGAAATGCCCAGATTGTAAGTGTGAGGAGTTTTGAGACTGCCTTGTGCATATATAAATTATTTTCATCATCCCAGGAAGTTCCCTCCTGTTCCCTTCCAGACAATTGACACCTTCCCTAAGGCAACCACTATTTAGATTCTTATCATCATAGCTTGGTTTGTCTAATTCTAGAGCTTCATATAATTGGAATTATACAGTTTATACTTTTTTGTGCATGACTTTGCTGTATGTAATGTCTACAAAGTTCCTCTGTGTTATTTCATGAATCAGTAATAGATTCTTTTTCTTTAATCACTGTGTGGCATGCAGTTTTATGAAAAAACAATTTGTTTATCCATTCAACTATTGATGGATAATTGGGTTGTTAACAGTTTGAGGCAATGATGAAGCTACAATGAACATGCATATACAAGTATTTTGTGGACATATGTCTTCTTTCTTTTTAGTCACGTCCCTAAAGTGGCAGTGTTGAGTCCACAGGGTAAGTGTGTGTTTCAGTAACTGCCAAGTAGTTTTCCAAAGTGGCTGTGCGGTTGTCACTCAGCAGCAGGGCCTGAGGTAGTGTTGCTCCATGGGAGAGTCAATGCTCGATCAGGCCAGTCTTACATTTTAGCTGTTGTAGGGTGAGCCAGTGGCATTCATGATCGTTTTAATTTGTATTATTTCCTGATGATGAGTGGGCATCTTCTCATATATCAGCCATTCGTACCATCTCATTTGTTGGGGTGAAATGTCTGTTCAAGTCTTCGCTGTTTAAAAAGTTTGGGTTATTTTTATTGTGAAACTGTTGGGGTTTTCTGCACATTCTCTAGATACAAGACCCTTACCAGATTTATGTGTGGGAGTATCCCACCCATTCTGAATTGTGTCCCTTTGTCTTCCTCATGGTGTGCTTAATCGTTATTTAACACTTAACCATTTTTTTATGGCTAGTGCTTTTAGCCATAAAGTCCTAAGAAATCTTTTCCTACCTCAAGGTGACAAAGATACTCTCCTCTGTTCTATTTTTCATTTTTATATTGTACACAACACTTAAAAAATAAGTCTAAGTGTTACTAGCTGAGAAATACCAGAAAACAACTTGCATAAATGCTGAAATCGAATTGCTACCCCTATTTTGGATTGAAATGAATTTGAAGGGGGAAGAATGTCACAGTTACTTTAGCCTCATTTTCTAGCACTGGAACTCTAAGTGGACAGGAGTGAAAGGAACTTTATGGTGAAATATTTTGAGAAATATAAAATATCTTTGTGTATCTTGGGGTGTCTTTGACTAGCCTGTTGGGCCAGTGAGGCAGGAACTGCCTTCTCTCTGCATGGTTAGTGCATGGCTGTGGTGTGGAAGGTTTGGACTCGAATGCTGAGCTCGTGGGCAGACGGACAGGCAGCTGGAAGTAAAGACGTGCCCTCCATTCTAGGCTGGGAGGAACTGATGAGAGCTGTGATTCTGCAGGCTGCCTCCCTCTGGAGATGGCACTGAGATCCCTCTCAGCCAGGGTCCCAGAGCCAGTTGATGTCTGTGTTGAGTCTACTTTAAAGACATAAAATGCCCCCTTTCTTTTTCTTTCTTTCTTCCTTTTTTTTTTTTTTTTTTTAAGACAGAGTCTCGCTCTGTTGCCCAGGCTAGAGTGCAGTGGTGTGATCTCGGGTCACTGTGAACTCCGCCTCCCGGGTTCACACCATTCTCCTCCCTCACACTCCAGAGTAGCTGGGACTACAGGTGCCCGCCACCGCGCCCGGCTAATTTTTTGTATTTTTTTAGTAGAGATGGGGTTTCACCGTGTTAGCCAGGATGGTCTCGATCTCCTGACCTCGTGATCCGCCCACCTCGGCCTCCCAAAGTGCTGGGATTACAGGCTTGAGCCACAGCACCCGGCCTTCTTTCAAAAAGAAAAAAGCAAAACATTTTTGGTCAAACATACACTGAAGAATCTGACCTCAGAGTTAGATAAAATAAGGGCTTTTATTTTCAGTGTGAAGAATTGTCCAGTACAGTCACCAAGAAAACAAGATCTTAGTAAATATAGGAAAAAATAATAACAAAAACACTTCTAGTGTCCTGCATTTTATGGGATGTTGAGTTTTACCAGATCATCATGTTAAGTAGGTAGCTAGTCAGGCATGAGCAGGGCAGGAGAGGGCTCCCCCTGCTCCATTGCCCCCCACCAACACCAGAAATGTTAGGCGACCATCAGGTGATGGTCAGGTGGTTGTTAAACTCTCTGTCTAAAATAATAATTGGTCACAGTCAGCGCTAGGGAAAGGCAGTCTCTCAATAGATAGAAACACCTGAAGCTGGTGATGAGCAGCTTCCTGATGAGGTCTCAGGAGCTGGGTGAGTGGGCTCAAACATGTGCACTAAGGGGCAAAATGGATGGAGTTTAACTGGTATATGACCTTCCTGCAGGAATGCTAGACTGGCGGGGGAGGAATGCCTCAAGTGAGCATGCGTACAACTCCAGTAATCACACTGCACACACTCCCCTCCTAAGTGCTAACTGACCACTGTGCATGCAGACAGTCCACCCCAAGGGAAGAATCAGGGGAGAAACAATGCAAGACCCTGGAAGCAAGACAGTGTATAAAACCCCAAGTCCAAAGACCAAACCACGCACCTGATCTCTCAAGTCTCCCACTCAGCCCTCTTCCAAGTGTACTTTACTTCCTTTCATTCCTGCTCTAAAGCTTTTTCATAAACTTTCCCTTCTGCTGGAAAACTTGCCTTGGTCTCTCCTTCTGCCTTATGCCCCTCGGCTAAATTCTTTCTTCTGAGGAGGCAAGAACTGAGGTTGCTGCAGGCCCATACAGATTCGCCATCCATGACAATCATGTGGGTAGATACAGATTTTTCTCTGACTCAGACCAGAGAAGGCACTTGGTTGGCAAATCTTTTTTCCTTAGAGTAATCAGTTAATTATCATGATAATAATGTTTATGTAAAGTCTGGATTTCCTTTGAAAAGCTGACTTTGCACTCATTCTATTAAAGAGTCTATGCTTATAATTTCTTTTTCTGAGGCTTTCAGCCTGGGGTTCCAAGTACACGTGTGTGTGTGTGTGTGTGTGTGTGTGTGTGCGCGCGTGTGTGTGTGTGTGTGTGTGCAGGCAATAAAAATTTCAGTTTTCTCTTACACAATTTTAAATAAATACTTTCTCCTGTTATCACAATGATTCCTTTTAGTGAGTCCAGGTATTTTTGTGATTTCAACAAGACATACCATCCCCCTTCACTGATGTGCCATGGCCACTGTAAACAGAAAGTACACACTCGGGGGGTGCCTTATGTTGTGCTTTTAGAACAGAGAAAGCTTGATTTCCTTAACTCACTCACAGGCTTTGCCAGTAAGAGCCAAGAAGGTGCATGCTTCATGGAGAGCTTTCCCCTGCATTTGCATGAAATGAATCTGGAAATTTTTCTATTCTGAAGTCTAGTTAGTTAGTCCTAAGAACTAACACAATTAATCTGCTGTGTTCCTTACTCCACATAAAGCCCTGTCCATTGGGGAAAATATGTCGTAATTGTGAAGCACACTGGAGTGTGAAATCTGCCTGGTGGACCCAATGGACATGGATTTCCTCTCTCTGTGAATTTCTCTATGGAAAGGCTAACACCCAAATGAGCCAACCAGGTCAGTCTCAGCCCCAGGCAGCCCTTTGCTGCGAGACATTTGTATTTAAAGCATGGAAGCAACTATGGAGAAATAGATTTTGAGCAGTGGAGCTATTTTTTTCTGACAAAATTCTGCATTTAAGATATTTTCCTCTGCCTTAACTAGCAGTGATCTTACAACTTAATTAGCAGCCCAGGCTCTTCTGGATGAGGCCTATATTAGTCCATTTTCACACTGCTATAAAGAACAACTGGAGACTGGGTAATTTATAAAGGAAAGAGGTTTAATTCACTCACAGTTCTGCATGGCTGGGGAGGTCTTAGGAAACTTAAAGTCATGGTGGAAGGTGAAGGGGAAGCAAAGTACGTCTTACAGTCTTACGTGGCAGCAGGAGAGACAGAAAGCTAAGGGGAAACGGCCAATTTCAAAATTTCCCCTGATTTTTAGAGAGCTAAAGAGAGACTGGCCCTTTTAAGATCACCATCAGATCTCATGAGAACTCACTATCATGAGAACAAGATGGGAAAAACTGCCTGCATGATCTAATTACCTTCTACCAGGTCTCTCCTTTGACACATGAGGATTACAATTCGAGATGAGATTTGGGTGGGGACACAGAGCCAAACCATATCAAGGCCCCAAACATATATGCCATAGGGGCCCCAGGAGGCTCATTCATTCATTCACTCAATATTTATGAAGCACCTAGCATAAGTCCAGGCACTGGGTGCAGGAATTCCCTTCCTTCCAGAGCCACCTGCATTGGTTTTCCATGACCTTAAGGCAGTAGTTCTCAACTGGGACAATTTTGCACCTCACCTTTCTAGTAAGAGAAAATACTGAAACAACAAACACCCACACACACACAAGAACCTGAGGAACTCTAGGTGAATAATTTTTGTTGGTTAATATAGGAGGCCTGTAATTAAAGTGATAAACTTTGAGCAATTCTAACAGTTTGCTACAGTGAATACATCAGTTGAAGCAACAAACTGGGATTAACTAGTGTGGAGCACCTGGGGAAACGGAGGGATAACTCCACTAGTGACAAAATTGCCATGATCTGGAGGACCCAGGATAAACATGGACCTAGTGTTTTTGGCTTGGAGCTTGGCCAACATTCCCTTGAGAGTTGGGATGGAGGCAAAGGCGCTGATGGTGCTCAATGCTGCAGTATCAGTAGGGTTGAACAGAAAAACAGAGTCATTCAATATAGGAGTTCCATTTACACAGAAGTGAGACGAGTCAGGGGAGTTCAGTAGTAGAGCTGTGACCAGAAGGTCACTGAAGATCTTAGCAAGAAGCATCAGGGCTGGTTCTCAAAAGCTCACGGGGAAGATTCTGAGAGAGTTGCCACAGACTGCATCCATCTGCAGCAGTGCTGTGGGTCTCGGGTCCCTGAGAAGCCTTCATGATATTGTTTAGATTTGTGTCCCCATCCAAATCTCATGTTGAATTGGATGAGGGGCCTGGTGGGAGGTGATTGGATCATGGGGGCAGTTTCCCCCATACTGTTCTCATGATAGTGAGTGAGTTCTCACAAGATCTGATGGTTTAAAAGTGTGTGGCACTTCCCCCTTCACTCTCTCTCTCTTTCCTGCTCTGCCATGTAAGACATATTGGCTTTCCTTTCACCTTCTGCATGATTGTAAGTTTCCTGAGGCCTCCCATCCATTTTCTGTTAAGCCTGTGGAACTGCGAATCAGTTAAACCTCTTTTCTTTATGAATTACCCAGTCTTAGGTACTTCTTTACAGCAATGTGAGAACAGAGTAATACAGAAAATTGGTTCCAGGAGTGGGGCACTGCTATAAAGGTACTTGAAAATATGGAAATGATTTTGGAACTGGGTAATGGGCAGAGGTTGGAACAGTTTGGAGGGTTCAGAAGAAGACAGGAAGATGTGGGAAAGTTCAGAACTTCCTAGAGACTTGTTGAGTGGTTTTGACCAAAATTCTGATAGTGATATGGACAATGAAGTCCAGGGTGAGTTGATCTCAGATGGAGATGAGGAACTTACAGGGGACTGAAGTAGTCACTCTTGCTATGCTTTAGCAAAGAGATTGGTGGCAATTTGCCCCTGCCCTAGAGATCTTTGGAACTTTGAACTTGAGAGAGATGATTTAGGGTACCTGGCAGAAGAAATTTCTAAGCAGTGAAGAGTTTAAGAGATGGCCTGGCTCCTCCTAACAGCATATAGTCATGTTCACAAAGAGATGGTCTGAAATTAGAACTTAAGTTTAAAAGGGAAGCAGCACATAAAAGTTTGGAAAATTTGTAGCCTGACCATGTGGTAGAAAAGAAAAACCAATTTTCTGGGGAGAAATTCAAGCCAGCTGCAGAAATTTGGATACGTAAAGAGAAGCTGAATGTTAATAGCCAAGACAATGGGAAAAATGTCTCCAGATCATGTCAGAGACCTTTGCAGCAGCCCCTCCCCTCACAGTCCCTGAGGCCTAGGAGGAAAAAATGGTTTTGTGTGCCAGGCCCAGGGCCCAGCTGTTCCATGTAGCCTCAGTACAAAGTGCCCTGCAACCCAGCTGCTCCAGTTTCAGCCATGGCTGAAAGGGGCCAAAGTACAGCTCAGGCCATTGCTTCAGAGGGTGCAAGCCCCAAGCATTGGTGGATTTCATGTGGTGTTGAGCCTGCAGGTTCACAGAAGACAAGAATTGAGGTTTGGGAACCTCTGCCTAGGTTTCAGAGGATGTATGGAGATACCTGAGTGTCCAGGCAGAAGTATGCTGCAGGGGCAGAGCCCTCAAGGAGAACCTCTGCTAGGGCAGTGTGGAAGGGAAGTGTGGGGTGGGAGCCCCCACACAGAGTCTTCATTGGGTCACTGCCTAGTGGAGCTGTGAGAGGAGGGCCACTGTCTTCCAGATCCCATAATGGTAGATCCCCTAACAGCTTGCACCATGCACCTGGAAAAGCCACAGGCAGTCAACACCAGCCAGTGAAGGCAGCTGTGGGGGCTGTACCCAGCAGAGCCACAGGCAGAGCTTCCCAAGGCCGTAGGAGCCCACCCCTTGCATCAGTGTGTCCTGGATGTGAGACATGGTGTCAAAGGAGATTATTTTGGAGTTTTAAGATTTAATGACTGCCTGGCTGGGCTTTGGAATTGCATGGTGCCTATAGCCCCTTTGTTTTGACCAATTTTTCCCATTTGGAATGAAAGCATATACCCAATGCCTGTACCCCCATTTTATCTTAGAGGTACCTAACTTGTTTTTGATTTTACAGGCTCATAGGTGGAAGGGACTTACTTTGTCTAAGATCAAACTTTGGACTGTGAACTTTTGAGTTAATGCTGGAATGAGTTAAGACTTCGGGGAACTGCTGGGAAGGCATGATTGGTTTTGAAATGTGAGAAGGACATGAGATTTGGGAGGGGCCAGGGGGAGAATAATATGGTTTGGATTTATGTTCCTGCACAAATCTCATGATGAATTGGAGGAGGGGCCTGGTGGGAGGTGATTGGATCATGAGGGTGAATTTCCCCCTTGCTGTTCTCATGATAGTGAGTGAATTCTCATGAGATCTGATGGCTTAAAAGTGTGTGGCACTTCCCCCTTTGCTCTCTCTCTGTTCTGCTCCGCCATGTAAGATGTGCCTGCTTCCCCTTCACCTTCCGCCATGATTGTAAGTTTCCTGAGGCCTCCCATCTTCCTGTTAAGCCTGTGGAACTGTGAGTCAATTAAACCTAATTTCTTTATAAATTATTCAGTCCCAGGTAGTTCTCTATAGCAGTTTGAGAACTGACTACTACATTCCATAAGCCTGGATCTGCCCCTGTGTGTGACCACCATCATCCCCCAGGACAATCGTGCTTCTCACCATAAGTACTATATGGCATGTTAATGCTAGAACTTAAAAATATAAATCTAGAATCATTAGAAACGTTGAAAAAAGAAAGAAGTGAGTTGACATTTTCTATTTTAGTAAGTTTTCACTCAGGTAAACATATTCTGATTGGAAGGTGAGTCTTGGAAGAACTCATGATTTGCTGGAATTTTCTACTCAGCCCATAGAAGTGAAAGAATACAAAAAGCCAGTTTTCTCTTTGGAGGGGCTGAATGGAGAGAAGAGTTTCAGCAAAAGCTAAGTGGAGGGAACATATTGCAACAGATCAAGTTATGGGTGGATAATAAAACACAAGCATGGCCAGAAATGCATCTGGAAAGGCTTTTCACATTGAAGTTAAGTATCTTTTTGAAGTGTTCAGGGCAAGATAATTCTTGAATTTTAAAGAGTTATCCCAGAGGATGACAAGGAAGTCAGCTGGAGTTAAGAAAAGAGAGATACTTGTTCCAAAGCACACGCATGTGTGTGTGCTCTCTCTCTTTCACACACACACACAGACACACATATGCACATGTATGCACACACACACACACACACACACACACAGTGTTGATGATGCCTCACGGAGCATTTCGTATGTTACCATACACTGAGCTAATTACATAAATAGCCCTGAAGGACTTGTCATTATCCTCAGTTATGGATGAAGTAATGGAATCCAAGCATCTTCCAAATTCACAGAGGTAGTACAGAGCTGGCCTTTGAACCTGGACCTTCCACACTGTGATGGGGCTGTGATGTGTCAGCTTGGCTAGGCTGAGCCATACTCCTGGGAATTTCCTCTCTAGTATGTTTCCAATTAGTGTGGGCTACGAAAGGGGAAGTGGTTATTGAGCAGCATACACCTTCTTCCAGTTATTCAGTCAAACCCTATCTTGGGTGCTGTTGTGAATGGATTTTGCAGATGTAGCTAAAGTTTTCTATCAGTTTAGTTTTGAATTAATCAAAAGAGAGATTATCCTGGGAGGGTCAGACCTCATCAGATGGAAGTCTTCTAAAGGTAGTCCTTCCTGAAGTCAGAGATTCCAAGCTTGTGCTTGTGGGGCTCCAGCCTGCCCTGGTATTCCTTCCTACCTGCTTGCCTGTGGCCAAGAAGCTTCAGAGCATGTTCATGAGGTCCTGTCTGTGTGTGATTTTGCTGGCTGCCTGTCCTGTGGACTTCAGGCTTCTTAGCCAGTTCCCATAATTAAGTCAATACTTTGTTATATGTAGATGTAACAAATACATACTAGCAGGATGCATATTTTTCCTACTGGTTTTTCTTCTCTGGTTGAATTCTGATTCATACACCCACTACTGCATTTCCATGATAGTATTCCTTTAGCTCTTGCCCCAAATGTTATTTTCATCTAACTCCCAACATTTCCAGAATGAAGCTCTTGACCTTTCCCACCAAAAGCTGCTTCCCCAGTGTGTTATCCTCACAGCTCTTCAGGCCCTAACTTCAGAAGGGCTGTTCTTCATATCTCTCTGTCTCTCATAGTCCATATCCAATCTCTTAGGAAATCCTGCTGACTTTACTTTCAAGATATATCCACAGTCAAATCACGTCTCATTTTCTCTATTGGCACCACCTTGGCTCAACCAGCCCTAATTTTCCATGGGTATTGCAAAAGCTTTCTTTTTACTCATGCCACCCTATAGTTCCTTCACATGTAGTAGCTGGAATGACCTGGAAACATTAGTCAGAAATGTCACCCCTTTGCTGACCCTTCAAGGGCTCTTCATTCCAGTTGGTGAAGAAGCCAGAGTTCTTCCAGTGGCTCACCCCTCACGAGGGCTGGTCCTTGTACACTCTGACCCCACTGCCTTCCCGAATGCCTCCTTGATGTTCCTAGAAGCCACCCACCCTTTTAGGGTCACCTCAGGGAACTGGCTGTCCCCTCTGCTGGGGTGCTTCCCTTGAGCAATGGCCTGGCTCTCTGCTTGATCTCCTTTAAGTTTGTGCTCAAAAGTCACCTCCAAGTTGGAAGGTCCGCCCTTCCCACACTATTTATAATCATTACTGACCCCACAGCAGCCAGTCTTTTTTTCCTGTTCCCTTGCCCCTGCAGTATTTATCAGGATCTACCATACTGTAGCATTTACCTAGTATATTTGCTTATTGCTACCCATGTCCCATGAGAATGTGAGTTCTAGCTTTGTCTTTTTGTGCCCTGAGATGCTGAGAACATTGTAGGCTCTCAATAATGTCTGTTGAATTAATGATAATTTTCCTCTCATAGGTATGAGATAGAGGCACTTCCTCCAACCTCACACCCACATTTTGGGCAGGAAAATAAGAAAATAAAGATGAATGCAGAGACAAAAATGAACAGGAGTAGGAGGAAAGGAAAAAAGGAGTAGAATGGGGAAAAAGAGGAGGAGGAAAAAGAAAGAAGCAGTGTCCATTTCATGAAAAAAATTCTGAAATACTTAGCAAAACTTCGCATCTGCCTCACTGGCTAGTACTGAGTCAGTGAGGGTGAGTATTGTGAGTATTTTGTCAAGTTAAACAAAACTAGAATTTTTGCTAATAAGATAATCTATGTTGAGTAGCTAACTAGTAGCATCTTCAAAAATGTTAGTATCTATGTAGTCTTGAAAATCACCCATTACATAGGCATTATTATTTCCTTTTTATAGATATAGAAGCCAACATTGAAAAGGGAGAAGTTGCCGAAGGTCAAACCACTGGTAAGGTGCCAAGCTAAGACTGAGGAGTCTCTCTAGCTCCATCCTGTTATTATCATATACTATTGCTGATGGCCCCCCATTCCTTTTAATTAGTTCAATCAACTAAGTACTTTTTAAACATTACCCTTGGTAAAATATTATGCTAGATACAATGGATAGAAACTTTTGCCATTAAGAATTTTATGCTCCAGTGGTCACGGTAGGATAAAATTACATGAAAGGATGGCGAGTAAATTAATTACACAAGGAGTCTATGCTATTAGAGTTCAGAAAACAAGAGCATCTGGGCTGGTCTGAGAAGGCATTAGAGAAGAGACGGGATTTTATGTGGACCTTGGGAATGGATCCACATAGAAGAATAGGGAGGGATGTATAGGTAGCAAGAAATTGGCTGTGTCTTGGCAGAAATGATGATGTGTCCTTTCTTAGGATAGTATCTGAGAAATAATACTTTGGAGATTAATTATCATCTTAATGTATCTTGACAGTAATAGAGACAGATTATTTCAATAAGCATGCTGTTGGTAGATTTACCAGTTAGTAAGGTGCATGACTGTGAATTTATAGCCATCTCATCTCATTAGTAAATAGAAAATTGTTCAGTTGGTAAAATCACAGGTGCAGAACTCCCTGAGGGCAGGCAACATGCTGTCTGTATGGTGGTTAATCTTCCAAGGTTCATAACACCCTGGATTAGGTGTACCTAATGCACTTCCAGATCCTCAGTTTGCTGGGTGGATCAAGGTTGAACACATCAAGTTTCAGAAGCTATCACATACAAAATGACTTTTTAATAGTTATTGATTGCTTAAAGATATTTTGTGCTATTTTTGCAACTGTTGGTTTGTGATATGGGCAAACCCAGCTGTTACTGTGGCCATAGTTGATTGGCTCAGGGTGGCTGCACGAGCCAGAAGATACCATCCATGGGTGGGTATCACAGTGTCCCAGCCACGCTGCTGTGGTTTCTCAAGTCCTGCCCTGGAGTGTTCTAATCCAGCAGGCACCCAGCCAACTCAATGCAATGCAGACAGCTGCCCTCGATTTTCTGCTGCTCATGTTAGAAGCAAGAGTTCTATATGGCTGATAGGGAAATCCTTGTTTTACCACACACCTGAGTAGGTAAAGGACTTCCAGCTTTTGATACAGTTAGGTGGTACCACGTGGTGTGTTCGCTGGGAAATTCTCTCCCACTACTTTGTGCTACTTCCCAGTGAACTGGAGGCTGTCCTGAGAAGCTTCTAGTTATCCTCTGACCAGATCCTCCTGAGGCAGGAGGTGCAGGAGAACAGAAGTGTGCCCTGTGCTCTTCTGAGCAGAGAAGCACCATGAGCTGGGGCAGGCAAACCCCACTGGGGCTGGCATGGCTCGCTGGGGCTGGCACGTGGAGGGAAGTGCTGCCTCCCCAGGCCTCTGCTTTAATGATCAGCTTAGTCACTGGTGTGACTGTGCCCTGGGCTATTGCCTGAGGTGAAACCTTTACCTGCTCCCTGGTCTATCTTGGTAGAATTGATCTATTTCAAAGGTATACAGCTAAGCAGATTCTTATTTCTGAGAATACCACCTGTGTGGCACCTCCTTTCCAGCTCCTCAGGGAATGTGAGACATGTGAGGAGCTGCCACACTCCTTGCCAGTAGTCACAGGAAAGGGTGGTTAACAAGTTAAAGTAACCAAGAGGAATATGTGTGTTGAGTCAGCTGATGGCGTTTGCAGGTGGAATGTCCTTCTTACCACTGATGCCCAGAGTGATGGAGGAAGTGGGGCATCTTCCTATCCTGGCTTTTCGCCCCTCCCCTCCCTTGTGTCCTTTGACACTATCCACTGACCCCTACCTTGCCCTGCAGCTTTCCAGGTCCATGTACAGCCCTTCTGATGCCCAAAGCACCTGATTGTCTCTCTGTGTTGTCAGCTTGGGGCTGGGCTTCTTGGCTTACTCTGACAGCCACAGTGGATACACACACACACACACACACACACAATCTCCAACCCATACATTGGAGAAAAGTTAGGATTGCCTCCTGTTGGGGCCACCCGCATTTTTCCTCTTTACTAGGAAATGGCAGTTTCCTCTTTACTAGGAAATGCCATCTGCCTCTTTACTAGGCAGATGGCAGTGCTCCCCGAAACCTTGCTTGCCTTCAGCATTCTGCACGGAGAAGACTCCACTTCCCAGGCTTCTTACTGTTAGGCAGGGCCGTGTGACTAGTCCCAGGCAATGAGACACAAGGCAAAGTGATGTGGGGACTTCTAGTCTGAGGCACTCGAGAGCTTCAGTGAGCTGTCCACGTTCCTTTATTCTCCCTGCTGGAGCAGCCCAGGTGACTACATGTAGAGATAAACGCAACCTGGATCATGAGTAGCTGCAGAGAAAGATGCCTTGGTGCTCCTCCATGCTGTGTGAGTGGAAAATCCACTGCCATTAAATCACTGAGATTTGGGGGTTATTACTGATGCAGAGTCTAGCCTCTTCAGGCTCATTTAGGAGCCATTCACAAAGTTTTTCTCAAGTGATATGCCCAATGAATCCTACTATGTTTCTCTAGGGACACAGTCCGTAATGTTGAAATGAAATTTATTTCTTAGTAACATACTATTGGAAGATGCTAGAAAGTTATTCGAGAAAAGAGAGATAGTCCAGAAATAGAATAATTTGTAATGAAAGGAAGAATAGACTTGAAGAAATAAGAAAGGATTACCCAGAAGTTCTGTCTGGAAAAGTTCCCATAGGAGAAAAGGAAAAGAATTCAAACTTGCAGATTCACAGATCAATAACTCAGGTGGGAAGAGGAAGATGAATAAATTCACACAGGTTTATGAGTACAGGGGCTCATACATGAAGGAAGGAATGGGGAAAGAGAAGGCTAAATGTAAAAATATACAGCAAATTCAGCAAAATCTAAATGGCTCTGTTTATCTGGGGATGTTTTGGAGTCCTTGATTCTTCTTAGATCTTCTTTAGATGCTCAGTAAACTGGACCTTGGCATGGAGGAAAGAGAGGAGAAAGGCAGAGTGAGAGAGTGCAACCAACACACCCCCAGCATTCAGTCCCAGTCTCCAGGACCATGATCCACTTTGTAAAGAACCAAGACTCAATCAACAGCCTCTCAGTAACCTATTTAGAATAATAGCATCCAGAGACAGCTGGCGAGGCCCCTCAGTTTTTTGCCTAATTCTATTTTGCATATGAAGAGACTTGAGCCAAGTTTTTTGTCACCGTTAGAAGGTGAAATATACTGGATAGCATGTCTCCCGCCAGGTTGGGGCACTTTTCCAGTCTAGGCTTCTCTGGTTTCTGAGCCTGGCATCTCCACTTTTGCAAACTGGCGTCTTTGTGGCTTAGGGAATGTGACTGGCATAGCACAGGTTCTGATGGACTAAGGAAAAGAGATAGCATTTCCAGTTCAGTAGAGACTTCCACTTTACCTAAAATCATCTGGTCATTTTCCCCCTCATGCTGATTTCAGAATTTCCTTCAAAATTTAGACTAATTTATGCTTTGTTAAAGCTCCACACAAACTTTTGTGGTTAAATAATGACATTTTATTCTTGGTACTTCACTTGTTGTTTGTGAAATATGAGACAGCAGGGGCTGTCCTGATTGTAAAAGTTAAATGTTGTACAAAATCGCTACTCCAGTACTTAACCGCAGGGCCACAAAATGGGTTGATGGTAGTTACTTTGGCTCATCCTGTAGAACTTGAATGATTTACTAAAAACTCTGCAATAACATAATATCTACAAGATGACAATTAAAGTAACAAGACAACCTCAAGGAGTAAATATTTTATGTAATGAATTAACCATGCAAGGTTCATTCATTCATGAATGTTAATTAGAATCCTGAGGTTAAATTGCTGTGTGGTATAAAGTCAGTTTATGCTAAGTAATCAAGTAGATAAAGAGTAATGATGCAGGGTTTGTATTTTAATTTACTATTCTTTCTTCCTACCAAAAATGAGAGATCACTCATAACAGTCAAACGAGCAGCTCTGCTCTCCCTTCCCTTCCTAAGAGAAAACACACGACCTGGTCTCCTTTAAGCAGAGCTGCACAAAGGTCTGAGCTTCTTCTGGTGGTGTCAGGTTAAAGAGACAATGGCAGGACAATATCAGCCTGAAACATCGGGTAGCAGATTCCCCATTTACATAAAGTTCCAGGACACAGAGTGGGATGGGCAGAATAATATCCCCTCAAGGATAGCCTTGTCCTAATCCTGGAATCTGTGAGTAGATTTCCTTTATGTAGCAAAAAGGATTTCACATGTGAGATTAGGTTAAGGACCTTGAAGTGCAAAGACTATTTTGGATTATCTGAGTGGAGCCAATGTACTCACGAGGGCTCTTAAAGAGGGAAAGGAAGGTAAAAGAGGAAATCAGAATGATGCACTGTGAGGACTCGACCCATTGTGGCTGGCATTGAAGATGGGGGAAGGGGCCATAAGCCGAGGAATATAGGCCACTTCTAGAAGCTGGAAAAGGTGAGGACTGGATTCTCTCCTAGAGCCTCTAGAAAGGTCTGCAGACTTGCTGAGACTTTGAAAGTCACCCTCTGAGACTTGTGTTGAACTTCTAGCCTCCAGGACTGTAAGACAATACATTTGTGTTATTTAAGCCACTAAGTTTTTGGGAGTTTGTTACAGCAGCAATGGGAGACTAATACACCAGGGACTAAGTTGCCCACTTAGTCCCTGATTTGCCTAAAAATCACATGAGTATTTGTGGAATGAATGAAGGAATGAATGACCGGAACTGTTAGTGGTGGAAGAGATCCGAGTTACCCCAAGTTACCGGTGGCATAGTCATGTGGGTCTGCAGCATCTTCAGCCCTTGCCTCCTCAGAAGAAAGAATTTGACTGAGCGGCATAAAGCAGAGAAAGATACTGAGGCTAGTTTCAGAGCAGGAGTGAAAGTTTATTTGAAAAGGCTTTAGAACAGGAAAAAAAGGAAAATTTGCTTGGAAGAGACCAAGTGGGCACCTGTAGGTCAAAGAGAGAGAGAGAAAAAAGGGGGCCTTTACCTTGATCCTGGGACTTTATAGGATGGCCCCTTTCCCGTGATGCTCCCCTTAGGGTGGGCTGCCCACAGGCACAGTGCCCTCCTTACCCTTGGGAATTGAGCACACACGGTGCGTTTAGGGAGTTGCTTGCCCTTCAGAGGCTTTCTTCCCTTTTCTGGTGGAGTGTCCCCAGAAGGTCACACTTATCATTATTGTTTTTTAATGTGCATGCCCAGGAAGTTGCTTCTCCCTGGAGTCTGCTTTAATTAACACTTTAGTGTTAACAGGTGTGGACCATCAGGAACTGGCCTCTCCCTGGCGCCCCAATTTATCACTTTTAGAGAGGCAATGCATTAATTGCCTAACCATCACCGGACACTTCTTGTGGGTGGCGGGGGGAGCTCTCTCATGCCTCGCTCATGCCTGTCTACCTGTAACGGAACTACTTGTTATGCAGATATACCTCAGCTAGAATCTGATTGACATACACCTCTGCACACCTGTTGTCTAACGGTAACTGAGGTTCAAAATACTAACCCTCTAATACTGCAAAATCCAGAAACACCTATTTAAGGAATCTTACCCATATTTACTGTTGGTTTAGAGGAAGAGAAGGCACTTCAGTGTATCCAGTGTCTATACTGGATCAGATGCTTCATCCTTCCAAAATGTTAGCCCTCATTTCCATTGCTCTCCATCCCTGTTTTATTTCCTTATGGGAGCTATCACCCTCTAAGACATCCATGTTCACCATATTTCTTTGCATGTTAATTTCTCCTTCATCCTTCTGAAATGTGAGCCCTATAAGAGCAGATACCTTTGCTTAGATTGGGTTTTTGAAAGTAGTAATTGATCACACTTCTCCCAAACAGAAGGATTAAAATATCAGCATTTAACAGATCCAGTGCAATTAGGAATGTGGTCTTACCTAGGGCTCCACCAGGGCTCTGATGATGTCCCCTCCCATTTCATTGAACCCCATCTGCCGGTTTGCTCCTCACAGCAGGAGCAGAATCGGCCCCAAGAACTCACAGAGAGAAAGCACCACACCCAGGGGCAGCTGCTTCCTCTGAGTTCACACATCAAATAATCTGCTAGTCCCTCTTGGGGGGAAGTGAGGCCGGTAGGGAGGCAGGCCCTGTGTCACCTCTTTCAGAAGAAGACCTGAACATGGAGATGGGGTCCCGGGGGCAGAAGCTTCAAATTAACTCTGCTCTTGATCCCTGCTGCATCTCCAGTGTCTAAAACAGCTCCTATCACTTGGGAGACATTCAATAAATATGGGTCAATGAATAATGAATAAATATATTATCTCATTTCATCTTCGGAACAACTCTAGAGAGCTGATTTTATGTCTATTCTGCTGGGGAAGTTTGGATAAACTTAGTGAGGTTGGATAATCACTGAGCAGCAGAGCTGGGATTCAAATCTGGTTCAGCCTTGCTCTAAGGCAAATCCTGCTGTCTCCCATGTGCACTTGACGTGGTTCTACTTTGGAAAGAGGCCACTGTCTGATGCATTTTTTGCATTTTTGCTCAAAAGTCTCCTACGTTCAGAAGTCAACTTCAAGGTCGCGCATGCTGGGCAGCCCTGAGTGCGGGGTTTCCAATAAGTAGGCAGGTTCACCTTCTCAGCTGTAAAACAAACCCCAGTGCCCACTCAGGGCCAGACACTTCACTGGTGCACAAGCATGAAACACGGGCTCTCAGATTGCCCCGCTGCTGCCCAGGCCATTTACAGTGCTGAAACCATCATGTAAGCTGCTTGTATTTTCTCCTTGTCTATATAAAAGTCCTCTGAGGAACTCAACGCCTTTATAGCTATTGTTACAATAATAGTCCCCTGGATTGGGGGGGAAAAGGTTTTAAAAAGCATTGACTATGCACTTAGCAACTTTCTCGGCAATTCAAGGACTGAGGCTAAGCACCGCTCTGAGTTTGTGGAGAGCATATTTTAGTTTCTTATTTCCTAGGAGTAATTTTCACCTTAATTGCAGAAAATGCATTTGAGAACACTCTTGTGTCTGCAACCAACAGGAGCATGGCAGCATTGTATTCTGAGAAATTTGGGCTGGGTGCGGTGGCTCACGCCTGTAATCCCAGCACTTTGGGAGGCCGAGGTTGGTGGATCACCTGAGGTCAGGAGTTCGAGACTAGCCTGTGCAACACAGTGAAACCCCGTCACTACTAAAAATACAAAAATTAGCCAGGTGTGGTAGCGGGCACCTGTAATTCCAGCTACTCGGGAGGCTGAGACAGGAGAATCACTTGAACCTGAGAGGCAGAGCTTGCAGTGGGCTGAGATTGCACTATTGCACTCCAGCCTGGGTCACAAGAGTGAAATTCTGTCTCAAAAAAAAAAAAAAAAATTACTAGCTGGGAGGAATTACCAATTCAATGAAAATTATAGCAGAAGTTTGTTTTTTGAGACACTTTTTGAACACAACCTCTCTCCCGTGTCAACACATGCATCTGTAGTATGCCCTCAACAGGTGCTTGATAACAAAGTTAGTGGATTTTCCAACTTAAAATTTATCTGGATCAGTTGCTGTAAGACATATGGTTCCTCATTACACCATGTGATGCTCTGATAATGACTCGTTTCTTTCTATTCCAACTTGGAAAGAAGCTTTTGCCACCCTCCCACCTGTGTCTTGATCTCAGCCAGTGAGCATAGGTGCCTCCTTCATAGTCCCTTGTTATCAGCTCCATCTCTTTCCAGCTTCCTTTTCTGCTCTCACCATGAAGTTTAATAGTCTCAATACACTTTTATCTTTGCCTTTTATGTGGTTGCTACTAAATGTCTTATGCTGTCATTTTAATGACTCACTTTTATCCCTTTTCCAATTGCTCTCAGCACTGCCGCGTGGGGACTCAGCACCTGGATCTTTTCTGAAAGGTGACGATTCTATATCCTGTTACATCCCACTGGGATGTCAGATTAGAGAAACAGTCTCAGGGCTAAATCCACAGAGTCCTTCCTGTCACCGTTCCTTGCAGTTCCCATTCTCCAGGGGTTTGAAGGCATGAGGACCCCTGTTGTTTTGTAAACACGTTCCACCTTACGATGACATCTACCTCTCTGAACTGGAGCTCTTGTTGGTGCTATCTGCTGGGCTCTTGGCTGTCTTCTTCCTGTTCATGTGTTCTGGCATTGTCACATCAGTGTGCTTTGTATCCCTGCTAGGACTTTCTACTCCTCTGTTGCAGGGTCTGCAGCTTCCACAGAAACCACTTCTAGCACCCAACACAGTGATGGATGAGAGGGAGTCAACTGATAGGCGTTAACCGAGTTTCAACGTGCACTGCATTTTGTTGCACACTGTGGTCCCCTCAGCCTTTCTTGTGTGATTGAAAGGAGGCAGCGTGACCACCAGGTAGAGTCCTCCTTGGCTCTGTGTTCTGGAAAGGGGCAGGTAACCTCCTTCATCTACTGTGATTGCCAATTACTTTACTAGTTATTCTACCCTAGAACTAGTTAGATCTACTCTAGTATCTGAATCCTTTATACAAACCAATCAAGTGTTTGTCAATAAGTATGAATCTGTACTTTGAGTATAGCATTCACGAACAGTACACTTGGGAATAGAGCTGATGCTGGTGATTTCCAAAGGCGGTTAATGTGAATGTGGTTCTGGGGTTAAAGTCACGTCTTTTCATGTTAAGTTGCTTATGAAATACACAGCCAGAGCTGTGTTAGGCAGTTCCTATTTTCTGATATGCACTTTTGCTCATTTTCCCTGATGACTCTGTGTGGCCTGTAGTGGCCTGCAGCAATTTATAGGGCAGTGACTTCCTTATCTCAGAGTTTATATTAAAATTCTGTATTTCACAAAGGGCATTATTGATAGAAGTCATATGACAAAAATTCTCCATGGTCAAATAGGTTTGTAAGATGCCTGGTTAAGTATATTTCTTGACGACAAGATTTCTTGGACCCTCTAATGCACTTACGTGCATTGCCAGGGGCCTAGCTGAGCTGCCAGGTGTGGGAGTAGTTGATGAAGTCAATAAGCTAAAAGGAAAGTCACCGTGCAGCCTTTAATCCCTTCCTGCAACGATGGCACAATCAAGGGGCTGAACCTGAGGAAGCACCAACTACCCCCTGCCCCATTTTCCCCCATGGAATGGCACAAGGTTGAAGGTCAGGTGAATCAGCACAGACCTGGAGGGTGGCGGGTATCTCATTGCGGAGGGAGCCCTGAACGGAAAAGGCTCTGGCAGTTTTATGCACTGGGAGCCAGGGTGTGGGAGGATTGGAAAAGTGCTAGAACTGGAGAAGTATCAAGTACTGAGTCAATGTGGAGAAATAGTTTCAAGATTCCCGCTCCTCTCTCTCCACAGGGAGGTCACCTAGAGGGGCCTGAGGAAGCCTCTGGGTAGGACCCCGGCAAAGAGGGCTTGGAATGCAGGTGTCAGGGCTAGGTACAGATATGTGTAAGCACATGACTGGCGTGGCCTGCAGCTCCCCCAAGAGAAGGTAAGACGCCGCGTGCACCAGGTCCCTGTTGGGAGGGTGGCTTCCCTCATGGGGTCTTCCAGGTACATCTTTGTAATTGTCTACAGTTATGCCTGAAAAAATCACACACAGGAATTTGGACAGGAGCTGATCTCCTCATGCATGATGGCCTTCCAAGAAAATAATGTATACAGTAGGTCATTTCTCAAACATATTTGACTATGGAGTTTGTGATTGCATGTTTCTTGTGACTGGTATTCTAATTACAGAAGTACTAGTCTTTCTATCTGAAACTGTTCAAAGTTCAGTGTTTAAACGATGGAAAAGCTTTCCCCCTAAGTACACATATTTCATTAGTAGCGTTTCTTTTGATGTAGGTGAAAATTTGGATAACTGTGCCTTTCCTTCAGTATGCATGGGTTTTTCCAATGTCACCTGCAAAATGCTCTATTTTTTCAGCTGCCTGTGAGTTTTGTCTAAAGGTTATCTGGGTCAACTCAGGTCAGAGGGATTTTTGTAGAACATCCTGAATTTAGCAGTGAGGAACTCTCAGCCCAGCATGATTCATGGATGTCTCACAACCTCATGTTTTCTGACATCCACCATCAAGGCAAAGATCCTAGAGCACTTGTGTCTTATGGTGTGATTGTGTGTGTGACTGTGCGTGTGATCCTTTACCATCCATGATTTCAGAGGGAATCAGTGGAAGTGCAAAATAATGAAAAAGGGTATTTTTCATTTGTCCTGTAATGTCCTAGTTTTGTTGATTCAGCAGATTTAATAATTACATTTTACTTCACTCACTTGCACATTAAAATGCCTTTGCACTCTCTATAGGGAATTGGTAGGAGAGAGGGGCTCCCCAAACCACCAGGTCAGTTCACACGACTGCCCTATCTTTGGGTCATCATTCAAACTACAGCAGTGTTCTGTATTGGGGTGCCAGATTCACCAAGTGGAAATGATTTTTTTCTGTTCAAAGAAGTTGAAGCTTGTGCAAAACAAAACCATAACTTGTAGTTTATTGAATGTATCTTTACTTATAAGGTTTTGTTGTTTGTATACATCAAAACTAGATAAAAAAATGTGGCTGTGCAGAACCAAGAAGGTTTCATCCAGGCAGGATTCTGTGGACTTAGCTTAGGAGAGTGGTTTTTATAGTAATTTTTGTGTATGAAATGCTTTCTTCCAGGGAAATCTTATGAAGAATGCCAATATTAAAAATCAGAGTGGGTCACGGTTGAAAGTAGGTGGGAATACATTTAGCCCTCTTCTTTTTTATAGTGTCCCTGAGGGGCTATGTGTCTATCTGCTGGAGGAGAATGGTGATCTGACACACTGTTTGGGTCCAACCCCTTTAAGACAACTTTCCTTAACAACACTTATAGATTTCCCAATTCAGGATTTTAGTAACAACAGCAGCAGCTGCAACGTTTATTATGCACACTCAACAGGTGGCAGGCAGTGCATTTGGCACTTTACATGGGTTGTCTCTTAAGCCTCACAACAAATGAATGAGGTAGTGTCAAGTCAGGGAACAGTCCCTAAGACCACTCTCACTTCTGACACCAATTGCAGATTTGGGGGTCCTCGAGACAATCCTCAGTTTTGATATTTTGCTAGAAGGGCTCACAAACTCACTGAAAGTTATTATACTCATGGTTACAGTTTATTACAACAAAAGGATTAAAATCAGCCAGGAGAAGACGCACACAGGGCAGATCTAGGAAGGTTCAAAACATGGAACTTCCAGTTGCTCCTCCCAGTAGAGTCACAGTACTAACTTCTCCCATCAGTGATGTGTGACAAACCACACAGAATGTTGCCAGCCAGGGAAGCTACGCAACCCTTGGTGTCCAGCGTTTTTGTTGGGGATTGGTCATGTAGACATGCCTGACCTCAGCTTCTAGATCCTTCGAAGTTGAACTGATGATACATGTGACCAGAAACCCTCTTCCTAAATCATATTGTTAGACTGGGGTGGCCCAACACACCCAGGTAAACTAAGACACGTTTATCAGGACACTAAGATGCTAAGGCTTTCCAAATGCTTAGAGAGCACCTCCCATGAACCAAAAGAAAAGACCAGATTTCTCTTTGGGCCATGTTGAATTCTTTATTTCATAGATAGCTACTAGAATTCTTTTCCATCTCATAGATGAGGAAACTGAAGCTTAATGAGTCTAAGTAACACTTTGTAGTTGGTGAAGCTGGGTCTTGAAGCAGGGCAGACGATTCCGGAAGCTAAACTTTTAACTTTAATTTCTTATGAAGGTATTTGACAGTCCAAGCTGCACCATTTTGTAAACCCCTGCCATTTTGCAAACCCTGGTCAGAATGGAAAATTCCACTAGGGCTCAGGCCACATAAGAAACATCCTGGGACTTTCCAGACAAGTCCCAGGCCTAACTGCCTGACCCCAGGAAATTCCTCCCTTATCATCAGCTAACCACACTGCCCACCCCATTTCCCAACAAGCCCAGACCTCTCCCTCCTGGAACTATAATTACCCCAGCCTGTAAGGGGGTGTGGGCTCTGGTGCTAGCTGATGTCCCCCTCCGCAAATCTTTGTTCAATAAACCTTTGTTGCCCTAGAGCTGCCTCTGTTCGTTCCTTCTCCCTTTCCTGCTCTAACAGTATTAAAAAGAATTATTGGTACTTGACCCAATGGTTAATTTAGACATAAATACACATGCTAGCAAAGAAATTATAGTCAGGTAAACTCACAGCAGAATCCTGATATTAACAGGCAGTCCTGTCATCTCCAGTGTAGCTAGGAAAAAGCCCATTCTTGTCCATTTGTCCCAGGTCACTCCCGACCATGTGAATAGATCATCAGAATTGCCAGTCTGAGTGCTGCACCCCCCCAAGTCACTCCACGCTGCCTGTCGTCTGCCACTGTCAGTGTTCAGCCTTTAAAGTCTTCATTAACTTCATTTACAATGGTCTAGCTATTTCTGTTCTTTAATTGCTAATTCCACAATGCCAGGGTGAGCTTTCCTCCAATGCAAATGTTTTTGAAAATGCTGGCTGCAAAACATTTTTGCTGCAACATGCCTCTGATTGCTTCAAATTGTTTCTTTTCTGCACCACTACCTTTGAAAAGTTTAAAAAAGGTACTGTTTGCTCTTCCATATCCTGTGATAATTATAAGAGACTCTATCCTTGCATCCTGGAGCTGCTTCCTGTGCCTTCTCTCTCAAAAACCCCTGCTGCAGCGACTGTAGTTACACGCGTCACCAGCTACATCCCTTGGGTTTTGCAGTAACTGTTTATGTTAGCTATAGTGGCCATATTTTCTCAGACAAAATTTGGGACACATGGCCCAGCAAGGATGACTGTGCATATGGGTACACAGGACATAATATTTCTTTCCCAGAAAACTTGAGACATATGGTCTCCATATGTATAGAATATATGGCCTCTTGAATGTCTCTTTATTGATGCATTTCTAGTCACATGAATATGTAACAATAGTAATGTGATTTTTATAGCCTCTCTGTCAGGAGTTTTTCATTTGAAAAACATATTCATCATTTCTGTTTGTGGTAAAATTACTGCTCAATTTAGTGGCCAGCTTTACATGGTACGTGATGTATCTTGGTTTTGATGTTCTTTAGTGAATATATTTTCTTACTTCTATTTAGGGATCTGTGGTCTGTCTAGGCCAAAAAAGCAAACAACAAAAAAAAAGGCTGTGTGTATTCATTTGTTCTGAAAATGTCTGTGGAGGAGGTGGCTTGGTGGCGAATGATTTCACGGTAGGCATGTGGGAGGAAGCTTCAGAAAATAGATGAAAGTTTATGAAGTTATTTAGCTGTTGGGGTCAGTGAACATGGGTATTTTGAAAGGCAGAATAAGTGATGAATGAAGGGGGAATAAGAAAATGGCAGAAAAATGGAAAATATAATGGTGTAGAAGGCATTTTTTTCTTCTAGTTGCCTACTCTTTAGCCTGCTCTCAGGTGGCTAATGGAGGAAATAAATAAATAGGTGGCTTTAATCCTCAGTAGAGCAAACAACAGTGACAGCAAGCAGAGCAAGCTTCCTGTGAACACAAATTAAATGTGTTTGAGTAAGAAATATGAACTGTAGTGAGCATTTATTAATAAAAATTCTGTGAGCAGTAATGAATGACATTCTAGTAGACAGAGATAACCTCCAAAGTAAGCAAGAGATGATATATTTGATTGGAATAACTAAAACAAGAAGCTTCCAAAAGAAAAATGATCCCCTACCAGCAGTTAAACTAAATTGGACAGCAGTGCAGCTCATCACAGGTGACGAGGGGCCTCCAGTACCTCGTAGGCTGGAGGTCACATTGACCTTCAGAGAGTACATGGAATCCAAGCTCAAAGTACCAAAGAGGGTGATGAATGTGACAGGCAGCTCTGTCAGAGTTTTCTCTTTCATTAGGTTGTTTTACACTCAATGTAAGCTCCATCCAGAATTCTTTGTTTTTGCGTAACATCACTTATCCAGTACCTCCAATGTAGTCTTGATTTTCCTATGGGGCCACAAAGGTGATTTTCTCCACCATTTCTTCCATTCTGTGAAGGAAAGCAGTCACAACTTTGCTTAAAACTTTCAGTCATTTCCCATTATTCTTAGGAGAAGGAAAAAAATCTTCTACATGGCCTGCATTCCCTTGGCCTTCTTCCTCCATTGTAAACAAATGTCCCGGAAGCGTCTGTGCAAGCTCCCTGGCTTCTAGCACCTGTGCTAATTCTGACTCCCCTGGAGAGTGCACCTTCCCTTCTTATCCTAGTTAACTCCTTCCCAGCTGTCAGGTTTCTGCTCACGTGTCACCTGCAGAAAAGCTTCTCTAACTCTTAATCCTAGGGAAGGTCACTCTGCTCTAGATCCTCATTGTGCATGGAGTACTTTCCTTATGGTATTTAATACAAACATGAATATTCTTCTCCTTTGCTAGACTAAGCTCTACAAGGTCAGGGGTGCCATTTTGTTCACCTGTGCATCTCAAAATGTAGCACATTGTTGGGTATGCAGCATGGTGTAGATTATGTGTTCATCATATGATATGAAGCATGGTGTAGACTATGGGCTCATGGCCTGGTGTGGAGTATCGCCCTGATTATGTACTCATGGCTTGGTATGGAGCATGGTGTAGACTATGTGATTATCATCTAGTTTGAAGCGTGGTGTAGGCTGTGCACTCATGGCCTGGTATGGAGCATGGCCTAGACTATGTGCTTATGGTCTGGTATGGAGCATGGTGTTGGACTATGCACTCATCATCTGATTTGAAGCATGGTGTAGACTATGTGCTTATGGCCTGGTGTGAAGCATGGCCTAGATTATGTACTCATGGCCTGGTATGGAGCATTGTGTAGACTATGTGCTTATCATCTAGTTTGAAGCATGGCGTAGGCTGTGCACTCATGACCTGGTATGGGGTAGGCTGTATACTCTGTGCTCATCACTTGATATGAAGCATGGTGTAGGCTGTGCACTCATGGCCTGGTATGGAGCATGGCCTAGGCTATGTGCTTATGGCCTGGCATGGAGCATGGTGTAGACTATGTGCTCATCATCTGATTTGAAGCACGGTGTACACTATGCACTCATGGCCTGATGTGAAGCATGGCCAAGACTGTACACTCATGGCCTGGTGGTGTGGAGCAGGGAGTAGTGTATAAAACCATGGCATGGTCTGGAGTATGTACTCAATCCATTTTCTGGAACGAGTGAACATTCTTGTTCTCAGATTGACTACTTTCATGGGAAAACTCCAGTTACTGAGGCCAAATGGGTCTGAGCTGTCCCAAACTCTGCAGTGCCATGTCTTAAAATGGCTTTGCTTCCTATTTGTCATCCTCTCAGGGCAATGACTCAGGAAGAAAAATAAATCCAGGACCTATACTCATTTAAATAAACTCTGGCATTCATCTTGTTTCCTTTTGAAGATTTGAGTCACCTTGATGTCCACAAGCTCCCACTGTGAATTATTATGAACCTTGGGGAGAGGAGAATTCCTGGAACATCAAGGCAGGGGAGAGGCAGTAAGGTAATAATAACAGGGGCATGCATGGAGTACACACTGCTCTAGATTTGAGGGCCTAGGTGTGGGGGCCTAAGTTCCCCACGGGCATCAGCTCATTTAATCCTCCCAGTAACCCTAGGAGGCAGGTGCTATTATCAGTCACCCACATGGTTCAGATGAGGACAGTGAGGTGTGGAGGAAATAGCTAGTCAATGTGAAAGAAGGATTTAAACCCAGTCATTCAATCTTCATAACCTGTATTCTTAGTCATGGTGCTAAACTGTCCTTCAAGACAAGAAAGCTTCTCCCAGACTTTCTTCCTTGATTTGTATGCCTTCTTTTCACAGGAGGGTAACTGTGTTTAGTTGTGTTCATAAACCTGAATGGCATCCTTCCATATATCAATTCGTTCTTTCACAAAGCATTTCCAAATACTTAGCACATACTGGGTGTCGCAGTTAGCACTGAGGATACAGAGTTAAGCATACTTCATTCTTGTCTAGAGGTAGAAATATATATATATATATATATATATATATATATATATATAAAATCTCTCTCTATATATTTATCAATATACATATGCTAATCAATATGTATATATGTAAATCCCTGTCTCTCTCTACCTATCTATACATGTATCCAGACTCTAGAGGTTGAAAGTATAATATAATATAAGTTTTAACAAATTATTATGGCCATCTAGCAGACGGGGTTAGTAAATGAGTATCTTTGAAAGAGTGTAGGAGAAGAAATCCTCATGGAGGAGTTAACATCTGGATCTGGAATGATAAAAATGAATTTGACAGGCAAATAAGTAGAGAAGAACATTAAAGGAAGAAGGAACAGCATGACAACGGTGGGGAGGGGGCCTTGGCTGTGGAGAGGGCTTAGTGGAGGGACTTTGTGGTGTGGGTGGAGCCGTGGGGAAGGAGGTGGGAGGATGGACTGAGGCCAGATGGTGCAGGTTTGTAAATGTGATTGTTCATTCGAAGTGAGAGATCCACCGGGTTTGTTGGCAAAACTGGCATTATTATTTTAGCAAGACAGCCAGGGCCCCTCTGGGGATGATGGACTGGAAGTTGGCGGCGGTGCTACTGAAGAGAGGGAGGGGGTCAGCCCATGGAGCCGGCTGGTTTCCAGGTTGGAGAGGTGACAACGCTTCCCACCCCTGGTGTGTTCTGCGTCCAAATGGTTCCACCACTCTCCGTGGGCTGCACAGCCCTCCAAAGGATGCTGTGTCTGTGGATGGGCCCTCTGGGAGGTTTGAAATGTCTGGCAGGCAAGTCCTTTAGTGCAGTAAAGAGGTATTTAAAACAAGCACCTGTTACACGCTTCATGGGGGCTTGATGAGGAGGAAGAGTAACTGGAGCCTGTGGGCCCCGTGAATTGGTAGAAAGGGCACAGTCTGGTGGCCGTGCCTTTCCTTCTCCGGAGGCATGAGCAGGGTGAAGGCTTTTCATGGGAGAAACTTGCTGTCTTCACCTGAGCCCCTATGTTCTTTCATTTTTTAATACTCAAAGTCCCTGAGCCCCATGTGAGCCCTTTCTGTGGAACTGCAACTGAGAGGCCAGGCCACAGGCCCCTGCCTTCCCCTCTGGCTCCGGGCAACACTGGCTGGAACACTCACTAATTCCGTGGCATGTTACAGGTCTCAGGTTCCCCCCAGGACACCCATGAGGGTCCAGGAAGCTCAACTTGCCTCCTTGGCTTCGTGATGCTCAAGGACTGCTTCTTAACCATACTACTTTGAAATAGATCCCAGTCCCTTCCTATAGCCCCCACTCCCCCAAAAGACAGCACACCCAGAAGCATCCAAATATATAATGGGCCTGCCTTCGGATCTGGAGGCCCTTGGGAGAGGTAATGTTGCATACCTGTGGCCTCTGTCATCTTCCCAGCCTCTCGCTTCCTTGGTCTTCTCATGAATTCCAACCTTTATCCTTATGTGAAAAAAATCAGCTGCTTCTAGCTTCCGTTCCCAAACCCAAATAACAAACACAGAAGGGTGCTAGGCAGCAGAACAGGCATTTCTTCCTGGGGAAATCCATCCTAATTAGGAGGCAGTCATGATCATAGTGACCCTAACGTGGGCAAATGGCTAGGCTTTGTGTGCTCTGCGTGTGTGTGCGCCTTTGTGTGTGGGTCCATGTGTGTACATATGCATGTACGTATGTTTCTACATGTGTGCGTATACAGTTGATATCCTGAGAAAGTGTCAATAGGCCACATTTTGATGTGGAAGTAAATTTTCAGACTTCTCAGAAGGGTTTCAGAGCAGCGATAATGCGTATTAGGGAAATGACTGCCAGGCCAAGGACTGGAGGAAGCTTCTAACGGTTCATGTGTGGCAGAAGTAGTCATCTCTGGTGCACATGCTGAGGTGTGCGAACCCCTAAAAGTGACTTGTGCAGCAGGTGGTTCACCGGGGTGCCCTGCCCCCTGCCCCCCTAGTAGTTGAAGGCCCAGACCTTGGAGTCAGTCTTATCCTAACTCTATGAACTGCATTTTCCTCACCTGTACGTTGAGGGGATGAGTATCCATCTTAGAAGGTTGCAGGAAGTGCAGACCAAATGTAGCCATGTCTGTAAATTGCTTAGTGCAGTTGCTGCCTTTAGGCAATTCTGATGGTGTTGACATAGTGCATGGTGTTGACATAGTGCATAGTGTGGCAGGTGCCTACCTGTGCCCTGGCCTGGGATTGCCTGGCTTCCTCTCCCAGTTGTGATATTTACTGGCTGTGTGATCTTGACTAAAATAGCTATGCCTCGGCTACTTACTACAAAGCAAAGCTACCAACACTTCCTCCCCCACCGTGGGATGTGACCTGTGTAAAGCGCTTAAAGCGATGCTGCCATGGAGGAAGCATCGGGGATTATTATGATGAAGATGCTAACCCTGGGAGCAGAATCTCACTTCCTAGAAAACTGCCATGAGGACGAGCGTTCAGGTCTAGAACCTTTATTCCATGATTTTCTAATTTTTAATTTGATAAGCTTTGAATTTTTTTCTGGTTGCAAATAATTCCTTTGTATTTTATTTACATAGCACCTGTCAGTTTATTATGGGGGCACAGAGACAAGTGAGCTATTTTAGTTGGAAAACAATATTTTTGTTCTAAAGCAGTAAAAGAGGGGAGGAGAGACCTACTCTGAAAGCCAGTTAAACTGTGTGGGGTCATGCCAGTCTTCCTGACCTCATCAGCATGGCCTGGTACATGGACCTGTGCCCCCCACTTTTCCAGCACAGGGTCCATTTCAAGTACAAACCCACCTCCCCACTCCTTAATCTTACAAGTGGTTCTTGGGTGTCTTCCAGCACAGGGGTCAGACCCAAATGTACTCTGTTCCCTGGGGTTGTGCCATTTACAGACAAGGTGAGCAGAGGCTAGAGTGCGCTTCTACATGAGGTGAGGTAGCCCGGGCACAAATACACTGGCTTCTTTCTTCAAGGATGAATGGCTACAGTTGGTAGTGTCTCATTACCTGAGAGGCAATGTTAAAGAAGGCTGCTTATTGTTTCTGCTTTTGACAAAAGAATGTATGTTTTGGAATCTGATTTCAGATGCAGCATTATTTCAAAACTCAAAAACAAACAAACAAACAAACAAAATACCCCTCTTCTGACCAGGCAAACCTGGAACTAGTTTCAATGGAATCTGACATATAGAATGAAGTTAAACGCCATTTGTAAGGCTCTAAAATAAAGATATTTTCTTTTGATTATGTAATTATTTATCCAACTGCATGGGGCATAAATATGAGTTGCTGATCTACGTCCTGGTGAGAGAAATCCAATTTGATCTCTTTTATGTGGCATGTTCATTTTTGCAGGAAGATTCAATTATTCCCCCACTTACAAGGCTATAAATGAGTTTGCTGGGCCAGTTCCTGACACAAGCGCTCTCATCATTATTCAGATTAGTTTTCACTTTTCTAAACTGGTCTTCTGCCTACTGCTTCTGGAGCTCAGCCAGCATTTCGGAAGAGGATTAAATAATCTTTCTCTCACAACTTCCTACATGTTGTGCTATTTTGTTCCTTCCCAAATGTCATCCTCTGCTCCTGTGCACGTTTCCCATGGGTGAGGGTTTCAGACGTCCCGGGGCTTATCGTCCTGTGGCTGGTCAGGCCCAGGCAAGGCAGCCCTGGCCCCGACTCCCAGGTCCTCCAGATGGGTGCTGAGCTGGAGCCTGGGGCTGTCTTCGCCACAAGAAGGCAGAAATCACTGCTTACCCACAAACGGATCATCAGGACTTCATCAGAAGCAGAGGCAGAGGAAATTGATGGGAATACACTCCTGGGCTAGAGACACAAAATGAGACACCTGGAACAGAGAAGAGGGAATTTAGGCAGCTGAAGGGGAACCTGTTGCAGCCTTGAATGCCGGGGGCTCCTTGGGCTCATCTCTCCCTTCACTCTATTAGTAATGGAATCCTCCTAAAGAATTCTCCAAGCCTCTGAAGAGCGTGGAGGACAAGGGGTGGAAGCATGAAGAATGCCCTGGCCTCTTATTTTGAAGGCGTGGAGCACATTTCACATGAATCACACTGTCATGCAGGTGGATCCCGGGAGGAAGGGCTAAGAGTAAGGAGAATTAAGATAATCTTTCACCTTCCTCTTCTACCCCGTGACGTGATGTAGAATCTTATCTCCAATTTCTCCATCTGGCTTGAGCACATCTAGGCAAATTCTAGCCCATCATACACTTACCAGGATCTCCAGCAACTTGGCTTTCAGCCTTGCCAAGTCACTTGGACTGCTGAATTCGTCCCCCCTTGGGTGTCTGAGTGTGGGGGTGTCTTCCTGCTTCCCCTCACTCACATCTTCTAAATTCTTCTTCCTGGTAGAAATATCTGCCAGTGATTTCCTGTTTCTCACTCTGGTTCTCGGCTCCAGCTGCCCATTTTCATGACCTGGGGAGCTGCAAGATCCTATCAGCCCAACCCTGCCCCATCAAGGGAACTGGAATCTCTGTAGGGAGGCCCAGGCAGGGTTGTAGGAAAGATGCTTCCCGGGGGGCTCTAATGGGCAGGCAGGACTCAGAACAGGGGAAATGAAATGTAGCCAACCCTTGGCTTCTTTTGTCCTCAAGATTCAAAGAATCAAAGGATTCAAAGAAGAGATAGGAGACTTTTGTAAATATAGACAACCAAAGAGATAAGTTGCAAAACACCCAGTTCACTTGGAGGAGGCAGGGATGGTTCCCAGGAGATGTGGCCTTTGAACAGAGAATAGGCTTTTTAGGTGGAGAGGATTTAAGTGGAGAGAGCAGCAGATGTAAAGGCAAGGAGTCCGCGTGCATTCGAGGAATGGCAAGGATGCCGGGAGATGGGAGGTGGTGGAGTGGTGACAGGAGAGTTGTGCAGAGCAGGATGGGGCCAGGCTGTTCAGGGCTGTGTGTGCCCAGCCCAGGTGTGTCCTTAGACCACAGGGGGCAGTGGGTGCTATGGCTGGGTGGTGATGGGGTCAGTTTGCTTGCTAAAGTAATACCCCTAGTACAATGTGGAGGGTATGCTGGAGTTTGAAAGGCTGGTGAGAGGAAGAAGAAGTCAGAAGCAACTGTGAGTTAGCAAGGTTGTGAGGAGGGCATGGACTAAGGCTGTCAGGAGAGGAAGGAGAAGCAGGTGCAGCTCTGAGACGGAATCTCCACAGCTTCCAGAATGACTGGGATTCCCCAGCTAAGGAGATGGATCTGCATTTGGGGGCTGGACATTTGGGTAAAGGGTAAAACCATAAACAGAGGAGGAGGCCCTCTTCTTTCTCTTTTAGGAAAGAAAATGAGCTCAGATTTTCTTTGTTAAGCAAAAGATACCAAAAAAGCACCAAAAAAAAATCGATGGCAGGTGGATAGTTTGCCAGGAGTCAGGTGAGGATGTCTGCATATTCTGCATCAAGGTAGGGCTGGAGTCCTGTGCCAGGGTGAGGTTGTCCTAGGAGAGACAAAGCACAGCCTTGAGAGCTGGGGGTTCTGGACATTATCACTGCTGAAACAGGGCGGCGGCGGAGGAGGGGTCCATGCAAGCCTGAGGAGGAAGAGGGAGCTCTGTAGAAAGCAAGGGGTACCATCTCCTGCCCCAGACTGCGTTCCTGGGCTCAGCACCTTCTCTTCACTGCAGGACGCTCAACAGGCATGTCCCAGGCAGCAATATTTCATGCATCCAAACTGGGCTCTGCAGCTTCCCTCCTTCCCAGGCACTCCCTCTGGGCTCCTCTGCTCAGATGCTCCTGCCAGACACCTGGAAGGGAGTTTTGCCCAGTTGCTAAGGGAGGCCTCTCAGTCCATCTCTCCCAGAGCTCCCGCCACTCCATCACCACACTGATTCCTGGAGGAACCTGCAGCAGCTCCCTGGCTGTCCCCACCATCCACCCTCACCCCTGTGGGGTCTTGTCCACACAGCACAAAGATGGTTTGTAGGAAAGATGCTTCCCAAATATGGTTTCAAACATGCAAACCTGAGTCTGTCTCGCTCCTGCTTACAGGCCTTCAGTGCCTTGTTCTGACCCTGGGTACAGTTCAATCCTTACTGAGGAAGGGTGGGTGGGTGCATGGGGGGGCGTCCCACCCACGGGCCCCCTCCTGCTCTGCTCAGCAGTTTCATCCCCGAGGATGGAGCCACCTTGCTCTTTCAGGTTTCTGATTGTGCCTGGCATGGCACACTGCCTGAAAGTAATACAAAATATTTGCATGAAAACACATTTTTAAAAATGCACGTTGACTGTGCACTAAAAACATAAAATTCAAGTAGTTAAAAAAATGGGAAAATTAAGTAGGTTGAAATGGTTGAAATTCAAGCAACTAGACTGACCAATTATGAGGTCACTGTGACTTCTATATTAAGACAAGTTTCAATAAAGTGATGGAAGATGCAGATTTTATAAGGTTGAGGAATTATTTAAGGTTCAAAAGATGGAGATAGCATTCTCTGCTTCTTCCTTCCTCAAAGAACTGAGCGCAATCCTTCATCCTTCTCCTGTTCCCTCTTCCACTTTTGGTAACCTCTAATTTCTTGATAATAACAAGAACAAATACTATTTATTCACCACCCAGGCTCAAAATCTCACCCCAATCATGGCCTTTTTCACTGGTCCTCAATTATCACGGGATCTCTTAATTGTCTTTCTGACCTCTAATTTCGCTTATTTAAAGTGACCAATTTCATTTATGAAAATGCTTCTTTCATTTTATAAATCCATTGCTCCAGAATGTTCTGTAGCAGCCTAAACCTGCTCTTCACGGCAATTTGTAATCTGGTTCTCAACTTTCCAGATTCAACTCCTGGTGCTCCCGGATACAGATCCTGTTCTTCACACTTCTCTTGCCCTGGGCACTGAGTTCAGCGTGCTCAGCAAAGCCTGTGTGTCATGCATTGTTCAGCATTTTTCTCCCATTGCCTTTCCAACTCCAACTTTTCCTTGAAGGTCCAGACCAAATTTGACCTTCTCAAGGAGTCTCCTGAGACCATGTTAGCCTGCAGTGGTTTCTATGCGCTGATAGCTCTTACTGTCCACATTGTATGAGCACAGACACCCTCGCAGTGCCTTCATTTTCCAAATGTGCTTCCACATTCCTAAAGGCAGGAGACAGGGTCTTCTCTTACTGGGGAAGAAAAAGAAAATTCTGTCTCCCATGTGCCCTCTGGACCGTACATCTCCACAAATGCAGGTTGAGCATCCCTAATCCAAAAATCTGAAATGTTCCCAAATCTAACACTTTGAGTGCTGATACAACACTCAAAGGAAATGCTCACTGGGGCATTTTGGTCTTCAGATTTTCAGATTAGGGATGCTAAGTATAATGCAAATATTCCAAAATTGAAAAAAATGTGAAATCTGAAACACATCTGGTCCCAAGCATTCTGGATAAGGGATTCTCAACCTGTAGTAAATAGAACCTCAGTGTTCAAACAAGTAAGAAAAGACTTAAGAAACTGACCAAAATTTAAAAAGATGCATGACAAGTATAGGTGCAACATCTTAAATATATTGGAGATTATATTTCCGCTGTTAAGCATATTGGTTTGAAGGTAGAAATAAAAATGGTCAACTTGTAATGTAGTACATTGTAATGATTTTAACCTTTTAAAAGTCTTTAGAAGAAGAAGCACAAGGTAAGAATTCTCTAGTCCAGGGTTTCTCAATCTGTTCCATTGAACTTCGGGCTGGTTAACTCCTTGATGTGATGCTGTCCTGGGCATTGGCTTTGTAGGATGTTCAGCACATCCCAGGCCTCTGCCCACTTTATACCAGTAGCACCCTGTCTGGTCGTGACAACCAAATAGTCTGAGACGTTGCCAAATGTCCCCTGGGGGGAGCAGAGTGGCCCTCAGCTGAGCATCACTACCCTGAACTTTCAGACTGCTAGTGACGTTTACACCTTTGGAAGTGGCGGATTGATATCTCACTCTAGTGCCAGGGTTGGAAGTTGGGGCCTCAGTCACCATGTGCACACAGAACCTGAGAGAGTGTTCGCATGGCAGCCCCCAAGGTCTGGGTCTGAACACAATCCTTCAGGGGACACAGAACCTGAGAGGGTCCTGGCTCAGGACCAGCCTTGCCCAAGGGTCTCTGGTTTAAATGATGACTGTTGTCCTCAGGGGCACCATGGCACTGGGGCTAATGCACCAGCCATTCTTACCAAAGCAGGAACTAGTGCACTCTGCAGGAGGGCCTCCACCCCTCCCAAGAACGTGGAAACTTGCCTTGGCAGTCAGGGGTGGG
The DNA here is from genome assembly GCF_000001405.40 of Homo sapiens. Lineage (NCBI taxonomy): Eukaryota > Metazoa > Chordata > Mammalia > Primates > Hominidae > Homo > Homo sapiens. The sequence goes on along the minus strand of NC_000018.10, from coordinate 73,936,355 downwards.
GCCCTGCTTGTCGCTGTGGTACCATAATGTTGAGGGTGCATTACAAGAACGTGTCTAACCCACAGGGAACTTTTAAAGCTGGAGGTACCTGTTGGAATTTGGTCACTTTTACTGCACATGATTCCAGGGCCATCTGACTATCCTGACATTTGCCTGGTTTATGATACGGGGACACACGTGCATGAGATCGAGAGTGAGGATGCTCAGAGTTTAATTAGCATGCATCTGTCTTGGGCATGTGCCCAGACGCTCTGTGATGGGTGAATCTGAAAAATCAATACTAACGGTAAAAGACAAATAGGGTAACACTAATGAGCTCCATAACAATAATTTGTAAAACAAATCCTAACTTTACAGGCTTCTTAGGTGGGGTTTGGGGCTTACTCCGAGGAAGCCTGAGTGAGCCAGGTTGGTTGGAAGTGGACAGGAGCCACACATGCTTGGACCTCACCCAGCTGCCCAGAGGCATTCTCACTACTGAGCCCCAGGTCACAAGAGGAACGAGTGCTGATGGCCCAGAGAAATCGAGACAGACCCAGACCCCACGCCATCACTTAGGAATTCACTATTCTCGGAGGCCACTTAACCTTTCTGTGTCTCCATTTACACTTCTCAAAATAATAACACAGCCCTAGTCCCAGTGGAGGGGGATACTACATGCGGACAGCTCTTCCTGAACTGTGAAGTGCTGTTCGGACAGTGGTTGGCGTTGCCGACCCCACACCCAGCTCTCCACTCAGGGAAGAAGACCTGGCTGTCCTTCTTAGAGGATAATTTTCAGTGGGGCCAGGAGTGGGGACTTTCACTAGCTGGAAAAAGAGCCCCCTCTAAGTGTTCTGGGAATAGAGAATTAAATATGGGAATGAAAACTTGCCAAGGTAGGGAGGGCTGGGTAAGGAAAGGCCTGGAAGTGTCAGAGAACAAACCCCTTACCCTCATTGTCCTGGTGCACAGGCACAGGCCTGAGCTGCAATGTACATTGGCACGCAGATGTTTGTTAGAGTCCCTGCTTTCAATTGTTTGGGGTACATGTCTAGGAACAATTGCTAGGCCATATGGTAATCCCTATGGTTAGTGTTTCGAGGATCCACTCTAATCTGGAACTGTACAGAGAGGGAGACTGGGGAATATAGTCCCGGGCGTTGGGGGCATGGTGCTTCCATGCTGACAACACAATCCAGCAAGCTCTATATGTGTCTGTCTTTGGCATTTCCCACAGTGGCCTGGTGAGGAGGGCTGTGTTTGATAAGCCAATAAGACTTCCTCCTCCGGAATCTGGACAGGAAAATATAAATAACTTTCATCACTCAGAATATCCCAGGTCGTCAGAGACCACAGAGGTGCCATTGAGGCCATAGGAGTGAAGTTTGCCTTTATCCTTGGTGGCTCTCTGATTTTGATCCTGGCATCCTTATATGCTGTGCTGAATGGCTGTTAACCTCAGTGAGGTGGTACCAGGTTCAAGAGGCTGAAGAAGAGACCCAGAGCGAGTCCAGTGGCGGCGCACTGGACAGGAGAACTGAAAACACTTGCAAACAGCATGCAGTTTATATAGCATTTTCACTTAATACCTTCCCCTTAACAACATCTACCTGGCAGCCTTCATTTAACCCAAAACTCAGGGCTTCAATCCCCTGTACAGCCTATGTCTTACAGGCCAAGTCCGGGGTTCCAATATTCCTCATAGAGAAGGAACGAATCTCCAGGCTGGCTACTCTCAGAACACAAATCTAGGTGCATCTGCCATACAGGGTCATTCTATGGCTATGTTTAAGTTATTGCTGTGATTGCTATCAGGTGCATTTACCCTACATTATAACAAACAGATTTGCCTCAAAGTAGCCTTGTAGATGTCTGTGCAGCAAAGATCAATATGCACAGCTTCTTTGGGGAACTGGGTCTTGGATAGTTCTTTATTCTCGAATCTCTTAAGGCTGTGTAAACAGTGGCCTTCTCAACTTGGTCTTTCAGCCAAGGTGAGACTGCAGGCTGAAGAGAGCCCTGGCTGGAGAGCCCTCCTGAATGGCAGTGGGGCTCTGAGGTAAGTGGGGACAGATCTTGTCAAGGGGAGGGACAGTGAGGCAGGAGAGCCAGACAGCAGCAGAAGTGCACAGACACAGCACCCGGGAGTAGGTGGGGGTCACGCAAGACCCATCAGAAGGCTGGCACAGTGAGCACACGCAACGGGAGAAGGCTGTTATGTCCCGAATGAGACACCGTCTTCCCAGGCACTTCCTTGTCCACCTGTGTAGAGGTAACCCATGCTTCCTTATTTCTCTACATGTTTTCCATATAAATTCCATTACTCGATGGAAATGCTTGTCTCTTTTCACTGCCAACTGAAAGAGCCTAATTAAAACACACACACGCACATATATGTGCATACACACATGCACTCTTGTACACACCCATGCACACATCTGTGCCTAATCAGCATCTTTCTACATCTCTGTTTCTGTCTTTGCCAAGGCTGCAATTAGCAATCTCGGTCATACAACTTCCTTAGCACCTCATCCCTGACTAATACAACCTCTTGGCAAGTTCTCTTTCTCCCATAAATTACCTACATACTCATTTTATTTTCAGCTCATAGGCTTACACAATATAAACTGAACCAGAAAGTATAAAAATCATGTTGTAAATTTAGGCTGTAGAGAGAGCTAAACTGGTTAATAAAAATAAAACCAACAAAAGTCTTTCCAGGGGTTGAATTAGTAAATTTGGACAATTTCCTTCGGTTATTTCTAGACCGTGACAGGGAATGTGTGTATACAGTTGAATAATAGATTTGGTTATTTGTTCAAAATAACTGATAATCAAACATTACTTTGTTCCAAAATGCTAATAAAAACTGTATTTCTTCCCACTCTCTTTAAATGCATGGCCCAGAATCAAGGCCAGGTATTAAATCAAGCCAGAGAGAGTTGATGTGGATGGGCTTTGAGGCCTGGCCTTGAATTCCAATCGGTTTTGCAGGTCCCAAGTGGGTTCTGCTTGGGAAAGTCTTGAAATTTTAGCTTGCTTGTTACACCGACGTGCTGTAGGCCACAGTGGGCTCAAGAGGTCTGAGGCCCCCATGTACAGAGTTCCCTTATTTTGTCAGCTGTATTCACTGAAGTCATGTTCCTTTATCATGTAAATCAGAGTAAGCATATCGTCCTCTACTCCACCCAAGATGAGGAGGACACCTCCCACCCCAGGACTCTGGGCCAGGAGGCTGCTTCTATCCCTCACCAGCTGTGTGTCTCTGGACAAATATGCAACCCATCTCTCGCAGCCTCAGTTTCCTCAATTCTGAACTGGGGGTAATAGCCACTGAACTAGGGGTGAAGCCCACTGCATGGTTGTTGTAAAGATTATTCAGAAGATATAAAAATATATATTTCTGGGCAATGAGAGCTACTTTTATTAAGAGTTTCTGTAGTTAAAAGGAAGACAGAGAATTCATAGACACCTCAGAAGTGACAGTTTTCCTTTCCTGCAGGAGCTTAACCTGGGGTCCATGCAGCCTTCAGGGTGTCCTTGAACTGCTAGAGAGACAGCTTGTAGCTTTCAACATATTCTTAAAATAATCCCCAAAAGTATAAGAATCACAGCTCTAGTGTTTTCAGGAAATGCTACTGTGATCCCTTTTAGAAATTCTTCAATATTCTTTCTATTATTGGAACCAAACTTAGCTTTTCCATTTGGCCATTAGATTTAGTACCAGCAATATTCGTGGGTTCCACGCTCCCAGGCTTTCTTCTTCACAGCAGTTTCCCAGGTAATGTGGGAAAGGTAAAATGCTTTCAACTGTTTTGGTTTGGGGAATTGGTCCTGCTTGATGAAGAAATGGCTCCATTTCAGCCTATGCTTTAGCTCATTATTTGGATTGAACTCATTTTGCAAATAACTGGACCTCCCCAACCAAGGTACAACCAAGATACAAATTAAATACCTCCTTCACACAGAACACAGAATGATTCCTGGCCATTGTAGTCTGTTTCTCACCAAGGTAGGCAGGTAATAAAACTCAGTCCCCAGGTGTGCAATAAACACCACAATAAACTATCCAGTGTGAGTTTGTGTCTTTTCCTAGAAAAATTCATTTGTATTTACAATAGCTGGTCAGCTAACTCAAATGCCACCTCTAACTAGACAAGGAAAGAATTCGAGTCAGGTGGGTAGTTCATTATATTATATAAGTATGAATGCACTTTGGAAGGATATAAAGAGGCCATAAAATGTGTTAAAATTCAAACGGTTTAGATCCTTTTCCTGGTTATTCAAATGTAAGAAATGATAGGCTGAAGTCAGCATTTCTTTGAACTAAACATTTCCTCTCATATGAATGGCCCTGTATTAGCCCATTCTCATGCTGTTAATAAAGACATACCTGAGACTGAGTAATTTATAAAGAAAAAGAGGTTTACTGGACTCACAGTTCCACATGACTGGGAAGGCCTCACAATCATGGCTGAAGGTGAAGGAGGAGCAAAGACACGTCTTACATGGCAGCAGGCAAGAGAGCATGTGCAGGGGAACTCCCATGCATAAAACCATCAGATCTCATGAGACTTATTCACTGTCATGAGACCAGCATGGAAAAAACCCACCCCCATGATTCAATTACCTCCCACTGGGTCCCTCCCATGACACGTGGGGATTATGGGAGCTACAAGTCAAGATGAGATTTGAGTGGGGACACAGCCAAACCATATCAATCTCCCTTTCATAAATTTGCATTTAGCAAATCATAGGCATTAATAAAATATTTCAGAAAATGAAGGAAAAATAAATTTGAACCCAAATAGCTTATGTGTGTCTTTTGACCTCTATGTAGTGCCTACAAAATGTGGTGTGTTTGTGTATGTGTGTGTGTGTTTCAAATCTACTTACTCTTCTGCATGGTTGGACAAAGAATATTAGCAGAAACTTGTTCTTTGAAGGAAAAGGTAAAATATACAGGAATACAGTTCTTCAATTTTGGGAGTTACAACCTTTAATCTGATTTTTTTCTTTTCTGGTAGATCTGGAGAGCTGGAGAGAAAATGGTGAGAAGTGTTCCTTAGTCTGGTATAATTATTGAGAACAAATTTTCTCTTTCTCTGTCTCTTTCTCTCTCTCCTTCCCTCCCCTCCTGTTCTGTCTGTTACAGCTGCATAAGTTTGCCTTCAAGCTCCTTGAGGGCAAGCACTAAGTCAAGCTAGTGCTAGGGGGAGTTTAATAGGTATTTTAATTTCAGGTTATAAGAAGTTAGCTTTTTTAGTGTCCATCTTTCCTCAGTTCCTTTCAGTTGGTCCATTGTGGCAGTGTTCACTGGTTTTAGAGGTGTGGCTTGTGTCCCTGGCACTCACAAGATCATGCACAATGGATAAACAGCATTTTCAAAATAAGATAGAACTTACAATTAGGGATGGTTTTAGGTTAAAACTTCTGTTTTAGGAGGGTACCTAGCTTTATTTTACCAATCCAGGTAGCATCAACAGCTTTGATAAGGGGTAGAAACTCAAGAGGGACTTCATACCCATTAACTTCCACACAAAAGTCTCCCTAAGAGGCTCAAGCCTTCTATAACCACAAAATTGTTCTTTTAATTCAATTTGCTCATTTAATATGTATGGAAAGAGGGTTGTACAGTGTTTACTATTCTTAATTCCTGCTGTTGACTGATTATCCAATTAATGCGTATGTGGCAGGGAATAGGTGGAAGTTGCTTTTCCCATTTTTCAAACTGAACAGATGCAAAGCTAGAAAGGAAGTAAGAATCTCAAGAAGGCTATACATGAATTCTTTGAAGGAGCTCTTACTAACTCTCTCCAATCTCTCGCACCTATCAATTAGGTAACTTCACCTCCAAAAAGAGGAGTGAAGAATGATATAATATATGATTCATTTCAATTATTGGATGAAAATTTTGAGTTTTTTTGAGGCAGAAGATGAATGAGTTCTCAAATATTGTGTCTCATTAAAGACCAAAAAATACCCAGATGGATTATCTGCAGACTTAGAAAGACAATCATTTACTGATACTAAAACATTACTGCTAATAAAATGTGAATTTTACTTAGTTTTTATTAAGCTCTTTGTAAGGGAAAAGATGTCAGTATGCTCTCTATTGAATTTTCTAGACGATGCCTTAAACAGTAACAAATAAATTGCAGCAGAATTTTTCAAATTGAAAAAAAATCAGCCAAACACCCTCTGAAGATAAAACACAAAACTTTCTTAATTGCTATGCCATCTTTCTAGAAAGTTCTTGGAGATAATGGGTGAAAATGCTTTAAGTACACAATTTAAAAAATTAAGATCGCTAAATGTCTTAGATTGTCAAAAAACAAATGTTTATATTGAGAAAAGTGGTTTGACCTCAATTAATATTAAAAATTATGAATGTCAATACTAATCTGTAATGACAGCCTCACTATTCCATGTCTCCTCTGTGTGTGGAGGAATGGGATGCAGCGAGGAGGCCAGGCTGGAGTTCTAAAACAATGTTCTAAATTCGTCGTGCGATGGGGAACTCAACTTGATGCAGATATCTTATAATGAGCCTTGATCTTGGCTTATTAAAGGGGTAGTAGAAAATCAGTCATGGATAGCCATGTGATCTTATCTTCTGTCTGCTTTCCCTCTGTGCTTAAAATCTTAAAATGCATCTGCAGAACCCTCACATTTTAATCCAAAGTTTTTCCTTATTTTCTTTAAGACATTAAAAAACTTACATATACAATGTTCATTGCAGAAATTTCAGAGAGGTCAAAAAAATTCACTCATCTCACCCACCAATTGGATAAAACCACTATTAAGTTTCTGTGCATTTCAGAATGTATACTTCCTTCTCAAACTATCAATTCAGAAACAAAACTGGATCATATTTGAAACACTTTTCTAGATTCTGCTTTTCTCACTTTATATGTCATAAACATCTTTCCATATCAATAGAGTATACACTTATGTTATCATTATAAATGAAAATGTTATTACATATTTTTGTTAATAATTCACTCAACTCATTGCCAATTGTTGGACATTCAGGGTCCTTATAATTTCTTTTATTGTAAATAGCACAATAAACATCTTTGCCCATGTTTTCTGCTATTCAGTCGTTTTCTTGGGATAAATTTCTAGAAGTAAAATTTGAGGGCTAAAAATTTATATATTATTAAAATATTGGCTAAATTACTCTCAAAAAATTTCCTAGCCATTTTTATTCTGTATATTTGTTTTCATTTTGGCCAATTTGATGGAAAATTATTGTATTTTATTGATTTTGGTTTATATTTTTTATCATTAGTAAAGAGAATTTCTTCATATGTTCATTGGAAATCCTTTTATAATTTCTCTATTTGTGTCCTTTACCTACTTTTTTATCAAGATGGCCATCTATCTTATTTATTTCTAAGGGTTTTAAAAATTATATTAAGCATGTTGACCCTTTGTATAGCTTATCTTTTGTAGATTTCTTTCCAATCCAGGTAGTCTCAACATCTTTGACAAGGTGAAGGATTTTGATTTTTAACTATGTGAATTTTATGTTATAGGGGTTATGCTTTTACATTTTGTATATGTTTTAGGTATTCAAGCTTGTAGTCTTTTCTTTAATGGGCTCTGCCTTTTGAGTCAGAATTAAGAAGCACCTTCCTACAAGGTTATGGGAGCATTCATCTATATTTTCTTCTAGTAAGTATCTGGTTTTAATTTTTATGGCAGAAATTTAATCAACCTAACAGAATAAAGAAGAATCAAAATTTCCCCCCAAATGGTTCCTGATTTATTGAAAAATCTATCTTTTTCTATTGATTAAAAAGGCTGCCCTTCCTTCCTTTATGGAATCAGGCAGCCAATCAGCAATAGGCTAATGATATCTGACTCTACTAGAAGAAAGGTGCATATTCTTTCAGCTGACTTGGCAGATCCTTCTTTGAGCACGAATGGCTCATACTGGACTGTTTTATCCCTTTGTTTGAGGCCTCAGGGTCTCAGCCCCAGGTCTGAATCAAAACTGCTTTTTTCCCAATGTCAATGTCCCCAGTTTGGATATTACTGTAAAGTTGTTTCCTGCTTTCTCTTTGTTTCTACCTCATTGTTTGGGCTATTCAAGCAGAAGGTTTTTCGGATCTTTCCTTCCTTGCTACTCACCACTGTAGAGAAATAGCCAAGGAATTACGGAGTTCAAATGAGAGATGAGGAGAAGCTATGGAAATCTTCAGAGCAGGATCCCTGACCATAGGTCCCTGCTTCCCACTGAGAGCCCAGAGTCTGTTTGTACCTCTCCCACCCACCATGCCTTGAGCTGTTTTGGTTTTGCCTTTGGGGGACACTAAGGTAGAGAGTTCAATGTTTCTTTGCTTAGGAGGACAAGTGGCAGCTCCAAAGCCCTCCTGGGTTGGATGACATGAGGCACCCTTGACCTCCGTCCTTTCCAACAAGGAGCCCCTTAGGGGAATTTCTCAAACATTACCCCTCTATGGTACCTCAGTTCCAGTTATGCATTCAACAGATATTTATGAAGCAACTGTAATATACCTGAGACTGATCTAGGTGTTGGAAATAGAGTAGAAGATAAGCCAAATGTACTGAATTCATGGAGCTGATATTGCATCAGGTGTTTCTTTTACTGCTCTCTAGATTAGAGGTAGTGATTCACACACCTTTACTGCCACTCTCCCCATGCACCTCGCTATTGGATTATGCTTTCCCGAGGCCAGGCACATGGTTATTACTGACCTTTGGTTTCCCATTTGCATCCCAGCATACAACAAGGAGCCAGCTTTCCTGTTGAATTAAAATCATTGAATAATGCTCCCTTTCATATGGATTTCATCTTTGTTCTGAAACCCAAACTGTGGCTCCAGGGAATTAAGAATTTCTTATGCTATAAAGAAAGACCTTAAAACAGGGCTTCTCAACCTTGGAACTGTTGACATTTTGGGGAGATAATTCTTTTTTTGAGACAGAGTCTTGCTCTGTCACCCAGGCTGGAATGCAGTGGCGCAATCTCGGCTCACTGCAAGCTCCGCCTCCCTGGTTCACACCATTCTCCTGCCTCAGCCTCCCGAGTAGCTGGGACTACAGGCTCCCGCCACCACACCCAGCTAATTTCTTTTTGTATTTTTAATAGAAACGGAGTTTCACTGTGTTAGCCAGGATGGTCTCGATCTTGGGGAGATAATGCTTAATGTTGTTGGGGGGCTGTCCTGTGAATCGTAGAGTGTTTAATAGCATTCTTGGCCTCTGTTCACTAGGGGCCAATAGCAACTTCCCCTTTGCCACCCTTCCCACCACTAAGACAGTTGTAATAACCAGAAATGTCTCCAGATATCACAGACTATCCCCTGTGGGACAAGTTTGCTCTGGCTGGGAACCACTGTGGTAACAATTTGTGGTGAATTAAATATGGCCACGAGTTGACTCTCCACTCCTTGAGACGTAAGAGGACCTTTGTCTCCTCCAATCTGGATGGGCTCTGTGATCACTTTCAGTAGAAGGAAACTGCAAAAGGGATGCCAGGCTGGTTCCTAAGCCCAGGCTTTAAGTGAATAATACTTCACTTTAGAGCTGGAGCTCTTGGCCACTGCTTAAGAAGTCTGCTTACCCGAGGCTGCCATGCCGTGAGAGTCTAAGGCAGGTGGAGAGACTCTGGAAGACTGTGTGTGTGTGTGTGTGTGTGTTTGTATGTGTGTGTGTGTGTGTGAATGAGACACACACACACACACACACACACACCAAGGAGCAATTTGGCACCATCTTGGGAATGGAGCCTCTATCTCCAGTGCCCCAGATAAGAAGCCATGTGGATCAGAGATGAACCACCTGGAAATCTGGATGTGCAGTTCCTGAATTCTCAGCCAACAAAACTATGGTAAAACAGGTTGTTTTAAGTCCCTGAGTTCTGGGATAGTTTGTACACAACAATAGATAACAGGAACAAAATTCTTTTTGAAGGTAAAGCACTTCAACCATTGATTATTTACCATGTATACATCACTGATTTAGGTCATCAGCATAATTTTCATAAGCAAAGAGCTCATGGACATCAGGCAGTCTTTGTAATACTGTAATTACTCCTGTTTCTAACACATAATCTTCATGTTATTCTTTCATCATCTCCCTATTTGGTTGAAAACATGAAATGCAGAATTTTGAAGTGCTTTCTTCTTCCTACTAATATTATTTAGCTTTTACATTAAAAATAGTGAATCACTTGCTAATTCAGAATTTAGGAGACTGTTAAAACAACCTTCTAAACTATGCAAATCTATCTTTCTCAATTAGCATGTGATAATAATACAATAAATTGAAAGAGAACTTTTTATTTTATTCTCATTACATTCAGATATAGTTCACTGAAAGATCTGTTTGTTTAGGGAATTATTTTGTTCTGAGTCAGTAAGTGAATATAATTAGGGGAAAATAAAATATGCCAAAGACAAAGAATATGAAATTGTGGCTTTTCAAATGCCACTTTTATTTTTATTTTTTTCTTCTAACTTGAGTGATGATACTGTGAAACCATGTTACATTACACTTTAGGTATCTGTAATGACCTAGCAAAATAAATGATAAATAAATCAAGATGGAAAATCTATTTAGGGCTGTGCCATGACGGATGCTGAATAAAGCACAGGTAGCTGGCTGAGGGGCCTCACACGCCTTCTCAGGATCTTTGTTTGTTTTTTTCCTGGAGAATAGTGGAGTTCGTTCCTGATACATGTAACTAAAATTTTAGGTTGGGATAGTCTCAATTTTCAGCAAATACAAACTACATTAGAGGTGGCTTCAACTATAATGAAAAAATAGGTGAGAAAGAGCATCTTACTAAAAAACCCCCACAATTTATTTAATTAAGTACTATATGCTATATGCAAATGTATATTTATATTTACACAAGTAATATAGTAACTGATGCACATTCTTTCATTTAATCCTCTTAATCCGATAGTGTAGTTTTCATCAGCACTATTTTATAAATGCAAAGAAAAAAACAGGCTCTAAGAAGTTAAGTCATTGATCCAAAATTACGGAGTTAATAAATGGAAAATCCAGACTTTGGATCCTGGTTCTTTGGATTCCAAAGCCCATGCTTGTCCCACCTTCCCATCTCGCAGCCCTCTTAGAGGAGGAGTGTTTTTGTTTGTGTGACTCAGGATGGAAATGCTGCTAATCCTTCATAGTGGGTTGGGGTATAGCACAGTCAGTATTTCATCACTTGTCGTCAAGTGTGTGCAAGTAGGTTAAGATAGGAGAACGTGGTTTAGATACTCCTACTAGTAAAGCCATCACAGCTGCTATGGGTTCCTGGGTTAAGTGCTAACACGTAAACTCATGGCTGGTTAACTTGTTTGGTATCCTGGCCTTTGTGAATCATCTGTACTGAGAACACCCAGCCAGCTGGAGGAGTGAGCTCCAGTAAGTCCCAGGTGTGATTTTCAACCCTGGCTGCACTCTCTGACCACCTGGGGAATTTGGAAAGAGCCAGAATCCTGGCCCCAGACATGCTAGTTCAACTGCTGTGTGTTGGGGTCCCAGACATTGGTGATTTTTTAATTATCCATTTTCAAAAGGAATGCCATTAGTTTGGAATTCTCTAGTTCCATGAGTTTCCTTTCCCTCTCCTGGTAGATGTAGTCAATGCAGTAACAGTATTTATTCCATATCCCAGACTGTTTTCTCCATTGTACGTAAGATTTGTGTGTACTGACCTCTCAACAATTATTTGTTCTTGTGTGGTAACATGACATTTGGGTGACTTTCCTCCCTGTTTTCCAGTCTCATGAATGACAATATCATCACTTCAGTAATAAAGTCCATGTGAGCCTTTGCGTGCCAGTGCTGCAGGGGAACTTGAAACTAATTCCATTCACACCAGGCATTTGCGTTTGCCCCTCAAGCTGCAGAAGGGACCGCTCCCTGCCAGCCAGTGGTCTTGCCATCTCACATGTTCCTGGGTGTGACTGCTGTGATCATGCATTTCCAACATTTGCTCCCAGATGATCCTTCAGAGTTTCATTGTCCTTTTTAACCTAGAACTACTCATATAAAATGCAATCTAAGGAAGGCTCCTGCCCTTCTTACCTTCTGTGCATTTTCTGCCATATGCAGGCAGCAGTAGCCTTCAGTGCTCCAGCCCTGAACCCTGAGATCTGCTGAGGCCTCATGGCCTGGGGGAAGAGGGAGAGGTATGACACCTTAGGTTTGTCCTGATGATCCCCCACCCCGCTTCCCACAGAGCCCTCCCGGCTCTATACAGACTCTAATGCCCCAGTTTACATGCCTCACCCTAGACTCATGTTTTCATGAGCAGCTTTTGGTACAGCCTTAGGCTTTTAAAAAAAATGGCCCTCATACACAGGCAAGGGAAACAGATTCTTGGATTTTTCTGTGATGAATCTCTTTGGCCACAGATCTCTTTCGGAATAATGTTTCTTAATGTGCAAAACACTGTTTATAATGGAAACCAATTATATTAAAATGCAGTTCTCTAAGTACTAAAAATAAATTTGTGATACACTGACATGTGTTTTATTAATAAATGACATCTGGTGCATCGATGACTAAAGTAATTTAGAAATAGTGATAAGCATGAGAGATTTGCAACAATTGTGATGAAAAATGAACATATAATTGTGTTCTCTCAGGAACAAAGGTGCAGTCCTGAGTACTTTGGTGGGTTGGTCACATTCATAATTGAGGGAGATGCTAACGTTTAGTTAGTGGTGAGTGAAAATAAAGACATAATGTTTTTCCCATCCAAGGGCCCACTGAGTTCTCCCCACGGCTTCTTTAGGTATTTCCAAAAGGGAGTTTCGTGGGCTGCTGATAGGTGTTAGGATTTAGTAGAGCGCTGCAGTTAGGGATGCTTGGAACATGCTCTGTTGAACAGAATAAAGCAAGTTTCTTTATTTCAGAGCTTTTAAGATCCTTCAAGTCTACCCTGAATCTCCAAGGTGGCTGTTTTTGAACACTTCTACCAGGAAACTCTTTTTAGAGGAGCAGGTAGTGAAAGCAGGACTCACTTTGGAAAATGCTCTCCTAGGTGACCCACAAGGGAGAGAGCTGGACATTCCTGACAGAGTGCCACCGAGTACCATTGAAGGACCTTGTCGTCATTGTCATTCTCCCATCACGGAGACATGGGTACACCTCGGGGAAGGTTTTCTGGGAGTACAGCAATAAACTCCCATACATTTCTGGAAGGTACAGTACCTCTTAGGCTGGCTGTGTCTACATTTGGTAACCTAGGACCCTGTAGCGATCAAGTCTGGCTTTTTTTTTTTTTTTTTTTGAGACGGAGTCTCACTCTGTCACCCAGGCTGGAGTGCAGTGGCGTGATCTCGGCTCACTGCAAGCTCCACCTCCCAGGTCCACGCCATTCTCCTGCCTCAGCCTCCTGAGTAGCTGGGACTACAGGCGCCCACCACCATGCCTGGCTAATTTTTTATATTTTTAGTAGAGATGGGGTTTCACCGTGTTCGCCAGGATGGTCTCGATCTTCTGACCTCGTGATCCACCCACCTCAGCCTCCCAAAGTGCTGGGATTACAGGCATGAGCCACCAAGCCCGGCCCCTCAAGTCCGGCTTTTAGGAGTGATTTAGGATTCTCGAAGAGAGAGGAGAGAAGCTGGCTGTTTCTCGGCACCCAAACACTGACCTTCCTCCGGCCACACAGCTGGCGCCTCCACCCTGCTATCCGTGACATCATCAGCTCTTCTTGCAAAGACTGCAGTGAAACCAAAGGCACATCCTTCTCATAGGGTGTTGACGTTTTCTCTAAATCCTTCTTACTCAAAGGCAAATTTGAAATTGTTTTACTTATAACGGGGATACAGGTTAAATGATAAATGCCACATAGTGGGCATATGTTTCAGGCCAGGTGCTATGCTCAGAGTTCACACCTGCCTGATACTGTGAGGATTGGGCTACAGATTCTAAACCACACTCTCCATAGAGGACATGGCAGGTGAGCGGCTGGCTTCTGTGGGTCTGGGCCTGGTGGGTTAGTGTGGGCTGCATGGCCCCAAGGCTGGGAGCTGTGTTGGGATCTGGTGGCAGGGGGTTTATCTGACAACCTCACTATTCCATGTCTCCTCTCTGTGTGGAGGAATGGGATGCAGCGAGGAGACCAGGCTGGAGTTCTGTAGAGTGTAAAATCCTGGATGTCCTCTCAGCCTGTCTCCTTGAGAGGACCTGCTGCCTGCCCTTCTGGAGCACGTCATTCTCTTCTTGGATGACCAAATAAATCATTCAAGAGTGAAATGAAAACTCCTTATCTCCTTATAGGATCTGAGCTCAGTGATGAGAAGTGGAAGGACAATAATTGACCAATCACACATTTAAATGAATAAATTAGGCCGTTGGTGTTCAGCAGCAATTTCATGCCATAATTGACAATAAATAGCAATTTTGAAAATCATCCTGCAATGTACACTCAGCCACAGCAACCCAAAACCCAGGGGGGCTGCCACCACATATGTGTGCCGGAGCCCCTGTATATCCCAGTAAGGTTAGAAGAAGGTGTTCAATGTCAGAGCCAGCATTCCCAAAGTCCCCATCCCCTTCTGCACTGATGGAAGAGACCACTCTGGCTTTCCCAGGCTAGGATTAAAATCAGCTGGACAAGCATCTTCCCACTGGAACCATCCAAGTACAGAAGCCAGAGGGTCAAGATAACCCCTGCTTCAAAGCTGCTATTGATTTCCGGAACTACATCTCCATTGCTGAAAATACAGCCTCCCTTTTACCTACCACAAATCCACCAATTCTACAAACTCAATGCTTTCACATCCTTCCAGATTTCCTCTCTGCACTTAATGATTTTTTTCTTATTTGAAGTTGTTTGAAAACTTTAAAGCATGAGGGAATGTATCTAAAACTCAGAAAAATGTCATTGTTAATTGACACACCCCCAAATATATGAGCAAGATAAGTTTTAGACGTGTTTCATGTCTAAATATTTTCTCTTAAAGATGTGGTGTATGTTAACTTGCTTCACTGTAGTAATCACTGTAGTGTCTTTATGTATCCCATAACATCGTGTTGTAAAATCTCAAATATACACAATAAAATTTATTTTTAAAAGGAGGTAGTTTATCATATATGCATCAGAAAAGCAATTTGAAGCTCTTTTATTACACAGTTCTGATTGAAAAAGCTTCTTATTTTCTTCAGAAAAGACCAGTTCTTTAAAATTGTTTATTTATTTTACAAAGATGTACTTTTTGGACACCTACTGCAAGCCAGGCACTGTTTTAGGCATTTGGATACAGAGATGTGCTTGGCACAGCCCTGCTTTTGAGAATAGAACAATGGAATAATTTCTATTTTGTGAAAGAAATATGTTAATCCAGGTGGCTAGAATTTTAGAAAAGATTGAAATATAATGTCAAGTAATTGTAGTTACCTGAAATAGATTATCTGAGGAAAGAAACATTAAATTCTTAGAAATTATTTTATAATCTTATTTTGACCAAGATGATTGAAACAAAAGTTAATACAATATTTATTGCCCATACTTGAATGTGTGCCCAGTTATATAATACATCTAAGAGTATTAAATGTGAATGTAAATATAATAGAATCAAGTTAAAATGTTTTATTATAATAATGAGCTAAGTATTTGAACATGATTGTGGAATTCTCTGTGTGTTTATGTGTGCATGTGTATGCATATTTGTTGGAGATTTGTGTACAAGCTTTAATAAATCTGAATTTAAGGTTTAGGCTTTTATCCAGGAAATGTATTACAAAGACTCTGGAGAAAAAGCAAGTTGATCATTTAATGAAAAACTTGGAAGATTCAATGAAAACTAAGCCTAAGCTATGTGCTGCCAGAGGTTTTCCTTAATTCTTCAGAGCTTATTTTAGCTTCAGGTATTTAAAAGTCAACACTGTTTTGATTTAAAGGTTTAAAGAGCTTAGAGTTTTCTAATGGAAATTTAAATAATTTGAGGAGGGGCAGGCCAGTTAATCATAGATGTGAATTCAGTTGAAAAACTTGATTCAATTTTTAAAAAATATCATCATAGCAGAAGTTGAAAAGCATTTCATTCACATTACCTACCACTGATGTTTAAATTTAGTCTTCAAATACCTTTTGTAGATCAAAGGTTGACAACTGATGTACCTTAGCAACTCTGCTGAGTAAGGTAAAAATGTGCACACACCCTTCGTGATCTCTTACTCAGCTAACACACACACACACACACATTTTGCATAGGCCTCTTGGGTTGCTGCTTCCCAAATACATCACTGTGGTGTGGTGGCATCGCAGATGGGCTCTGGTAGAAACCCTGTGTTATAGGAGGGGAGAGGCAGAGCTTTGGTGGATGGAATATCACACAATGATGGAGGAACAGGCAGAAGAGTAAAGAGGACGTGCTCAAAGCCAATGCTGGGATAAACCCCCGTTTCTTGGCACAGTGGGGTGGAGTCTGAAATATCTATTCCTGGCATTTAGAATTTAAACCTCAAGTGGAAGAGGAGGACATCCTGGAGGCTCCTGTAGTATAATGGAAAAAATCCTAAACAGAAAGGTCTGGAAATCTGAGTCTGTCCCTGTGAAGACCCTTGTAGAGGGTTGCAGGAGTGGCAGTTGATTGGAAGAGGAAGGAGACTCTTGGGGATCACAGTTTAACTCCCTTCTTTCCCTTCCAGCAGCTCCCACTGGGGATGCCACCAATCCCTGTTCCACCATTTACTCATTGATGGGTCCTTGAGCAAACCATTGCCCTTTCCAGCCTCAGAATTCTCCTCATGGGTCTTGTCCAATGCATCGTGTTGTGATAGAGTCATATTAAGCCATTTATAGAAAGTGATCTACTTTCAATGACTATGAACATTTTGTGCATGAACGCATGTGACCTATATTTGCTTTTTATTAAACCTTGGTTTTCTACTCTACTTGCTGTACCTCCTCCTCATTATTTTATGACACTAAATGTAAGTAGGAAAGTAAGAGAGACAATAGAATAATTATATTAATTATCCAAATGAAATTCCTTATTTTCCTTAATTGTCTACTTCAAGCCAAAGCATTTCCAGGACCCAAATGTTTGAGGCAAATATGACTTCACTTTCCTGTTGTAGGTCAAATCAGAAAGGCAGCTGGATTTCCCGGCGAAACAGTGCACTCTGGATGAATTCCTTCTAATTTGCCTAGTGCCTTGCAAATGCTACTCACCCTGTACAATATGCCGGCCTCTCACTTTTCCAATGAGGGCACAGTTAACCTATTTCACCTGATTGTTGTAGGAAAATGAGTAAGATCTTCATTGCTTATTTATACATGAGAAGCTTTGTAAGTACCTGGTGATAATGGTAATTTTGACAGCGGTTGGATAGGAGGCACCTCAGTGGGAAGTGGTTTTTCTGATGTCTTAGTTCTGATGTCTTCTCAGGCTTGCCTTGGCTCCTGCAGGCCCAGATACTGCAGGGGCGGGGGGCGGTGGTGTGGGCAGAAGCCATTGCACTAAAGGACACACTGCATTTATGTGGTGCAGGAACGAGATCTGCCATCCTGCTGCAATGGCAATTAGCACTGGGCACCTGGGAGGAAGACCACACTCAGAGGCTGTAGATTTGGACTACAATCAGCCATGGCTCAGTCATCAACTGCAGTCTCCCAAAGTCTCTGGGGAGAGTGTATGCAGGTGCATAGGCGGGGGTGATATTAAAATATTTAACAACCCACAAAGCAGGGAAATGGGCATGGCCAGGCAGCATTGACGGAAAGTGATAGGGCCCTGGAAAGCAGCCAGGGTGGCTGGGGCAGTGGGAATGGGGACTGGGACAGAGCACTGGGGAGGGCTGAGAAGTGGCCATTTACCAACCAATGCAAGATGATTTCAATGTTTCATTAACTGGTGCAGCTGTACTAATTTGAGCTGTCTGCCCTACAGAAAGATCTGATTTTGATCTTAGCCAAGATACTGGCCTTGGAAAATTCATTTACCTCTCTGACTTGCAGTGCTTTCTTCTGGAAAGTAGGGATGTTAGTAACACTTTGTAATGTTGCCCTGAGGATTAAATGAGATAATGTATGAAAAGTGCTGAGCCTAGTGCCTGGCCCGCAGAAAGTGTTCAATAAATGGCAGCTGTTGTATTATCATGGTTATATACTTTCTGTCTGTTGTGATTGACATTTTAAAGGATTTTAAATGGAAACAGCTTGGTGTGTATTGGGTCTTTTCTGGAAAAGTTTAAACATTGCCGTTTGGATTTCATTTGTGCATAAACTTCTGCTTAAATTTTATGAAAATCTTAAAAACACAGATAGGAAAAAATGCAAAAATGATGCTTTCATTTGCCTTACTGGTATTACCATAACTAAATAGTAACAATGTCATAGATTTAAGAATTTCTCAGATACAGAGAAAGACTTGCTGTATGCAACTTAAAAACAATTTCTTAATTCTTTTCATGTTATTAGGAGCACCGCGACTGAATCACGGGTGTGTCTAGAGGCTTTTTTGTTATCCTGCTTTTGTTAAGGTCGTTGAAAAGGATAAATAAAATGAACTCAGATGAGAATGAATCTTATTGATGATTGCCTTAATCTTAACAAAACGCCTTGGAACATTCAGGGCGCAGGCACTCGGCAGAGAAATGTTATGAGATATTGTATGAATAGAATTATTTGAATACCAAAATGAGCTCACTTTTAAAGCAAATAGATTTTTCAATTTTTTAATTTGTAAAATTTCTTTTTCATATATTTACTTAAATTGCTGCAGGCATGGTGTGTGTTGCACAGATGTGTGTGTTTGTTGAAGTGTGTGCTTCTTTAAATAAAGTTTTATTGAGATATAATTCACATACTATATAATTTATCCATTTAAAGTATACAATTTCATGGTTTGTAGTATATTCACAGAGTTGTACAATAATCACTATGGTCGGTTTTGAACATTTTCATCACCCCAAAAAGTGAGTTTCATTTTCACTTATTTCTGAGTTTCCTATATTTCTTTTATATCTAATTTCATTCCAATGTGGTCAGAGAACATAATTTGTCTGACTCTAATCCCTTAAATTTTCTGAGGATTGTCATATGGCCTACTATATGGCTTAGCCTGGAGAATGTTTCATGCGCACTTAGGAAGAATACTTATTCTGTTGTGTGCTGTGGGTGTTAGCACACTCCACCCAACAATGGTTTAGTTTGCAGTATGTTCAAGTCTTCACTTTCCTTGCAGATCTTCCACATAGTTATCCCATCTATTACCAAAAAGGGGATGTTAAAGTCTCCAACTACTATTGTTGAATTTTGTGTTTCTCTCTCCCATTCTGCAAGTTTTTGCTGTGTGCATTTGAGGATTTGCTTTGAGATACTGCAGGGGACCCCAGCAGGCAGTGAACCCTGTGGTCCCGGCAGTGCCCTTCAGGGGTGGAGTTTCCACCTTGCTGAGCTGGGTGTAGCTCAAATGCGAAACCTGGCTGTTCTTATGAAGAGTTTTACTAGATTTTCTTGAATACATGTTTTTCTATAAGCTGTATGCCCTGAAGACATTTACAGAGATTAAATTTTTAGGAAATAAATTTCACTAACTATAATTGTTTTGTTGGGAGGGAGGTACATGATCCTCATGCCACTATTCTGCAAGTTTCCCCTCTGTACGTTCTTTTAAATTATTAAAAAAACAGCAACACAACCCGCAGGTGTAAGTGGTGATTTGGAGCACAAAGCTCAAATGTTACCATAAGACCTAAAATTTATGATGCTTGTAAAATAGTTGTTGCTAAAACGTTTTTTTTTTCTCCTCATTACACAGCACCATATGTACAAAGAAACTGAAGCATACAGTCGTGGGCCTCAGAAGCTTCCATAACAAAACAGTTCTTTAATAGGCACTAAATGAGGTTCTTGCTGAGTGATTACCTAAATAAATGAATACCTAAAAGGGAGTTCTCTCTTGTTTCCAGACTATAAAATATAAGTCTATTTATACTTCGGAAAGGAACTTACTAGAAATCTTGCTTCCCAGGAATTCTGAGAATTTAAAAGACTGTTGCAACTGCTGAAGTTAATTTAATGTAATCTATCTATCTGTCTATCTATCTATCTATCTATCTGTCTATATCTAATCTATTTTTTTTTGCTGGGATAAACATTCTTGCTTTTTTTAGTGACATATTTTCAAATGCATTTGACTTTATCTTGTGATTTTAACTATTGTTTTTTAATTTCCCAAAAAGGTATTGTATAGCATTATTATCTAATTCATTCCATATATCTTTATTTATGTATCTCATTTGGGTAAAAATATTAGGTTGGTGCAAAAGTAATGGTGGTTTTGTCATTACTTTTGCACCAACCTAAGAAATGGTTCTGAGGGCTGCTTCTGATAACAAGATGAGTTCTGGCATCCTGACCTGACCTGACCTCCTGAGCTCTGTGTGCAACTTCATGTTCATTGTGTCTTTACCCCAATTTGTTGCCCAGATTTTTCTCTTTGTTACTAATATCTGTGTTGCTACTGATGCACTCTTCATTTGTTGTTTGGCTATTTGATCGCTGTTCTGAGACCACTTCTCAATCAATCTCATATCTCCCCCCTCATTTTTGTATATGTGTTTCTTAACATTTGAATATGAAATAGTGGCCCTATCACAGTGACCCTATAGAAAGCTCTCTAGAAGGTATGATTCCTATCAATATAGGCTGCATCTGTGATTTATACTCTTCGAATATGATTAGCCATTGGCTTTATAGAGTACAAATAATTAATAAACTGATGTAACACTCGTGATTATTCTTTCCCTGGCCTTTGTTTTATCGTTTGCATTTAGGAAGAAGCTGGCCTTATCTATTTTTGTCAAATGGCTTGTACTAAGCTTTAAAATGTAGGTTATTGCAAATCCTTCTGAAATATCGCAAATCTTATGTAGGCAAATATGTATTTTCTGTTCTAAAGTATATACACAATTTTAAGAAACACTTTTCCCATTTTACAATACTTTCTTACACAAAATGAATATATAACGTATGATACTTTAACACCATGCAACATTTGAACCTTCATTCATTTTATTTAGTTATTCATATGGTATTTACTAAGCACCAGTAAATACTGTGCACTTATTGAGTATTTACTCCAAGCCCCATATACTCAGCTCATATATATGATCCCATTTATAATTGCAAAGGTACATTATTTAGAAACAATTGTTGCCTATTTATTGATGAATCTGCCTGTTTAAATCGATATTCTCCCCTTGATGATTATAAAGACTGTATAACAAGGATGGAAGTAGTATTTGTAATGTATTTTAAAATTCTAGTTTATAAATTCCTTTTTAGTTACTTAAGAATAAAAATCACTCTCTCTTTTTTTTTTTTTTGAAAGTATCTACACCCTTTCTTCACATTTATAGGCAACAGAAAGAAATTCTTCACAGGAAATGACTTGAATTTAATTTGCCATGGACTTCTTCAGCTGGATACCAGAAGTAAGGGCTTGTGTCAAATCATGGGGTTGGGGGAGCTTATGTATGAAGGAACTGCACAGGCCAGGAACATGCATTTGAAAGTGAATTTTTTGGCCCACATTGTAAGTTTAGTGGGGCAGCCTATTTTCAGGAGAAAATTCATCACAAAGAGTGCTTGAGGACATTTGTCCTGAAGAGCAGACATTTTAAAAATGTAGAGACTAAATGAAGAAAGCTGGGAAAATGGAAACCCTTGTAATATTTGTATTCACAGATCCATTCGTTCTGTACCAATCCTGCGCTGAGCACCTGAAAGTGCTGAGGCCCAATAATGAGGGCAGAACACTTGGCTTCAGAGAGTACACAGCATCTGGCAGAGAAAGAAATATACCACAAATGGGGCGTTTCGGAGGTTAAGGAAAATTCCCTCTCCCCGCACACTGGGGGCACTGAAGAAATGAAGAACACGATGCATCCACTCTGAAGCAGAGATTCAGAAAAAAGCTAAAGGAGTTGACTTGCTTGAGTGTATGCCCCTGGGAGGAAGGTGTGTAAGGTTATGTAAGATGGAACCAATTTTATCCCGTGTGATGCTAGGAAAAGAATGGAAAGCCACACCACAGAGGGGTCTAAATTGAGCGCATTGCGGTCAGTGTTCAGCCTGAGCTGAGAAAAGAAACCAGGCTCCCCATGGGGAGGCAGGAACTTTCTCAGTGATTTTTGAAGTCCATGTAAATAAATAAATAGCTAACATTTATTGAGCACTTGTTATGTGAGCACTCTTCTAAGAGATTTGTGTGCATTGATTTATTTTCATCACAGAACTTGACAGGTGATCATACAGTCTAATGTGTACTGTTGTTTTCCATGGTTTATTGATAAGGAAATTGATTCTATAATATAAGCTGCTATACCATAGGTATCATCTCTTTGGCTTCCAGGAGGGGCTGGGTGAAAGTGCTCAATGCTGGCCAGTAACACTGATTGAGAGGCTTATCAACAAAGCACAAAGGCATGAAGACTCGAGATGAAGAAAGACCTGAGAGAGACGGGGAAGAGGTTGTGGCCAGGGATTGACTTGCTAGGATAACATATTTGGGAGAGATTTGTTTCTTAAAGCAGAGCTTCCAGGATCTGGAGAGAAAGGCACCCTAGCTTGTTTCTCAGAAATGCATGAAGGCCGGGTGTGGTGGCTTACGTCTGTAATCCCTGCACTTTGGGCGGCCGAGGCGGGGAGATTGCTTGAGTCCAAAATTTGAGACCAGCCTTGGAAACATCGGGAGATCTTGTATTTAAAAAGAAAAAATAAATTAGCCGGGCATGTTGGCAAGCACCTATAGTCCCAGCTACTTGAAAGGCTGAGGTGGGAGGATCCCTTGAGTCCAGGAGGTCAAGCCTGGAGTGAGCCATGATCATGCCACTGCACTCCAACCTGGGTGACAGAGCAAGACCCTGTCTCAAAACCAAACCAAACCAAAACAAAACAAAACAAAAAAGAAATGCATGAGACCCACCCTCAAAAAGTTTAGTGAAAACCTCATTGCTCAGTTTGTATTGATTCCACTGTCATTGAAGGAATGTACCTCCTTCTTACCTTGTAGAAGAATACTTAAGCAGGTAGAAACCTGACTTCTGAGATGCCTGATGCCCTGTGCTGATGCACAGGACTTAGAATATTTAACTTTCCCTCTAGCAGGCATCAGGCATCAGTTATGCCCTAAATATAACTTCATTGCATAACACACCAGCACATACTTGTTTATTTACCCCAAATCTATGTTCTTCCTTCCCTCCTTTTCCTCTCTCCCTTCCATTCTTCCTCTATTACTTCCTTCTTTCTTGTTTCCCTTTCTTCCTTTACACAATAAATATTCAACATAAGATTCATTGAGCACCTACTACATGCTAAGTGTTGGATATTCAGTGATTATCAACTATATATATACATATATATATATATATTTTTGTCAGCCTCTGAGGATGGCATGGAGGCTAAAGAGACAAACAACAATGGCCTCGGGATTGGTGATGTGTGCATCACAGAGTTTCTGAAAAATGGTACCTACACCTACGAGTGGGTCACAGGTTGAAATAAATCCTTGGATGAATGAGATGATACAGTGCATCATGGCAGATCTTGCAAAGCATTTAATCTAACAGTGTGTTTCAAGTATATATATATACTTGAAAGTATATATATATGTATATATATATAGTTGATAATCTATAAATTCGTTTTTAGTTACTTAACAATAAAAATCATTTTCTTTTTTTGAAACTTTGTATCTATCTACACACACACATATATATATATATATATATACTCCACAGCCCCTTGCGGTTCATGGTTTAATGGGCAAGACAGATAATCAAACAGCCACACAAACATAGTAAAATTACGACGACGACAAGTACCACGTGATTTTGTGAGACTTTATGATGGGGCTATGTCACCTGGTCAGAAGAAGTAGGGCAGGATTCTCTGATGTGGCAATGACTAAAGCTGAGAAACAGAGCATGAGTTGGAATTGGACAGACAGAGGTGCACAAACAGAGCGCGGAAAGAAGAACAGCATGTGCAGCAGTCTCATGGCAGAGTGTATGCAAACTTCAGGGATGGGAGAGGGCCCGAGAGTATGTGCAGAGAGTAGGGGGAGGATTGTGAGGTGGGGCTGCTGAGCAGGCATGCAAGGCACAGCATGGAAGGCCTCCTAGGCTGTGCTGAAGTTTTGTCTCTATCTGATGGGCCGTGTGTTGTGAGCATGAAGGTTGCACAGCCGGATTGCAGTTTGAAGAGACCACCCTGGCTACAGGGAAGGCAGTGACTTGGATAGGCGGTGACTTAGAAGATTGGATTGGGTGGGTCCACTGGGGACTCTTGTGCAGAGACATGTTGCACTGGGTATATCCTCTGAGTCATCCCCAAAAGACTAGGCCAAGTAGGAGTTTATTTGGGGTTTAGGTTCTCTCGTTATTATGCATCATTTTATCTGTGTTGGGGCTCAGAACCTGGTACCTCAAAATATGGCACCTTGGCATATTGTGAGAAATTGAGAAAACTGCAGAAGCCAAAGGGTCACTGTGACCTTCCCCAGTATTTCTTTCTTTTTTTTTTTTTTTGAGATGGAGTCTTGCTCTGTCACCCAGGCTGGAGTGCAATGGCGCGCTCTTGGCTCACTGCAAGCTCCGCATCCTGGGTTCACGCCATTCTCCTGCCTCAGCCTCCTGAGTAGCTGGGACTACAGGCACCCACCACCATGCCCGGCTATTCTTTTTGTATTTTTAGTAGAGACAGGGTTTCACCGTGTTAGCCGGGATGGTCTCGATCTCCTGACCTTGTGATCCACCCACCTTGGCCTCCCAAAGTTCTGGGATTACAGGTGTGAGCCACTGCGCCCGGCCTCCCCAACATTTCCGTGTGAGAACTGGCCATGAAGAAGTTCTCTGACCTACCTCCCCTGAAGACAGGTCATAAGACCCTCTTGTGACAGGTGTCCTGCCCTATACCTGGAGACCAAGAGGAATTGACCAGGCAGGCCTTGCTATGTCCCCCACCCCAAGTTTGTTACCATTAGATCACACCCTTTTTTGTCCAGTCGTACTTCTAGATGACTGTCCACTCCATCAAACCTATGCACAAAAGCACAGTTTTCTTTGGATTTTATTTCTTCATTTCTGAGGACTCTTGTGTCATGTAAAACTGGTTAAACAAATTTGTTAAGCATTTTTCTTGTTAATCTTTCTTTATTGGGGTGTCAGCCATAACCCTTGTGATAAGTGAGGAAAATATATTACTTTTTTTCTCCTATATCTACAAAGTACCAGAATACAGGGAGAGTCAGACAAGACTAAATGTTATTACTTAATGAGGCTGTAAGTATTACAGAAGTCTCACAAAAGCTGATTATTATTCCTACAAGTTAGATAATTCATTCATAGGCAGGAAATTCATCCTAATACTGGGATCATTTTCTCAGAGAATTGAGAAAAAGAGGACTGAGGTCTTCTTTCTCAGAGAATTTAGAAAAAAAAAGGCTGTTTGATTTATGTTTTACAAACTTCAGTATCAAGGTTACATGAGTATCATTTTAAACTCACTACTCATTCAATCTTACCTTCTTTTGGACGTCAGTTTACGGTAATGCTCATTTTAAACTAAGCCTATAATGACTGCAACCATCTTCAGTTAGGCCATTTAATAAAAATAAAACTACTTTATAGGTGTCCTCTTCTCTCTAGTCCTGATTCTTGGCTTTTTATGTATTCTCACTTGTAATGGAAAGAAATGCCCCATTAAAGTTCAGCAACTTACAACATGCCATTTAGTTTTCTCTGTTTAATAACCTGTGTGTTATTAAACTCTCAGAGAGTTTGTCAGCCTCTGAGGATGGGGTGGAGGCTAAAGAGACAAACAACAATGGCCTCAGGATTGCTGATGTGTGCATCACAGAGTTTCTGAAAAAGGGTACCTACGCCTACAAGTGGGTTGAAGGTTGAAATAAATCCTTGGATGAATGAGATGATACAGTGCATCATGGCAGATCTTGCAAAACATTTAATGTAACAGTGTGTTTCAAGTAAAGAATGCCCTGCAATTGAGGGCAATAATTTGTGTTACAATAAATCTAAAATGAAAGTCGTTCGTTAAATAAAAACAAACAGAAAGCCCTTAAGAACACAAAACATCACCCTTCCAAAGTTGATCTGTCCTGACAGATCCATTATGTTTAGAGATTTTTTCAGGGCTTTCTTGATTTTGCTTACAGTATGTAACAGTTCCAAAGACCTTTGTGAGAACACTTAAAGGGGCAATGTGGTATGAAGAAATGCATTCAGGGTAGGGATGTTCACAGCAATAGAATGTGCTGTAGTTGGAGAAAATCTCTGTATGATGGTATCCAACTACCACAGAAACAAATATGCCTCATTGACTATGGTTACATCCCAAATAATACATTTTCACTCTAAGCCAAATTCATTGATGTTTCCTGCCTGTGGACTATTGGTAATGTATACAAAGTAATAAAATTCTGATGATATCAGGCGGAAAGGCTACACTTGATGGACAGAGAAGTTCATTCCTTCAGTAAATGTGAACACCTATTGGCCAGGTACAATGGAAAGTCCTTAGAAGACAGCAGAAAATAGGTTATAATTCTTACTTTCAAGGAGTGTATAGTCTAGTGGGAGAGACTGACCATTAAAATAGCAACTACATACTATATGTAATAAAAACTACTCTATGGTAAAATAGAGAACCAATAAGAGGGACTCCTATAAAGACAGCTTTCCTGGAGGAATTCACTTCTTTTTAAATTTTTTTTTAATTTTAATTTTTGTGGGTACATAGTAGGTGTAGGAAGTCACTTCTAAGCTGAGTAATAGTCAGCCTGGGAAAGGTGAAAATGGGGCTAAGGAAGGAGTTATTCAAATAGAGGAAATAGCATGTAGTAACCCTGGTGGTACGGTGGTATCTGGGAAGTAACATGTTTACTGCAGCACACAGAATAAAGGACTTAGGGCAGGAACATCAGGCTTAGGACAAGACCCCTCAGTGGCACAGGCTCCTACCTGTTTTAAGGTTCAGCCATGATTAGCCCCTGTGCTCGATGAGGCAATGCAGTCAAGGCCTTGGGATTCCAGCAGATTAGGGTGGGGGATAACAATTGGGTCTGACACTTCTCAGGGGAGCTACCTGGGCTTCCTAATGCCCTTTTCCCTCCTAGAGATTGCGGACTTGCTGCTTCTGCACAGAAAATTAGGGTATTTAAAAGGTCCTGGATTGTAAGGTGAAGAGAACACCTCTTTGCTTTAGACAGCTTATTTTAAAGGAAGAAAAATAATTTGTTGTTCACAGTTGTGATTCCTTCAATTTCCTAAACTTTCTGTAATTTATAAGAATTTTCTACAAATTCATTGTTGGATGATCCTCTTTGTTGTTTAAATTAAGGACATGGGGCTCATACAGAGACCCATGACATGGCCCTAGCCAGGGAGTGAGCCCTGGAGGCAACTGGCATTGGCAAGGGGAGGAAGAATCTTTGGCATCACGTTCAGGTCTAAAAGTCAGCCATCCCACTGTGAACGGAGAACTTCTGGTGGAGTAGGAGTAAGGCTTCACTGTGGACCAGCTTGTGCTCCTGAGAGGCCTCAGAAAGAATTCCCAGTGGCTTGCGTGAACCCGGGAGGTGGAGGTTTCAGTGAGCTGAGATAGCGCCAGTGCATTCCAGCCTGGGCGACAGAATGAGCCTCTGAAAAAAAAAAAAAAGAAAAAAAGGAAGAAAGATGAAAGAAAGAAAGGAAAGAAAGAAAAAAAGAAAGAAAGGAAAGAAAGAAAGGAAATGAAAGAAAAAAGAAAGAAAGAAAAGAAAGAGAAAGAATTCTCAGTGGCTTTGCTGGCAAAGACAGTGCATGCTGGCTTGGAAGGAAAGCGCAGCTGGAGCTCTCCATGGTGCTTCCCCAAGCCACAGCCTGTTCTGTGCTTCCCTGGACTTTAGCTCTCAGCCAAGCTGCAAGACACCTTGCCTTCGCCCTTGTTCAGGACCTCCATCACACTCGTCACGTCACTAGGTTTCTGGTGAAATTATAACCTCATCCTCAGCTCCTCACTTGATTAACTACATTTTCTTCTACTCTGACTCTATTGCTGCAGTTTGAGCTTAGGTGGTTGCATCATCCTGCTTCAGCCTCCACTTTCAGATTTCTTTTCTAATCAAGAGGGAACCCTGTTCTTTTGAGAACAATTCAAATATTCTAGACTTTTTCCAATTTCAATGAACATCTGAAAAAAATTTTATGTCTATTTGATTGCTAGAGGCTGAAAAGCAGCTCCCCTTGCTGTCCTGATAGTGGATGCTGAGACAGGCCACTTGTGCAAGCTGTTGTCCTCTAAGGCTGCAACATATTTGATTCAAAGTTATACAGTGTCATTTGCAACCAGTATATCTAGGCTTTTATTCTATAGTTATGCAGAAGTGCCAGTTGGAAGCTTAAAATGCTAGGAATCTCAAATTACTTAAATTTCTGGGTATGCTTCATGACAAATGACCCATCTTTCAATTCCTGATAAAAATCAAAGGGTGCTAGACAATTATAGGTAAATGTTGACTCCTCCCTCTCATAAGAAAACATTTTATGGACATGATGGATGAAATTGCAGGGTGAAATATGGTCTCTGAGCCAAAACAAGAACTCTGATAATAGTCCTGATTTTTCTGTCTGTTTACAATTAGATCACTTAGAAGTGTCATGTTAGCAATTACCAGCCAAGTTTTAGCATTTCAGAAAATTAAGTAACTTTGTAGGTCTAAATTAGAAACCACCTGCAATATAAAAAGTACTGAATAAAATCTGCTACAGAGTTGAGGCATGACATGTAAAAATACCTCTGTCATATTCAGAGATTAAAACTAAATTATTGGAATAAAAAATTGACAATAATGCAAGGTTTACAACTTTTTTAGTAGGTGGATGCAAAAGTAATTGAGGTTTTTGCCATTTTACTTTTATTAACAATTGCAAAACCCACAATTAGTTTTGTACCAACCTAATACATGTTCTACCCTGATTGCTCAGATAAATTATGCAGTGTTTATCATTTCTTAAGTCTTTCTAAATGTTCCTTCTTCAGTTTAACACTTACTTGCTACATTTCTGAGCCTCATTGTGCTTTTTCTCAGTTCTCTACCTGCCTCTAATTGTGGAGTAAGATAGTATGTGTGGAAGCAGACGCCTCGAGCATTCTGGGAAGATGTCAGTTTGAATGTATTCCTGATCTTTTCCTTTGCCAACTATTCATTATTGACCATCTTTTCCTCGTCAAGTGACCTGCCATCATCACAAGAAAAGGCCCCGAAAATATGAGTGAGACTCAGGTCCTGCCAGGACCCAGATATGCTCATTTTTGGCCTGCAGATGAAAAAAACAGAGCTCCCTGAAATGAGGGTTGGTGGATGATGGAAACTCTTGGCTTTGGAAGATCTGTGGGTCTCTGAGAAGATGGGTAGAGCTTGCTCATGTGTAAGAATTCGTAGAAAGATCTGCTACACTTCTAGAATGCCAAATTGCTGAGTGTGGGCTGGGCTTCTTCTATCCACTCTTTTTAAGGCTACGGAGGCCGGCAGGGAGAGCTACTTCCTCTTGGTACTGAAGCTTACCTGTTGAATGGAAGGAGCTGAAGCTTACCTGCTGGCTGGGAAGACATGTTTCTCTGTGTGTGCACACACCCTATTAGAGGAGGGATTGCTCTTGTTTAATGTTTCATAGAAGCGTCATCTGAACCCCAGTGAGTACAAATAAACTCACAAATAAGCAGTAGCAAGGGAAAGAAAGAATGGATGACAAGTGAAATTACAGAAATAATTAGAGCATATAAGGAGATTTATTACAGCACAAAAGACTTTCAGAATTAAAAACACGATATTGAAAAAATGTAAGCACTATTGAGCACAGAATTACTGCTGGGAGGATTAAGAGGAAGAAATACCTCAAGACACAGAACAAAAATATGAAAAGATAAAAAGGATAGATCCTGAAAATGTAACACATGAATAATTTTTGTTATGGAAAGACTTTCTGAAGGAAACGCAATAACTGAAAAAATAATAGCAGCATATTTCTCTAAGTCAAAGTATAATTGGAGTTTGCAGAGGAAAATGCCTTACTGAGATCCATCCAAGACTGATGAAAAGGACACACACCTGAACCTATTCTAGTTACATTTCTGATGCCCAAGAATAAAGAGGAAATTTTCATATGTTATGACAGAATGAACAGGTTACTTACTTATGAAGAAGAAAAGAAAAACTAGAAATTGTTCACCTGCAGCTCTGGAAGTTCATCAGATAATATCTACAGAATTCTAAGAAAAAGCTCCTGTTAAAAGGATCCCACATGCATCCAAGATATCATTCAGTTAAAATAAATTTACAAATTTACTAACATTCAGATTTCAGAGATTATATCAACCATAAAGCTCACCTGTAGACAATAGTTAAAAAATAGACTCTCATTAAGCAATAAACAAATTACTACAGAGATTTCAGTGTGGGGGAAGATTAAAATGAGAAGTTAGTAACAAGTCCTGCTATAGCTATATCCAGTTATTTAAATCTAAATGAACTACAAAATGTGACTAGATCTTGATGTGCTAAATAAGGATTCTGAAAAAGAAGAAACTGTAATATAATAAAAATAAAAATTAGTAATAGTCTAAATATAAAAGTATTAAAAACACTAAATTGCATGATCAAAACTTAGGATTTGGTGTTGAAAGTGATGGAATAGAAGGAAGAAAAGGTATTTCAAAGTTCTCATTTAGGAAAGGGGGAAGTAAAAATATTCCAAAAATATTATCTTATATATAGAAAGGGAAGAAAAAGATGGGAGGAAAGACTGTCTAGTGGAGAAAAATGTTTGATGGCTGTTTTTCATATAATGCAGAAGAAATGTTGTTGTTTGATTATGAGTTTTATGACATTAAACTTGTAGAAAAGTGCCAATAGATAAGGGAATTTTTGAAATTAGTAAGGAATTAGGACTTCAATTTTTACTTGATCAAAACAGCAGAAGAAAATCAGAAAGTAAAATTAATATAAGATAGGAGGAATAAAGTCAAATATTAGAAATAAGAGAATGAGAAAATCTACATAAACAGAAAGAAAAAAGGATGAGTAAAATGTTAATATTAAATAGGGTAAAAATTTTGGATAAAAGTACTAAACAAAGAGGAACATTATACAGTCTTAACATACCTATTCATAAAAAAGAAATGTCACAAACTTACACACATTAATCAGCATAATACTTAAATAATAAAGATCTTTTAGATTGCAATAAGAATTGATTAAAACAGAAGATTTAATGTATTTCTCTCAATTTCAGGTTTAGTAGGTAAAAAATTACTCAGACCAGAATGAAATTGAATACAATAGTCAACAAATTTGAATATCTAGTTTAATCTTTTGATTAAGAATATAGACTTGTTTTCTTCCTTATATATATAAAAACATTAAAAATTTGGTCATACACTGAGTGCAGGAAAATCTTATCAAAATAATCAAGATGATTTGGAGAGTGAATTCTCTGATTATAATCAAATAAAATTATTAATAATAAAATTATGAAATATACTCAACATAAAATCAATGGATAAATTTAGAAAAAAATTAAAAGAGCATGTCACATAAATATATGTGGGATACAGTAAAAATATTGGTCCTATATGCTTTGATTAATAAAGATGACAGGCTATAAATATAGAAATTTATGGTTATTTGAAAAATTATAATAGAACAAAGCTAACAAAGGAAAGTAGATGAACAGAATTAACAAAGATAAGAGTTAAACTTTCTGAGAAAAATAAAATTAAAAATCTTGTTTTTTGAAAGGACCAATAAAATACAAAAGGCCTTTAAAGAAAAAGATCAAAATTATACAAAATTAAGAAATAGGAAGGAGAAACAGAAGAAATGAAAATAATTATAACAGATTACTATGTGGATTCCTTGACCACAAATTTGGAAACCTAGGGAAAATTGGTAATTTTGTAGTAAATAATAAATTCAAATGTTGGACTAACAAATGTAAGAAATTAATATAGATTTTAGAAGATATTAGAAATATAATTAAATATATTACTTAGAAATCCCAGGAATTGATAATTTCACATCTGAGTTCTATGTAGCACTTAAGAGATAGATAATTTCAAAGTTATTTATATTAGCCTGGATTCTATTTAAAGGTGGAAAGACTTCCAATCTATCTTTTAAAGCCTGTAAAAAAAATCCTGAAACACATAGAGGTAGTACAAAGAAAATAGTGCAGACCAATCTCACTTATAAATAGAGATATGAAATTTTTTTGAATGTTGACAAACACAATAAAAATAATAACATACGATGACCAAATTGAGATCACTTGAAGAATGCAAGGATGGTTCCATATTAGGAAATATATCAACATAATAAATTACAGCAAAAAGTGGAGGAGAAAACCAATATGGTCATATCATGAGGAATAAAAAAGTATTTGGTACATTTCAGCAGCCAATAAAAACACTGAGTAAGATACAAATAAATGAAAACTACTTATATATGTTGAAGGCTTTCTGCAACAATAATTGTCAATAAGCAAAATGTAAAATCAATCAGGGACAAAATTACATGGTATCATTATTCAAATTGCTTTGGGGCTTCTATTAAATTTCAAAGGTAAAACAAAGGAAACAATTGTTACAAAGGTTGGAAAATAAAGCACCTCATGGTAGGATCCTTGATGATCAATTTTCTATTACAGAGGAGGTCAGGGTGAATTCCACATCACGTGGC
Organism: Homo sapiens; assembly: GCF_000001405.40. Taxonomy (NCBI): domain Eukaryota; kingdom Metazoa; phylum Chordata; class Mammalia; order Primates; family Hominidae; genus Homo; species Homo sapiens. The sequence continues at coordinate 73,903,620 of NC_000018.10, read as the reverse complement.
ATTGGCTAAGAAATAGACTCGCTGATAAAAAGGAAAACTCAAAGAGCAGCATCTGTAAAGGAGAGAGACATGCAGTCACCCAAATTCTCACCATGAAGAGCTATGATGGGCCCAAGGCATCTATTGGACATGCCATGTATTCCATTCCAGTAGAGAGATTCTATGCATCTCTCTTGCTAGAGGTTGAGCATAAGAAAGTAGCTTTGTAGGTGGGAGAATACACAAGCTGTTTGGAGCCAAGAAGACTGGATGGACAGATATTCCTGGTCATTTCTGGGTGAGCCCAGTTGCCTTGCATCTGTGGATTTTGGTGTAGTTGTGGGGATCTTCACCTGCGGGACACATAGTGACCTCAGCCAGAGGGAATAAGTCTCTCTGAACTGAATCTGAGTTTAGCTGCTCTTGCAGGAGAAGGTGGGGACCAGGGTCCATTCTGAGTTGGAAGAGGAGGTCCACCTTCTTTGAATAGTGGGAAATAAATGAAATATTTTATTTGGCTGCAGATAGGATTTTATATAAAGAAAATCTAGAATGCTTGACTTAAATAAGATTATAAATATAAATTAATAGTTTTCTATCTATTAGTAATTACCAGCTAAACATAAAAATGTGAACAATTTAATTCACAATGATAAAAGCTATGAAATATTCAGTAATTGCTTTAATAAAGAATCTATAATATATGAAAAATAATTATAAATTTTTTGAAGGATAGCAATGTTTTGCTCAAGTACAAAGATATATTATAACCTTGGATAAAATTATTTAATAACAAAATCAAATAAAATCCTCTAAAATTTTTATAGTAATGATAATTAAATCCTAATTAGAATTACACTTTAATTATATAAAAACTTCCTATAGAAGATAAGTATTTGAGAATAGATGAGAAAACAATACCAAATACTAAAACATACCAGGCAAGCTCAAATAGCATGAAAGTTACAGAAAACCATAAATAACCCAGATATTTAGTAATTTAATATGTGACAATTATTAGTATTTAAGTTCAATCACAAAAAACTTCTTTACTAAATAATGGTAGCTCAAATATAAATTCATCAGGAAGAAAATAAAATAGGTCTCTTACCTCACATACAAAAATAAAATTTAATTCAAGACCTTAATTAAAAACAATACCACTTAAATCTAAAAAGATAAACTAAATAACTAACTGAGGACCTTTTTTTTAAGGAAGACAAGAAATCTAGAGCTATAAAAAAAGATATCACATAAACAATGTAAATAGAAAAATGATGGTTTAAAAAACATTTGCAAACCATGTTCTATTTTTTCTTTAAAACACAAACAACCCAGCTGAGAGAAAAAACAATCCAAACAAAATTGTCATATTAAATATAATCTTTTGTGTGTGTGTGTTTGTGTTTAGAGAGAGATATATAAAATATGTTTACTAAGTGCTAATGATGGTTCTTTCAGAATGGGGTTATTTTAGGTGACTTGTGCTTATTTAAACTTTTATGCACTGCTCAAAAATTTTACCACGATTATTTTCAATGTATATATCCAGCGGAAAGCTTTTGTCATTTTGAAAAAAAAAAGAGAATCTACATCTTTCTGGAAAGATAATCATGGGTTTAGACCACCAAGACCTCTGGTATTCTGATATTTGCGTGAAACTGTCTCTGGTTAAAAAAATAGCCTGTCACCTCTGAAATTGCTTTCCTGCCTGCACCCTGTTATCAATATTGGATTGATTTTTAGACAGAAGCCCTTGGTCAGGCAGCATAATGAAGTTGGTGATGCCCTATTATCAGGGTTTTGACATTCATATTTGTATCTTTTATTCAAGCCTGCTGATGGCAGCAGCGTCTACTCCCCTGCCAGTGCTTGTGGATTTCCTGGGGGCTTCTGGCTTGCACATACATGCATCACAGGACAAAGGGACAAATCGCAGGAACGGCATCAAAGGTGCTCTGTCATTTATTTTTTGGGCGTTGAAAGGCACCAGCTGCCCTCTAGGAAACCAATAACCACTTTCAGAGGAAATGGCATATTGTGTGCTTTCCCTGCTTTAGTTAAAAATATGACAGCAATTTCATCATATCCCACAATTTTAGGTTATTAGTATGAGGAATGACTTTTGATCAGATATTTCCTATATTGAATATAAGTTGATTTTAATATTTTAAAACTTCATTGATATGTCAATAACCAGATTTTGAAGTGAGACTCACTGAGCTTCCCAAGGACACATGAAAGTTAGCCGAGGACGTAGACAAAGAACCCTCGACAGTTAAAAGCAAACGGAGGCCGGGCGCAGTGGCTCACACCTGTAATAGACCAGCGTGGGCAAGACGAGATGCGTCTCTTAAAGAAAAAGCAAAAGGAGCTTGGGGAACTTCAGGAGTCATCAGCTGCTACTTCCTGATACCCAAGCACAAGCACCTTTATTGTTCATTCTAATTTATTTTTACAGTGTTCTCAAAACTGGCTAAAACAGAGACTAAAGGAGATTACTTAACTAGGGACATTGTAAAGATGATCAAAAATTGATTAAAATGGACTGAAACTGTACTGTAGAATGAGAGAGATATGTAGATATTTACTCAGTTAACCAAGGCATCATCATAGATGTAGTCAACACATGAGCATGTCTGTCTGTCTGTCTATCTGTGTGTATGTTTATGAAGATGGAGTGGCCTCATCTCTTAGAAAACAACTGGTATATAGTAGGTGCTCAAAAGAGACTGGCACTGTCATGGGTTTCTCATGCTACTTTTCAAATCCTCCGACCTACAAAACTACTGAAAACCATCCACTTCAGTCTAAGGCTAGCTGCGTTTCCTTTATAATTTCAGCTCCATGTTGTCTATTAATCTTTTCTTTGTCCAGAGCAAATATATTCCTGAATAATCTTTCACTTGTATAGTTGAATACCGGTTGGTCTGTAACTCCTGTTTCCAAGAAGCACGGGTCTTCCTGTGTGCTGAGTGTCAGCTCTCCCTGACCCGAGGGCCCTACCCTGAGCCCCAGGGGATGAGTGTGTCTCCTCCAGCTTTTGTCACAATGCTGACGTGGCTCAGGAAAAGATGTTATATTGCACAGAAATAGCTGAACTTCTGTGAATCAGTATTAAACACCCCTTTAGCTACTGGCACTTGGAATTTTGTGCCTAAGCATTTTCAGCCAATCAGATTAAAGACTCAGAGCATTAAAAAATGAATTTTTATTACATAATAGTCATCACATTTTCATTATAGCTGAGTGTTTATGTCTTTTTTTTTTTTTTTGCTATAAAATTCTTAGTTGTTTTTGTTCTATCTGTCTCAGCACGGTGCATGATCCATGTCAGTATGCACTAAATCTTAGGTGTCAGGTGTCTCCCTGCTGATGGATTCTGCCATCGTATTCTTGAATAAGGAAAATCACATTAAGGAGCTTGTTTATATTTCCTGTTGTTTAATTAAAACATCAGATTCTGAGTGTTGAAATCAAAGACTGTCCTTTAGAAAGCTGGGATTTCTGTGTGGGTGATCAGGTCCCAGGATAAAGATAATTTTGAAAAATACCTTCAGTTATAAGAAAACCAGAGTTAGTAGATGGAAAACACTTGAAAAAACAAAAATTACTATTGTGTAAATTTATAACAGTATCACCATTTGGGAAAGACCTCAGGCCGTATATAATTTGAGAAAGACCTTATATAATTTTCTTGACCATCATCAAAGCATACTTGTATAGTAAAAATGGCAGTAGAGTAAAATGATATATGAATTTTTAAAAATTTTTCTGATTGCCAGTTTAATTACGAAAATTGGTGATAGAGAAATATTATCACTTATTCTTCTTAATTCTTTATAGTACAGTACCATTTATGGAGTTTGAGTACAAGAAAGGAAAAAAAATTAATGTCTACATATGGGACCTAGTTGTATGTTACAAAACAGTTCTGTTTTCCTTGGATTTATAGGGAATACATGGATTGTAACTGGTTTTCTTTTTTTTTTTTTTCAATTTTAGAACTAAGAGTTGCATAAACAGCAGAGATTCAATTAGATCAACCTGCTGCTTCTTTATTGCCATGCCATTCTTTATATTTAGAACATATAATTGTTTTGTGAGCAATAAATCCATGTCTGTTGACCTGGTTTCAAAAAAGTGTTCAGAAAAAGATGGAGAAAACATGTTTATTGAAAAGTGTAACATCTATTGACCCTGTTTCATAAAAAGTCCTGAAAAAGATGGAGAAAACATGTTTATAATGAAGAGTAAGAAAGTTCTGGCTTTCGCAAAACTACCTCATTTTAAAAGTTTATTTGGGACATTAGTTTTTTAAACACAGAAAATGACTATCTGTTTAGTTTCCTTTACATTGGAGGGGCTAGTCTTGAACTTGTGGCTTCGAGAGCTTGTTTCCACACTGGATAATAATAACCAGCAATCCCTTTGGATCAGAGCATGACAACCTCAGATAGTCCTGGCAGATGCAGGCTGGGTGGACCCACCTGGGATGTGGTGTATGCCTGGAATGAGCCCACCTTCTGACCTGGCACCCACAGGGCTCATTCACTGCTTCATGCTTTGTGACTCCCACTTGTTTCTACTTCAGAGATTTGATGAGATTCCTATTTAGCTCCAACGTGAAGGCTCTTCAAGTCCAAAAAGGGATTTAAGATGGGAATGCTTTCTTGCTCTTCAGTTTTTATTCTGTTGTTGATTCAGACATTATTCACCAATGTTGACTCTCTTGCCCAATATTTTTGCATCCATTTGACTCCATCTTAACTTTCTCTTTGATTATCTGCCTTTGTTTCTTCTCCCTGGGAAGCTATATAGTTTTGGAGGCCCAGAGTAATGTCAGTGTTTTGTTATGTTTTTGTTTTTGTTTTTCTTTTTTTAGAAGAAGCATTTTGGGGAATATTTATTAACATGCATAGGGCATCTTAACTAAGAAGAAATAATTTATGCACTGTAGAAGGGTTTGCAAGTCCATTTCCAGTGCACTAGAGAGCATTCATTCCATGCTGAGCCCTGAGATGAGCAGAAGATATTGGACTATTCCTTTCTTTGCCTTCCCTGCTACTTATTATCCCTCCTCTAATAGATAGGAATCAGCCAACAGGGAAATTGAAAGGCCTGTGGTTTGGTGTTGCTTTTTAATTCTTGACTTCTTTTATTTTTCATGTCTAAATTGTAAGATCTTCTGCTCCATCATCTACTAAACTTACTTTCTCTCTTCCTAGCCCTCAATTTTCCTACTTAATAGTAGCAATATAGTTCTTTCCCTTTGTCATAACTGGACTGTAGATGCATGAGAAACAGTAGAGAAAAGAAAAGCTTGAGAAAGTACCCTAGGGATATTACAATGGAGTTTTATTTTTGAAAAATTGCCGTGAGATTGTTAAATAAAAGGAAGGCACTGAAAACTTGTGTCCTGTTGGCGTAAACCGCTGGTGAGACCCAGCTCACTCTGCTGGATGTCTCTGCCTGGGTTCTCCACAGAAAGCAAAGCTGAGACCAGGGCTTGCATATGGGGTGCTAATTATAGAAAATGATTCCTGGGAACAGAAGTGGGGACGGGGTAGTAAAACCTGGAAGGTGGGAAGGCCACTCTAAGTTTGTTTTACCAAGCTGGTCACTGTTGGACAACTGGAGCTGGATCTGTCTGAGGAGTCTTGTAGGAAGCGCCTCAGTTGATCTGCCTGGAATATATAACAAGGGATCATGGATCCACTGGCTTCCAGCTGCCATTGGTCAAGAGCTCAGCCCTGGGGAGTTAACACTCCTCTGTCCTATTTGCCATGTGCATGAGCAGGTTCCCAGCTTGTCTTACCTTTTCAGAAAGCAAGATGTGTGCAGGTCAGGTGGGGTGAAGAGCATTTGCCACTCTATTAACACCTGCAAGAAGCTGGTTACTGTAGTAACGGCTGCAGGGAAAGGTGGGCTGTGAGACTGGGAGGTAAAGCCCAGAGGTCTCTAACTCTGTGAACTAAGAGGGAGTTCACAGAACACCATGGGAGAAACTATTAGAGTAGGAATGACACAGCTGCAAATGAAATTGGCAAGAATTTAGGAAAGGGAAGATGACTGGAAACATGAAAAGTCCTTAATTGAGGTTAATCACTTTATATTAGAAAATAAATGTAGAGGGTAACTTACTCTCTCCTTTTTTTTTTTTTTTTTTTTTTTAAGAGACAGGATCTCACTCTGTTGCCCAGGCTGGAGTACAGTGGCATGATCATAGCTCGTTGCAACCTCGACCTCCTGGACTCAAGCAATCCTCCTGCTTCAACTTCCAGGGTAGCTGGGACTACAGATGTGTGTCATCACACCTGGCTAATTTTTTAGTTATTTTGTTAGGATGGGGCCTTGCTATGTTGCCTAGGCTTGTCTTGAACTCCTGTGCCCAAGCAACCCTTCTGCCTCAGCCTCCCAAAGTACTAGGATTACAGGCTTGAGTCACCCCGTGTGGCTGGTAAACTACTCTTTAGGTATTAATCTTATAACCAGTTTTTGGAAGACATATATCCAGGTTATGTCATAGCATCTGTGATTTTAAAGAATAAATGTTTAAAATAATCTTTGTTTAACCTTATGAGCTAAACAAAATTGGAAGCCCTGAGGGAGTGGCTACAAGAGCTGCACCTGCAACCATGTACATCATCATCAATCACATAATCTAGAAATGACTTAGGTCCTATCAGGTGATTAGCTTTTTGCTGGGCACTTAGCATAACAAGATTCATCTTGTTTCCTCCCCACAAGGATTCCCCAAGGTATGTAATGACACAAGGGCACAAGGACACATGCAAATCATTACAGCGTGACGTGATGAGTGCTTTGTTAGAGATAAGGGACAGACGTGGAAACCCCCTTTTAGGATGCATGCACTATTTTTTTCTTAGTTAAGATGTCCTATGCATGTTAATAAATATTGCCCCCAAATGCCTCTCCTAATGGGATCACCCTGGGTCTCCCAAACAATGGCTTCCCAGGATATGGATGGGGCCTGGGTGAGTGCAGAGGTGCCAAGGTGATGCTGGGAAAGGGTTTAGAGAGCAAGAAGCAAGTATTTTCATCTCACTGCTAAGCTCTACGTTCTCAAAGCTCTAAAGGATTGCAGTGTCTTTCTTATGGCAGTGAGAGCCGTTGTGGTCTCTCCTGGCTCTCCTGGAATTATCTGTGGAATGAGAGAGTGAATGAGTGAACCAGCCACCCTGTAGCCTCTTCACCTTTCAGCTGGGAACCCTGGGTCTGTAGCTGGCAGCAACCCTGCCGTGGGCCCTGCCAGCCCAGTGCGGGGTGAGATCAGCTCCCTCAGGGCTCAACTTTGAGTTGGGTGTTGCACCCCTTCTCCCTGAACAGGCTGTGGCTTATGCAAAATTAACAAATAACCAAATTGAGAAAAAAACATGAATTCATCTGAACTCACAGGCTGAACTCATCAGTCCCATTCACCTTATTTCAAATTTCCTTTCACACTTAACAGGGGTACAATTTAGAGTACTATTATGTAGGGCCCTTTTTTTCAGTTCAAAAACAAAACTACAATGCATGTTACTGGTGAGCCAAAGATACTCCGTCCTGTTAGGGATACCTCTTCTCACCTGTGCTTTGAGAAAGGCCCTCTGAAATTTGGAATGCGAAGCTGTTCTTACTCTAGAGTGTGGGCAATTTGTCGATCAGGCAAATGGGAAGTCAGAGAAAATGAGGGGTCACTCTTCCTTTTTGCCACTCACCAAGGAATTTAATCCTCATTGACTCATCAGTGGGTCAACATTGCACCTGGGCTTGGCTTACATTGCAGCATTGCGGAAGGCCAAATGCTGGGAGTGTTACCTGAATGCAGGACTAGTTTTCAAGTGGCTCAGTGAACAGGGAGTCTGTGTTCCTGGATTTGAATAGTGTTAACTATGGGGTCAATCTAGTGTCAATGCTGGGTAAGTAAACAAGGGAGCTCTTTTTTTTTTTTTAAGTTGAAAGTGTGAGGAGACAAATGTATTTACTATTCTGGACTCACTCTCTTCCCTTGTCAAAACCTACCCTTGGGAAGCTGCTAGAATTTGTTCCTGTTAAAATGGTGAATGAATGCTAACAGTGACAATAAGGAAAATACAAAAAAAATGATAAAGAATGCCTAATATGCTCTACACATTGCATTAGGTGTCTTTTTATTTCCTTTATTTTCCTGACAAAGCCCGGGGAGCAGATGCCTTATCTCGATTTCAGAGCTAGGCAACTGAGGCCCTGAGAGGACCGGTGACCTGTCCAGAGTCTCACATCCCAGCCCTCCTGCACATCTGGGTGGAACTTAATTCCAGATCTCCCCCTGCCCTGCCCACCAAGTGACTGTGTGAACACAGGGACCCTGTGTGTGTGTGTGTGTGTGTGTGTCACGCAGAGCTTCTAGAATACTGGCTGCCACATAGCAGGCATTCAATAAATATGTTTAGAGATGTAAAATGCTGGTCTTTCCCTGTCCTATTCTCATCTTTACCTTCTGGAGCTGGTAATAATAATAGCAAACATTCAGCCTGCACTTGCTCTATGCCAAGCACTGACCTTTACACACATTTTTTTATGTGATAGATTCTCAGTAAAGCTTTGTAGGAGAATGTCACATTCTAAGCTGGGTCTCTCCAACCTAAAATGTGCACGGACCATCCTGGCTGCGCTCCCCAGCCCCCTGTTCAATGCAGGCCGCATTCACACAGTAAAACCCAGAGACTTAGTCTGCTGTGGGAAGCATGCCCCCTGCATGAAATAATCAGACCCTTTGCATTGATGAATTGCTCTCTTCTGGTGCATTTGACCCTGCTGTAGGTGTGAGGGGAAAAGAGACTTAGAGGAATTAGGAAATATAAGAAGCCTAAATGATTCGCTATCAGGAAGATTATTTAGTTACTACGGTTTTGCAGAGTTGAAACAATGACCAACACCTTTTCAGCCGTAATTTCCAGTAACAGGGAAACAAATAAAAAGAACAGATTCTCACCCTAATGTCTGGTGGCTTTGGGCAAGTCACAAATCTCTGGAGCCTCACTTTCCTCCCCTTTGGCCTAGTTTGTGAGGGTTGAAGACATAGGGGTCAAGATCTAATTTTTCTATGCCTAGTAAAACAAGTGTTGGTTTAGAGTGGGCAGGGCAGGGCAGGAACTGATTTCACTCTGCGGACAATGCTGGCAAACCTAAGACAGGGTCTTGCTCTGTCATCCAGGCTGGAGTGCAGTGGCACAGTCGCGGCTCATTGCAACCTTGACCTCCTGGGCTCAAGCGATCTTTCCATCTCAGCCTCCTGAGTAGCTGGGTCCACAGGCATGCCACCATGCTCACCTAATTTTTAATTTTTTTTTTGTAGACTTAGCTTCTTATAGAGCCACCTTTAAACCATGTCCCTCTTGTTTCCTGGAGTGGCAAAAATGCCTAAAGATGGTTTCTTGCTGAAGCCAGGGGCAGGGCCACGTGGCTAAATGACCTCAGCAGAGAGCAGTGTACTAAGGCTGCATGACTTCACCTCAGAATCATGGGGCAGAGACCCTGCCACAAAGTTTCTACTGATTCATTCACAAACATGAATCACACCTGACACGTTTAATTTTATTTTATTGTGGTAAGAATACTTAAGGTGAGATCTATGCTCTGAATACATTTTTAAGTGCACAGACACTATTGTTGCCTATAGGTACAGTGTGACCCAGCAGAGCTCTTGCGTCCTGCTTACCTGAGAATTTATGACCTACTGATGAGCAACTCCCAATCTCCCTCATCCCCCAGCCCTGGTCCTACAAGGTTGACTATTTTAGATACTTTAGGTTCCTCATGTAAGTGGGATCATGCAGTACCTGTCCTTCTGTTCCTCGAGTGGCATAATGTCCTCCAGGGCCATTCGTGTTGTGGTGGATGACAGGATTTTCTTCTTTTTTAAGGCTAAATAATATTCCATTGTCTCCTAGTGTGTGTGCATGTGTGTGTATATACACCCCACACTTCTAAAAAGCCAGAGTTTTAGACATATAGGTTAGCCAAGTTTTACACAATAGTGATGTTAGTGCTTGATATACCTGGGTCTAAATCCCACCGCATTCTTCCAGCCACCCAACCTGTGTCAGTCTTGGCTCCCTGCACCCCTCGTAGGGTGGCTGCAGTGATGCCGCCTGCCACGGTGGGCTGAAAATGAGCCGAGCTGGTGTTTCTGAAGGCTGTGCAGGTGTCAGGGCAGCTAGTGCTCTCATTATGATCACACTCTTCCACCACCAGAGACCAATATCAGACACGGTGCTTCTCCCACCACAGCTCTGTAGACTCCCGGGCTCTTGCTCTTCTGCAGTGGACGGCCACTCCTAGGACCTGTTTCTTGGCACAGGGTGACAAAGCCCCTTCTGTGGTTTCGGAGTCTCCCAGAGCTCCATAAGTCTCTGTTCTTCTTCCCAACAACATTGTTGTGTGGGCCTGAATTACGCAAATTTCTCTCTTGAATTAACTTCCAATACATTAATAATCAGAATTGACTTCTTTCTCCTGACGTGCGGTTGTACACATAATCTACTTCACCTCTCACACAATTTCCATCCACTTCATATTAATTTTGGTGTTCCCAGCTCATCTATTTCCCTTTTAGTTTTCCTTTCTATGTTGATGAAAAATGGGAGATAATTCCAGTAAATAGCCTCATCTTCACAGTTTATACATTATAGACTCAAACAGAAGTTTAAAGAGAATTGTTTCTTGAAATATGAAACATTAAGCGAACATATGAGATGACCTTATTAGGAAGGGCGTCCCAATTAAGGAGTCATCTGCCATGGGATCCACTGAATTTATGTATCGAGAAGCAGATAATTCAGAAATCTTTTGATTTTTTTCAGTGAAGTATCAATGTGGTGGTGTCAGCCTCTTCCTGTAAAATCTCTATTTGCCACTGAGCTGGTTTCACGCTGGTTTTATAAATCATGGTTTATGGAGCTTGAGGTGTGTTATTCTTAGAAAGTTGTGGAGAGGAATTCTGGTGTGCAGACATAGATTGCTCTCCCCAGCTGGTTTTGAATAAGATAATTATCACAGATTCTTACTCACAACTCCTAAATACAGTTGTGTCTTGGAATGTCTGAAATTAAACACTTATTTATTTCTTTGCATCTTGGTTTAAAATTATAGGATGCTTTACAACTATTTCTCTGTGCTAAAGGTGCCTAAATTATATTCTATCTTTCCCTTTTATTATTAAACATTTATTTTTAGGTGAAAGAGAAATGCGTGTGTGAGGGGGACGCAGGCTGGGTCCCACAGAGCCTTTCCTCTCTGATCATTTGGAAGCCACGGCAGGGGGTTTGCTTTCATTGTCTTCATCCCGGTTTCTCAGGTTTCTCAGGAATGTGTGCCATTCATCACAGGCGCACGTGGAGGTGGGTGGCTCAGTGCACATGCACCGCCTCTGCTCTAAAATAACTCATGCACATCCTGCGGGCCCTGGGTCTGAAGTGTCACCTGGCTCGTGAGGGATGGCATACGAGCAAATGCAAGTCTTAGAAGGCAGCATTCTAGAGCCCTGCCAGCCAGCGCCCCCTACCCCTCTTCCAAGTATTGTCGCCTTCCTCAGGTAACAACACTTTGTCTAGGTCCTCAGAACTGAGACAAGGGGCTGGTCAGAAAACAGCACTTCCTATCCCACAGTTTGGGAGCTCACAGGAGTAGACCTCCAAACCCTCCTTCTAGAAAGAACAGGAAGGATGAAAGAAAAAGAAAAATGGGTAAAGCGCATTGATGCTGAAAGCAAGTGGCTTCAGGCACAGGCCACACCACTCCAGGCACCCTCCTTGCTGCAGGGTGGACAGTCTGGCCTGGGCCACATCCTCAAAGACTGGCTCACGGCGCCCCCCGAGAAAGCCAGCCTTGGCTGGCAGGAGGGACATCTGCAGGGATAGTCCCGGCTCTTCGCCACCTGCAGGGCTCATCTGGAGATGCGGGACTGGGGCCACTACTTCCTCTCTATGGAGATTACTTTCTTGTGTCTTTTTTCCTGCTGCTTGGGGCCTGGGAGAAGCAGCAAGGCCATAACTGATCAAACATCACACAGGCAAGCGGGGTCTTCTCTGATCTTGTTTCTTACTAATATGGGCTCACCTCAACATGGAGGAACTCCTTCCTGAATCGGGACACTGCCCTGGTTCGGTGAGGATGGATTGGGAAGGCAGGCACCACTGTATCAGTGCTCATTTTGCTGCTTGGGCTCAGAGTGGCACAGTATCTCTCGCTGCCCTGGGTGGGCCCTGGTAAGCGGACATTCCTGAGATATTTGCTTAATGGGGAACAACTCTTTAATTTCCTCTGAACAAACTTTGTGTCTTTTTTCATAGTCAAAAGAAGGGATTCACCGTATGCACGTGAACATAAAGCTTTAACCTAATTAACATTACCCTTCATTTCATATTTTTCTATCACTGGTAACTGCACGGTGCTGGTTTATCACAAGTATTAAGACAGGAAGACTCTACTCTCACTGAGTAGACTTAGTGAGAAAGCAAATCAGGCACTGGCGTTTGAAGAACAGCCCAAGGCAACTGGCATGGGTTTTCTGAGGGTCCTTCAGTCGCGAGGCCTCTGTAGAAACCCTGCCCACCAACCTTCAGGCCTGGCTCTTGTTGACTTCACGTGAGCTAAACTCCAGCCAAGCAAACGTCTTGGGCTGCCTGCACATGCGGCCCATTTTTACACCCGTGGGTCTTTGCACCACTCTTCCTCTGCCGGGTCCTGCCTCCCTGCCCTTTCTCTCTATGAGGCCCGTTTCAGCCTTTTCCTTATTTGACACATTGTCCGACCACACCTGAGTCAGGTTATTTCACTGCTTTCTCTTCTTTTATCTCAGAACACACTGCTTGTGTTTCTCACGGGCACTCTTCTTTCTGCCTTTTCTGTCTTTTCCCGGGGTCTATCCTGGTCTGGAGGGGTGGCGCTGATGCCTTCCCCACCATTGTATTCCCTGGGGTGCATGGCACAGTGCCTGGCACCAGGGAGGTGTTCAACACAGTCCGGCTTTTCTTATCCAGAATGCCAATAATGTCACTTACGTGTGTGTAAAAATTTACAGCTAACTCATACAGCAGACATGACCTCTTTTTCTACTGCAAATCAAAATCCCTATGTTTTCTTTAAATGGCAGCATAATTAATGAAGTTATTTTAATTAGTTTCAATCTATACAATAGATGATGCTTAACTTGAACATAATATAGTTTCTCTACTGAAACTCTATACGTTGTTCTAACTGTATTTTTACTAGAAGAACATTCACCTCACCCATATTTTTTTTTTTTAATTTTTGTAGAGATGGGATTTTACCATGTTAGCCAGGCTGCTCTCAGACTCCTGGGCTCAAAGCGATCCACCTGCCTCGGCCTCCCGAAGTGCTGGGATTACAGGGTGTGAGCCACCACACCTGGTCTCACCGTGGATTTTTGTCCTGAAAATTGCAAATTGCAATCTTACTTACATTGTCATTACCAATCATTTCTAGGATTAGATACCACTCTCTCTCTCTCTCTCTCTCTCTCTCTCTCTCTATATATATATATATATATATATATATGCATCTATAGTCATTTTGCATTTTAGTATATCTTCCCAAACTTCACAAGGAAATAATTCATTAAAAAAAATCAGCCAGGCATAGTTGTTCATGCCTGCAATCCCAGCACTTTGGGAGGCCACGGTAGGAGGATTGCTTGAGCCCAGGAGTTTGAGAACAGCCTGGGAAACATAGTGAGATCTTTTGTGTACTAAAAATAAAAAATTAAAAAAAAATAGCTGGGTAGGATGGCACATGCCTGTAGTTTCAGCTACTCAGGAGGCTGAGGTAGGAGAATGATCACTTGAGCCCTGGAGGTCAAGGCTGCAGTGACCTGTCGTTGCACGACTGCATACAAGTCTGGATGACAGAGCAAAATCTCGTCTCAAAATAAATAAATAAATAAAAAATAAAACAAAAAAATGTAAAAAGATCCCACTAGACTCTGAGCTGAAATGTAAACTTAACTGTTGTATTATTTGCAGGATTTATAGGAGAGGAGAAGGAGACAGGTTGAAGCAGCCTGTGATTCCTGGGTCAGGAAGAACATGGAAACTCATGTCAGCCCGACTGTCTTCCACGCAATTCCAAGCTAGGAAAGCAGGAGTTCCCTTAGTATCCTTTCTAGGATTTGGGGCTTTATCCCTGGGAGGCATTTGAAGGAGAATTATGGTATACCTTTATGTGTTTTGACTCCATCATTTCCTTCCCAAAGAAGTGTGCATATTATAGGTTCGCCAACAATATGCAAGAGTTTAGGAGCTGATTTTTCTGCTGACATTCAGGTGCTGAAGTGGGAACATTTTCGGGGCTTGAGGTCTCGTATCTCTTGGCACAGGTTCAGTGGTTTCAGCTTTTAAAGACTTGCAGGTTATGAAACTTCTACCTTAATAGATTCTCTTAAAACCGGCAGTGCACACAGGAGCTGTGACCCCAGGGTGCATGTCCAAGTGGAGGATGGGGGCTCCAGCACTTTGACTCCTAAATGGCCATAGTCCCAGCTCTTTAACACAACTAAATCAAAGTTTCTTTTTCTATGAAACTCGGCAAATGGGCTAATTCACCTTCTCTAATAGTGACAGTGAACAGCAGTAAGTGTGTACAAATAGTGTTAGGGACTTCTAAACGGCCTCAGCGTGGCAGTAGTTAGAAAATAGTTGACTCTAAGGGAATGTTTTCCCCTAGTCTGAAAAGCATTCTTTCTCTTATGCAGAGAAAGATTGTCTACCTCTTAATCAGTCAGGACAGGCCCGAGGCAAGGGCAGAACTCCTGATGGCTGAAGACTTTCTGGTACTGCTGCTGCCTGCAATGCCCAGTCTGGCGGATCTTGGCGCTTGGCAGAGTTTGTGCTGAGAAGGGCTCGTTACTGGCCTCGTCCACTGTGGCTCTAGAATTGTGACCTGGGGTAGGAATATATCCATCATCAAATCCCTGCTTGCTAGAGGGTTGTCTGCAAGGGCCTTGAGTGACCCTGGAGCTACCCCAGTTTCCCAAGGCTGCTGGAGCTGATGTTCAAAGTCACACAGGACACTCACTGGCCACCATTCCTGGCTGTGTCAGGCAGGAAAGATGCACAGACCCCTGAGTGACAAGGTGAAAGTGTTTTCCAGATATTCAGTTCCTTAGACAAGAGGGCGATTATCAAACTTAATTAGGAAACGAAGGAAAAGTTTGATCTGGGAGCACTTTTTAACAAAGGAAAAACACGAAGTTAAAGTTTGTATAGTGCTTTGCACGCTGCAAGCCACTTTAGCAATTACCCATTTTATCTTTGCCATCATTTTGTGTATTATCATTACCATTTTGCGGATAGCAAAGTTAATGCGCAGAGAAACTGGGACTTGCCAAACATCACAAGGCTGGTTCATAACAGGAGATGGGTAGGAAACAGATCTCCTCTGACCTCTGAGGATTAACTGTGGGTGGCCTGGCTGTGCCCTGGCTGAGCAGATAGGATCAGAGGTTGGCTTTCAGGGTGAAAGCTAGAGTGGAGGGTTGATATCTCAGACAGGATGGATGCAGAAACAAAAAAGGAAGGCCAAGTCAGAGCTGTGGGAGACTCCAGTGCCTGGGAGTCCAGATACAAACACAAATTGGGTGATACAGGAGGCAGGATTCCTACGTGGGATGCCAAGCTCAGACCAGAGATACAAAATCAGAACAAGAGCAATGAGGGAAGGACAGTCAGACATGTTAGGGGAATGGACAGAGCCCTGGGCAATTTCTGCCAATGGTCGTGCAGCTTCTTGTAAAAGTTGGCCATTATTGGGTGGGAGCGTGCCCTCTGGTTACAGGGTTCATACTGGGAACACTGTCTCTCCAGCCCAAGCTGGTACACGACCCACACCACTTCTTTCCATGTAGTTATTAGTCCATTAAATAATTACATGTTTTCATCATTAAGACTCTGATGCAAGTATGGGTAATGACTATTCTTCCTATTGAAGTTTATTTTATTTTGCAAAGTATAAGCGATGTAGTTGCTACAAATTTGAATTCGTTGAAGATACTTGTGATTGACTATTGCTTTTATGATTGGCTTTTCATAAGTAGAAATAGAATTCTCCTAACTCAGCTGGTCATCTTTTTACTCTCTTCAAAATGGCATTTGAATGTAGCAGGAAAGGAATGCTGCCATTGCCCAGGTTTTCAAATAGGACCCTCTTGAGATATACTCAAATGAAAAAAAAAAGTATTTTTTGGCTATGAAAGGCATATTTCTCTTTTGTCTTCAATATATAATTTTGAAGGAGGTCAAGCAAGCATTTGAAAAACAGACAATTTTTTTTCCCAGACAGGTGCTCTGTTCAACAAAAATCACCATGTTAGATTCCTGGTGTAGCTGAGAGCAGGCATTTTGGAGGGTTAAGGCGATGTGCTTCCAAGCGACTATGAAGGTGGCCATTTACCTAGTGGGTAGAAATCAGAACCACATGATAGGGGAGGTCAGAGAGGTCACAGCAGCACACAGCTCAGCTGCTTGATTTTATAGATGAGAAAATGAAATTTCAGGCCTGACTTTCTTCCAGTTACAGAGCTGGCTCCTGGCAGAGCTGAGTTAGAATCCAATCTCCTTCTATCCCAGTGCTTTTGTCTTGTGTGTGACTCAGCACCCCCAGACACCCCATCCTCTGTTCGGTATCTTGAAGGAAGACATGTTTAAAGCCCTGGTCACTACTCATGGGTGGACATGGTTTGTTTTTGTTGATGGCTCCTTAAGGACAAATGAGTGAGCAGAACAATTGCAAGAGCATTACATAAGCTTGTAGTTATAATTTTGGTCCTATTTTTAAATTTTTATTCATTTATTTATTTTTGAGACAGAGTCTCGCTCTATCACCTAGGCTGGAATGCAGTGGTGTGATCTTGGCTCACTGCAACCTCTGCCTCCCGGGTTCAAGCAATTCTCCTGCCTCAGCCTCCCAAGTAGCTGGGATTACAGGCGACCGCCACCATGCCTGGCTAAGTTTTGTAATCTTTGTGGAGACGGGGTTTTGCCATGTTCGCCAGGCTGGTCTCAAACTCCTGACCTCATGTGATCCACCCACCTCCACCTCCCAAATTGCTGGGATTACAGGCGTGAGCCACAACCGTGCCCAGCCGTCCTAATTTTTTTTTTAATTAGATAAAATGATATTTATTTGTTTTTATGCAAAATTCTTTTAACTGCTAAAACACCCATTTATTTAGCAAGTATGTTTTGGATACTACTATGGGACCTATGTACCCAGGACGCTGAGATGAGCTGCACAGTCCTTGCCTGAGGACCTTGGGTCTGATAGCTGCAGTCATCGGTGTCATCACTGAGACCCTTGGAGGAGTCTGCAAGGTCAACACGAATTTCACAGTGATGGCAAGACATGATTCCCCCCTTTGCACTCCTCCCCTTTCATGAGCGTGTGGTGGAGCTTTTCAGAGGCGAGATGATATTGCAGCAGACGGGATGCCGCAGATCTGAGGATACAGGCCTTTTATGTTAAGCCAGGCCTCAGGCATTGAACACATTTGCCAAATGTAAATCAATGCCACTCTCCTCACTATTTATTCTGAAAATAGTCATTTCTTTAATATGTTAATGTTAATTATGCTTAACAGGGAGTGGGTTTATTATTGTTATTTTAAATAAATGTATGAACATTATAAAAACTTCTCAGTTTTAGAGTAGAATAGTGATCACTAGGGGTGGGAAAGGCTGGGGGAAGATAGCAAGAGGTTGGTTAATGGATATAACAGTAAAGCTAGAGAGAAGTGCCTTCTAGCATTCTACGGCACCGTAAGGGGACTACAGTAACAATTTATTATATATTTTCAATTGCTAATGTTCCCAACACAAATAAATGATAAGGTGAGGAGTAAGCAAGTCACCCGGATTTGAACACTACACTCAGTATTGAAATATGGTATTGAATATATATTGAAATATCACACTGTACCCTGTAAATAGGTACAATTATTATGTGTCAGTTAATAATAAAAGCAAAAAATTAGAAAAACAAAACCTCTAAGCTTTAATTACTAACATGGTAAATCTTGATAGCTGTAAGTCACACATAAAGAGTTGTTTGGCATTCTGAATTTTTTTTTTTTTTTGAGATGGAGTCTTGTTGTATCTACCAGGCTGGAGTGCAGTGGTGCAATCTTGGCTCACTGCAACCTCCACCTCCTGGGTTCAAGTGATTCTCTTGCCTCAGCCTCTCAAGTAGCTGGGATTACAGGTGCCCGCAACCATGCCTGGCTGATTTTTATATTTTTAGTAGAGACAACGTTTCACCATGTTGGCTGGGCTAGTCAATTCCTGACCTTGGGTGATCCACCCCCCTCAGCCTCCCAAAGTGCTGGGTTTATAGGCGTGAGCTACGACACCCAGCCACATTCTGAATAATTTTGGTGAATGTGAAGGGAGTCCTAAGACCAAAAAGTTTGAGAACCGCTGGATGACATCCAGGGCATCCCCCAGCCAGCTTCTGCACAATGGGTCTGATGGGGTCCCTCAATCCTGCACCTTCCCTCAGGCTCTGCAGGGAACAGGGCTCTGCAGTTGCCTGCCCAGGGTAACTGGGTTGCTCCACATTCCCTTGTGGTTTGCCATTCTTACCATTGTCTTTGTAAAATTTTTTAATTAAATTCTCCTTGAGTCATTTTAATTTGGAGATGCTCTCTGTTCCTTGGGAGGACCCCAGTTGTTATATTAAGATTGATATTAAGAGAGAATTGTGTTTACTGCATCATAAGAACTTGCTTGATATTATAAAAATTACAGAAAATTGTATGCATATGTTCTCCACTGGCTTGCCAGTTTTTTCTCAATGTCAAACAATTGAGCTTGTTCCTATTTACTTTACATATTCTCTACCAGTATCAAGCTAGATTGTATTTTCATAAGAATAACTACAAAGATACAAGTGGAGTTATTAAATGTTCAAGCTTTATATCCCCACAGAGTCTGTAAATTGACTGTGTCTTTTACATTTTTGCATCTTTCATAGCTCTTAGCATAGTGTCTTACAGGTAATAGACTAGTTCAGTTCCAGGAACATTTGCTGAGAGTTCCACTTTGCAGAAGGTGTAGTGGTTGGTGCTGAGGATATAAAGCTGAATCAGAGTGTCTTCCTGACTGGAGGGATCTCACCGTGTGGTGGCTCACACACAAATAAACAGTGTATGATCGTGCAGGGTGGCATGTGAGATTGGGAAGGGGTCAAGAAAGGGTTCCCAGAGAAGGTGACATATTTGCCCTGACTCTTGAAGTGGGAGTGCAATTCAAGGTGGAGCAGGTGTTGTTGGTGGAAATGGTGGTTAGAACAGTAGAGAGAGGAGGCAGAGTAGGAGCCCAGGCACGTGTGGCACCCATATGGTTTCTATTTAACCTCCTCACTGGGATGGCTGCCAGGCCCCTGGAATTCACCAAGTCAAACTCACCTTTCCCACGGCACCTGTGCCCTCACTCCCTGCAGTGCCTTCATCAGTACCTGGCACTCTGACCCACCAGGTCCCATGCCTGAAACCTCCTCTAAACCTCCTCTGCTCCCTCAACTCTCACACCCACAGTGTGTCAAGTTCTATTATCCCTACACAAGTTCTATTAACTCTAATAGAACCCTATCAAATTCTATTTTCTCATAAATCCCTCCCTTTCTCTCCATTCCCCCAGCAAATGCCTCAGTTCAGGGAGTTTGGGGCTATAGGTTTGAATTTGAGAATTGATAAAACATATAAGAAAGTAAAGTCATTAAAACAAATGCTGCTCCTATGTTGAAAGTGCTTTCCCAAGAGAGCATGCCAGGCTGTGGAACACTTGTGAGGTAATGGAGCGAGGCCAGAGAGATAGAAGGAAAGCCAGGCAAGGTGGCACTGTGGAAGCCAGTGGTTGCTTCAATATGGAGTCTTGCTGCTGCCTGGCCTCCAGAGGGGTCCACACCCAACCTAAGGCATTGCCTTAGGCAGCATGGGGGTCTCTGGAGAGTTCGGTGTAGAGTTGCCTGATAAAATACAGGATGCCCAATTAAATTTGAATTTCACATAAGCAATCTCTCTCTCTCTCTCTCTCTCTCTCTCTCTCTCTCTCTGTGTGTGTGTGTGTGTGTAGCATAAGTATGCCCCAAATGTTGCATGAGACAACATGAGTTTACAAACATTTAATATTCTTCAAGAAAAGTTTTAATAACAGAATAATCCATTATATAAGATGTCGTATAATCACATATTTTAGTCTGTACTTTTTTTTTTTTTGAGATAGAGTTTCACTCTCTTGCCCAGGCTGGAGTGCAGTGGCATGATTTCAGCTCACTACAACGTCTGCCTTCCTGGTTCAATTCTCTGGCCTCAGCCTCATGAGTAGCTGGGACTATAGGCATATGCCACCACACCCATTGTTTTGTATTTTTTAGTAGAGACAGGGTTTCACCATTTTGGTCAGGCTGGTCTCAAACTCCTGACTTCAAATGGCCTGCCCAGCTTGACCCCCTAAAATACTGGGATTACAGAGGAGAGATTCTTAAAAGTAGAATTAATGGTTTTTAAAGGAAATGAATAATTTTAAGACTCTTGATATAAGTTGCCTAAGTACTTTTCAACATGGTTTAACCAAACTTACTTCCACAAACTAGGTATGAGAATGTATTTTTCATCACACTCTGATGGGGAAAAATACTATCTCATCTTAATTTGCATTATTTAGTTTTATTTATTAGTAATTTGCATTTTTATGACCTTGAATTTTATCTCTAGCACCACTAATGATGTAGAAATGAGACAAAATGACAATAAAGAAAACTGTAATTTCCTTCTATAAACAGTGGAGATAACAACATTAATACATATAATAACTTAGTAATACAGTAGAAGTAGTAGTTTTTAGTTTTTAAAGTGTTCTCCACTTCCTAATCCTGTTTTTTGGAAGCCATCTAGGACCACATTATCAGAAATTATTTTGAATCTGGGAACTGAACACTTATATAAAAATCTTAATTTTCTAAACAATAAATTTTGCATGTTTTCAATTAAGTTGCTAATACATAAAATACATTCTTATAGATTTGTGTGGATATTTTATTCCTCATCATGGCTGTGGTGGACATGTTTTGTTTTGATTTGTTTAAGAATGAAGAGATTTTAGTGTATTTAGTTGCTGACAGGAGATCCTGGTAGTTGAGGGGAAGGGTTGCTAAGAGGCAGGCCTCTAAGCAGGTGAAATCCAGTGTCTGGGAGCATTTGGGCAATGATGACCAGTGCATATGAGCCAGAGCCTTGCTGCTTTGGCTCCAGCAGCACCACCCACACAGCCATTTCTAAAAGCAGAGCAGCCTCCTGCAGGGGATACAGCAGCCCCACATGACTTCTTTCAGGTGCTTCTTCTGCTCCAGGCCAGGGTTTTCATTAGCAACATGGTCTTTTCCTTGTCTACCTTTTCCTGTTCTTTCTGAGAGCTTAGCAGTGGCCTTTTTGTTTCCTGTTGAAATACCAGAAGTGTGAAGATTTTAATAAAACTATCAGCAAGGACACAATTGATATTTAAATATTTCTCACTGGCCATTTTATCCCAAGCATCTACCCTGGAGCACAGTATCAAGTACCCTAAGGCTCGTCTGGAAAGAGTTGGAGAGGCCAATCTCTGGTCTTCCTCTCCTAATTCCTGAGGAGTCTCAACACTCCCCTTTACTTGTGAGAGATTGCAGCTCTATGTGTCAACTGAAGAATCACAAAGCTTATAAATGTGAAAAGAAGAGCTTTATTTTTCATAAAGGGTTGTAGCCTGCAGGCTGAGAAGTGTAGCCTCTGGCAGAAGGTGAAAGCAAGCACTTCGAGGGAGGGAAGGATAAGACAGGAATTCCTGTTGAGTGGGTTGGCTACACATACATGTTTAATCAGTTATAGGAGGAGTCATGAATATTTGTGAAAGGAGAAAAATGCACATGCACCATTGAGCTATTTGCCTCTTTATGGACCACATGTTCAAAAAAGTTTGCTTTGGCATGATCCAAGGGTGGAGCTTTTGGCCCTCTGACATCAAAAGATAAAGCAGAGGACATGAAAAACCTCATTGTACATCCTCTGCAAGCTCTGGCCAGAGCTTGTCTGGAGATGGCAGTCAGCTTTTAGGAAGGGCTGCATTATGAAACTGGTGAGCTGTCACATCAAAATTGTTAAGAGGAAGGAGGACTCCAGTCATGGCCTCAGACAATTGGCTAAACGCAGTAAAGGAATGGGTCATCTCTTTCTTGCTTTCCAGAGCTGTTTTCTGCTTACTCCTTAGTTAAGAATTTTGGTTAGAGGTTAATAAAAAGAGAGGCATACTGAGGTATAACCGGCTTCCGTTATGCCTCATCCAGTAACTTAATTAACCTTTTCTCAGCTTTTAGGGTCTTCTAGGCCAAAGGGGCTTGTTTAGTCCACTGGGGATCAGGACTGTTTCTCAGATTTCAAGGATGATGTCCTTAGAGTTTTTCTACATCCTGGAACTCCCCTGCCCAGGATGGCGCCCTTTCTCTTCTGTTAGACATCCAGAATTCTCCTAATCTGCCTTTGCCCAGTTATTCATCTTTCCTTCCCCTCAGAAGAGCCCTCTTTCCTAACCTGGTCACATGCTTGTTCTCTCCTCTACTGGCTGAAGATCATTCCTGCTTCTGCTCCTTTCCCAAATCTATATCTTCTACCTGGAACGCTTCCTTCTTCCTATCATCTTATTTTCTGCAAAGTCACACACATCTCTTCCATTCTGATCACTGCTCTGTTTTTCTCTCTCTTCCAAGGTCCCACAGTCCTGCTTACCTTCCATGCACAAGTTGGGCTGTGAAAATGCTGTCTTGTGTTGTTGGCACAGTTGTCTTTTTAGGTGGAATTTTAGTAATTTTACTTCATCTCTTGAATCACATGCCCTCTTAGTGCCAGGCAGGGCTGGATCATAAAAAAATTTTTGTGGGCTTACCTCCTAACTTGGGCTGTGTTTGTGCTTTTGTTTTTGCCTCTGACCTTTGGCCTTGGAGGAAATGAAGCACAGGAAGTAGCTGAAGAAAGCAGTTAAGAACTAAGACCAAGAAAAAGGGTAATTCTGTGTGGTTCCTGGTGTGCATTGCGGAAATGGGCATGGCTTCTTTAAAGCACTGACTGGTTAGACCATTCGTGTGTATAAAAGGGCATAACATAGTTTGCTATGTTTATTGCTTTTACATTTTATCAAGATGTGATATTATTGAAGTCTTTAATATTAATAATTCCGTTACTCTGTTTTATGCTTACATATTTTGTATAAAGCACAAATATTGTTGCAGATCTAGTTGCTCTTTATCTCTTAATCTTAATGCCTCCCAGCTAAATGGTTGTAAGATGTTTTATATATTTAAGTTGACAAAATTATATTGTAAAATGTAATGTTTTGAAGTGTATAGGCCTTGTGGAATAGTTAAATCTAGCTAACAAATGCATTGCCTTACATAGTTATCATTTTTGTGGTGAGAACATGTAATATGCATTATCTTTGCATTTTTCAAGAATATATCATCATTAATTATAGTCACTATACTGTACGATAGACCTCTTGAACTTATTTCTACTGTCTAACTGTAATTATATATCCTTTGACCAGCATTTCTTTATCTCCTCCACCCAGCTAACCAATCCAGCCCCTGGTAACCACCATTCTGTTCTCTGCTTCTATGAGTTCAACTTCGTCAGATTCCACATGAGTGAGATCATGTGGTATTTGTTTTTCTGCAGCTGGCTTATTTCACTTATCATAATGTCCTCCTGGTTCATCTGTGTTGTCACAAATGACAAGATTTCCTTCTTTAAAGGCTCACTACTAGTTGATTGTATATATAGACCACATTTAAATCCATTCATTCACTGATGGACACTTAGGTTGATTCCATATCCTGGCTGTTGTAAACAATGCTGCAATAAACACAGGAGAGCAGACATCTCTTTGACATACTGGTTTCATTTCTTTTGGGTATATACCCAGGAGTGGGATTGTTCAAAAAAAGACCTACAAATGACCAACAAGTATATGAAAAAATGCTCAGCATGACTTATCGTCAGAGAAATGTAAATTAAAACCACAATGAGATACCATCTGAAGCCTGTCAGAATGGCTATTATCAAAAGGACAAAAGATAACAAGTGTTGGTGAGGATGTACAGAAAAGGGACATTTGCACACCATTAGTGGGAATGTACATTAGTGCAGTCATTATAGAAAACACTGTGAAGGTTCCTCAAAATACTAACTTTGACATTTTAAAAGGGAGCAGGGCACCATATGTACAAGAGCAGCATTGCAGAAAGATTGGCTTCTAATTCCTTTTGAGCCATCTTTGACTTAGTAGGCCTAAGTTTTCACTTGGAGTCCAGCAATTTGATAGCTATAGGTAATGGGGAGGTATGATTTTCCTTGGACTTGACACTGCTCTTCCATTCACCTGACACTGATCTTCCATTCACCTGTCCACATACTCTTGCCCTTGCCCCGGTCAACAGCTCTAGGGCAGTGCTCTCTCTTGTGGGATTTCCCATGGGTGAGTCTTTGGGTATGCCACTGGCCAGAGGTAGCTCCACCAGAACATTATCCTCTGTAATTAATGCATTATGGGGTTGTGGGTTGTGCTGTGGAAGGAACCGTTTAGTACCGAGTCAGTGTATCAGCATCTCAGGTGTCTTGCTTGGGAGGCTGGAGTCAGATGATTTTATTTCAGTGACAACTGGACATTTGGGCTGACTATCCAAAGACAGCTGCAGAACCTGCAGGGTGATGAGTACCTTTCAACTGTATCTTCCACTGTCTTTCTGCTCATTTTACATGATAAATTTTTATCTTTGTTTCAGGACTTTATTAAATGTCAATGGATTTTCAAATTTTCTATTACTCTGGTCCCATAATGATACAAATGAGTTAATAGAGCTGTCAGTGATGAGAGGGAACCCTCACTCTGCCCCTGCCCCAACCGCAATAAAAATCAAAGCCATGTGGCCCTCCCTTTGCTCAAGCCATTCTGGGCCCACATGGGAGCTGGCCCTGCTCTAAGTCCCATGGTGTAAGTGATCCATTTTTCCACGTACTCTTGGTGTGTGTGTGGTGTCATCAGCCTCAACATCTGAACAATTCTGGTAGCACCACCACCATACTTGACAGATCCTGCTGGAGAGCTGCTGACCAGGGCGTCATCTACACCCTGACTGAAGTATCCCTGGTCAAGGACAGCATAACACAATTGGCCGGCTTCAGTCAGAGGCAGAGTTTGTCCTGGCCAACACCAGCCCTATTTGCACATTTGCAGAGACTCTTGAAGCATTGGCAGTGGTCTGGCCTTGTGGTCTCACCAGTGGCAACAACATTACTGTCTTATCCAAGGTTACCCTCTGTGGGGTAAGGAACACTTAGAATTCCTCATCTCACAGAGATACATAAAATATGAATCAAGATCTTATGTGCCTCTGTATATGCAAAAACCACAACACTAGGCCTCAGAACTCCAGACTATGTGGCTCTGGTTCAGTTCCTCTCAAGGCATGCCACGGCCGTGATCATAGTACGGCCAACCACATCAATGCCAGGCTGAGTGGCGTTCAGACACCAGTCACAAAGCCCAAAGACTTTCCCATCCTTAACCGCTTGCTGGCCATTGCCTTTTTATTTTTCCTCTTTGACTATGTCCTCGAAGACTCCTTGAGCCCTGGCCAAAGCATGCCTTTGAACAGCCAGCATGATACCTTTCCTTTGTTTCTTGGTGAAAGTTATGATATTGTTACCTGTACTTCCCCATCAGCCAACATAGGCCAAAACTGTTGGCCAGAAAACAAAATAGTCACCAGAATGAGAAACCCCAGAAGAGAAAGTGACACATGTTTACCATCTATGTTCAACTCAGAATAGCACGGGAGACGCTCATTAGGCTATGCCAACGGTGGAGTGTACAGTCGGCTCCACCAGCTCTAGCTGGCAAAGTGGTACAACTCAGGCCATATATACATGTAGAGATAGAGATATAAATATAGATACACAGATACAGTTTATTACACTTGTAACACAGTCCACTATAGTCTCTACACACACACACACACAGACACACACACAGTTCTACAGTGAACTGCATATGTACATCTTAGCATTTTAGGATATTATTTGTGAAATATGTTGCATTAGAGCTAACCATCACTGCTGCAAGGTACTGTTAAAAATGGCATGTTCGGCTGGGCATGGTGGCTCATGCCTGTAATCCCAGCACTTTGGGGCGCCAAGGTGGGTGGATCACCTGAAGTGAGGAGTTCAAGACCAGCCTGGCCAACATGGCAAAACCCCGTCTCTACTAAAAATACAAAAATTAGCTGGGCATAGTGGCATGTGCCTTTAATCCCAGCTACTGGGAGGCTGGGGCGGGAAGAATTGCTTGAACCCAAGAGGCAGAGGTTAGAGTGAGCCAATTTCAAGCCACTGCACTCCAGCCTGGGCAACAAAGTGAGACTCCATCTCAATTAAAAAAAATGGCTTGTTCATCTGACAAAGGACTAGCATCCAGAATCTCTGAGGAACTCAAACAAATCCCCAAGAAAAAAACAAATAATCTCATTAAAAAATGGGCAAAGGTCATGAATAGACACTTCTCAAAAGAAGATATGCAAATAGCCAACAAACATATTAAAAAATGCTCAACATCACTAATCATCAGGGAAATGCAAATTAAAACAACGAGATACCACCTTACTTCTGCAAGAATGACCATTATTAAAAAGTCAAAAAACAACAGATGTTAGCGAGGATGTAGGAAAGGGAACACTTATACACTGCTAGTGGGAATGTAAATTAGTACAACCTCTATGAAAATCAGTATGGAGATTCCTTAAAGAGCTAAAAGTAGATCTATCATTCAATCCAGCATTCCCATTACTGGATATCTACCCAAAGGAAAAGAAGTCATTATATGAAAAAGACACTTGCACTTGTATGTTTACAGCAGCACAATTCACAATTGCAAAGATGTGGAACCAACCTAAATGCCCATTGACTGGATGGGTAAAGAAAATGTGGTCTACATATATCACGGAATACTATTCAGCCATAAAAAGGAATGATATGATGTATTTTGCAGCAACTTGGATGGAGCTGGAGGCCATTATTCTAAGTGTAGTAACTCAGGAATGGAAACCAAATATCGTGTGATCTCACTTACAATTGGTAGCTAAGCTATGAGGATGCAAAGGCATATAGGGTGATATAATGGAGGCTCAGAAAAGTGATGGTGGAGGGGACAGGGATAAAAAACTTCACCTTAGGTACAGTGTAAACTAATCGGGTGGCAAGTGCACTAAAATCTCTGAATTCACCACCGTATGATTCATTCATGTAGCCAAAAACCACTTGCACCCCAAAAGCTACTGAAATAAAAAAATTACGCCTTAAAAATTGGCATGTGTATTTTGCCTAGAGAACAACAGTTCTCAGAGTTTAAATAAGATTAATTTAACATGCTCTGTTTAACACTAGTCCCATCAGATGATATGAGAGAAAAGGTTTCATATATTATATTTGGGAAATGTGCCAACTAGATATCAGCTTAAAGATTTTCTGTATACCTTAGTAATTAATAGGCTTAGAAAACTCAACAGCAAAGAAACTTGTTTCATGTTATGTAATTATCTTCTAGTGCTTTTCCTACTTTTGTTCATTACTATTTTTACTGATTAATTCAACAGATTTTCAATTGAGGGTCTGCCATGTCTTCTAGACCCAGGGATACAGCTGTGAATAAGACAGATAAGGTCTTTTCTCTCATCAGCTTATATCCTGCAACCTTAATTTCTGTCCCTGAGTAATGACAATTAACATCCCATGGAACTTGTGCTCCCTGCCAGGCAGGTTTAAGTTGACAGCTCCCAAGGAAATTTTGTGTTTTCATTGGAATGCTTCTGGCCATGGTTTGAGATGTGCAAAATTGGAATAAGAATCTTCTGGGTCGTGAATGATGTGAGAATTGCTGGTAAACTAGGTAAAAGTGGAGAAAAGCCGAGTAAAATCTATTACCCCTCTTCCTGGGTCAGAGCATCCTTAGCACCGCGAGGACTTCAGCTCCCGAGGACCCTGTCTATGCCCGGGGTACTTTGGATAGAGCTTTCAGTCTCCTATGAGCCCGAGGCAAATTTCTGTTCCTGAAACTCCCACCGTGGCCCTGCGGAGGGAGGAAGTGGTGAATAGCACTCAAGACTGTGATGGGATCCATTTTGCCTCATTAATTCTGTGGGGCTGGTTTTGTTTCATTGCCTTCCACCGTTCACTGAGCTACCTGGCAATTAAGAACGCTTCATTTCTTTTGAGGGCATATGAATGCTGTCTCTGTAGGTCTTTCCTTGTTACCACTTCACTAGATACAAATCCAGGACCTCATTTGAGCACTGTGGCCACATCCAAATCAGGTTTTAGAAATAAGTTCACTATAACGATTACATAGAATGTAATAGTTGCATTGTTTTTAAATCAGTTTTGCTTCTGTCTCCTTTCTGTATCCCAATCTTGTTGGTCTGCATAGAAACCCAAATTATGCTTGGAGTTGTTGAGATGGACTTTAGAGGATGCCTGCAGCCATGTGGAGCTGTATTCCAACTCAGAGAGGCAGCTGAATGTCCATTGCTGCAGGCAAACTTCAGATGTCCCAGTCTTACAAATTCCTCAATTTAACTAAACACAAAGATCTCTTTTACAGTTTCCATCAAACCTCAAATTCTGTGCCAGAAATTAACATGCTGGAGCTCCAGCTGACCAGCATTATGAAAAGCATTTCTACTTTCCATGGACTGTGGCTCCGTGTTTAATATCCAATTAAAGAATAGGGACTTTGCTGGTAATGATAAGAGACAAACACAGTAGTAATTACCCAGTAAGAAACGGATGGCCGATGATTACAAAGTACAGAATGAAACACTGGGTGAAATTTTCATACCTCAACTAAATTATGCCAAGAGTGTTTATTCCCAAAACAAGATTTTGTTTTGGGGGATTGTATAAGTCTATTTACAATGTACGCTTGTCTGTAAAATTGTACATATGATGTATGTAATATTTCCAAGGCAAATTATTTTTTCAGGAATCACTTGTACATTTTAGTGGATTGAGTTGATTTAGTGTGTAATTAGGAATGAAGTTTCCTGATGAAGTTGAGACCAGGTCTCTGCATCTGGAAAACAGGAATTAGGGATGGTGCCAGATCTTCCCCAAGTGTCTTTGACTGACTGCCCTTCAAAATCCTGAAAGTTTCAGAATCAGCATCAGGATACCTATGAACAATGATAGTCACTGGGGCACTGAACAGTAGGCTGTCTTTCTGTCTTATGAAACACCATTATTGACACATCAATGATTAATTTCTAATTTTCTTCCTCCCCTGCCACCTTTCAGAGCCATGGCTGCCCTATATGGTGGGGTAACAGAGAGTAAAGAGTAGGTGGAGATCACAATGGGTTTCAGCATCTTGGGGATTATCTTTGACCTTATGGTGCATCATAGCATCAAAGGAAGAGCTACCACATCTCACATTCAACTCAGAGGGTCAGAAGTTCCTGGCATTTATATAAGTAGGTGTGTTTTTCCATATCACTCTATCTTTTCAGAACCCATTAATTTACCCTAAACCTTTTACCCTTCCAACATACATTCCATTAGGAGGGGGACTTCTGATGTATCATTTCAGGGGTCCCCTCTGAGGTTCTTATCTTTTTCTGTGTTCTTGGCATTTGAAATACACCTTCAAGAACACTGTGGAAGTTCCCAGATTGTCATAGGCACTCCTGATGTCTTAGAACCAGGCACGGCACCTAACTCCACGTGCGTGCTCTCAGTATCCATTATCCAGAGAGCAGGATAAGGCAAGAAAGCAAGTTCCATCTCTATGGCAGGTAGGAAAGGCAACAGCTTCTAGCTCTGATGTGATAAAGATGCCTAAACATGAAAGGGAGACATACTACACATACCCCTTGTCTTTCTGTTTAAAAACAGCCACAGTTAGAAAAGATGACACCCATCCTAAACTGTCTGAAAGGCTGCTGACAATTAGAAGGGAAGTCAATAATCAAAAATCTGTGGGACCTATAAGAGGAAAGAAAAAAATGAAACAGAAAACCCACTTTATGCTAGACATTATGCTAAATGCTTTGCAAACATTTTGCTATTTCTTTCTTACAACTGCATTATCAGCCAAAAATTGTCTAAGGGAGATGCAAGATCTTCGAAGTGGAAGCAACTTTCCCCATTTCACACAGCTCGTACAGGGAAGAGCTGGAACTCCACCAGAGTATGCCAGGCTGATTTTCTGTAATAACAGCAACAACTGCACCTCATATTTGAAGTTTTGCAGTATACAAGGCACTTTTATACATACATACATGTGTGTGTATATCATTGTGTGTGTATGTATAAAAGTGTCTTATATGTATGTGTGTGTATATGTATATGTACGTGTACTTTCTAATCTATGGCTAATGGGTTAAGGGACACAACCTGAACTGGAAGGGCAGTAGTTTCATGACCCCGGGCTTGGGGCACAGGGAACACAGCTTTGTGAGTGTGGAAAGGGCAATCTAATCAGATTTCATGCCTTTCTTTCCTTTAGTAATTACTCTTCTCTCCAAAAATTAGTATTGAAAGAAGAACATGGAGACCATGCTTTACAACTGGGGTTCTATTGAGAAGGCACATAATTGAGCAGAAGTTAATATTACCAGTATTAGAATAAAAGAAGGGTAATAATAAAAATGCTTTCCACTCATGGAGGGTCTCCTACAGCAAGCCCTCTGCCAGATGCTGCATGCCACTTACAGCTCCCAGCAGCCATACTTCAGAGTGGAAAAAGCTGAGAATGGAAAAAGTTAAGTGCACACTCATTAAACATATACCTATTAGTGATATGACCCTAACTCTTTTCATCCCATCTCACTTTTTAAAAATCTTATATCTTAACCTTCCATTAGCTAAATGACTTTTCTAACAAGCTTCTGAGTATTTGGAGAATAGAGATGAAATCTTTCACTTTCTGTATCACTTACAGTGCATAGCACTTTGCACATAAAAAGGCACAATAAATACTTCTGGATTTCGTTTGGAAAATATAATCATAAATCCAAACAGTATGCTTCTATTTAGTCTTATGATGCCAAGGCAAAACTTTTAAGTAAGGAGGTTTCCTTTGATTACAGCTCTTAATACATAGAGGTTGATCCACTGAGCCTTGCTCCCGGGTATAAAATGCAAGACCTAAGTGCATTCCAATTGAGTTTCATGTACCCATGGTTCTAATCAAGAAATCCTTTAATAGCTTTGACATCGGAAACATGAAGAAAACCACGATGCATCTATTTGATAATTGTGTTGGTTTATGAGAAGTTTTAGTCTCTTGAGGCTACATAGAATTACTTTCCCCTTTTTCAAGGGAGACTGTCTCTGTCCTCATCCTTCATGGAAACTTCATGACACCAGTTTAAAATCAGAGATGGGCATATGATGTATGTATTACAAGAACCCTAAAAAATGCAAAATATTTCCTACCCATCTTCAGTTGACGAGTACTTACCTTTGACATGTTGCAAGTTTATTGATGGGGCCCAAATTATGAGAGTGAGTACTGTTTTGTCAAAGCCTTGTATGACATTCCCCGATTAGGACTGTGCATGGTGATTTATTTTCAGCAAGGGTGCCTGGCACAATGTGCCATCATTATTCAGCATCTCATCTGAGCCCTGGCAGATCCCTCAGAGCTATTATGCATAGGCAAGTTCTAGGAATATTTAATGTGCTTTACCAACAGTTGATATTCTTTATCACTATAAAATAAACTTAACTGCATAAAGATTATGGGCACAAGAAATAATTCTAACAATGTTTTGTTTCCCTTTTCCTTTTTTATCAACTTGTGTCAATTGTATTTAGTTATAGAAAGAATATATATATTTCCTTTAGTTGTTAGAAGTTTTAGCTAAGCATGCTTCAATAAAAAGGGAGGAAAGGAAGGCAAGGCATTTTATCTTCTGAATGTGGTTTTCCTTCTGTTTACGACAGTTTTCTCTGCACTGTTGGCAGGCAGTATGATGTAGTATGAACTCCAAGAAACTTGGGCCCTGAGTCGTAATTCTGCAGTGTACTAGACATGCGACCTTGGGAAAGTCACCTGGGTTTCCAATTTTATAAAATCAAAACAACGATATAATAATATTCACTCTAATACTACCTCATAGATGAAGTCATATCACTTTGAAATCTATAAAGAGCAATGAAAATATAAGGGTATCTGTTTCATTTCTCTGTTTTGTGCCCTTTGAATGCTTTTACAATTGATTTTTAGTTTACTTCTTTTAATCCTTCTCTGGAAATTCCTTTTGCTCACCTCTTGAGACCGTCTTGATGCATTTGTGCTTTTGATCGAGTACACATTTTTATCTCTAAGCCTTTGCCCCTAGGGCCTTTTACTAACATGCTTCTCTGCTCCTCTCCCTCCTTCTTCATTCCTTTCCTATTGCCTCTGCCTTCGCCAGACTCTTGTCTCCCTCTTTCACATCACAGTGTTCTTCTCCTCTTACCCACCTGTTTCTTCTTTCTGCCTCTATTTTGCAAAAACTAAAAATACCTAAAACTCTAAAATTAATTCGTTCTCCTCCATGAATACACTTTATGTGCTCATTCCTGAAACCATAGTGTTTCCATATACTTCTCTAGAGGCCACCGTCACCTCCCACTGGGGCTTGACTTGTTGCTCCTGCCAGTAAGTTCCTCCCTGCCTCCGGGCCCAGTGGATGCTTCTTCCCTTCCATGTGAATGACCCTGCTGAACTTGCTGTTATTGCAATGCATGTAGGTGTGCATGTGTGTATGTGCGTGCACACACATAGCAAGCTAACAATAAGCTTGTACATTTCATAGCACTTTGTGGCCTGTGTCCATATTGACAGTGCCACACATTGATCCTCACACCCGTTCTTTGCTGTGATCTAGGATAATTACAATCTCATTCATTTACACAAAAAAGGAAACAGAGACTGGGTGAGACGATGACTTGCCAAAGGTCGGCTAAGTGAGCAAGTTGGGACTTGACGTCTTGTTTTCTGGCTCTGCATCTGGTGTTACTGGCCATGAAGGACTTGTCAGTTGCGCCCTGTGAAGTAGTAGGCAAATGGTTACATTTCAAGGTGGTTAAGATGTTTAGCTCTCAACGAATACTCCAGTGTGCCTCAGTGTTGAACCAGAGGGTCTCCGTTGGAATAAAATTATACAATTAGCCAATCAGGGGCCGTTCGAAGTAGTTCATTCTGCAACTCTAAGTGGCATTATGATCAATGAGATGATATTTACAGCAAGTCAGAGAATAAGAGCATCTGAAACCTTATCCCTTCTCACCCTCACCCCACTGCCATCTCCTGTTCCCTATTGTCATTTGGTCTCTATTCTCACTGTTGTCACCTGACGGCGAATGAATTCGTCGGTGACATTTATCAAGTGCCTCTGCAGATAGAGGACTGCGTTTTATCCAGGGGCGACTTACGAAAGGAGTAGAAGGTATGGCCTCTTGCGTGAAAAATGTTCATGGTCTATTCTTTCTTGATGGAAAATGAAACTTACACTTAGGAGTTTATGTTAATGTCAAATAGCGTGAAGACTGACTTTTCCCCATGACAATGTGCAAAGCTTCTGGCAGCAAATAACGTGAACATTCAGTCAAAAGGCAAACACTGAGACACTTTCCTGAGTTATAAGTCTGACTGTTGCATATAAAGAATCAATTAAATAGCACCTACCAATAGAAGCCATGAAATACAATGATATTGATAGATCTGATTTGGATGTATGTGTATCTCTTTTTCAAACAAGATTCTGGCCCGATTATGACACGATCTTCCTTCTCCAGACAATTAATGAATCCCTGAGAATTTCCTTTGAATGGATGATTGCCATCTGTCTGCTCGCAGTATATCCACTTTCATGCATTCTGATTTATTTTTAGTGCTATTAACAATTGTAGTTTGTCTTCTAAATAGGAATTGCATTATTCTAATGTTTGAGGGGGCAGCTTTTCTGTATTACTGTCTTTGCTAGGAGACCATGGAAAGTGTCATGTATTTATGTGCATTTGCATAGCTGACTCTGTGATAGGCTGAAGTGAAAGAAGATCAGATTTGATGGAGGTAGCAATTCTAAAAGGACATAATGCAAGCGATCTGACAAGGCTGTCTGTAATCACGACTACACCTGAAAAACCAGACTGCATTTGCTGAACAGCATTAAATTCTGACAGCTGTAAAAGTCACACACATTCATTCTTGCCACACATCAGGATTTACTGGATGGGTTTACTTCAACCATCATGTCAAGCTGGCAAAGTAGGAGAGGGGAAAAGAGGAAAACATGTCCACCATATTCGTAGCTCTAAAGTTAATGGCTTAAAAAAGCATGCACTCACTTTTTTTTTTTTTTTTTTTTTTTTTTTATTTGAGATGGAGTTTCGCTCTTGTTGCCCAGGCTAGAGTACAATGGCACGATCTCGGCTCACCACAAGCTCTGCCTCCCAGGTTCAAGCGATTCTCCTGCCTCTGCCCTCCCGAGTAGCTGGGATTACAGGCATGTGCCACCATGTGCAGCTAATTTTGTATTTTTAGTAGAGACGGGGTTTCTCCATGTTGGTCACACTGGCCTCGAACTCCCGACCTCAAGTGATCCACCTGCCTCGGCCTCCCAAAATGCTGGGATTACAGGTGTGAGCCACCATGCCTGGCCGTGCACTCACTTTTTTACATGGTTCATGAAAAAAGCAGTGCCCCCAGTTATACTAAGGTTGTCAGGGTGACTCCAGGATCAGTTTCTTCACTGAGTGGC
Source organism: Homo sapiens (assembly GCF_000001405.40). Lineage (NCBI taxonomy): Eukaryota > Metazoa > Chordata > Mammalia > Primates > Hominidae > Homo > Homo sapiens. The sequence continues at coordinate 73,868,760 of NC_000018.10, read as the reverse complement.
TCCAGATCTACCCACACCTACAGTTGATGCCTCCTAGGACTGTTGTTTTAGGAGCTCCACGTCTCAAGGGACATGTTCTTGAGACATTTCTACATTGGCAGTATGGTCAGTTACTGTACAGTGGGGTTTTATGCCAGAAAATTTAACTCCAGAGTTGATGAACTCATGGCTTTAGCAAGAGGAGGTAGGAATTCAGTAGAAAGCAAGAGGTAGGAAGATGTGGATTGAGAAGGAGGAGAAAGAATGGGATGTAAACAGAGATTCTGAAGCAGCAGCCTGAAGTGGGACTTCAAAGGTCTATTAAATTTTTTTTAACGAGTTAGGTCTTGATCAAGTTTATAGTTCATGATTTTGAGTGAAGGGCATGTGACACATTTCACTTGTCACAGCACTGGTTCTTTGTGACTTTGTTATTTGCATATCGTCTCCTGGAGCAGCTTGCTGGAGAGCGAAGCACAGCATCCCCTTTTGATGTAGACCCTGAGGTGTGGGGGTTAAACTGCTCCCCTTAGGCGCTATCTGGGGCTCAAGAGTCTTTCCTTGGGGCTGTATAGGGAGCTGATCATGGCTACCTGCTTTCAAAAATCTTCTTTAAGCAAACTCCTCTAGCATTCTATTCTCATTAGAAATCTAAGAGGTTTTAGTTTTCCTTCCAGTAATTATGACTTTTCATTTAATATTGAATTAGAGGTGATGCTGTTAATATTTTGGAATTATAAGATTTGTATGGTCATAGTGTAAATTTAAAAAGAAAAATGATGAGACACTTACTCCAAAAGAAAATGAGAATAGTATTTATTCTTAGAAACACAACCAAAAGGAATAAAAGAATATAAAACCCATCTGATATTTTGACAAACCTCACCCCTCACGGCCCACATAGCCATTCACTCTAGAATTCACAGCTGCTGTTCCTCTTGACAACAGATAATGAAACTTGATGATTTCTGAATTCCATAGTCTTTCAACCTGAATCAAAATAATTAAGTATAAATTACCCTTGGCCATATAACTCAAGGGGAAAAGAAACCCTTTAATATCATAGATTTTTATAAACAAGATCCTTACAAAAAGGCAACTAAAGAAGTAGTGTGCCTGTCAGGGTGTTCAACGAAAGACCTGTGGCAGTTGGGAGAACCAAGTGAAGCCAGATTTAATGTTCCCATTAAAGTGTTTGATATTTGTATTCATGTAAGAAAAATGCCTCTGCTGAAAAATAGTTTGAGGCAATGAACAACCATATGGAGGAAACTCTGAATTTCAAGCAGTTTTTAAAGAGTCTAGTTTCCACAAGCCAGTTTGGCAGCATCTTGCAAAAACCCCCTGAGAGTTCAATTTAAAATTTGTAAAAGAAAACTGGGTTTCACATCCCTGGAGTTACCCAGTGGGGAAAGTTTATCTTAAGGGAGGGGATGTAAGCCTGGAATAATAGCCATCCTGTGGTGTGACTGAAAACCAGGTGACATGAGGGAGAGAGTTGTCTACGGACCCTAGAAGCAATCCAGAAAACCCAGGACAGTGTGAGGAGCAGCCAGACACCAAGGCGAGGGTGGGAATAGGCCAGTTGTGAAGAGCTTGGGAGAAGAGGATAACCAGCAGACTTGGGATGCAAAGACTCAGACCCCTAGACTGTCTACTTCAGTGACTATGAAGAAAATCTGGACGGGCACGGTGCCTCACGCCTGTAATCCCAGCACTCTGGGATGCCGAAGCAAGTGGATCACTTGAGGTCAGGAGTTCGAGACCAACCTGGCCAACATGGTGAAACCCTGTCTCTACCAAAAATATAAAAAATTAGCTGGGTGTGATGGCGTGTGCCTGTAATCCCAGCTAGTCAGGTGGCTGAGGCAGGAGAATTGCTTGAACCTGGGAGGCGGAGGTTGCAGTGAGCCAAGATCGTGCCACTACGCTCCAGCCTGGGAGACAGACCAAGATTCTGTCTCAAATTAAAAAAAAAAAAAGAAGAAGAAGAAGAAAAGAAAACCCAAGGAGCAGAGCTAGAACGATGGGAGCAGGCATGAGAAAAGGAGACAAAAGGGAAAAAGTTATTTTGTATTGATTTAAGAGAGGTGGCTTTCAACCCAAGGACCTTTACCAAGGGAAGATATATGGAGAGCTGGTATCATACCATACATGAGGCATGGTCCAGCAAAATCACGTGGGCTGGGGCATCCTCAACAAGTCAATGGTATGAGTCCAAGGCACATAGTTTTGACAATTCAAATTTATAAAAATACTACATGTGTGCTATGCTTCAGCTTACTCCTGAAGAACTAGCTGAAGACGGGGCAAAGCCTGCCAGAGAAGCTCAGTGGTGACTCCACCTAGTTGGAAAAAATTTGAAAAATACGATTCATTATCTTCAAATGGAAAGAGTAAACCTGGGAGATACAGTGCTCTAATTAATTGTAGACGTAAATGGGAAGAAACAGTTATCTTGGAAAAGTGACTGCAAATTTGGAAAGTTTAGAATAGGAATATGAATTCAAACCATGGCAAGGTAAGATGTGGTTAGCAAGTCTTCACTAGCATTTTATTTAGAGGACAAGAAAAAGTTTCAACTATTCAGGCAATAGCCAAAAAAAAAAAAAAGGAAAAAAAATCAGCTCAAGAAATCATGTGTATGTAATTGACAACTAAGAAATGTTTCAGTGGTAGGGAAAAGCTGGCATTGTCTATGATAAAACGGGAATTGTATATAGTCTTGATAATTAGGAAGGCTATCTTTGAGTAAACTATCCCAAATTGTCCAAGGAGGCGATTTGTCTCTAGTTATGACAGATTTACAAGAATTAAGTCCTGTGTACTTGTATGGGAATATCTGTGGTGGTAGGTTTCAATAACATATGGACAATAGTGGAAATGAAAAGCTCAGAGACTCAAGGGACATTAATAATGAATTTTGTTTGTTTCTTTGTTTGAGACAGAGACTTGCTCTGTCGCCTAAGCTGGAGTGCAATGGCACAGTCTAGGCTCACTGCAACCTCGGCCTCCCGGGTTCAACTGATTCTCCTGCCTCTGCCTCCTGAGTAGCTGGGACTGCAGGCACTTGCCCCTACACCCGGCTAATTTTTTGTATTTTTAGTAGAGACGGGGTTTCACCATGTTAGCCAGGCTGGTCTCAAACCCCTGACCTCGTGATCTGCCCACCTCGGCCTCCCAAAGTGCTGGGAATGCAGGCGTGAGCCACCATGCCTGGCCAATAATGATATTTTCAAAAGAAGAGAGGGAAAAGATTAAAAACTGTTACCTCCACTATTGAAACTCATTTTTGAAAGGTCACTTAGGGACTCCTGATTTCGGAATTTATGACACCTTCTCAATTCGATTTCTATTCAACTTGGGAGAGCCATCCTTTATGGCTGGCTCTTTAACGTAGGCATTCCCAGTCCGCTGCCTTGGACCCTCTTCTCACTCTCCCTGGCTGATGGGTTTCCTCGGGAGATGTCCTTTCTTTCAAATTTATTTCTTTACACCTCTCCAGATATCCACACACCTAGTTCTAACCTCCGTAGTACAATTAGACCCAAGTCTTCAATTACTCATTGTCATTTACTTGTTGAGAGCCTAGAAATCTAGAGAAAGGGCTAAGCATAGAGGTGCATACGTGGAGTACATTATAAGGAGTTGGTTGAGCAAAGAGGTGTGGAGATGGCACAGCTGGAAGAAGACGCGAGCTTGCCAACTTGGGGATGTGGAGTGGCACGTGGTGTGGCGAGAGCTTCAGGAGGGCAGGGTGTGGGTGGAGCTTCTGCTTCTGCAGGTCGGAGGGTGAGCGGTGATGCGAAGGTGGGTGGATGGGTTTGGGTCAGAAAGGGCCCTTCGTGCCCTGTAAGGAGCTGGGTTTGGGTTGTACAGGGAACTTCCAAAGGATTTTAATGAGAGTTGGGATGTGCTTGGATTTGCCTTTTAGAAAAATTACTTTGGTGGCAGAGAGGAGGATGGAGGGAAAGGGGCTCAATTTTGAAGGTAGGGATCCATTAGAAGGCTGCTGTAGGAACCCAGGTGGGAAGTGCTGAAAAGCCTAAACTAAGGTCCTGGCAGTGCAGGTTTAAGAGGTCAAAATTTGGAGTGGCATTTAGGGGAGTGAACTGGGAGAGATTTATCATTAATTGTACATGGGAGCGGCAAGGGAGATGGAGGGATCAAGGGTGACTGTCAGATTTCTACAAAGAAATTGAGCAGATGGTGACATTTCTCATCAAGAGGACAGCATAATGGAAGTGAGTTTTCAGGAAGAGATGGTAAATTCAGATCATCCTCACTGGTGCGCTCTCTCTCTCTCTCTTTCTCTCTCTCTCAGGCACACACACAACGCCATCATGCTCTTGCTGGGGAAAAAGCAAGTTATATTCAAATACAAATTCAGTCATTGCTTCAGGAAGGAGTCCTTGGGAAAAGTAGTTTGTTTTCTTAATGGCTTTCCCATACACCCTCTGGGATGCCCACATGCTTCCTGAACATGGAGATGCTCTATGTGGCACGGGCACTTTTGGGGGTGAGTAATTTGTAGGTCTGCTGCTTACATCAATGACCTTGCAGTCCTGACTTCAAAGAACTTTGGGTACAGAATATCTTATGACTGTTCTTAAAATGTCTGACATCATTACTGTTCTTAAAAGGTCTGACATCAGATTAGTCCTTACTAAAAGAAGAGTCTTCAAAATAGGGAGTTTGGTTGAAAATATTTCCAGCAGGTTATTTAGCATTTTGCTAAACTTCCCTTTACACACTTTTGTTTTTTCATAAACCCATACATAAAATTTCCTCACAATTCTATATTTTAACAATGTCCCTATTGAATTATTGGTATAGAATAACTCTTCTTACAGTCACTCACTGTGTCAAACAGTTTCTGGACTCACCGCAGTCCTGATGGCCAGCCTCAAGTGTGCCTCGGTTTGAGGGTCTCCTCTCGCCCTCACGTGCTGTGGCATCCAGATGCTCCGCATGGGGCTGACCGGCCCAGGCTAGGTTGGCCTCCTGGCTTGCTTTCTGAATATCATATTCAGTCTCCCAACCTCATCATCACCCTGCTGACTGATCTTGAGCACAGTAGAACTCCAGTTCTTTATATAATGTCTCTTTTTAGTCACATTTTCTTCCAGATAAATTTTGATTCCAACAGCTGACCTTTACACTTACCCATAGGCTTGATGTCTTGTTCCAGCCTGTAGTTTATTAAAATAACATAATGTATAAAGTGTAATACAAAATAATAAATATACATAAATACACATATAATTTCCTTATTGTATTAAATCATATCCAATATTCAATACATTTAATATATTATCTTTAACATATAAATTGTAATAATTTAAATATTTATATATTTATAATAGATATAACTCTATTATAAAAATGAGATAAAATTAACAAAATAAATACACACATGTATATATACTCAAGCGCACACACACACAAGTATGCATGTATGTATGCACATATGTGTTCATATGTATATATTTGGCAGAGCAAGTTTCTTTAATGAGAAAGGGATATGGACATTTTGCTCTGGGTACGTGAGTAGTGTGAAGGCCAAGACACTGGTCTGTCTTTAATGAGAAAGGGATATGGACATTTTGCTCTGGGTACATGAGTAGTGTGAAGGCCAAGACACTGGTCTGAGGCAGGAGCCTTGCTGGGGAGGGCAGTGCTACTCCTCTCCCAGCTGTGTGGTCCTGGGACTGGCTGGAGTTCACATCTCACGTTTCAGTCCCACTTACCAGCCCTATAACCTTGGGGAGGACAGTGAACCTCTAAGCTGTGCCTCCTCGGCTGTAGAATGGAGTAATCATGACACTCACACTGCTGTGTTGTGGAGGAGACTGAATGAAACGATGCCTTGCCGAATGCCTTGTGCAGAATCAGCCCTGGGTAAATCAGTTATGTTAGTGCGTGGCGGTAATCACTATCATTTCCCTCTTTCTAGGTTGCTTATGCTCTTTCCCAGGGTTAAAGGTTGATTTAAATAAGTAGAAACTTCTTGAACTGTTTTGTAGAGGGCTTTTTTGTCTTCTTAAGCAAAATCATGGCTGCAGTCGATTTTTAAAGTTACACCAATACCTCAAACTAAAAAGGCAACTTATAGAGCACATCGCTAAAAATCTTTTTGGTAGAAGATCTTGCAAATTGATCCAGGAGTACTGTGAATCTGAAAATCAAGTTAGGTTGAAGGTACTGTGCTGCTTTCAGTTTTTTTCTGAAGAGACAAAGGCTTGTGAGGGTCTTGGGGTTAACCAGGAGACAGATGGATTCCGAACTGGTGCCAGACCTCCCTGAGCTGAGTCTCTCATCTCCCACAGAGGCTAATGGCTGTTAAGATCCATAAAAACGGCCAGGCGTGGTGGTTTATCCCTGTAATCCCAGCACATCACGAGGTCAGGAGATCGAGACCATTCTGGCTAACATGGTGAAGCCCCATCTCTACTAAAAATACAAAAAATAAGCCAGGCGTGGTGGCGGGCGCCTGTAGTCCCAGCTACTTGGGAGGCTGAGGCAGGAGAATTGCTTGAACCCAGGGGGTGGAGGTTGCAGTGAGCAGAAATCACGTCACTGCACTCCAGCCTGGAGACAGAGCAAGACACTGTCTCAAAAAAAAAAAAAAAAAAATTCCACAAAACCACAAGATGCAAATGGTAGCCAGAGCTTGCTCTAAACCCGAAGCCTCCCTCCCTCATACTCGCTCTACTTATATGGTTCTATCTAAGTGCCATTTCTTCCCGAATTATTTTTACCTTGAATGTGATATTACTGTTGTGGTTTCAGAGGCATCTGACAGCTGTGGCTTCAGTGTTTCTGATTTCCTCTTGTTGCAATGGTTTCAGTTAGAACCTCAGCCATGGGTGCTTGGGAACAGGCCTCACATTTTGGTGTCTGTGTCTTTGCCAGGCTCCTGCAAGGCTCTCGAGTTAGGCAATGTCAGAAACTTGATTGTCTCAAAAGACCGGGATCCGAGGCACTACCAGTTGTTAAATTACAGTAGGAGCAGTATCTGGTTCAGGACCTGAAACTTATTCTGTAACTACCTATGGAATACTTACAGAGTGTCTGCTGTGCATCAGGTGTCAAACTCTGTTGGGGATACAATGATGTGTGAGACCTTCCTGTCTTCAAATCACTGACATTCTGGTGGAGGAGAGGGACAAATAAACAGGAAATGTTGTAAGTGCAATGACCTTTAAGTCCAGGGGCTGTGGGAGTGTGGACGAGGGGCCATAGTCCAGCCTTCCTGGGGAATGGATACTCAGAGAAGGTTTTGGAGAGCTGAGATGAGTTCCAGTTGGGAGCAACTGGGGGAAAGGAGAGTAGGGAAGGTATTCCTGGCAAAGAGAAGAGTGTACTCAAAGTCCTGGAGGTGAGAGAACATGCTGTGTTTGGAGGAACTGTGCAAAGTTCAGTGTATGTCTAGAGCATAGATTCCAGGGGCCAGGGGGTGGCAAGATACAAGCCTGGAAATCAAGAAAGTATTTTATTATAACAGCTTTGAAAGCTAGATGAGAGAGCTTCCTCTGTAGGGTTGTGGGGGCACGCTGAAGGGTTTTAATCAGGGATAAAATGATCTGACATTTGCAAGGCCCCCTTCCGGAATTCACTCAAGAGACCAAATTGCAGAGCTAAAGGTTGCTTGATGAGCAAACAATTAGAGCAAACGAGCTGAGTGATCGGAGGAAACGATCCCAGCCAAGTAGCCGAGCTGGGTGATGTATACCTCTGTGATCCTGGGGTATTCTGTCTAAAGAACTGGTCCAGCCATACCAGCTCCTTCACTACCACCGAGCGCACCCACTCTCTGGACAATCACCACCTCCAAGGTCGTCACTGCTACATCACCACACCCCTGCTCCCAGGGTGAGTGCTTATTTCACAGGGTTTCTTGTTAGAATGATGCTTTCCCAGTGAACTCTCAGGTTCCATTCATTAGCAGTACACTAAGACTTCATTTCTTTGGGTAGGTTACTGTGGGAACGATGGCTGCAGGAAATGAGCTCCTGTGGTCTCACTGTGGGGATGGACCCTGCGGTGGCCAGCAGCTCCCAGTGCACTGGCTGTCCCCACTCTCCAGTGGATTAGTAACAAGAATAACAACAAAAATACCTGATTGGAGGAGAAGCAGCATGGGGCTCGGAAAACATGAAATGTGAAGCAGAAGCAGTTAGATTTGATTTCTTCTCTTCCATTCATCCCCTATTCGACTTTGGGCAAGTGACATCATTTATCTGAGCTTTAGTTTTTTTGTGTGTAAAATGGAATTAATTGGGCTGTTCTCCTGTGGTTGCTGAGAAGACTGGATGGGTTAATGCCTCTGAAAATGTTGCATAAATTGTTGCTTTATACACAGTGTAAAAATAAAGCATGTACTGGAATGCTTATGTTTTTACCAAAAAATCTACCTGCTCTTTTCAAACCTAATCCTCAAAATAATCCTTTTTTATAAGAAAACGGAGCCTGCAGGAGATGGATTGCCTTGCTCATGATCAAGGAGCTATGAAGGTGGGGACAGAATGGATTGTCTGTTCTTTCGATTTCTGGACCGGGGCTCTCACAACCACGCTGCTCAGCTGCTTAATGCAGCCGAAGGTTCGTCTTGCTGGCTTGCACTGCTCAATCAAGGACTCTGTGTACTTTCCTCCCTTGGAGTTGGAAGTGCAGACACTTAATTATAACTTTCGATTGCTTGAAATTATAGGGCTATAGAGTGACTGGCACGTGTTTCTGAGGAAAATCATATTCTACATCCTGAAATAACCATCTCCTTTTTTCATATTCAAGACAAATGCAGGGATCTAGCACATGCATCACACACTCAGTGTTTCCTAGGATGACTTGGGAGCTTTGAAAAGGACTCTTTATGGAAATAAGGGGTGGGCTATTACGTCATGCTTCTCCATCCAATTGTTTAGGTTTTAACTGATGCTGCCCCAGACCATTGGGAAGAATTTGGAAGACTTATTTATGGCTTCTTGGTAATAGTGAGAGCACTGGCCTCCTGAAAGAGGACCTCATAGTGGAGGAGGTGGGGCATTGGGCATAGGGTACATAATGGAATGACAGACGGCAACTTCAGAAATTCATCAGGAAGCAGCATTTTGTTTTGTTTTGTTTTGTTTTGTTTTGAGATAGGGTCTCACTCTGCCTCCCAGGTTGGAGTGTAGTGGTGCAATCTCAGCTCACTGCAGATTGACCTCCCGGGCTCAAGCGAACCTCCCACCTTATCCTCCTGAGTAGCTGGTACCATGGCGTGTACCAGCACGCTCTGTTGATTTTTTGTGTTTTAGTAGAGATGGGGTTTCGCCATGTCACCCAGGCTGGTCTCGAACTCCTGCGGTCAAGCAATCGACTCACCTCGAGCCCCAAAGTGCTAGGATTATAGGACTGAGCCACTGCGCCTGGTCTAGGAAACCATTTTTTTTTTAAAGCAACATAAATCTATTCTCCCATAGTTCTGGAGGCCACAATTCTGATATAAAGGGGTTGAAAGGGCTGTGCTGCTTTCGAAGGATTAGGGAAGACTCTGCCCTTGTCTCATCCAGTGTCAGATGACCCCCAGTAGATCTGGACACTCTCTGGCCCGCAGCTGTTCACTCCCATCCTGGCCTCTGTCCTCACATGGCCTTCTTCCCTGCATGCCCCCCTGACTCTCCCTCCCCTTTTCCTTATGATGACACCAGTCATTGGACGTAGGGCCCACTCAAATCTAGTGTAACTTAATCTTAACCAATTCCATCTGCAAAGACGCTATTTCCAAATAAGATCACATTCTGAAGTTCTGGGTGGACATGAATTTTGGGGGAACATTATTCAGCCCCCTATAATCTTCATTTATAAAGCAGGAGAAAATATACCAAAGTACTTCAAGCTAGTGAAGACTGTCAAAGATAAATCATTTTAAAGGCCAATATCAACTCAGCCACTGGGTTTTCATTAATTACTAGTAAGACCACCCCACCTGCCTCATGAAATGTGTCCACAGTATCTAGAGCAGCACAGGAGAGAGGGCCCAGTCCTCCACATGTTTTCACTGAGACCTCCCTTCCCTGGTGTTGGCATAGCCAGCCTAATCACTGCAAACTGGCCACTTACAGGAGCAATTCTAGGAAGCAAGCTATAATTAAAGCTGATTGCTAACTCATTCCCATGAGAATGTCAGCACAAATCTCAACTGATCAGGAAATATTAATTTTTTGAATAAACCTCCATTTGAGGAAACTTAAAATTCTGTTCTTTCTCTGTACACACTGGCCAAGTATTTGCATTGGACTTCAAAAAAATGATTATAATTATAGCAGGTGGAGAAAGTCATTTCTGACAGGATAAACAATGGAGGAAAAACACAAGCAAAGACCCCAGGGTGTAAGCAGTCTTGTTGCATGGTTGGTGTGGCTGCCGCAGTGGGTGTTTGGAGAAGGAGGCAGAAGATGGCACCTCCTTTCCCAACACCATGCTATTTGCCCTCCAACTCTTGGTGTGGGCATAATGTCCTGGGTGGACCTGGCATGAGTGGGTGGTCCTCTCTTTCCCCCTGTAGCACCTGGTCAGTGTCTTCATTATGTCATCCATGTTAATGCATCTCAAATGCTCATTTGACCATTTGCTTTGTCTCAAGACTGAGTTTTCAGAGGGAAGGTTCTATGTCATTTCTCTCTCTCTTTTTTTTTTTGAGACACAGTCTCACTCTGTCACCCAGGTTGGAGTGCAGTGGTGCAATCACAGCTCACTGCAACCTCTGCCTCTCAGGTTCAAGTGATTCTTCTGCCTCACTCTCCTGAGTAGCTAGGATTACAGGCACGCACCACCACACTCGGCTAATTTTTGTGTTTTTTCAGTAGAGATGGGGTTTTACCATGTTGGCCAGGCTGATCTTGAACTCCTGACCTCAAGCGATCTGCCTGCCTCGGCCTCCTAAAGTTATGTCATTCTTCTTTGTAGCCCTAGTGCCAAGTACCTGCCTGACCAGGACTCACCGAATGTTGTATAAGTAAAATGCCTTAATCAGGGCAAAGCCATATGTCAAAATTAAGGAATGCCTTGGGAATGTTCCAGAATTCTTCAGACCACTCTAATGTTTGAATGGAAGAGACAATTTATCTTTCCCTTCTCCATCCTCATCCCTCTGGGTTCAGGCATTGAGGTAAATAAAGCAGGGTTCATGTACATCTATATAAGCCTTGTTTTCTCTTATTTAATCTGGAAAATCAGAGAGACCTATGATTTTAAGGAAGGCAAGGACCAAGCACTGAGCAACTCAGATGAATTGTCATTGGAATTTCTGTTTGATGGACCAGAGTTGGGGTGGTGGAGGTGGTAAGTGTGTGAGGACATTGGGAAGGCCTTTCAGCTGCATATTCACAAAGCAGGAAGGAATCACTGAGAGCAGTGTTTCCGCAATAGATTGTACTGTGGTCTCCAACTCCTCGGGCCCCTACCTATTGGAGGGCGTCCTGTCCTACTTGTTGCCGCGTGACTGTGAGCACTGCCCTGGAGGGGGCAGTTCTCTGTCCCTCTGCTGGGTTTGGCCACTTGACTTCTTTGGCCAATGGAATGCGGTGGATATAGCATAAGCTAGGTCAGGGCTGAAGCTTCAATGCCATTGCTGTTAGCTCTGCCAGAGGATGGGTGTGACTAACACACAGGTTGCTCTCTGGGGTAAGGAGACACATGCCACAGGGGACCCACAGCTCTTGTACAGTATGAACAAGATATCAACCTCTGAATGAGAAATAAGCCTTGATATTGCAAGCAACTAAAATTTTGGGATTGTTAGCATAGCAGTTTGCCAATACAATTTCAAATTTGAGCAATTTCAAAAGATCCACTTTAAAAAGAGCTGCAGTCACTGGGCACGGTGGCTCATGCCTGTAATCCTAGTACTTTGGGAGGCCGAGGCGGGTGGATCACCTGACGTCAGGAGTTTGAGACCAGCCTGGCCAACATGGTGAAATCCTGTCTCTACTAAAAATACAAAAGTTAGCCGGGTGTGGTGGCACATGCCTGTAGTTCCCACTACTTGGGAGGCTGAGGTGGGAGAATTGCTTGAACCTGGGAGGTGGAAGTTGCAGAGAGCTGAGATCATGCCACTGCACTCCAGCCTGGGTGACAGAGCAAGACCTGATCTAAAAAAAAAGCTGCAATCAAAGTAAAACAAAAACACCCATTGTGTTAACATAATATTTTGTATTTTTCTGGTTTATTTTTTAATGCTTTCATGTTGCTATTTCACTGAATCCTGGTTGTCACTTTGTTATGATAAGCATTGTAATCTCTATTTTCTGGGTCTAGAAGTAAACAAGACTTACTCACATCTCATAGACAGCAAATGGCGTAGCTAGAAACTGAGCTCTGGATTTTTTACATTAAACCTCAGGCTATCACACCATGGCTTCCACTCAACTTGGAGGGGGATGGTTAACTGAATCCTGGTGATGTGGTTTGGATCTTCTTCCCACCCAAATCTCATTTTTAATTGTATTCCATTGTGTTGGAGGTGGGGCCTAGTGGGAGGTGATTGGATCATGGAAGGGATGTCTTATATGTAGCACCTCCTCCCTTCTCTCTCTGTGTTGCTCTGGCCATGTGAAGTTCTGGCTCCCCCTTTGCCTTCTGCCATGATTGTAAGTTTCCTGAGGCCTCCCCAGAAGCCAAGAAGATGCCAGCATCGTGCTTCCTCTACAGCCTGCAGAACTGTGTGCCAATTAAATCTCTCTTCTTTATAAATTACTCAGTCTAGGGTACTTCTTTATAGCAACGAGAGAATGGACTAATACAACTAGTGATGACCAGAATTGCACTAGTTTGGGGGTTCTATTTTGGCCAGGGCTACAGTGACTTCGACTGTGAATTCTTGACTTGCAAGGATGGAAATGATACATTCTGTAGTGACCCCTAGGGATGGGTCTCTATCTTGTTTACAAAAGGGTCAAAATAAATGCACATTCATTTCTATACAAAATATGCTGGAGAAAGTGCTAGAACACTCATGCACATTCTCGCACACATCACCTTGGGAATGGTATGAATCAACATTGCTGGTTGCAAATCAGGGTAAATAGTAAAAATGTTTACCAATGAGAATACACAAACACTGACCAGTAAGAAAAAAATCCATAACCTGGAGAATCTCTGGGGGAGGGTCTTTCCATGTTTTTTGGACAGTAATGAGGACTTTGTCAGCAAAAGTGGCAGCAGTACTTGTGGGGTGTGCCTTATGGTGATTTGGGGTATTTTAACCAATGTATGTAGAACTAGTTCAATGTTTAACAGTTGGTGCAACCGAATCCATGCATAATAATTAAATACCAGCCATATTTATTTGCAATAAGGAAAGTGATTTGTTAAGAGGCTGTCTGGTAGTTCCCACAGTTGAAGAAGGACCTGAGGACCAGGCCTGAAAAGGTGATGCAGCACAGACAAGCTCCTGCCAGAGGCTGGCTGGGGCGTGGCACTCATTCTGAGGTGGCCACCCCTAAGCTCTTATCTGCAATGCAGCTGGAGCCATCATTTGTAGTTTACCCTGTGCCTTTGAGCCACTCTCAGGGACTCAGTCCTGAGCAAGGAGCTCCCTGGCTGCCTGGCAGCTACTGGGTGTCAAGGAGGGGAAACATCTTTCTTTCTTCAGCTCCCTACCAACCTTCGCAATACTTTCAACCAGGAGAGGAGCTTGGGTGCTGGACAGCCTGCAGGACAGATGTCTCTTCAGCAACTGGATTTCATTATGTCCCAACGACCTCACAATGGCTGGCCATCCACTGAAAGACCACTTTGAGAACAAGTTGTGCTTTTCATCTCGACATATGCAAACCCTGGTAAATATTTCCAAGGTGCCCTGCATTTTTCCTTCACAGATTGGGCCCTCCTGTAACTGCACGGTCCATAATTGTCTTCCATGACTGATTGAAAGCTCCATGAGCATGCAGGGCTCTGATGTCCTAGACACTGCTGGAACTCAAAATAAACTCTCAACAAATGAATGAATAAGATGCATTGCCCCTTACTCTATCTATCTGTCCCACTGAGAATGTACATTCTTAGGGCAATTCTTTTTATTTTATGGCAGGCACTGTATAACTTGCTACAGCTTCAGTAAGTACCACACACTGGCAACAGAAGTGTATAGTCTCACAGTTCAGGAGTGAGAAGTCAAGGGTCAAGGTGTTGGCAGGGCTGGTTCCTTCTGAGGCTGTGCAGGGGAATCTGTTCCAGGCCCCTCTCCCAGCTTCTGGGGTTGTCAGCAACCTTTGGCCTTCTTTGGCTTGTAGAAGCATTACTCTAACTCTGCCTTCATCTTCGCGTGGCATTTTCCCGTGTGTGTGTCTGTCCAAATTTCTCCTTCTTATAAGGACACCGTCATATTGGATTAGGGCTCACCCTAACGGCATTATTTTAACTTGATTAACTCTCTAAAGCCCTATCTCCAAATAAGGTCACATTCTGATGTATCGAGGGTTAGGACCCAACATATCTCTTTTGAGGGGACATAATTCAACTTATAACAGGTGTTACATTTTTTGTTTTAATTTTTTTTCTGTAATTTTGTGAGCCTGGCAACTGATATTAAGTATATCATTGGGAAATCCAAATAAATTTATAAGATAGGGAAAGACTAAAGAAAGATTGATAAAAGGAATCCATCATACTCCTCTCACCCCTACTCCTAGGTTAAAAAACAAATGCATCCCCACTTGGAAAATGAGCTGTATGGTGCTATGGTGCCTGTCACCTGCCTGCTGATGTAATTTGTTCCCTTGGCTGCAAATCAGCCTGTGATACTGAGCCCCTTCCAAATGCCCTCTTGAGCTGCACCCCCAGGTGGTCCCTCAGAGGCAAATCAAGAAGGTTCATTCCTCCATTGTATCTAGAAGAGATAGATCTGGAAGAAACACAGAGCCCCCATGCTATTTTTATTCAGAAAATAGAAGATAAAATATCTCGCTGCACTTGCTAAGCTTTGCTCTCTCACTAGAGTGGAACAGAGCACCACCCACCTTGTGGAACAAGTTTTCTTCTCTCCTAAATGGAAGAAGTAAGTTCAATGGTATCAGATCAATACTAATTTTATATTTAGGCTCAGGATTTATTTGCTGCAAGGCAGGACAGGGTGAGCCATTCTGTCTGCTGTTGGAATTGCTGGGTATGTCCCATGCAGTAGGCTGGAGGGCCAAATGTTTCCCTGGACAGCATCTTTAGGGAACTGAAGTAATGCCTCTGTCAACAAGAGAAAATAATAAGGTTGCTCTCAATAAAGGGAATTCTTTCTTCACAGATTTGTATTAGCTGTAAATTTTCTGTCTGAAACCCTGACACAGACAGAGGGAGAAGCTAAAATAACTGGAGGGAACAACCAACTAAGGATAAGTGAGTGGCGTGTGCATGTATGTAGCAGTTAATGGTGCGTTTGTGTGGGGCCTGTCCCTGGAGACTGCTCTAAAGAGAGGCTTAGAGACAACACAAAATGAATTGGGAACCTGTAGGAAGAGGAATGCGCTACAGTTAAGGGACACATTTTTACCAACTCACATTTCCACCTGGCATTTCTTCAAAGTTCTGCTGTAAAAATGACTGGATTTTCCAACAGAGCTTTGAGATAGGTAACTATACCGAAAATGAAACGAATTGATTTTTTTTTCTAGACATGTGGACAGAAAAATGTTTTTTTTTTTTTTCTTTGAAACTGTCACTTGCAAGCTCAGCTCTGGGTTATGGATTAGTTGCTGGGCAGGGCTGGCAGTTCTGAGGGACGCCAGCTGTGAGGGTCATGGTGGAGCCTGGGATTGGTGGGAAATGACAAACACCAGGTGAGTCTCAGGTGACGAGGACAGGGCTGCCCTGTAGAGAGGGTGTGGGGAGCCTGGAATTTAGCTATCAGGGGAGGTGTCCACTCTACCAGCTAGAGATCAATTTAAAAAAGAGCCGGCCAGGCGCGGTGGCTCACTCCTGTAATCCCAGAACTTTGGGAGGCTAAAATGGGTGGATCACGAGGTCAGGAGTTCGAGACCAGCCTGACCAATGTGGTGAAACCCCTGTCTCTACTAAAAATACGAAAATTAGCTGGGTGTGGTGCTGTGCACCTGTAATCTCAGCTACTCAGGAGGCTGAGGCAGGAGAATCGCTTGAACCCGGGAGGCGGAGGCTGCAGTGAGCCGAGATTGCGCCACTGCACTCCAGCTTGGGCAACAGAGCAAGACTCCATCTCAAAAAAAAAGAAAGAAAAGAAAAAGAGCCTCAGGCAAGTTGGACCTAAGGAAAATGCCTTTTTGATGCCCGATCAGTTGATGATTGTTGATTTCATATCCAGGGGCCCGATCAAATTGCCATGTGAAATTAACCATGATGCCAGGTGAAAGGACCCTGCTGATGGCAACTAACCTTCACTGCTCCACTGTCTGCAGCTGCCTCTTCCTTCCTAACCCCAGGGGCAGCCCCTCAATTGTTTTTCACAGCAAAAGGTGCCAGACAATATTCGAACTGCTTAACCCTAGGAGATGTCCAAGAATATCTAGTGAGTCAGAGACTTCAAAACTGCATCACATTTTACTATTTCTCCCATTCACTTCCAATCAAAACTCTCTTCCCCCTCCCAAATCTCCATTTATAGTTAAGTTTAAAAGTAAAATCATTATAGGAAAGTTAGACATGAGTACCAGGGTGTGCATGGTTATCTTAATGTTTTGGATATTGTTTGCTGCATATTACGGTAGAGAGCGTGGGCTCTGGAGCCATCCTGCCTGCATTTGAATCCGGGGTTTTCCCAGCTGCCTGTGTGACTTTGGAGACGTTATTTCTTTTCTCACTCCCTGAACCTCCTCGTCCTTGAACTTCACTGATGACCTTCGCTTAGAGGACATTTTGAAGAAAGGGTCTTTTTCAAATGACATCTTGCCCATTTCCGTGCCTAATGCCAAAATGTGCTTTACTACGAGGACATGAGGATTTTATTAACCTTAAATTTGCTGAGTGTCTGCCCTGTGCCAAGGGTGTGTTTTTGTTTTGATCCACCCATCAACTATTTGCCCATTCCTGCTTACAACTCAGAAGATAAGTGCTTTGCTTGAGTGCTAAGTTGATAGGTGGCAGCTCAGCCGACTGAATCCTGGCAGTAGAATTCTGGATTCAACGTTCTTCCCATTATGCCACGGCCAAACATCTGCTATCGGAGGCTGCCCCGCCCTGAGCTTGCACATAGTGCCATGGCCCAGAACGGGGAGGAGGACCTGCACTCTGAGCTGGATAGTCCTCCCTCCCTCCCACCGCGGTCATATGGTTTGGGGCAGCCTTTTGATCTTTCTGAGCCTCAGTTTCCTCATATGGCTTAGATATCCTACAGATTTGTTCTAAAACTACACATTTTAGGAAAGCGGTGCTGATGGAAACTTTGTACTAAAATTTGTGCCAGTGCTTCACGTGGTTGTTGTCGGCATTCCTTCCTGAGCGTTTTGAGAATTTCTTGCTCTCTTCTTCTGCATCTTCTGGCACCCCCCAACCCCACCCCGTCACCATGCACTGACATTGTGATGAGCTTTGCAACATTTGGAATAAGGCCTTTGTGTATGAAATTAAATGTCAACCTGCTTGGGTTGCTTCCAAATTTCCCTGGGAAACTTATGCTGGCATTTAATTTCTGATTAATATTATACTCTGAAACTTCTGGAGCTCAATATGCTTTTGTTGAAAGCATTTTTATTTTTTATTTCTTAAAGAAACCTGGGAAGTTCACACTGGAGAAGTTATTTCAAAATCTCAGTTCTATCCATTTTTGCCGACGCTGGGAGGTGCTGTGTGCAAGAGTGTCATATTTTCATATCTGAGCTTGGTCTGACCCGCTGATGAGAGCCAGTTTACTTTGTAACAGCACTCAGGATCCTTTCTATGTACTGCTGAGGTCATTGCGATTTGCTTGCTTGAAGCTCTGAAAGGCCTTTTCAAGGCTTGAAGTTGTTTTCTCATCAATATGCTGACTCGACTTCCATGTTCTAAAACTTCTGGGTTCTGACTGATGATCAATTCAGATTGGAGGATGCCTGTGATCCGAGAGAGTTAATGGTCTTTCAAAACCTAATTTCAGGGGGAAGATCTAAGGAGAATTAATAGTAAGAAAAATGTGTAAGGGATCATATTAATCAGTTTGCAATCATTCGAACTTCAAAGAAAATTTCCTTTGAAAACAACTAATTTGCACAGCCTTTCAGCCCATAATGACTCTCTATAAATTATTAGCAGAAATTTTATGTCAAAAGTCATATGCTTTAAGCTTTACATTTTAACCTCTGTTTAGCCAGCTTTTGCTCATGGAGACTAATTTTATCTTCCTTTAGGCCTCATGCCTGACTCTTTGAAAAAAAAATTTTCAGAGGGGTTTTCTTGCAGCACCTGCTTCTGGGGCACTTTATTAAGACAACTACCCCCAGGTCTCTGCCCATCATATTTCAAGAATACTTCTTTTGAACTAAAGAATCATAAAGTTCACCTGCTGGCAGGTTGAGCAGGCTGGAGGGACTTTTCCCAGACCAGCCTGAGCTGTGAGCAGCCCTCTTACAGCAGCACAGAACACAGCACTGTGGTCTACATATAATCCCGCCAGAAGCAGGACGTACCACTTGACCTTGAACCATGTGAGCCAAGATGTGATCACTGGCATCTGCATATTGCCCTTGGTCTTCCGGTCAGAACTGAGTTTGGGGAAAGGATTTTAGATATATAGACCATTTGCTTTCATTTAACTTCTATTTTAAACTTAAGTTTACATAAGAGACTCTTAAAAGCCTACCTGGTGAAATTTGCCTTTTCCTAAATGGCAGAAGAAGAATCTTAGCAAGATCATCACTCTATGGCTTGAAGAGATGACCCAATTAAATTAGAGCTAGATTAAGCAGCAACAATAACAATAGCAACAAACAAACAGGACAAGTCATTTGTGCCATATTTGATCTTTGCAAAGGTCTGCTCACATCTTAGGCTGGTCTGGGATAAGTCCTTGCAGCCTGCACAACCTGCAGGCAGCTGACCTTCATGACCTGGAGGGAAAATGCTTCCAGATCATGATATTCCGAGGGATGACCTGTTTGATTACAGTTAACTCTACCAGTTTGAAGCAAATAAGAAAAATGTGGATTATATGAGGCTAAAATATATTCTGGCAAAGGCCTTTTCAAGGGGGCGGGGTGATTCTAGGCTCAGGAAATAAAGCAGAACAGCTGCTTCTTTGATTCTCTTCCTCCTCCCTCTCCCCTTCTTTCCCTCTATCTCTTTCTTCCTCCTTTTCTCTCTTCACATAATTTATTGCAAATATATTAACAAAATACTTCATATTAGAGCAATTCAAATGTACAGGGCATCTCAAGTGGCTGTCAATTGGAATAGGTTATCAAAAGAAAAATAGGTGCGCATGCTCACTTGCTTGTTTTGCTCTACTTACTTTACCCATTCAGTCTGCAGTGAGCTGCAACACCCTCCATTTCAGCTAGCTGGATCTGCAGAAAGATCCTAAAAATCTATTTTTCCACTGAGGATAAACTCTGCAAGGTGTTGTGGGTTTTCACCTTTTCTTCTAGGTAAAAATGAGGCCCAGATTTGCTCAGTGGTTTTTATCAGATCACTCAGCTAGTAATACACAGCAAAGCCAGGACAAAAACCTCTGTTTTGTGGACACTCCGCTGATTAACCTTTCTACTCCCATAGTGACTTCTTTCTTAAGCTTTAATGACTGATGCTATTGAGTAGAGTTCCCTGTAAAACTCACTCTTTATTGTATTTCCTTATTGCTCAAATTTTTACAGATTCAAGATGTTCTTTGAAAAGAGAACTTTCCTGAGGTAAGCAAGTATTTCAGTAATGCCCAAAGCAAACATTTTTTTTTTTTTGGCTTCAGCTCACTTCTGACTCATGTCCCTTGATAACTGAGTTCTTCTTCCCCAAGAACCTTAATTATTTTCATCACTGGTTCTTCAATTGTTCCTTGGCCTGATTTCTTCTGTTGTCTTAGACACTTGATCACAAAACAGGAAGCCTGAGAGCTGGGTGCAAGCTCCACTTCCATTGTCCTCTAAGCCAGAGCTGAGTGTGGCCCAAGGACATTGTGTTGTAGGAACATTTTCTTGGATGTTACCTTATTTGTAGCAATTTAGAATTTCAGAATAAATCATCCAAAATGCTTTCCTCTCTTTGTGACTTTGAAGAGCTGGCCCTAGCAGTAAGGTCAGGTCGCTGACTCCCTTGTCAGCTCAGCAGCCTTTGGAAAGAAATGGCTCTAGAATCTCAGGGGTGTCCAATCTTTTGGCTTCCCTGGGCCACATTGGAAGAAGAAGAATCGTCTTGGGCCACACATAAAATACACTAACTCTAGTGATAACTGATGAGCTAAAAAAAAATTGTGAAAAAAAAAACTCATAATGTTTTAAGGAAGTTTATGAATTTGTGTTGGGCCGCATTCAAAGCTGTCCTAGGCCCCATGCATCCCACAGGCCATGGGTTGGACAAGCTTGGCTCTAGATGATGTGAATTGCTTCAGGGGTCACCTGCATCTCACATTAAAGACCACGAAAGAGGGCGAAAAGAGAGTAACTCTGTTGGGTAATACATCGAGCTTTTATACATGCAATTAGTGCTCAGGGTTTCTCTTGTCATAAACATGAAGCTCTTCATTTATGCCTATGTAAGGACAATTGTCTAAATAGTTAATAATTTATGCCTATGTAAGGACGATCGTCTAAATAGTTAATAATTTAGTTTGGTAGAGACACTGGGCATCAGAGTGGACCATGCCAGGAGACAGAGCTGTGAGAAGGGTCCTGGAGGTGTCTGCAACACCCCTTTGTTAAGTATTTGTGAATCTAAACATAGCTAAATGTAGAAAAGCTTCAGTAAAAATATGGTAAAATAACAACAACAACAAAAAAGGTACACCTGTCTAGGGCACTTACTGTGAATGGAGTTTGAAGGACTAGAAATTGCCCTGGGTAAGTCAATAAATGAGTAAATGGTGAGTAAATGTGAAGGCCTAGGACATTACTGTCCACTACTGTAGACTTATAAACACTGTACACTTGGATACACTAAATTTATTAAACAGTTTTTTTAGTAACAAATTAACCTTAGCTTACTATAAGTTTTTACTTTATAAACTTTTAATTTTTTTAACTTTTGAGTCTTTTGTGACAACACTTTTCTTAAAACACAGAAACAGTCTACAGATTGTGTATAAGAAAATAAAAATATTTTCCTTCATTATATTCTATTTTGTAAACTTTTTTGTATTTTTAATTTAATTTTTGTATTTTTTATTTTTAAACTTTTTTTGTTAAAAACTAAGACACACACACACACACACACATTAGCCTATGTCTTTAATGTGATCACACTGGAATTTTATCATATGATTGGATATTTGCCATTTCAGTCACATCCACTGTTTACTTATTGAGTGCTTACTACTTGCCAGGCACTTTTCTATTATATTTTCGATAATTCGTATAATATTAATAGATAATATTTTATGTAATTTTGGTTAGTCCTTCTAACAATTCATAGTTTGTGTTGACATCAGATTTGCAGTTGAGATCATGGTGCCTGAGAACAGGTAAGCCACTGAGACCTGGGCCATGGGGTCACTGAGTTGGGGTCACTGAGTTGGGGTCTGAGCCCGTGGCCAGCTGATGTGAGGCCCCTGCTCTTGGCCAGGTCTTTCAGGGCCTCACTCCCGGCTGTAGTGTGAGGTCTTCAGGGGTCTTTGCCTTAACACACTAAGTAGATTCTAAGACAAACAGCTGGAAACCTGGCTGGGGGAAGGGCAAGCACATGTTTTCTGTCTGTGTTCTTAGGAGCTTACGATCTCCTTGTTTTCAAACATTTTTCATGCATTTCACAAAATAAATGGGAAGTTGTGATTTCTATTTGATACACCCTCAAAAACTGGCAAGAGATATTTAGGGTCTGGGCTTTTGTTTGGAAAATGAGATGTAGCATTAAATGCCAATATATGCATCCCACCAGCTTATATTGAAAGCTGGGTTTGTAATCCACAAAAGCTGCCTCTTCAATTTCAAAACAATACAAAATTCCCACCCAGTTTCTTTGTTGAACACATCTCATTTATCAATCTCTGATATCGTTGAGGAGGCTGCGGCTGTTGCCCTCTTTTCTCTATCATCTTACCTCTTGTTCTGTGTCTGGGGAGGAAGGAGCTGTGCAGGCACATACTTGGATGACTGGCTGACCGCAGGTGCCCCCTGGAGAGCACTGAGCAGGCAAGGTCCAGGCTGACTCACCGCAACCTGGACCACCCTGCTTGTTTTTTGTTTGCTTGTTTGTTTGTTTGTTTGTTTTGAGACGGAGTCTCGCTCTGTTGCCCAGGCTGGAGTGCGGTGGCGCGATCTCGGCTCACTGCAAACTCCGCCTCCCGGGTTCACGCCATTCTCCTGCCTCAGCCTCCCGAGTAGCTGGGACTACAGGCACCTGTCACCGCGCCCGGCTATTTTTTTGTATTTTTAGTAGAGATGGGGTTTCACCGTGTTAGCCAGGATGGTCTCCATCTCCTGACCTCGTGATCCGCCCGCCTCGGCCTCCCAAAGTGCTGGGATTACAGGCGTGAGCCACCACGCCCAGCCCCTAACTTGTTTAAAGCTAGGATAAAACAATGCCCAAACCATCTCCATAAATTCTCTTTCATCCAGCGTCCCTGGATTGATTAGCTTAAATCTGGGGTGTTTAAACACTTCAGTCGTTTCTCTAAACATCAGAATGATTACTGAGCAGTTCAATTCTTCCATTCCTGTTCAGAGTTCTTCAGCTTCACAACCACAGGAGCTCTCTATGGGGCACAGAGGGGCTGCACTCCTGCTGATCCTGACCCTCCAACACCTGGGCACAGTGTCCATGGCCAGGACTGAACACCTGAACAGTGAGAGCTGCAGCACCACTGTCTCCTCCAGGGACTTGGCACAGCCTTGTTTAAAGGTGCCAGGACAGACACAAATTAAAAATAAAAGGTTTAATTCTCCCCACCCATTTTTTAAATATTTTATCTTAGAAAACATGCAATTCTAAGAACTTTCTCCTCTCTTTGAAATGTATATACACTATTTTGGAGACTAGATGGTCTTTTGTCAGCTTTATGACCCAGGAATGTCTTTCTTAGGGAACGGGGAGCTACCTCTTTGAAATGTTAGCAAAAAGGGATATAATGAGCCGCCGTCTCCTACTTTCTCAGGACCGTATGAACGTAACTTCAGTTGGTATCTGGCTCAAGCTGCAAAACTACTTGACATTCTAAAGATATGTCAAGTTTGTTTCTCCTCTGCATAAAGCCAACTGAGCTAATAGGGATGTTCACCCCCATTGCCAGGTAAAGTTACTGTGAGCTGTGTGACAAACTGTGCTGTCAAATCCTCTTACTTGAGGACTGGTTATCATTTATCTGCATAACATGCATGGAATGGGTTGTGTCTGCCTGGCTATATCAATGGGTAAGATTTCTTTCTGTCTCTCTAATCTTCTAGGGATTGCTAGCAAGACACATCACTTTCTGGCTTAATGCTTACTCAATAATAAAAGTGTTTTTTTGTTTGTTTATTTGTTTTTGTTTTTTTTTTCTAGCACTTTCGTAGAGAGGATACCCAGGTTGGGAGAAGATTTTGTCTTTAGTTTATTTTCTTGACAAGGGGTAGGGTGGGGAGAGTTGGGGGAGTCTTGGTCCTATCAGCAGGGGGATCCCCGGCTCCTGTGGGGTCTAGAGACCCTCAGCTTTCTCCCGGGCTGCTTGGTGCCCTGTCAGCACACTGTCATCATGCTCCTCCCTCCATCACGCTGAGGAGTGGGGTGCGCTAACAGCCTCCACCCAGACTCTAGCAGCCTTCTGCCTGGGACCCTCTTTGGAAGGAGGGTCTTTGCCCCCACTCCTCACTTTCTAGGGAGGAATCCTCTCCTCACAGTTTCTTCAATTAGCTTCCCCCATTTCCCAACCTCCCAGGGCACAGAAGTGACTTCATGGGCTGAATTTTGTCCCCCCACCTCCAAATTTAAGTCCTAACCCCCAAGCACCTCAGATTGTGACTGAATTTGAAGATAAGGTCTTTCAAGCTGTGGTTAAGTTAAAATGAGGTCCTATGAGTAGGCTCTACTCCAAATGACTGGTGTCCTTATAAGAAGAGGAGAAGGGACACAGACGTGCACAGAGGAAGGGCCATGTGAGGACACAGAGAGAAGATGGCCATCCACCAGCCAACGAGAGAGGCTTCAGGAGAAAGCGACTCTGCCAACCTTTTGATCTCAGACTTCCAGCCTCCAGAGCTGTGAGAAAATAAATTTCTGTGGCTTCAGCCTCTCAGTCTGTAGCATTTGTTATGGCAGCAAGAACTAACAGATCCAATGATCCAGGGTGTATCTGAGGGATGTCCTCTTGTTGTCTGACTATTTTACTTATAGATAAGGATACTTAGTCACCTGAGCCCGCAGAAGCTCCAGTTTAAATAATACAAAAAATATCAATGTGGTCTCTTCCTACACGTGTTTGTCTAAGAATCTTCTAATCCAATCTCTTTTTTTTTTCCCCATTTAGTGGAGGCAGGTCCACAAACATTTTGGCAAACATACACAAGCTCCCTCCATCCGGTCCCGTACCTAGCCTGTGCGTGCTTGTCATGGTAGTGAGCAGCAGTGACCTAATGAAATAGGATAGAGTTTTAGCAGTTTTTGGCTTCTGGTGTGCATCTTTTGGAAATAGGAATATTTTTTTCTGTCAAAATGGATTCTGGGTTTATTTTGACTGTGTTATTTATGCCGTGATTCATCTGTGCAAAAACCTAAGCCATGGAAGATAATTTCCATTTACCTTTTACCTGGAATTTCTATTGGTTCACCCTTAGTGTGGGGATTTGGAGGCAGATTCCAGGCACCTGTTTACCATGGCTCAAGGGGCATTCCTGTGTTGACCAGGATGTTGCTTTCCCCCGGGCAGGAGAGTGAAGGTCTTGCTGCACCAGGTAGAAATACTTTTGGGTAAAGTTTGATTTGCAAATCATGGATGAGTTTATTCCAGGCAGAAATAAAGCATTTGATTGAACTGCCGTTTATGGGAGTCATTAGCGTCTGCTGTGCACGCTTGATTGCCTGTGTGCTTAGAGCTCCCATCTCATCTGGGATGCTCTGCGTTAGGACTTCTAAGCAGAACGCAGCCTGTTGCTTCTTCCATGTGGTTTGCATTGATCAAACTTCTATTTTGTGATGCTCTGAGAATGGGGAACACGATTGGCTGTGGAATAGCAGCAATAATATCATTAGAAACCAGAGCAATTATCCAGTCATCATCATTTGCAGGGCTAGCATGAACGATGGTGGTTAGAGAATGCATCGTGTTTGGACAGCATTTTATTAATTAGCATTTCCCCCTGCTTGCTGGGGACGATGATTCCTGAGTTCTAAATGAATATGAACACAGATAACGAAGAACTGCCTCAATATCCCAGTTACCATGCCGACTATCTTATAGTCATTTTCTGATGACATTCTTGATTGATTCTTTTGGGAACTTTGGTTACCACACAGGCTTAAGGCAGTTTTTTTCCTGCCATCTTGACAATAACATTTCTCTTCTCTCCAAGGGAAATACAAATGCATCTTCAGGGTGGTATTCCTTTAACTTGAGCTTAAAAATTTTATTATTAAATATTTATCAAAGTTAAATAAATGATGTGGTTAATTATAACACTGATAAAGTTTTCTTTTCCTGCTGTGGAGACTGGCTCCAGAGAACAACCCGGGCTGCAATTGCTTGCGTGACCCGCTAGGTGGTGCAGCTGAAGAAAGCATGCGCATGCAGCTTCGTAAATGGCCGAGGAAATAAATAATGGGGTCGCTTAATGGGTTTGGGGATAAATAATGACTGTTTGCTTTTTTTGGACAACTTTGATAGAGATCTTGGGAATGAAATATCAGCTTGACAACCTCCTATCTGTTCAGCACAAAATCAATTATGTTTCTAGTTAAACATTAGGGAGGGAGAGATTTGATTCAAATGTAGGCATGAGTTTCATTTTATTTTTTAGTTTAGAGCAGTTCCTGCTTTTCTAAGGGCAAATAAAAAAGTTACAAAAGAGAATGAAAGAATAAAAACCCCAAAGCACTCTGTATTGTCTTCATTCACCTGTAGGAAACAACCTTCCCCATGAGGTCTCTATCCTGTCTGGTTTTAAACTTAAGATTGTAAAAACTTTTTATGCTAGATATTATCTCCCTGGTAATGGAAGCAATGAAAGGCCTGAGAATATTTGTGATGCTCAGTACATATTGAGTGTATAGCATTGTTCTCCTGTTAAATAAGTATCTTTACTGGTGTAAAATGATTGAGCCACCTAGCCGGTGGCATACAACCACTGAAAGATAAAACATAAAATTTCACCAGGAGCCCAGTGGAACACACACTGTGAAATTTAACTACAGGAACCTTCTCCACAGGCTCCTTCTCCTTCCCCAGCTCTACTTGCAAACTGTCACATTTTTATTTGGATTACTTCTGTTAAGAGCTTGACTGATCTAAGCTTTAAATCAGGTACTTAGCCAAGCATTACTGGTTAGAATAGGTTTGTTTGTGAGCTTTCTCAATGCTTTTATTTTACATTTTATTGATATAGACCTTTTGCATTCACTGCGGAAGAGCCATCCCTTAAACAGGGAGCTCAATCAGCATCAGAAGTGTAGGCAAGAATAGGTGTGACCTCTGTGGACAGCAGTTTGTCCAATAGTACAACATTTAAAATACATATCTCCTTTAATCTAGTAATTCCAGGACTAGGAATTTAACCAGCACACATGCTTGCACAAATAGTTAGCAGTATATATGTGAAGATTTTTTTTTAATTACAGCATTGTTTGCAATAAAAAGGAAGCCTATAAACAACCTGATTGTTCACCACTAGGGGACTGGTTCTGTGAGTGTATCCATAATAATGCAAAATAGTGCAGTAATTCAAACAGATCAATTCTGTTTATTTATATTTACTGGTATATTGTCCATACAGTGATACATCTTGAACAACGTTCAAGAAATATTAACTGAAAAAATTGCAGAATAGTATTCATTTATTTTTACTTTTAATTTTTGTGAGTGTATAGTAGGTGTATATATTTATGATGTACATGAGACGTTTCAATACAGGAATGCAATGTGAACAGGCACATCGTGAAGAATGGGTCATCTACTCTTTCAAGCATTTATCCATTGAGTTGCAAACAATCAAATTACACCCTTTATTTTATAATGTACAGTTATTATTGACTATAGTCACCCCATTGTGCTATCAAATAGTAGGTCTTATTCATTCTTTCTAACCAGAATAGTATTTACGATGTGGTGTCATTTGCATAAAAAGGATTTATCAATTATATCTATATATAGATAGATAGATAGATAGATAGATAGATAGATATGTGTTTGTGTATGTGTGTGTGCTTGAGCAGCATAGAAAAACTTGGAAAAACACACAAAAGTGGTAACTGTTATCTCCAAGAAATGGGGCCAAAGAGAAAACATAAAATATGCTTTTCCTCTTGATTTTGTATGTTTTCCTTGCCAGTGACTTCTTCTTTTTTAAAAAAAATCCGTGAATATGTATTTTTTTAAAACAAAGTGGGTTCCATCTGCAGGTTACTGTCTAAACACCACAGGAATGTCCTGAGCCTCACTGAATGATGTGTGAACCTCTGCGATGTCCTGCAGAAACCCTGAGAAGCTGAGTTTAAGCTCTTTTATATCGCAGAGCAGAGAAGCTGCTTTGTCCCCTTGCATTCCCAGGCAGAGTCCTGCTTCTCTTCCTGGCAGGTATTTGTGCACCCACCTTTCCCTCGGCCTCCACTTGGTGAGCCTTGGCTGGCACGAGGTGACAGCTGCTACTGCACCACAGGGCCAGAGCCTAATGGGCCCGGGAAATGGTTTCCACGGCTCTCAGAGGCTCTCTCCTTGGAACAGGCTGAAAGAGGGAACATGATGGATGCCTCGCTCGCCACCTTCCCAGGAGGACGCATCGCTAACTTCATAGCTTATTGACTCAAGGCCCTGCTGCAATCTGGTGTGAGGGACACAGGGATTTGCTGACTCTTTCAAGGTTACAGGGATTGTCACTGAAATGCATCTGATGCTCTGAGCTCCCCTCTGACTTCTCTGCCTCAACTCTGTGCTACTCTTTCTCTGCATTAAAACAGAGATAGCCTCCGAAAGCCATGGCTTTGGAAATCCACAGTGCTTGCCGCCAGGAGGGCACAATGCTGGGCTTACATGACTCTCCTAATTAGACCATTAGTTACATAATGACCACATTCAGAAGGAAGGGAAGGCTGTGCAGTGCACTCAGCATTTTAATGCTACTGCAATTGCTGCAATCATTTCTTAGGGTTACTTCTGTCCTAATTTTCCCCAAATCTGCTGCACAGATGCGGCAACTGTCCCAAGCATCTCTGGCCTAACAGATTTATGCACCTAGCAATTTGCATCTAGCAGGTTCGAGATAGTGTGTCTCTAGTGGGCCATGCCAGCTGGTCAGCTATGTTGACCTGCACGGGTTGTGGAGACCTCACTTCTAGTTGGTGTGGTCCAAGGAGCCTGGTCTTCCTGGATGTGTGGCATTCACCAGCACATGCAGAAGAAGGGAGAGTGCACCTCATTTAATAGTGGCCAGGGCTATAGCAACACCTTTCTAGGGAGTGGAGAGGGCCAAAGGATCCCAGACTTGTCAAGAATGATCCTTTTGATAAATTGCAAGTCAAGGCTCAAGAAACCTAGCTGCCAACTGTCCTGCCTTTTTCTATATAAGGTCCAGAGTATTGGTCATTTGTTATACTTTCACCTATAGGCACATTTTATGTTTTTCTTTCATCAAATAAATAAAACTTAGCTATCTATCTTTAGATAATTTATATTTCCCTTCCCCCACCCTGCTGTGACTGTATTAAGACTAGTTGTTTCACCCATCCAGCACCACTGGGCACCTGGCCCTACCAGGGCAAGGAAAGGGTGGGGGCAGTGGGGATAGGTGGTCCAGTCTCCAGTCCAGGATGCTCAGCAATATTTGGATTCTCCAGGCTGCAAAGAGCGTGCCAGAAGGAGACCTGGTATTGCTTGTAGAGTGTCAGAGAGGGGCTGGGTTTGAGTTCAGTGGCTACAGGATTCCTTAACAAGTACTGGGGTTTTATGGCAAAGAGTCTATTTGCAACGTTTGTTGAGCAATTTCCTGGAGCAGAAGTTGATTAAATTAAACCAGCGTAAACATCAGCCGCCACTGGCTTTCATCATGAGTTCTGGTAGACTGTCTCCAAATACCTTCACCAATTCCCTGATCATGTAGTGAGGTTTCGTAGTTGGGGCCCCAACATTCACTTTTGGTGCTTTGGCTGCATTGCTTTCCTTCACTTAACCTGGTAGACATCTCAGTGGTTCATAACCATGATCACCGGACTGATTGTGACTCCCACATTGGGAGTCCTAGGGTCTCCCTGGAAAGATGGGAGAGAGACACAGAGACTCATCGTTATCCTCCAACTCTCTTTTCTTAGGAGACTGAAGGGAGAGGGGGATCCATGTTCCCTCTACATTGTTCTGCAGCAGACTGTTCATTCTACCTTCACGGAGAGCGTTTTCTTCTGCACTTTCTGCAGCCTGATCTTTCTTTTGCTGATATCATGGAGGTGCATTACTTTTCTCCTTGCACCCAACTTTCTTTCTTTTTCTCAGCCTATGAGCTGCACCAGGAGGCCTTGAGTTCTTTTTTGTGATTTCCCTGCTTTTCTCTTATGGGGTATGTGGCCAGATTCTCTAGGTGTAACTTTTTGCAATTATGGTTGCATTTATGGAAGTTAGAGTATGAAGTCCAGGAATAGGAAGAAAACATCTCTCATGCCTCTCAACTCAGGAGATTGCCTACTTACCCTAACTATAAGATGTTCCCACCAAGAGAGACACTAGATGGTTAGGTAACTTGAGTGGGGTCCCTTCGCTTACTTCATCAGGGACATGGGATATTTCTCTGCTTGTTGTTTTGTGACAGGTGCTATTTCTGGAACTTGCTGAAATAAGCATTATATAAACTCTTTCAGTAAATGTAGTCATTCAGTTAGATGCAGTGACCTCTAAGTAGGGTTTTCAGGTATGACAAAAAAATAAATAAATAAAAATACAGGACACCAGGTTAAATCTGATAAATTCAGATAAACAACAGATAACTGCTTTTTTTCCCCAAAATTCAAGTTTATCTGTGAATTCTACCTCTAAGGCCAGTCTCATGCTGTCTTCCTATGAGATACTTTCCTAAATAATACCTTGACAGTGAGAGATTCTCTTTTCCCTTGTCCTCATTCTCCATCAGTTTACCAAACCATCAGCATTTTCTCAAGATGCTCCCCAGGATGACTCATCTCTACTCTTGATTTTGAATTATGGAGTAAGAGTAAGAAAATCTCTACCCTGATGAAAAGTCTTATGATCTGCACTCATCACTACCAGCTTTACATCACTGATTGCCTTTAGTATATTCCTGAAATATGCACATTAAATAACTAGGGCTTTCAAACCACTCCCAAAGAAGTTAATAGCAACAATCTCTGGTTTCCCCTATTTTGTATAATCACAATAATCTCTTTGCTTTTGAGGCTTACTTGCAGGAAATGTCTTTTGTGATTAATTAAACTGATTCAGTTCCACTACAGCAGTTAAATAATCACAGTTGTTGTTTATTACTTCACATCCTAAATGCAACAGAAGTGCTTGATTAAATAGCCTTCTATACCAAAACACCCCAAAGTGTAAGATGCTTGTAAATGGCAAAGGGGCATGGTTATTTTCCTGGCAAATGGAACTTTTTCCATAATAGTGACAGAGCAGCCGCACTTACCAAGGATCCTTAATCCAGGATCTGATCTTGGGAAATCAGATCCCCACATACTGGTCACTCTTTAATGGTGGAAACTGGAGGAACCCTGACCACAGGGAGCAAGGGGATCTGAAACTTCGTGGCTATTATATGAATTACAGTCATACCCCTAAGGCAGGTGCACTAAGGCATTGGAACTGGAAAGATAAAGAAGAATCTGACTCCCCAACATTCTGTTGTCCACACTCACCTGTTCACCTAATTGCATGTGTTTTTCTTTGTTCTCCTCTGCTCTTGAGTTTCTCTTCCTTCTTTTATGTGTATTTTGCACATGGTAAGTCTTGACTACTTCTTACTTTTATTTTTGTACATCTTCAGGGTATAAACATACTGATTAAAAGATTCACATGCAGGCAAGGAGAGGTCGCTTTACTAACTTTCAAGCACTCTCATCAGTCTTCAACAAATGGTACTGGAAAAAACAGATATCCACATGCAAAAATCACAAAAAAATTGACTTAAAATGGATTCCAAACTTAAGCATAAGACATGAAACTGTAAAACTCCTAGGATAAAACATAGGGAAGAAGCTTCATCATACTGCTCCTGGCAATCATTTCTTGGCTATGACTTCAAAAGCATAGGCAACAAAGGCAAAATGAGGCTGCATTGAACTAAAAAGCTTCTGCACGGCAAAGGAAACAACACAGTGAAAAGCAACCTATGGAATGAGAGGAAATATTTGCAAACAATACATCTGATAAAGGGTTAAAACCTAACTCAATATAAAAAGCCCAAATGACCAGATTAAAAAATAGGCCCAGGACTCGAATAGACATTTATGCAAAGAAGACATACACATGGCCAACCTGTCTATGAAAGAGTGCTTAATGTCACCGATCATTAGGGAAATCAAAACCACCATGAAATATCCCCTCACACATCGTTAGAATAGCTATTATCAAAAAATATATATATAAGTATAGACAAGGATGTGGAG
Source organism: Homo sapiens (assembly GCF_000001405.40). Lineage (NCBI taxonomy): Eukaryota > Metazoa > Chordata > Mammalia > Primates > Hominidae > Homo > Homo sapiens. Next base: position 73,836,915 of record NC_000018.10, on the reverse strand, counting down.
AAACTGGAATCCTTTTTGTACACTATGGGTGGGAAAGTAAAATGGCACAGCCACGATGGAAGACAGTATGGAGGTTCCCAACAAACTAAAATCAGAACTACCTTATGCTCCAGCAATCCCACTTCTGGATATGTATCCAAAAGAATTAAAATTTGGATCTCAAAGAGATAGCAACACTTCCATGTTCACTGCAGCATTATTCAAAATAGCCAAGATATGGAAACAAGCAAAGTGTCCATCAACAAGGGAATATGGATAAGGAAAATATGCTCTGTAAACATAATGGAATGTTATCCAACCTCAAAAAAATCCTGCCATGTTTGACAACCTTGAGGACATTATGCTAAGTGAAGTGAGCCAGTCACAGAAGGGCAATGACTGTGTGGTTTCACTTACGTTAGGTGTCTAAAATATCAGACTCCCAGAAACAGGGAGTAGAAGGGTGGTTGGCAGGGGCTTCAAGAAGGCAGTACTGGGGAGTTGCTATTCAATAGGTGTAAAGTTCTAGTTACACAAGATGAATACGTTCTAGAGATCTGCTGTACAACACTGTGCCTTAAAGCATTTGTGCACTTAAATTTTTGTTAAGAGAGTAGATCCCATGTTAAGTGTTCTTAACACACACACACACACACACACAATGCTGCCTCTTGGGTCTGGCCTTCAGAGGTCAGAGGAGACTTTAGCTAGTGACAAAATGAGTCACTATATATAGATTTTGTAATTTATGGTATTCCAGGATTCCGCAGTCCACGGGCATGAATAAAGTCGAATAGCGGTGCAATTTACTGACCGTCTGCTCCCACTCATTAGAACCTTAGGAACTCGGCCCTTTAAAGTTTTTTTTTCTGCTACTCTCCCTACCTACAACAAAAGTATTTCAGTCTCAAAACTCAATTGCATTTTTGTATCAGCCTCTGGACTGCTGACTCGGTCTCATAGTTGATAAGAGCCTTATGTATCAAATCCTATTACCCTAATTAATTTATAATGAAGGCTATAATTGCCACAGGGACAGGAAAATGACATCTTCTCTGGGACATACTCCTGAAGCTGAGTCATAGGGAAGCCTAGCTATGTTCAGATGATTAGTTGGCAAGCAAGGAATTAGGAACAAGGGAGTCCAGTGTTCCTGGAACATCCTAACAGGCTATGAGATCCAACTCCACGAAATGGCCTTCCATGAGCAAAATGGGGTGCTGCTGGAAAGTGATGGGTGGCCTTTCTTTGGTTTCCTCTTTCTAATCTTCATGACTTTGGTATTCCACTGCATGTGCCCTCCTTACACCCTTCCTGCCCACCTTTTACTCTTTTCATCTCTCTGCAAACTAGTTCACACAGCTATAACCTGATTGCATTTCACATGGTTTATAAAATATGTCTTTCTTTCTATTCCAGGACTTATGGAATATTAAGGCTTGGGGTTCATCTGCAGTCCTGCAGGGGTTGGGGGGGGTTCCCACTTGGACTCACCTGTAAACCCTGTGGTGTGAGGGGCTCCCACCTGGACTCACCTGTAAACCTGGCAGTGTGAGGGTGCACACCTTGGGGGCACAGTTCACAAATGGAATCTGTGCTGGTGAGAAGGTGCTCCCCTTCTCTGGAAAATTCTGAGGCACATTATTCTCTAGAAGGCCCCAGGGGGATTGAGCCCATGCTTTCCACATGAGGGACCAGCTCGAACACGTGCCTTTGTGTGTCTTCTCCCTTTTTCCCTGTACTATTCTTCCCAGTCCCCACTTTTGTTCCTGAGATCACATGTCATAAAAGTTTCTGCACCAAGGTTTGTCTCTTGCTTTGCTTTCTGGAAAAGATGAGGAAAAAGTGGCCCTCAGGGTGTTGTGCCAGAACCAATCACTCACTGGGATGACGGAGACAAGGGCCTTATTGCTGTGGACAGTTGGGGTGTAAGAGCCCTTGTTATTCAGGGTTTCCCAGTGGTTTAGACCTTCCACTGGTGGTGGTGCCGGAGAGGTGCAGGTGCAAGATCAAACTTTGGTTACCCTGAGCCAGTGACCCTGGGAAGGCGGCGGAGTGATGGTAACTGCAGGGGTTGTGAAGCTGCCTGGCTTTTGTTAATGGCTCTTGAGTAGCCTGGAGAAAAATGACAGGCTCAGGTTAGATAATCATCAATGGAAAGCTGACTATGACAATCAGAGGGCTTCTAAGGCAGTGTTAAAAACATTCATTCTCATCTTTGGTTTCACATTAGAGTCACATAATCTGAGGTCCAAGTGATATCCCTGACCAATTAATTCAAAACGTCTAGAAGTGTGACCCAAGCAACAGCTTTTTAAAGGCCCTCATGTAATTTCAATGTTGAGACAAAATTAAGAACCCCTGGAGACCTTTATCACCTGGGCTGCACGGCCGACTCTGCTGAAAACCAGACTCAGGATTTAATGGTAAAGGAGACTGAACTCATTCCCATGTCAAAGTTCGCTTCCTGATAGGAAAAAATAAAGCGGTATTCTGAGACTTGGGATTGGAATATTTGAGTGGGTGACAATCTTAAAGCCTTATGGTCTCCTAAGCCCTCCTAAGTCCACACCTCATGTGGCACAGTTCACAAATAGAATATGGGCTGGTGAGAAGATGCTCTCCTTTTCTGGAAAATTCTGAGGCATATTATTCTTTAGAAGGACCCAGTGGGAATGAACCCATGCTGTCCACATCAGGGACCAGATCAAACACGTGCCCATGAGGTGTTTCTGTCCCAGCAGAAACAGCTACCTCCTACTCCACTTACCTGGAGACCTTGCAGGACATTACTTGAGGCAGGTGTGTGAGGGGCTTGCCGTCCTTAAGATCGGCTCTACCTCCCACATTGCCAATAGCCCAGTATCCAAGCCCTGCATCCAAGGTCATGATGTAGAAGTGAGGAAATCAGTTTCTGCACCAGGAAAACAGTAACCACTCAAAGCATTGCATGGCATGGCTGTACCACCGAGAACCATAGGAACATGTGTGGGAGGAAATCTTGAGGGTGTTGCAGGATTATGGGAAGAAAATAAGGCAGGGAGGAGAGAACCGATGGACATGAGAGCACTGTAGCTTGACTTGTGCTTCAGCATCTTTGCAGGGACACTGGGAACAGGTCTGGGGGTGCTGTTATACCAGAAGCCCCTCAAAACCCAGTCCCAAGGATGCACTACAGTAAGTGAGCCAGGGAGTCTCAAACTGCCTTGGCATAGTGATAAGAAGGATCAGAAGGCACAGAGTGGCAGAGATGTGGGAGAGCAGAAATTCTATCACCAGAGTTATGTTCCTTGGGAAAGCTCAGAGGACACTCCCTTTGATAAAACAATAAGGAAAGCCTGGTGGGAGGGTTAGGCACTGGTGTCTTTAAAAACCCTGGAATACCCCAAGTGCACACAAATGCCATGAGGTGGAATACACACCCCATGAAGAGTCAGACTGTGATTTGTGTTTGCCACACCGGTGAAGGTTTAGGTGCCAGTGGTTTGGAGCATACCGTCTCATCCTCTTTCAGATAAATGGCAAGTTCTTGCATTCCCCTTCCCTACTATTAAGAGTCCCCTTGCTTGAGAAGGCTCTTTGGCATTTGGAAGCAGAGTATTGCTTCAACCTATTAATCTAGTAACCCAAATGCTTCCAGTTTTGAAAGATTCCCAGAACAAAATAGAGCTATGCAGCAGGTCCTGCCGCAGTGGAAATTGCTCTGTTGATCACAGTGTATGACTCAGCAAGTCTGATGGGTCTGGAGGCATCTCTGGTGGATAAGGGTGCTCAGTAGAAGTCTGCCAAGCCCCCAGTACAAGAGTCAGGGCAGACCCCTAGAATTCTGGAGCAAGTCATTACCTTGGGTAGCAGAGAACCTTACTTACCATTTGAAAAGCCCAGAGCAGCTGGGCCCTAAATATGTCTGGAGGCGCCCATGACAATCTGGGTATTATCAGCTCCATTCCATCAGGAGGTGCCCGTCACAATCTGGGTATCATCAGCTCCATTCCATCAGGAGGTGCCCATCACAGTCTGGGTATCATCAGCTCCATTCCAGCAGGAGGTGCACATCACAATCTGGGTATTATCAGCTCCATTCCATCAGGAGGTGCCCATCACAATATGGGTATTATCAGCTCCACCTGGCCAGGAGGTGCCCATCACAGTCTGGGTATTATCAGTTCCATTCCATCAGGAGGTGCCCATCACAGTCTGGGTATTATCATTTCCACCTGGCCAGGAGGTACCCATCACAGTCTGGGTATTATCAGCTCCATTCCATCAGGAGGTGCCCATCACATCATGTTGTAGGTATTATTGGATTCGTTCAGTCATCAGGTCTGGCAGGTGTACCATCAAACCACCCTACACTGAACATGGTTCACTGGAGATCACTTGGGGTCACTCTGAGAGGTCTGGAAGTCCTGTCAGTTGCATGAGCATGTAGCTCAGCCTTCTCACTCTTTACCTCTGTAATACCAGCACTTCAACTTAGAGCTGTCACCACACGGGGGTTTCCCATGACCATATACAGAGGAGGAAAGATTCCAGTTTGGTTCCCAGATGGGTGGGCATGACACATGATTGGCAGAAAAAAATGCAGTGCCACCACCACACTCCAGCCTGGCTCAGGAGCCTCCAAAGGAAAGTGACGAGGGGAACCCATCCCAGTGGGCAGTAGCAAGGTGATCTTGGTCATTCACTTTGAAGATAGTGAAAATGCTTGAGGCATGGCTCTGCACGTGGATGTCTGGCCTGTGCAGAATGCCTTGGCTCTTTGGGAGGGGCCCAGAAGGGGAGAGTGGACACAGAGAAGTTTGGGGAAGAGGCAGGTGAGAGGTCATGGTAGCGGGAACACGTGAGCATCTTCATGAAATGCTAAAGCTGCCAGAGAGGGCTATGGTGGCCCAGTGCTTATTGTGCAGGGTGAGTGTCCTGTGGGTGTCACCAGCCTCTGTTCTGGGCTCCCAGTGCTTGAGCAGTGGACCCATGGATGGAGTGGCCAAGGTGATGGGCACAGAGGCTAGGCAGTGGCCGGAAGTACAGGCTCCCTGTCACCATGGCTGATTCAGCTAGCACCATGGCTAGAAGACCAGCCTGTCATCAATTCAGTGAGCACCACGGCTGTGAGACCGCACTGTCATCAGCAAAGCCTGACACGGCACCTTCTCTCGACCACCAGCCATCCACTGGCACCGGAGTGTGCAGGAGATCCCCTTTACCCAGTTGAGGTAACTGTCATTTTCTTACCCTGCCTTCTGTCTCTGCCAGCACCCTCATCAAATGGCATGAAGGATGCCTCACCCACCAGCATAGATCCCACACAGTGTTGCTTCTGACCAAAGGACCCATGTTGAGGTCAAGGCAATGCCAAGAGGGTGTTTGACCACTTGGTGTACCAAGCAGCTGTGCCCTAAGCTTTTATCACGCACTGCATCCCTTCTAAGCAGAATGCGGGGATGGCCGATTAAAGGTTTACCTTCAAGGGTACTCAGCCCTGAGGCCCTGTGGTTTGGAGAGCTGCTTCCTGTAGGTGGTATAGGCCCTAAATGGCCATGTCCCAGTAGCAGGAATACATGAGTTCAGGACCTGTGACCCACTGGTGGAATTTGTCCTCCAACTCCAGCTTAGGGTGTCTTGGAATAAAAGTCCTTGTTCTTGGAGAAGCAGTGGGATGGGGAGAAATGCTCTGCCCAGGACACATTGAAGGGTCTTGTGAACTTGAAAAAGTAAACACCACTTGGTCATTTTGAGGTCCTCATGCTGGTGTTAGTTCCAAGTTTGGGGGCCATGGCCCACTCTGCTGACCACTGCTGCCAGGATTGCAGTTGTGCAATGCAGGGGGGAAGGGCTGGTCGGGCACCTATCTCTTGATACTTCCAGTTTGATCATGACTGTAAATGGCAAAAGGTAGCAACCATGGCCTGATAAGGGCTCAGCAACCAAGCACTCAGGCCCCTTGGGGATGAGGGCCTGGGTCACCATACAAAGGAAGTAACGCAGTCTGCCAAAGTGCTGGCCTGGTATGAAGGGATACAGAAGATGGGGTGGGGTAGGAGATAGCCCGGGGCCTGGGACAGCCGTGGGCACTATAGTTTGTCTAACCCTAACCCTCCTACATTTGGTCTTTTTAGAGAATGCGACCAACTGCAAACTTGAGGCCCTTGTGTTGAACATTGTCTGGATCTGAGTAGGACACGCTGTGAACTGTGTCAGATACCACCTGTGCCTGACACTCCCGGTCCACCCTTTACCCCTGTCATTTTTGCAATCACCAGCCTCCTCAGACATAACCCGAGAGCTCCTCAGCTCAGCTGTGCTGTGTGTTTCTCTCTGCTCCAGGTGCTCTCTGACTGCAAGGCACGAAACACTTGAGCAAACTTGGAATTGCAGGGGAATGACCACACTATAGTGTAACCCCTCGCCAGTGGGGACTTGAAGCCCATGGAGAAACGGTCCCTTCTTGTAGGCACATTCTACAGAGGGACCCAATGGGACTGAGCCCAGATGTCCGCTGTCGTGACCAGCTCAGTACTGCAGATTTCAATTCCTTTCACTCGTTTTCTGTTTCATGCTTGCCAGTTTCCCTCTCCTGTTTCCTGAGGTCACTTCCAAACACAGACTTCCAGCATGCAGGCCCTGGTCTTGAGCTTTGCTTGTGTGGAAGCAGCTGGAGCACCCAAAGACACTATCTTCCCTTGGATTCTCACAATTTCAAACAATTACAGTCTAGTGTGAGGGTCTGGAGGCTCTGGCAGTCACTCCATTTTTGTTTTTCTCTCTTGCTGCATTTTCAATACATCTCTCTGTTGTATACTCAATGGTGTCCCCCCAGCGTTATTCATATGCTAATGTCCTAACCCCCAATGCAGTCGTATTTGGAGATACGGCCCTCAAGAGGACAAGGAAGGTTCAATGAGGTCATGAGGCTGGGGCCCTAATCACATAGGGCTGACATCCTTATAAGAAGTTTCAACAAGGTCACAATGCTGGGGCCCTAATTCCATAGTGCTGACATTCTTATAAGAAGATTCAAGGAGGTCACAGGCTGGGGCCCTAGTCCCCTAGGGCTGACGTCTTTATAAGAAGGTTCAATGAGGTCACAAGGCTGGGGCCCTAATCCCATAGCACTGATGTCCTTCTAAGAAGAGGAAGAGACACCAGAGCTCCTTCTCCATGCTTACAGAGGAAAGGCCGTGTGAGGACACGACCAGAAAGTGCGGGCCACAAGCCGGTGAGAGTCTTCACCATCGCCTCCATTTTGACGCCAGTGCCCAGACCTGTACCTGCTAATGTTTTCCCCATTTAGGCAGCAGAGGCATCATTCAGGTCTTTAACCCCAGCTTTTTCCCATTTGCAGTTTTGAGGTCTCTGTGTGATCTGAGCATTTTTGCTCAATCTTAAAGCACCTGTTTCTCCCATCATAAAAGCATCAAACCTTATTTTCTTCAGCTTTGGCTCCCAGCAGCTTGCAAAAACTATAATAGAAAGTAATTTGAGGAACAGGGTGAAGGTGAAGAGGGCAAATGCAGCTATTGGCTTCTGCTTCTCTCGAGAAGAATCTCTCAACGGTTCTGTCAGTTCACACTTACCAGTGTTCCGGTTGCTTCATGTCGCTGTCAGCACTCGGCGGTGGTGCGTTCTCTTTAATTTGGCTATCCCAGTGGGTGTATACTGGTGTTCATTGTGGTTTTAATGAGGTATTCTCAGAGATGTGTTACCCAACCTAAAGAAAAGATGAATCCCTGATTAGAGAATATGGTGTGAGACTTTAGAGGAGTATTTAGGTGGTCTTTCAGGAGAAGGGAACAAACATTTCTTAAGCATTTTATACATTCAGCGCAACACGAGATGTTCCACCCAACTAGTATATTTAAGATGTCCAACTGTTCTATACATTAAGTTTCACTTTTCCCATTTTGGGGAAGAAACAGATTTTAGAAATACTTAATAAGTTACCCCAAATCTCATATTTATAAAGATTTGGCTCATGTCGTATCACAGAGGTGGCTGCAGGTTTCTTGTAGTATCGGCACTAACATTGAGAATTATATGTTTATTTTGCAGGGGGCGGTGGGGAGAGGGAGAGAGAGACAGAAGACACAGGGAGTTGGGGAGATAGGAGAAGCTAAGGGATCTTGTAATCTTACTTTGGGATTTCAGTGGGAGAAAAGGAATTGAACCTGGGCTGCTGACCCCACTTCAGGGCTGAGATCCCCTGGCTGTGGAGGGCTCCTGAGGCCCTTCTGGTACAATTGTCCATGTTCCACGGCAAACTCAGAAGCCTTCCCACAGCAGAGACAGTCAATCCTGATCTCTCACTCGCTCCGCTAAAGCTGTAAAAGCCATGATCTCTTCATCCGCGTAGCCTCGAGAAGAGATGGGAGAGATAGTATCTTCCTTTTCAGATGAAACAGCTGATTCAGGGAACTCTCTAGTGACTTTTTCAAGAGCGCAGAGTGGACGGAGCCAAAGCAAGAATCCAAGTTCAGGCCCCTTCTGCTGTGGAAATATTGTGATATGGTCACACGTGATCTATTTTCTCCAGGGATCTTTGTGGCATGCTTTGGTCCTATTACCTCATAATTCTTCTGTTTTATTAAGCCTGTTGTTGGCTACAAGAAGCCTGTAATGAGTGCAGTTTCATTAATGATAGTAGTGGTGGCTGACTTTTACTGAATGCTCACTTTGTGACTGGCACGATGTTGAAAGCTTTAGGTGCACCCATTCTAATCATAAGCCTACAAGATCGGCACTGCCGCTCCAGATGAGAAGGCTGGAGCATGCAGAGGTCGAGTAGCTTGCCCAAGTACACTGAACTCAAAACATAGGCACTGCACACATTTAACCTTATGTTTGTTACACAACCTTCCTCTTCGTGAATATGAAAGTAAACCAAGTGTGGTTTTACAGACAAGGGTTATGAGCACTTCCATAAGGAATCTGCAGGCGCCATGAGCAGAGGGCTATGTGGCGTTGTGATTTCTGACATGGGAATGTAGGAAGGTTCAGTGATAAAGCTTGCCCATTAGCACTGAGAAGCACATGTAGAGTTGCTGCCTATCAGCTTTAATCCACTTAGCGGTGGCTTCAGACTGCTGACTCCAGGACACCAGAAAAGAAGCAGCAAGTTGCAAAAGGTCACGTAAGACATGATATTGTTTAAGTGAAAATATCACTTAAACAATATCAGGCTGGCACTCTTCTTCCTCCTCCATCTCCTCCTCTTCTTCCTCTCCTCCTCCTCTTTCTTCACCCTCTCCTCCTCTTCCTCCTTCTCCTCTCCATCCTTCTCTTGCTCCTCCCTCTCCTCCTCCTTTTCCTCCATCTCCTCTTGGTCCTTCTCTTGCTCCTCCCCTTCTTCCTCCTCCTCTTCCTCCTCTCCCCCCTCCTCCTCTTGCTCCCACCCTCTCTTCTCCTCTTCTTGGTCCTCCTCTCCCCTTCTCTTCCTTTTTTCCTCCTCCTCCTACCTCAATAGAAAAAGCATTACAATTAATGCACCTATGGACAGGTGTAGTTTATGTAGCTATAAGACAAAGTCAGCTGGTCATTGATAGGGTATAATTGTTCTGGTGTTAGCCATTCTTTTTGTTAAACATGAAATATTCCTAACATACTAGAGTTTCTGATACCCATGTTCCCACAGCTGAGATTATTAACACATTTTAATATTTCACCCTATTTGCCTAATTTTTAGTGAAGAAATCAAACGTTTCAGATTAGGTCGAGACTCTGCCACCCACCCCTGATCACTTAACTTTAAAAAGCAGAAGTCTTGATTTCCCCCCAAGACATGTTCATCCTACTTCAGCAGAAGGCACCAGCTCTCCCCGATGGCTCAGCTGTAAGCAGGTCTCTCCTTGCTCCTCTGTTCCCTTCTGCTGGTCCTTGTATCTCTGCCTCCTACGTTTCTCCCAAATCTGCCACCTCCCTGCCTCATCACCCCTCTCAGACTCTTCCCAGACTCCTGCCACAGCCTCAGTGGGCTCCCCAATTCCACCCTGGCCCTCCTGGCATCAGGATTTCATTCAACAGTTCTAGTGCTTTTTAAAAGACCATCATAGCAGGCCACTGCCCCACATCACATTCAGAAGCAACCCATGTGAGATGGGGCCTCCCCTCTCCCCAGTCTGGCTACACTGGTCTTTATTCTGCTCTTGGAGCCCTTCAATCCCACTTCTGCTCTGAGGGCTTCTGCCTGGAATCTGGTCCCTGGGTCTTCACAGAGCCCCTTGCTCCCCTCACCCAGATCCCTGCTCAGAGGCTTGTGCTCCCAGAGAGCTTCGAAGGACCTCCTCTGCCGCCTCCCCTGCTGCTCAGCCTTCCACTGTCCTCATGGACAACCAGCTTCACATTATACATTCATTAGTTTACCATCTGTCTCACCCACATCTACTGCCCTGGAATAAAGCTTTATGAGTTTGTCCTGTTTACCACCGCATCCCCCATACCTAGAACAAATACTTCATTTTTGTTAAATGGGTGAATAAATCTTATTGGATTGCTTTACCCCAACAGCAGCTACTCAAAGAAGTTGGCGTGTATTAAGTCTCCTTCTGATTTGCTATATTTATTACACATTTATGTGCCCATATGGCTTTCATGCAAACTAATATGTTTGCAATTTTCACTTAAACAATATCATGTCTTACGTGGCCTTTTGCAACTTGCTGCTTCTTTTCTGGTCCAAAAATGTGTTTAAGATTAATCCATGTTGATACTTGTACATTTATTTAACTGTTGAGCAATGTTTTGTTGAATGAATAGACCACAGTTTATTCATTCCCATAGCATACTGGGTTATAGTTTTTTTTAAATATATATATTTTTGGAGTAGAGGGGTCTCTTTAACACCCCGCTGAGAATTATTCTACGTTAGACCCACAGAAATAGAATTGCCGGGCTATAAGTTATGTGTAACTTCAACTTTGCTAGATGTGTTAAGTTGCCCAAAACAGTTTGTACCATTTTACAAAGTGTAAGAATTCCATTTTTCACATCTTAATCAATATTTTCAGTCATCACAGTTTTGATTTTTACCTTATAGGCATCTTATGTGACTCATTTTTGTTTTATCTTGCACTTTCCACTTCACCACTATCATCTTTTTCTCCATATGTTCATTGGTCATGCAAGTTTCTTTTTTTTTCTAAATTGTTTGTTCATATTTTGCCTGTTTTTCTCTTGGGTTGTTTGTCTATTTCTTATTGGTTTGAATTAGGTCTTTAAGAACTCTGTGTAAGACTATTTTGTAGTTTATTCACATTACAAATATCATCTCACAGTCTGTGGTTTTCTTTTCAGTTTATTTATGGTGTCTTTTTATTTACATATGTTTTAATTTCATGTAATTTTTCCTTCATATTTGATTTGTTTCTATATATTTTCAAGAAATCCCTGCTGTATTATAAAAATGCTCTGCTATATTTCCTTTCAAAGTTTAAAGTTGGCTTTCTACAGATTTTATTTTATTTGGGGGTATGATATGAGATAAAAATCTAATTTTATTTTATCTTTTATACAGACAGTAATCAAAGCCAGTGCTACTTTTAAAAACTTAATTTATTGAGTAGGTAACACATTCATATGGTTTGAAGATTGTAATAATGCTGCAAAATGCATTATACCATGAAGTCTCATTCCCATCCCTGCCTCATCTGCTCTCTTCTCTCCATAAGGCAACCACTTCTTATTGATTATTCTTTGTTTCTCTGTATGTACAAGTAGTGCAAATAGAAAAAGATATTCTTATTTTCCCTTTCTTAAACACAAGTAGCATTTATCCATACTGTTCTGCACCTTGCTTTTCTCACTTAACTATTTTTCCTGGAGCTCTTTCCATTTGAGTGCATAGGAAGCTTTTCATTCTCTTTTGTAGCTGAATAGTTTAGGAAACCCAGATTTCTTTTGCTGGATAAGAAGCATGTCTGCCCTTTGCTCAGGAAGGAGACGCTACTTCCAAGGCTGCTTACTACACACACATCCCAGAAAAGATCCTTTGGAATAGAGGGCAGTTAGAGTCTCACTCACAAAATATGTAGAAATGAGAGACCTGTGAAGAATGTCTCCCAGAGTTGTATCAATTTACAGTCACCAATGTTCCAATTGTGCCATATCATTTTCAACATTTGCTGTTGACAGTCTCTAATTGTAGCCATTCTAAGTGGGTGTGCATTGGTATTTCATTGTGGTTTTAGTTTGCATTTCTCTGATGTGTAATGATGTTGAACACTATTTTATGTTTATTCACATTTTTTTCTGATTTTATTTTATTCCTTTAGAATCAGGTGGTACAAGTGCAAGCTTGTTATATGGGCATATTGATAATGCTGGGGTTGGGCTTCTTTTGAACCCACCACCTGAATAGTGAACATTGCACCCAATAGGTAGCTTTTCAACCCCTTTCTCCCTCCTTCTCTCCCTGCTTTTGGAGTCCCCAGTGTCTTTTGTGTTTATTAACAATTTTGATATCCTCATTTGGAAAAATCTGTTCAAGGTTTTTGAAACCACTTTTTAAAGCAGAAATTGTACCTACTTCTTATTGATTTGTAGAAGTTCTTTTTATATTTTTCATATGAGCCTTTTAGAATATATAAACAGAAGTCCTCATTTGCAATAAAGGTTAGTTTCATTGTTTTGTTATATGGTGAGTGATTTTCATATGCTGCTTCATGAATCATTTTGAGCCCCAAATTATGACGATCTTTACTAATGCTTCCCGTAGGCACTTGATTCTTTTAGCTTTTACATTTAAGTTTATGATCCATTTCAAGTGGACATTTGGTATCTTTTCTGGTGGTCTAATAGACTCAGTGCTCTTGAATGAACTTCAGTGTATATGTGAGGTATAATTCAATGTTATTTTTTTTCCTACATCAATATCAAATTGACTCTGTATAATTTATTGGACAGGTTTTTATTTCTCCATTGAATTGTGGTAAAGCCTTTATATATTACTGAATTCTATTTGCTAATATTTTCTTTAGGATATTTTGTGTTCATAGTTATAAGATAACTTGGTTGTAATTTTCCTTTCTTTTAATATTCTTGCCAGATTTTGGTATTTTGTCCTTATAAAATCAGTCAAATATTTCTTTTTTTTTCTGTTTTCTAGAAGAGTTTAAGATTGACATTATTTATTCTCTGAACTTTTAAAATAATTTGTCTTTGAAACCATCTAGACCTAGAAAGCTGTTTTTGTAGGAAGGATTTTAATTGTAGATTTAATTTATTCAATACTTAACCTGGCTTTTCTGTTTTTTGTTGGGTCATTCAGAAAACTATGCTTTTCAAGGAATTTGTTCATTTCATCTGAATTTGAAAATTTATTACCACAAAGATATTTATACTATCCTTTCATTTTCTTTTTATTATCTGCAGGGTTTGTAATAATGTCTTTTTTTCTCTTTTTTTAAATATATATATATATTTTAATATACTTTAAGTTCTAGGGTACATGTGCACAATGTGCAGGTTTGTTACATACGTATACATGTGCCATGTTGGTGAGCTGCACCCATTAACTCATCATTTACTTTAGGTATATCTCCTAATGCTATCCCTCCCCACTCCCCCCACCCCACAACAGGCCCTGGTGTGTGATGTTCCCCTTCCTGTGTCCATGTGTTCTCATTGTTCAATTCCCATCTATGAGTGAGAACATGCGGTGCTTGGTTTTTTGTCCTTGCGATAGTTTGCTGAGAATGATGGTTTCCAGCTTCATCCATGTCCCTACAAAGGACATGAACTTATCATTTTTATGGCTGCATAGTATTCCATGGTGTATATGTGCCACATTTTCTTAATCCAGTCTATCATTGTTGGACATTTGGGTTGGTTCCAAGTCTTTGCTATTGTGAGTAGTGCCACAACAAACATATGTTTGCATGTGTCTTTATAGCAGCATGATTTATATTCCTTTGGGTATATACCCAGTAATGGGATGGCTGGGTCAAATGGTATTTCTAGTTCTAGATCCCTGAGGAATCGCCACACTGACTTCCACAGTGGTTGAACTAGTTTACAGTCCCACCAACAGTGTAAAAGAGTTCCTATTTCTCCACACCCTCTCCAGCATCTGTTGTTTCCTGACTTTTTAATGATCGCCATTCTAACTGGTGTGAGATGATATCTCATTGTGGTTTTGATTTGCATTTCTCTGATGGCCGGTGATGATGAGCACTTTTTCATGTGTCTTTTGGCTGCATAAATGTCTTCTTTTGAGAGTGTCTGTTCATATCCTTTGCCCACTTTTTGATGGGGTTGTTTGTTTTTTTCTTGTAAATTTGTTTGAGTTCTTTGTAGATTCTGGATATTAGCCATTTGTCAGATGAGTAGATTGCAAAAATTTTCTCCCATTTTGTAGGCTGCCTGTTCACTCTGATGGTAGTTTCTTTTGCTGTGCAGAAGCTCTTTAGTTTAATTAGATCCCATTTGTCAATTTTGTCTTTTGTTGCCATTGCTTTTGGTGTTTTAGACATGAAGTCCTTGCCCATGCCTATGTCCTGAATGGTATTGCCTGGGTTTTCTTCTAGGGTTTTTATGGTTTTAGGTCTAACATGTAAGTCTTTAATCCATCATGAATTAATTTTTGTATAAGGTGTAAGGAAGGGATCCAGTTTCAGCTTTCTACATATGGCCAGCCAGTTTTCCCAGCACCACTTGTTAAATAGGGAATCCTTTCCCCATTTCTTGTTTTTGTCAGGTTTGTCAAAGATCGGATAGTTGTAGATGTGCGGTATTATTTCTGAGGGCTCTGTTCTGTTCCATTGGTCTATATCTCTGTTTTGGTATCAGTACCACGCTGTTTTGGTTACTGTAGTCTCGTAGTATAGTTTGAAGTCAGGTAGCATGATGCCTCCAGCTTTGTTCTTTTGGCTTAGGACTGACTTGGCAATGAGGGCTCTTTTTTGGTCCCATATGAACTTAAAAGTAATTTTTTCCAATTCTGTGAAGAAAGTCATTGGTAGCTTGATGGGGATGGCATTGAATCTATAAATTATCTTGGGCAGTATGGCCATTTTCACGATATTGATTCTTCCTACCCATGAGCATTGAATGTTCTTCCATTTGTTTGTGTCCTCTTTTATTTCGTTGAACAGTGGTTTGTAGTTCTCCTTGAAGAGTTCCTTCACATCCCAAGACTAAACCAGGAAGAAGTTGAATCTCTTAATAGACCAATAACAGGCTCTGAAATTGAGGCAATAATTAACAGCTTACCAACTAAAAAAAGTCCAGGACCAGACGGATTCACAGCCAAATTCTACCAGAGGTACAAGGAGGAGCTGGTACCATTCCTTCTGAAACTATTCCAACCAATAGAAAAAGGGGGAATCCTCCCTAACTCACTTTATGAGGCCAGCATCATCCTGATACCAAAGCCTGGCAGAGATACAACAAAAAAAGAGAATTTTAGATCAATATCCCTGATGAACATCGATGCAAAAATCCTCAATAAAATACTGGCAAACCAAATCCAGCAGCACATAAAAAGCTTATCCACCATGATCAAGTGGGCTTCATCCCTGGGATGTAAGGCTGGTTCAACATATGCAAATCAATAAACGTAATCCAGCATATAAACAGAACCAAAGACAAAAGCCACATGATTATCTCAATAGATGCAGAAAAGGCCTTCAACAAAATTCAACAGCCCTTCATGCTAAAAACTCTCAATAAATGAGGTATTGATGGGACGTATTAGAGCTATTTATGACAAACCCACAGCCAATATCATACTGAATGGGCAAAAACTGGAAGCTTTCCCTTTGAAAACTGGCACAAGACAGGGATGCCCTCTCTCACCACTCCTATTCAACATAGTGTTGGAAGTTCTGGCCAGGGCAATCAGGCAGGAGAAGGAAATAAAGGGTATTCAATTAGGAAAAGAGGAAGTCAAATTGTCCCTGTTTGCAGATGACATGATTGTATATCTAGAAAACCCCATCGTCTCAGCCCGAAATCTCCTTAAACTGATAAGCAACTTCAGCAAAGTCTCAGGATACAAAATCAATGTGCAAAAATCACAAGCATTCTTATATACCAATAACAGACAAACAGATAGCCAAATCATAAGTGAACTCCCACTCACAATTGCTTCAAAGAGAATAAAATACCTAGGAATAATGTCTTTTTTAATTTCTAATGCTAGCAAAGTGGGTTTTTTTTCCTTGATTAATCATGCTAGGGGTGTTTTGGCTATGTATTGCTGCATAATTAAATGACCAATGTCTCAGTGCTTTGAGCAACAATTATCTCTAGTGTGTCTGTGGATTTACTGGCCCGAATTGAGTGTGATTTTTTTGTTCCCCTGTGGGGTCTTGTTTGAAGTCTGGCATGTAGTTTCAGGCAGATAGCCTATGGGGTTGGATCAGCTGAGCCAGACATCCCAGGTGATGTGTACTCCCCAGTAACCATCAGGAGCTAAGCTGGGGCTGCACATGAAGTTGCTGAGTGATGTACTCTATATTAGTTACATCTCACATGTTTAGAAGAATTCTAAAATAGATTTTTAAAATGCCTCAAATGCCCTATTATATCATTTTTCACTCAAAAATTTTACAATTTGACAATCTGCTGTATTGGTAAGAATATGGGGAGAGAGATCCTTTCATACAGTGCTGAAAAAAAGTGTAAAATTATTCAACATCTATGAAGGCTAATTGGCAATATATATCACAATTATAAATGCATATGTACATGCTTTTTAATCCAGAAATCTCACTTTTGTGAATTACTATATTGTTGAATAGAAGGGATGTTAGTGGACATGCTTACCCTCTTCTTGACTTTAAAAAGATTATATCTCACCTTTCATGATTAGATGTGCTATTAGGTTGGTGCAAACGTAAATGCAGTTTTTGCCATTGAAAGTAATGGTGAAAACTGCAGTTACTTTTACACCAGCCTAATATTTATGCTTCATTTGCTATTTGAAGATAAGATATTCTCATTTTATTTTAGTTTACTAAGAAGATTGAGTGTTGAATTTTATCAAATATTTTCTGCATCTATTGAAAGGTGATCATATGGTTTTTCTCCTTTCATCTGTTAATGTGATAAATTTCATTAACACATTTTCTAATAAGCTATCCTTGCTTTCCTCTGACAATCCCTGCAAGTCGATTAAAGAAAAATGAATTGCTAGACTCTGTTGCTAATGTGTAAGTTACTACTTTTGCATTTATATTCAAAAGTGAAGTTTCTTTCTCCTTTTGTCCTCATCTTCTTCTAATTTTGATGTCACTAGAATTCTAAAGGGAGTTGGGAGAGTTCTCCCAGTTTTCCTAGCTGGGTTACTGTCTGAATAAAGAAGCATATTTCACAGAACGTTCTTGTCCCCAACTAAGCAGTCAAACAATGTTAACAATCTGATTAGACTGATGTATAAGACATTTATTCATTTAATATAAAATTGTGAGGTTGTTAAATACACATAAAATGTTAGCCCTTGCAAACCTCACAACTCTTTCAACAGTGAAACAGGGAAGGCTTATTGAAATGCATTAGACAGCCATTACACAAAGTTTTGAATGTTTCTTTCTTAGGTTGATAATCTTTTGGGTTCATGAATGAATTCTCAGTTCTTCTCAATTTAGTATTGCTAGCATCGGCTTAATGTGTCTATACAGCAAGGTGCCTGGCATTTTGGCAAGGTCAGATGGTTTTGAAAGTGAAAATGAGAGTAGTGGTCTTGGATGGAAGGTTGATGATATATCTGGACAGAAGCTAAGTAATTTGTTGAACAAAATTTATATTACATGGTAGTGGTGATTTTTAATTATTTGTATATCTACAGTAGAGGCATAATGTTCTCTATGGTAAAAATAAACCACAACCCACATTGTTTTCTTTCTCAATACATTGTTCAAGCCATATTCTCAGAAATGTTCCCTGACATTTAAGGGTGCATAAATTATGTAAGCTCCCGTTAGACATTTTGTCATTAATATTGGCTAAATACAGTAGAGAAACCATTATCTTCCTAAAGCCTCAAATTGGATTACTTCATATTTTTAGTTTGAACTTCAGGAAAACATTATGCCTTTACCCATTATGCCTTTACCTGTTCTGTTATCCAGTGAATGAGCTATGATGAAGATGTTCTCAAACCAATAGACCATGTGTAACAGGTTTTGTGTTCGTGTGAAGGAAGATCCTGACAGTTTAAGGAACAAATCTACAATCTGTACTTCTTAGCATTGAAGGCAGGCCTGAAGACTATCTAGGGTAGAGACACTAATAGATTGGAGATGTCAGGAAAAAAGAACATCTGTAATCCAGTAATTGCTTGAGAAAAGTAGAGTTGAATAGAAATGACTACTGAAAAACATTATCATAGAAACTTGATCACCACAAATGAGTCAGATTTTTGTGTTCTATTCCTCACACTTTAAGAGATTAGAAGCTAACTGTATTATACCTAAGATGTTAGTGATTTGCATTTCCCTGATAATTAGTGATGTGGAACATGTTTTCATATACCAGTTGGCCATTTGCATGTCTTCTTTTGAGAAATGTCTATTCAAGCTCTTGGCCCATTTTTAAATTGAATTATTTGTTTTCTTTGCTAAGTGAGTTGTTGGAGTTCCTTACATATTTTAGATATTAACTTCTTATCAGATATATAGTGTGCAAATGTTTTCTCCCAATCCATGGGTTGTCTCTTCACCTGACTAATTGTTTTCTTTGTGGTAAAGAAGCTTTATAGTTTGATGTAAACCCGTTTGTCCATTTTTACTTTTGCTGCATGTGCTTTTGGTGTTACATTCAAGAGTTCATTGCCTAGACCAGTTCCATGAATTTTTTCCCCTTTGTTTTCTCCTAGGAGTTTTATACATTTGGGTTTTAGGTTTAATTCCTTAGTCCATTTTGAGTTGATTTTTGTTTATGGTGTAAGGGCGCAGTTTTACTTTTTTGCATGTGGATATCCAATTTTCCCAACACCATTTGTTGAAGAGACTGTCCTTTCCTTATTGTATGTTCTTGGCACTATTACTCAAGAGCAGTTGACTGTAAATGTATGGGCTTATTTCTGAGCACTCTATCCTGTTCCATTGGTCTACATTAACCATTTTTATGTCAGTAACATGCTGTTCTGATTATTATAGCTTTGTAGTATATTTTGATATCAGGCAGTGTGATGCCTTCAGCTTTGTTCTTTTTGCTCAAGATTGCTTTGGCTATCTGATGTCTTTTGTAATTTTGTATGAATTTTGGAATTGTTTGTCCTATTTCTGCAAAATTATTATTAAGCTTTTCATAGACATTGCATGAAATTCATAGATCACTTTGGGGAGAATAGACATTTTAACAAATGTCAATTCTTTCAGTTCATGAACACAGAAAGCCTTTCTATTTATTTGTGTCTTCTTTAATTTCTTTCATTACAATAATTTATCACCTCACACTTGTTAGGGTGACTATTACAAGATACTGTTGAGGGAATAAAAAGACAAATCACAGACTGGGAAAAATATTTGCAAAAGACATATCTGATAAATAATTGTTTTTCAAATATACAAAGAACACTTAAAACTCAGCAATAAGAAAACAAACACTCAATTAAAAAATGGGCCAAAGAACTGAGTAGACACCTCACCAAGAAGATATATGGATGGCAAATGAGCACATGAGATGCTTCCCATCATATGTCATCGGGGAAGTGCAAATTAAAACAACAGTGAGATATCACAATGTCACTATTAGAATGGCCAAAATCCAAAACGCTGACACCACCAAGTGCTGGCAAGGATATGGGGCAGCAGGAACTCTCGTTCATTGGTGGTGGGAATGCAAAATGGTACAGCCACTTTGGAAGAGAGTTTTATGGTTTCCTACAAAACAAAACACAGCCTTACCATATGATCCAGCAGTTACACTATGTGGTATTTACTCAAAAGGCATTAAAAATAAATATCACATGATCTTATTTGCATGTGGAATCTAAAAAGGTGAGACTTAGCTGGGTGTGGTGGCTCCTACCTGTAATCCCAGCACTTTGAGAGGCCAAGGTGGGAGGACTACTTGAGTCCAGGAGTTCGAGACCAGCCTGGGCAACATAGTGAGACCCCATCTCTACTAAAACAGTTAAAAAATTCGCCAGGTTTGGTGGAACATGTCTGTAGTCTCAGCTACTCAGGAGGCAAAGGCAGGAGAATCACTGGAACCCAGTGAGTTGTGCTCGTGTCACTGCACTGAAGCCTGGGCAACAGAGCAAGACCCTGTCTCAAAATTAAATTAAATTAAAAGACGAGACTCATAAAAGCTGTGTAGAACTGTGGTTGCCACAGGGTAGAAGGTAGGAGGAAAGGGAAATGGTGAGTTGAAGTTCCACGGGTACAAAGTTTCAGTTCTACAAGATAATAATTCTAGAGATCTGCTGTACAACACTCTGCCTATTGTAACAATATTGGATTTTTCACTTAAAAGTTGTGAAGGGGGTCATATTAAATGTCCTTACCATAATTTTTTATAAAGAGCGATTTCTTATGGTTTAAGCTAATGCATTTCAGGTGCCTTGGTCAGTGTCCCAACAAGCCAGTTTGTGATCATGTGCATGACCTTGACTTATGAAATGTATGTATAAATATGTCTGTACGTATATAAGACGTAGACATCTGAAACAGCAAGAATAAAATAACCAAAATAGTCACTTTTTTGGAGTATGGAATTTATATCTCTACACATACACACACACACACACACACACACACGACCAGTTCTGAAGTGTCAGTATGGTTACTAATCTTGGCATTTTCTGTTTATGTGTATCTCTAGTCCTGGGTTGCCAATGTTGGAATATGAGGATTGCATTCAATATGCTCCAATAGTACATTGCTCTCTATAGATAATGGGGAAACACTTGGACATATTTCTGATGAGGTACTAGCCTGCCTAATATAGTTTTAAAAATAAGGAAAGTAACTTGACTGTATATAAATTTATAAAACATAAAATCTTAAGGTTCTATTAAATTTTACTTTCTATTAAAAAGAAAGTTATATATGTAAAATGGATGATTAAAATTTTCTTATGTTTGAAATAAAATGTGTCATGGAAGTTCTATGAAGATGACCTGACTCAAAAAACCTGAAGGATTGTTGCCCAGGTAAAAGAATTTGGACATGTTCATTCTGAGAAATCCCTTAGTTCTTGGGCCAGGACCACTTTGCAGTAGGCCCAAGCACTAGGAGCCTACTCTTCAACACTCACACATAATGTGGAGGAGTATTCACTTCTTTAAAACAGATTGGAAGGGTCAAAGAAGGAGTGTTTTTTTTTTTTTTTTAATTTAAATGGCTTGGCTTTGAATGTCATCAAAATATGTTTGCTTTAAGCTATAAAGCTTTTAACTACTTTTGCTTTTCTAAATTTTATGCTATTGGTCTTTTGCTTTCTTTGTATTAGGAGTGGAAATAATCTACATGGTTACTTTATGTGTCAACTTGACTGGGCTTAAGGGGTGCCCAGATAGCTGGTAAAACAGTATTTCTGGGCATGTCTGTGAGGGTGTTTCTGGAAGAGATTAGCATTTTAATCAGTAGACTGGGTAAAGAAGTGGGTTGATGCCCACCCATTCACCAGTGTGAGCGGGCACCCTCCAATCCATTGAGGACCTTAATACGACAAAAGGGAGAGGGAGGAAGAACCTGATGTCTGCTTGAGTGGAGGCATCCATTTCCTCTGGCCCTCAGATAGTGGCACACCTCGTTGTTGGGCATTTGGACTTGGACTGGAACTTATACCATGGGATTTCCTGGGCCTCCAACTTGCAGACGGCAGACTGTGGAACTTCTCAAGCTCCATAATCATGTGAACAAATTCCTCATAATAAATCTCTTTCTGTCTCTTTCTGTCTGTATCCTATTGGTCCTGTCTCTCTGGAGAACCCCGACTAACACAATCTGCAACTCCTTATTCCCTGTAATGAGAAACATACCATGTCCCTGACATTTTAAGCCATGTGAGGTCCCAGGTGAGGTCAGTTTACACTCTATCCCCTGCTTACTATGAATAAATAATAAACAACAAAAACCATCCAGTGTTGCAATAGAAAATGCTAGTCCATATTTGTCTTATCTGTACTTTTAATGAGCATTGCTGTCTTCATTTTCCAAAGGCATGCGCCAATTTATTAGAGTCATAGAGCAAGTTTAGTGGCATTTTGTGACCTATTTTGTAAGAAATATGGTTTCAAATATTTATTATCTCTTTAAAAAGGCTCTTTTTTGTTTTACACTGATTTTCATTTGCACAGCCTTTTCCATAGATTTTATTACAAATTAAATCTTTCCTATTAGGAAATATTTTTGATTATTAGTCATCAGGGGGGTATATTGGCATGGGAGAAAGGAAAAGAATAGCAAAGAAAATATGTTATCTAAAATGCAAATAGGTATCCAGAATCTCTGCTGAAGAAAATCAGTTCACATGGCATAGGGGCCAAAAATAGAAACAGAAAAGATACTTTTTCCTTCATACTTTTTATGTTAACAATAACTTGCAATCTTTTAGGCAGTTTTTTTTCTGTATATTTTCCATGTCAAAATCGCTTTCTTTGCAAAAATTGAAGTAGATGTAAAAAAAGGATAACTGATATATTTTTTCTGAAGAAACATATTTCTAAGGTTTAGAAATATCAAAAAATTTTCTCTCTTTTCAGTTATTATGGTCTTTATAATACAATGGAGGAGTAACGAGAAATGTGAATGGTTAATATTAACATAGATAAATTATAGTATTAATCAAATATTTTTATAGAATGTATTTTCATTTCACCATGTACCATTTCAAACCTATATTAATTAACCAAATAGAGTTTGTATAATATTCTAACCTCAATCCATGATCCATGTATCCCAAAGCCATACAAATTCCAATTCTGAATATTGTTTGGTTTTTGTATAATTTGGAGTTAAAAATCTACCTTCATCTGTATTTTATAATATAGAAGTGAATGAATGCATGATATAACATCTTTTTCTCTGAAGCTCGTTTAGTTAGAGTTAGCAATACCTGAACCAGGTTTTTAAAACAATATAATTTTATTAATATTTTTGAGTAGCAAAGCTGCGTGTTATCATCCTCATTCACCATCCTTCTAACTACCTGCTGGGAGGTCTGCCTCAGGTGTTGGGGACACAAGAAGGTGCAAAATAAACTTCCTAAATACTAATAAGAATAATAGCCAGTATCTATTAGCCCCAGTACTGGCACTAGGGCGAGGATAGTCAAGCATTTGCCTTGGACACAAAAGTAGCGTGTGTGGGGTGGGGGTTTGTCAAAAAACTTCAGTAATCAAGACAAACCCACTTGCACCACCCTAGTCCCCACCTACTGAGCACTTACTGTACACAAAGTCCTGTACTAAGAACTTTTTTTGCATTTTTCCTACAATTTTATTTTATTTTATTTTATTTTTTGAGATGGAGTCTCACTCTGTCAGCTATGCTGAAGGGCAGTGGCACAATCTCGGCTCACTGCAACCTCTGCTTCCCGGGTTCAAGCGATTCTCCTGTCTCAGTCTCCCGGTTAGCTGGGACTACAGTAGGTGCCCGCCACCACGCCCAGCTATTTTTGTATTTTTAGTAGAGATGGAGTTTCATCATGTTGGCCAGGCTAGTCTCGAACTCCTGACCTCAGATGATCTGCCCGCCTCGGCCTCCCAAGCTGCTGGGATTACAGGCGTGAGCCACCACGCCTGGCCCTACAATTTTTTTTATTTTAAAACAACCTTCTTAAGAAGTGACCCCCTATAATGGTAGGGTCACTTATGGCCAAGTTCACACAGCTAGTAAGTGGCAAAACTGGAATTGATTCCCGAGTTTTATGCTGTGGATACTTTCTTTCCCTTGTAGACGTTTAATATCCATCTCACGTGGCAGGGATAAAATCACAGCTGCCACCGAGGCCATTAAAAGCAATGCTGAGGTGGGAGGCAAAGCAAGATGGTGGAACAGAATGCTACACAGATCGTCTCTCCAGCAAGGACACCAATTTAACAACTATTTACACAAGAAAAGCACTTTCGCAAGAACCAAAAACCAGAAAGGAAATCCGGACCAAACTCAGCTGATGCCTGCCCTCGAAGGGAGCAGTTAAAACAGCCCCAGCTAGAAGGGAATGGCCCATCCCAGTGGTCAGAAGTTGAGTCTCCATAAAATCAGTGCAGCGTCTCCTCTCAAGGAAGTTCCTCATTCACTTTTAAAGAGATGGAGACCATCCTGGCCAACATGGTGAAGCCCTAAAATTAGTCTGTACTAAAAATACAAAAATTAGCTGGGCGTGGTGGCGCATCCCAGCTACTCCGGAGGCGGAGGCGGGAGAATCACTTAAACCCGGGAGGCGGAGGTGGCAGTGAGCCAAGATCGCACCACTGCACTCCAGCCGGGGCAACAGAGCGAGACTCAGTCTCAAAAAAAAAAAAAAGAAAAAGGAGTCTCATAGACTTTTATGATATCCACATATATCTGGCCTTTCTGGGAATTCTTAGGGACTTTGGCAAATTTTCTTTCTTTATTCTGTTAAAAAGCCCTCCCCCTCTCTTTTCCATAGGTCTCTAAAAAACAAAACTGCCGTCTTAAACCTTTGAATGAGTTTAAACTTTGCATTTTCCATTCACTCTGCGCCTTACCGCTGCCAAGTCTCTAATCAGGAGGGTTATCTTAAAATAAAGATATGCGGAAATTTGAAACTGGGTTCTAGTTGATTGCGTGCTTTATTCTGTTCATCTTGAGGATGCTTGTCAAAGCAAAATTTGGGAAAAAAGATTGTTTTTCAGAAGAAAAACGAAGCACTCTACTTAAGTGAACAAGGAGCAAAAGTACTTTTGTATTTTACTTCTCTGCAATTGCTACATTTGAACATTATTATTGACTTTTTTCCTTTGAGGGAATGTTGCAATGAATTGAATGATTAAAGAAAACCTTTTCAGTTGGTGCTGTTTTCTCCTGATAATGAGAATAAAAATTACACTCCAGAATAATAAGGTTTAAAGAAATAGATTCTGCCTTGGCAATTTGCAGACTTCGTCTTTTTTTCTTAGAAAAAAACCCACCTAGCAACTCTAAAATAATAAGGCAAGACACAGAACAACAGTGATAAAACTCCCCTCATCCTCCACACTCCCTGTTCACAGTATCTTGCCATCCAGTGTTATTATCTCTACTTTGTTGATGAAAAAATTAGTCTCAAAGGAACCTTAACATTAGTTTTCCTTTAAGTGATTTCTCATTCCTGTCAGGTATAACAAATCACAGAGAAAAATGTATGAAATTACCCCTGCTCTCAAAATGCTAGATGTATTTAACAAACATTTGTTGAGTATTCACTAAGTTCTGAGTGGAGGAATCTCATATATGAACTCAGAGGTGCACGGAGCAAGAGTGAAGGGATGCATGGGACCACCTCCCAGCCCCCAGTGGTCTCGGGCCAGCTTACCCTATGGGAGGCAACCCTTCTGCGGTTTTCATGCTTGAGAGTCACAAGTGGTCAGGGTTTCTTTCCTACCCACTCAATCCAAATGAAATGCAATGATATGTGATATTGTCAAATTTGCTCAGTGTAGAGCAGAAGAAACACAGGGAATTTGCTGCTGCTTTTATTGAGTCTTCTTAGGCCATTTTAAAACGCTGATTGAACCTCAGTGTTCTCATCTGTAAAATCAAATAATAATATATGGCTATAAAAATATTTTAAAAATTATACAAAAGTGTTTATAACCTCTAAATCTTTAGGGTTCTTTCCTTTTTATTATTAAATCTTGCTCTAAAATCAACCTCATCAGGAACACTCATTTGGGAATAGGGAGATTTAAAAATATATGAGTTCTTTTCCAGTCGATGGTGATTATAATATAAATAGTTAGCAAATGGAGTTTTATAATTTGAAGACAGCCTTAGGGATATTATTCCACTTCAACCTGACCAAAACCCTACAAATAAGAGAAACACCACATTTTTAGCCCCAGTTTGTGTGATTGAGAAATTGGGCTCCTGAAGTTCTTGTCCATGTGAGAGCAGTTTATAAATCATAGCTAGCAAGTGTTCATGCCCGAGGGTTTCTTCAGGGCATGGGATTATGTGGCTGACCCTCTGGCTGATATTCGACTCAAGAGGTCCTGATGGAATAGACCTGTCAGATCTGTCTTGTTCTTTACAGGGCCCAAGTCTCTTGGAGGAAGAACTGGATCTGTTTTCCAGATGATATGGGAGTTATTCTTAAGGAATTTATATGTATGCCAAAATGAGGAAGATGTTGACTTTTATTTACTAATAATTTAGGCACTAAAAATGTCACACTTTTGATGTACAAAAAATTTTGTGATTAATCCTTTAAAAATACATCTATCTGTTGAGTAAATTAAATTATCAAGGTTTATGGTATTGATTTTCAATGTAGTTTATGGTGCGACCTTAACATCATTATTGTGTGGACTACAAACCACAATATTATGAAAAGATATACTGTTTTTATGGCTCCAGAGATATAAATTTAGACATTAATACATTTTCCATTTTAAAATGGCTATTTTCAAGTCATTGCTGTTATGATGAAAATAAGAACTTATTCTGAAAATGTATTTCCAGTCCTGATCATATTCAGCTGTTTTTGTAAAGCTTTCCATTTCATTGTTAGGGTGAAGGAAACTTCATTTTCATCAGTGGGTGGAATCTGGGTTGTGTTTATAAGTGTGTTTTATTGAAGTCATCTAAGTATTACCAAAGAGTGGTAAGAGGAAGGTAAGATGATAGTTGTACTTAACACCATGGCAAAATGTAAGTGAAACACCTTCATCAACTAGATCTTACACTCATGTTTATGAAGCTCTACAGACAATATATATATCTCTCTCTTACAGTTTTAAAAAACCCTCATATACTACTTATACTATATTTACACTAAAGTTATACTATATATTATACTACTTACATTGTAACTAAATGGATAGACTTTGAAACTAATTAATTTATCTTTAGTCTAGGACTTTATACAGAAGGGTCAGCTCATAGCACTTTCATTTAAACCATTTTTCCCCCATAAATCTTGAAGACCTAATCCAAAGCACTTCCAAAACTCAATGTTGCCAATAATATCATTTCTCCTCTTCCTTTATAATACTTGCTCTTCAGAGTCCTTTGGAAAATGTCACAGGGGACTTTAAATACTCTATTTTCTCTCTTTCCTGTCATTGATTCTCCTCCACAGTCAGATAAGAACATAACAATATTAGAAGGAGTGATTTTTTTTAGCTTTTAAAGGGGACATAATGCTATTTCTGGGGGATGCCTCAGTGCACCTTTCAGAGGTTCACGCTTTTTCCAAAAGCAACTTCCCAAGTATTGCTCATATGCTCCTTGTGAATTTTGTAGACATATAATTTATAGCTGACAGAGGCCTCCATGGTGAATGTGGCTAAGAGTCCTGTAGCCCACTGGATGGGAAGAGCCTGGAGTCCAAGCACCTTCATGGCTGCCAGAGGACAATGGCATCATTAGGCATTTATTTCCATTTTTCTTTTGTTGTTGTTGTTGTCATTATTGTTATGTTATTTTGTAGATGAAAGTAAATTTGGGGAGGGAGGTAGGGGAAAGTAAGCATGGAATAACAGCAGAGCTGTTGAGTGGCTTGCTGGAGCCAGGATGCCTGGTCTGCTTCCTGTTCTGCACCCATTAGCTGTGTGAGCACTGGCAAGGCACAGGATGTCCGGAGGCCTCCGCTTCTTCATCTGTAGATTGGTGATAATCAAGGTGGTGGTCGCCCAGGGTGTCAGAGCTCAGAGTGGTGCCTGGTACACAGGAAGCATTCTATAAAGGTTAGTTCTTGCTGTTGTCACTCTATCATTACTATGTCTAAGAGGATTTATGATGAATAACTTACAGAAAAAAGATGAAATGCATTATAAATAAAAGCAAAGTTGTCATTATAACAAGGGCATTGCCAAGGGCAGCAATACATACTGTGTATGCCATGTGTAGAGAGGAGGCCCCCTTCCTTAAAGTGTATCTTTCCCATTCTAATTGTTATCTTACAGAGAAAGCCTCACTGAAAATTATGGTGTCACAGCGAATATTTGGCAATGGACAACATCCTCCAAGGAGTAATACGCAGCTAGGTTGTGTTTGCCTTGACCCTCTGCTTCCAACCTAATATTTTTTTGGTTGAATAAGCTTCTAGATTTGTTTTAATTCTTAGGCTATTGATTCCTAACCACCGGTTTGAAAAACAAACACCATCTTTTTAAGAACTGAGTATTTATGATATTCATCCAGTGGAGAAGCCACAATGGGCCATGACATTTCATTTATAAATACAAATGCACGCAGATTTTAGAAACCAGAGATGAGCTAGGGGCTGGGGAGCATGCTGTGACTTTTCAAGAAAGGCAGTGAACGCGAAAGATTCTATTCGACCAAGAGAAATATGTACTTCTTACATTATTAGGGAAACCAGATATTTTCCTGCCCTCAAGGAAACCCCATAAATGAAGTTCAATTTGTTGAAGTCTGTGATGGTAGATAATTCCCTTTCCAGCGTTGGCAAGCCTTGCTTAGTGTTCAAGTAAAATATGTCCAAGCTAAAGTGAACACAAACGAACCCATGTTAGTAGTTAGTGGCATGGTTATCTAATGTATTGTCCACTTAAGGTCAATTTGTAAGCATAAAAGGCGCACTGATCTTAATTTTTCAGGGACAAGTAGTGTCAAGTGGGGGCAGGAGAACCAGGGAGTTTCTAAATGTTTAAAAATAATCTAGCATAGCAAATGCTTGGCAAAATGCCATGAAACCGTTAAACATCTGGACTGACTCCAGATGGGTCCCAGATTCCAGAACCTTCCTGAACCAGGAATGGGCATAGAAATACTCTCTGATCTACTATGTAACCTAACTGAAGGAGAACCAACCACCTACATGGGAGTCAATGTTTCTAACTCCTCTCTGGTGTTTCTCTCTGTAGATTACTCACTTGAGTTTGCGAGTCTGTGAAAACACATTGGATGGTAATAGAAGATATATAAAGTTTATATAGCTTGCTGGATTGTTATAAAAAGTAGCAATAAGATTATACTGATCATATAAAGCAGGCTCTTAAACTCCCTAATTCCTTTTATTCACTGAATGGCCTTGGGCATCATTCAAGTACTTCCTCAAGTTATTAGAAACTGTGCTTGTGTTCTTCCTCAGAATTGTGGGAAATGGCAGTAAAAGTTATTTTTACTATGAAAGTAAAGACAGAAAATACACAGCTCATAGGAAAAGATTTTCAGCCAGATCGACACATGAAAATGGAAGAGAATTGAGGTCAGCAAAGAGTGTTAAAAATCCCATGATATGAAATTTTCATTTAATGCACGGATGTAGCCTCTGACCCAGAAGGGGACAGTTATTAATGAATTCTGCCATTGTCTGTTTTTGCTGCTCCCAAAGGCAGACTTAAGGCCATTATTATATTTATTATGACATTAAAAAGTATAGTTTCTTTTATGTTCTCAAGAAGTGAAAACTTTCATTTCCTTTAGAATGGAGATAATTATTTTGGAAATTTTCCATTCAAATTATTTTTAAGCAGTGACCTCTTCTGGCTTGTAAGACATGACTTTAAGAAATTAAAAACAAAAATGAGAAGAGAGATCTGATTGAAGCCAAGGGAAGTGTTTTGTCTTTCCAGAAAAGTTTCTGGCCTCTCATAAGCACTTGATAAATAATGCTACTATTTTGTTATTACCTGAATTATCCTTTTAATTCTTTCAACTATCTCACTAAGTCCCATGGATGTATGGGAATAGTTCCAACATTTATTTCTCTGGTCTTGATTTCTCTGAGCTACAAACTCGTATAACCAATTGCTTACTTGACATCTTCATGGTCGTGTGTAATAAGATATCTCATGCTAATCATAGTCAAAACAGACACTGGATTTTTATCTCTTAAAATTCCCCCAATCCCAGCACTTGGGGAGGCTGAGGCAAGCAGATCACCTGAGGTCAGGTGTTCGAGACCAGCCTGACCAATATGGGGAATCCCCATCTCTACTAAAAATACAAAATTAGCTGGACCTGGTGGTACATGCCTGTAATTCCAGCTACTCAGGAGGCTGAGGCAGGAGAATTGCTTGAACCTGGGAGATGGAGGTTGCAGTGAGCCAAGATCATGCCATTGCACTCCAGCCTGGGCGAGAGAGTGAAACTCTATCTCAAAAAAAAAAAAAAAAAATTCTCCCATCTCAGGTCTTTAACAGTCATTCCTTCATTCATTTTTCCTGAAATATTTACTGAGTGTCTGCTATGTGTGAGGTGCTGTTATAGACAGTGGTAATACGGCAGTGTTGTAGAAAGGCAACAACCTGTGCCTTCATGGAAATTGCTTACTGATGTGGGAAACACAAAGTAAACAAACACACATATGCTATAATGCCAAAAAGGGATAATTATGCTGCCAAAAAATAAAGCCATAATAAAGTTCTCAGAACAGTGCCTATATAAGCATTTGATATATAATATAGTAATATCAAAATCTCTTTGGACTAAATTCTCCAATGGCTCTACATAATCCAGACAGAAAAATAATCCAAAAATCTTTGTGGTTTTACCTTTGGTCTTTAGCTTTATCTCCTCTCGTAGTTCCCTGTACTCATTGTGTTCAAGCCACACTTTCTTCCCCGCATACCTTGACTTTTTTTACCTTTTCTCACCTCACTACCTTCCCTCCTGCTGTTTGCTCTGTCTACAATAGCATTCTGTGTATTTTCACATGGTTGCTTCCTTTTATCATTCAGGTCTTAGTTCAGACTCCACCCACTAAGAGAAACATTCTTGACATCCTCTCTGAAGTGGCCATCCCCCATCACTCTTGCATTTTCTACTTCATGTTATCCTTCATCGCACCTGTCATGACTGAAGACATCTTGGTTTACTTGTTTATAGTATGTTTCCTTCTGCTATGATTTAGATATCATAAGTGACAGACCTTAACTGTGTTTGCTCACGGCTCTATCATGAGTGCTTAGAACACTGCGCAGCACATAGTAGGCAATCAGCAGATATTGAAGCAATGAATATACTGTTCTTTTTTAAAATTTGGGTGAAATTTGAGAAAGTAAAATCAAGTCCCTTCTGAGGTGCAACCCAGTGGAATATTATTGTTAATTTTCTAGAAAATATTGACTAGTTTATACCTCACCGCAGTAGCATACCTCAAAATGTATTATCACGTTAAAGTCATGGGACGTGTCTGGGACACTCTTTGGATGTCATTTAGATGGGCACAGTGACTGTCTGACTCAGAAGTCATCCTTGGTGCTTAGCTCCTGAAAACTGGAGTGGCAAAATGACAAGAGGGACAAAGTCTACTTTGCTAGTTGTGTTGCATTGTCAAAAGAGCACAGAGTGTGAGGATGCACATTGGTAATACATTCCAGT
Source organism: Homo sapiens (assembly GCF_000001405.40). Lineage (NCBI taxonomy): Eukaryota > Metazoa > Chordata > Mammalia > Primates > Hominidae > Homo > Homo sapiens. The sequence goes on along the minus strand of NC_000018.10, from coordinate 73,805,533 downwards.
ATTTCCTTTTCAAATGAAAACATGAAAATACAGGTTGAAGACCAAATCGTATTATTAAAATTAAAAAGGAAAAAGAACAGTTTCTCAGATTTAAAAAGAAATCTTCATGAAGAAAAAAGATATGCCATTGTCATATGTGTCACTGGTTATTTCCACAAATATGTTTTATGTATTAATTTAATTAATTATTATTATTTGCTTGAGATGAAGTCTTGTTTTGTCACCCAGGCTGGAGTGCAATGACGTGTTCTTGGCTCACTGCAACCTCTGCTTCCCAGGTTCAAGAGATTCTCCTGCCTCAGCCTCCCAAGTAGCTGAGATTACAGGCTCGGGCCACCATGCCAGGCTAATTTTTGTATTTTTGTAATTTTTGTAATTTTGCAGAGACGGGGTTTCACCATGTTGGCCAGGCTGGTCTCGAACTTCTGTCTTCAGGTGATCCACCTGCCTTGGCATCCCAAAGTGCTGGGATTATAGGTGCATGCCACCATGCCCAGCTAATTTTTGTATCTTTAGTAGAGACAGTGTTTCCCCATGTTGACCAGGCTGGTCTGGAGCTCCGTACCTCAAGTGATCCACCTGCATCAGCCTCCTAAAGTACTGGGATTACAGGCATGAGTCACCACACCCAGCCTCTCTTTTATGTATTAATTTTAATTGTGGAAGATACTAGAAATTTCTGTGCTCAAAATTTTATTTTATTAACAATTTAGACAAAATAGAAGAGGACTGTGAGTTACATAGGTACAATGACTCTTCAGAGTTTTAACTCTTAAGAATTATGCTATGGTGTGGAGATTCCTTAAAGAACTAAAAGTAGAACTACCATTTGATCCAGTAATCCCACAACTGGGTATCTACCCAGAGGAAAAGAAGTCATTATTTGAAAAAGATACTTGCACATGCATGTGTATAGCAGCATAATTCACAATAGAAAAGTCATAAAACCCGCCCAAAAGTCTATCAATCAACAAGTGAATAAAGAAACTCTGGCATATATATATATATGATGGAATACTACTCAGCCATTAAAAGGAATGGATTCACAGCATTTGCAATGACCTGGATGAGGTTAGAGAATATTATTCTAAGTGAAATAACTCAGGAATGGAAAACCAAACATCATATGTTCTCACTGATATGTGGTAGCTAAGCTATGAGGATGCAAAGGCATAAAAATGATACAGTGGACTTTGGGGACTTAAGGGGAAGAGTGGGAGGTGGGGGGTGAGGGATAAAAGACAACAAATATGATGCAGTGTATACTACTTGGGTGGTAGGTGCACCAGGTTCTCACAAATCTCCACCAAAGAACATACTCATGTATCCAAACACCACCTGTACCCCAATAACTTATGGAAAAATAAAATTTAAAAAAGAATATGGAAACATCATTGAGATCTTTGTGGGGTAAAGACACTTATGTGGTTATTTCCCAAATCAGTTGTGAGTTTGGCTTTCAAAGTCCATATTTCTCCTGCCATGGCTGTATGTAAACTCTGGTATTGTTTTTCCATGCTGGGTGGAGCCAGGGGTTCCTCTTTATGAAAATGTTAAGTATTTGGTGAGTTGCCAAGGCTTTGGTACATGGGTGCCCTGCCATGGGTGTGTTTGGGTGCTCCCTGTGTCCTGCATTGTAAAGAAACCTTGCCCTCTCTTCTGTATAGAGCATATCTTGGTAGAATATTCTAGACCTAAGAGGCAGGGAGTGAGAAATATCCAGAGAGAGTATTAATATACTGTGATGTAGGGGAGGGCTTAGTTGTTTTTCTAAATTCTAAGGATCACCTTTTCCAGGAGGCTTCTTTGAACCCTCGTTTTCAGGAAAAATGAACATTTATCTTCAGTAAACCATAGCATCTCCGTCAGTCACAATGCAAGTCTGCTTGCTGGCCTACTTTCCAAGACAACCGTCCCCAGAGGAAGCCCTTAGCATTGTGGATCATTTGCATAGATAAGTTTTGAAATTTCAGGAAAAAAGGAATACCTTTTCCTTCTTCTAACTGATACATTTACTGTTTCTATAGTTTGGATATTTTACCCTGACTCTGTGAGAGCTGCTATCAGGGTTTTCCTTCCGATGCAAAATAGCCTTGGTTTAAGGTCAGCTAGAGGCTAGAACCCTGCCTCAGGATGCATCACCCAGTCAGCCTCACTGAAACCGTGGGAAATCCCTGGACCCGAGATACACAGCCTTCTCAACTTCCAACGCACCTCTTCATTATGATAAGGGAGCCCAGATTTAAGGTGGTTTTCAATTTAGACCAGGTCTCATGGGCTGTTGATACAACTTGTGCATTAACTGTTGGGTTTGAGTTTGGTTGCTTAAGGAAGCTTTAACCTTTGGATCGTTGATAATCTGAATCCTATCTACCTCTGGGCTACCACTTGCTCAGATGTTCTCCACTCCTAGCAATCTGATCTGGTTCTACCTAAGAAAATGTTGCAGCCATTGCTGAATCCCCAGTACCGATAAGGCATGTAATATTGCCCAGTTAATGTTTGTTGTTGAATCAGCTGGTTTTTTTCTTCCTCACTTACACTTAATGTGGCTCAATGGGTTCTTGGCTCCAGGATCTGCATTTTTTATCAGTTTCTGGCCAGGATTTCCATGCCGATATTTCTGATACTTCTCTTCTCTATCATCCCCTGCCTTGTTTTACTTCTTTGGCTCTGGTTTCTGCAGCTACAACCTGCTGCCACCTGTTCCCATGGCTCACAATGAACCAGGTGGATTTATTCCAGAGTGCTGATTCAGATTTCAGTAGAAAGTTCAGTCTTACTGATGGGGACCCAGTTTTATCTTTGGCGATTAAGACACAGATGGTAGATAGATATTTTTCAGTATCAAGTGAAAATGAAAAAGAAGCCTTCCTATTTTAAATACTTAGGATAAAAAAATGTATAATTTCAGAAGCATTAAGATCTTAATAAATATTTAATATTCTTTCATAATTTACACATTCTCGGTACATGAACCTTATCTGAGTTGATAACTTTATAGACTAAAAAGACAGAAAGATCACAAATCTAAAATTTCAAAATGCGCAAAACAATAAAAATAATCATAAACTGGTAATGTATTTTCTGTTATAAATACTGAAATAAAGCATCTATTACCTAATGCCCAATTCCTATTAAGGAAGAGTTTAATATAGACTTATGCTTCATTATAGTTATTAACAATAATCTACTTTTCCTGTTTTTAAATATAAATCCTAGAATTGACTTATAATATTTGCTAATTAAGTTACATATACCTGGAAATTGCATTAGAAGTTGAAGGTGTAATATATCTAAAGCAATAGTTTAAATAATGCTGAAGTTGAGAAGGTAATCAATAATCACTGGACAGTGTTATTCCCGTAATAAAGAGCTAAGAGTAGAGACCTGATTACATCCACTGATTACGGATATCAGTTTACATGTGCAGACTGTGTGGAGATGCCCTGTGCCCAGAACCTAGGTTTGGTGCTGATATCCATAGTAAGTGTTCAGGCTGGAACTCAGATGGGCGGTGGCCCTCAAACTATGCTTTGTGCTTGATTGAGGGGGTAAGGCATATGTGATTCTCAGGAAAAGAAACACACTCTGGTCTCTTCTCACCCTTTTCTCCTGCCTTCCTCTAAGGAGTGTAATCCTGGGGAAAGAGCTTAATTCTGGTATTATGTATACTGACAATATTTGCAGGAATAGTGAGAATATTTTACCTTTATTTGTGCAATCAACAAAAATAATCACATTAGTTCTACAGAGGTGAAGGGTAACTTAAAAACGTGGGTGAGAGATAGATATTGATTGATTGATTTGAGCATACTGTTACTATTTGTTAAAGATAGAAACCTTGAGATTCAGAGGAAATTTGGTGGGAAGCAATGAAATGATCTAAAACTCTGGTAGTGTACATAGTGTGGAAATAAATAATTTACTAGTAATGCTACATTTTGTGTGATCAGAATCTTCTCCAGTCTCATCCAAGGCATAATAGCTTTTTAAGTATTAAGCAAACGATGCATTATAAAACACATTATTGAAGGTTAAAAGATAAACAAATATGTTTTTATTGCCTCAGTTTTCCAGAGTTAGTTATGAAGAAAAATTGGTTGAATAACAGAGTGGAGTTTGAATTGGTAAAAGGTAATGTTGAATAATGATGTGAATTTCAATACTGTTTTATACATGCAAATGACACAGAAAGAGAGTGTGTTAGTCTGTTCTCATGCTGCTAATAAAGACATACCCGAGACTGGGTAATTTATAACGAAAAGAGGTTTAATTGACTCACAGTTCAGCGTGGCTGGGGAGGCCTCAGGAAACTTACAATCATGGCAGAAGGGGAAGCAAACACATCCTTCTCTGCATGGTGACAGCAAGGAGAAATGCAGGGGAACTGCCTTTTATAAAACCATCAGATCTCATGAAACTTATTTACTATCATGAGAACAGCACAGGAAAATCCACCCCCCATGATTCAATTAACTCCCACTGGGTCCCTCCCACAACATGTGGAGATCATGGGAACTACAATTCAAGATGAGATTTCGGTGGGGACACAGCCAAACCATATCAGAGGAAAGGAGAGAGAAAGGGAGGGGAGGAGGGAGAGAGACAGGGAGGTGGGGAAGAAGAGAGATAGAAGGGGAGAGAGAGGATTAGAGAAAGAAAGATATTAGCAGTATGTATTGGTGTGAATAGTTTAAAAGCAAAATAGTTATCCCTCCATTTAATCTTTTAAATTTTTCCTGTTTTGCAGAGAGAGGAAAATGGAAGGGAAACTATCTCACCATATTTAGGGATAGGGGACCCTCATGTCCTGACTTCCCATAACCAGGAAGGCTATCTTGAAAGACTAGGTGTGCTGACCCCCATGTGGCACCAGCTCACCCCGTCCAGCTGCTGCCTCTGCTGCTGCAGCTGCCGACTCTGCTGCTGCAGCTACCCAGGCAGTTTCCAGCGGCTTTCTAAGCTGTGGCTCTTCCTCTATTTCCAGACCTTCTGTCCATGGTGAATTCCAGGTGGAGGTTAATAATAATAGCATAAAATCATTTCATATAGAGTCAGATTGCCTGAGTTCAAATCCCAGCTCTGCATACACTGGTGTGTGCTTTTGAGCAGCTTGCTGACCTCTCTATGTTTCAGTTTCCTGGTCTGTACAATGGAGATAATACTAGCATGGTTGTTACGAGAATTAAATGAGTTAACAAAAGTGAGTTCACATAGTAGCAATTCATTAAATGTTAGCTGTTATTCCTTTACTCTCCAGATGATCATTTGCTTCTCTTCAGAATTTCACCATGAAAGCTAGAAGGGGAATTAAAACAACTATGTAGTTAATAAACAAGCAAGGCATAATCATCCATCTTCCAATTCTTTGGCCAGTTCAAGAACTGGGTTACTTTCCTCTCTCAGCTCTAGTAATGCGTTTATTGAGATTAGAACCTCCAAATCCTGCTGGTTTTGGACAGCATGAGACTAGCTTGATAGAAGTCTGTGAATAGTTCTTACATCGTCTTCTCTCATGAGTTTCTTTGGGATTTCTTTCAATCTGCAATATGGCCATTGAATTTTTCCTGCACATCTAATTTCTTCTTGGAATCAAAGGCAATGCCAAGGGACAAGGTTCTGAGCTTTTTTACTCTGCCAATGGAAATGCTGAGGTGACTTTTAACACTTTGGAGAGTAACCTGCGTGGAAGGATTCTGCTGTGTTTGCTTAATAGTGCTCAGGAGAACATGCTGTAATGTGAGCAGCCTGGCTCTATTTCAAGAAGATAAGATTGGCCTCAAAATGTCATCTCTTCAATGGCACAAAAGTAAAGATTCACTAAAATGACTATCAGAGTGTAGCTTCAAGGATCTCTGATGGAATGTTATTGGTTCAGTTGTGATGATTGGGAGGAGGGTGTTGATAACTTAGGTGTGAGTATTAGATGTTCGGCACAGTAGTGGGTAGGGATTGAGGGTAAAGGGCTCCTAGATTTTGTTGCATTTCTTAAAGGAAAAATCACAGCTCTTCTTTTTACCTAGTGCTTGTTCTGAATAGTGCATGTAGGAAGGAGAAATGCCTGGCAAGCATCTAAGAGTGAGTTCCCTGTCCCATCACAGCACAATAATGGTACTCATGATGGGTACATTTTCCTTGTTTAATTAGATCGTTACTATAGCTGTTCCATTTCAGCTCTTATGTCATCAGCATTTCAGGTAGAGATACAGAAGAGGTAATTGTCAAAGTGGCTGTTTTCATTTTTTTCTACATTGTCTAGGATCCAAGACCTTGAGACAAGTTATTTTAAGTGACTTCTCGAATTCTTAAGTCTGCATCTGTAGCTGGCAAGCCCCCACCATGGTCAGTGAGGTGAAGATCTTCTTTCCTACTGCCTTGGTTCTTCTTCATCACTATCCTCCCAGTTAATTAATTAGAAAGTATAGAAAGTAGTCTAATTATATAATGAGTTGAACTTTATTGGATGTGAAAAGTACACGTATAATTTTAGAATGTATTATCTTAGATGATGGACCGATTAGCTTTGAGCCAGGAAAAAGCTGAAAAGAATTGGTAGCAATAGCTGTCAATCGAAAATGGCATAGGATAAATGAAGGTGAAATTAGTTTATTGCTAAAATAGGAGTCTCAAAAGTAACTGAGATGAGAAGGTGGGTCAAGAAAGCCCAACAGCATCATGGAAGCTAGATAACTGGGCACGTTTTTTCCATCAGTGAACTCTGGTTCACATGTGAGCACCCAGCTTATTTGCCTGAAGGAGAGCTCGTGTTTCGACAGTTTGTGTGAGCAAGGTCTTCTCATAGAATGTATAATTAGACACTTGTCAATATTATAGATTCTACTATAGGCACTTACCAAAAGTATTTAATCAAAAGAGCTGGTTCTATAACAGTCCTAGTAAATCATGTAGTAGAGCCTGATAAATGAGTAAAAAAAAGTAATGGGAAAAGGAGTGTTGACTTTAAAGTTGTAGAATCTCCAGAAAGTTCTATTCACAGCTGAGCTTCACCTGCATGCTGGTTGTGGAGCCAGGTGTGTTTGCTGTCCTCTCCATACTTTTCAGCCTAGGCGGTCTTGGGAGCAGACTCCTGGCCTCCACTTCTTGTCAGGTGGCTTCTGCACCAGCTGGGGCTCCTGGAACTGACCTTTTGGTACCTTCTTCACAGTAAATACTAGAGCTCACAGCAGCTGTCCTAAAAGCAGTAGGAAGCTGGCCTCTGATCAGCAGAAAATTTTCGGAATCCATCCATCTGAAATGGCCCTATGCAGAGATCAAGAGTGACAGTTCATCAATGTCTTGAGGTAACCCTGGAATTTGGCCAGGTATTGAGGATGCTATGGAAAGTTAAGATGTTTGAAGAAGTATTTTCACTTTTGGTAAGATGTGCATCATGCATATCATACTTTTTTAAAAAGATATTTTACCAGTAGACTTTATTTTTAAGAATAGTTTTAGACTTAACAGAAAAGTTGAGCAGATAGTAGAAGATTCCATATACAATACCCCAATAGATTTTCTCCTATTATTGACATCTCGTATTAGTATGATACATTTGTTATGATTAATGAACCAATATTAATACATTATTAACTGCAATGCACACTTTATTCAGATTTCCTTAGTTTTTACCTTTTTATTTTTTCTTTTTAAAAATCTGTTCCCGGATTCATTCAGGATGGACACCACATCACATTTTCTCGTCATGTCTCCTTAGGGTCTTCTTGGTTGTGACAGTTTCTCAGACATGTCTTGTTTTTGATGACCTTGACAGCTTTGAGGGGTACTGGTGCAGTATATTGTAGAATGTCCCTCTATTGAAATTTGTCAGATTGCTTTTATCATTATTAGACTGGGGTTATGGGTTTTCAAGAGGAAGACCATTGTGGTAAAATGCCATTTCCATTATTGCGTCATATCAAGGGTTCATGCTAGCAAAATGATTTCTGGCTGTTGATGTTGACCTTGATCACCCGGCTGAGTACATGTTCATCAGGTTTGTTTTCTGTAAAGCTGCTTTCCCTCTTTCCTTTTGATGCTCTTTGGAAGAAAGTCGCTATGCACAGCACACACCTACAGAGTGGGCAAATATGGTCCTCCCACTTTAGGGTGGAGTATCTCCACAGCATATCAGGTTTTGATAAGATTATTTTTTCATCCCTTGCAAGGTTGAGAACACTCAAGCTAATGTAACTCGAAGACATACTATTTGCAGAAGCTCTCAGCAGTTGCCATGACTTACATAGCTACCCATGGTCTTCCTCTTCTAATTTCCACTCCCTCCAGTCTTCTCACTTCTCGCCCTGACCTGTGTTACAACGCTTTTTTTTCCATTTCCAGACCATTACCCCAGAAACATAAGCAGATTTGTGTATCTAAAATTGGATTCTTAAAAGATTTTAGATCTTTACCCACCTCCAGGAGAGCATTTACAAACAGTTCTCAGTTCTCCTTAAATAATGAAATTTGATTTAATAAAGGGAAAGGTGCCTATTTTGTGACCTGCATAGACTCTACCTGATTTGGCCCTGGGCCATACAAGTCGGTTCCTGGTAAAGCCCAAATTTCAGTTTATTTAAAGAAACCCATCCCTATAGAGCCACACCACCCATCAGGATAGTCATTAGCCACATGCTGCTGTGGAGCTCTGGACATATGGCTAGTCTGAACTGAGAGCTGAGATGTGCCTTACGTTTGAAATACACATTGCATTTCCAAGACTTACCACATAAAAAAGTGTGTGAAATATCTTACTAATAATTTTTATATTGATTGCATGTTGAATGATAATACATTGAATATATTCGTTTAAATAAGTGTATTATTGAAATTTCACTTCTTTCCTTTTTACTTTTTATAATGTAGCTATGAGAATGTTTAAAATTACAAAAGTGTCTTGCATTGTGTATGTACTTGAAAGCACTGCTATAAACTATATTAGATGTCACAAAATGCTCCTACATTATTACTTTATAGCAGCTGGAAGTTAAACACACACACACACATCTACCTTGGAAAAAAAGACTTTTTTTTTTTTTTTTTTTGAGACGGAGTCTCGCTCTGTTGCCCAGGCTGAAGTGCAGTGGCGCGATCTCGGCTCACTGCAAGCTCCGCCTCCCGCCTTCATGCCATTCTCCTGCCACAGCCTCCCGAGTGGCTGGGACTACAGGCACCCACCACCATGCCTGGCTGATTTTTTTTTTTTTTTTTTGTATTTTTAGTAGAGACGGGATTTCACTGTGTTAGCCAGGATGGTCTCGATTTCCTGAACTCGTAATCTGCCCGCTTCGGCCTCCCAAAGTGCTGGGATTACAGGCGTGAGCCACCGTGCCCGGCCTGGAAAAAAAAGACTTTTAAAGACAGTCGGTATTGACTGTTTCTAAATGGGCAACAGTGAGTTCATATGATAGGAGACAGTTGCCTGGGAGTTAACAGAGGCTGAGACCAGTGGAAAAAGGCCGCACAAAAAGCAGGAGGCCATGCGTTACATTCTAGGTGATACATAAAAACTGAATTCACATGGTGACTTAATTTACACGGTATGGAAATATTCATAAAAGTATTTATTCTTCCAAATATCTAGAGTTATAAAGGTCAATAAAGGAGGACGATGTTGTTGGACAAAACACCTAGGATTTGGGGTAAATTATTTTCAGTTCTAATTGTTTAGAAAATCAAATGACGCTAAAACTGGGAGAATGGTAGCCACCACCAGTATCAAATAAATCATAAGAATCATATGAGGTAGAAACTTCCTTCAGAATGGAAGGCTCCAAGCAGAAAAATAAAGACGTATAAATTGCTTCTGGGAAGCTATTTCACTAGCTATCCATGATAGCAATTCCCTTTGGAATTATTGATATTGGTTCCCTAAAAGATCTTCCAGGTATTGACCAGGCTTAGTTGTGGAAAGGAGAATAGAGATTATCTGTGTGGCATACTGGGATTTTAAATTAAGATTGAAAGTTTCCCAGCCTCTTTACTATTCTAAAGAGACGCAATGCGATACCACCACACTCAAGACAAATGGCCAGATAATGGTCAAATTGCCATTCAGACCAAAGGTTTTCAGAGTACGGAAAGAGGACTGAAACAGAATTATTTGACTCTTCATTCACTTTAGCTGTCATGGAATTTTTGTCTTTCCTTCAGCTTTACTGAAATATAACTTACATAAAATAAAATGTTTCCACTTTAAGTCTGTGGTTGGGTGAATTTGGAAAAATAGGTCAATTTACTTCACCACCACCCCATATCAAGATGGAGAACATTTCTGTCACTTCAAAAAAATCGCCCATGACCGCTTGAAAATAATCCTGTAACCCCCATTCCAGGCCATCAGTGATCTGATTCATAAAAGTTTTGATTCATTTTGCTTTTTCTGAAGCTTCATGTAAATGAAATCATGTACTTTTCTGGTGTCTGGCTTCTATTGCTCAAGATCATGTTTTTGAGATTGATCCATGCTGTAATGTGTATCAGTAGTTAGTGCCTTTTTGTTGCTAAATAATATTCCATTGTGTGGTTAAACAATATTTTGTTTATTCTTTATTGATGGACATTTTGGTTGTTTCCAGTTTTAGGCTATGATCAAGCTTCACATGCAGGTTTTGTGTGGACCTAGGTTTTTAAGTCAATTATGTAAACACTAAGGAGCAGGATTTCTGGATTGTATGGTAAGACTATGTTTAGTTTTGCAAGAAGCTGCGAAACTATCACAGCTGAGCTTCATCTGCATGCTGGTTGTGAAGCCAGGTGTCTTCCAACATGGCTGTACCATTTTTAATTTTCACCAGCAATGAATGAGAGTTTCTGCTGTTCTACATCCCTGCCAGCACTTGGTATTGACAGTTTTAAAAAATAATTCAACCATTCTAATAGGAATATAATGGTATTATGTTGTTGTTTTAATTTGCAATTTCCTTATGACAAAATATGTTTATAATGTTTTCTCATGATTACTAACAATCTGTATATCACTGCTTTAATGTTTTCTAGCATAAAATTTTAATTCCTCTAATAATTTTTATTTTATTATTTTATTAATCATATTTTTGAGTTATTTTCTTTGACATGCATCAGGATTTTTTGAAGATATTATTTAAAATGTGAATTCTCAACTCTTCCCATCCAGAGATTTGGATCCAGTCAATCAGTGAGGGCATAACATTTGGGATTTGGAAAAGTTTCCAAGAGATTATGGTGCCAGCTTTGCCCTTTATCACCCTGCTCTCAACTCTGTAGTAATCTTCATTAAGTGAAGATTTAATTACTTCTATTTTGATTTTTTCTTATCCTATCCATCTTGAGATTGAAAGATGACTGAAAAGTTGTGTTATTTCATTATTGTCTTAGTCCATTTTGTGGTGCTGTAATAGAATACCTGAGACTAGGCAATTTATAATGAACAGACATTTATTGGCTCACAGTTCTGGGGGCTGGGAGTTCTAATATCAAGGTACTGGCATCTGGCAAGGTCCTTTTAGCTGCCTCTTCCCATGGTGGAAGGCGAGAGCATGAGATAGAGCAAGAGGAAGCTGAGCTTGCCTTTTTAATAAGGGCAGCCCAGGATCCCCTGTGGCCTAATTCCTTTTGAAAGGTCCCCTTCTTAATCCTGTTACAATGGCAATTAAATTTCAACATGAGTTTTGGAAAGGGCAAATATTTAACTATAGCAATTACTGTTTTTCTATTGGGGAACCAAATAATTAAATTAGTCTGAAGTCTAATAAACAGCGAGACATTTCCTGGAAGGCAGAATGGCCCCCAAAGATGTCCATGGATTTACCCCTGGACCCTGGGAAAAGCTGATTTCATGGCCACACAATCTTCCCCTTAAACTTTAGGAGCATGAAAAGACCAGAGTGTTCAGCCTCGCAAAAAGCTCTTTGAAAAGATAAGAGGGTGACTCACAGATCTCTTCAATCAAACCCGAGGGCCTGGAGAAACTTAAGAATGTTGCTCTTCAACTGTCTCGGGAGAAGCCAAAAATAGAGAGGTATTATCTCAAAATGATTCATGAGCATAGACTTCTTTCTAATGAAGGGGATCTCTGTGAACTTCATGCAAAATTTAAAAGGTTCTTGAGAGGTTTTTTGATCAGCAGAAACATTTCCAGAATGTCCTGAAAGGGACAGAGAAAGTATGAAATGAAAGAAAACTGTTGGACTCCAAAGTTCTGCTACAAGGAAGCGGGTTGACAAAACCACTTATCTGATGATATGGGGACTTTGGAGCTGTGAAGAGTTAGATAAGATTTTGGACATCAAATTTATGTTGTAAGGGGGTGAGACCTTTGGGGACCTTAGGTATTTAATAGCTTGGAAGGACATGAGTCTTTGTGTCCAGAGGGTGGATTCTGGTCGACAGGATGACCTTCTGAAATGATCACACTCTAATCTCAGGGCACTGTGCATACATTATGCTTCATGGCAAAAAAGGACTTTACAGATGTGATAAAGGCTGTGAAAATAGGGAGAGTATCCTGCTTTCTCCAGGTGGTTGTAACCTAATCACATGAGCTCTGCAGTCAGAGAGATGCCAGAGAAGGGAAGTTGGGGGGACTTGAAGTGTCAGAGGGCTTCACCCTACCACTGCTAGAGAGAGCCACATCCTCTAGGAGCAAACATGGACCCCTGGCTGACAGCCGGCATGGAAATAGAGACCTCAGTCTTACAGCTGCAAAAAACTAAATTTGGCCAACAGCCCAACTGAACTTGGAATCTGATTCTAATTCAGAGAACATCGTGAGACCTTTAGGCAAAGACTCAGCTAAACCTGCCCAGACTTCTGACCCACAGAAGCTGGAAGATAAGAAATTTGCACTATTTTAAGTTGCCACGTTTGTAGCTTCTATGGTACAGCAGCAATAAAAAATGAATACCCACAGGATGAAGTGGACGCTGTTATGGAAGGTGAATCAAGAACAGGAGAGCAAGCCTAATGCTAACAGAGGATGCACACCTGGGGTGGATGCTCATATACAGAGAGAATGAGGCACAGGACCATTTCGAGAAAGATGGTCCACAGGGGAAGAAGTAGAGGAAAAGGAGGAGAGAATTTGATGATCAATATTTGATGTAAGCAATTATTAAGAGAATTCCTGTATTATGTACAGAATGTGATGAATGACTTCCTGTGCCTTTTGTTCAGAGGGAGAGGATCTTGGGATGATCTTTATTAAATAATGACCTTTATCTTATATAAACACAAGCTTCATGCTCATGTTTAAGAGACTGAGATTCTTATTTGTTGAACCGGAAAGGAAAGGAAGTCAGTATATCAACAGAGATACGACTTTTCTCATCCAAGCCTGAAGACCTTAATAATTCAAATAGATAATACAGATAATTTCACAGGTTGGGTTAAGCATTCTTTAGCAATAAAGGCAATTTTTCTGACCATTGATTCTTGTCATTCTAAGATGGGAATAGGGTCTGGGAAACCTGGTGTCTCAAAGAATCTGAAGTAGACTTAATTTTGAATCCTTCTCATTTTCCTATTCCATTCCTCTAGGGTTGTTTGGGTTGCAGTGAGGTTTTATAGCTGTAACTTATCAAAAATATTGCCTTAATCCTCAATCATCTTGTCCTTCCTAGTGACTTATTCCACAAACTCTTAAATCAGCTGAAAATGTGACTCTTGACATCCTTCTAATCCAATTCCCCCAAATAATAAAAAGAGGAGGAGTCCTCAAATAGAGTGTGAGAACTGCCATTAGAAATCCAGCCAGTTGTGGTAAGATGCTGTGATTAACTGCATGGCACCGGGTAGGTCTCCTGGGATTGCCATTGTATGCAAGGTGAAGTGATTTCTCACAACTTCTGAACATTTATCTGCATACATAGTCACATTGGTTCATCAATCCTGAGAAGGTTAAAGGGGATATTACTCAAAATCTAGCATGGAGGGCAAAATTTCAATAGCCGGTTATGCCACTGAGTTTCAAGGCTTTTAAAGTGAGAGGTGATAGTTATTTCAAGATTGATACCAAATCTTCTCTCCCCAGCCTCTCCTCCTCCACCTTTACAAAAATTACTATCATTATGCAAAGCAATTCACGTGCTGGCCCATCTTTTCCATTTCCCAATTTCTACAAATGAGTCTATAATTGGTCCACATAAATACAAACCCTTGTGGTTGTTGCTGTTTAGTGGTTCTCCAAGAATCAAATCCCTATTTGAAATGAAAATAGCAGGTCTTCATCTGTTTATATGCCTTTTGGTTATTTTTGACCACATTAACATCACTGAAATGTCTGCACATAATCGATTGCAGATGTTCTTCTCATGCTAGGAATAAATTACAATGGCTATTAGGGCAACAGTCATTGTGAGGTGCTTTGTTGAGAAGAGAGGTTCTTGATGGGGAATAGCAGTGCCTTATGGGCTCAGAGTTATTTTTTGACCTTTAGGAAGGCAGCGGTTAGAGAAACCCATACCATGCCCCGTGGTTTACATGGACAATGGCTTTATTGATGTACATTATCTATATCCTCCAGGTTGAGTATGTGTCTATAAACTTTGTTTTGAGGTTTTCTTAGAATTTCTCTCATGCTAAATCTTTACTGCTCTACCTGGTTTCTGAAATGCCACTGTGATTTCTTTCTTTTGCTTGAGGCTTTTCCCCTGGTTAGAATGCAAACACTCATGGCTATGTTAATGCATGTAGCTTTACTCACTGCCTAGTCTTACTATGCATTACATTAATGAGAATGTATTCATCAGATCATCTCCTAAAACAAGTTTTGACAGTGGAGAGGTTGCAAAACAGAGGTTGTTGGCTGGTGGAACAGAGGCACCTTTGTCCTGAAAGTCATGCCAGAGATGGGGCGTTGAAGGCAGTCCCCATGGGTTTGATTATTTTTCTTGGGATTAACTCTGCCTTGAAAATGAATGTTTTGCTTTCCTCTGAAGTTTACTCTTGCTTTATAAAGCTTAATTCATAGGATGTTATAAATGAATGAGTGAATGAATGAATGACTGTCTTCACAGGCACCAGCTAGAGATGTTAAGGATTACCCTGATGGCATTTTTAATTTTTTTTCTTGGAATGTAAGAAGAAGGCTTCTCTCTTAATTAATCCCTCTCTAATAGGATAGGTCAAGAGAAATGGTTGGGGCCTTGTGAGAAATGTTTCCAAAGCTCAAGCTTGGGCTAAACCATCTTCTTTCTTCTTTTTTACAGTCTGTTTTTATTGCTATCTAGTGTAGTAACTGCATTGAAGAATAGCTGACTTTTGTCTTTAACCTGATCTCTCTTTTTGGCTTCTCCTACTTACTGCTGGTCTTTGTCTTCTGCAACACTGGGTGTGTGAGCTATGACAGGCTTTAGTGCTGTATCCAGAACAGGACATCTAGCTTTATTTCCAGACTACAATTTATAACTTGAGCTAAATTGATACCTAGTTTTTCTCAATTGGAATATAAAGGTAAGGCTTTGCACTTCTACTTGTCTGAACCAGAAGGAAAGAAACACATATGTGATTAGAATTTTTCAGCTAACTTTTTATTTTTAGAAATCAGAGATTCCCTTCTGCCACACACAGACTCTTAAATTATATCCAGAGAATTGTTTTTTACTGGTAATGATTTAGAACTTGTAAAGATTTCAATAAAGATTTAGAATCATAAAGTTCTAAGAATTGTAGAAACCATAAAGTTGAGGTTTATAGTTTTTAGAATTATAGAATATAGACATTGCTATGAATGATTATCAGGCCTCTAAGAGACATCACAGATACAAATTATCTTCTAAATCATTAAATTAAAGAAAAGCTTACTAATACAAAAATAGTATTGGGTGTTTTCCTTGTAAATTAGTACATACAGAAAGTTTGCCAGACTGACAACTACTATGTCATGGGTATTTTATATACATATATATATATATATATATATATATATATATATATATATATATATATATATATATATATATAATTTTTTATTTTATTTTATTGTTTTTTTGAGACGGAGTTTCACTCTTGTTGCCCAGGCTGGAGTGCAGTGGCACAACCTCGGCTCACTGCAAGCTCCACCTCCCAGGTTCAAGTGATTCTCCCACCTTAGCCTCCCGAGTAGCTGAGATTACAGGTGCACGCCATCATGCCAGGCTAATATTTTGTATGTTTAGTAAAGACCGGGTTTCACCATGTTGGGCAGCTGGTCTCAAACTCCTGACCTCAGGTGATCTGCCTGCCTCAGCCTCCCAAAGTGCTGGCATTACAGAGGGTACTATATGTTTTTCTCTCTCTCTTTCCTATTTTGCCTTGAACCATAAAATGAGTTTTTGTGCTTCTTTGGGAAGCATTGGGGAGACCTCCAATGCTTCTTTTCTCCATCCCCTCCCTGTTTTTTCCTCATCAGACAATGAGTGACTGATTTAATTGTTGGTTCACTGTGCCTGTGGAGGCGAAAGCAGCTCCATCTTGGTTGCTAATCTACCGTATTGTCTTCTGATTAGCCCCAGTTCCAGGAATTCCTTTAAGGTTTCCAGCTTATTGTTCCATGTGTAAGAAAAGGTAGTTACTGTAAATCCTGACCATAGGTTAAAACAACCTTGATGCTACCATAAGTCCTGTCTTGGAGCAATTGTCTCTCAGATCTCTTCCGAGTCACTATACCTTCCTGTGCTGTATACGCCCTGGGCCAGGGGGGATAGTAGTGCAGGGATCCAACATCTTGTTTCGCTGCCGTCTGAGACATGGAAGTGGCTGCTGTTTATAAGTTCCTATTAAATGTTTCTTTCTGAGAAATTGAATTTTTTAGCCTCTTTCTTTGGCCTCTCAGCTTCCTTGGACTTCGGGAGTAGGTTTTTGTAGACCTGCCCACCACAGAACAGTGCCCCTCTCTTTCCTTGGGAGCCCAACTGCACAATGAAGTTGTTCTCATTTCTTTTCCATATGCCCCACAGGGCTGACCCTACACCCACAGGCACTCCCCATGTGCCTTCTATACCTGAGATGGTGAGTTCACCTCCAGCGTAGTGGCCAACATCCGTTTTGGCACCTAAGCTGAGCTTTATTCTCCAATCCAGCATTGCCAAAAATAGACCTTTTGTTCCCCAATTCCTGCATCAATTCCTTAATTGTTTCCTAACTTGAGAAAAGGTCATCACAGTTCAAACTCCAACAAGAATATTGGGACTATTTGATGAGTTCCTGCAGAAACAAGAGTTGGCTGAACTTGCCCCAATGATGGGACATTGCTGACAACCTAAAGTCAATGTGGGGTGTCAAGTTCAAAGCCCTCCAGCCTAGGGAAAGGGCCAAGTCTTCAGGGGCAGACATGCATTGACCACACTTATATAGATTAATGGTTAAAATGAGAATGCAAATTTCCTTTCTTTTGAAGGTAAATATTCCTGTGAAGATGACTGAAAGTCTTTTTTGGTTGGTTTATATATTCTGTCACTTTAGGCAGAACCCCTTAAGAGGCCACATTGGAATTCAGAGGCTGCTTGGTGAGAACAGAGTGAGGGTAAGATTTGACTGAATTGTTGCAGAGGCATGAGTTGTCAAGCTGATGTCTCCATCTCTGCCCCAAGATGGTAAACTTCTCAGGTGAGTTAGTAATTCAGGACCGGCACGGAGGAACCCTGACAGTCTTGTCATTCCGACTCTCCTTTTTGCTATCACTCCAGATTGATAATTCATCTCAGATGGGCAAACTCTTGTGGCATATGTGTTTTTTCCCCAATCAGGGTAGTCTGGACTTGGCCAGGGGACTCTGTGTCCTTTTCCAGGCACTGTCTAAGTCTGCTCTGATCTAGTCATCAGAGAGTGAAGCTGAATCTGCAGGGGCTCACCTTCATACCCTCACGTCAGGATGCCTTTTTCACTTTTGTGCACGTCGCTTCTTCTGTCCTTTAATTCTCAGCAGCTGTCTCTTGCAGCTCTTTGAAGGATACTACCACATGAATAGAGTTCTGGCAGATACTGAGAATTTAATTACACCCTCCTCAACTAAGGACTGATGTGCATGGAGGTATCTCTATGCCAGATTCCCTGCCCTGAGAGAGATGAGTCACAGGTATGAGGGGGCTCTGTCTTTAGGGCTTCTTTGCTACTAAGCTAAGGTCACCCTCCAAGGGAATTTCTTGCCATCACAGCACTGCTAGGCCTACCTTTCTTCCTGGTCTAGTTTTTCCTCCCCGACTCTCAATGATTCTTCCTGGGGACACATTCGAATAAATTACTTTTACATAAATCAAAAGTCAAGTTCTGATTTTGGGGAGACCAATCTAAACCAGACAGTAACTATGATTCCTTTTTTTTTTTTTTTTTTTTTGAGATGGAGTCTTGCTCTGTCACCCAGGCTGGAGTGCAGCAGTGTGATCTCAGCTCACTGCAACCTTTGCTTCCTCAGTTCAAGTGATACCCTTGTCTCAGCCTCCCAAGGAGCTGGGACTACAGACATGTGCTACCACATCTGGCTAGTTTTTGTATTTTTAGTGGAGGTGTGGTTTCACCATGTTGACAAGACTTGTCTCGAACTCCTGTACTTAAGTGATCCACCCACGTCGGTCTACCAAAATGCTGGGATTACAGGTGTGAACCTCCATGCCTGGCCCCATGTTTCTTTATAATAAGATTTTTCATGTTTGCAGTGGAGAGAGCCCCTGATTTTCCCCTATGTCCCTAAATATTACCAGCAAGCTATTAGGATTAGTAACCCAATATCTAAAACATTCATCTGATTAACCTGGTGCCTTTGTATGGTTAACTAGAGTTTGAAAGAGCATGAAAGCTTAACATGTCATGTGGAAGCAAGGCAGACGTGAGAAAAGAAGAACTGGACAACACAAAGGAACAGAAAGACCTCAGAGCTAGGGAGGGGATTCTCACTGCTCCTCCGCCAGGTTCTTCTAGCAAGACCCTGGCAGGTGCATTCATCTCTGAGTGAGCATTCATTCAAATAAAAATGACAGGATTGGATTGAAAAGTTTCTAAGCTCTCATTTAAAATAAGACTTTAGAACCAATGTTTGAGCATCAAGAGCAAATTTTACAGCCATGCAGGGAAGTGAACCCAGTGCAGCTGGTTGGCCCTAATGGAAGATGCTCAGGAATGGAGCAGGCAGGTGTATAGAGCTGAAAACCAGCATCTCTGTAGGAGTCAGAATTCTTCAGAGAAACAGAACCAACAGGATGGGCATGTTTATACAAATAGACACACAGAGATTTATTTTAAGAAATTGACTTACACGATTATGGGGGTTGGCAAATCCAAAATCCAGCCGACTAGAAGTCAGGAGACCCAGGGAGAGCTGGTGTTGCAGCTCCAGCCTGAAGACTGTCTGCTGGCAGAATTCCTTCTTCCTCAGGGGACCTCCATCTTTCTATCTTAAGACTTTCAATTGATTGGATGAAGGTAACTTGAAATTACCTTCATCAAATTCTACTGAACTAAAAGTTCATTTTATTTTAAAAAATACATTCACAACAGTATCCAGACTGGTGATTGGCCAAATATCTGGGTACCATGGCCTAGCCAAGTTGACACATCTAATTGCCATCATAATGTTTCCTGCTGGGGAATCAAAATCTGTGTGTCTCTCTGTGGTTGACAGGCAGTATCTGGGCTAGTCTTTTGGGTGCAGGGAGAGCACCTAGGGGTTCAGGGGAGGCATCTGAGATGTGTGGATGTGCTGTGCTCAGCTTGGGCTCAGATGCTTGTGCTGTTGAGTGCTATTGCAGGCTGGGCAGTGGGGCTGGCATTCTTCAGCATTAACCCTCATATTCTATGGTTGTAGAAATCACTAGAGATTTACATATTAAAACTAAATATAAAAAATAACAGCTATCAATATCAAGATAAAGTCATTTTAACAATTGCACTTAGCAATGCTAAAGTTTTTATAATTTGATGTTTCTTTTGTTCACTTGCCATTAATTCCATTAGAATTAAAAAATTGTTTATATTTCAGTAGAGAAGATTATTACACAAGAGAAAACTGCTTAGAGAATGGGTTATGGGTCAAGCATTTGTGTGGTTAGTCAGTAGATACAGTTTAATATCTTCTAGGTCGGTAATACAATGCTTAGGTCAAAATGTTGCATAATAAATAAAGAGCAGGTATGCTGGGCCAAAAAGCATTGTGAAACATTGAATTTTATTTTTATTATGACATCTCCATTTCCATCTGTTTTTTTTTCTACCACATCAAATGTCTATTTTTCCCCTCCTCCTTTCCTACTTTTCCTCCTCTTAACCCATGTGTCCAGCTGCCTCATTCCATCTTTCATCACTTCAAACTCTTTTCTTTCATCTTATGTTTCTTTAATTCCATATTTCCCATCTTCCAGTATTTTTCAAAATTGGTAAGATATGGTTTGGATCTGTGTTTCCACTCAAATCTCATGTCAAATTGTGATTCCCGGTGCTGGGAGTGGGGCCTGCTGGGAGGTGGTTGGATCAGGCGGCAGTTTCAGATGGTTTAGCAACCATCCCTGGTGCTTGCTGTTCTTGCGGTAAATGTTCCCTTGAGATACGAGTGTTTAAAAGCATGTAGCACCTCCCCCCGTCCCCGCCGCTCTTCCTCCTGCTATGGCCGTGTAAGATGTGCCTGCTTCCCCTTCCCCTTCAGCCATGATTGTCAGTTTCCTGAGGCCTCCCCAGCCATGCTTCCTGTCCATCTGGCAGAACCATGAGCCAATTAAACCTCTTTTCTTTATAAATCACCCAGTCTCAAGTATTTCTTTATAGCAGTGTGAGAATGAACTAATACATGGTTTTCATGCCATCTGTACCGGAATCTCTTAGGAAGCAGGGTAAAAATGTGGATTTCTATATTTTAATACCCCATAGTTAATACATTCTCTTCTCTTTCCTTTTTTTTCCCCAAAGGCTCCATATTTACCTGCTTGCCCCATTTCCTCCAAAATATGGGGATATTGTGTTTGAAAGTGACAATGGCCTAATGTTTTCTTTTGGAAGGCTCATAGTCCTGAGAACTGACAAATAGTGTTAAGTCCTTGGGAGGAGGTTGTGAGTTTAGGCTCCTCTTGCTCTGCCCGCAGTTGAGCTGATCCTGCCAGCACTTGCCCTTGCCTAGAAGACAATAAAAAAGTAGAATAAAAGTAGAAGGGGAACAAAATAGAAACTATATATTAAAGGAATAGCCTTAGTAGATGTTTTTAGGATACAGATTATAATACACATTTGAATTTCTCATTTTGAAATATATTTGATTATGTTATGACTCCTTGACATAGCTATTATTCATTTATCTCATAACATATATTTTTCACATCTTAAATGGATAGACACACTGAAAATGTAATGAGTTCACATTTATAATACACTGTTTATTACCTTTACATCATTTCATTTAAAGCCTATATTTTGCTTAATTACTGAGGGAAATCTCAAGAATAATTGCATGGCTACCAAAGTATTTTAATTTATCTTAAAACAAGTAAAGAATAGCAAATTTTTCTCAGTTAAAATATTTTCCATGTTTGGAGTCGCATAGATTTCTGGCTGAAAGGAGAGAGCTTAGAAAACTTTTATTTTATTTTTTTTTTTGTGTGTGTGAAAAGCTGAAATATAAATTACTTTGTTATGATTCCTGCAGTAAAGCTTGAGAAGCTGTATTGAACTCGCTGCAGTGACTCCATCTCTCCATTTCTCCTCAACATCACTTTTTTTGAGTGTTTTTTCCTGGCCATAGTGTGGCATTGCTGTTACATGAATTAGAGGTGCATGGGAGATTTAGGATTTAAAAATAATCTCTTCTAAAAAATGTATATTATGATCTAAAGTACAAATCTGATTATATCCTAGACTTTCAAATAAAATTCATGATTAAAAACTATTTGTCAGGAGTCTGAAATTCTCACAGAGGAACACAGCTCTAAACTGTGAACTTTAGATATTGTCACTCATTTGGTTACAATGTTACTCCGCGCCTGTGATGGGAGCTCCAGCCTTCACTCAGCAGAAGTCACACTTTCACACATCACAGATATAAAGAGCCAGGGCTGCTCGGTGATGGGAGTGGAAAATGGAATTATTGTTAAATAAATGAGCCATTTTAAAACAGACATTCCAGTAAAACTAGACCCAAATTTTTCACACAGGTTTAAAGGTCAGTCAGAAATTTTCTGAATGTTCTTTATGGAAACATCCACTAGATAAATATTATATTTTTTAATTTGATGGTAACAAGCTGGCCTGGGAACAGGTGTTACTTAAGGAATTTTTCCTTTAGCTCCAATTAATAAAATGATGTATAGCCCTGAACCTTTGAATACTTAGATGTAATCAATATTTACACCAAGAAGGCCATGTATTTGCTTCTTTAGGAGAAGAAAAAGGTAGTAGGTTATGATTAATAACAAATTTTATACTGACTTAAAAAGACAAACGTAAATAAAAATTACGTTGCCTTAAGGTTTCAATGTGGTACAGTAAAGATATTTTTTATCTTTCTTTTCTTTTCTCAAAAATCATTCCAAAATACAAGAAGAAACAAAACAGGGCTGGGTGCAGTGGCTCACGCCTGTAATCCCAGCACTCTGGAAGGCTGAGGAGGAGAGCAGATCACTTGAGGCCATGAGTTTGAGACCATCCTGGCCAACATAGCGAAACCCTATTTCTACAAAAAATAAAAATACATAAATAAAAAATAACCAGGTGTGATGATGCATGCCTGTACTTAGGAGGCTGAAGCACAAGAATAGCTTGAACTTGGGAGGCAGAGCTTGCAGTGAGCCAAGATCATGCCACTGCACTCCAACCTGGGTGACAAGAGCGAGACTGTCAAAGAAAAAAAAAAGAAAGAAACAGAAACAGAAAACACAAGATCTACCATTGATGAAACTTAAAACGAACTGTACATGTCAGGTGGCCGTGTGGGTGGGTGTTACAGTAACAAGCTGGTTGCCATCCCAGCCTTGGAAAGAGGCACGTGGCAAGCAGGGTCATGGAGGGTGTGGTGATCCCACAGTCATCTCAGGAATAGCTGTGGGTTGGTGAGAAGAACCGAAGGACAATGGGGGCATTAAGTACAGTCTGCATTTTCTTTCTCCACCCAGTGCCAGAAAATAGTCGGATGATGCTTCTCTAGGTAAGAGGTAGGGACATCCTCCTCTGGAGAGGATGAAACATTCCAGAGAAAAGTCTTAGATATTGATGACTTGTCCCTAATAAAAGTCACTCCTGTGTGCCACACAGTTGTCCACTGACCTACAACTCTGCCTGCCCCAGCAACTTCCAGTCAGCATGTTGGTGCTCCATCTTTAAGTATAAAAAGAAAAACAAGGATCGTCAGATATGCAAGGGGTGATGGAAGAAAATGTCTAAATCAAAAACCAAATCAACGGAAAAAGAAACTCAGAACATTGTGAGACAAACAATTTTCAGAAAGATCATAATTAATGCCCTTGGAAAGATGAAAAAGATAATCCATTCATGAAGAAAGAAGATGTTTTTTGAACATTCAAACAACAAAGGAGAACTCTTAAAAATTTGGAAAAGCCTAAATGTAATATTCAATAAAAGTGTTCAGGTTTTAGAGTAAAAAGAAATAGAAAGAGACATTGGAGAGAAAAGGTAAGAGAAATGGAGGTTCAATACAGGTGGTCCAAATATCTAAGAGGAGCTCCAGAAAGAGTAAACAGAAAATTATACAAAAAATTATCAAACAAGTAATAGAATATTTCCTAGAATCAAAGATAGCTTATTTCCATAATGAAATAACTCAATAAATGTCCAGCACAATGAGTAAAAGAGCCATCCCAGGTCATATTACTATATATTTCAGAACAATGATTAGAAAAAGGTCTGAAAAACTTCCAGAGGAGAGAGACAGGTCAAAAACCCTGGAAATGAAAGACATCTGATTTCTTAAAAGTAACACTGGAATCTAGGAGATAAAGTAAGAACAGTTTCAAAATTCTTATCTTCAACCTAAACTTCCAGACTTAAATAAATTGCCTTTCAGGACTGAGGATGGAATAAAAAAACGTTGAGGTGTAAAAAATGTCAAGAATTTACTTTTTGTGCATCTTTTCTCAGGAAGCTGCTGGAAGATGTATTTCAACCAAACAAAGGGTGGAAAATCTAAGAAAGAGATAGATGTGGGCTCTAGGGAACAGAGAATACAACATAGAAGAGATGGAAATGGAATTGTTAATGAGAGCAAAGCAAATTTCAGGTCAACAGCCGTGCAGCTGCCCAGAAAGCAGCCAGTCCAGATTGAAGTCAATGGGAGAAATGGAAAGAAAATGGAATTGATGAATATTCTGATACATTTGATCATGTGAAAGAATAGTGTCACAGGATGTCGACAGTAAATATTCAAAAAAATTAAAAAAGATAAAATGATACCCATATTAAATGTAGGCAATGTAGGCAAAATGTAGGCAAAACAAAAGTGGCATAAAAATGAAAATATAAACATTTTGACTGGCAATACATCATTATGTGTATATAACAATATAAGTATTAATTTTGGGTTAATTAAAAATAAAATTATATTGAAAGTTTAAAGAGAAAAAAGAGCATCCAAATACACTAAAATCCACAATTTATGAAATGTTGTGTTGATACTGTATACAATTATGGAAAAAAATAATTTTTGTATATATATATGTCATTTGGAAATATCAGAGGAGGTAACAGCAGAAAATGCTGAATGTGGTTTCCTCCGGGAGAAAAGAATAAAGTGGACACTCAGGAGACAAAGAATGCTGCTTTCTTGTTGTTGTTATAATCTTCTTAGGGCTCTTTAACTATTTAATGTTTACAATTACTTGTAAGTAATACCATAAATAAAACAAATATTAATAAAAAATAAGTTATCAACCCAATATTTCTAACACCTGGCAGCCTAACATGAAGAAACGACTGCCTGATCAAATGCTGAGGTCCTATACCTGTGTGGAATCTGAGGGCAGACTGAGTGACTTCAGAGTCATTGGCGCACATTGAACAATAATGTTCAAGAAAAATACAAACAAATACTCTCTAAGCAATTAACCCACGTCGCCATTACACATCAGGAATGCTCTATTGTAAACCGCGTATCAGTTTGGGCTTAACCACCATGTGGGCCTAGAGGAGAGAGAAGTTTTGTTGTAATGGAAAAAGAAGGTCTGCAACTCCAGGAGGTGTTCCTGAAGACCCTTTGTCCTGGGTAGGGTTGGTTTGTCAGGCAGGTGCAGAGGGAGCGTCAAATGCCTCAGGGATTTTAATGAAATGCCGAAAAGGGGGAGGGGAGTGTAAAGAACTTGGGAGAATAAGAAGATTCCTGCATTCAGACTTCAAATGATCACTGGAATGAACAAAAGAGTCTGTAGTTTAAAGCAAATTCTATTTTTAATTAAATAATAATCTAGATAGATATTCTGTGGCAAAGCTTTTATTGCTCGTCAGATTGATTTTTTTCCTCTGCAAGACTATACTTCTCTCATCAGCCTTGTTGAATTTAGACCTTTCAGAAAAGGTTGGATTTTTATTACTTCAAATTAGAGTCTATAATTTCGCCCATAAAACATGTGCAGAATATATATGGGTAAGTTTTACTTTCTCCATCAAATGTTCTATGTTCACTGGAAGGCAAAGATTCTGAACAGGAGGGGACCAGTAGACAGCCTGTATTTATCTCCTCTACCTGGAGTGCCCATAGCTCTTGTGATGTGAATATCTACTGGATTCCAGACGCAAGAACAATAATGCCATCTGTTTATGTGTGGGTCACCAGCCAGCAGATGGTAAACTTGGGTAAGGTTGCTTTTCTATTTTGAGATTTACTGAGAACAGAAGAGTTCATATTCTCTCTGTCTCTCTCTGTCTCTTTCTCTCTAATATTCAAAAAGCACTTTTTATTTTTGAATAGTGTTGGTTCTAAAAAGCACTTCTTGTATGTGAAATAAGAAGAGTTGTGTGTCTATACATCTACTATTGGAGGGCAATAACAATCTGTCCACAAATTTCTTGTTTTGGAGGGAGGAAAAGCAGTAACATGCAGAAGTCTGCAGATGCCAGTGGATGGTCAGAGACAGAAAGCCAGGTGCTTGGGGCAGCCTCTGGAACACACGTATCTGTGGCCATTTTCTGTGAGAAGAATGGCAAGGTGTCCTGGTGTCTCTGTTCTGCCCTAGGGATGGGAGGGTTCCCTAGTGAAAATGGGCTCACCACACATAAATAGCATGCTTTCCCCAACCTGCTGACCCTGAAGTTCTCGGCTTCACCAGTTGGTGAACACAGGTATTCAAAATTTGATTTCCTGAGACCCGACCTCCCCCATCCCCGACTGTGAAAAGTCCTGTGTTTTATGTGCCATGAGCATCCTTTGAGACTCATATCTGTATTTAGAAGCACTCTGTCCCAAGCTTTAAGCTCATTTTCTTTGAGAAATTACCCCCTTGTCACTTATTGGTTAATCTCTCTTGGAAAGTAGAAATGCCCTTTGGCATTATGATCATTTGTGGTACAGAAGGTTCTGGTTTGAGCTCTAAAGTATTGAGCATCTCATAATGTAGCTCTTTCATGTACCACTAGGTATGGCTAGCTAAGCCCAAGTTTTAAACATCACACAAAGTCACATTTCAAATAAGTGACCCAGACTTGATGGTCTGGGTTGCTGCAGGTGCTTCTGCCACCAGCGTTGCCATGGGAGTTTGAACTTTGCAGGAACACTGGGCAGTAGTTGGTGCTCAGGTCAACCAACTGGTCTAGTGCACGATCACCGCTTTGATCCAGCCAACTCTTTCTCCCACCCTGGATGCTACTGCTGCCCTTTTTCCTGTGTAACGTATTCAATGATCCTCCCAAGCCACAACACTTCCATGATGGGAGAAGAATCCTTCCTTCTGTATTACATTTAATCATGGTGTGTCCCGCAGTGACACAGTCACCTCATTACCCCATGTCTAGAAATATTCTGCCAAATGAATGGGTTGGGAAAAGCCTGGTATCGCTGTACCCAGGAATAACTCCCGATCTTATATGCCAAAGGTTTCTTGACTTGTCACAAAATTTTATATTGAGGGACCCTGTTGTAGCTCTGCAATCTGGCTTCCGTTGTCCCCAGCTTCTCATATCTGACAATCATGTCTCATTGTATCTAAACACTAAGCCCTGGGGTAGACAGGTTTTCATAAACCTAAGTGTCCAGCTCGAAATCAGAAATATATACATGTAACTCAACAACTCAACTCTGCTGCTGGAAACACCCAAATTGAATACACATGGAGAAAGTGGTATGATATCTACCTACTTTCCTGGAAAAGGGAGTGGGGTAAGTATGTACTCATCTTGTCAGGAAACAGAAGTTCCAGAATTACTTCTGGTGTCACCGTTAATAAAATTGTCCCTTGTTATATCAACATTTGCACAATATGTTTTTCATAAAGCTGCAGAGGAAACACTCCTTTCGAAATTCAGACTGTAAAAATGTATCCAAAAGTCTGATGTCATCATTTCTGTTGCATTTTTTTTCTTAAATTCTTTCCTACTTAACTATCTTTTTGCCCCTCTACATGAATTCCATTGTATTCTGATATTATCTTTGTGTTAAATCTAATCCTAGGCATCTCCAAGGTAGACATGCATTGGTTAGTAATCAAGATGTTCATTTTCTTTCACATGCACAAAAGGCCTTTCCATATTATTACTAACTTCAGGCAGAGTCAGGCACAGACAATAAAGGCTGATTCCTGAAGCACTCCCTCACTGACTCCTCCAAACACACTGTAACTGATTTATGGGTTATCTTTGTGAATAAAACTGATTGTCTCTGCTTGAACATGTTTGGTATTGTTATACAATTTAAAAAATATGCCCAAAGAATAAGAGTCTTGCTCCATTAAGAATTAACTCACAACCTTCTTTTTCTTCCCATTTTCTTCCTCTTTCCCCTTGCAGTATGTTTGCAGAGTTGCTGGTTTTAAAGATCTGCCTTAGCATGTCAGTGCATTTGTAACGAATATAATTTCTTGTGGTGGATATGGGCTTTCTCAGGATGTGAAGATTGCATTGACTGAAGGTTAATGCAGGAAATAGTGCTCCCTGTACTGAATGTTGTAAGATACAGTCTAGGGTGATAAAAATTGGCTTCCTTTATCAAATTTAAATGAATTTCAATCTTAGTGCCTCCTGACTGAAAATGAAGAAAATAATTTTTATGAGAGTTTAGAAACATGTTATGTATGCCATTGTGGACCAGTGGCACAAGCCTATCTTGAGAGTTTTAAGAAAATAGTGTTGGATCAATTTCTTTTTTTTTTTTTTTTTTTTTTTTTTTTTTTGAGACGGAGTCTCGCTCTGTCGCCCAGGTCGGACTGCGGACTGCAGTGGTGCGAGCTCGGCTCACTGCAAGCTCCGCTTCCCGGGTTCACGCCATTCTCCTGCCTCAGCCTCCCGAGTAGCTGGGACTACAGGCGCCCGCCACCGCGCCCGGCTAATTTTTTGTATTTTTAGTAGAGACGGGGTTTCACCTTGTTAGCCAGGATGGTCTCGATCTCCTGACCTCATGATCCACCCGCCTCGGCCTCCCAAAGTGCTGGGATTACAGGCGTGAGCCACCGCGCCCGGCCGTGTTGGATCAATTTCTAAGGAATTGAGGAATCAGCTGTCTGAACATGATGCTGAGTTTATTAGAACGCCATTTCTAAGGCTGCTAGCACTCAGTAGATTTTAAATAAACATAGTGAAATGTGATGGACCCAATGTTACAACCCAGCTCTTTTAAAGGGAACTTCGTGACAGTTCTGAGGTGTGGGCGAAAAGCAGAAATGCTGGAGAGCTGGGTTTGCCTCTTTGTCTCATCTTTTACTGCTGTGTGATTTTAAGCAACTTATTTAACTTCTTGGAACTCAGTTTCTCCACCTGTAAGCCTCTCATCTTTTCACTCATTTGAGATTTTTTCGAGGAACAGGATTTCTTGATTTTTATGTAGTAAAACATATCATGTTTTTCTTTTATATTTAGTGGCTTCTTTTTAGATCTTGTTTAAGAAATCTTTTCCTGGGTAGAAGTTATAGTGAGGAAATCCTCACATACTATCTTCTAAAAGCTTTAATGTTTTGCTTTTCATATAAGATCAATACTCAATCTGGAGTTAATTTCTGGGTAAATTGTAAAAAAAATTATTTTTTATATGCATTTTTAAACATTACAGTATGTCTTTTCGTACATGGTGTGTTGCTTTAACAGAATACGTGGGCTGGGTAATTTATAAAGAACAGACGTTTATTGGCTCACAGGTCTGGAGGCTGGAAAGTTCAAGATCAAGGAGCTGGTATTTGGCAAGGGCCTTCTTGCTGCATCATCCCATGGCAGAAGGGCAAAGAGAGGGTGAGAGGGCGGCAGGAGGGGTCTGGACTCCTCCTTTTATAAGGAACACGTCTCATTGATAATGAACCTACTCCCACAATAACAGCATTAATCTATGTGCTGGGGCAGAACCTTCGTGCCCTGATCACCTCCTTGGGTCCCACCTCTTAATATTGTTACTTTGGTTATTAAATCTCTACAGAAAGGGTTACACATTCAAACCACAGCAGCATCATACATTAATTTAATGATGGACTTATTGAAAATCTATCATTTACCAAACTGTTCTGAAGTGAAACCTCTCAAACCTCTATCAAATGACCATGTAGGGTTGGGACTGAGGCAGAGCCCTGCTTCTCTTCCATTCTGCAGCAGTATCACATGCTGTTGACCAATCTCGATATGGGACAGCAAGGCCACCTTCTTGTTTTTCTGTTTCTTCAAAACAGTCTTGGATTTTTATTACCTTTTTTTCCCAATGAATAAAATATTGCCTGATCAAGTCATAAACACACACACACACACAGACGTGCACACGATGGCTTGGAATATTGACTGGAACTGTATTGAATGTACAAATGAATTTGGGGTGACTTGATATCTTTACAATATTGAGTATTCCCAGCCAAGAGCATGATATAATTGTATTTCCATAAGTCTTCTTTAATATTTTATAATGGAACTCTTTAGTTTTCTCTTGGAGGAGAGTTCCTATCTTTTGTTATTACTAAATATTTGAAAATGCTGATACCATAGAACATATTTAAGGAGAAATATACCCTATATACAAAAAAAGGGTAAGTGAATTGTGTGAAGTGTGATGCATTTTCAGCAGGTGGACACATTTGCACAATCCACACCAGGACCCAGGGAGGGGACCCTTGTGCCTTCTCCTGATCTCTTCTTTATTCCTTCTCCCACAACGAACCTCCCTAGCCTATTCAGGCTCTTTCCTGGATTGCTAGTACACTTCCCGGGTTTACTAGCCAAATTCCCACATAGATATGGTATGATTTATTGGCCAGATCAAACTTCAGCACCAGGTATGCACTTTTCCTCAAAAACAAATTCGCGAAAAGTGATACGGTATATAAAAATAGTTTTAGGACATGACTGCCAAGACTGTGGTAGGAGCCAGCAGAGCGGCAGCTGAGACTGGAAGCAGAATGAGTTGCTGTGTGGGAACATTTCCTACCTAGATGGCACTGCAGGGTCGGGTGTTTGCCAGGAGCAAGCAGGGCGACCTGAAGGCTCTAAATCCAACGGCACGGGATGTGGAACCAGACAGCGGCGGCCCCGGGGGGAGGCGTGTATTCTCACACACGCGCCTCTCAATCATGCCACTTACAGCAGTTGCTCTACTCCTCTTTCCAACATGGAAAAAACGGCTTCTCTTTCCTTGCATCTTCCAACTTCTTTTTTTGAAACCTAATTCTGCTTTCATTTGCAGTTTAGTTTTTCTTCACTTCTAATCAGAAATAAAGATGTGGATAATTTAAGAACCCATCATAATAATAATGAATAATTTCCCAGATAGGGCAGCTTGAAACAGTGAAAGAGGATATTTTGACAACTCTGTACAGTCTGATTTATTAATCTATGAGAAAAGAAGGTTTTGATGAAGTTCTGTTCTACCCTTGTGGAATCTACCCGTTCCTTGTTGGTTTGCTTTATCTCACCACTTTTGTTAGAACTGAAATACTGGTGCACTAAGCCAGAGAAAATTCTGAAACTGCACTTTCTTTCCAATAATGTCAAATATCTTAGGCATTGGTCTCCAAAATAATTAAGTATCATTATGTGGCTGGGATCATCTACTCACCGTACTATTGGAAAACAAACTCATTAGGGATACGGTATAAACTATATTAGGTAACATTAGAAATTATAGAAGTTCCATCCAATCTCACTCAATATTGCAACTTATTTACCTTTATAGATTTGGGCAAATTAGTTTCTTAATTATCTCTTATAATTGCACATCAAACTAAGCAATGTCCCTTTATAAACAATCACCTTGGGTGGCGGCATGCTTCTCTGGAGAGGTTTCGGTTCAGAACATGACATGGAGTTTCTGGGATGACCCTCAGATTGTTGACACTCTTTTTTGAATATTTTTAGAGACAGTAAAAATTCACCATCGGAGAGGGAATTTGAGGTCTGGAAAGACACAAGAGGGATCACAATAAAACCAACTGTACTGAATAATGAGAACAATCAAGCCAAACAGAATTGTTTTGGATTTGTAAAACTGAGCAAATAAAAGTCATGAACCTGATGTTTTTATTATGTGGTTTGTGTGCTGTTCCATAACGATATTCTTCTGAGCTAATTTTTAAATATATGTGGAACAATAGCAGCCTCATTTGGGTAACGGTATAGCTTCCACAATGAGTATTCTAAAGAATACCCATTCACTTAGAAAAAATGTTTCCCATGGTATCATCCTGTGTGCTGGGGGATTCCTGCAGGAGCTGCAGAATTAAGAAGGCCTATATGGTAGTCCTTTGAAACGCAGCCTTGCAAGTGTTTTCCTGTCCAACTCTTGTGTTTCATGGCTGTTGCACAGTTTCAGCAGAAGTCTACATATTCTGCCTGTAAATGACCTGGACAAGCAGCATGAGTTGAACGTTTTGGTAGGGCCTTTCTTTTCCAACCTTTTGAGTGCCTTTTGAATGTATGAGAAATAAAAGCTCTCACACTGAGAAGAGACATTACAAATAACTCCCCAAACTCCCTTAATATGTGATCACCTTTAATAATACCAACAGGAGCACTACAGGGAGGTTCACACAATTTGAACTCAAATTAAACGCAGATGACCATCAAGTGAACCCTGACTCTCAGAACATTACAGTTAATTAAAATGTCACATTTTCTGTGACAGTGATAGGATATTGGGATACTGTAGGGTCTCCGTCATTAATGGGTTAACATTCTTAGCAAATAAATTTTGACCTAATTTTTAAAGACGAAACATAGCACAGCATTTTATGAGCATAGTTCAGTCAGAGAATGCATTTTTTTCAGATAAAAAAATTAATCCCTGTGTACTTTCAGGATAATTGAAAAGTTTATATTGTGTAGAGATTAAATGCAGATAAAGCAGTTTATTTTCCTTATATTGTTTGGAATACAGTTTGCTGCAAAAGATAATCCCACAATTTATAATCTAGACATTTTATTATTAGACTTTAGTAGGCTTTTATAAAATGAACTGGATATTTTTTAATTATCTTCTCTTTTTTAAAGCTCTTTAATGCTTCCCAATCCCTGCCCAAGAGTGACCTTTGTAGGGAAGTTGGCTGGCTGCCATGAAGAGGACATTTGAGTCAGAAATGACAGCACCGATGCTTGTGTGACCTGCAGGATCACCCCAAATGGAATCTCTCAAATGCGCTTCTCCCAGTTGCCTTTGGGGGTCCAGTACAAAATGAATTCTTTACATTTCAAGCAAATGGAAAGGAAATGGACGAAGCATATTTTTACTAAGAAGTTTTTTTTTTGAGATGGGGAATTTTGACTGATGTTAATATACATAAATACATGGGAGCAGGGAGAGGGCACAGTGGTTTACGCCTGTAATACCAGCACTTTGGGAGGCTGAGGCGAGTGGATCACTTGAGGTCAGGAGTTCAAGACCAGCTGGTCAACATGGCAAAACCCTGTCTCTACTAAAAATATGAAAAATTAGCTCAGTGCAGCGGTAGGTGCCTATAATCCCAACTACTTGGGAGGATGAGGCAGAAGAATCGCTTGAACCCAGGAGGTGGAGGTTGCAGTGAGCCTAGATCACACCACTGCACTTCAGCCTGGGGAACAGAGTGAGTGAGACTCTGTCTCAAAAAATAAATTAAAAAACAAACAAATACACACATACATATACATGTATCTCTTTACAAGTTAAATTTGGAAGAGAACCCTCACATGAGAGACTTAGGTACATCCCAGATGTGTTTGGGAAGCATAAACTACTGATAAAATGCATTCTCATTATTATGTTAATATAGGTTAAGAGATTACATATGTAAATAATTTCTGTTGGATTCTAACCTTACAGGATAATCTAAAATTCTGAATAAATCATTCTCTGATCCACACACTTCATTAGTATTCTTTGTTAGCCCTAAAGGTTTTTACAAAGTGGAAGTGTGCGTTTTTGAAAGAAACTATTAGTTCTTAACAAATAATATTCTTTTATTTTTGACATGCCAAATACAGCATTTTGTAAATGGGTTCACTAATCCTTTTAAATTTCAATACCTAGAGAAGCATTTAGATTCAGAATGTGAAGTGCCAGTCATTCAGACAGAACACATATTCCTCTAAGGAATTGCCTCAAGAAAAAAAGAAAAATTCTCTCATTAATTTATAAATTGTCCAGGGTGCAGCACGCAACAGTATCACACTAGGTCTGTCTGGAGCTGGGGTCCCAAGAGCCAAACCCATTTTCATTCGTAATGTAGGCAGGTACAGAGCCTTGACAGAGCTGAGCCCAAAAGGTCAGAGGAGGCAGGGTGTCTCAGTCTAGGAGGGCAGGCAAAGAACAGAGAAAATTCTTTAATTTGAGCTTTTTTTTTTCTTTCGTGCTACTTTCCTACTTGGTCTTAGATTTGTCTTCTCTTGAAAAATAGAATATTCATTGGTATAAGCATTTCACTGCACTGGATGAGAGAGGGAGACCTGGGCCTCTGTCTTCACAGAGCTTATGTGGTCCAGTGTGTGTGAGGGCATCTCAGGCAATCAGAATGCAGTCTCAAAAGCACCTGCCGAGGGAAAGGACATTGTGCTTTGAGAGCACCGAGGAGGGGTCCCTAACCTAATCTCCAATTTGTGTAGGAAGAGACTGGGACCAAGTTAAGCTTCCTAGAGGAAGTTATCAGGCTGAGAAATGAAGGCGATAAAATTGAGCTCAGCAACAAGAGTGAGGAAGGCAATTCTTCTAATATTTGAAGGCAACTAACATGTTTCATCCCCATTTCCACCATCCTTCTTGTGGGAGGGTTTCCAGAACTTTCATCAGCACAATCTCCTGAGAAAATCTACTTGTTGATTGATATTGCTCTTAAAATAGGTATTTCAAATTAGAATGGAATAATCCAGATGCAATGGAAATAGCATTTGTCATAGTAAAGTTTTGCTACCTTTTTTTGATATTGTTTTTTGGAGGATACTAACATTATTGTGACATATTGTTTATTCATTTTGAGCTTACGGTAAACTAAAACAAAATAGATTTTTTTCCAACTGAAATTAATGTTTGTTCAAGTCCTTCCCATCATATATAAGAAGATTTCACATATCCTTATTAAATGTCACGTTACTGGTTTCAATCCGTCATTTATGTCTATAAAGATTGTTTTGAATCCTGGTTGTGTCATTTGAGGCATTTGCCATCTATCCTAGCCTGTGTCAGCTGCAAGTTTAACAAGGATTTATATTAAAAGACACTTAATAAGATTCCTGTATCTTTATCCTACTAGCAACTTCTCTCTGGAGCTTCCTCGACAGGTTGATTAGAATAATTTTCCATACCTTTATTTATTCAGCCAGGTATAAATCTACTCACATATTTTTCCAAACCACATTTCCTCATAAGATCCAATAATATAAAGAACTTGGCCAAATGTCTTGCTGAAATCAATTTACATAGTTTCTTTGATAGTCTCCATATTTTCCAATGTAGTAAACTATTTAAAAATGATTTTACTAAATAAATCACTGTGGTTTCTAGTAAACACCTTTTAAACTTTGTAACACTCTGTTAAAAATCGCTCCAAAAACTTTGTTGAGTGTCAGCACCCATCTTCCTGACCTGTAGTTTCTGAACTGTGTTATTTCTCCCTATCTGGACCCATCTGCCATCTCTAGTCTTCTGGCAGCTCTTCTGTCCACCAGGGTTTTTGGAGGATTACTGAAGTGGTGTGGTCCCTGGATGGCACTTCTGACACTGGATTGCAATGGATAGGTGACTCCTCCCTACACCCATCTTCCTCCTGTCTTCCAGCAGGGATTTCCCTATTGGTAAAACAAGGACCACAAAACCCACTCCTGGGGTTGTGGCGAGAATTTCATGAGTTAACTTATGATAAGGAATTGCCTCAGTGTCTAGACCAGGACAAAATCTCAGCAGTGGTCAGCCACTGATTCCTTGATAGCTATGTCCATAACACTGGTGGGCATAGCTATAAAGGAATTTGAAAATTGTTGCTGTCTATTAATTAATTTTGCCTAAATTCCCTGAGACATCTGGTCATGTTTCTTCCTTGAAAATAAATTTTTGATTTGTGATATAAAGGCTATACTCACCTCTACTCACTACCTTTCAGAGGATCGATCAAATACAGCAACAGAAAAGGTTTTCATACCCACAGATATGGTTTAGGCAGTAAGTACTTTGTGACTTTGTGGTGGAGGAATCCAAACTCATGAATTCATTCATGTTTAAACACATGACTGCTTCAAGAAAAATATTTAGATAAACATCAATTCTGTGTACAGAAAATAGCCACAGTTAGGTTTAACTTTTTTTTTTTTTTGTAAAATCAATCTGGTAATTCACTAATCAGGTCAGGCATCTTAATGATGTGGCTTTTTTTTTTTTTTTTTTTTGACAGAGTCTTGCTCTGTTGCCAGGCTGGAGTGCAGTGGCGTGATCTTGGCTCACCGCAACCTCTCCCTCTCATGTTCAAGCTATTCTCCTGCCTCAGCCTCCCAAGTAGCTGGGACTATAAGCATGTGCCACCATGCCCAGCTAATTTTTGTATTTTTAGAGATGGGGTTTCACCATGTTGGCCAGGATGGTCTCGATCTCCTGACCTCGTGATCTGCCCACCTCGGCCTGCCAGTGTGCTGGGATGACAGGTGTGAGCCACTGTACATGGCCTGATGTGGCATTTTTAAGATAGTTATGAAATCGAAAACATGGATTTTGCTTGGAACAACTTTAGTCACAGATTTTTCTGTATTTATTTATTACAGTTGAAATATTTGAAATATCCAGTTAAATTTTCAAAAAATATATCCACTTAATAAACAAAAGTTTTATTTAAATCATCTATCAAGTAAATAGTAACCGTGCTTTAAAATACATTTTATTAAGCTAAGGGTATCCTTTGCCATTTTCTGTTTGGTAGTTTCTGCCAGAGTTGGTCCATTTAATAAAATTCTTTGGCACTCTGTTCCAGTAGAGAGGATAGCATGTGTAGAGACGATCTCAATGCAAAGATGGCTTGGGGTGAGGTTTAGTTCAAGAGTAAGGCTGTGTTTAAAATGCAAGAATACTCCGGCCATTTACAGGCGTAATAAATACAAATGCAGCATGGTGAGATGGGGTATGAAGCCTGAGATTTCACAGCACTCCTTCTAATTCATCACCACTGTCCTGGTCTGGCTTAAGCAGATTATTATTGGGAGAGTAAAATGCAATGCATATGAAAGCCAGGCAGATAGTTGCAGCTCAATCTATTACAGTCATTACCACTTACTGCTTTTAAGACCTCTCTCTAGCTAGCTCCGCAAGAAAGAGAGACAAAGCTAAACAGACTAGGTAACCAAAAAGCATAAGAAAGGAAAAGCAAACTCTCCTAATAAATTAGTACCTAGGACATTATGAACAAGATATTTGAAAATGGATGAAATTCCTTATGATTCCTGCCTTTTTAGGCCAGGAATTGAGTCCAGGAGTTGGAGCTCAAAATTGGAGGGTGTCTTTGTCCAGAAATTTGAGAAAAATGAAGCCAGCACTGCCGCCAGAGCTTCTGCCTGGGCATGCTGTCCTGGTGCTGTCTGTGGGCACTGCATTGACAGACATCGATTTGTCTTGGGTGAGCTTCACTGGGTCCTCATGTGGCTCCATAAACCAGGCCTGTGGCCAGCACTTCAAGCACGTTTCGTTCCATTGCTGTCTTGCTTGTCTGCCATGCTTTAGCTGGGGCTGGGACACAGGGGCGTTGTCTTGAGGTGGCTCTAATGCTGCTCTGTGCCACTGTCTAGCAGGGTCGGTTAGTGGCACTCACGTCACTTTTTCTTGGCTGCTTTCCAACTGCCAACTGTTGCCAGTTGTGTAAACCACTGGTGGGCACAGAATTCTTCCTGCCAGACACCTACTATTTTTTGCTTGGTAATCAACAGGCTGGGATTGAAGCTACTTCAAAAAGAGGAAATAGGTTGGGAAGATACAAGTGCTTGTGTATGTGTTTTGTCCAGCTTAAAACAGACAGACAGACAGACAGGTAGACAGACAGACAGAAGAACATAGCCCTAGCCCTCCCACTTTCATTTTGCCTTTAGAAGAATTCCTGATGTAGTGAAGCTGAGTCAAATCTCCAAACAGACAGCTAATGATAACCAAAAGACAGTATTCCAAAGAAACTTTGTAAATAGGGCATGCCCCTGACATTTTTTAGTTTATCCTGAATTCATCCCTTTTTCTTACCTTGCAAACCGATTGATGCCTTTATTTGAGAAAACACCTTTCTCTACAATTTAGGAAATGTGTAAACATCAACATTTAAAAGAAAAAATGATAATACCTTGATATCCTAGATAAAGAAGTAAAAAAAGAAGAGACGTTAAATCTGCCTTGAATGGATAGAATGACATTCAGTATTGTGGCAGGCAAAATAATGCAACCCCCAACCCCAACCAGGATGTCCACATCCTCATCCCTAGAGTCTGTGAATATGTGTTACTTTACGTGGAAAAAGGAATGAAAGTTGCAGACAACTTTAATTGGGATCATCAATGTAATCATCCTGGATTACTGGAGTGGTCCCAATGTGATCACAGGGGTCGTTAAATGTGGAAGAGAGGGTAGGAGTGTTGGAGTGAAGTGACAAGAGAAAGACACTCCCTACCCCCTCCTTTGTGGGCTCTGAGGATGCAGGAAGGGCCAGGAGCCAACGAATGCAGCTGGCCTCCAGGAGCTCAAAAAGTCAAGGAAGCACATTTTTCCCTAAAGCTTCCAGAAAGGAATGCAGCCCCAAAGACACTTTGATTTTAGCCCAGGAAGAGCTGATTTATACTTAAAACAGTAAGATCATCAATGTGTGTTGCACTAAGTCGCTAAGTTTGTGGTAACTTTGACAGCAACCACCTCCTGACATGTCCACCGTCTTGCACATGTGTTCTCAGCACCGGTTTTTGTTTCCTTCCTCAAATGCACCACATGGTACCCACCAAAAAGCCGCTGGGATGCTGTTCCTCCACCTGCAACACGCCTGCTTCCTGTCTGTACATCACTGCCTTTTCCTTCCTTTCAGCCTTTGTTTAAACGTCACTTTCTCAGTGAGACTCTCCTTGACCACCCAATCTAGAACATGCTCTTTCTCCAACCCATGACATTTGCTTCCTGTCCCCTGTTTTTTTACTTAATAGCTTGTATGAAAAAAAAAAAACAAAAACAAAAAACAGACTCAGGACCCCAAACTCACTATGCCAAGGGAAATGTTAAGCTTGGAAACCGAGTCATGCAAAACCGCCTCCCACTTTGATCCTAAATACATAGCTGCGAAGACAGAGGGCCACAGAGATCCCCAGGGGCCTCGCTTCCAACTTGCTCCCAAGGAAATTCCTTGGACCCCAAGGAATTTCTACCCTAAAACAGAGTTCCACTGAATTTCACCCTGACAATATCAATTAACAGCATATCTTCACAGGCATGGGTCTAAGACAGGACTAGAAGCCATCCTCGGCTCACCTGAGACAAATGCCTATTTGACGGCCTCCTCTTCTTGAGGTTTTCTTCATCTTATGTAGAAATGCAGCTTCACTGAGTGCAAGATGAATGTCTCTACCCCCACTTTCACATGTAAAGCTTGGATTTAGTGAATGCTGATCAAAACCTCAAAAGAATGTGACCGCTTCTCTCTTTTATCTACCCTCCCTGGTTTTTTCTTTCCTCCTTTCCTCTCCTGCCCACTTTTTCTCCTTTACATTGAAGCCTCAAAATCCTCTTTGAAAAAAGTAATACAATATAAGAAATAATTTTTAGACAGATAGTAAGGGTACAAGTTCTTGGTAGAAATTTCCCTGTAATAAAGAACAACCCCTGAACCATCTCTTTTCTAACAGAAAAGGCAGCTTGAAGGGCGGAGCCCGCAAGCTTTGATATGCAAATGCAGGCCATTAGAAACTGGGTTCACTCAATATGGCAATTCCCGCCATCTTCTCCTTGTCACCAGGTGTACCAAGGGTCATGGCCACCTCCAGATAACACCATGTGTTAAAGCCATATCAAAAGTACCGGTCGCAGATCCTACTGAGGCTTATGTCCCTTTTTCCCAGGCACATCTTCAACCTTGGCAAAATAAATCTCTAAATTGATCGAGATTTGTCTCAGTCATTTTCTTTGGTGTTACACTTAAATTAAAAATGAAAAATTGTCATTCTTTTCTCGTTTATTATCTATCTTCCTCAACTGAATGAGAGACTCATGGGGTGGAACCATATCTGTTGTGTGTTCTGATGTATACTCATGACAAGTATGGCATCTGGCTTATAGTCATGCACAGCTATTTGTTAATTTTTTTTAAAAAAATCAATGCATTTACCTCAATTCTCTTTCTGAGCGACTGATTTTATGGTATTTATCTACCAGTGACTTTGTGTTTAATTATTATAATGTTAAAAATACTTAGGATGAGATAGAAACATTGTCCTCGCATTCTAATTTAAAAATATTTTTTGCTGTTATATGTGTGCTTTTTTCACATCTTGATAATTCCTCCATCATATTCTGTAAATATCATATTGTTATTTTGATTAGTATGAAAATTAATATATACATTAATTTTTGAAGTAGTTCTTATCCTTCCAATATGTTGCACTTTCATTAAGTATCACAGTATGTTTCTATTTTTATTCAAATATTATTTTAATCTCTCAGTAGAGTTCTATATTTAAAAAATGTTCCTAATGACTAATTTATTTTTTGTTAGGATCATTCAAAGGTATTTTATTTTTAAGTTGTTATTGTAAATTAATTATTTTAACACTTATATTTTGAATTGTTTATTGACAATATATAAGAAAGGATTTTGGCCTATTTTCCTGGCTTAAGTGGCATAACTGAAATTTTGTATATTCTGAGTTTATTTTTAATATATTTTGTAGCATTGTTGGGAGGATTGAATGACATAAGTATATATAAAATGGTTAAATTCGCATATTTTACACATTATCAGCCTCAATAGATACTTATTTTTTTTCCTTTCCTTGTCCCCCTCCCCTCTTCCTTGTTAAGATGCAGAATCGGTGCCTGTGAGTAAAGCGGCCATTTGTCCCCCTTGTTCTGATCATTCTAGTTCCTGTTGTTTCAGGTGTTGTTACACGGGCTGGAACATCAAAAGGCATTTTAAATACTAGTGCTTATTCATTATAGTTAGTCTAAGGAAGCATCTTATAATTTCTGGTTTCCCAAGAGGTTTTTTCAGGAGTAGATTTTTAATTTTATCATATTTTCCTAAGTGTCTTAATCTTTGAATATGATTCATTGTATTTATGTATTTCCTAATGTTCTATTGTCCTTACATTTTTTCGTAGTCACAGGGTAATGTTTTTTAATGTTATATTGACCTAGGTTTGCAAGTATTTTATTTAGAGTCTTTGCATATATCACATAAATAAAAAAGAGAACTACAGTCTCATTTTCCTTTGTGTCAATTTTAGGTTTTTGTGTTAGAGTAATGGTAGCTTCATAAAATGAATAGGGATACTTTGTATCTCTTTCAGTGCTCTAAAATCAATCTCTCTCTCTCTTTCTCTATGTGTGTGTGTTTCAGTGTGTGTCTTTTTATCTCTCTTACACTTTGGTAAATGACTTGATCATATACCCATGTGACTTAAGACTTACCTTATTTCATTGAATGTAAGTTACCATCACTGTTAAAATATATCATTGTTTATGTACTAGTGAGAAGGAAGAAAAATGCTACCTATCAAACTGTGACTAAAACAAATCTTACCAGTTAGAATTTCATTTTATACTTATTAAAGTCTATTTGGATCTCTTAAGAGACAGCTTTTTAAAATCATATATTAGCTTTTTTTCATGTGTTTATACATATGAATAAAACATAAGTAAAATAAATCTAAAGTTTTCCTAAATATTTTTCACATTGAGTTCTATGCTTTTGGATTTCTTAGACTCCAGATCATTATTTGTACAGACAATACCACCATCAAGAACAGTGATGGGGCAGATGAGTGGATGCCCCACCGTTGTCTCAGGATGTCTCTTCCTGGTGGGTGAAACCATTCTGCAGGCTGTGCTTTGCATACACGGGCAACAGCAGCCCCTTGCTGACTGCCTCCAGTCCTCCCGACAGTGATTTCCACTGCATTCCCCACTTCAGAGGTGTCAAAGTTGGGAAAAGTTTGTGTCTTAGTATAAAATAAAGTATGGTGTCTGATTCCTCTTATTACCTTACCCTCCACATTCAAGCAATTAGCAAGTGCTTTTAATTCTAAATCAAACCATTTATTTTTTGTATTTATTAGAGCTCCTCATCTCTGTCCATTCGCACTGCCATCCCCTTGGTCTAGGTCACATGGATTTTCATCTGGATGGCAAAACAATCCTTCAAGTGCCTCCTTTTCTAACCTCCAGCCCCCTAAGTCCCCACCTTCATGTGGCAGCCCAGTTTCCCTAAATCACTTACTGCGGCCCTCAAGTCACTGTGTCTCTTGCTTCCCCCTCTGCTGTAGATGCCATATTTCATTTCCTCAGAGATGCCAAGCTTCTTCCAACTCTTGTCTATCCATGTGTTTCTCTTACGTTTCTGACATCAGTAGCATATTCCTATGCTTAGGTGTCAGCATACATGTCATGTTTTCAGAGACATTTTCCTGACTCTCATCCTAATTTTCTGTACCCTGACTCTTGTTATAGTCTATTTCCAAGTGTATTCCAAGAATAGTTTGTGGGTGGTGTGTTCTCATCCTGTGCCCCTTGAGGATCTCCTCCTCTTGTCTTGTCTCATGAATGTCAGCTGGGCAGAGGCCTGAGGCTCAGAGGTTCTCTCCAGCCTCATCATCTAAGGCATCAGCCCTCAAACATTCAGCATCAGGGACTGGTTTTGTGGTGGGTGGTGGGGGGATGGTTTTGGGATGAAACTGTTCCACCTTAGATCATCAGGCATTAGTTAGAGTCTCATAAGGAGCTCGCAGCATAGGTCCCTTGCATGCTCAGTTCACAACACAGTTCGTGCTCCTCTGAGAATCAAATGTCCCAGCTGATCTGACAGGAGGTGAAACTCAGGCAGTAATGCTCACTTGCCTGCCTTTCACCTCCTGCTGTGCGGCCCAGTTCCTAACAGGCCATTGACCAGTACCAGTCTGTGGCCCAGAGGTTGGGGACTCCTGATCTGAGGGGTGTGGCTCTGTATGACAAAGCAAGGTCTCATTCTAACCCTGTTGCGTGGTACTGGACCTGTGAAAATTGTGGAATAATGAATAATTCTGGCCCTCAGCACATAACTTTGTCGGCATGTTCTTGATCAATTTAATCGATTCTAGAGAAATGCATCATCCCCAGCTTCTGTAAAAGCATCTGTATCTATGACTTAGTCTTGAGACCCAGCCAGGCCATGGTTCATTTGACCAGGGCTTGGAACTGGCTCTAAGATTCTTCAGTCCATTGGCTGGTCAGTGACTAATTAAAATACCTTCCTGAGAAAGTTGCTGGAAAGAGATGGAGAGAAGAGAATTACTCTGTAGTGGTAATTTGAGTGGAAATTAACATGGAGTTAATATCAGCCAAAGAAGCATGAATGCATAGTGAAAGCCGGAAGAGGAACAGGATGGGAAAGAGGAGCAGATCTGTGGGGGAAGGGGGATAAGAACACCTTTATCTTTGAAGAGAAGGAACGAGAGAGAGGGAGATAAAGAGAGAGAGGAAGGGGGAGTAGGAGAGGGGAGGGACAGGAGGGGGTAAGAGAGAAACTAAGAAACCAGGAGGCACCTCCTGGATCACGGACATTGACTCCCTTACCTCCTTCTTCACATCCCAATTATCAGCAACTCCTTACAGTTCTTTCCCAAATAACATACAGCACATGTATGGAAATGTGTGTGAGCGTGTCTTCATCTGCACCTCCCTCTTCTTTCAATGTACGGGACTTCATGCCTTGGAGATCTGTGCATGCTTTGACCCATTCTTTCTCTGGGCTCAGCTTGGGGGGCCTCTCAGGGACAGGAGGTACACAGCGCCCAGGCCCACCGTGCTCTCTGGCCTGTTCCATGAGTCCTCTGGTGAGGGCCCCACTGGCTCAGAGAACCAGCCAGCAGATGAATTGCCCCTCAGAAATCTCTCTTCACAAGTAAAAGCCTCTTGAATCATCCACAGAGCCCCTCTCCTCTCTGTTCCTGCCCACAGG
This sequence comes from Homo sapiens, assembly GCF_000001405.40. Lineage (NCBI taxonomy): Eukaryota > Metazoa > Chordata > Mammalia > Primates > Hominidae > Homo > Homo sapiens. Next base: position 73,761,872 of record NC_000018.10, on the reverse strand, counting down.
GTTTCACCTTGATGACCACACCTTCAGAACAGAGTGCCTCTCGCTCCAGCCCTGGCCCACAGGGAAAAGTGGCTTCTGAATGTGGATAGACACACAAGGGCAATGACACACAAGGGAGTGAGTGGGCTGCAAAGCTTTAGATGCCTAAGGGGTAGGGCCCCTCAGGAAGTGTAGCTGCCCTGCCTCGGGCTGGTGTGGACACTGCTTCTGAGCCAAAGGCAGATCTGGAGGGTGGACACAGTGTCTGTTTGTATTCCATATGGGAAAGCCAGCACTGCTCACTCATTTTACTCTTTCTTTCATCCATTTTCATTTTCATTGGAGTTAATGGAAATTTCTCTGATTAAGATAGCAGATTAACTCAGGTTAAGGGCTGGCTTTTGTTTTGCATTTATTTGTTTTGTGAATGTGCATTTAGTTTTCATCTTTTTATGCACTCTCATAACTGCTTTACAGGCATGTTGGAAGAGCTACAGTGAGTACTCCCAAAATCATATCAATTTAGACCAAGACCCCAAAGTGTCCTAGGGTGCCCCCTTACAGGATCTGGCAAACTATGTCCTCTAGAATCCAAGCTAGACCAAGGAACCAGTTCATGATCCTGTGTGTTCATTTCACAACTTCGGAGCCATTTTAAAAGTATGTACACATTTTTCAATAGGTTTCATTGATTAGAAATATCAAATGCTGCTTTAAAGAGTTTCTCTTTTTTGCTTGTTTCATGCAAACCAAACGCAATTCATTTTGCAACATAAGTGCTCCTTTTTGTTCTTCACAGACGTTACAGAGCATATCTCAAGTTCCAAAATCTTGCATAGCGTCTAAGCCAAAATTGCACTGGTCATAGTTAAGCATGCCAGGAAGACTTTAGTCAAGTCTACTGCAAGAGAGCAGAAAGGCTGGAGTTGAAATTGAACTCAGCTCCACCGAAGCAAGTGGCTGGAGAGGTGCAGAGCTGGCAAGGGGCATCTTAGGCCAACTGTGTTTGCTCCTTGGCCTTACCTAAAGGAAAATCAAATTTTCTCATTTCTTTCGGATAAGAAATAGTTTTACAACTTGGAGTAAGGTGCCCACTAAAGTTAGTTCCTACTCTCCCACAGAAGTGATGAGATAGAGTTCTATTCCCTGCTGATTACGTTTTAAAGCCATGCCTTCCGGATCATCCAGAAAGACCATCCTGGGTTGTAAAACTGGCAGGAGGCTTTGAAAAAGATTTACATTGTCAAGGGGCAAGACAATGAAGAGTCTTTAACAATGACAAATTGAAGGAAGGCTTTAAGAAGAGGGAGGTCAGGACCTCAAGGTGGGAAGAAACCTGTCTAAAGCGAAATCAAGTTGAGGGGAACATCAGGGCTGTCTTGCTCAACAGGAAGTCATCCAATGCAAGGGCAGCTAGAGGGGGATGAGTTTCCCACCTACTGGTGTATGTTTGCGAGGGTGTGTGTGTGCTTTCCATTTGAACCATGAGAGGCACAGTGGTGTCTCAACTTACAGGACAATGAGGAGGAGACTCTTGGCCACAGGCAAAGCCCACTGCTGCTTGCGTGCACTTTCTCCAGCTGGCACCATCCAGGGCAGTTTGTGTTGAGGCATCAGGTGACAATGCTTCCTGCAAGAGAAAACAGTGGGGATGTCACAGAGATGCTTTGGGTACACAACTGAGTCCTGAGTCAGCAGTGGCCTAGGGCCATCCCTCAGGGTGGGGAGAGGTGAGCTGGCCAGTGAGGGGCTGGGGTGCCAGCTTCTCCCTGGGGCCAGGAGTTTATTTGTCTGCCAGTTGCTCCAGTCTGCCCAGATGTGCGATGCTGTAGTGTCTTGAATCAGACAAATAGCAAGAGGTGGGAGCAGAGCATCTCCCTGTTTCACTGCGGAGCTGGAGGGGAGCCAACTGTGGTGGCCAGTCTTACAGAAAGGGCTGCCTGGAAATAATCCGGCAGGAAACCTATGAAGCTGACTAGGTCCATCATGACCAAGAAGGCATTTTTCCCTTTTGTCTGTTTTCTGGGCTATCTCAAACATCTTTCTGAGAATAAATAGCCCTTATCTGTAATAAGATCTGGCAGGCCATTAATGCATAGAGAGTGTGATATCAGTGGGGAAGAACAGGTGTGTGGGTGACAAGAGTTTCTTGATCCAACAGCTGCTTTCTTTGTGCAAACCAGCCTCCTTCCTTTCACACAAAGGTGGTTGTTTCTCAGCAAGTACGGGAGAGCTGTTTCCATCTGGCAGAGGGATCTGTAAGATAATTGGCTGCAGGACAAAGGTGGCCTGGGGTTACCATGCAGAGAAAATCGCCCTGCACTACCTAGAGGCTGTTCCCTGGAATCCGAGGGAGGCTGGCCCTGGGAGACTGGGGTGTGCTGCTGTAGCGGCTCCTTTGGGTTGAGGCAGGAGTGATGGGACACTGCACTGGTCTGCTTGTGCAGTTGTCTGGGTCACCTGCTGCTCTTTGGAGCGAGTTTGCCCTCATGCCTTCTTCTTACAGAGTGACGTGACCTCTCTGGTAGTAGCAGATCCAGTGCCAGCCACCTTGATAGCTGGGTGGAGACCTCACCGTCTGCATGAGAAAATTTGGGTTTCCCAGGGCTACTCTGCTCACCCGAATGGTCTCCTAGGCATTAAGAATAGATTTCCTGGGTCTACTCATTTCTAGATTCTTAAGCCTGTGCAGATACCCAAGGGGTCCCTTTCTGAACAGTCCAGGAGGAGATACTTTTGCTAATGCTTCAAAAACAGTTTAGGCCTGGCATGGTGGCTCATACCTGTAATCCCAGCATTTTAGGTGGTCAAGGAGGGTGGATCATTTGAGGTCAGGAGTTTGAGACCAGCCTGGCCAATGTGGTGAAACCCCGTCTCTACTAAAAATACAAAAATTAGCCCAGCATGGTGGCATGTGCCTGTAATCTCAGCTACTTGAGAGGCTGAGACATGAGAATCTCTTGAACCCAGGAGGCAGAGGTTGCAGTGAGGTGAGATCGCACCACCACATTTTAGCATGGGCAACAGAGAGAGACTGTCTCAAAAAAAAAAAAGAAACAAAGTTTAGTTTTCTGATGTGTTGTACAAGATGGTGATTCCTGTTTATTCTTCTACATCTAACTTAAATCACACCTCCTGCTCGACACTTGAGGCATTATTATATTTTGGCATTAATCACAGCATGTCTTCTATTATATGTGAGTATGAGTGTGTTTCCTCCAAATTCTGGACTTACAGAAGTTAGGAAATGTGTCTTATTTTTCTTTGTAACTGTTAAAACAGTGACTGCGTAATGAGTAAGCACTGCATTATTGTTCAACTGAATTTACAATCTCTCTGTCTTTGAAGGGAATAATAATGGTAGCAATATTCCTTTTAGAAACCTCTTCAAATATTAATATTTCCACATTGGCCTTTGTCAATACTGCATCCATTTAGTTATTTTTCTAAAGCTCAGGTGTTCCTTGTGAAGCTTGCAGGGCAGGAGTGGATAAGCTCATCCAGGGCGTATTAATCCCCAGTATCATTTTAAAAATATGTAATAGCAGTAGCTAATATTTAAAAGAAATAAGGGTGCTGTCAAAAGTGGATTTCACCATGGCAACATTGTAGGCACTGATGCCAGTTAAGATGGTGTGGCTATCATCCAGTGAGAGATGACAGTGGCCTGAGCCGGGATGGTGGCAACGGAGGGTGGGGTAGGTGTGCTTAGCTGGTGGGAACAAAATCCATAGGATTTGTCCCTGGATTAGCTGGGGACAGTGGTGGTGAGGAAGTAAGTCCCTCCAACCCCCCCAGGGCTCACTTATTTCTGAAGTGACCTGGATGGAAGGGAGGGCTATTGACTAAGACATGAAACGCTCGAGGAGAAAATTTTGTAGGAGATATTTGGGTTTGGACATGATTTAAAGGCACCTGTGAGACAACCCAGTGGACGAGGCTGCTCTCTTTGCATATGCATCTGGGAACTCTGGGACAGACCTTGGCTAGGAGAGCGAGGGATGCATCAACTACCAGCATCCACAGAAAGAAGAGCCCCTTTGAGGAACGTCCGGTTACATGTAGAAGGTTTCATGTTATTTCACTGGTCAACCGAGAAATAACAAAAATGAGCTGCCAGGCACAGTGACTCATGCCTGTAATGCCAGCACTTTGGGAGGCCGAGGTGGGTGGATCACTTGAGGTCAGGAGTTCGAGACCAGCCTGGCCAACATGGTGAAACCCCATCTCTACCGAAAATACAAAAATTAGCCGGGCATGGTGGCACATGCCTGTAGTCCCAGCTACTCGGGAGGCTAAGACAGGAGAATTGCTTGAACCTGGGAGACAGAGGTTGCAATGAAATGATTGAGCCACTGCACTCCAGCCTGGGCGACAGAGCCAGACTCTGTCTCAAACACACTCACACACACACACATGCACGCACGCACGTACGCACACACAAACACACACACAAACACCAAAATGAGCATCATTTATTAAGATTTAATAAAACTAATTTTGTACAGTTAAGAAGCTTCATTAGTTCCAAGATCAAGGCCTTCCCAAATATTTGTTATAAAAATGTCTTGGCAAAATACAAACCTTGTATTCCTATTTTGGCTTTCTCTTTTTATAAGAAGGTGCCCACAATCAGAGACTCACCTGCAATGGGCTGTCCATCTTCATGAGGTCAGTGACAGCCTGATTGCTGCTTCCCAACCCTCCTGCCCCCAGCCTGTGGCTCCCTGAAGGTGAAGGCATGAGTCCTTCTGGACACATTTCCCCCTAGTCCTGTCTGCCTCTGCCTCTGCCTCTGCCTCTGCTCTCCGCTCCTCCTCTTGCCTGCTGCCTAAGTCAAGTCACACCGTCTCTCTTCTGGACCCTAATGTACCTTAGTATTTCCCCCGCTTCTCCCTGCAGTCCTGAGTGAGTGCACTGTGTGAGCTTTAGCAGCGCTGTGTTCTTCTCTGACTTAGGTCCCTAAGCACTCAGCCCCAGCGCCGCTGCACCTTACCTTGCACTGGGAGCTCGGCCCAGGGTCTCCAGCTCCACTACCCCCGCACCCCACGCCCTCTCCCTGATGGGCCGAGCCCCTCGCACTCACCTTTCTGGGCTGTAGTGGTGTCTGCACTTGCTGCTCCTCACCCTGGAGGCTTGCTGCAGACCCAGAGCCCCCGCTGACTCACTCTTGTCGCTCACATCTCAGGCTAGATACCGCGGCCCCAAGTACCTTTCCCTGGTGCCCGGCCGGAGATGCCATCTCCCCACCTGCCCTTCACCATCATATCACGGAGGACTTATTTCCTACAGCCCTTATGGACAGATGGACTTACCTGTACTCGGTTGTTTACTTTTGTTCTTCATCTGCTGCGACCCAAGCTCCATGGAAGCAGGGCCGTTGTGACGCTTGTTCACAGCGGGATCTCCGATGTCTAGCAGAGTGTCTTGCATGCAGCCAGTGATTCATATTTGCTGAATCAATAAACTAGTGAAGAATGAATGACACAGCATGGACATGGTGTCCTAAGTTTCTGGTGTTACAATGTGTTAGCATTACAGTCTTGAGAAAGTCATTTCACACCTCTGGGTCTCAGTTTCCTTCTCTGTGAAATGTGAGCATGTGTATTCTCACTTGGCAAACAGTGGCTATTCAATGAGTGGGAGCACTTAGGGTTAACAAACACTGTATATTGTTCGAATGCTTTTGTGCTGTCATCGAGGCCAAGGACACAGAGGTGAGCACTCGGCGCAATCCAGACCTGATGGATGGGTAACACACGTGCATCCTTTTAAGTCAGTAGTTAAGTGACATGTAGCTCACACTTTTTAAAAGGATTTTTCGCAATAGTGCTGATGACTGCGCACGATCAGACATGTTGTCCAGATTTCAGAAGTGACTACATTCTTTTTTCTTTCTATTCATGGTATATAACTTATTCCTTGATTTATTAAATTAAAAAATGACTATCACATTTAAAAACATAATTTATTAAATTAAATTAAATTAATTAAATTTAAAAAGTGCATATGTTTCTGCTGCTTTCCGGGTGGAATGCTAGACTTGGAAATACAGTGGTAAAAAAAATAACAGGCATTGGCCTTGTTTTCAAGAAGTTCCCAGTACTGATGGGAGACAGCCGTGAACAAAGAATCACATATGAGAGGCAATCAAGGAGAGTAGGGGGTGCATGAGAGAATCAAAGAGGGGTCCTGAGTTAGGTGAGGGCTGCGGAGATGAAGGTGACTCTGAAGACGCGTCCTTTCTGCTGGGAGCAGAAGATGAGTAGGGCAGTCAGTCAAGGAAGGGTGTGTGGGAGGACCGGAGAGGAGATGAAGGAGGAAGGGAGAGCAGGTGAGACTGGAGATGCCTGCAGGGACTCGGAGTTGCGATCAGGATTTTAGATTTTATCCTAGGAGACACTGGGGGTTTAGAATGGGGAGTGACATGACATCATAGAAAACAGCATGAAAATGCTCTGCCCAGATTATGTCCATGGTCCCCCACCCTGAATCCACCAGATTACTTCTGATGCCAAAGGAGATTACTGCAGATTTTCCTGGATGACCTAGTTCTGTAACTGCTCAGTTAGCTCCTGTGACTGCTGTCATTGCATTTGCTGCAGTTCCAAGGGGTACGGGGGTACTTGGTCTGGGGGCATCAGGTTGTTGAGGCACTGAGATGCCGTCCTAGTGGGCTCACTCTTCCTTTAGTCTTTTGGACTAAGATGCCCTGTTTTTGTATTCAAATGTACTTTCTTTTGGAGGTCAGAGGTAAGCATTTATGTAATTCATGGTTGTAAAAAATGTCTGTGCAGGTGCCAGTCTTCTGCAGAGTTGGACTTTATACACCATAGGATGGCATAGAATTTCTTTATTCAGAAATTTAAAACATAGTTTGCACTATGAATATCTGTTCATATTCTTTCTTTCTTTCTTTTTTTTTTTTTTGAGATGGAATCTGGCTCTGTCACCCAGGCTGGAGTGCAGTGGTGCGATCTTGGCTCATTGCAAGCTCTGCCTCCTGGGTTCATGCCATTCTCCTGCCTCAGCCTCCCGAGTAGCTGGGACCACAGGCGCCTGCCACCATGCCCGGCTAATTTTTTGTATTTTTTATTAGAGACGTGGTTTCACCATGTTAGCCAGGATGGTCTCGATCTCCTGACCTCGTGATCCACCTGCCTCTACCTCCCAAATTGCTGGGATTATAGGCGTGAGCCACTGCGCCCAGCCAAGAAGAACAAATATTCTAACAATGGTCATAAGTTGTTTAGCAGTGAGGATACATTCTGACAAATACTTCATTAGGCAATTTCATCACTGCAGAAACATCACAGAGTGCACTTACACACACCTAGATAGTATAGCCTATACATACCTAGGCTGCCTGGTGTAGCCTATTGCTCCTTGGCTATAAACCTATAAAGCATGTACTGTGCTGAATGCTGTAGGCAATTGCCACCCAATGATATTTATGTATTTAAACATATTTAAACATAGAAAAGGCTTAGTAAAAACAGACGATTGAATACATATATATATATGTATGTATATATATATAATTATTGTTATTTTTTAATGGTACACTTGCCTAGGACACTTACCATGAATGGAGCTTGCAGGGCTGGAATCTGCATGGGTGGTCAATAAATGAGTGCTGAGTGAATGTGAAAGCCTAGGATACTACTATGCACTACTGTAGGCTTAGGCTATACCACATTTATTAAAAATATTTTTCAGCCAGGCATGGTGGCTCACGCCTGTAATCCCAGCACTTTGGGAGGCTGAGGCAGGTGGATCACGAGGTCAGGAGATCGAGACCATCCTGGCTAACATGGTGAAACCCCATCTCTACTAAAAATACAAAAAAAAAATTAGCCAGGGGCATGGTGGCAGGCGCCTGTAGTTCCAGCTACTCCGGAGGCTGAGGCAGGAGAATGGGTGTTAACCCGGGAGGTGGAGCTTGCAGTGAGCCGAGATCGCACCACTGCACTCCAGCCTGGGCAACAGAGAAAGACTCTGTCTCAAAAAAAAAAAAAAAATATATATATATATATATATATATATATATATATATATATATATATTTTTTTTCTTTCTTCAATAACAAATTAACCTTAGCTTACTGTAACTTTTTACTTTGTAAACATTTAAATATTTTTCAACCATTCCGATTCTTTTGTAATAACACTTAGCAGGAAACAAAAACATTGCACAGTTGTACAAAATAACTTTGTTTCCTTTTATGTTTATTCTATAAGCATTTTTTTACTAAAATTTAATTTTTTAAAAGCTTTTCTTCATTACAACTAAGCCACAAACACACACATTAACCTAGGTCTGCACAGGGTCAGGGTCATCAATATTGCTCTCTTTCACCTCCACGTCTTGTCCCACTGGAAAGTCTTCAGGGGCAGTAACATGCATGGAGTTGCCATCTCTTATATGATAATTCCTTCTTCTGGAATACCTCCTGAAGGACCAGCCTGAGGTTGTTTTACAGTTAACTTCTTTTTTTAGAAGTAGAAGTGCACTCTAAAATTAAAAGATAATAAAAAGTATCATATAGTAACACATAAACCAGTAACACAGTAGTTTATTATCAAGTATTATGTTCTGTACATAATTGCATGTGCTAGACTTTTATACGACTGGCTGTGCAATAGGTTTGTTTACACCAGCACCACCACAAACATGTGAGTAATGCCTCACACTATGATATGAGGATGGCTATGACATCACTAGACAGTAGGAATTTTTCAGCTTTATTATAACGTTATAGGATTCCAATCTTATATGTGCTCCATTGTTGACAGACATGTTGTCATGCAGCATGTGACTGCATTCCACACAAGGGCTTCTCCTTAGAGCAACAGTGTTCCACTATTTGCATCAGTATCCAATGGAGAACATGGGAACCTGTGGATATTGTGTATATCCTCCCCAAGCTAAAAGTAGCTTCCAGAAGTCTAAGAGTTTCCAGATTGTCTTCTTCAGGTCATTCATTCACAGTAAATGGGTGTACCCCTAGAATGAGGGGGTGTTTCCTTACTTTCTACCGAGTCTGGCAGACCTGCCGCCTGAGCTCCCTTGACCAGCCACCACCACCTCAGGAACATTACCCATGATGGTGTTTTCTGAAGTAAGTTTGCATTTGTCACTATGATGTCAGCCTTACATGACTCATTTACAAGGAAATTGAAGTAACTTCTCTCTCCTGATGATTCTGTTTTCTTGCCGCTGCTCTGCACCGTCTGTTGATTAAAGGGAGCCTGTCCTGAAAATAAGACTCTAAACAATTTAAAAGCAAAGGGACAAATTAAAAAGAAGTCCTTGTAAAGCCTATTGAATTAAGCAAATACCTGCTCCACTTTTTAAGTTAAGACAGACAGAATGACTAATTAAATGCTGAGTAGACCAAGACATATTGTAACTTCAAATGGCTCCAAAGTCTGGCTGACAACATTTTCCCATTGTTTCTGTAATCCTTAGTATTAGAAGAATTCTTAATCAATTTTTACTAGCAAATTAAATTTCAACAGAACACGAATTGGTATTTCCTTCATGGAAAAATGGGGTTACATGTCTTGCCATAGATAAATCGACAGGGACATTGGATAGCTCCAAATGTAACACTTGCATTTCAGTACATGTGCTTTGTTCAATTCAGATAAATGAGATAAAACTTAGGCTGCTCTGTGCTAGATACTATACAAATTGTTGAGGATATGTTGCTGAATGAGAAACCAGTGTAACTCTCAAGAAAATGTTTAATAGTGGACATGAACAGGATGGAATTAACTATAGCATATTGTGAAATGCCCTGACATTGGTGTGCACAAGATAGGTGAAGAAGAAATTATTTTCCTCTTCTGAGCTCAAAACCTTCGGTCTGAACTTGTAAGGCTGTGTAGAAGTCACCAGGACTTGAAGATCATTACAGGTAAAGGGAAAGACGTGAGTAGTTGTGCGACACACAGGTGCATGCATGGATGTTGATGGCCCCCTGGGGAAGTAACATCCAGTTCATGAGGCTTTTGCAATAAAAACTCAGGCCTATTTGAGATGTGACCTTTTTCTTACCTAGATCATGGGTTACCTGGGCTCCTGTAGAGAAAGCAGCAGGGTAGAAAGACGATGATGGAAAGGGCGAGCCAGTCCTGCCCCTTTCTTTACCAGGGCAACTCCCATCAGAGTAAAGGGTTTTCTGTTCTGCATATAAAGATTCTGGAAAAGATGCATGTTATAAAATATCATTTGAAGAAAGGATTCCACCGTTAATAAAACCACTGATTTACAGAGACTCAGTACTTTCTAGATCTGGACAAAATGAATAAAAAGGACTTTCTCTGTGACCTGGCTATCACTTCTTCCAATACAGCAGAGGCGAGGGAACGACGAAATATGATTCTGTCCTGACCCGCAGAGAAAGAATTCTGTAACTAATGATTATGAATGGCAGCTTCGATTCCCTGCAACTTCATAATCTCAGAAAGTGCAACCCGGCCAAATTTAGTCCTGAGACTCTTTGCTAGTCTTGTATTTCAGGCAGAAAATTGGAGTGCAGAAAACAAAGACAGAGGTAGTAAATATTGTATTTTGGAGTTTTGGTAGAGGCAGATTTAGTTTTCTGGCATCTTTTGCTGGTTTAGTCACCCTGTTTATCACTAAATATTTAAATTGATGCTTTATGTCTCTGAGTAGGTGCATGAATCTGTGTTCTGAGAACAAGTTAGGGTCTTTTACTTAATTATAACAGATGCAAGAGGTGATGTGCTCTAACTTGTAGTACAGCATAAAGACAGTATGATGGAATCAGGGAAGCAGAGTGGAGGGATTCACAGAAAAGGTGCTGGAGTCAGATAGGCCTGGGTGTGGATCTGACTCTGCCCTGTGTTCACATAGCACTCTCTAACTGGTGAGCGATTTCAGAGGTCAGTGTGCAATGTGGGTTACAATGCTTGCCTCATTGGGATGCCTTAAGCATTAAGTGGGACAACAGAAGAACTGAGCTTGTCTCTGAACCTTGGCTTTCTGCAAACCCATGTCAAGGGTGACTCCACAGTTGCTGTGGCCCAGAAGAGTGGGCAGCAGTGTGAAATAAAGCATAAGGCATTTTTTATTAATTTACAGCAAGATGATATAAAGAATATCAGCACGCTCTTTAGAACCACTTTATGCTTGATTGTATTTTTTTTCAGCAAATATTCAGTCCTCCTTCATGTAGGAGGAGCAGGTTTTCCTGCCTCGGTGATGTTGGCCTGGCCATGCAACCTTCACTGGAATGGGAATGGGTGTGACAGTGAGGCACAGGGTGGATGCTCTAAATGTGCTTGTGTGATTTGGTTTGGCCTTCTGTGCTCATTTCCCCTGCATGAGAAGAGTATGTCCTGGGTATCCACTTCTCACGTGTCCTGGATCGCGGGATGTCGTATACACGGAATAGACCCGAATCCTGCCTTTACCATGGATCATGGCCTCCAGCTGAACCACAGAGCCATGAGTGAGAAATAAACTACTGAGATTTTGGGGGCTGTTTGTTATTGCAGCAAAATTGCTTAATACACTTCAGATATCTTTTATGACGTCAAATAGAAAGAAACGTTTAGGGTAGAAAAGCCATAAGAAAAGCATCGTAAGCCACGAGTCCTTGAAATCTGACTCATCAAAATTCTAGTCATCTCCCAGTATGGAGCAAGTCCATGAGTCTTCTGGCCTGAAGACTTTTCTGAGCTCATTTAGACATTTCCACTGATCCAGGAAAATACTCACTAAAAGTTGCATGTTAGGGAACTGGAGGGACTCTGGGGAAAGCCACCTTCCTCCGTTTTCATCAACAAATTCATGTGGGACACAGGAGAATCTGGATATCGAAATATCCGTTCTCAAAATAAAAGAGTGATATCTATACCTTGGCTTGTGGTTTTATAAACGTGACCTCATATTCAGAGTCTTTGTCTTTAAAATCCAAAAGATCAGTTAGATTTTTATTCCTGTAACACTTGTCAGTTCTCTCTGGGTCCATGTATTTACACATTTTTTTTCTGTTTCTATATATGTTTATTCTTTTCCTGTATGAAAATTCAGTATAGTTTTAATATGACCTGCTATCTATTTATTGAATACAGAATTATACTGCTTTTAAATTTGTTTTAGCGTATGAATAGAACATTCAATCTGTTCCATCTAGAAATAAAGATGGTATTAAATGTGTATTAAGTCACTATCCTCAGTTTATTTTGTTTCCTTCTCTTTGAGTGCAGGAACAAATTTTTAAAAACTGTTTTTATCCTGATCTTTCAAATCACATTCCCATTTCTCTTTCTATTTAGAGATCACTACATCACTCATTCTGTAAGAATGTATCTAAAATATAAGTCTGGCTGTAGCATTCAAAGACACATGATTTCGTTGCATGTCCCAGCATGTGCTTGAAGTAAATGCAGAGAGCATCTTCATGCTGTTCATATATTTCTCAAGCATTCACTGTGCGTGGAATTATAACAAGGCACTGGACAGTGGTAAACTAAGTCAAAGGAATGCTTTCCCACCATCTGTTCTGGATGAAAAATCTTAGATTAGTTATGTACTAGGCTACAAATTGGAGCACCATTGTAAAATTCCTTTAAAATGCATAGGCTGAACAAACTCTGTTATAAAATCAGGTTGCATTTTTTTAATCTGGCACTAATAATTCTGTTTCCGTTTTCTAATTATTAGAAATTTGAGCTCTTTTTTGGCAAACATCTTAGTTATGTGAATTTTTAATCTAGACAACAGCAATTCAATAGAAAAAAAGAAATAGGATTATAGGAATCTAATTTTGGAGGCAAGTCCGTAAAAGAATTGTTCTTAAAATGCTGGATGAAATGCAACTCTCCCAAAGATAAAAGGAAATGTAACAAAATAGAGAGGCTCACATTCCCAACATGCAGCTTGTTGAAAGCGATCAGTGAGCAATCTGTGCCCAAATGCCACTAATGGTGCTTGGACTTCGAGTGCATACTAATGAGAATGTGCTGGCACACAGCATCTTGATTCATGTGACCTTTGAGAATGGAAAGTTGGCATAACTTTTGAACGAGAGAAAATCATTTCACATATCTTCCATTTTAATTGTCTTTGTGAACACATTTTAACAAGTGCATCAGTGTGCAGAAATAGATTCTCTTTTATAACAATGTACCCCTTAGACATTTTGGTGTGCTGGTCCATCGGCTAGTTCCAAGGTAATGTGCTCTCCTGAAATGTCACAGTGATACTCTTCAGAATAAGACCTAATAGGTATAAATCAATTTATGATGTTCAAAGTGATCTCAAATCCATTCACTCAGTTGATCTCTGCAGCTAGCCTGCCTTACCTCATTCAAAAATGTAGACTGCACATTTCCTATGTGTAGGTTGAGGTAATTGAAAGGACAAATGATATAAATACAAATATTATATAAAATAAAATATTATATTATAAAAAGGAGCAGTCCTAGCCCTCACAGAACTTTCAGCTTCATAAGTCAAAATTTACAACCTAGTATCAGATTGACAGAAACCTTAGAAGTCAGAAAATCATGACAGAGAAATTAAATAAAATTACTCAAGATCAAATAAGGAGTTAATGTTAAAACTTAGGCTAAAACACTGAATTCTGATTTAGTGTTCCCACTAACATAGCGTGATTTCAAAATCGTGTCTTTTTAATACAAAGTGCTTATTTTGAAGAGTATATTTTTGGTAAATGTAATGAAGAGAAAATGAGCATGTTTTCAATAACATTCAGTTATTGGGGTGGGAGGAGAAAGTTTTTAGACAACACATTTGTCAATGAAACTTTAGGAACCAAAGGCAAAAGCAAGGACAAACAAGTGAAGCTTTGCCTTCTGCTCTGATCAGAAGGAGGGAGGTTGATCCGCACCAGGGATCTTTAATGGGGGGATAACATCACTGTGGCTCTTGCCAAGGGATTGGTGTGTAGTTCCAGGTCACAGTATCTCCTCTGTCTGTCCTGCTCCTTCATGTAATAGTCAGAGCTCAAATTCTGGATTTGAAGGCTGAGGCAACACCTAGAGTCTGGCATGTTAGGGAAATGTCTTCAGCTCTTTAAGCTCTTCTTTTATTTATTGCTTTCTGATTTCTTCACCAGAAGCTAGAAGGGAACAAAGTGAAGCAAGCCAGTGATTCAATGTTGTCATGATTGAAGGTACAATAAGGAATCTAGAAACTTGTAAGGCTTGTGGGCATTTTGGAATCTCTTGCAAACACAACAGATTAGAAGAACAAAGTCAAATATCCAGTTATCCAAGAATGCAGGTGACTGTGGCCCTATAGTATTACAATTAATTTTAGTTGCCTTGAATAGTCAGCATAGTTTAATCAATTGACATGAATTTTTTAAACAAAGAAGATGAAGAATAGCCCAACTTGGGCAAGGGTATGATTCAAACCTTAATTGTCTTGTAGAAATACCGTGAAAGATTCCATCTACTTTCTACTACCTAAGTAGCATATTACTGAATCATTCATGAGAGGACAAAAAAATAGGTTTATGGTTGGTAGTAGAAAAATGAATTGGGTTCAATATCCAGTTGGAGTGGGTTTTTGATGTTTTTTATCTTTATGCTTTCTCTGTGGCATCAGACTTGATAGTGGCGAAGAAAGAAATGTCTAAAAATACAAAAGCTTAGTTGTTTTTGTATCCTTCTATAGGTTTTCAAGGTCTAATCCAACCTGAATCTTTTGTGCAATCCATCGTTAATGTCTACACTAGGGGTGTCCAAATTTTGAATTCCCTGGGCCACACTAGAGGAAGAATTGTCTTGGGCCACACATAAAATACACGAACACTAATGATACCTGATGAGCTTTAAAAAAAATCACACAAAAAATACCATAATGTTTTAAGAAAATTTACAAATTTGTGTTGAGCCACATTCAAAGCCTTCCTGGGCTGCGGGTTGGAAAATCTTGGTCTATACCTTGTTCAGAGCAGCTGAGGCAGCTTGGTCAAATGGTTCCCCAGCAAATGCATTGCCATAGTTTCACTGTGATGTCTTTTCTCTCAGACTGTAAGCTGCTGTGAGGAAGCGACTGTGTTCCTCTTGTCTACCACGGCATCAGCAGCATGGCCTGATGCTTGGAACAAGGACCTGAGTACCAACTATTACTGAATACTGTTCCCTGGCATTTTCTCCATGGTGATTCTACAAACAATTTTCATTTTGCTTAATTCTTATTCTCTTAATTTCCTGCAGGTATTCCCTCCACCTATTATAACTTTGGTATGCTGGTATGCTGATGTGTTTCAGGCCATGAGACTGGTGAGGGACCAACATGCCTCCTGTTGTTCTGAGTTTCTTTGTATCTCCTTTCCTCTTAGAAGTCTTCTCTTCTTTTTGAAGCTCACCTATTGTATGGGCAAATACAAATTTTAAAATAGGAGGCCTAATTCTCCCACATTGAAAATAAAGGAAGAGACTTAGCTCCTCCTTTGTGTTGGACCATTGACTTTAGAAAACTTGTGAATTCTCTCTGTGTCTCTTGGAAATGCCTGTAAACCTTTTAAAAAACTAAATAAGCCTTTTGTCAGTTTTAGGGCCTGGGAATGTTTTTTCTCAGGGGACTGGGAACATCCCTTTGTAATGTGATCAGGAAGGAAGATAGCCCTCATCTCCCAGTGTCTTTGGGAGGGTGGAATCTTAACTTAGGTGGGTGCTTGCTCCAAAACTATCTCCTCTCATAAAGATAGGAGATATTTTTCCCCTTGGCATGAAGCAGTTAGCTCACACATGATCATCTCAAGTAGATTCATCCCAATTGAATATAGGATGAGCTATTTGTGATAAGTGGTGCTGTCTAGTTTTCTTACTCAAAGGCTAGTTACTGCTTATCTCGAGAGCATGCATGGAATAGATTGTGTCTGCTTAGTTACATAAAAGGGTGAAATTTCCTTCTGTCTTTGCAATCTCTTAGAAGATTGCCTGTGATGCACATTGCATTACAGTTAGATGCTGATTAAATAATGAAGTTATTTTCTTTCTTTTTCACCTTTGTGGAGAGGGTTTCTGGTTTGAGAGGACATTTTCTTTTTAATTATGTTTCCCCAACACTCCTGTGTCATCAAGTCCATCAGCAATATCCTAGCTACCATATTCTTAATGCCTGATGCATACTATATATAAATATCTGACTTAATTCTTACAACTTATTGAAGCAAACTTACCACCATTGTACAGTTGAGGAAACTGGGACATAAAAACCTAAACGTTGTCTAAGGCAACTGGCTTTAATTTGCAAAGCCAGTATTTCAAATGCACGTCTGCTGACTATAAACAGTGTCCTTTTCATTACTTAACCTGATTGCCTCTTAGTAATTCTCTTTCTTAAATCTTTAGTGTCTGCCTCACAAGGGTCAAAGTTGGACCTCTGAAACTGAAAGAGATTGGAGGTTCGAGTCTTTAGAGTCGAAAAGGCCAAAGACCGGGCTGTAAGGAGAGGATCACTGTGGCTTCTGAGGCCTTTGTTGAGACCTTCTTGAATGTGATAATGACTAGCAGTTGGGGGATGGGAGCGGTGGTCATGATTAGTTATCAGGCGTCATGATGAGCGATTTGTAGAATATTAATTCTCTCATTAGACTGATGAGGACACTAATATTAACTCTTATTTATTTATTTATTATTTTTATTTTTAGGAGATTGAGTCTCTCTCTGTTGCCCAGGCTGGAGTGTGGTGGCTATTCGCATGCATAATCCCACTACTGATTAGCACAGGAGTTTGACTTGCTCTATTTTCATCCTTAAATGGTTCATCCCTCCTTAGGCAGCCTGCTGGTCCTCTGCTGCTGGAGGTCACTGTGTTAATGCCAAACTTAGTGCAGACACCTCAGCCACATAGCTCACTACAGCCCAGAACTCCTGGACCCAAGAAATTCTCCTGCCTCAGACTCCCAAGTAGCTGGGATTACAGGGACACACCACTATGTCCAGCAGGTTTTAAAAAAAGACTTTAGGTTTTTTTTTTTTTCCTATTTTAAATATTAAGGAATTTAGAACATTTTTATAGAACTTGCTATAGGCTGAATAGCTAATATGTAGCAGCTAATCTGTATGTTTTTAAGGCTATTACAAAAGGCAGTAACAATATTTTTTACCTGATCATAAGAATCATATCAGCAATAGTTGAAAACACAGATTATCAGGTCCTTTCATTTGAGAGCCTTGTTTGGAATTTTCCATGAATGCCCTTTGTGAATCTTATGAGAAGTTAACTATGAGCATGAAGGAATCCAGAAAATAGTGTCTTAAATTATGCTGCATTTGTTGATTACCTCAAACCGAAGGCATTTGGAAAACAGCAAATGCACGGAGGGCTTTTCCTGAATTTCCCTCATCTGATTAAAGGCAGATTCTTTAGAAGGAAGCCAATTGTCATGAAAACACTCCCTGGGCATCGTTATCTATTGAGGAAGAGTTGTAGGCATCAGGAATCATAGTCTAACTTAGAAGAGACTGGAAATTAACAGCTCAACTAGTCAGGGTAGTACCTATTCTTTAAGGATGCTTTTTTTAATTCTTATTTTTATTTCTAGACCATTTACTCTCCCTAGGTTGCCTCCATTTCCCTCTCCTCTATGAAGAAGTCTATATAAGCTTCCAAATCGCATTGGGTTATTGGCTATCACTTATCTTCCATGTGATGCTCCCATGAATGTTAATACATTTGTATACCTTTTTCTCCTGCTGATCTATTAGGAATTTATTTCAGGGACCCTTCAGAGGGCAGAAGGGAAGCTTCCTCTCTCTGCCCCTACAGACATCTGCAGCAGAGACTTTTGAATGACAGATGGCTGATGACGGTGGGGTTGTGTAATGTGGGGGTGCACACTGGATTGTTGAACTGGATGGTGTTGACTTTCAACTAGAATTGTTTTGTAGAGTGATGGCGGTGAAATCATGATCTGGAAATACCAGTGCTCTGGGTCCCTCCCTTAGGTCATGAGCTTGGGACACTGCGGAGGAAATTATATTGGAAAGGGTTTTGAGGAAGGTGGTGCTATCACGGGAAAATTGTGTTAGTTCAGGTTAGAAGACGGTGGGAGGAGAGAATGGCACAGGTTTGGAAAGGAAAGTTTTCAGATTTTAATTTTCATTTCCATGTCAGCAATAGAATAGGGGTGGGTGGATGGAGGGGCTGTGTTTAGTGGGCTGAGGTGAATAAGTGTATGTGGGAGGTGGGATGGGGAGCCGGAAATTGGAGAGTTGGGGCCCAGGGTAAGAATTATCCAAGGCAAAGATGTAGGACACCAGAGACAGAAAACAGCTGCAAGTGATGGGGTGTGAGGGCTGAGGCGAAGGTGGGAAGGGCAGGCGAAATCTTGGCTCTGCCAACACAATGGGACCCCAATTCCAAGGATCAAACAAAAGCAGCTTCCTCATTTATAACTAACTGGAAGCCAAATTAATTAGTAATCAAGACACTTTTAGATCCCAGGGAGAAAGAGCATGCTGTTAAAATAAGAGAAAACAAAACAGTTTAGAATATCCATTGAATGTGTATTCCAAAAAATTAATAAGAAATAACTAAAATATGCAATTCCTGAATTTAGAAAGAATAAATTGGTACTGAATCATGGAACATTAGAACTGAAACAAACCCTGACCATAAGCATCAATTCTAGGTCTCTCAGTTTGTAGGGAAGAAGCTGAGGCCCAGTGTTGTACAGAGGCATGTTGGACTCCAGAATCACACATTTGCCCTGACAGCAGGCTCAGTCTCTGAGGTCCCGCAGGCTGTGTTCCCTGTTTGGTTTCCTTCTGTGGCTTGGATGCAGAAGAAGATAAAACAGGATGTGGGCTGCTTTTGTCATGTATAATATTAACTTTTTAAGTTAATCAAGGGCACTAACAACTCTATATATTTCTCTGTGCGTTTACACCCTAAAATTTCAAATAGCCATGTTTAACACGGCTTTAAGGCAACTTTTCTGCCTTTGTTCCAGATTTCCTTCCCAGTGTAAAAGCACTCCTCATTCTTCTGATGGACAATAAGTGAAAACATTTCACCTGCAAGTGAAAAGCCCACTTGTAAACAAACCCGCACCCCAACCCAATCCCTGCTAGGCTTTCTACCCCTTTGCATTTCACTATTTCTTATTCTTTCTGCAAGAGGATGGTAACATTCTTACATCACCTCTGGCTTCAGTGAAAACAGTTATTTGTGTCCACAGGTTAATGCTTCTGCCTAGAACATTTCCTTGCTCTTTTCTATTTGAAAATACTTGAATTAGGATTTTGAAGTCATGGAACAAAATCTGCAGCAGAATATAAAATGGAATAGGATGTTCAAATGTGCAGGGAGCTGAAATACAGTATTTGCAATCAGGGCATGGGAAAATCTCTGGGTTGATTAAAATGTAGACTAAGCAGCTGACATAAGATTCTTTATTTACTCTGATGTGAGGCACTGGAATAAAAAAGATTAGGATTTTCTACATGCATACAGAGTTTGGGTCTATGATTTGCCTAAGGAGAGTAGGAAATAAGAATTGGTTTTCTTGATGATAATTGCTCAAGATGGTATGAATATTGCTAATAGTTTCACTAGCACAAAGAGATGATAGGATTACAACCATTCTAATGGAAATGCAAATTTTGGAATTAGCTTGGCTTTTCATCTTATCTGCGTCATTTTTTAGCCTAGCAGACTTGGTCTAGCCACTTAACCCTTTTGTATCATCCTTAAAATTCTATGCAGTTCTAGAGCTTTGTAATCACTTTAGTATGCGATTGACTAATATCCTGGGAAGGGCCAGCTGGAAAAGAAATCAACGTTATTTACTGAGCTGATAATTTTCGTATGTAGACTCTCTTTCTCTTCTTTCTGGTGTTTGTCCTTTGACCATTTATTGTCTACTTTGCAAGATGATATTGAGAGAATGTGAAAGGGTTTGAAATTTCAGCAAGTTTAGTTTGCAACTTGCTTATGTTTTTGGAAAAGAAATTTTCTTAACCTTGTATCCTTGTCTGCTATTATGACAGAGATTTTGGAAGTGAAAATACCTGCATAATAAATTTAGTTCTCTATGTGGACATAAAGTGGCTTTTACTAGATTGTGAACACCTTGAGGATAGGGACCCTCTTGTATTCTGTGACTATCAGAAAATTTGTCATGGAATGGGTGCTTACTCAACTTTTCCACAAATTACAGACCTTTGGAAAAGCTTCAAGGGACCAAATTGCCCTTCTATTGGTTTCCAGATTCCTGAGAACACTCAGGTGTTTTATACTTATAAAATTTTAGAGTAGAATTCAACTACACAATATCTTTTCCTATTGCCTTTGTTATATTTGATAAAGTGGTTTTTATTAGCTAGGGTAGTCCGACTGTTATAGTAAAATATCCCCAAATCTGAGTGGATTAACATAGAAGTTTCTTTCTTTTTCACGTAACGAGACAATGTGGGTATTCAGCAAGCAGCCTTTCATGTGGTGATTCAGGGACTCAAGCATCTTCTACCTGTGTCTCCTCAAGCTCTGGGGTCCTCTGTTGATTCTGATGCTTTGGATGCAGATGAGAAAAAGAGAGAGAGAGAGAGAGAGGAGGATCACTGTGGGAGGATTTTATGGGTCAGTCCTAAAAGAAAAAACCAGTACTTCTGCCTACAGTCTCTGACTGGAACTATTACATGGCTACACCTGCCTGTAAGGGACTGGGACCCACAGACGAGTCATGTGCTCAGTAGGAGAAGGAAAATGATGTTGTGAACACATCGAAGTGTCAGCCATGGTCTACTGTGTTAGCCAGAACATACACTCCAGTCTTCTGACCACAGTAGGATACACCCCCACCTCCCAGTGTACACAGCTCCAGATCCCACTCATAGCATTGAGGGCCAAAGCCAGGATCTTTTGATGATGTGTGGGCCTTGCTTCCACACCCGTGTGTATTGGTACATATGGGATGGTAAAACTTTTATTTGGAAAAGGAAAAATAGAATACATAGAGAAGCCCTAGTCTCCAACCATTGTGAAATCCTCTAAACAAGGTGTTATGCAGCCCCTGTCCTACACAGGAGCAAGAGGACTTGTTAAGGCCCTGACTCTGCTCTCTAGGGTGAGCTCCCTCTCTCTTATTTTATATCCTTTGCCTCTTATTCCCCATGGCCACATCTAAGTGAGGATGGTATGTTCTCTCTAAGATTGTAGAGATTCTAGGTTGATGCAAAAGTAACTGCAGTCTTTGCCACTAAAAGTAATTACTTCTGCACCAACCCCATAGTATTGTTTCCTTCTGATCAGGTGAGTTTTGGGGCCTAAAACTTGTTTTAAGCATCAAAAAGCAAAAAGAGTAAGAACTGGATTTAAAGTTTCTTGGTCCGTAACATTTTCTCAGAATTCAGTAGGTATCTCATGGATTTGCTTCTAGTTAATTCCCCATGCTTTAATAACCATACCCAGCATTTGTTTCTACACATAATCATCAAGCCCGATTTGTTCTGTGGCTTTTTTGGCCCCATGACTCCTCAGTGTAATGACAGCTTAATTTGAAATAATAGACTTTGGTGACACTTCTAATTCAACCTTTGCTGAGATCCCTTGTTTCACTGAAAAGTTTTGCTGGGCCCTTGTGGCTCAAGCCCAGTGTGCACCTTAGCTCTTCCTCTTTGCAGGTGGCTTTTCCTACCATGCCCGGCTCTTTCCTCTGATCTCTGCCGGAAAGCCAGCCAATCCTCATTGGTGCTTTTGTCTTTCTTGGATTCCTACTAATGTCAGTCAACAGTAATCGACACATCAGAACTCTTTCATCCACTTCCTCTAGAGTAGAGGCTCAGCAAGAATGTGGGCTTTCTTCCCAATTATTGGAGGGCTGGATTTACACAACTGTGCAGTGTGATTGTTCAGCTAGTGGTCATCTGGGCAGCGCTTCAGAACACCAGGCTCCTGCATCTCATAGCTCTGCCACCCCTAGGGCCTCAGAGTTCCCTGCTGGGTCCTCTGCTCATGGAAGGATGGAGGATGGAAGATGACTTGGGAAGGTTCATATGAGCCAGATATGGAAGTGGCCTGTGTTTGATTGGCAAAGACTAATGGCTACATCTAACTACAAATTCAAGAATTATTTTCTAGCCCAGGTGAAAAGGAAACAGGTTTTGGTGAACACATGGCAACCTTGGCCACAGGTAGCAAAGACATGGACAGGTGGCAATATGTGCTCATGTGAACAGTTCAAAAGCATGTTTAAAGGTAAGAAAGAGGAACAAGAAGCAGGTATTCTTAGACGCGGCTAAAGAAATACAAAGAGTAAATATGGGGGGGACATCCTCATTTAAGGACTTTCTTAAAGCCAAATAAAAATTAAAGAGAAAGTGGTGTGTGTCTCCCTCACCTGTCCCTGCTGATGGCCAGATGTGGTAGAGTCCTTCACTAGACTTGAAGACAGAGGTGGAAAGAAAGTCTTCTAAAGAGACACAGAAGCAAGGTGGGCTGATTTTTCTCAAAAGTTGAGTCTGCAAACCATACATTAATGCCACTTAGGTTTGTTCCTTTCCTGCAAGGCTGTGCATGAGTCATCTGGGTTCATTATTATTTAAAAATAACACAGGGAAGGTAGGAACAATGGAAGAAAACCCATCTCTGGCATTCAAGTAATCCATTGGCATCTATCTTGGGCAGGATGTGGGGTCGACTTCAGAGCTCCCAGCAGCTGCGGTTTCACATCCAGATAGGCACTCGGCTACATGTGAGGACAACTTCTGACCAAACTGGATAAAAGTGCTTGGTAGATTTTCACAATTTAGCTCTCTAATGCAGTTTACTAAAGCCTTTCATAAAAGAAATTATTTCTGAATTTTCCCAGGGATACGATGCAAAATGATCAGCCTCTCTAAGTTCAATTTCCTAAGTCAACCACTTGTCAATTTAGTTGTGGCAGAAAAGTAAGAGAAAAGTGAAGAATCTCTTATTCTGCACTTGGCAACTTAATATTATATATGTCGAATCATTCCTAGTTTTAGAAATCTCATCAACCTAGAATTTTTTCTTCCTTTCTTCCTTCTTGCCTGCCTTCCTGCCCTCTTTTCTTCTGTCTTTGTTTTCTTACTTTCTTTCAACATTCAGGCACTATTCTGGGTGCAGAACATAAACTGGTAAAGAAAAGTATATATATCCGTGGAGAGGCAATAATCTAATGTAGTGTGTGCAGTAGGAATATATTATGAGCCACACATGTAATTTTAAATTTCCTTATAGCCACATTAAAAAGCTATAAAGAAAAAGCTGAAATTAATTTAAAGCATATATATCCCTATATATTCAAAAACTGGTATCATGAAAATATTTCTCTTTCTTGGTTCTAAATCTTCAAAATATAGTGTACATTTCACACTTCCAGTACATCTCAATTTTGACTAGTGGCTAGTCCAAATATCAGGTTTTCAGTAGTTACATGTGGGTAGCAGCTACCACGTTGAAGGGTGCAGGTCTAGTGAAAGATACTGAGGCACTTATAGTCAACTGTAATAAGCACCATTCTATGTGTCTCCATGAGACACAGAGGAGTCACCTGACCCAGATTTAGGAAATCAGAGAAGGTTGTTGACTGACAGTTGAGGATTTGATTTCAAATGATAAATACTTACTCTCCCTATTTCTTTAATGCCATCTAAGAATATTGGCTTCTTGTTCCTCTTTCTTAGCTTACAAACATGCTTTTGAACTGTTCATGTGAGCACATGTTGCCACTTGTCCATGTGTTTAGTTGGTCAAATCAGTGGCACAAAAGAAATATGTGGGGAAGAAAGAATATTATACAATAACATAGTGGTGAGAGAAAACACTGCCTGTTAAATAATTAAGCAACTCTGTGTGGTTCCAATGTAGAGAGCAAGCAGCAGGACTGGGGTGGAAGTGGTTCCTAAAGCCACATCAGGGACTGATGGGTTGACACCATTCCTTCCCCTGGAAGTTAATTTCTAGATCATTGTTCTAGACTGTTAGAGCAAGGAAAGCCTGGAGGCAGCAAGACTATAAGCTCTCTCAATGATAAAAGCCAGAGTCGAGGAAGGGCAGCCTATTTAGGATAGTAGGTGTTGGGAAGAAATATTTAAGAGGAAAGAAAAAGCAAATGGTATACCACAAAACCAGCTTCTATCTAGTGAGATAATATTCAAAATTGTTTCTGCATCCACAGTTCATTTCAAAATGAAAAATTGATTTACCCTGTGACCTAGAAGTTACACTTTGGGGCGTCTATTCTGGAGATACAAATATTTATTTTTGTGCAGGAACTTGTACACAAATGTTTGTATCAGCTTTGTTCATAATAGCCAAAACTTGGAAATGACTCACTTCTCCTTCAGTAGGTGAATGGTTAAATGAACTGTGGTACCTGAGTATCATGGAATACTACTCAGCAATGAAAAACTCTCCATGCATGCAACGACTTAGATGAATGGCAAGACATTTATGCTGAGTAGAAAAAGCCAATCTCAAAAGGATAAATACTGTATAGTCAGATTGATGTAGCATTCATGAAATAACATGAATTCATGAAATAACAAATAGAGACAGAGAACATAGTGGTTTCCAGGAGTTAGGGATGGTAGGAGAAGTGGGGCTATAAACTGGTAAAAAGAGAGGGTCTTGTGTTGACAAGAGGGAGTATCTTAATTGTGATAGTCATTACACGAGGATATTCACGTGATAAAATTGCACAGACACAGACACAAATGAGTGCATGTATAGACGGTGAGATCTGAATGAGCTCTGTGGATTGTATCCATGTCAGTTTCTTGACCTTGGTATTGCGCTATAGTTATGCTAGGTATTTGCGTGGAGGGAAGCTGAGCGAAGAGTGGGCAGGACTTCCTGGCACATTTCTTTACAACCATCTGCGAGTCTATAGAAAAAAACTAAATAAAAAGTTAAAAAATGGCCTCTGCTGTTGTCACTGTTTGCCTTAAGGAAGATCTAGGAAAATGCCGCAGCACTTTTTGCCTGAGTGCTATAAATCACCGCAGAGCATTTCCCTACTTTAACTACTTTCTTGTCAGGTTATAACCATCAAATATATGTATTAAGGACACATAGAAAGTGCTGTACACAGATATAAAATATAGAGATCATCTTGCATATTCAGATCCATGACTGTCTAATGATCAAATCCTGTTCTCATCCCCTTTAATCTGAATTATTGAAATGTAGAATTAAATAATAACTTTTCCTTCTTTGTTCATCCTCCCTTCTTTTTAAGAATACTAGATTCCTCTCAGAGTTCCCCAGGATGCAGTTGACTCCTTTGTATATAGAGACATCTGACACTCAGTGAGCCCTACTAATACTTGCATCTCCATGGACGTCCTGTTCCTGAATTCTCTTTTCATGGTTGGTCTAAGAGGTGTGATGTATAAATGTATACTCAATCTACAGGCCCTGGGTACTGAAAGTTTTAAAATGCAAACTATGTGAGAGAGTACTTAGATCACCTTCAAATGCGGACTTTCTTCCCTACTCCCACTAAAATCACCATTGTACATGATGACAAGCCACAGTTTCTTTTACTTAGTCTCTCTGCAGGCTTGGACACCGTGCACTGTTCCTTCCTTCTTGGGACATTTTCTTGGCTTTGCTTCCAGGAACCACAACTCCCTTGATTTCTTGCTTCCTCTCTGCCTGGTAGTTCTCACTGTTCAGTTTTTGATGACCCTTCCTCCCCTTCCCACTCCGCAAAGATCAGAATTCTCAAAGGCAGCCACACTTGGCCTCCTCTCTAGCTGTGGTCCCAGAGCTTTAGATGTCATCTGTCTACTCATGAAACGCAAACTTATATCTCCAGCTCCTTTCATGCTGCCATTCTCCCTCTCCTCCACATGTCAGGCTGCCAACTTAGCATCTCACAGCTGACACGTCTGGATCACAACTTGGAATTTATTCTCCATCACCCTCTCCTCCACAGCTTGCACCTTCTCCACTTTGTTCTGCCTCAGAAAGCAGTACCACGCTTAATGCAGTTTTCATACCTCGAAGCTTGGAGATTTTATTTCCCCCGCACAACAGATTCAAGCACCAGTAAATCCTGTTGGAGTTACCTTCAAAACATGTTCTAGATCAGACTTCTTTCTGCCATCTGCCCAGTAATTACCTTAGATCAAGCTGTGACCCTCTCTCATTAGAATTCTGTAGATCCTGTGGTATCCATCTCCTGCTCAAAACCTCCAGTGGCTTTTCCTGACACTTAGAAAAACAAAATCTGAATTTTTTACCCGGGTTTGCAAGGCCCTGCATGAGCTTGCCCTGGCATGTCCCCATGACTGCCTCTTTTGCCACTGACACTTTCTCTTGGCCTGCATGGCTCCATGGGTCCTGCAGGTGGTCCTGGAGATCCCAGGCATGCTCTTTTTTCAGGGGCTTTGAAATGTTTGTTAACAAGCAGGTTAGGCTTTGCTCCTATTTGAATGTTCCACCATTAGTTTGCAGTGGTATTTCTTCATTATAATGACCTAGAATATTAAACACCCAAGTGGATACAAAGGGATTCATCCAAAGGGATTTTTGCTGCTCCTCAACACTCAAGGTTTCTCCCAGCTCCTCCCAGATCTTGCTCCGGCCCTCTATCTGGATCAGAAAGTCACATGCTGCAAGGCTTTCCCTAACTCTCTACACGCTTCCTTGTCCATCTTAGTTCCTTGCTCTACCTTTTCATCATCTTCGTTAGAGCTGTCACTCTCTGTCATTACATAATTTTTTCGGAGAATTTTTTTCTGTTTTCTGTTTCTCTTCCTGCCACCAATTTCCTTTATTTTTCCTTCTTTCCTTTTTTTTTTTTTAACTTTGAGCTGACAGTTACCCATATTTTGTTTATTTAAAATTTTAGAATTTTTAATTTTGTGGGTACATAGTAGTTGTATATATTTATTGGGTGCATGAGATGTTTTGATACAGGCATTCAAAGTGAAATACTCATATCATGGAGAATGCGGTATCCATCCCCTTAAGCATTTATGCCTTGCCAGCCACAATTTTCAAAGATATGATCCAAGAGGTATCTTGTTGGTCTTATTTACTGCAGGATCCCTCGTGCTTAAAAATGGCAAATACATGAATTGCAAGCCATGTACCTGGATTTTGTACCTGACTCTGGAATTTCTGAAGTAGGTGTTAAGTTTTTGGCCTTTGTGGTAGGAAAGTAACTTTATCCTATATACATTTGGTTACTTGGCTGGTGTCAATATGTTCATTGACATCTTGAAAGTTTTATAAACAAGTAGGCCAGTCTTTACTCTTATTTGAATTTTTTCCATCATTAGTTCACAGTGGCATTTGTTCACTAGAATAAACTAGACTATTAAATACTCAAAGTGCCTACAAAGAGGTTCAAGATAGAGTTCCTCCTCCAAGGAACTCAAGGTCGAATATGTGGATTGCAAGGTAGTTAAAAATTCTGACAACCTGCTTTTGGGCATTTGGAAGAGAGTAAACATGTCCTTCTGCAACTAAAGACAGGTACTTATGAGATTATGTATGGAGGAGAGGGCAGAGCTTGGGTGATAGCAAACCTGATGTAGAAAATACCAGGAGTTTTTGAGTTGCAGACGCCAACAGTTTGGCAAGGTCAGGCTGCATTCTAATTGCCACTGGTGTCATTTAATGATGTGATGGCAGATTCAGTATGCATTTTCTTAAATGATAGAATGTAACTTTGCAGAAAGCAAAATGTAGAAAAGTAATTGGAAGTCTCTCTTTGTTTTCTTAAGAAGTAATCATATCACCTCATTGTTTATGGCCCACTATGTTGCATTCTTATGAGCTGACTATGGAAATGAGTCTCTAGGATGAACATAGAAACTTCACGAATTACAGCCTAGCTACAAAATTAGTGTTATGTAATCCTCCAACCACCTCCCTCTGCCGCCGAGTTCTGAAATAGCGGTGCACTAGAGTGGGTGGTAAAACTGTCTAATAGTTAGCTGCTAGATGAGACTGATTTGCATTCATTTCTATTTTACCAAATTATTTTGGGAAAAGAGTCTTAATTGACAGCATCACCACAATAGACCTTACTTTTGGCTGAGTTTAACAGCCATTCTGGTGCCACCCAGATCTGTGGCTTTGTGGAACCAGGCTGGGTTCCCCTAAGGTGAGGATGCTCACATCCCCCAGTGACCTGTCTTCAGGTGAGCCTTCGGCTGGCTGGACCCGAATGACACCCTCCCCAGGACACTTTCTTGCCATGTGGCTTTATTCTTGAATCATTTACTTGCGTCCAATTTTCCTAGTAAATATGTGTAGTCATATTAAATAGGTAAGTGTGTCTTGTTCCTGGCTTGTTTACTATTGCCAAATACTTCCAAACTGGAGTGGAAACTTGGCTACTTGTGAGTAAGAAGAAAATAACTAGGAAAGATGAGTGTACCTATAATAAGAACAGAGTCTCTGTGTGTAAGCAAAGTATTGAAACTCACACTCATCCACATGTATGCACATATGCTTAGGCGCAGATAAATGACTCCATTTTACCCTAAAAGTCTGTCTGCTGTAGTTTGAAGAGTAATTCCCAGTTCTCATGAGGGTTTCTTTTAATAGTAAAAAAAAAGTATGGTTTCAAACAAACAAAATGAGCTCCCACTTTTTACAGTGCAGTAAAAAACAACAATAACAAAAAGCTTTAGCCAAATAAAGTGACAAAAATACAATTTTGTAGATATAAAAGTACAAAATTTATTAACATGGTTATCTGTAAAAATAAAGTGATATTCTTAGTAATCTTGGCAGACATAAATTTACACACAAAGTATCTTAACCTGTTTAACCCATTTATTTCCAAACTAAAGCTTGTTTTCCACAGGATTAGAAAATATTTTACTCTGAGTTTTTCTTGGTGTAGGTTTTCCTTCTATAATTTATTTCTGCTGTACAGTGTTTGAAGCCTGGCTATTAAAATACTACTAAAATTTTTTTTTTCTCTAGAACTGATTTCCTACTTCTTAGATAAGTCTTAGGCCAAATTTGCTCCAGACCTGCCTGGGACCACTGCATATTTTGTCTCCTACATAAATGAAAACGTAACAACCACTGCTCTTAAAGCCCTTATTTCTCAGTGGCTTTTCTTCTATGGAAGTTTCCGTCAGTTGCATTGCTTTTCCTGTGTCCTGAAGCTGGGTCTGCAAGCATTCTAACAGATGCTTAAATTTCTTCCTTGAACCCATTCTTTATTTTCTAGGAGGTGTTCTTGACACTGAATTTATAAAGAGTTTTTCAGGCCCAGAATATAATACTGAAAACTCATGTGTGGAGAACTTACAAGGATTTTAAAAATGATTTTTTTAAAGTGGATTTATTCAACAAGCTTTGTTGAGTGCATCATTCTTACAATTTCTTGAATTTCTGGAATTGAATTATTAGATCCGAACAACTCTCTCATCAAAATTGCATTTGCTTTTAAGTGACTGCTTCAGAGAAAAGTACAAGCTTTACTTTTATTCTAAGCTAATTTGTCCACTTTGTCATCATCTGTAATCTCTAGAGTGTAGCCGGCCATTGTGTGAAGAGTGCCAGAAGAAATGTAAAAAGAGAATTGAAAGGAAATGAAAAGTTATTTGATCGTTGACTACTTTCTTATTCTAACGCCTGAATGGAGAAGATGGAAGCATTAGAAGGACTGCATTTATTCTGGGAAAAACTTAGAAGAGTAATTGTCCTTCACACAAAATCTTTTGTTACTTTTATCTTTCTTATTACTAGAAGGTATTTTTATGTGTGATTATCAATAGTGGTAAAGTATAGGACAATGATATGAAATCCATTTCGTAACTGTTCTTTGGTAAAATAGCTTTCCTTTTTTTAAGCTTGAACTGGAAGAATGAGCAGGTATCATAAAGACTGTGAGCTTTTCGGTGACATAAAATTGCTGTTCTATTATAATTTCCTTTTACAATTTCTTGAAAATCTAACAGAAAGTTGAAACCTGCATTATAACTATCTACAAATGGAATTGAAACAAAATAAGGAGCCCCCAAATGTGCTCATTAATACTCATTGAAAACTTTAATTTTAATTAAAAATACAACTTCTTTGGTGTTTTTCATTTCATACTCCATTTGCCTAACCTGACACTGTTAAATTAAGTTGCAAGCATTTCTCTCATGGTACAAATGGGATGTTTTTAGCATTTAGTTAAAAAATATGGTTTGTAATGTCCATTTATTAAACAAATGTTTGTTGAGTATCCATGGTGTTCCAGGCATGATTTTACATGGTGTGATACCACAGCAAAGAAACACGGTCCTTGTTTCCATCTGGTGTTAGGTCAGATGGTGGAAGCACAGCGTTGATATACATTGCAGGCGTGTGAGGCACTCTGTGTGTCCAGGTGGAAAAATGGAAACCAACTGTGACCACATGAGGTGAGGGTAGGCTGGTATTATGGGGGTATCCAGGGAGACATCTGCACACCCGGGGAGGCCCAGGGGCTTTCTTAAGTGAAAAGGAGTTGATGAGATAAAGGCAAGAAGGGAGAGGAGAGACACAAGGAGCAAAACCTGGAGCTTTCCTGCATCTGGTGAGCCCCAAGTTTTCACAGGCTCATAGGCTGTTAGGGGTGTTGAATGAGGCTGAAGCAGCACAGAGCTGAGATGTGGGGGCCTCCTGCACTGTGCAGAGGGAGCCTGTGATGTGCTGTATACAAGGGATCATATTGTTCAGACTGGAGGCTATTAAAATAGAAACAATGGTGAGGAGGTGAGAAATGATGAGAACCTGTATTAAGACCATGATAGTGGGAATGAGAGAGTGAGAGATTTGGAAGACACTGAGAAGGAAAATTGGCATGACCTTGAGACCAAAGGGAAAGAAGGGGAAGAGTCTGGAGTAAGTTCAAGTTTTTCACTTGGGTTTTGGTATAGGGTCACTGAGAGAGCTATAAAGGATAGGAAGAGAGTGGGCAGGTGGTGAATGGGGTTCAAGAACACTGAATTGATGTTGGCTCTGGAGAACAGGAGTAGGTAGCAGCTGTATCCATCTGAAGCCCACAATGGGATTTGGATTATAAATAAAAATTCAGAAATCATCAGCATTTGGGTAGTTAAAATGCCATCAGATGAACTCACCAAGGAGAGTTGTATAGAGTAAAAGAGCCAATACTCCTTTCACAAAACCTCAAAGTATACCAAGAAAGGGGGGAAAAAAGCCTAGATGGGATGCTTAATTATCTGTTACAACATACTGTAACGCAGGTCAGGAGTCAGTGCCTTGTTAGCTGGGTCCTCTGCTTTGAGAATCTCCCAAGGTTGTAATCAATGGAATCAAGGTGTTAAGCAGGGCTGTGATCTCATCTGAAGCTTGACTGGGGAAAAATTTTACGGGAACTCATGTGGTTGTTAGCAGTATTCCATTATTTTGCAGACTGCTGGACTGAGGGCCTCAGTTTCTTGATGGAAGCCACCTTCAAATCCTAGAGGACACCTGAAGTTCCTTGACATGTGGCCTCCCCATCATGGGATCCTCCTTCATTACAGCCAGCAAGGAAGAGAGGACCTCCTGGTAGGAAGGGTGTTACTATTGTATGTAGTGTAATCACATACACACGCTCACACATGTCCTGTGACCATGATGTATTCTATTGGTTATAAGCAAATCAAAAGTACTTTCCACATTCAGCAGGGAGGAAATTATACACCAGAAGGTGGGGACTCTGGGGCCACTTTCATGTCTGTCACTATGAAGCAGGGAAGGGATGACTACAAAGTTTCAAAGAGATCTAGAAGGGTGTGGTGTAATGGCTTTCATAGGGTAGGGAGTTTCAAAAATAAAGATATGTGTACTAAATTGAGCAATTAGAGGGTCCCTCCCTGATGAGCTTAGCTAGAACAACTTTAGTGGAGGGGTGGAGGTGAAATCGCATTGCAGTGTGTTGAGGTATGAATGGGAGGTGAAGGCTTGGAGAGGAGAATTCAATTTCTCTTTCAAAATTTCATATTTCCACATGAAAAGAGTAAGACTAAAATTGTATCAAAATCAGTTTTTAAAATCGATTTTATTTATTGAAATAAAGAGATTCAGGAAAGCACTGATTTGGAAACATGAAAGCCAATACTTCTGCATTAAAATTACTTACAATATTTAGGGACTTGGCTCTTCAGATTTGGAAAGTTTATTGGACTGGAGGGATATATGGGTTTTGATCACCTGCTCTGACATTTAATGTTTGTGAGATCCTGCAAAGCCCACTGGCCTTTTGGGGGCTTCTTTTCCTTTCCACAAAATAAAGAGATACAATATATTAAAAGAGGCAGAATTTTAGGTCTCCTTCAGTTTCAATATTTTGTGATGTTGTGGTTCTTTTATAACTTCATATGTTGTTATTCACAGAATAAGTGGCAAATTTACAATTTTCTAAGAGATTTTAATTCTAGAGAGGTGTGTTTCATAGTATAGTAAAAGCTGGAACACTGCCATAAAGCAGCAGCATCTCCAGTCATCTGCAGCCTTCACAAAAGTTGAGGATGAGTTTGTGTGCATTGCCCTCTATAGAGAGTGGATTAAAGCTTTGAGATGCAGCAGTTCTTGTTCAGGCCAGTTACTGTGACACATGCCTGGTCAAAGCATGCTTTTTATAACATGATTCTCCTTTATCAACCGACAGTAAATGGAAACAATTTCTTCCTAGCCTAAACAGTGTTAGAAAAACAAAAAAGAACATGCCGAAGATGGTTGGAACAAGAAATGCAAATATACCCACTTTCCCTCTTACTGAAATTCTAGCTGGCCTCAGGCACCCAGTTTCCCCCTCAGGATTCACCAAGTCTGCACCTCCACCAGTTTCCTGGGGGCAAATGGGGATATAACAAAAGACCAATAATATTGACTCTCAGATACATTGAGTGGATAGAAGACCTGAATCTCTTCTCTCAAGAGTATCTTTTGATGACCAATTGACCCACAGCTAAGGTTTAGCCTCCCATGTGTGGCTGCTGGAGACTCTGCCTGAGATGTTCCGCTTTGAGCAGTGACTAGGTCTCTAGGAAGACAGCTAGCTCCACATTACTTTTCAGTACCACAAGAAGGGGACAGCTAAAGTCAGTGGCTCAGTTCCCTCTCCCCTCTGCCAAAGCTGGCTCGTGAAGGAAGGTTTTCAAACTGTCTGGGTTGGCTTAGGTAGCACATTGGCTGCTGCAATCTTAGCAGCCTCCTGCCATCCTTTCTGATGAAGTTCAGCACAGGCCTCTGCCTCTTCCCTCAGCTATACTGTGTTTGCTTGCTTAGAATTCCATTTACAAGGGATAGTATGAGTTTAATAGCATGCCCATGCCTGTTGCTCATGCCCGCTGTCCTGTACAACTCCTCCCAAAGTGTTACAGGCATCATGTCTGTTATGGAGTGAATGCTTGCTTCCCTCACTCCACCAGATTCATACTCTGAAATCCTAACCCCAATGGGATGATATTAAGAGATGGAGCCTTTGGGAGGTGGTCAGGTTTAGATGAGGTCATTAAGGCCTGGCTTCATCACGGATTAGTGTTCTTATAAGAAGAGACACCAGAGCATGTTCTTTCCAGCCTGTGAAGACAGAGCAAGCAGAAAGGGAGCCCACACCAGGACCCAAACATACTGGCACCCTGATTTCAGACTTCCAGCCTCCAGAGCTGTGGGAAGTAAATGTCTGGTGTTTAAGCCATCCAACCTATGGTTTTTCATTATGGTAGCCCAAGCCGACAGACAGTATCCAAATTTAGGGTTCTAAGAGACTTTGCAGCAGTTCCAAATTCTAGTTCTGAAGTCCTATTTAAGGATTGTATGCCAAACAGTAAAGAGAGACTTCAGGTGCTTATGGTTCCTTCTGTCCTTTACGGAAAGATGCTTTCTAAATTCTAATACTGTCCACAGCCACTCCACAGGCTGACACAGCACTCTGGGTTTGGCCAATGGCTGCAACTACACATTTTAAAAGCAGTCTCTACAACAGAGCCACATGACATGACAGGGTGCCCTCTCAACCCTCAGTCATATTTTTCTCTGTGATAAAAACTCTCACAGGTGAAGAAATCCTTGACTATGAAAACTAATGGTATTTGTCTATGCACCACTGCACAATAATGAGACTGGATTTTCCTCTGTGACCTATGAAAATTGCACTCATTACTTCATGGGTGTAATATATCTATAGTGTAGAGACACCCTACTTAATTCTTCCTTTATTCAGGAAGCAAGTTAATATAAGTCAGGTAGATGTGTATGAGGGCAGAAATAATAATGATTTGAATATATGCACATAAATCTCCTAGATTAGCCTGGGATAGATCTTTCCAAAAATGAGAGGATTGAAGTCAATGATTTCCTTGACACCCTTCATTCTTGGGTTAAGAAGGCACAATTTTCTGTGTTTGTTTTGGGTTGGGGAAATGTGCAGAGTTTAGGGGACCTCCCCAAGGCTACATAGCAAATTGATGGCAGAGCCAATCCAGTGTCATAAGCAGTGCCTGAGACCTGTGCAGCCTGGAGATCTCCTGCTCTAGAGAGGGTCTCATGCTTGGTTTAACGCTCTGCTGGGACTCTCTTGAAATTTTTAATAATTTTTGAACAAGGGGCCATATGTTTCATTTTGCACTGGGCCACACAAATTATGTAGCTTGTCCCGATCATAAGCTTCCAGTACTTTAGACACATCATTTGGATCTCATATTCTGAAATTGTAAATTATGCCTTTCAACTAGATGTTAGTAAGAACCTGGTACAATGGAGAAAAATGATGAAAGATTTTCCTATGGGCAAGGCAAGCCAAACAGGCAGTGGTGCTGGGGACTTGCAAGAGCTAGGAGAATGTATTCTTCCATGTTCTTTAAAGAGGAAGGAGACAATGAGCTCTATACAAAGTCGCCCGCAGAGAACACAAAGGCTTTCTGCACCCTGGCACTAGTAATCTGAGACTTTTGCCCAGATTTTAAAACTTTGCAATCCATTTAAAATTATGAACTAGAAGCAGTGTTTGCAATGCTTTTTTATTTCCGTACTATAAATAAAGTACTATAAATAAATGGCTGTACATTTAAGTCTTTGAAACTTTAAGTGCATTTAAATTATAAGGCATGGGCATGAATGTATAAACAGTGCTGATCCAATTGGATTATGGATTGAGAGTGTGTGTTTTAGTTCTTTATTTTTTTAAACATATGGACTTGGTGAGGGCAATGATATATCTAATTTCATTCTTTATTTAGCTCCAGTGGGGTCAAAGTCACCTGATTTGCCAATATGAGGTTATCAGTTTTTCCAATCTTACAATTTTCCTTGATAGAGTTGTGATAAAAAGTGGAATATCTACATGATAATGTACCATTGCTTTGCCACTTACTGACCTCTTGCATTTCACCTATTTCATGTCTTTTTTTCATATCCTGGTGCAAAAAACCAAATACCTTCCATCTTACGGTATAATATGGTGTACAGTACCTTCCTGGTCATTTATAGCAGTAATTCTCAACTGGGTGGCAATTTCGTTACTTAGGGGATTGGCCAATGTTTGGAGGCATTTTTGATTTTGTAAATCAGGAGACTCTACCAAAATCTAGTGGATAGAGGCTGTTCAGCACCCTTGAATGCACTAAGAAGCTTCCCTAATAGAGAATTATCTGGCCCTAAATTAACAATAGCAAGGTTGAGGAATCCTGCTCTGCAGATTAGAATCAGATGCAGAATTAACCTTTTGCTGTCCTGAATAAGATGAAAGTGAGAATGCTGGCATGTGGCTCAGCTACTTAAGTGCTGTCAAAGCAAATGTCAGCTAGATTGACAGGTATTTTATTTTATTTTTTAGGGAAAGAGCAAAGAGTGTTTCCTGTAAAAGGTAAAGAGTTGTTGGAACTAAAATAGTTTTCTGCCAGGAAAAGAGACAGGGGATTCCTAGTCTGTGTTAATAAGCTGACCTTTCTAACACCTTCCAAGGCTTTTTTGTATCTCTTTGTTTTTTGTCTTTGGTAAGATCACTTAACAGGAGATCTACAAATTTCATCAAATCGTATGTGCAATTCTTTGTATATCAGTTATACCTCAATAAAACTATTTGGAAAACATGTTGGCATTATTTGTTGAAGTAGAGACTGAGAACTAATAGAGAAAGGTCAACACTAATTGTGGTCCTAGGCTTCAGGAAAAGCATGGATGGCCTTAGAGGAGAAAGGAATATGTGTAGAGTGGGGGAAGCATATTCAAATTCCAGATAATTGCAGCTTTGTGAGGTTATACTCTTTTACCTTTCAGTAGTGGTTTAACAAAGGGGTGTCAGTAGCAAAGCCAAATTTCTGGGCTTTGGAGGGTATTTATTAGAGAGAGAGGGAAATTTTCATATGTTCGGTAAGCTGAAAATTACGTCAACATACTTGTGGTATAAATGAGTTGTGGTTCTTGAAGACTGTAAAGCTGCGACTCACCAATTCGGGATAGCTGACTTTCTTAGCTCTCATCTTCCATTGGTAGGTGTGTGAATAACTTCTTTATCACCAACTAAATAGTCTTCTAGGACTTTATCACCCTTTTCATAAGATTATGTGTGTCCTGGTGGCGAGAAGCCTGAGCCAAGTTTTGCAATACAAGTAAGTATTCCTTTTGCTGGGCCATAAATGGCTGATATGTTTGAAGCTGGCAATAAAGTCACCACTAGATGCCAAAGGGAAATATGGTTGGTATAGTGTCTGGGGACAGCTTAGGAAAGTCTTTGAACAAGTGAATGCTGGGTGATCTATGGGCCCCTACCCAGTCCATGGGTGCACAAACAATGAGCTTTGCCAGATCCACTCACTCTTAATTTCAGGACAGCTGGTCCTCTCCATTCATGGGCAACTTTCCCAGAATAAATGTCCATACTCCATGATTAACTCCCTCCTTCTTTTCCTTTCATGCTTCTGCTTCTTGTTTAGACTCAAGGAAAATCTTCCTTCCAGCAGTGTCTCCTTTTCTCTTCCTATCAAATCCCTTCTTTCAACCTGCACCTGAAGCCCAGTTCTCTAGATCAGCACTATCCAATAGAAATACAATGCAAGCCACATATAGTTAATTGTGAATATCCCAGTGGACACGTTAAAGAACTAAAAAAGAAACAAGTGAAGTGAATTTTAGCAATACGTTTTATTTAACCCAATATATGCAGAATAACATCTTTTGAAGAATTATTTGGCTTTGGTTCTGATGAGGTTTATATTTTCTTATTTTGGGTTGGTAGAAAAGTGTTATGTGAAAGAACATATATTAAGTGCCTTTTATGGTCTGTCACATAGTGATAGCTATTGTTTTTATTTCCTCTGGGCTGGGCTCCAGGCCTCTCCTAGATATTCAGACATTTATCCCTGGGGTAGGCAGGGAACTGTCAGAATTTTGCCTTGACAGTTTAGATTTTAGACAGCATAGAATCTGGGAATGGGTATGTATGTATGAAGACAAAAAAAGTATGTGTAAAATATCCATGCCTTTTTGAGTCTTCAGTAGTTCTAGGAATTTTTAAATGAGGGCATTCTATTAATATTTTGGGTCATAGCTAATATATTGCACATTATACCAAATTTATGCTTAGCATTGTTTCACAAGTTTCATTAACTTCTGATCTGCCCAAATTTGCCAAACTAGGTGTATTAGTTTAATGGGGTTGCAATAACAAAGATCACAGACGGTGTGGCTGAAACAAAAGAAATGTATTTTCTTACAGTTTTGGCAGCCCGAAGTCTGAGATCCGTGTGTGGGCAGGGATGGTTTCTTCTGAGGCCTCTCTCCTTGGGCTGCACGTGGACGCCTTCTTGCTGTGTCTTCACGTTGCTGTGAGGACCACCTTGCTGTGGTCTTTCCTCTGTGCACAAGCATGTGTGCGCCGCAATCTCCTATTCTCACATGGACACTGGGCTAGGGCCCATCTATATGATTTGAGCTTACCTTAATGA
Organism: Homo sapiens; assembly: GCF_000001405.40. Taxonomy (NCBI): domain Eukaryota; kingdom Metazoa; phylum Chordata; class Mammalia; order Primates; family Hominidae; genus Homo; species Homo sapiens. The sequence goes on along the minus strand of NC_000018.10, from coordinate 73,724,007 downwards.
CCTCTTTAAAGGCTTTATCTCCAAATACAGTCAGTCACATTCTGAGGTGCTGTGAGTGAGGGCTTCACCATATAATTCTGGCAGCAGGACACAATAATCTCATAACACTAGGTAACCTCAGAGAGGATATCCAACTGTCTTTATCCATCTCCTTTCATTAGCCAGCTATGGCTTTGATACCTTTGACCCAAGTAGGCTACCGTATTCTATGGATCCATTTGAGAATTCCAAGGAGTTTTTTATGGCTCTTTTCCCATTCTCTTACATTTTCTGATGACTGTCTACCTTGGAAACAAATTATCCACATGAAACAGACTGTAGTTCAGTAGAAAAACTGCTAAAAATCATTGTTATTTCTTATTTGGAATGTTTTAAACATTCAAGCAGTGTAAAATGACACTGTTTCTATATGCAATTTCAAAAGACTGAAAAGGCGATTTGGTTTTTGTTTGATTTTTCTGTGTTGACTTTAAGACAATACTTCAGAAACTTTTTAGACTGTTTGATTTTATTTCTCCAGTTTCTTCACATTAGATTTTTTGTACCATATCTTCAAATTAATGTAAAGCAAAATGACTTCTATTCAATTAACACTCCTAAATGCTTCTTGTTTGACCTCACTTCCTTGGAGCTGTCAGTCTTCTTTGTGTCTTGAATCAAATCTATTGTCCTTGGATTTATTCTTGCTTTTTTTTTTTTTCTTTAAATTAAGGACTTTGGAAGGCTGAGGCAGGCAGATCACGAAGTCAGGAGATCGAGACCAACCTGGCCAACATGGTAAAACCCTGTCTCTACTAAAAATACAAAAAAAAAAAAAAATTAGCTGAGCGTGGTGGTGTGTGTCTGTGGTCCCAGCTATTCAGGAGGCTGAGGCAGGGGAATCACTTGAACCCGGGAGGCAGAGGTTGCGGTGAGCTGAGATTGTGCCACTGCACTCCAGCCTGGCAACAGAACCAGACTCCATCTCAAAAAAAAAAAAGAATAAAAAAAAACAAAAAAAAATTAAGGTCAATGTTGTTAACTTTACCAAAAATTTCCCTAATAATAACTATTTCTCTGGATATGTGTGTATTATACTATGTGAGTGGAATTTCAGTGCATGGTGCATGATATGGTTTGGCTGTGTCCTTGAATTTTAGCTTTCATAATTCCCACATCTCATCTTGAATTGTAGGTTTCATAATTCCCGCACATCGTGGGAGGGACCTGGTGAGAGATAATTGAATAATGGGGGCGGGTCTTTCCCATGTTGTTCTCATGATAGTGAATAAGACTCACGAGATCTGATGATTTTATAAAGGGGAATTCCCCTGCACATGCTCTCTTGCCTGCTGCCATGTAAGACGTGACTTTGCTCCTCATTTGCCTTCCACCATGACTGTGAGGCCTCCCAGCCTTGTGGAACTATGAGTCTGTTAAACCTCCTTTTATTTATAAATTACCCAGTCTCCAGTATGTCTTTATTAGCAGCATGAAAATGATCTAATACAATGCACATAATCTCTACTAATCTCAGGAGTACTATTTGATTACAAGTTATTTTAAGTGGTTCTTGCACTTTAGTCTATATTTACATAATTCCTGAAAATAAAATGCTGGATTGCAATGAGAAAATGTCACCTATCAGTGGTATGGTCTGACCAGCATGATACTCAAATAAAACACTCAATTAGACTTTCTCATTATAAAGCCAATATTACTCATCCACAATTGGGGGAAAATTATTCTTAGATGTTGTCCTTACAGTGGCACTTTTCATTTTTTCTAATCAATACTCAGACTTATACATGGCTCCTTTGAGTCAACGATTGTTTTTTGTTTGTCTGTGGATGAGTTTTTGGGTAACTGACCATATCAAAGTTTAATTTTGGCCTTATAAGGATGCTGCTGTAAATAGATTAGCTAATAGTCAAGTGGCAACAAGGTATACAGATTTTTTTGTTGTTAATTATTTGAATTGATGATCTTGAGTGTTATGTGTGCACAGTTGTTGTCTCCCACTTAGACAGTCTTGTGTGAGTGGTTCCTCATTCTCTGTGGTTGCTCACTGGGTGGCTTTCATTTGGGCACATCATATTCACTTGTACATCTCCTTGCTTGCAATGTCTTTCTTCTGACTCCCCCTTCACTGAATCTTTGTTTCACACACAGGACTTTCTTGGAGTCGTGGTGCCACATACTTGAAGCAGCTCAAACTTCCAGGCCTTGCAAGGGTCACCTTCAGTACAAAAACAGTTCATGCATTTTATGGTTACATTTGTCTTGACAGTTAATGTGAAGTATAGCATAGACAGTACTGATGGGACTGTTTGCAAATATGAATGTTTCTCTTTGAGTAGGCTCAGGCTGCTTGTATTCGTAGAGAGCTGAAGTGAGGGGCTCTGCATGCATCCTCAGCTTGTGCCATGTTGCATCCTTTCTTCCAAGCTTCCGAAGGGCCATGGCTGGATCTTGTAGGATGGGTTTTGCCAATCGGAACGTTGCTGAGGAGATTGCCACAACCCTCACCTTATCACATGAGAGATTCTTCATGGTCATTATGTTTTTCCTAATGACAGTTCACATTTGCTCACTTGTTTACTCATTCACACACACACCCTTGCCTGTATTCAGCGCATGCGTATCTGCCCCCTGTGAGGCCCTGCACCAGGCACCAGTGATCACAAGATCCATAACACAGGCACCACTCCCAAAGGGCTCACCGTATATTGGAAAGATAAGCACATGCACTCTGATATATCTGATGAATGGACGATCAGTTTATCATGCACTGATGCCCTACTAAAGTTAAGTATGACATACAGCACAGACTATGAGGCAGGCTTCACCCTAGACGCATTTACAATCTATGAGAAAGGTGACATTTTAAACAGAATATTTTCATGGTGTGTTTATGCTTCAACGTAGGAATCCACAGCTATTTTCTGGATTTCCATCGGGGATCTAGACTGTAGCTTGCAGGACCAGGTATGAGAAGGTTGTATGTGCAAAACTCCTGGACATTCTGCTGAGGTGACTCTCACTGGTGGTATGGAAGCTGGCCAAGGGAAAGAGTGGAGAAAACGTCTTCCAGGCAACATTAAAAGCATTCAGTGAAGGCAGGTAATAAAAGATACATTTTGTGTTGGAGAATTGTTAGCAGTCAGTATTACCGGAGTTTAATTACGAATCAAAGGAGATTGCCTGGCTATTGGCAGGAGGTGAGTCTGGACAGATAGGTAGGTGGCAGCTTATTCAGGGTCCAATCTACTCTTAATGGGCTGGGGCATTATCCTGCAAGACAGAGGTTCTCATCCCTACCAGACATTTCCTTCTACTTAAATGTTTAATAATTCTCTTTTTACTGTCTTGAAATCTGCAGATCATATAACCTATCTATCTGTAACTTAAATTTAAGCATTTATATAATCTTTTTACTATAATATGAAGAAATATAACAGAAAAATTAATTTATAATAAAATGATGTCTATTTAAGGAGGTAAATGTTTGTATATAACCTCATTAAGGAATATGATAAAATGATAAGAAGTTTAAATTAAACATAGAATAATAAGTGTGACAACTTCAAATGCAGACTGACATGTGCCACGTTGATGACTCAGATGCATGGGAATATTACAGTGATGCAATTTTCTGAAATGATCAATAACATTTGCCACCTTTAGAATAAAGCACAATGCAAGGTAGATGCATTCCTGGAAAAATCAGTGTACATTAAAACTGTATGAGTGCTTTGGGTTGACGGGCAAAGTGTGTGGGGCCATCCCACACATCCCAGAACATCTGCATCCTTGGCCTCACTGCTCACGGCCATAGCCTTCTGCCCATCACTGTGACAGCCCCAGACCCACACATCCATTTCCACACATGCAGGTACTGCCTCTGTAAGAAATGTTGCTTTGGACAATGAGAATTAAGAGTGTTAGTCAAGAGACTACCATGACCAATTTGCATGTAGTCAGATACTTCCAGAGTGTTTGTGACTTGAGTTTGAGGAGCACAAGATGGGAGGCAAGAAGATCTGTTACTGAGCTACTGCAATCGTCCATGAGATATGCAAAGATGGAATGAGGACAGTTGTAGTGGGAAGGGAAAAGAGTGAAAGGCATTGGAGACTGTTGGTGAGCTGAAGTATTAAGGTGCAGTGATTGAGTTGGTGCAGGGGGAAGAAGGAGAGTTCTTTGGCATGAGTCCCAGATTTCTGCCCTGGGAGGTGGATGGGTCCCTGGTACAGGAAACTGAGAAACAAAACACCAGAAGAATAAATACAGAGGAAAGATGATGAGTCTGGTTTCAACTGACTTCTAGTGCAGGTGTCCATAAGTGTCTATATTTACATGTGTATGTATATACATGTTTATGTCACATATGTATTATACGGTATATATGTACACATATGAACACATATGTATTATATATGTATGTGTATATATTTATATGTGCATGTATATATTATATATAATACATGTGTACACATATGATATGTGTATATTTATATATGCATGTGTATATTACATATGTTTGTGTGTGTGTGTGTATATACATCTAAAATTTAGTGGAAAGATCAAGGTTGGAGAGAAAGGTTTAGCTAGCATAGGGTTGATAGCTAAAACTATGAAAGTATTTCCAGAAAAGAGTGTGCGACACTAGCTGAGAAGAAGAGCAAGACTGTGAAACTTTCAGGAAAAAGTGTTTAAGAAGAAGGAAAAGCAGGAGGAGCCCACAATGAAGAACAAAGAAGAGAAGAATTAACAAAGGAAGATGGGTTCATGGAGGAAGACACAATCAATAGTCTCGAATGCAGGAGGAAGCTTAGTATGTGTATACTACCATAACACACAACAATTTATACCCACCCTTCCCACATGGAAGTTAGGGGCAGCTTTACAAACAAAGTATCTTTTAAATACAACTGATCGGGCAGATGCAGAGGCTCATGCCACCCAGCACATTGGGAGGACAAGGCAGGAGGATCCCTTGAGTCCTGCAGTTTGAGATCAGCCTGGGCAACATGGCGAAACCCTACTTCTACAAAAAATATGAAAACAAGTCAGGTGTGGAGGTGCACACTTGCAGTCTCAGCTACTTTAGAGGCTGAGGTGGGAAGATTGTTTGAGCGTGGGGAGTTCGAGGCTGCAGTGAGCTATGATCGCGCCACTGCACTCCAGCCTAGGTAACAGAGTGAGACCCTGTCTAAAACAAACAAACAAACAAACAAACAAACAAAAACCCTGATCTTTTCAGAAGCATGTAAGGAAGCATTCTGAAGACAGTCTAATAAAGAAATCATGGTGTCCATATATCAGTTTTTCTGTATTCCCGAGTATTCATGCACACGCATAAACATGTCGTAAGATATGGGTATTTATATGAATGATTGTATGCATAAATGTTTGTATATAAAAAGGCATGTTTACAATCTTCATTCTAACCTTCACATTTCCTAAGGTACGGTTGTGTCGTAGCGCTTAACATTTAGGGTTTTGAAAGTTGAAGGGATTTGTATCTGTCTCACATCTTTTTATCAGCTTTAATCTTTACAGGACTGCCATTTTGTTTTTAACTCTTGCTCTTTCCAGGAATAAAATCTTACTGTGCTAAACATGAGTTATCCCAATCATTTGAATAACCAGACAAAGGAGTGAGGGCTCATGTTTCTTTCATATTTACACTTTTCATAAAATGTGCAGTTTGATACTTATGCAAACATGTGCTTAGTTTTAAGGACTCAGTGTCAGTTTAGAGAAATCTTCGCTAAGCTTTCCTGCAGTTGTAACCCTGGTAATGACAACTGTCACTATCCTCATTATAGAGAAGGCGATCTGGATGCCTGAGGACACTAAACCATTTACATGTTGCCTAGGACATTCAGTTCCTTGCCAGACCCCTTGATTGGGCTCCTAAGGTGTTGGATTGATCCTTGCATGAGTTGGATTCTGAGAGTGTTTTAGGTAGAAAGGACAAGATATTAAGATATCCACATCCAGATCACATAAAGGGCTAAATTGCTACAAGGTAGGTTTTCCTGCTATGGAGAAATGTCTCATTAACAGAAATCTGTTTGGAAATTCAGTGACAACTGTATTAGCAGGAAGACTCTCAGGTCTTTAGGTCAGTTCATTGCGATGAGAATCAAGCTAGCCTGAAGCCTGTGTCTTTTTTCCTTTAGTGAAAGAGATTCACCTTGTCACATTCAATAATTTGAAAAACACTGATGACAATGACATTCCTAGTGCCTTAGACACCCAGAGTGAATCATTTCCTGATACTTACTTCCTCCATATAGCAATCTGGCTACTAAATCATGCTGTTGATGAAAGATTTTGTTTTCTTTCTTCATTCTTTAGTTTTAAGATGAAAAAAAGAAGAATCATAAAACAACACTCACTTTCAATTTTAAAGTTAATATTCAAATCCAGTCACATGTTGTCTGCATGTTTTATGTTTGTACTAGAATTTGTACTTATCAAACAAAAATATCACATCTCACAATTAGTACTCTATTTCAGTGTATTAAAATTTAAACACAAAAATTTTCAAGTGGTCATACAGAATGACAACAATGAAGCAACACAAATGCAGTTTCTTAGTCTTTCCCATCACTACACTGTGTTCTTAAATACACTGTTGAAATGCAGCACTAGATGGTGAGGCAGCAGAGAGTCCATAAAACGCATCCACAGGAAGCTCGTACCATTCTGAGCTACTAAGAACTTAATCTCCTTTGGGAGGCCAAGGCAGGCGGATCACTTGACGTCAGGAGTTTGAGACCAGCCTGGCCAACATGGTGAAACATGTTTTCTCTACTAAAAACAAAAATTAGCCAGGTGTGGTGGTACGTGCCTGTAATCCCAGCTACTTGGGAGGCTGAGGCATGAGAATTGGTTGAGCCTGGGAGGCAGAGGTTGCAGTGAGTCAAGATCACACCACTGCATTCCAGCCTGGGTGACAGAGTGAGACTGTCTCAAAAAAATTAATAAGAATAATATAAATAAATAAATAAATAAGAACTTACTGTCATTCCTCCAGTGTCAGAAAATGATCATTTAACTGGAAAGTCCCTAAATTTAACTTCCAGGTAGACCATCATGTTTACTAAAGAAGAATAATAAAAATATGTTAATTTGTAGCTTATACATGAGTTTTTAAAATTCAGTAGTAATCACATTTAAAACTTAGATCATTTTTTTCTCCTAAGGGAGGTATAACTTATCACTGACCTTATTTAGAATTGCCATTTCATGATGTTAATAAAAAGCAGGCAGTCTGCTAATTGTTGGCTTTAAATTCTCTACAATCAGTGAATCTCCTTGCTTCTCCCCTCCAAAGCCTGCACTTGGATCAGATCTTGTCCCCCACCCCCACATTGGAGCGCAACCGATAATGAAATAGGTCTATCAGGTACCTTAACATCTGCTGCAACTACATCCAGAAGTCCAAGGTTTAAAAAAAATCTATATGAAGCAATTTGTAGTAGAGAACTATTATACAATTGTTATAGACTGAACGCCTATGTCCCTCCCAATATTCACAGGTTGAATCCCTTATTCCAAAACGTAATGGTATTTGGAGATGGAATCTTTGGGAAGTGACTAGAGTCAGATGACGCCATGATGGTCTGATGGGCAGGGACAGGAGAGAGCTTTCTCTCTCTCTCTCTTTCTCTCTCTCTCTCTCCCTCCCTCTTCAGGTGTGCAAAAACAAGAGGTCTGGAGAAAACACAGTGAAACGGCAGGCTCCTTTGAGCCAAGAAAAGAGGTCTCAGGATGAAACTACCTTCCTGGCACCCTGGTCTTGGACTTCCTAGACTCCAGAATTGTGAGAAAGAAATTGCTGCTGTTTAAGCTGCCCTGTCTATGGTATTTTGTTATGGCAGCCTGAGCAGACTAACACAATGATAGTCCCCTTGCAACATTTTAATTTCCAAATCTTCCCTAGTTTTGTGAGAGAACTTTTATATCAATGTTTAGTTTGAAGGAATTTTCTATAACTCGTTTACAAGTCCTTAATTAATAGAGCTTTTTTTTTTTCTCCCAACAGAAGCTGCAACTCAAACCTTAACTATAATGCTGTGAATGGTCTAGTATAATGGTGATCCATGACTTCTAACAACAGGGTGTTTAAAATAAGATTTAATGTGGCCTGAAAAGCTAGATTTAACCTTGTATTACAGGCAGTATTAAAAGGGTCTAAAGTAATGAAGCGTATAAAGGCTTATGGAGAATAATAGACACAATAAGGGAATTTGAAACTCGAGCCAGCTATGAGGAAATGATGCAGCTCCATCTTCCTCACTCCATCTTCCTCACTGGTGCTCCGCGTGCTAATGTCTAGCGTTTGCCAGAGGCCTTAATTATGGCAACATGCAGCTAAAGATACTCCCATACCACCTCATCCAACGGAAATGTGGGCATTTGGATAAGCGAGGTTAAAATGTCAGGAATTACTGTATTCAACAGTCACCAATGGCAGCGCCTCCGCGTTTGATGCGGGACGTTCCTGTGGGAGGGAGCGGCTGGATCACAGTTCGGTGTGCGGCTGGCTCTGCTCACATCCTCGTCCTTGGCATTACAGCGTTTCTTCACAAATGACTCTTGACCGACAAGCAAACACCACCAGGCATCTGGATGAGCGGCGTGTCCTGCTGCTGATTATTTTGAAATAGCAGCGATGTTTTGAAACAGGCATGTCTCCGTTGGCAGATAAGAAAGACGAAGTGAAGTGAGGCACCAGCACACCACAGTGCTCCGTCAAGCTCTTGTCTATTAAACAAACGGTATTAGATAGACACTAACTAACATGTTGACCTTGCTGAAATGTTCGTCTAGTTTCAAGCTATTTACTTTTCCTGCATGTTTGCTCTTCTTTTATTTTTCAAGTATTTAAGTATATGGAGAGCATTCTAAGCATGCACATATTTATCTGCTATGGTTGTCAGCACATTCTTCACCAGTCTTAGAGTTTTAGGTTAAATTTTCTGGTTTTGGAGGAAAATAAACAAGCAGACAGACAAGAAAAAAAAACACACAAGTAAATAAATAAAAACTGAGGAGGACTTTGGTGAGGAATGTTCTCTTCAAATTCAGAGTGGTTCCCTGGACCATGATACAGAGCTGGGCAGTCAGGTGACAGATGACACCAGGTTCCTCGCCCCCTACAAAATCAAAACAGTTGCAGACTCAGTCATAGAAATTAGAGATCTTCTCTCACTCTGAAGGCGATACTTGACCTTAAGAATTTCTTAGAATTTGTGTGTCTTACGCTGTAGGAAATTTCTCCCTGCTGTCCTAGCTGATTCCTCTTTGCTTCAAGTGTTCCTCCTGCTGTAATTCAATTGAAGCTAACACGTTTGAGGCCATGATGTTTAGCAGCTGTTCAGCCAGAAACATAAAGAGACATGAAAGGCAGGCAGAACGGTTATATTAAATGAATCTCAAAGTTAGAGAAAAAATATGGACTATATTTCTGTTTTACCAGCAGTAGAACTGATCAGGCGCTATGAAAATCAAGTTTGACATTTCTACATATTAGGATATTGCAGAGGAATTACTAGACAGTATTAGTGTGCAGCCATTTTACACAGACATCATCCTCAGCTTCCCACGTGTGCAACCCAGCATCAGTGGAGCTAAGCATGAGATAAAATTGTGTTACCAAGGCTGGCAGTTCCTTACTATATCTGGTTCAATTTTTTGTTATTACTAGGCTTTGCATTGATATTGTACTGAGGGCATATTATTGTGATATCTTGTGCAGGCAAAATAAGCCTTGTTTTATTAATGAAAGTTTGGGCTTAGAGATGTGGAAGGATTTAGTCAAGTGTTTACAGGACACAGATAGAGAATATTATCTCTATGTGGTTAAGGGCAGGAGCTCTGAAGTCAGGTTCTGTCTTAACCCCATGATTTCCGACATACAAGACCATGGGCAAATTGTGCGACATTCTGTGCTTCAGTCCTCATTTGTCAAATACAAGCCATTGAGAAGATTAAATGAGGTGATATACACACAGAATTGAGCACAGTGCCTCAGACTTGGCAGTCTTTTGGTTGGTTGTAACTAATATCATGTTCACCCCCAAGATAAAATGGGGCACTTTAAGAACTAAGAATAATTAACATTTGGTGATAGGGTTTGGCTGTGTCCCCTCCCAAATCTCATAGTGAACTGTAGTTCCCATAATCCCAATGTGTCATGAGACCCGGTGGGGGGTAATTGAATCATGGGGATGGTTACCTCCATGCTCTTCTCGTGATAGTAAGTTCTCATGAGATCTGATGGTTTCATAAGGGGCTCCCCCACTACCCTTTGCTTCTGACTACCACCATCGCTATGTGAAGAAGGACATGTTTGCTTCCCCCTCTGCCATGATTGTAAGTTTCCTGAGGCCTCCTTAGCCATGCTGAACTGAGTCAATCCAACCTGTTTTCTTTATAAATTACCCAGTCTTGGGCATGCATTTATTAGCAACATGGGAACGAAGTAATACATTGGGAAACCTCTGCTTTGGGACAGTAAATTTAATGTGAATGGCTCTATCATTGGATGTGGAGCCATTTTGAGTTTGACTTAATACAAAAATAATTTCAGCTTTAAGGAAGTACCAAGCACTGTGAGAAACACATTCTGCCACACCCGATTTCTGTTTCCGATTCCCCTGGGTCTAGATCACCTTAGGGTTAGTTAGGATTAGAGATGGAGGGTGAGAAATGACAGCTGTGCATATTGTTTGGTATTTGAAAAATGATTTCATATTTTGATCTTTTCTTAATGGCTGCATCATCATGGCAATGTCAAGCTGTTCTTGTTTCATGTCATGAAATAAGTTTCCAAGTCATACCAAAGGGAAATATCTCATATTGGCTTCAGTTATCTCAGCTCCTACCTGCACTAGTGACGGTGAACTGCCCAAAGGGGCCGATATGCATTCAGCAGGAAAGATTTGGTCCAGGTCCTCCAAAGTGCAATTCCTATTATCTGCAATTAGAAAAGAATTTGCAATATGAAAAAATCAGTCACAAAAGTAATGAATATCCTTGTTGGCAAATAATACTTCCTTAAAACATGCATACTTCTCCCTGTCTAAATTCTTAGTGTTTTTCTCTAGAACTGCCTTCTCCCCTAATTTGCCTGTTGAAATCCTCCCCTTTCTTTCTTCTAGACATATCCCAAATTCTACTGATACATGAATCAAGAGAAGCTTCTCAAGTTATAGATCTCAGAGTAAATATATATACCATCCTATCCCAATCCATCTTGCTCTAAATACTGGTATGTCTACTTGGAAAAAAAAAAGATTTTGTGGTCAAATTAGTTTTGGAAACATTGCATTGAACTTTGTTATTTTTCCTCCAGGCTTGGAACCCTCCTCACTTTTTCCTTTCATTAAATAGAACTTAACTTGGTTTTCTATACCCAGGACAGTTTAGGTTTTCCTTTCTTTTTTCTTTAGGGCACAAGAAGAATCAACAGTTTGTGGGAGACAGATTGCGTTTTCAGTGAGGTGACTGCAGGGTGGGCTGGATGGAACTTCAGCTTCAGTTTGGGTATTTGAGAGGCCCTTGCATCATCCAGAGAAGAGCTAACAAGAACGTGTGATAGAGCAGTGCCAGCAGACGAGATATAGGGAACAATTAGAGTGCGGTATTGGAGAGCTGGGATATCCTTGGATTGATGACTGAGTGGATCAATCCAATTGAGTTTAAAGTTTCAAGAGTAGTTGTGTGGGAGGAAGTTGGGTGCCATTTCTTGAACAAGGGAACACTAGAGGTTGACTTAGGAGTAGCCAGAGTAATAGCAGTTTTGGCATGCTGAATTTTAGGTGTAAAATAAATACATAAATTAAGATATTTAGGGGGAAACTGGAAATACAGGGCAGAGTTTAGAAGAGACCTCTAATTTGGGAAAATAGGGTTGGACATTTGTTCATAAAAATAATAATTAAGGCCGGGCACAGTGGCTCACGCCTGTAATCCCAGCACTATGGGGGGCTGAGGGGCGGGGAGCACCTGAGGTCAGGAGCTCAAGACCAGCCTGGCCAACTTGGTGAAACCCCGTCTCTACTAAAAATACAAAAATTAGCCAGGTGTGGTGGTGCATGCCTGTCAAACCAGCTACTCGAGAGGCTGAGGCAGGAGAATTGCTTGAACCCTGGAGGCAGAGTCTGCAGTGAGACGAGATTCCTGCCACTACACTCCAGCATGGGCAACAGAGCGAGACTCCATCTCAATAGATAAATAAATAAATAAATAAAATAAATAAGTAAATAATAATTTTAAAAGATTACTGGCTCTGACCCTCGTGCTTTGATTAAAGGAAAGTGCACAATTCCCCTTTAACATCTTTTTACTTGTTTGTGGTTGTCTATATAAGTTTGTCTTTTGAAATTTGCATAATTTAAAGAACTTTTTGGTTTAATTACACTTCTACTGTAGAAGTTCTTCCGTTTATAAAAATAGTCATTTTCCTCCCTGGTTTTTTTTTTCCCACCCAGCTTTTTCTGAGGCTGTCAAAAGCACAAGCTGCCATGGTAATGACAGGAAGATATGGGTGAAATGCCAGCCCTAATTAGAGACTTGATTGCTCTGTAATAACAAGGCCTGTATTTGATTTGGACGGTTCTGGGTTGTCAGGTAAAATGAATTAAATATGTCTGCACTTTCATTTCAAAATGTGAAAAATGTGAATGTGCATTATTTATATTGTATTTCATGGCTATAATTAATTATGTGTCTGTGGACATGATGTCCCAAAGACAGTTGATTTTATGTTCAATCTGTATGTGCATTTGTAAAACTAATTTGTTCTCATTAAAATTTTTAAGGGTTTATTCGAGTTAAACTCAGGAGGCCTTTCTGGGTATACAACTCACAAAATACAAAGCAAAAGTCGAATTTACATTTTTTTTGCTAGTAAACTATTCAATGCCTGAAGCATTGTACTAGATATTATTGTAGTGAATATGGTGGGCTATAAAAATAAAGAGAAGACATACTTCCTTTTCAGATAGTGCTTTTAAACTTGTTTGGAAGACTTCGGTATAAAACAAATGAACATAATGCAACCTGAGCTTCTATTACTTAGTAAAAGAACATTGTGTTTTGTCAAAGAAATATTAAGTCTGTATGATGAGTTGAACAGTTTTTCTTGTGAATATCCTATAGAAATGTGGAAGATATTTTGCTTTCTAAAACACTGTTCGGAATTTCTTCCAGTTGTAATTTTTAATATTTGCTAAATGTATCAACCATTAATATTAAAATTTTCAAATATATTCTCTCAAGTAGTATAAAGCTTTTTTTCTTATCAGTGACAGCAGTACTTTCAAGCAGACCCACAAATGAACTTCAATACTGAAAATAATTTGTGTATCTCAAGTTCACTAACATTAATTCTCTTCATTGTAGTTGGATATCGTTGCAGTTATTAAAGCAATATTTACCAAAAAATTATTTTTCATCATTTTAGTTTTTTCTATGGGAGTAAATCCCTAGGTGTTCCTAGTCAGGCTATAATTAATTAGTAGTTCAATGTGAATGTTGGGTAGTTCACAGACATATTAGAGCTAATTTCAATATTAAAAAATAATATTAGCATGAATCAATGAATTTACAGAGAATATTTATGTCTGAAATAAAGAGATTGGCTTCCATAGGCTCTGCGTATTCCACTTCTTTGTTAATATTCTTTTGTTAATTTTCAACATGATAATAATCGTAAGGACCAGCTGATTCCTTGTTTTATTTTATCCAATTTCAGAGATGACTACCCTCAACAAGATGAAGCAATTATTTGTCTCTTTATTTCTTGTTTTCAGAGACCATTAAGCTTATTTTGTCCTTATTGGAAAACAAAGCAATTTTCTATTCAACGTATTTCTGATTCTCAACAACTCATTTTCATTAGAAAGTAAAGTTAGAATGTCCATGGAGTGCCGGTGTATAGAGAGGGGAAGTAGATCAATGGTGGAACACTTAGGAGCACCCCTGGCAAAGGAACAAGAACTTTTACATAACCTGCAAAGGAGACCAAAGAAGTAGATGCTGGGTAGGAGGAGATCAGAAACCAAGAAAAAACATTTCAGACAAACATCGCTATCAAATGAAGGAAAGAGCCATTGAAAAGTAGAAACCTGGATTGAATTTCATAGTAAGACATCAGTGCTAACTCTCGTCAGAGTTATCAGAGTGGTGTGATAATGTGATAAAGGTGAATGATCACAATGAAGTCAAAAACAGGGATGGAGACATCAAGGATAGTCTAATCTTTCATGAGAATTGAACTGCATTTATTGGCATGTAGTAGGTAGTAGAGAAGTGGAAATTATTAGACTTATTATTGTCAGTAGCATGCGGTTCTAGGTACAGCTGGTATTAGATGCCTTACTCTGGGTTTTCTTTTATGTCACTTAGAGACACACTATGATATTAAGAATAATTTTAAAAATCTGTTCTTGCCATCAAGTTTAAGAAAAAGAAAAAAAAGGGAAAATATCTGGACTCCATGTCTCTTTCTCTGAGGTTAATTTCAGGCATGTGAAGATTCTGGAATTTAACAAAATAGCTTTACTTACAAGCTGTTGATCTTTTCTTACTCTGTCATGTCATCAGGATTTACTCAACTATATAAAAATTTTCTACATTTTAAACTTCAGTCTACATCCATGTAATCAATTAAATAACTTCTATTTACAAAACAATTAGAATACTATATCTTAGAGTGGACATCAGTATATAAATGACTGCAAAATAAATATTATAATATCTATAAATGATAAAGATATAAGATAAAATTATTATTTGATCAATCTAATCCATAGCTTTCAAAATGTAAATTATGCATTCTTACAATGTATAATTGTCATTTTTAACAGACTTAGGTTTCATTCTAATTTTTAACTATATTATTTTTCAAACTTGTTAACTGACTGAAAAGTTGAAAGTTTGTGACAAAGGAATTTGCAAGTTAAAACCAAAGGGTAGAATTTCATTTTATTTTATTTTTGTATGTGGTTTATTATTTTTGACATCATAAAACAGCCTACTATAAAAACAGTACATCTATTTTTCTTCTAACAAGAAACATTTTTTGTGGGTGATGAAAGTAAAGTGTTTTGACAATGCTAGATTTTTATTTTTGAAGCAATCATAACTCAAGATGAAAGTGCTTTAGCGCTAAGTCCTCCTCTGCTGTGACCGCCATGTGACTGGCCCACTTGGGCAGATTGCACTGGCTGCCTGTCAACTTCCTGTTAACTCTGCTCTCGCTCCTATGCCTTCCAAGGAATCCCATTCCAAAACTTGAATGAGCAATGAAAATTGAGATGCAGATTTAAGGAGAGGTTTTGCATCACACACTGCAGTGTGTTGGAGTCAACTCATCCTGGTTTGCAAGAGTCAGTTGCGCACATCCGTTCCCTATTCTGTGTTCAGAAATGGCAAGATTGGTAGCTCGAAATCAGCCATAGTGGGAATGTTTACACCTTGGAAGCTGGCCATATTACAAACCAGGACTTGCACCTTGTGGAACACAGACTAACCAGCCTACCACTACCACACACTGCAGTCCCCCAGTATACATGGCTGCCCTCTCCATTCTCATCCCTGTTTGCCAGCTACTTAATTTAACGTTCCCCACAAGCATTTTCATACCCCACCAAACTATATGTCATAATCACCTTCCCTCACAATGCCTATTTACCCACAATTACTGTCTGTAATAGATTTTATTTGTTTAGAGCACTTTTAGGTTTAGAACAAAATTCAGCAATAAGTACAGGGAGTTACCATGTACCTAACGTCTCCACATACAGACAGCCTCCCCCATGAGCAACATCTTCCGCCAGAGGGTATGACCATCAACACTAATGAACCTGCACTGACACGGAATAATATCGTTTGGATTTGTGTCCACACCTAAATCTAATGTCAAATTATAATTCTCAATGTTGGAGGTGGGGCCTGGTGCAGGTGATTGGATCATGGGGGCGGTTTCTCCTGAATGGTTTAGCACTACCCACCTTGGTACTGTCCTCATGACAGTGAGTTCATTCTCAAAAGATCTGATTGTTTAAAAGTGTGTCACCTACCCCCTCCCTCTCTCTTCCTGCTCTGGCCATGTAAGATGACTATTCCTTCTTTGCATTCTGCCATGATTGGAAGTTTCCTGAGGCCTCCTCAGAAGCCAAGTGGAATGCCAGCATCATGCTTCCTGTACAGCCTATTGAACTGTGAGCCAATTAAACCTCTTTCCTTTATAAATTACCCAGTATCAGGTATTTCTTTATAGCAATGTGAGAACAGACTAATACACATCACTATTACCCAAAGCCCACAGTTTACATTTCGATTCATGCTGGGTGTTATACATTCTATGGGTTTGAACATATATGTAATGACATGTATTCCCTATAATAGTATCATACAGAGTAAGTTTCACTAAAAACTACTAAAAGTCCCCTGTTTTCCACCTGTTCATCTCTCCCTTCCCTCTAACCCCTGAGAACCACTGGTCTTTCTACTGTCTCCATAGTTTTGACGTTTTCTGCATGCCATGTAGTTGAAACCACAGAGTATGTAGCATTTTCAGATTGACTTCTTTCATTTAGTAATACAAATTTAAGGTTCCTCTGTGTTTCTTCATGTTTTGAAAGATCATTTTGTTTTAGTACTGAATAATATTCTATTGGCTGAATATACCACACTTTATCCACTTGCCTACTGAAGGACATTCTTGTTGCTTCCAAGTTTGAGAATTATGAATCAGCCTTCTGTAAACATCCATGTGCATGCTTTTGTATGGACATAGTTTTAACCTCCTTTGGGTAAATACCAAGAAGTGTGATTACTGGATCTTGTGATAAGCCTATGTTTAGTTTCATGAGAAATAGCCAAACTGTCTTTCAAAGTGGTGGTGCCATTTTGCATTCTCTCCGAAAATGAATGGGAGTTCCTATTGCTCCACATCCTCACCAGCATTCAGTGTTCTGAATTTTGGCCATTTTAATAGGTATGTTATGGTGTCTCATTGTCACCTCAGTTTGCATTTCCTTGATGACACATGAAGAAATGCAAATTAAGGCCTCTTCTCATTTATTTCTTTGCCATCTGTATATCTTATTTAGTGAGATGTCTGTTCAGGCAGTTGGCACAGTTTTTAACTGGGCTTTTGTTTTCTTGTTGTTGGGTTTAAGAGTTCTTTGTAATTTTTGGATACTAGTCCTTGATCAAATAGTACACATTGAAAGTAATGGCAAAAACTGCAATTACTCTTACAACAAACTAATACATTGTTTGCAAATATTTTCTCCCAGTCTGTAGGTTGTCTTTTCATTCTCTTGACAGTGTCTCTACCAGGGTGGAATTTTTTAATTTTAATTAAGTCCAGTCATTAACTATTTCTTTCATAGATCATTTCTTTGCTGCTATATCTAAAACTCCTCACAACAAAACTTTATACCTTACTATACATATGCATACTGTTTTCAGCAAACCCAAAATTTCTTCTATAGAAGCAATCTCTAGTGAAAAAGGATTTTAAATAAAAGTCATCATCTTTCTCCAGAATTTAGGCAAATCCTCCTGAAACCATATTTACTTTACTACTAGTGCTTGAGTTTCATAAAACTAAAGGCCCAATATTTCCCCGTCTCTATCTCTCATGCATGTGCACACACACATACACACCCCCACACACTTTTTTTTAATGGATTCATGGATGTGATTCACTTTTTAACTCCTCCAGCTCCTCTTTAAACTCTTAGATGCATGACAGCTGGTGAAAATGCAGGGCTGGAGGTTACACACACACACACACACACACACACACACACACACACACAGACATGCACACATACAAACATGTTTGGTAGAAACGTGAAACACTAGAAACACTGGTGAGACAGGCAAAATCTCCACCCTGGTCTTCTCGTCAAGTATTATGCACCTTCCAGACAGGGCCACCATCTAGTCTCTGACCCCACACCCTGGGAGGAAGAGCATCATCTGGAGCCTATCCTTTCAGCACGTCCTTATTGGTTTCCTGAACTTCATTTGGGAGGCAAAAGTGACTAGATGCCTTTTCTTCCTACCAGTGGATAAATGGATGGATATTTCCAAAGCACAAGGCCTTAGCCAGTGTTTGCTGTGTACACTTGCCATAGGAGCAAATTGGTATGCATGATCTCACTTAGACCCAGAGATGGAAAACCCATGTGGAGGATGATGGATTTCCTTGATCTGTACTGATCCTTTGACCTTGAGATTATTCCATGAGAGAGAGTGAGAGAGGGAGAAAGGGGGAAAGAGAGGGAGAACTGGAGAGAGAAAGGGGGGGAAGAGAGATTGATTTACATTTCTATTTTTTAAGCCATGGTATTTTTGAGTCTCTCTTTGTGGCTGTTTTGGTTTTATCCTAACTAAAGGCACCTTGTACATATGATATTTCTACAGGTTCAGCTATACATCGAAGTGTAATTACTGTAACTAAGCATATGTTTACTTAAAATTTTGAAAAAATGGTCCCCTATAGATGGTGCACAAAATACTGATGTGTAACAGAGGGCTGAAGAGTTTTGACACCCCAGCTTTCACATGTTTAGGGGTAGTGTAGGCCAAAAGCTAATTTATGATGTTTTGTTAACTTAAAACTTAATATATGAAAAGCCCCAATGTCTTCCCTTTATAAAAATTAGACTAACATATAACAGAAATTGTCAATTCCCAATTTTATGTTTAATCAATTTTAAACATCTTGTAGGCATGTACAATCAGGTCTTACCATTACATAGTGGTATGTACACAGTGTTTCTTAAATTTGACTGTACATACGGATTGCCAGAATAACTTTTACAATTTAGGTGCCAAAGTGGGTCCTGGATATCTTTTAAAGTATTATATGACATTTTGATGTACAAACAGATTTGAAAGCGCCTGATAGAAGGAAATAGGTGTGAGTTTAATGTCAGAAGACCTTAATCATATACAAAAATGTCATTTTAACAACCATGTTTGACAATTTGAAGACAGGAACACTCCTCTGGACATTGGTTTCTACACGTCAGATGAGGGTAATATTAAGGATGCTTAATTTATACCTTTATTATGATATTAAATGAGGCAGTTTATGTGGAAGTACTTTAGAGTCTGTAAATGTTTTTCAATGATGTATAGCATTGCTATAGCACTTTTATGCCTAGAGCTGCAAAAACGAGGAATAATTTGTTAAACAAACAAATTTCATTTTCTCTAGAGTTAACAAAATGAAGAAAATAATTCCCATGAAAAGATTGATTTTCTGTCTATTTTTTATATGACTTCCGTAGATGTGATCCTATTTGTATTTTCATTTTTTCCGTATTACTTTGTTGATCTCTTACAGTCAAGCTCATTTATTTTGTTTCTGTTTTATTCTGTCCTATTTTCTTTTTCACTGTGATTTCTGTCTCAACAATGCTTTCGCTCCATTTTTTTCTCTTCTCATTCCCCCCCAAAAAAGTGTTCCAGTTTTATAAATTAGCTGCATTTATTTTAAAAAATCATACCTGAGAGGTATGTTTACAATCCATGAATATAATCTCAAACCAACTTACTCTTTTGTTATAGTAACTTAAGTGTTTTGATTATTTTACATATCAATTTTTCGTGTTTCCACATTAGTGTGGTGGTTAAAATTTTGGAAATATAAAAATACTTCTATGGAAAGGTGATTTTTAAAATCTCCTTAAACTAAGAAGCTGATACTACCATATTGCATAAACAGGAAAATGTAATTTCAGTTAATAATATATGATACTCCACCTCAATTAATATACAGATATAAACTTTACTTAAAAATAAATTCAAATACATAATATTTTGTCATATGTAGAGATTTAATCATTGATCTAAATTAATTGAGTTGGAGGTGACTAATTCCCCAAATTTCTTTTATATAAATAATGTAGTCAAAGTAATAATTTATTCTAGTAACCAGGAAAACATAGTGTGGTGGAATGATTTTAGACCTATGTCAAAGCAAAATTGCACTGGACAAAGTTAAATGAGTATGGAAAACTTTATTCAATGCTCTTGCAATAGAGGAGAGAAACTAGAATGCAGTCTGAAGTCAACCCCATTGAAACAAAAGGCAAAAGGGTTTTCAAGTGCTGGGAAAACTACTGAAAAAGTGATGGAGGATATTAAGGTTAAACATAGTATGTGTTCAGAATGTTGAGTTATCTTGAGTTTGCAAATGTTTTTCTCTGGTGAATAGGGTAGCTGTGCTTGCTAATTAGCACCCTCCAAAGTTAGGCTGCCACACGTCCATACAGTTCGGGAGATAGTGGCTGTATCATCCATGATGATTACATTTGAAAGGGATGGTTTCCAAGTCCTTGAGAGAGATGGTTCTGGGTCATAAACCTGGGAAGAGGAGTCTACAAAAATTTATATCTCAAAGGTGCAGAGGATTTACAAATTTTCTAAAAGTAAATGCTCTAAGGAAAGAAAGGTCAGGGTCTAAAGTCAGGAATAAGCTTGTTTACAGTTTAGTCCATCTGAGGGCACTGTGGTAGCTACTACTTACAAGATGATGAACAAAACATAGGTGAACTCTGTCCCCATGGACTTTACTGTAAAACTATAAATCATACTCACCTAGCCTAAAACTTGAATAAATTATTGTCTTCTTAGGCAGCTGCAAACTTTCAGGTCTTTACTCCACGATATAGCTGAACAAACTGAAAAACAATTACTTTTCTTGAAACCCAATAGAATTGAGGTCACAGGGCAAACTACCATCTCAAAGTCTGGAAAGACAGGTGCATTGAGGGAGCCACAAATGAGATCTGCTTACCTGGTGCAGAAGCTGCTGGAGCTATTAACTGGCCAGAACACTGATGTGGTCATTCTGATGAATTGCTAGAAGTGGAGTGTGAATGAGCATAAGAGTGAGAAACTCCTAGGGACTGAAGTCTTGGGAGGACTCCACATTTTAGTGGGTTTTATTTGCCTCCAGAAACCCCATGAGACTGTGACAGTAAAGAGCTGGGAGAGGGCCCTTTATGTCACCGGCAGGGGAGAGGAAGAACAATCACTGTGAACTGCACATGGAGCATCCTTCAGAGTAAAGGCCTGCCCTCCAAGTGAAGTCTTGACCACAGTATTGTCCCACTTGGGAGAAGGGCATTTATCCCATTCTAGCCTCTCTAGCCTTCCTGGCTCAACAAAGCAGGAAGTGGCCATACAAGAAGAAACATGTGGGGCTGTAACAGCCCAGAGACACTGGCCCACTAACGACTGAATTGGAAGATTATAGAACATCTTCCCTATCCCACTCCTTACCACCACACTCACAGGGCTCAGGTCATCATAGTGCTGACAGCTCAAAGACTCGCAAGACTTCAAGCATAAATAATTAGGCAAGATAAGTCAACAGGGGATACAGAAACAAGGACCCCAGAGGAATCTGAAACCTCTGGCCCCTCCAGTTACAGGAAGAACAAGAGTAAGAAGTATAGCAGACTTCTCCCCAGAAACCATGCAAGCAGGCAGTGTGGACAGTAATAAAAATGTTGAAAAAATACAAAAAACTACAATCCTATCTCCAGTGTAAATTATTTTCAAAAAGTGAAACTGAAATAAACATGTTCTCACAGAGAAAGTGAGAGAATTTGTTTACAGACTTACCCTGCAGGAAATCTTAAATATTCTTCAGGGAAAAGGAAAATAATACAAGCCAGAAACTCAGACCTACATAAGGAAAGGAAGGGCATCAGGCAAAGAATAAGTGTGGAGAAAATAGTCTTTCATTTTTTCTAGAATAAGAGAAATAAAAAAATATAGGTGACCCCGGATTTGGTAATAGGTTTTAGATACAGTGAGAAAAGCATGAACCATGAAAGAAAAATAAGTTGGGCTTTATTAAAATTTTAAGAATCTGCTCTGTGAAAGATTCTGTTAAAAGAATAAAAAGACAAGCTGCAGATGGGAGAACATACTTACAAAACTTATATGTGGTAAAGGAGTTGGATCCCAAGTGAATAAAGACCTCTTAAAACTCAATAATAAGCCAACAAAACGAAGTTCTAAAAATGGTTAAAGATATAAACTGACATATCACCAAAGAAGATGAAAGATGCATCATCTATTATTAGAAAATTGAAAAAACAACAATGAAGAATCTCTTTATACCAACTTCAATGGCTATAATCTAATACATCAAAAATAGCAATTGTTGGAGAGGACATGCAACAACAGAAACTCTCATACATTGCTAGGGGAGTGCAAAATGGTACAGCCACTTTGGAAGACAATTTGAGAGTTTCATTTCAAGAAAAATACAGTCTTACCATAAGATTTAGCAATTGTGTTCCTAGGTATTTATTGATTTGTAAACTATGTCCACGCAAAAATGTTCATAACAACTTTATTTATAATCACCAACAACTTGAAGAAACAAAGATGTTCATCAATAGGTGAAATGATAAACCATCAGTGGTACATCATGCAGTGAAATATAATTCAATGACAAAAAGGAATGAGCTGTCAAGTCACAACAGACATAAATAAATCTCAAATATATATTGTTGAGTGAAAGAAGCCAGTCTGGGAAAGCTAAATAGATTGTGATTGCAATTATATTACATTTTTCAAAATGCAAAATGTCATATATGATAAATGGTAAGAACTTATAGATGCCATTACTTTGGGAGTACTGGAGGGAGTTGAATAGGTAAATCAGAGAAGATGTTTATAGTGGTGAAACTATTCTGTATGATACTATAATGCTGGATAAATGACACTATGCATTTATCAAAACTCACAGAATTTTATAGCACGAAGAGTTAGTATTAATCTACACAAAAAATATTATTGTTCAGGAATTTAAGGGAATCCCAGGATGGAATGTAGAATACAACAAAAGAATCTAACTGTATTGCAAATATATAAAACAATCTCACTGAAGAAGATGAAGAAAGATGCTGACCTAAGTAGCTTTGTAAATAAGTGGATCTATAACACTCAAGGAAATAGAGACTGCAGGCAAGCACTCTAGTTGATTTGATAGTGCTGTCTCCCAAAAGGGTGTGGATTAACATTTCTAATACCATGGTGGGAGCCAGGTTTCTCACTATTGAAGTGGATAAGCAAGGGGAGAAGGCTACAATGGTCCATGTGGCAGTGGATTAGAGTTGGAGATATTAGTATGAACTCATATTTAGCTTGATATAGATAAAGATGATTACATATGGACATGTGTTTCTACTTGCGTGTGCATATACCAGTTAGTATAAACACACCTATCTCTTTGCTTTGTCAGTTGAGAAGACCTGGAAGTAATGACACCCAGTAGCAATTAGCACACTGAATTCCCAGATTTGGGCTTCTAATACTGTTCTTCAATAAGTGAAAACAGGGCTCCTTGGAGAAATGGCTAATTCGAGAATTGGGCAAGGGGATATACAAGATGAGTGATATGGTTTGGCTCAAATCTCATCTTCAATTGCAGCTCCCATAATTCCCTGGTGTCAGTGCAGGAGCCTGGTGGGAGGTAATTGAATCATGGGGGCGGGTCTTTCCTGTACTGTTCTCGTGATAGTGAAAAAGTCTCATGAGATCTCATGGTTTTACAAATGGGAGTTCTGCACTAGCTCTCTTTTGCCCACCACCATGTAAGACATGCCTCTGCTCTTCCTTGGTCTTCTACCATGCTTGTGAGGCCTCCCCAGCCATGTGGAACTGAGTCTGTTAAACCTCTTTTTCCTTATAAATTACCCAGTCTCAGGTATGTCTTTATTAGCAGCATGAGAACATATAAATACAATGAGCTTGGAGCATCTTGTAGTGCTAGAAAATAAGGAAGAGAAGAAAAAAATGATGTGGGCATGTCAAAGGGACAAAGGGGTTACCTGCAAGAGCTTCCAGTGGCCAAAGTTGAATTTGGCAACATATTAAAGCATTGAATTATAACCCGAAATATAAAATAAATATCCATAGGTCCATACTGAAATAAATGATAGAATAAATGGATAAATGAGGAAAACAGACAAATATCTCAGGCAGAATTCTAAATAATTTATGTAGAAACTCTGCCCTCAAGGAGGTGGAAAATAACTCACCACTCCCTAAGTGAGGGCTCCACATGGGGACTTTCTTTTAAAAAGCACAGAATAGAAAGGAGGAAAACAACAAATAACTTCACAGTGGAGACAAAACTATCTCTGGCTGGTGATACAGACGAACAATAATAGTGATAATCTATGGTGACCATCTATACCATTCAAAATATAATGAAAATGCACATCAACAAAATAAAAGGAAAAGAATATTTGATCATACAAGTTGTGCAGAAAAGTTAATTAACGGGATTTTATATAATCTAATACTTACTCTTGATAAAACCTCTAAGCCAGGTAGGAATGGAGGGGAATTACCCCAACTTGATAAAGAATGTCTACAAAATCCTACAGCTAAAATTATACATACTTACGAAAGACTAAGAATTAAGGACATGGAGACTGAGTAGAAAGAAATAAATCTCTATGCACATAGGACATGATTATCTATGTAGAAAATTCCAAGAAATCTATGAAACATAAAATCCTAGAACTAAGGGAGTTCAACAAGGTTGCAGATACATGATAAGAAACAAAAATCAATCACATTTTTATATACTCACAATAAACATGTGAAAATAAAAATTAAAGAAACACAACTTGCAACCACCCCCCAGAATGCACACTTTCTGTGCTAAGTACACACTAAACAATACATATGCAGAATCTGTATGATGAAAATTATAAGTTGATGAAAGAGATTAAGTAACACATAAATAAACTGAAAACACACTGTGTTCCTGGATTAGATGACTCCCCATAGCAAGGTTGTTCATTTTTTCTAAAGTGATCAACACGGTAAAGACATTAATTGTCCCCAAAAGGATCTATAGTATTAATACAATTCCTCTGAAAAATTCCAGCAAGGTATTGTGTGAATATAGATAAACTTATACCGCAGAAAAGCAAAAATGATCTTGGAAAAGAAGAATAAAGTAACAAAAACAATTATCCACTATCTCAAGACCTACTAAAGCTACAGTAATCAAGACAGTGTGGCATGAAGTATGTCACTGGATGAGGGGCACACCTATAGATCAACAGAATAGAGAGAAGAACCCAAAAATAGACTGAAAAAAAATAGGCTTAACAGATTTTTGACAAAGGTGCAAATGAAATTCCCTGGAGGAAGCAGAGTTTTTGGGCAAAGTGTGCTGCAGCAATTGGAAATTCAAAGGCAATAAAGAAACAAAGAAAGAACCTCAATAAAAAACTCACATTATATAAAAAAAATTCAAATCGGACAATGAAAGTAAATGTAAGATATAAAACTATAAAACTTTTGAGGAAAAGACATGGAAAATTTTTGAGATATAGGGCAAGACAAAGAGTTCATATGATTGACATGAAAAGTAAGAGCCATAAAAGGAATAATTAACAAATTGTCCTTCACACATTGACAAATTGGACTTGTCTATTTGTGAAAATTCATGTGAAGAGAATGAAAAGAGAAGCTATAAATAAGGAAAAATGATTTGTAATTATTATTATAAATTATACATCATATAGTGAGAGAAGCTATAAATAAAAATGATTTGTAATTATTATTACAAATTAATTATGCATCATATAGTGAACTAGTATCTGGAATATATAAATAAACTCTCAAAACTCAAGACTAAAAATCAAATAATTCAATTAAAAAATGGGCAAGAGCCATGAACAGACATTTTACTGAGGAGGATCTACACACGACAAATGAACATATGAAAATATGTTAAATATTCTTAGCTATCAGGGAAATGCAAGTTAATACCACAATGAAATAATAATGTACATTTATCAGAATGGCTAAATTAAGAAAAAAATTGTGGCAACACCCAATGCTGGTAAGAAGGAGAAACTGGATCTCTCATACATTACTGGTGAGAACGTAAAACGGTTTGGCCACTCTGGAAAATAATTTGACAGTTTCTTAAAAATCTAAGCACATAATAACCACACCATCCAGCACAATTACACTCATAAGCATTTACCCTATAAGTTAAAATGTATGTTTACACAACTACCTACACAAAAATGTTAATAGTGGCTTTATCTGTAATAACTCCAAATCGGAATCAGCCCAGATGTCCTTCAACAGATGAACGGTTAAACAGCTTGTGTTACATACATGTCATGGAATATTACAGGGCAATAAGAAGGAATATATTATAGATACTTAAAACAATTTAGATGAATCTCCAGGTAATCATGCTGAGTAAAATAATCCAATCCCAAAAAGTTGCATTCCGTATGATTTAATTAATAAAACATTCTTGACAAAAATTTTAGAAATGCTGGTAAAATAGTGGTTGCTAGGGGTTTGGAACTGGGTGTGAACATATCCCTTATGTTGATAAGGGATATTCATGGTGACGGAATGTTTAGTTTAGATTGTGCTGGTGGATACATAAACATATACATGTGATAAAATCAAACGAAATTACACACACTCACACAGCATGAGTATAAGTTAAACTGGAGAAATCTGAATAAGGCTGGTGAATTGTATCAATGTCAATATCTTAGTTGTGATATTAGACTATAGTTTTTACAAAACGTTAATACCAGGCAAATTAGGTAAAATGTACATAG
Source organism: Homo sapiens (assembly GCF_000001405.40). NCBI lineage: Eukaryota > Metazoa > Chordata > Mammalia > Primates > Hominidae > Homo > Homo sapiens. The sequence goes on along the minus strand of NC_000018.10, from coordinate 73,697,335 downwards.
GATCTCTTTTGTATGATTTCTTAAAGCTGCACATAAATCTATAATTACCTCCATAAAATTTTTAATTAAAAAAGTTGAATTCCTTCTAATCTTTGAACACATAGAAAAGTTGTCTTGTTTGCATTTTCCATCAAAGTCTAAGCGTTTCACTCACACAACATCACGATGGGGGCTATTACCTTGTTCTGCGCCCTCGAAATACAGAAAAAGGGCCTTGCCACTTATAAATAGCTACTGCATAGGGCCAATTCTGCTGCTGCTGTGAAACCCTGCCTGAGATTTCAAATTGTTTGTAATATTTTAAAATGTGCTTTTTTTTTGGTATTTGGATCTAAACCAGAATAATATCACTATTCCCTCTGGAGATTGTATTTGAAAAAATCTCTAGCCAAAATCACTACTGCAGCTTCCACAAAACAGCTGACTTTGGCTTGAAATCAGGGTTCCTACTGCATTATTTTTCTCAGGATAATGCTGAGTACGCCTACTATATCTCTCTTTGCTAATTTGGCCATGGGTACTCAGATTTTCTTAACCCTTTGTAATGCTCTTATAAATCCTACATGTCTACAATGGACCACAGCTAAAATTTCTTGATGTGCCCACATTTTAAACTTCAGTTTTTGTTTTCACTATATTTAGTTTCTTGACTATCCTATAAGTCAAGGGGAATGGCTCTCAAAATATTTCTATCCCCCCCGCCCGCGGCTACTTACTTACTACCTTGCCCTGGTAGTAACTTATACTCGTTATACATCTTTTTCATTTCAGAGGGCTCTTAGGTAAAATGTGTCACTTAATTCTTAGTAAACCTTGTCAGGTAGATATTTTTATCCCTTATGTATAAGTACGGAAATATAAATTCTGAGTAATTCCCTAAGCTAGTAAGTAAGGAAGCATGACTTGAATTCTAGGCATTCTGGTTCTAGGTGGAGAGTCCTCCCTATGACAATCAGGGTTGCTGGAGTGAAATGCAAACTGCCTTAGCAGATAGGTGGAAGCCAGTGCTTAGGGCCTCCTCCCAAGGCCTCTATGCCCATTCAAGCTCTTCGTTACACATACCACAATCCAGGATGGCTAAAAGACTTCAGTGAAGAGCACAAAGTTTTCTCAAGCTTTACTTCGTTACTGGCATATGGATCTTGGAAAACATTTCCTAAAATCAGTATTTTAAGACTATACTTCCTGAGATATAAACAAATAGGATAATTAGTTCTAAATCTGCTTACTCATGGTGAGACAAGAATGTCCAAACTTAATAGAACACTGCCTGAATGCATACTCATTGAACAGATGAACAAATGAATGAACCTATGAAGACTGTAATTGTGTGATGGAGAATGCCACATTAAGTAATTTTAAAGCAAACTTACTTAAAGGTAAGATCGAGAAAAATTACGCCAAGTGCTTTGAATACTGTGTGTTTGACAATGTGGATTTTCTTCATCTGTTTAATCTTTTAACATTTTACACCTTTGTTGCAGGTACATTTGTTTTCTTACCCAGGCACTTGACTGTATGTGCTGATAATGTCATTCTGGAGAAGGAGAGTCAATTGCATTCTTCTTTGTGGATGAACTAAATCAGCCACATAGGCATGTTTGTAAGAACCAGGCTGAATGTTTCTTTCTGCCTATCCCCAGTTGCCGGTATCCTGCATAGAATAGGCTTAAGTGAAAAGAACCTGGAGTCTGAAGAAGCACAACACTAGTGTGTTTTCATCATCATGTTTTAAATATAAGGTGAGGTATGCACTTTGTCCTTTCATTTCTTGAGGTGTGCCTCAATCTCTTCTTGAGTGTGCAGGGGAGAAAAGATTTCTTCCCTTGCCCATCATTAGGTTCATGGTGAAAACACCTACAACAATTGAGAGATTAATAACAAAAAAAGCATACAGATTCTTATGTCATATAATTTTTATGTGAAATGAGAGACTTCATAGGAAATGAAGACCCAAAGAAACAGAGAAGACTGTGTATTTTGCTACCAAGTTTGATGAAGAAGTGGATAACTATGAAAAAGTATGACTGGTCCAGAGGTATGATCTAATGGTAACAAGCTGGGGGGATCTTAGCAAGGCCTACTTGTTTATATTTTTCTCTCTGTCCCTGTGTCTACAGAGATAGGGAAAAAAGAGACAAAGGCTTTCCTTTTGGGGGGTATAGGTATATAAATGTGTACAGAATTGATATCTTTAGGACGTTGAGTGTTAAAATCTGTTAGTTGGATGTAATTCTCCTTTTCATTTTTTGTTCTTTAATATATAGTCATGCATCATTTCATGACATGAATAGATTCTGAGAAATGTATTGTTAGGCAATTTCATCATTGTGTGAATATCATAAAGAGTGCTTACTTACACAAACCTAGATGGTATAGCCTCCTACACACCTAGGCTGTATGGTATAGCCTATTGCTCCTAGGCTATAAACCTGTGCAGCATGTTACCAAGTACTGTAGGCAACTGGGACACAAATCACCAGGCCATAGCAATTCTTCAGCTCCATTATAATCTTATGGAACTACCATTGTAATATGAGGTCCATCATTGACTAAAATGTAGTTATGTGGTGCATGACTGCATTTTATTAAAATTTCAACATTTTTCCCATAAATTTTTGTATATTTTAAGATTGATTTTAGGAAATTAATAACTGATATTTACTGTAATTGGTATCTTTTAAATTACATTTTCTTATTACTTATGTGTAGATTTTACATAGTGATTTTGATTCCAATTTATAGTTTCACTTATTGCTTTCAATACCCATTATATGTAAATAACAATGACTTTAATTTTGTTTTTCAAATATTTATACATTTTTTTCTTGCTTCAATGAACTGGCAAGCTCCTTCAGGAGAAGAGTGACTAGAACTGCTATTAAAGCAATTCGTGACTTGTTCCTGACTGTAATTAGGTAATCACTGAGCATTATAATTGCTGTATAATTATCACCTTCAGAAAGTCATTTTTCCCCAGTTTTCTGTACATTTTTGTCATGAATGGACATTGAATTGTCTCAATAATTTTTCCGTATCTAATGAGATAATCGTGGAATTTAATTCCTTTTATATGTTCATGTAGTATAATTCATTAATTGATTTTCTATTAATTCTTCTATTAAACATCTCCTACTGAGGCTGGGCATGGTGGCTCATGCCTGTAATCCCAGCACTTTGGGAGGACGAGGTGGGTGGATCACCTGAGGTCAGGTGTTTGAGACCAGCCTGGCCAACGTGGCAAAACCCTGTCTCCACTAAAAATACAAAAATTAATTGGATGTGGTGGCACGCACCTATAATCTCAACTACTCGGGAGGCTGAGACAGGAGAATCACTTGAACCCAGGAGGTGGAGGTTGCAGTGAGCCGAGATTGTGCCATTGCACTCCAGCCTGGGCTACAGAGTGAGACTTCTTCTCAAAAAATAAATAAATAAATAAATAAATAAATAAAAATAAATAAACAAACAAACATCTCCTACTGTATTATCCTCTTGTCACATTGCTGGATTTGCTTTGTAACTTTGTTTCTGGTTTTGTATCTATGATCACAATGGAGGTTGTACTGTACTGCGCTTGTCAGTGTCAGTATGATAAACTTACACTGAACACATTTGTGGTAGTCTCTTTCTACACCTTAAAATCATTTATGAAAGATGCATTGAGTCCTTTGATGGAACTTTCTGTAAACTGGGCCTGGTGGTTTCTTTGGAGAAAGAGTTGACCTATTGATAAAATTTCAAATGTGATTATGGAACTGTATAGCTGTTCTAACTCTTCCTGAGTCTTTATTTTTCTTCTTCTTCTTCTTCTGTTTTTTTTTTTCCCAGAATTCCTGGTAAGACTGAAGAGTCTCTATTTTTCAACTCTCTACTCTGTACCCTGGTTCAAGCCAGACCATTGCTCTAACATTCTCTTCACAGTCAAGACTACCCCTTTCTGAGCTTAGGTTTATTTGCAGAGAGGTCTTCTATTTTACCCCCCCAACACTGAGCAAGCCTGGGCTTGTCTCCTGACTTTCCCAACCCACAGGCTGACAAACCAAAGTTTCAGTGTATCCCAGTCCATAAATATCTTCAAGGGAAAAGTTGGTTTCCTTGCTGTGCTTGTTTCTATGAAGTCATACTTTCATTGTGTTTCAGTCTTCTAATACGTATTATTTAATTTTGTTGACAGGAGGTTAAAGGCATTTACATATATTTTTCATTTTATCCAACATTTTTAGTTGTTTTTAGCCACAGGATAGTCAAGGTATCTAGACATTCATACCACCAGAGATGAAGGCTTACCTTCATTCTCAATTATATGATTTGTTAAATGCTTAATGTGCTTCAGGACCTACTTTTCTAATTTTTATTTTTTTCAATTATTCCCTTTTTTCTGGACAATAACTTAGCAATTTCTAACACTATCCTAACATGTCAACAACTCTTATTTCTTTATGTTTTCGATGCATTTAGAGCAATGACATTAATTATAAAAATATTAATTGAGTTTTTTTCTTCATAGCAGGTGTGTTACCAGAAAGGGGTCCCAATCTAGACCCTAAGAGAGGGTTTTGGATCTTGCACAAGAAAAGAATTCAGGACAAATCTACCGAGTAAAGTGAAAGCAAGTTTATTAAGAAAGTAAAGGAATAAAAGAAAGCCTACTCCATAGACAGAGCATGGTGTTCCCAGAAGGAAGAGAAGGAACACATCCACCTTAAACAGAGCATGGTGTTCCCAGAAGGAAGAGAAGGAACACATCCACCTTAAACAGAGCATGGTGTTCCCAGAAGGAAGAGAAGGAACACATCCACCTTAGACAGAGCATGGTGTTCCCAGAAGGAAAAGAAGGAACACATCCACCTTAGACAGAGCATGGTGTTCCCAGAAGGAAAAGAAGGAACACATCCACCTTAGGTACAATGCTCATTTATATATAAAACAGCAAAACAACAAAAAAAAACATGGGGGAGGTGTGCTCTGCTACAAGGGCTTGTGATGAAGGATTGTTAATCTTTGCATAACTACTCTCTTCCACAAGAATCTATATTATTATCTTTAAAGCAAAACTTATTCTTAAACTAAGAATGTTCTTGTTCTTAGGATATTGGGACATCAGGACATTTTCTGGGTCTGTTATCTCCTGGATCTGTTAAATCCTGGTGTTAGCGGCAGCAAATCCATATGGGTCTGCAGCAACCTCAATCCTCGCCTTCTCTGAAGAAAGAATTCAGCCAAGGGGCATAAGGCAGAGTGAGAGGCAAGTTTTAGAGAAGGAGTAAATGTTTATTAAAAAGCACTAGAGCAGGAATGAAAGGAAGTAAAGTGCACTTGGAAGAGGGCTGAGTGGGCGACTTGAGAGAACAAGTGCACAGTTTGAGCTTGGGGTTTATATGTTGGCATGATTCCAGGGTGTTGCGTCCGTTCTCCCCGTAGTCTTCCCTCGGGGTGGGCTGTCTGCATGCGGGTTGGCCTGCCAGGACTTGGGAGGGGTGTTGTGTCCCTTCTCCCCTCAGTCTTCCCTCGGGGTGGGCTGTCTGCATGCTCGTTGGCCTGCCAGCGCCTGGGAGGGACCGCATGGGCAGTGTGTTTACTGAAGTTGTACCCATGCTCATTTGAGGCGTTCTTCCCCTACCAGTTGAGTGTTCCTAGAAGGTCACACACCAGTTAAACTGCACCATTTTGCCTCTTAGTGCACATGCTTAAGCCCACTCGCCCAACCCCCGAGATGTTATTGGGAAGACGATCACTAGTTTCAGGTGTTTCTATCTATTGGGAGATGGGCTTTCCCTGGCACCGGCTGTGACCAATTATTACTTTAGAGAGAAAGTTTAACAACTGCCTGACCATCACCAGATGGCTGCCTGATACTCCTGGTGTGGGAAGGGGGCAGCTCTCCTGCCCTGCTCACTGTCTGACTAGCCACCCACTGTAACACCGGGTCGGTTTTGTAAACATATTAACTTGTTTCCGTGACTGCAAATATCCTGTGACTAAGAATGCCTGATTTCCTGGCAATGCAGCCCAGCAGCTCTCAGCCTCATCTGACCCAGCCCCTATTCAAGATGGAGACGCCCTGGTTCAGACGCCTCTGACAGATGCTCCAAGATGATGTGAAGGTAAGTGTCATAAAACGTGGAGTGAGCTTCTAAGGAGGGATGTTCTGGGCTGTAGTGGGGAAGTCTCAGACAGATGACTTCATGAAAAGAATTTAAAAAATGTTTTAAAGTGGAATGTTTAAATGTAGCCTATTAGCCTGGTCACATGTAACTTATTTCAGTCAATCAGATTAAATCTTTATTTCAAGCATTTTCATTATTCTTATTCTAGAGTAAATCTCTAAATGCATTTTCAGCCACACTTTCATTTCTCATCAGCTCAACCTAACGCCACAAGTATAATCCGAAATAATTTTAGGTATGTAGACATTTAAAGAAAATGTTCCTATTTGACATTTGATTTTGTTCCACATAACTTGGCTACAGGCAGATATAAAGGAGGCAACTGTAGTGGAAAAAAACGAGCAGGAAGCTCTGCATGAGGAGACCTGGGGACTGATGCTCTCCCTCACTCCTTGAAGTTCCTAGGACAAGACACTATCCTCTCTGAGCATCAGTTTCCTCGTGTACTCAGTAGAGTCAACAATAAATTTCCTTCCACAGTTTTGATTAGAATAAACATCATCAGAACGTGATGCTAAAATGACTCTTTTACATTTCAAATCTATTCATTTCATTCTCCTGTTTAAAATCCTTCAACATCTTGCCATTTTATTTGCAATAAAATTTAACACCCTTATTAGCTGCATACATAACCTGGTTCCTTTTCAGCCCTTTTATTTCTTGACTCTCCTCACTGCCCCCGCCAGCTGCTCAGCAGGGCTCCTGCCACACTGACCTCCTCTGGGACTCCAAACAATGGGCTCCTGCCCCTGTCATCTTAACTCCTATTTTTCCTACCGCCTGGATGCTTTTCTCCTTGTCTTCCTGTCTCTGAGGTCCCAGCTCAGACACTGCTCACAAGAGAGTCTTTCTCGCCCTGTCTGATGGAGCACCCCTACCCAGTGCCCCAAAGTGTTGATTCTAGCCTTTATTATTATTATTCTGAATAAAACATGGGTTTTATTTGGGGGAACTTACATACAGTGATGGTCCAGCAGCGGCAGGCTGGAGAGGAGAATGATAAGCACTTGTAAAAAGCATGCAGTTTATATAGCACCCTCACGTGGCACCCTCCCCTCAGCAACCTCCATGTGGCAACCCTAGTTTCTTGAGTTATTTCTGTCAGGTACATCTACCACACAGTGTTGCTATTTTTTTAAAAAAATTATCTATATGTAGAAATTAGAATCGATTCTAGCCTCCGAGGCTGTGGCTGCATGGTCCAAAGAGCTCCTCACAGGGTGACTTTCTGGCTGACCCCTGCTAGAGTGTAAGCACCTGAGGGCGAGGCTCTGGCTTCCGCTGTGGAGTTCTGAACAGCTCAAAGCACCTGCCAGGCATTAGTCGCTGCATTTTGAATAAATGGATAGCTGTTTGGCTATGAATGCGTATTGAAAACTGTAAAGTGTTATTCAAACACATGGCATTTTGACTACATGTTTTATAGTCTGTTTTTTACATAGCCTGAGATTGTCAGCAAAGTCAGGTTGTATCATCATTCAGATCCAAGGTTTGATGCTCCATATGGCAGAGGCCCTGCAACACCAAGGCTTCGCGCTGACAGCAACTCCAATGACAGCCCAGGCTGCTCCTCGTGGCACTGCTTGAAAGCATATCTTGAAAGCCAGCCTTCAGCCTGGACAGATGAGCACTTCCAGCTGCTGTTTTTAGCATATTTTCTAAATGGAGGCACTTTAACCACCGGTGCCTTCCGTGTTTGCTGGAATCCTAAATTCAAATATGCATTTTAGGAAGTGATACTGAGACAATGTCTGTGTGACAGCAAACAGGCAACATTTTCAACTCTGTCAAGCACAGAGACCCAGTGACAGACAACCAAGGAATGTATTGTTAGAGGTAAAGCTCTTTGTGGAATAATGTTAATAGTAGATGCTTTAATCACACATTAAAATTCCAAAGCACTTTTCATGAGCGTTACAAATTCCATTTAGCATAGTCCATTGCATTTCTTGTCATAATTGTACTGAGTCACGTTCCTCACTCATATAATAAGCACTGTATTACCAAACAACCATGACTCACTTGACCATTTAGAGAAGTCTCCAATATATTGTCCAATATATGGGAGACATGCTTGACATGGTTGTTTGGTAACAGAGTGCTTATTACATTGTGCATTCATAGCCAGGCAGCTATTCATGTATTCAAAATGTACTGACTAAATGCCTCAAATGGTACTGCCTGGCAGGCACTGTGAACTTTTCAAGACTTCTCTAAAACAGTGGGGTCAAGCCTATGAGGGGACTGCTCGCTAAAGGTGTCAGGTTACATAGCACTGTCAGCCGAACCAAAATGACTTAGCTTTGTGAAAGGAAAATAAAAACTCAGGACCTCAACTCACTATGCCAAAAGGAAAAAATGAAGCTGAAAGCTAAGTCATGCAAGAAACCGCCTTTCCCTTTGTTCCCAAGCAGACAACAGGTTAGTATCGCCACGGCTATCTACTCAACGTTCATTTTATCTCATTAAAGTGTCAGTTTTACGGAGTACAAGAGGAGTTGTAATTGACTAGTTCCCTACCTGCTTCTTTTCTCTTGCCACACGTGGACCACCATATCCTCTCACCTTCGCCTCCAGCCTACTTTTCCCCTTTAGATAGTGAAGCCCTCAAACTCATCTTTGGAGAAAGGCACAGACCAGACTGTTTCTGTGATTCCATGTTTGTGTGTGTGTGTGTGTGTGTGTGTGTGTGTGTCTTCCAGGCATGTCCTTAACCTTGGCAAAATAAATTTGTGAATTGACTGAGACCTCTCTTAGACACTTTTGGTTTACAGTGTGGTTGGGTGCTCAGACTAGTGAGTGTTTTGTTCCATGCATCAAATGACCAGTCGATGGAATCCCTTATCAGCAGAATCCATCTCAATGTGCTTCCAGAAACCGCTGCACGGTTCCACTCATCACAAACACAGTGCCTCCGGATCCTGTCCTACTTGCCCCAAATTCTGTTATTGAACATGGATTGGTTCTTCACATATTTATCTTCACTCCATCAGAGCTTCTGGTACATAATAATGATGGATAAAGAGTAAGAACAGTTTTATGTACCTTCTGATTCTATTTTAAGACTTTTGACCCTTGATAAGAAATTGACTTTGCCCACAAAGGTTTTCTCCTGTTAACTAAATATTTATCTAGAGGAGTAAAACACATGAACTGGGGGGAAAAGGGGATGCCTCCCCGTGTGGGCAAGTCAGCCAAATCCACATGGGGCGTATGGAATGATGGGCATATAAACCAGAACACAGGGACATCTTTGAACATAGCTGATGGAAGCCCCCTCCTGCTCCACTCCCATCATCTTCCTCACACATCCTCACTCTCTGTCCAGTGTATGCAAAGTTCTGCTGCTCCATGAAGCCCTTCTACAATGTTCTATCCTGCAATGCCAGCCTTGTCTGGGTTTTTCATAGCCCTGAAGAACATGACTGTGAATGGTATTTGAGAGCATTTCAGTTAACTTTTCTTACGAGGTAGAAGACATCTCTGCCATAAACCTGTCAGTTGGGTTTTCTTTTCTCCGTATGAACATGTCCAGAAATTGAAAGTTTATGTCATTCATTTTTCTGAAATACTCCTTTTGGTGCTTAGTCACATGCTGCTTTTGTATCGTTAGGGTCTCTGGGGGGAGATGGCACAGCAACGTATCACATGCACTCGAGGTCCAGGTGACCTGGATTTGAGCAGTCACGTGGCACATTCCTAACTGTGTAACCTTGGTCAAGTTACTTCACCTCTCTATAACTCAGCTTTCTCACTTACAAACTTACAAATGGAATCACAACAACAATATAGACATCAGAGGTATTAATATACAAAATGGGCTTAGAATATTACCTACACACAGAAATAAAGGTTACCTCTTATTATTTTTCACTAGATGCATCTTTTGTATCCCCACAGGATTTGGCAAATAAACATCAAACTTAAAAAAAACCAAAGTCCATTTCTGTAACTTATGCTGTGGGATTTGAGAAGCAAAGCCACAGCATAAACATCAAGTGGTACATTTTCTGAGTTCTGTCCAACATCTTTGTCTTAGGCCAGGGACTCATCTAAGCTCATTACAGCCACCACATCCTGAATGTAGAAAGTCAATGGGGCTCCCCAGGATTTAAGGAAGCTGGTGCTTGGCAGGTGCTGAGGCTGCAGGGCAGGTCTGATGAAGGCCTGAAGAGAGGATGGGTTTCACACCACGCCAGAGTCAGGGCAGATGCGACTCAACCCATTAGCTTGAACGGGGTGTAACCACCATTGGGCCCTGGATTTTCACAGCTCCTGGGGGTGCATCCAGGTGTGATTTGGATTCTTTGGTAATTCTGAAAGGTGGTGGGATGGGACAGTTAGGGGTTTCTGCTGCCAGAAACTGAATGCAACATGAATAAGCGGCTTCCCCAGGACCGACGTTGTCATCTCACATTATCAATGGTCTGGAGCCAGGGTGGTTTCAGACTCAGGGCAGGAGTTCAACAATGTTGTTTAGGACTCAGGAGTTGTATTTTCCTTCCCTCTCTGCAGCATCAACATGTTCACCTCTGCTCTGGTTACAAGAGGGATGCAGTGTTCCAGGTGTCACATGGAGATAGCCGGGCATCTCATGAAGACAGGGGCATTTTTGTCCTTTGATACTTTCTATGAATAAGGAAAAAATTATCTGATATCTCCCTTAAAACCTTTCTGGCAGGATTGGGCCCCATAGTGTGCCTTGCTGGAGGAGAGGCTGGAAGGGACAGTACCCGCCATCTTTGTTCTCTCAGGTTGGAGACAGGCCCTGCTGGAGAATGGGGAGGCACGAGGAATAAAGAGGGTCTACTTCAGAGCAGCAGAAAAAATGTTTCTTTCTGGAAATATACTGAAGAACAAAATGTGATATGAAGACATATGGAATATAAAAACAAAGGGTGGACAGGCTGTGTAAAAATGGAATCTGTCACTCATGTCTCCTATTTGATAAATTGGAGTATATATAAATTTACTCAATTTAAATGCAAATATTTGATTTTAGAAAGTCTCATACTCTATATATTATAGGGCAGAAAATTTTCATATCATCGCACACTCTATTAAAGAGGATTTCAAACTATTTTAAAACTGTTCAGCAGCCTTGTAATAAAGTTATCCTCTGAACCTCTTCACACACTTATCAACCTTGACTTATATTACTCCAAATATTTCAGCCTGTTTCTTGAGGATGCTTTACCTTGGGGTCTCTAAGTGTAAAGATTTCCAGTTGTTTCCAGCACATTCTGTCACCTTTGTTCAACTCTCCAACTTTACTTCATTAATGTATATGGATAATGTTCAGTTCCATCACATCTTATGAAGAACTAATGAAGCTCTTCCAGACTTAATTTTAGGATTCAGTGGCTGTCTGGATTCCCTTGTATCAGCATTCACTTTCGTCATCACTTGCCTTGGTAATTTCTCCTTCTCACAACAGCAAATTTCACGACTAACGATGGCCCGAAGGCTCCTTCCCTCCACGGGATTCTGCTCCAGCCACAGCAGAGACTATTTTGCACACCTTCCAGACATTGCTGCCCCATTCCAGGTACCTCAAGGTCAATAAACACAACATGCAAATCTCATCTTATACCCATCAGGAGTATAAACAAGACAGTTGAATGCACACTGTTATCAAACACTTTGTCTCTTACTGTTTTTTAATTTTATTTTTTTGCTGCTTTCAATTGCTGTTTTAAGAACACATTATATCTCCTTTAGGGAATAAATTCAACACAATGAGAAAATTAAGTACATTTTCACGGTTTTAGGGTTTTGAATTCTGTGTCATAACATAGATTTGCTATCTAATCAAAGGAAGTAATGATGATAACATTAATAGCAGCACCACTAACAACAATAGTACTCACAGCACCACTGGTTGCAAAGAGTTTGGGAAAAACTTACAAGCCTCTTAAAACTGAGTTAGTGGATTTTAGCTACTCACCAGCTTTTTACTTTTCTTATATTCTTATATGGGTGCTAACTCTTAAGGACAATACTACTTAACAACTAGTTACAAAAAGTAATGCCCTTCTCTTAGGGAAAAGGTGATAACAACATTTTTGTAAAGTATCCTAAATCCAAAGACTCTTTCTGTAACCTTCCTTTCCCCCTTAGTGTCTCAATATCAAGTTGCAATAGAAGCTTGCTGTTAGTGGATCTGCACTTTAAAATGGTACTTAATATGAATACATAATCAGAAGGGATTTTTTTACTTGTTTTGTGAAAATGAACTGCAAGTCAACTAAGATATTTAAAACAAGGAAAAAGAAAGTCTTCTTCTACAGTGCCTCCAGGGTGAGTCACAGACTTAATCACCTGCTATATTTACCTCATGAAAGAATCAATGCCACTGCTGCAAGTCTTTCATGGTAAAGATTTTGAAAGCCAAGAGCTAAAAATCAATCCTACTACATATGCATCATTCATATGTTCAAAACAGCTCTATAAGAAATCCTGTTGTGTAGTAAATCCTATTAATTTCTCCATGACATTGATACCATAAATTTACCTGCAACCTCATTCTTACCTATATGCATTTGTCATTGTTAAATGAATACCCTTAAGAAACTTCATATTACCACAGATACAAAAAGAGGGATTTTTTAAAAAGTATTCTGCAATCTTAATTCCCCATGTTCAAAGGGCTCAACATAAGCAATTATTGTGAATCCTAATTAAATACTGCAAAACTCATCCTCTTTGTCTACATCAGTCTTCTCATTACAAGAAGGGAAAAGAACTTGTTCTTGACTTTTCTGGCCTGTGTACTATCACTCTTGAACATAGGCATGATATTGAATCTTTCGGAAAGCACTGTGCTTCTATGCAGTGATAAGCCATTAGGATGTGGAGGGAAACATTCATTTTTCCAGATATTACTGCACATTCATGACAGATTTTGAATTCCCTCAGCAGATACAAGTGCCCTTCTTGTCTCATGGACTCAATCAGGAGATATGAAGATTGACAACTGATTGGCAAAAGTGAAGTCACTGTGTGACCTGTCCTGAAAAGATGGTGGCTGCATCTAGAAACAGTGACGTGTTTGGGGAACAATGGAGTAGAGTCAGAGACGCACCTACTAAGACATTTTGGCTGCTGGGCACCTGAACATGAGCAATGTGAAGCTTCCGGTGCGTGTTTCCATAGAGAGTTTTCTGATAATGTGTCAGTTATTTTTAGCCACAAAACACTATAAGACAACTGAGCATGCTTTTCAGTGGCTAACAACTATAAGCATTAATTTTGCTCATGCACTAAGGGATGACTGAGCCCTTCTGCTGGCCTGGGCCACGCCTAACTGATTGCAGCTGGGCTAGCTCTTGCATCAGCTGGTGGATTGGCCTGGGGCAGGCTGGCCTGGGGTAGCTTTGGTTGGGATGATTTTTTTCTGCTCTGTGGTCTTTCATCTTGTGATAGGCTAGTCTCGGCTTTTCCTACAGTGGAGGCAGGGGTCTGAGGGAAGAAGTGGAAACACTTGAGGCCTGGGAGGCCTACTCTGATAATAAGCCAAGTCACCTCTGCTGCATTCTATTGGTTAGAGCAAGCCACAGCTCAGCCCAGACACAAGAGTTGGGCAACACCCTCTACTTCTTGATGAGAGGAGCTAACATGTAACTTTGCAAATGGAATAAATATAGAAAAAGGTGAAAATTCAGGGCCATTTTTGCAATCAGTCCATTACAGATGGTTTATTATTGAGAAACATCTATACATCCATATCCATATAAAATTACATATCTGTATCTATTTTTGATGTTATAGTTGACCCCTGATCCAGAGAAGAAAGGGATAGAGTGTAATAATCTCTGCTTTCTGGTGGATCTCCTGTTGTTGAGTAAAAGGGAATATGATCAGGAAATCACAAATATCAAAAGAATGGAATGGATAACTGACAAATGATTTATATTCCATATGCGTATGTCACATTTAATAAAACAAAATTATGGCTGAGCACAGTGGCTCACACCTATAATCTTAGCACTTTGGAGGCCGAGGAGGGCGGATCACAAGGTCAAGTTTAAGACCAGCCTGAACGACATGGTGAAACCCCGTCTCTACTAAAAATACAAAAATTAGCTGGGCATGGTGGTGCATACCTGTAATCCTAGCTATTCAGGAGGCTGAGGCAGGAGAATCGCTTGAACCCAGGAGGCAGAGGTTGCAGTGAGCTAAGATCGTGCCACTGCACTCCAGCCTGGGTGACAGAGTGAGACTCCATCTCAAACAAACAAACAAACAAACACCCCACAAAACTACATAATAGGAAAATGTACTTGATAATATTAAACTTTTAAGCAGTCCTTTAGAAATGGCTGAGAAAAGTGATTAGGAAAAGGGTGAAAACCTCCAACACTTAGGGAAAATCCTGTAGCTATCAGCGGCAGAAAGCAATCCTTAATTTTCCGTATGTCCCAGAGGGAATGAGAAAGTCAACTGGACTGAGGCTGTAGACCCACAATGGGGTTAGTTTTGTGGGTGGGTGGTGGGGGTGAGCTGATCCCATGAGAGGAACTTCAGGTGTATCATCTTTCCCAGGTGCCAGACAGTGGCTGTGCCTGAGGCTCTGAATGTTTAGTCTCATGCAATTGTTGTAGATTACTCTCCTTAATAGTTCTGTGATATTGTCTTGTTTTCTCATTGTAAATATTCTATATGTGTGTCTTCCAGAACAAAATGGTTTTAGGTAGAAGCAGGTGTAGCACAAAAAGGAAAGAATAATGAATTGAATCTATACTCAATGGATGGTGGAAATCTGACAGTTACATATCTGAAATCAACATTAAAACATAAATACTGACTTTACAGTGTCCTATCCAACACATAGGAATCATATACAGGTCAAGTGGCTGCAATAGGGCAGAACTCTGCCTTTGATTGACCCAGACCATCACCAGCCATGAACTTCAGGGATAGGTGACATGCCCACGAGGGACACATGAGGTTGTGTTTTTCCAGACACGGGTACCTTCCCTCCCACATGTTCTAAGTGTGAGGTGACCTTGTTTGCTCCACAGAGACTGATAGAGTCTAATTCCTCTCCTCTGAACCTTGACTGGCATAAGTGACTCACTTGTAACCAATAATATGTCATGGACATGGTACTGTGACTTTTTTGGCCAGGTCATAAAAGGCCCTGCAGCTTCCTCCAGGTTCTTTTGGAGCACTTGACTCTGCAGACACCCCCAGGCCCCATGATCAAGAGTCCTGGACATGCCGAGGCTTTACTGCACCTCACCCAGCTCAGGAACCAGATGTGAGCAAAAACGCTTCCAGGTGAGAACAGTCGGCAGTTGTTTGACGCTCCCGGAGTGATCCTAAAATCATGAGCCTCGTGAAGCCTTAGGCATCATGGAGTTGGAACAAAACTCTCTAAATTTCTGGCCCACAGAATCCATGAGCATAGTACAATAGTTGTCACCTTACAACACTAAGTTTAGGGTGGTTTATTACACAGAACTATATAACCAGAAAGACCCAGGACAGGATGAGAGTCACAGCAGACGAAGCATCGTGCACCATTTCACTGAGAGTATGTAAACTTGTCACTGTATAGAGGTGCTGTGGTTGTGGGGGTTGAGCTGATCCCACAGGAGACCCTATAGCTGTCTCCTGTGCCAGGTGCCAGGAAGTGGCTATGTCTTAGGCCCAGAATGTTTGGTCTCATTGGGGTGGGGTGGGCAGAGAGGGAAGGGCAAGTATTTGAAAAGGGAAAGCACCTTGGTAATAAACTTTGGACACTTAATTTGACTATTATTTCAGAAATGACTATAATCTGCCAGGCGCGGTGATTCACACCTGTAATCCCAGCACTTTGCGAGGTCAAGGCGGGAGGATCACTGATGTCAGGAGTTTAAGACTAGCCTGGCCAACATGATGAAACCCCATCTCTACTAAAAATACAAAAATTAGCTGGATGTGGTGGTGTGCACCTCTAATCCCAGCTATTCGAGAGGCTGAGGTGGAAGAATTGCTTGAACCCAGGAGGCGGAGGTTGCAGTGGGCTGAGATTGTGCCACTGCACTCCACCCTGGGAGATAGAGTGAGACTCTGTCTCAAAAAGAAAAGAAAAGAAAAAAAAAAAGAAATGAGTATATTCATATGAAAGACACTAAAACTTGAACCTTTACATTTTAATCCATTCTCCACCCCACAATCAAATAGGATCCTCAAGTAAGACAAGAATCATCTCACAAAAGAGACAGTCACATTGATCATGCTAATCAACTTGTAGAATTAAATGTTGAGTCTTGCCACTAGTGGTTACAATGGCTGTATTGATTAAAGTTAGTTGCTTTGTAGAGGCTTTGGGGTTGTGAGATGTAAAATGATCTAAGATGTGAATGCTATTTGTAATTTTTATCAAAACTGAACATTTTCATTCATTGAATTGTATTGACATTTAGCAATATAGGATAAATAATTTAAAGCTGTGTTGCTTTCTATATTACCTTGAGATAATTTGTTTTCTTTGTGTTTTGGTATCTGAAGGAAGTGTCACCCCATTACTGTATCAGATTTATGAAGGTTCATTTGCAGCAATGAATTCCCTGCGTTAGGGTCGCTTTGTACTCATAGGCATCACACTCCCCTCCTTTCATCTGTAAAATGAGCATGGCGTAAGCAAAGAAAAACCCAGTCAAGCACAAATCAGCAAAGGATATCTGAGTCATTTGAGACAGTAGCATCTTGACATCTGGCCCATGGGGGAGAAAACCAGGAAAATAAGTCACAAGAAAAATGAACAAGGCTGTTACAAATAGTGGATAATTATCTAATGAAAATACACAGTTTTAGTTGTATTTTTTCACTTTGCAATTCAATTAATGGTGCAAGATTTCAGCAAATATGTATGTCATCTTATTGAATGTATTTCCTAGTAAATGCCTCATTGAGGCCAGATGTAGAATTACTCAAAAATCAGTCAGCAGTGATCCCAAAAGACACGAATGGTCAAACGTTGCTGCCAAGAGGTGATAGATGAGCTCTCGGTAGAAGCGCCTAGTGATGGGTGAAATATTCATGTTTCTTTTTCCATTTTACAAGGAGATGCTGCTGTGTAAAGAGAGGCCTCTTATCGCATGTGGTTTTGTGGTTGTCTCTGAGCCAGCATGATTACTCACATCAAGAAAAACTGACATATTGGATATTTTGCCAAGTTTTACCTTGGATCAGACAGGTAGAAGAATTAAAAAAGGATATTCACAAAGACACAAAACAAATATTTTAAAAAGAATGAAGTATAGTGAGAAAAGTATGGCAGAAGGTACCGACGCTGTGTTCATTAAACACTGCCGTGCTAGAAAGAGGGCTTGTCTCAGGCACCTAGCCAATATATTCGTACAGGTTTACAATGGCCCTATTTTCTAATATTTAACACATTTATTTTTAAATGTTCAGAAAAATATCTTGTTCTTTGCAATGCCGTGTCTTTTCAGTTCATCTAGATAAGAGAGAGAGAGAGAGAGAGAGACACTCTTCCTTTTTGTGTATTGTCCAGGGTTCTTTTATAACATCAATAATGAGAATGACAATACTACTTCACAATTGCATTGCAAGTTTATAACTTATATATTTCCTC
Organism: Homo sapiens; assembly: GCF_000001405.40. Taxonomy (NCBI): domain Eukaryota; kingdom Metazoa; phylum Chordata; class Mammalia; order Primates; family Hominidae; genus Homo; species Homo sapiens. The sequence goes on along the minus strand of NC_000018.10, from coordinate 73,679,578 downwards.
AGTTTATTTGTGCTAAACCTTCTGAGATAAATAAGGCAGTCCTAGGTCAACCAGTGGAATAGCATAAGGAAATTCGAGGGCTTCTATGTTAACTGCTCATATGGAAAAATAATATAAGACTGTGCATTGGCTACCAGGGGATTTGAGTCCCATTTCTAATGCTATTTCTTAATGACTTCAGTGAAGCCACAGAGCTGTTTGTCTTTGTTCCCTCATATATGGAAGTTGAATCCCAAACCAACATTGACCTATTAAATTATGTGATACTCTATTTACTAGAGTTTCCATACAAATGTACATAATACAACTTACACATTTTTAAAAATTCAAAAGCAAGTTGTAATTGTAAAGTAATTTAAGCAAATATGTGTGATATAAATGTGGGTAGACAATATCTTTTCTTATATTAGTAGATGTTTCTTGCTGATAAAGGGGATGAATAGTATAAAGATTAGGCCCTCAGATTCTGCACCCACAGCTACTGAATTTAAATTCTAGCTCAGCTTTACAAAAGTTATCTTGCATTTTTCTGTCTAATTTTCCTTCTCTGTAAAATGGGATGGTAATGGTACTCACTGAGATAATTACTGTGAAGATGAAATGAAGAGATATATGTACTTAAAAGAAGGCTCACACATGTTAATTACTACATGAAAGTTTGTTATTGTTAAATGCTGGTAAACATTTTAGTAGCAATTGCCCTATCTTGAATTCTCACTAGTAACTCGTTCAACTCTACCAAACAATGAGTCTTCATTTTACTTTGCATTATCATTTTATTTTACCTAATAAATTTGCTGAGTAGGATTTATACTTCTAGTCACTTGCTTTTGCCATTTTGAGAATAGTTCAGTTGATAAAATGGAGGGGTTTATTTTCCTTTGATATACCAATATTTCCAGTTGTAATTTTTATGGTGTATGTGAGCTCTTTATTGTGATTCTAGATTTGTAACGTATTCTTTCACAGCGTAAACCTTTGAAAGTGAGACCGGTATATGTAATTTGGAGATAATTGTTTTTTGGGAAAGTGTTGCTCAGTAAATGAAGGTGAAATAGTCACATAGAATGAGTCAAACACCATGATGTCTCTTAAACTCTCTTAAAATATTTTTAAAGGCAGATGTGACTTAGTGCTTTCATATCTAAGCTATAATCTGGCTTGTAGCCAGCTCCAAATATTTTCCCTTAAATTGAATTATTCAACTAATTGGTAACTCTTGAATATTTGTCAGGTAATTGCTAAGTGCAAGGGAGTATGGGAAAAGATTACATTCTACTCTGTGGTGTATTTGCATTGACATAAATAGTAGCCAGCTCCAAATATTTTCCCTTAAATTGAATTATTTGACTAATTGATAACTCTTGAATATTTGTCAGGTAATTGCTAAGTGCAAGGGAGTATGGGAAAATATTACATTCTACTTTGTGGTATATTTGCATTGACATAAATAGTACACTGATTTACATAACATGGAATGATGCAGCATTGTAGATCCCAAGATTATGGGAAGCCTAGTTTGGGAAGCAGAGACAGATATATTTTCATGTTCCTAATATTGTGTGTGTGTGTGTGTGTGTGTGTGTGTGTGCACGCGCATTTTCCTGTACCTGTATCTATATCTGTGTGTATATTTGACAAAAAGCAACTTGATCATAGATTTTGGTAACCATATGTACAACTGCATATTTTAACAGATTGTTTTCCTTTTATTTAATTAAAAAAGAAAAAATTAATTTGCTTATATTCTGTCATATACTTTTGATTTTAATAATAATTTTAAGGCATTATTTTGGAACTAAATCAATTGAAACTATATGGTCCATGCAGTTTTTTTCTGAATTCATTATTTGCTAACATAGTCTGCCATACTTGAACAGAATGCAGTAGTAAAGAGGTTTGGACACAGGCCAAGTAACAATAAATTTCTCACATTCTTGTTGACTCCCCTAGTTTATAAATTTCAAAACATTGTGAAAGTTTGCCAAAGAAATAGTGTTTGGTCTAAATATTGAAGAAATGGTAGACAGTAAATAAGAGTGGAATCATTTGAAACCAACAAAGCACAGAAAAATACAAAGAAAAGTTGAGATTCTATAGACAACATAAAGATGCTTAAATAACTTAAGAGCCTATCATATTCCAGTAACATTTAGAACTTGTCATATTAATGACGTTGATAATGTCATAAATCTTTGTTTATGATTAATGAATAAGATGTAACACTATGATATAAAATTTAATGATTCGCTATTTCAATCAAATGGAAGAAAAATTTATTTTTAGATTATTTTAAATTAAGTAAAAAAAAAAATCATTTGAAGTTTGTAAGTTCCACTGGAAAAATTGAGTTTTGGATGTCTCAGTGGACTGGATTTATCATTTAAACAATGTATTCAGTTTTATGTTGTCAGTTATGACCAATGAAGCTTTTCAGTTTAAAGCACATGCTTTCAACTCTTTTATGAGAATTAATACTTAAAGCAATGATATAGGACACTTGTTCAATAATCTTCTATCAAATTTTCATCCCTTGAAATCTTTTAAATTGATGGGAACACTCTCTGCATGTCCCTCAAATGAGTCTACAGGGAGGCATCATGCAATTCGGCCTGCTTTATGTCTCTTCCTTATCACTATTCAACTATTGATACTATTATAGTTTGTTCTTTTCTCCAAGGGTACATAACAAAAGAAGAATATTATAGTGAAAACGATCCAATTTTAATAAAATAGATAACGTAATTGGCATTTTTTCCCACACAGGGATTCTAATAAATTTAACAAAAGTGCATTTTATTTTTACTTTGTTCACATACAATTTTTCTTTCAAATTTTCCCCAAAGTTCTGTCTTTTTCAAATACCAAATAAATGCTTTTAATTTCAAAAACAAAACTTTTAGGATATCTGGCTTCCATCAGGAGAAAAACTTTTCAGGGATATTTTTGATTTATGATTAAAGAACTCAGGAAACAGAACTGTTAACTGTGTGCATTTAACATTTACTCAGCTTGGTTTATTGAAGACCTGTTACCTTCTTGGTACTTTGCTAGGTGTGGGATACAATTTTGGGCAAGAGGAAGATAGACTTTACATTCCTGAAGATTATAGTCAACTGAATGAGCATTCCCCTCAAAATCTGCTCTTTCAGAAAATGAAAGCAAAGAAATCTCTATCTGGTAAACTTATGGTTAGTATAATCTAACAGTCTATTTATGACAGGACTGCCAAACATATTACTTCGGCAAATATGTCAGTTGATTTACATGATGTTGACCCTCTGGAATCATATTCAAGGTTTACTTATGGAGTCAACAAACACTTATGGGACATGAAGTAGCATGTAAACACTTGAGAGTTTTAACTTATTGTATACCTAGCGCTGTACGGTACTTAGGAATGCTCAATAAATGTTTGTGGAATTCATGAATAGAAGATTAGATGCATGTACCACCACCTGGAGATACCAGCTTAATTCTTGTCCTCAAGGTTACGCCCTTGTGGAAGAAATAGACAAATGTTTGTTGCACTTTTAATTAGGCCCGTGATAAAGAGAAGCCCATGTGTTCCTCCCAGGGGTAGGGAAGGCTTTCTGCAGGCTGAAATGGCTTTGAGAGATCTCTAGGTGTTAGATAATGAGGAAGGAAATTTTATTTAGTTAGCTGTGGAGCATAAATTAAAATTTTATAAGTAATTGAAACAGTGCTACCTAATAGAAATTTCTGTGATGATGAAAATGTCATAAATGTGCAGTGTCCAATGCAGTAGCCATTTACCACGTGTGGCTACGGGGCACTTGAAGTGTGGTTCATGTGGCTTAGGAGCTGAAATTTTAATTTCACTTAATAAAAACTTAAAGAGCCAGGCATGATAGTGGCTATTATTGGATGGCCTTGATTAGGTTGGCAGGGTGAGAGGCTGAGGAACTCGTAAGGAAGCTGTTGCAGTAAATCCAGACATGGTGGGAAAAACACGATTTTTCCCAAGGGCAGTGGGGATAAATATAAAAAGAGGAGTTAAAAGGAGTTTCAGGAAGAGGAGGGAAACCAGGAGACTGCCACTTTCTGGGTGAACAGCCAGGTATGGTGCCCAGTCATTTAGTGCTACAGGGAACAGAGAAGACAGGCCTGTATAGTCAAAGGTGACTCATTATCTTTGAGATACAGAAGAAAAGAAAGACCAAAGATGAAGACATGGGTGAACACTGAGACTTGAGGGGTAGAAATGGGATATATATGCAAGGAAGAAGATTATTATGTAGATGACGTAGAAAGACTCAGAAAACTGTGGGGTTGCTAATTCTAAAAGAGACTCAAGAAAGGATGAAGGGTTAAGTCTCATCAGTCATGGACAGGTGAGGAGAATAAGAACTAAGGAGTATCCAATGGAATGGGCATTCATCTGCCAGAGGTAACAAGAAACACAGTTTCACTCGAGATATGGGTTCTAATGGCTGAGAAATAAGCTCTCGGTGAGGGCAGATAAATGTAGGCTATGTCTTCCAATTTAAACTTTTAACTTTATATTAAAATAATTAAATGATTTTTATGGCTCAATCACTCTTTTATACAAACGTCTCTCAAACAAACTTATATATTAATCTACTGTCAAGAAATACACTGAATTATTCATCAAAAGAAGCATGAAAGAAACTCCCAGAAATAAATGACTGAAATGAGGGAGTTTTCTTTTTAAATAAACAAATTTCAGTCATTTTATTTCAGTTTTTTATTTCTGGGAGGGATAATAAGGGTGAGGTATTCATTGTAGCTACTTTTAAAGGATTATTAGTATCTTCAACCCACACGTTGTCTTTCTTCTGCAAACCTTCAGGAGAGTAAAAGTTTTCTTGTCCTCTGAACCATAAAGATTAATTGTTGTGACGTGGCTAGAGTTTCACTCAAGCCAGAATGGCTCTGTTACTACTGATGAAATCTTGCCCAAGAATCTGGAAGTCAAACCCTTTTAAGTATGTTTAAAACTCTTGATTAGGCTGATGTGATGATGCCTGGTTACCTCTCTGCCAATTGGGCTCAGGACTGCGGGGGGAGTTGGGAAGTAGAGTCCCAGGGAGGGCTTGCTAGCCTCCCACCAACCCAGCACCTCCTGGCAGTTTAGAGTAGCCTACAGTTGTATGAAAAGGTGACTGAGGGCATGAGCAGAGCAGCAGTCACTGCCAATTATTACTCCTAACCCTCACCCAACAGGCACAGGATGACTGAAGAGGACAGCGCTACTTCAGAAACACAGCTGGGGAATTTTATTCTAAAAGTTGCAATAGTGCTTTGGTGCCATGTGACAGCTTCCTTGAACCTTCTCAGTGGGTCAGACTGACTGCATCACTGGTTCCCGAGTGAAAGAAAATATCTGTGCGCTTTTGGAAGAGCTGTCATACTGTCACAATGAAGGGCAAAAAGAAGGAAAAAAATCAAAGGTGGTTAAAATCTTTAGAAAAACATCAATTAAACAGGCACATTGGTCAAAAATTTATAAACTCCCAGTGCCCAGATTGTAGTCTTTAAATATTTCCCACATAAAGGGGCCAGGAGATCTTTAAAAAATTATAAATTCCAGGACTTGGGAGAAAATGTACAGAATGAGCCTGGAACGGGTTGTTGTTCCAGGAATCAGAGCTATCAATGGCTATCAGGGTCAGTACCGCCAAGGTCATGTCAATGGACCGTCGGTAAGGATTATGATTGTAGTTGGTTAAAGCACATCACTTTTTTTCTATGTAAATTGTAACTTAGTGCAATTAAATGGTTCATGAGTAGGGATTTCTCTGTATGGGATGATTCTACATAACAATGAAGAAGAAATTGGAATATCACTTATTTGCAGTCCACTAATGAAATTAATAAATCCACGCAAAGATTGTCAATACCACCTAACTTCATGAAAAGGAAAACAACTAAACATTTTGTGTACCCAGTGGATGTACACTATGCTATCTATGAAGTATCATTGCCAAAGAATCCAACCTGAATCTGACCAAGTGTTTGTTCCAATCTACCAATTTACTGGAAATACAGAAAGAAGGGAAATGTTTTAGGTAACACCACAGTGATGCAATGAGTAGAGTCCAGGCTGATGGAAATTCTACAGAACAATCTGGTTTCTTCAACACATAAGTTGTGAGCAATTGCAAAACAAAACGAAGTAAAACAGAAAAAAAGAGGTGTTACTATGGTTTGAAAAAAGACATCAGATAATTATCTTTATTTGGCTGTTGACCCAAGCGAACAATATAAAATTAATTTTTCCACTTGGAAAAATTTATATACTGCCTGGATATTTAGCAGGATTATGGAATGAGTTAATATTAATTTTGGAAGGATAATAATATTTTGCTTGTTTATTTGAGTCCTTATTTTTTGAAGATACAACAGTAATATTCAAGGACAAAATGATACGATGTTTGAAATTGAGTTTAAAGTATCTGAGGAAGGGGCAGAGTAGGTGGGGGTATAATTTGTTAGGTGGCAGAATTCTATATAGAGCCTCCCATTCCTGCCCAGCCAGAGATCTTAAAGGGCATGGATAGAGAAAGCAAGTGATTGGAAGAGTCCAGGTTAATGTCAAGTGGAGGAGGACGGTGCTTACTTATACTTTCATCTGGCTATATAAATGTCCGTTTATATCTATTAAACACAAGCTCTTCCACCATGCGGTAAATTGGATTTTGGTCCCCAGCACCAGTATGGTGTTAGGAACTGCTATTTCCTTTTGTTTCTGGATTTTCTTACAACTTGAGAACTGGCCTTTATTTTCATTCATGTTGTTTTGTCAGTAACGCAAAAATGATTTAACTTTGAACTTATTTCAATTTGTCAGATTTTTTTTTTCTTTTAGCCAACTTTATCAAATTCCAAAATTCCTTCTTCAGCCCCAGGTCATGAACTTTTGCTAACTTCTGCTTCCCTTAGTAATTAAAATTTTTCTTATAGGGAACATTGGGTTTATATTTACACCACCTGGCAAATTGACACCTGTATAATTCATAGGCACTAAAAAGGACAGACGCCCTCAAAACTGCCTGGCTTGTCTAGCTGTCTCTGGTTGGTTTGCTCTCTCACTCTCTGAAATAGTCATTTCAACTGTTAAAAACTTTCTAACCTCTAACCTTCCCTCCTCCACCTTGAATCTCAGTAGATCACTGCTCTTGTTACTTAACATGAAAAAAGAACTTATTAGATAGAAGTTCTGTCAAATTTCCTGCATGTATAAATAAATCTAAATATTTGGCACCCATCTTCTCCCCATCTATTGTGCTGCTTCTATTGGTAAACAATGGAAAACAATACCTCCTCTAGGAATAACTCTATTCATGCTTTCTTAATAAACTTACTCTACTGATTATTTTTACTTTCTATTTTCAGCTTTTCTCTCCCTATTTAGTCTTCCCATCCCTATAGAAATGTGATTTAGTTTCTCCTATGTTAAAAATGAAATGAAACAAGAATAATTCTATTGGGAGATTATAAGGATCACACTATCTAGTTTCATCTAATCAGAGTCCAACCTTTTTAAAGAAATACTCTTATGTAACAGTTCGTGGTCTCACTTCCATCTCCTCTGGCTCTGCACCTCTACTCAACTGAATCTGCTGCTTCCATGGGCCCAAATAACACCTGGTTCCACAAAGTCAGTGGGTGACTTTCTGACTTGGCTTTTTCATCATCTTCAGCACAGCTGAACGCTCTCCTCCTTTTGACACTGTATTCCCTCTGCCTCCCCTTCTCCTCCACCTCTCTCTCTCTCTCTCTCTCTCTCTCTCAGCTGGGCATTCCTTATTCTCCATTGACATCAGGTTTGACTCTGATTAGATAAAGCTAGATAGTGTGATCTTTATAATGTCCAGGGAGAGTTATTAATGTCTCGCTTTTATTTATTTATTTATTTATTTATTTATTTATTTATTTATTTATTTGAAACGGAGTCTTGCTCTGTGGCCCAGGCTGGAGTGCAGTGGCTCGATCTCAGCTCACTGCAAGCTCTGCCTCCCAGATTCACGCCATTCTCCTGCCTCAGCCTCCCGAGCAGCTGGGACTACAGGCGCCCGCCACCACGCCCAGCTATTTTTTTTTGTATTTTTAGTAGAGACGGGGTTTCACCGTGTTAGCCAGGATGGTCTGGATCTCCTGACCTCGTGATCCGCCCGCCTCAGCCTCCCAAAGTGCCGGGATTACAGGCGTGAGCCACCGCGCCCGGCCCTCACTTTTATTTTTTTATTTTTATTTTTTATTTTACTTTAAGTTCTCAGAAACATATGCAAAACATGCAGGTTTGTTACACAGGTAAACATGTGCCATGGTAGTTTGCTGTACCTATCAACCCGTCATTTAGGTTTTAAACCTCGCATGCATTAGGTATTTGTCCTAATGCTCTCCCTCCCTTTGCCTTTCACCGCCCAACAGGCCCTGGTGTGTGATTTTTCCCTCCCTGTGTCCATGTGTTCTCGTTGTTCAGCTCCCACTTATGAGCGAGAACATGCAGTGTTTGGTTTTCTGTTCCTGTGTTAGTTTGCTGAGAATGATGGGTTCCAGCTTCATCCATGTCCTTGCAAAGGGCATGAATTCCTTCTTTTTTATGGCTGCACAGTATTCCATGGTGTTATGTGCCACATTTTCTTTATCCAGTCTATCATTGATGGGCATTTGGGTTGGTTCCAAGTCTTTGCTATTGTAAATAGTGCTGCAATAAACATACGTGTGCATGTGTCTTATGGTAGAATGTCCTTCTCAGTCAGTTCTTTGAACATTGGTGTTCCAGTTTCGGTTCCAAGCCACCTTTTCTTATATGACTCTTTTCCTAAGCAAACTCATACACACCTGTAACCACAATGACTAATACCCAGAGTGTTGCGACTTTGTGTCTCCTGCTGAGATTTTGATTCTGAGCTCTGGGTCGGTATTTCCAATGCATGTCTAATGACGCCCTTAGAAGCATCTCCCTCTCAGCATCTGGAAACTGAACCCATGCTTTTTCCCTCACACAGGGAAGGCCCTCCAGAGATCTCCCCACATACTTCTCTAGCTCCTTTCTTCATCACCTCATCACATTGTCTTATTAGTTAAAAAGAGTCTCCCCAGATTCATTCATATATAGTAATTATTACTGTAATTGGGAAATATCTATACAAATGGAAATTGATTTTTTTTCTGTTAAAACAGGAACATATTGATATCTTTATGCTTTACTGGGATGATAGAGATTCCATTTTATTTCAATTAAATGTGATTTATGTCATTCAGGAAATGATGCATTGCACCTAGCTAACATTAATCATAAAGGACTATGTTCTTATCTTTGGAATTCACAAATGAGACACATCTTATTTTCTGAATTGATTTCTTCCATTAGTCACCTAATATAGCCAGGAGCTACATTAATTTCACCTCTACCTCTGAGGAGAATGACAAAAAAAAAAAAAAAAGTGCCAGCCTGGGGCTTTTGTACATGACACCTTAGAAAATTCCTGAAGGTCAAAATCCATTTCTTTGCTTCCAAATAATTGAGGGTGGATAAAAGCAAACTCCTGCCAGTTAACCAGTGAGAAAATCAAGATGTTCAAAAAACGTGCACACTAATAGACTTCCAAAGTGGTTGAGGATGGAAGAAAAGACAGTAAGAAGAAAAACAAAATTGAAATTTACTACACGCTACTTCTAATTGAATGTGGATTGATTAAGTTGTAATGAAAATAAAACTGCATTGGGGGCATCATCATATCTGAATTTGAGTCCCAGCTTTGTCATTAAAACCACAGCTCTGCTAAATCATCTGGCAATGCCGTGCCTCAGTTTCTCCAACTGTGAAGTGATGATCAAATGCCTCACTGACAATTCACATATGTGAAAGTATTCTGAATGTGTCATAAAACTGCAGGCTCATATTCTTTATAAAGGTCCACAAATTTCCAGGCCATCAAATAATCTGATTGAGCTTTACTCTAGCTTTTGTTTTTAAAACTTCTAGATCTGAGAAACCCTCTCTCCGGGTACCCTGATGGAATCCACAGAGTGATCCAAACCCCCCTGAATTCCTGGTGTACTGGCAGTGTTAGCCAAGGCAAACAAACAAACGCGCAAAGCCAGCCCGGGCCTTCTGTAATTGCCTTGTGGGATTGTGTAACAGGATTTTCTTCCAAGGCATCCATTTATTTTCCTTTGGCATTCTACCTTCACATTTTTGTTCCTATAGTTTCACTTAATACAAAGATCTGCTACGCGATACTTAGAAAAAAGGTGTTTATTTTTTCCTTGTTGAATATTTTCTATAAAAATTATACAGGACAAAATTCATGTTAATTAAATAAACTTTAAAGACATAACAATGGGGTTTTAGCCCCTCTGTGTGTTTCACTGAGACAGTTTCATGTTATTGGTTCTACTCTTTTTGTCACAATTCCTCAACCTTTCCCTTTCTCCATCCCCTCCTATCCTCCTTCCCTGAGGTGGAGGTGGTCCAGGCAGGCCCTGCCATCCCCTCTCTGGTGAGAAGGGCCGGGCTCTCTCGGAGGCTCTGGTAGCTGATGATGCGATGATTTCCTCAGCAGCCTCTGTTCTCCAGGTGCCGCCTTGAGTTACCTTATCTCAACCTGCCATTTTTTGTATGTGGCAGCTTTCAATTGGTGAAGAATCCTGAAAAACAGTTCCTAGAATATGAAACTTCCCTAGAAGATAGACAGTAATATTACAAGACCAGAACAGTCCAACCTTTCAGCAATTCTCTTTGATGGATCTATCTTCATCAATCAATTTATAAATCCATTTAATAAGGAGAATAATTATACATTTTGCTCACCGGCTCATACATTTTTCTGCTTCATAAACAAATACTTCAAGCTGCTAAACATGAGTAGTTTGTGTCTGTGTTTTTGCTGCCGAAATTAAATATTTATATTTTAGCATTATTTGGTCACCTAATAAAATTATAGCCTGTTTATTATCTAATTATTTGGTGGAAAATAGATCTTTAGTGTTCCACAGACATTTCAAATATATGCTACATAATTAAAAAACAACCATCCAAACATATGCTGCATGATCTTTCAGAAGACAGTCATCCAAATGCATGCTACACGATCCTTTTAAACACAAATGCCTAATACATACATACAATTGTTCAAGCTTACTTTTAAGAAATAAGAATTAAATGTAACAGATACATTTTGTCCACAAAATGGTGCAGATTAATAAGAATACAATAATAATGTCAAGAACGATGTGGGGAAATGGGAATCTTTTGTACTGCTAGTAGGCATCTAAGTTTGCACAAACTTTGTGAAAGCAATTTGTCAATATTTATCAAACACCTATACCCCTTGACTCAGCAATTCTGCTTTTAGGAAACTATCCCAAGGAAATAATTGAAGATGTTTATACAACAAAGCAGCTACAAGGAGAGCACTGCAATCTTTTTATGTTAGGCAAAAATGAAAATGATCAAACAGATGACTGGTTAAAGAAGCATGGCACAGTTGTACAATATGCCCATGAAAATGTGGGGATAGAAATACATTTTCTGACTTGGCAGGATATTCACGATACACTATTAAATACAAAGATAAGACATAAAACAGCCCAGGCAGCATTTTTGTATTTTTATATACAGAAGTGGTTTTCTCTGGGAGGGTGGATGACGGGTGACTTTTTTCTTACCTTGTTTTTATTTACATACCTGTAAATAAATTGTTTTTAAACAATAAAAACATGATTGTTTTGTAGTTAATTGGTAGTAAAATATATGTCTTTACTACACTGAAATAACATTTTTCTATGTTCCATAATGGAAAAACTCATCCATCTCTCTCTCTTCCTGATTTCTTTTCAAAGGGCAGTTCAGCGGCAGAGCTGGCTAGTGGCAGAAGTTCATGTCCTTGCAATTTGTCCATTATTTTATCAGGAATTTTATATTTTATTCTATCATTATTTTACAGGAATACAGTTCATTGATTACCTCATTTTCTTAATGTATGCAGAAATTGAGAAAGAAAAAGGAAGAGATGAGAATAGACCATGTATAATATTCAAAACAGGGAAAATCAGAGATTTGTCTAATATCCAAAGTTTTTCTTTATATGCACTGAGGAAAATGCTAAAATACCAAATACTTTCCTAAGTTGAATTTGTCTTAACAGTATACATACATAATAATCACCCATTCAATGAGCAGAAAAATCTTATGAAGATAAACGTCTAAGCAAGGTCATTGCATTTTTTTTCTCACTCAGTAGCTTCAAATGTTGAAATAGGTATTTGTGTTAGAAAGCTTTACCCTTTCACTGTATTTAAATTTCATTAAATTATGTAAAATCATTTATAGTCTTTGGCATTAAACTTGCTGAATCATTTTTTGGCTTATTTTGGGCAGTGTGTGAGGTTTTTCTTTAACCAGCCTGTCTTAGTAACATTGTTGAGGGAGTTCTTTCAGGTAATTTAGTTTCTTAATAAATTATAGAAGTTCCCTCCTCACAAATAAGTATAAGTGACATTTATTTTGATCATTTTTTATCTCTGATATCAGAGATAGTCTATTTTTCTGCTTATATCTATGAGATATTTCTAGAACGTTGAATGAACCACTTTATTTATTTATTTATTTATTTATTTATTTATTTATTTATTTATTTTGAGACAGGGTCTCTCTCTGTTGCCCAGGCTGAAGTGCAGTGGCCTGATCACAGCTCACTGCAACCTGAAACCCCTGGGCTCAAGCAATCCTTCTGCCTCAGCCCTCTGAGTAGCTGAGACTGATATTTATTTTTGAATTTTTTGTAGAGAGAGAGTCTTGCTATTTGCCCAGTTTGGTCTCTAACTCATGGCCTCAAATGATCCTCCTTCCTTGGCCTCCCAAAGCATTGGGATTACAGATGTGAGCCACACATCTGGCTTGAACCACATTCTTAATTATTCACTATGTTCTTTGAATTAATTTCCAAAAATAGTTATATAATTCTTTAAGAACTCATCAGAACATTTTAACAAAGTTAAATTTCCCAAATTCAAGGAACCTTTACTTCTACAAAGTAAATTGCAAATAGAAAGAATGGTTATTGCAATTGTAAAAATAAAATAGATTCAGCATGTCTAGGACATGCAAAATGTAAAACCTAACACCATGAAAACCCTAGAAGAAAACCTAGGCAATACCATTTAGGACATAGGCACGGGCAAAGGCTTCATGACTAAAACACCAAAAGCAATGGCAACAAAAGCCAAAATAGACAAATGGGATGTAATTAAACTAAAGAACTTCTGCACAGCAAAAGAAACTATCATTAGAGTGAATAGGCAACCTATGGAATGGGAAAAAATATCTGCAATCTACCCATCTGACAAAGGGCTAATATCCAGAATCTACAAAGAACTTAAATTTACAAGAAAAAAAACAAACAACTCCATCAAAAAGTGGACAAAGAATATGAACAGACACTTCTCAAAAGAAGAAATTTATTCAGCCAACAGACACATGAAAAAAATGTTCACCGTCACTGGCCATCAGAGAAATGCAAATCAAAACCACAATGAGATACCATCTCACGCCAGTTAGAGTGGTGATCATTAAAAAGTCAGGAAACAACAGGTGCTGGAGAGGATGTGGAGAAATAGGAACACTTTTACACTGTTGGTTGGAGTGTCAATTATGTTCAACCATTGTGGAAGACAGTGTGGCGATTCCTCAGGGATCTAGAACTAGAAATACCATTTGACCCAGCGATCCCATTACTGGGTATATACCCAAAGGATCATAAATCATGCTACTATAAAGACACATGCACATGTGTGTTTACTGCGGCACTAATTACAATAGCAAAGACTTGGAACCAACCCAAATGTCCATCAGTGATGGACTGGATTAAGAAAATGTGGCACATATACACCATGGAATACTATGCAGCCCTAAAAAAGGATGAGTTCATGTCCCTTGCAGGAACATGGATGAAGCTGGAAACCATCATTCTAAGCCAACTATCACAAGGACAGAAAACCAAACACCACATGTTCTCACTCATAAGTGGGAGTTGAAGAATGTGAATACTTGGACACAGGGTGGGGAACATCACACACCGGGGCTTGTCGGGGGGGTTTGGGGACTGGGAGAGGGATAGCATTAGGAGAAATACCTAATGTAAATGATAAGTTGATAGGTGCAGCAAACAAACACGGCACAGGTATACCTATGTAACAAACCTGCACGTTGTGCACAGGCACCCTAGAACTTAAACTATATATATATATACACACACATATATATATATACACACACACACACACACACACATATATATATATATCAGAGTATGGATATACGATCACTTTAAATGAGGTGTCAGGTATTCTTCATTACAGCTGCATCAAACGCAGCTCTGATCCAAGGAAAACCAGCCAGTGCTCCATCCCCATAGGAAACCAGCTTGTGATCCCTTCCCAAACAAAGCTGCTTCTTTTCTGTACAGTGTAGCTTGAAATCTCCAGTTTCACAGTGCTCTAGATGAGCATAAAGTCCTATTGACCTTAAGTACAATAACTTACTGTCCTACAAATCTGTTGAAAAATGTGACCACCTAGGCCCTTAAATGCCAGTTGAGCTTTTCAGTCCCTTTCAGCTAAATGAGAAAGCCAAAAGCAAACTCTGTGATTCAAGGACAGTGGATGAATTTGTAAACCTCTCTAAGGAACTCAGTCATAAATCACCAAATGAATTATATATATAGATATATATAGATATTTCTTAATAAGCAGATATTGGTTTTTGTTCTCATTGTTTAAATTATAATGTTGAAAGTGATTTATTAGCCAAATTTAGTTATGTCTTAATGAAAATGACAGTTAATGCCTCATCAGCCTTAACTGAATTATCTACCTTCTAGATATGGTAAAGCAAAAGACTCCTGTGTCTAGAAAGAACAAGAAGCAAATAAATGATTCGGGATCCCACTGACAGGTCTGCTGTGAAACTCAAGCGTTCATAAGCCTCTGTAACATATTGTGCCTTAATTACGATGCCAGTTTAATTAATCCTACTCATAATTTATTGATTTGTTAAATTCACTTTCTTGACAGGGTATTAAGTAATCATTTTGAATCTATGGTACACAAATGCATACACACACAAAAACCTTCCTTTTTTCTTTTTCTTTTCTTTTTTTTTTTTTTTAAGATGGAGGCTCACTCTCACTCTGTCACCCAGGCTGGAGTGCAGTGGTGTGATCTCAGCTCACTGCAAGCTCCGCATCCTGGGTTCACACAATTCTCCTGCCTCAGCCTCCCAAGTAGCTGGGACTACAGGTGCCCGCCACCATGCCTGGCTAATTTTTTGTATTTTTTTTTTTTTTTTTTTAGTAGAGACGGGATTTCACCTTTTTAGCCATGGTGGTCTCGATCTCCTGACCTCGTGATCCGCCTGCCTCTGCCTCCCAAAGTGCTGGGATTACAGGCATGAGCCACCGCGCCCGGCCACTTTTTTCTTTTGCTGGGTTACCTGCACATACAGCATCTATTCCTTTCCCTGCTTCACATTGTTGGGATTTCACACATCTAAGATTTACTGTTGTGTTTGCTTCCTTTAGGCAACAGTTTCACTCTAACTTTCTACTTGTGAAAAAGGGTCTGGCTCTATAGAAAGAAGACCTTGAATATACTCATAACATATAAAAATATGGCATTAAAAGAGCCTGAGGGTATTCTCCAAGAGGAGGAGGGGAGGAAAACCCAAGAGACAGGGAATTATTCCTTCAAATAAGCTTAGAGTTGCAAGATTTGTCATTGTGTGCTTGTGGTTTCAACTTTTAGTAGCTGCATAACCCCAGGCGAGTGTGGTAGGTGCCAAAAGCTGGTCCAGGTTTTGGATTGGCAAGCATGCAAACTCAGAGTCCCTAAGGAGAGTTTACTTCCATCTATTAACAAGTTGGCAATAACATCAACAACAGGGCATAGAATCCCCCTGGGAAGAAGGGTTTGAGTTTATTCCCCTTTGTTCCTTAGAGACGTT
Organism: Homo sapiens; assembly: GCF_000001405.40. Classification (NCBI taxonomy): domain Eukaryota; kingdom Metazoa; phylum Chordata; class Mammalia; order Primates; family Hominidae; genus Homo; species Homo sapiens. The sequence goes on along the minus strand of NC_000018.10, from coordinate 73,663,581 downwards.
TGCTGGAAGTCTCCGAAGCCCAAAAATAAAAATTTGGCTGGTCAAAAGCATCCACTGACCTTTAAATTTTTGAGGAGGGGATGATGGTGGTGCGAATATCACACTCACAGTTTCAAGGGCAAGACTCATCCCATTTTTATGTATGATGACTCTTGCAGTGCTTTACGGGCATCCACCCTTGAAAGGGTCAGAGCTAATACAGGCACCAAAAAACTTTGATCAGTGAATTTTTCTAACAGTGTGGGAAGGTACGCAAATGTAAATACAGATACACAAATATATACTGATTCAAAATGCTGTCATGATAAAACTGGGGGAAAATCCATAAGAGTAAAAGCTGTAATTCAGCCAGGTGCAGTGGCTCACACCTGTAATCCCAGCGCTTTGGGAGGCCGAGGTGGGCGGATCACCTGAGGTTGGGAGTTCGAGACCAGCCTGACCAACAGGGAGAAACGCCCCTCTCTACAAAAAATACAAAATTAGCTGGGCGTGGTGGTGCATGCCTGTAATCCCAGCTACTCGGGAGGCTGAGGCAGGAGAATCGCTTGAACTTGGGAGGAGGAGGTTGTGATGAGCTGAGATCATGCCATTGCACTCCAGGCTGGGTAACAAGAGTGAAACTCCATCTCAAAAAAAAAAAAGAAAGAAAGAAAGAAAGAAGGCTACAATTCTCTGACATCTGTGCCTTTGGAAAATAGTCCTATCCAGGGCACCTTGCATTTAGAACTATGTCCTGGAATGACCAGCTCCATTCAATCTTAAAGGATTAAAGAGGACTGCTACTACCAGAACAGTGGCAGAATGAAAGGGGAATGAGAAGAGGACATAGCAGGCTTGCCGAAGGGAGTCAGTCCCTCCTTCAGCCCCAGCATGCAAAGTGTCCATCATCACTACAGAGCAGAGAAGAGAAAATGTTGATGCTGGCAGAGACCCTTGATGCAGGATTTTGTGGTCACTTCAAAGAGGAATGCAAAGCAAGTAAGCAAGCTGAAGCTGTGCAAAACAGCGTTCCAAAACACACCGAGCAGAGAATGTAGGTTAGAACGGTGCAGATCACAAAAGATAAGCAGAATCTGCAAGAAGATAATTTCCTTTCATCAGTTGAAACCATAATGTGAAATCAGAACCAACTTAAAAATGTAATAGTTTTACAAACAATCAAAATGTATCTCCTCCTCTAGTGTGTGATTTGAAGTGAAACCTCTTTGTACTCTCCATCATGTCCTGTGTTGAAGCACTCTTAGTACCTGATTCTACATAGATACCTGTGCATATTGGAGCTCATATGTGCATTAGACTTAAGTTACTGAAACTCAGAATTGCCCACTTTACCATGCAGTGATGTCCTGTAGCCCATAAAGATAAGAAGCAAGACTTAAACATCATTCAAAGCACTGCTTAACAATCTGCCATACCCAGCCAATCCTGATTAATTCCTTCTTGCATTTGTTCCATCCTGTCTCCTTTCTCTGAATTCCTGTTTCATTGCTTACAGTTCCAAGATGTTCATTGGATCTATCCAGATTTGGCATTCACACGCTCCATAGGATTGCAACTCAGATCTCTTTTATGGACATGGTTTCCACTTCCTAGGTCTAGCATTACACATTTTCTTGATGGGAATTTCCTGCTCTAGGTATAACTCTTAAGAAGTAAAACTCTCAGCAGAATTTCTTCTGGGACATACAGTAGAAAATTATAGGTAAGAATTCAGTAGAAATTATAGATAGTAATTATAGAGTTAGAAGGTGGACTGAACGTTCTTGCCTTCCCATAAAATAGGCCAAATACAAGAATAGATGATTTACATCTGTGCAATCAAATAAATGTACATAAAAGCATGAGCCATTGCCTATTAACAGATCAGCCAGATTAAAAAGATTGATATTACCTAAGATTTAGTGAGGCTTTGAGGAAACAGAAATCTCAAGCACATTAATGGGTATATAAATTGGTGCAAACTTCCTTGAGGGTAGTTTAGAAATATGCAGTAGGATTTTAAATATAGTTGTGGAAATAAACCAAGAGCAACCAAACGAGCATGGACAAAGGCTATTTATTCAGAGTTTGCTATAGCAAGGGAGTCAGCGCCATCATTTATGCTTTGGCAGAGACTCAAAGGCAGGCAGAAGAGTGGAAAGTTTTACAGCAGAAATCAGGGAAGGCTTCAGGTGTGCTGTGATTGGAGGCTGTTGGCCTGGGGAAGCTGTTGGTGGGCTGAGTAGAGGTGGGGAATCCTATGTGATTGGTTAAAAGTACGTATCTGACTTTTCCTGGTGGGTCCTACATTAAAAATAGGGTCAAAAATTAGGGAACCTGTCAGTTATTAATCAAGTCATGGCCATTTGGGGCCATGTTACAGGGGGTCTTATTTGGCTTCCTGGATAAGTTGCTAGTGTGGCCTGACTGACAGGTAGTAGGCTGGCTTCCTGGGTTGGTTCCTCTAGGAAATGAGTAGTTTCCCTAGTACAGTTGCTGCAGATCGTGGGTTAGATTCTGTTTTTGTATGTGATCTGGCCATCATCTGTTTGTATGTACAGACTTTTAGAATAACTGACTGGAGGAGGTAATTGAACAATGATTTTATTTAAGAAAGTGTTTGTTATTTCAGAAAACATAAAAGAGGTGAACTTTTTTTTTTCAATCTACTGTTATACTAGACTGTTGCAAAAGACTGAAGCAATGGTTCTTGGTTTACACGGGGACAGATAGAGCTCTCTAAAAGTGAAGTTACAAAGGGAACCATCATCCCTTTGGTAAAACACAACATGATTCTTGCATAAACTGTCATTCTATGTGAAGTTTTACAGTCCATCCCGATAAATCCCAGTGTCCACAAACCATCAGGAACACAACTATGTTTTACCTGTAGTCAAACAAATGTAGGTGTATTAACTTGCATGCCATAGACAATCATGGGATGTCTCAGTAAGGGAGTGTTAGGGTGGGCTTGTATACAGTTTGGGCTTCTGATTTGGGGTGAAAATAAGACATTAAGGAATGGAGACTCTAAGGAAATGAGGTTTAATTTGGAATTGGGTGCTGCCAGAAAGCACGGCTGATGACAATTTTCTAAACACTTTTTACTTAGGAGGAAGGAGCACTGAAGTAGGTCTTGAGGTGTCATCAATGGTAGTGCTCACACTGGCCAGGAAGGAGAAATGTTTGGTTACTCAGTGGGAGCTTGGTATCCAGGTTTTATTTTTGTTCCAACAGTCATGGAGTGACCTGTCTGATGCTGACATTCTGTGAAATTGCTCGTGTTCAGTAGGAAGACCCATGGCCTGGCTTCACGGTTCCGAAACGGTGTGTAGAGGCATCTCTGGGCTCCAAAGTACATTCTCAAGACCACCTTGGCATAATTTAAATTTTGGGGGCAAGATCAGCAATGTCTTGCTGAGAATTCCGTTAAAACCATCACATTGTTTGGACCTGACTACTTAACATGTGGAGTGGTTATGTGCTTCTTTCAGCTTCTGGAGCACTATGAGAAACAAACAAAAAACAAAAACAAACAAACAAACAAACTCAAACAGGAAGGAAGCGATGAACTGAGCGTGCCTAAGAACCTCTGGCCTTGCTATCACCCAACAGGCCAGATACCGGGCCAGTTCTCAGGGCTGGGGAGTCCTTCCCCAATCCCTTTTTCTTATCCCCCAGCACATAAAAGTTTGAAATTATGGGAACTGCTGTCTAGACCTGTGCTGTCTAGTATGGATAGCATTTGCCACATGTTCTATTTAAAGTCATGCAATTAAATCAAATTGTAAAAATCAGTTCCTTAATCACTATGGCCATATTTCAGGTGCTCAACAGCCACATCTCATGAGTGGCTGCCGTATTCGACAGCACAGAGAGAGACCCTTTCCATCACTGCAGCGAGGGCCCCTGGTTCCTTTGCTCTGTGTTCAGAACCTGGTCCAAATTCTGTGGGTCCAAACACTTCTGCCGTAAGAGGATGCCCACGTAGAAGCTCTCTCTCTGCTCATTAAACTTTTCACATCCTCTGGCCAAAACATATGTTCCTAAGCAAGGAGGTTGCCAGGTTTTCTTCCCTTGTTCACAAGTGAAGGACTGGTGGGGATAACCCTCTCCAGATGGTACAAACAACACCTGGGTCTGAAATATTTACCTTTGTGTTATTTCAACAATGTCTCCAGCGTCACTCCCAGAACTAAAAGATGTCGACAACATAAACAGATGCTTGTTTTCACAGTTAGAACTACAATAACGACAATCAACAAGGAAGTAGTCACCTCCAAAAACAAATCAGACAGATAAACTCATAAACTGATTGTCTCAACTTACAGTCATTAAGGGATCAGAGACTTTAAAGTTCAATACAGTATCAGAGCATCTTTTTAGGACAAGCAACTAAATTAATGTGCTGTTTTGATACCAGACACCTGGGTTCCCACTGAGGACTTCACGTTGACCTTGAGTGAGGCTTAGCTTCTCCTGCTCCCTGGGTAAAGTTGGGGCTATTGCAACACAGATTAGGATTCTGAGCTTAGATTCGGAATCAGACTGCCTACCCTCGACCCTCCGCCTACTACATCTGAGAATTTGGGAAAACCACTTAACTCTCTGTGTCTCAGTTTATTCCTTCATAAATTGTGAGGAAGGGAAAAAAGAATAGCATAACCTAAACCCATAGGTTGTTTGAGAACTTGATATTGGATACATAAAATTTTGCTAGGTATACAGTGCTCACTTAGCAAATTTTAGCTATTAATATTACCACATATCAGGTACTGTTAGGTGATTTGACATTGTAATGTCATTTAAATGTCATCAGAACACTGTAAGATATTCATCTCAATTATGGATAAGGAAATAAACATCAGGAAATATAAATGATTCACCCCAAATCCTACAGGTTAGGTTGCAAAGCTGAGATGCTTTGAACTCTTCAACAATATTAGGTCTGTCTATAATATGCTGCCCCTACTAACAATGACATTTTTATTTAAATACTCCATTTACCTGTAATAATTTGTGAAATGTTGTTCTTCCCCTAGTATACTGTCCTCTTCACAAGAACAAAATTTATGTCTGTCTTGTTCAGTGTTCTGCCTGATGTTCCTAGAACACTGTGTCAAAAACATAGCTCTTAATAAGGATCTGTTGTGTGGATGAATCTGTCGAATCCCATTTATATTTAATATTTCCTCTAACATGAGGTTTCTAAATGGCTCTCTCCTCATTGTACACTATCATTGAGATAATAGTTTTACCAAGCCTCTTTCCATCATTGGTTCACAGGTCAGCTTAACTTTAAGTTGATTTTCTTTGAATTGTTTTAAACAAAATACACAATTCTTTTGTGACTTGTGCAAATAACTGACACATTGTTTCTCCATTTGATATCTCTAGTTTTCCAAAATCATTTTATTTTGGATGAAAAGGAGAAAAATGAAGAAAAACTAATTTTTTTTTGTAGACTAAAGTTATTATTCCATTTTTGGAAAAATAATGTTTGTGTGAAGAAAAAGTGCTAAGTAGATTTAGAAAAGATTTCCCAAGGAAAAGTGTCATTGATTTAAAATGAATGACATACCCAAAAGAAAAAATAAGCAGGCAGCATTTCGCAGTGATAAAAAGCATGAGTGAGTGGTAGATTTGTAGTATGGAAGATCCTGAAGTAATCCAGGCTGAAGCTGGCTAATGCCTGGACTGGGGACTCGCCTGCAGAGATAAAGAATAAATAAATATTCTTGATCTTTAATAGAAAAATATATTTTGTATATAGGGAAAATTCCAATCACCTTGAAAGTGACACTTTCTATTTAATATTACGTTCCATTTTAATTTGAAATCTCAATTAAATTCCCTATAAATTTAGTTGTTGCTAGGTTATTTATTCTGCAATTAGTTGGCCTTTGACTTCTTTTATTAGAAATTACAGCTTCTTGCTTTATAACTAATATGCCAAGCTACTAAATTCATCACCTATACGTAATAAGTGCAATTTAAGCATTTAAGAGGAACAATAGCAGCCAAGTGCTGATAACAGATGAAAGTATTTACCCACAGGTAATGTCAGCAGAAATGAAATGTCTCTACCGAAGGCCCAAAAGCCTTACAGTAAAGCAAGTACCGAAGACACTCACCTTAAACAGCTGCGCAGACTCAAAGGCATGCGGTATTCAGCAGTCAAGAAAAGCCTTTATTTCTCTCATGTATCTACAAACACGTATCTGTTACTGTATAAGGATTAAGAAGCTTTCTATTTTGGGAAAATGTAAAGCATCATTTTATCACAGTCTATAGTTGCACATTTCTTAATATTGAACAATTCTTTTATTCCTGAGATAAATCCTACTTGCATTAATCTTTTATTGTAATACTGGAGTTAATTTGCTAATATTTAATTGAATAATTTTTGCATTTATGTTTCTAAGTTAGATTTTTTATAGAATGAGTTGAAAAAATGTGCTGTTCTTTTTAAGCATGCATGGACTGAATATTTGTCCTGTCACCCTGCTCCACACATTTACTTGTTGAAACCCTAATCCCCAGTATGCCTGTATTTGAAAGTAATTAGGTTTAATCAGGTCATAAGGGTGGGGCTGTGATCCAAGCAGACTGGCAACCTTAAATGAAGAGAGACCAGACAGCAGTTCTCTCTGTCTCTCTCTGCAGTTGACCATTGAGAAAAGGTCATGTGAGGACAAGTAGGTGACCATCTATAGGCCAGAAAGATAGCTCTCACCAGAAACCACATCAGCTAGAACTTTGATCTCAGACTTCCCAGCTTATAAAACTGAGAAGTAAATTTCTGTTGTATAACTCACTCAGTCTATGGTATTTTGCTATGACAGCCCTAGTGAACTAAGACAATATGTTTTAGAGTAATTCAAATAATATAGGAAATATTTACTCCTTAAAGGTTTGGTAGAATTTACCAGGGGAAAAAAGTTGCATTTATCAAGTTTTCAAGGGAAACTTGTAAAAATTGAAAATTAAGTTTTCAATTTGTAAGAAATATAAATATAAGGTAATTGTAATATATACTCTTCTAAGGAACCATTGATTTGATTTTTTTTTTATTTTGTAATAAAAACTTTTTTATTCCTTTGAGAAAGTTTCTTGCATCTTTAGTTCTGGCTTTGTTTCACTATTATAATATTTATTCATACATTCTCTCACTTTCTCTAATCAGAATTAATGAGTGTTTATTCTTGTTTCAAAGATGAGTTTTTGATCAATACTGCTGTTTTTTAAAATTTTATTACTTTATACTGAAATCTTCTTTGACTCTATGTTACTTTTTATAATTGATTATTTTTGTGTCTTTTATGAAATACATCTAGAAATGAATGACCAGTAATTTTATTTGCAGCATTTCCTGTTTTCTATTACAGGAATTTGATGTTATCAATGTTAGTACCTGAGGTTGTAAATATTTTCTTATATTTTCTTCTATGAGCTCATAACTTGAATTCTCTGTGATTTTTTGTTTTTGTTTTTGTTTTTGTGAGACAGAGTCTTGCTCTGTCACCCAGGCTGGAGTGCAGTGGTTCTATCTTGGCTCACTCCAACCTTTACCTCCCGGGTTCCAGCAATTCTCCCTGCCTCAGCCTCCCAAATAGCTGGGATTACAGGCACCCACCACCATGCCCGGCTGATTTTTGTATTTTTTAGTAGAGATGGGGTTTCGCAATATTGGCCAGGCTGGTCTTGAACTCCTGACCTCAGATAATCTGCCTGCCTTGGCCTCTCAAAGTGCTGGGATTACAGGCGTGAGCCACAGCACCCAGCCGAATTCTATCATTTTTATTTAATCCTGAATAGACTATAATTTTCACTTTTTAAAAATTCAAGAATTAGTTCAAAAGGTGTTTTCAAACTTCTCTTTATACTCTCCATGGAGATCATAACCTGTGAATGTGATTGATTTGATTACTACTGTTTGAAATTTAGTAATTCTTTCATGGCTTAATAAATGTTGAATTTGCTTACATAGATCATGAATAATTGACTACTTGGGATATTCAGTTTAGCATGTACAGTTTTGTGAATATATTTGTTAAAACAAAGTAGGTTACTCAAGCCTTTATGTTTTTCCTTCTCTTACTCTGGTTGCTATGCCGATTTTTGAGAAATGTTTATTAAAATTTTGCACTATAGCTACAGATATAATTATTTCTAACATTTTGTGTATAAATATTTCAGAACCACATTGTGACCAGTATGGAGGTGCTGTACATATTTGGTCAATGTGCCTTTTGTCAATGAAATATGCCCACTCTGTATTGTGCCGATCAGGAACTCACTCCTTCCTGCTCTTTCTGGGCTGGTTTTGGCGGATTTCTTCCAGTGAGAGCATTGGAGGTGAGAGGATGATTTTCCCTGTCCCTCTGTGTCAGGTGGCAATTCGACTGTGGCCCGAATGTCCTCTGTAGCCCCATCTCCCCCCTTGGAGAGACCTGTCCTGCTTCTCCCTTCTCTCTGGGGGTCCAGCGGCACTGCCTGACTCTTCCCTTCTCTCTGTAGCCTTCAGAGTGGGAGCAACCTCATGTTGTTCATCTGTGCACCATATCATCATCTTTATGCATCAAATTCCCTTTTCTATGTTATGTTGTCTTTGTTGAAACAGGAACAACGAATTCTGTTTTCCTGATTAGACCCTAATACAAGCCCCTTAATCAAATAAAGGTTTGTGTATCATCTGATATGGTTTGGCTGTGTCCCCACCTAAATCTCATCTTGAATTGTAGTTCCCGTAATCCCCACATGTCCTGGGCGGGATCAGTTGGAGATAATTGAATCATGGGGGAGGTTTCCCCCATCCTGTTATCATGATAGTGAGTTCTCATAAGATCTGATGGTTTTATAAGACACTTTTCCTCCTTTTGCTCTGCACTTCTCCTTGCTGCCGCCATGTGAAGGGGGATGTGTTTGCTTCCCCTTCCACAATGATTGTAAGTTTCCTAAGGCCTCCCCAGCCATGCTGAACTGTGAGTCAATTAAACCTCTTTCCTTTATAAATTACCCAGTCTTGGATATGTCTTTATTAGCAGCTTGAGAACAGACTAATACATCATCTGACCTAAGAAGTCCCGTGTCAGGCAGTCCAAGATTGCAAGATTAGGCTTTTAAAATGCTTTCTAAAGGTAAAAATGCAGAGAAATGTGTGCAGTGATATGCCAATGGGTATAAACTGTGGCGTAAATGTGGAGATAAGCTTGATTCCAAATGTCAAAGTCAAAGTCTCCATTTTTCTGTTTTATTTTTTGGATGTGAAGATATTTCCTATTTAAAATAACAGGAGCCTCCATTTCCAAAACTTCCTAATCTGGGAAGAAATTTCATGAAATATTGCCAAATTCCACCTGAGTATTTCCCTCAATCATGATAACAGGAATGGCCGTCACCAACCCGATCTAATAATGTGAGTCTGAGAGAATCAGATTTTTATTTTGGATAACACATCTTCTTGAAATGTCAGCCTTTACCTGATTTTCAGACTCTCTTTAAATGGGAGAAAATGTAGATGTGTCTGTATTAATAGCTAAATGCTATGATGGAGAGTGACAGCCCCTTCTCCACAGCTCTCACTCTGGGTGGAAGCTCTCCCCTGGGAGAGTCAATAAGGCATGAAATCACGTCAGAGAACACAGTCCATGTGATGGAAAAAACAGAAGGATCAAGTGAGGAATCTCACATTTTATCTTTTGAGAAATGTAAATGTTAAGCTAAGTACAGTTAACTCTTTTTATCCGCACTGGGTCCAATTTTGCTTTTTAATTGTTTTCATGGTGAAAGAAAAATTCCACATGTTTAAATCCTTTAATTAGCCTTACTCACATGCACTTGTTTTTTCTTTCTTCCTCCTGTCTTTAGACCAGAAGTTTTTTGAATTGCATCTCTAATGACCTATCAGATCAGAAGACTGGTAAACCTGGAGCCTCATCCCAAGAGGTGATGGTGTCTGGGTTTATTATGGATCGCAGGATGTAACTATCAATCTGGAGGTAGGTTTAGCCCTGGCTCAGACAACTCAAAGCATCTGAAATGTCCTAATCCAATAAATTCTAATGTTTTCCTGGGTCACACACTTCACTTGTCATGAACAGACATGTTCTGTCTCTATAATCACACCATGCCAACTGGTGGTGACTTAGTAATATCTCCCCAGTGAACCATAACAAAATCATATTTCCTAGCTTCTTATAAACCAGAAGAAATACAATAATGCATGTTATTATTAGCCCGACACTCTCATTTGTGGTTGCTGTGTCACTATGTTTCCCTGGTATTCTGAAAGACCGTGGAATAATCAGGTCTAATGAGTAATGAAAGACCTCTAATTTATGTGGGAAATTACTTCTTGTCTTTGTGTAGCCCCTTATTTTTTATTTTTCCTTTTGCTTATGTTAACCTCTCTGTAGCTTTGATTCATGTAGGGTTCCTAGACCCTCACCTTGGAATAGGCTCTGGTTTTGTTTGTTTCTTTGTTTGTTGTTGTTGTTTGTTTAGTTTTGCTTTGCATAGTTGATTGAAGCCAAGCTTCGTATCTTCCCTAAAATATTTACGGATGTTTTTCTTCCCGTCTCTGCTTTTTCCTCCTCCTCTCTCTCTACTTCTTTTCTTCCTCTTTAACATATTCCTGGGCACCCACCACGTGCCAGGAATTGTGTGTCAGGACTGGAGCTCCCACAGTAGGCAGAACAGATGCATTCCTGACAACCTAGTTGAGGAAACAAACATAAAATCACACAAATGAGAGATAGTAAGAGCAAGCATAGAGGAAAGATTTCATATATACAATTTATATTAGGAAAGATACACATTAGGAAGAAAACATGAGCTGGGAACTGCAGTATACATAGGAGAGAGCCAGGCAGGTAGAGGGAAGAGTGTTCCCCACAGAAGGATCAAAAGTGCAAGGCTCTGAAGAGACAAATGATATGGCACCTTTGAAGAACTTAAAAGACTGATGTGGCCAAAGAATAGGTAAGGACATGGCTGTTTTTGTGAGATGATCCTGAGGCAGTGGTGCTGGAGTCTCACAGGATGTTGCAGGCCAAGTTAAGGGTCTGGGGTCTTATACGTAAAGGCTATTTTCCCTAGCGGAGGAGAGGTATAATTCAATTAAAATGAGGAAAGTCAGGAGGGGAATTCAGAAAGCCCTTGCAGGAAATTACAGCTTCCATAGAATTCCAAGTGGAATAGGGTGACAGCTGTGGACATAGAAAAAAAAGGAGGGGTAATAATGCGTTTTGGAATTTTAGTTGATAATCACCTAGTTTGGATATAGGAAGAAAAGGATTAGAACAAACCAATGGTAATTACAAGGTTTTTACCATGAGCAACAGGTTTGATGAAATTAAAATTTAACGAGATACAGACGATTGGCAGAGAATCAGATGTTAAGAAAAACACCTGAAAGGGCACGTGCTTTATCTGAGACTCCTGTGAGACATTCACGAAGGGAGATATCAAGTAGCTAGTTGGATAACTGGGAGCAGAGTTCGCCAGGAGCTGCCCATTTGGGCGTTATCTGTGTTTGGGTGGAACGGGAAGCTACTGGAGTGGATGAAAGCTCACAGGACAAGAGTGGATTTAGAAAGCATTCAGTGGCGGGCTTTAAGGAGCATTAACATTTCAGAGATTGGACAGTGGAGTGACAGACTGAGAAGTGAGCAATTAGGTAAGAGAATGTGGTTTCATGGAAGAAAGAAGTCTTTCAAGAGAGCAGGGGTAGTCAAAAATGCTGAGTACTACTGACAAATAAGAAATGAATAAAGCAAGTCCATTGGATAGGCTGTAAGGGACATAACTGATGCTTTTACATGAGCAGTCACTTTCTCTCCTTTGCTCTCCAAGATGAGGTCAGCTCTCAGGGCTGCTGACCTGCATCACATCACAGGGACCTTTTTCACCCACTCCCGAAAGTCACTGTTTTGCACCTTCATCTTTTCTTCTTGTCTCCCACTCCGGATCTGTTTCCCCTTCCTAGGACAGCGTTCCCACCTCCGCTTTCGTCTTTTGCCTGTGGCGTAAAACTCCGGCAGCTGCCCTGCTCTCCATCCCCACACCTGTCTGTGTCTGCATGAGTCTTTGTATCCTCAGGCGTTCCCCTTGGCCTCTGCTCCCTCTCTCTTCTGGGAAATCCAGTACTCACTGCCCTTCCTCTTCTGCTACAGTATCTCTCTTTTAATTTACTTTCTGCTAGAACGATGCCGAAGCTACTCAACCCCCAAATACCTCCACTTGAAACTACCTCCTTTTCTTGGGGTGCCAACCCGTACTTCCGTCCTTTAACTGATGAAATTCTTGGGGATAGTCTCCCCTTATCTGCCGTTTAGCTTTCCGTGGTTTCAGTTACCCAGTCAATTGTCATCCAAAAATAAGTGAGTACAGTGCAGCAACATATTGAGAGAGAGAGGGAGAGAAGACCACATTCACATAACGTTTTTCTTTCTACAACATATTGCTATAATTATTCTATTTTATTGTTATTGTTGTTAATCTCTTACTTTGTCTACTTTAATAAATTAAACTTGACCATAGGTACATATGTACAGGAAAAAACACAGTATATATTGGATATATTATCTGTGGTTTCAGGCATCCTCTGGGGGTCTTGGAACGTATCCCCCCACAGACAAAGAGGAACTTCTGTATGTGCAGACACATGCCCCCTAATTCTTCATATGAACAGTTCTCATTTCTGAGCTCTATGACCCTTGGACTCCACCACAGCAGTGGTATCACTCGCTCTGTTTCTGTTTTTACCACTAAATTCTAAGCTTCTTGAGGGCAGGTGGCCACATTTTATTCATCTTTACATACCATCATCATCAAACAGTGCCCAATAGGGAAGTTGCTCAATCGTGATTTGATGAATGAATATGCTTTAGAATACTTTTATGATTAAAAATATTATTCTTAATATAAAATATTGACTGTAATAAAGTACTGAATTCCATTGGTAAATGTAATTAGACGTAGGCTCAACCTGTAATACCCCTTAGAGAAAACATATGTGAACTGCCTTCCAAATTAAGCCAGTGCGTTAAAAGAACCAGAAGCCCTTTGCTGACCTCACAGTGATAGATGTCCAACTAATACACAGACAATTAAAATCCTGGACTCTATCCTTAAAGAATTGTTGCAAAATCAGCTTTTGCCAAGAAGAGAGGGTTCTGCATTTCCCATCTATTGGGATATTTTAAAAAACAACTGTTGCAATGACTATTTAAACTAAACTGAGGATATTTAAAGTTATTTTTATATTTACATAATTCCATGTGCATGAGTGCTCATCAGGTGTCTATTTTCTAAAACTTACGTCACATATGTTTTGCACACCATATTTCTGATGACATTCTTTTCATCTTAAATATGAAGGTTTAAATCATACTCAGTTTTGTCACCTGCTTGCTAATGCTTGGAAGGTGAGCAGAATTCTGTGAAATGGAAGACCATCTGGTTCCACAGGTTACATCCTGTCATTCATTTAAAAGGGAGACTTTCATGGAAGAGAAAGCAACTTGGCCCATATATTCCCCTTTGCTCTCATCTGATGCTCCTGCTTTGAGTGCTAAGTATTGAATTTAGCATCGTGTGATGTAAACACAAGCAATCAATATGGTTGCTGCATTTCTACCTGAAAAGAAGTGCTGTTATCAGATTTACACTTTTGCTAACATAGTCAATTATTTTGCAACACTTTTGGTGAAAACAGGTTGATATATGACTTACAAAAACATGATAGATTTCTTGTTTAAAATAAAAAGTTTTAATAGTGATTAGCTCTAAATGTACAAATTATATAAGACTAAGTGACAAAAAGTAGAAAAAGTTTAATGTTACTTGATTATTAGAAGTTATTATACTGATTTTTTTCATGGACGTAGCTAAAGAAAATACCAAAACACATATTTGAATACAGGCAAATCTTCTATACATATGTGAAAAAATTTACTCAGAGGGGAAATTTTGTTTCTTCTTTTTTCTACATCAAAACAGACAGATATTGTAAAGACTGCCATATGAGTTACAATTAGTTGTGTCTGTTTTTAACATTAACACATGGTACTTTTTTCCAAAATCAGAAGTAACCATTTCCTAAGAGAACTTGAAAGACACACCCAGCAGAGCCTCATAAATTATTTAGAATCTGATAAAACATTATTTTCTCTGATTACAAGAAAGTTCTCCTGATATGTATGGGCTCAAGACCACTTCATTCTGTGTTATGGGGAGTGTGCTGAGCCTTGTGTTGGGAGACCCATATTTGTGAACTGCTCCCATTTCTGCCACTATATAATTTTGGCAAATTATTTCTCCGTTTTGAATCTCATCAAGTATCATGAACTAGATGATAGTTTATGCCTCTAAAATAAGGGCATGAACTATCATCTAAATTCTCTTCCTTTTCTAGATTACGGTAGTGTAAAATAACACAAAGGTGGGCAGGTCTTAGGCAAGATTTTACAGCAACTCTAATAAAATCAATGTTATAGTGAAAAGCATCAGTTTTATAAAAGAGCTCTTTATGTTTAACAGGATGTTGAGGGTGGTGTTCCTCTTTCCTCAGAATTAGCATCTAGAATCAAAACTGGAGAAATAGAAGGCATTTAGTATTCCTATATCCTTAAGAGAGCTAAAAAAATGGGGCCAGCTACTCCTTAAAGCTCATTCAGAGGCAGCCACAGGCACTGCAAACACATCCTTATGGGCAGAGAACTTGAGGGAAGGAGAGAGAGCTGAGTGAGCCTTAGGACTCCTTGAACATTGAACTCATTGGAGTAGAGAGTAGAAAGGAGATTACCAGGGGCTGGGGGCCCCAGGGGTGAGGAGACGTTGGTCAAAGGGTATAAAATTTCAGTTAGGAGGACTAAGTTCAAGAGATCTCTTGTACAACATGGCGATTATAGCTAATAAGAATGTGTTGCATTCTTAAAAATTACCAAGATAATAGATTTTACATGTTCTCACCACAAAAATGATACATGTGAGGTAACACATGTTAATTAGCTCAATTTAGCTATTTCATAATGTATACATATTTCCAAACAACATGCTGTACATGATAAATATATATTTAATAGAAATATTATATATTATATATAATATATAATGTGTATATATGTATATATAAAATTTGTCAATTAAAAATAAATAGATACAGAGAGAAGTTTGCTTAGGAATGCATTTTCCTCTCCTAGCTTTAGGGGGAAGAAGAAAGAATATTTTGAACCACACCAGGAGAATTACCCTAGAGAATATAAGTTCACCTGCCAAAATGGGAGGCTGGCATCTTTTTGCTCTATGAGAAGGCTGCTGAGCTAACAGGTCTGCCTTGGCATAAATGTCTAGAAGAGCATGTGTCTCCTGGAGTATGGGGACATTTGTGTTTCCATAAATTGGCAGCTGCTTCTGGTTAGAGACTTCTAAAAGGTCTGGAATACTGGAATACTGGTATAGTCCAAAAGGGGAAGATGAAAAGGAGCCGTGGAACATTGTACCAGGAAGAAGATGGGACATTACTCTCCGCATGCCCTGGAGCTTTCGGAAGACGTATAAGAGGATCTTAGTTTCCATAGCTCCACATGAAAGAGCAAGCAGGGCTGCTGATGTCCACTGTGGGCTCCAAGTGAGGGACTGGCCCATGGGCAGGAGGTGAGGGAGACTTACTTGCTTTTCTCTGAGCTGGTCCACAGGAGCAGAGGAGACTGGGGTGAGCCTCACTCCAGAATACTTGTAGAGTATGTGACACCGGTTACCAACCTTGGCTCCACAAAAATTACCTGTGAACCTTCTAAAATACACATAAGAAATTCTTACTGAATTGAACTGGGACGAGATTCCACGTATCAGGATTCTGTAAAAGCTCCCCCAGTGACTCAAGATGAAGTCCGGGTTGAAGACCAGTGATATGCAGGAAATGTGTCCTGTGATTTGAAACCACATTCCATTTGTCAAGCAAGACACTACGGCCACATAATGGAGATCTACTTCCATATGAACCAGTGGATTTCACTCTGCTTAATGGTAAGACATGACGTGGCTAACCCTGGCCATCTGTGCTGCTAATGTTCTGATCTTGCTTGAGATTTTGACTGCAAATGTAAGGAACCAGACATATACAGATAGGCTGTTTGCAGAAAGGTCTCTTGAGACAATCTGAGCTGACTTGCTTATCTTGCAGAAAAATATACTGAGGCCCAGAAATTATTTAAATAAAGTCCTCAAATATGGTAATTTTAGAAAAAGGACAAGTGAAACCTATATCTGCCCACTACTCCCACTACTAGCACCAACGTTTTGATTTTTATAGTTATTTATGAAATAAGGTGTGTGCCTTTTGTAGAAACAAATAGAGCACATCCTACAAGGCTGTCAGAGAGCTGGGAGGCAAGGAGCCTGGATTTTTATCATTTCTTTGTAGTTGCCTCTGGGACTCTGGGTAAATGCACGCCTTACTTGGTATAAAGTAGGCACAGTAATAGCATGGTAATACCTGTAATCATTTGTCCCATGTGTCTGAGCACCTGAAGGTAAAACAACACCGTCATCAGAAACAATTCAGTGGGTAGAGTCATTCAGAAAGAGAGAGGAATTTTTATCTGCTTTTGAAAATGTCTTAAGGAGAAAAAGACAAAGCTTTGAAGGCATTAGTAATTTAAGTATTGGGATGATGTCCAGGGACTTTTTGCTGTGATTCACATCCTGGGTAGGAAAAGGTGATGGAAGTTGTAGGAATGTCATCCAAGTGCCTGATTGATTTGATCGTAGAGAAGAAAGAAGTGGCTATTGGAGAAAAAAGTGCAGTAGAAACAATGAAGGAAACAGGATAAAAACTGTGAATATTGTTCAGCTTCAAAGTGTGTTATGATTTAAATAGTACAGCTGGTTTGGAGATCTTTGGGTGAACAAAGATGTGAAATGACAGCATGTCAGAGTTGGGTCTGAGTATGGTACTAAATGGACGCTGTAATGTCAATGGCTGAGAGAGGTGTATGGAACACACCTGCTCCAAATGTGACACAAGAGAAGACTTGGGGTGGTTTATGGTGTGTTTTTGAGCTCATGTGTTAAGGTGTGGATTGTTGGGACAGGAAAGTGCATGGAGAAAGAACATTGTCTGGGCAGATTTATAGGGAAAAAGTGTACCAGGAAGCCAGCTTCCTGAAGGCCGGTCGCAACATCTAGCTCAGAGCAATTGGGAAATAGCAGGAGGAAGCAATGGGCATCATATTTCAGTTTTCATGGCAAAAGAAGAACTAAAATAAAGATGCAGAGCAGTCGTGTTCTGGGTTTAGAGAAAATAAACACAGAATAATTTGGGCAAGAGAAAAAAATGTTAACTCAACTTTTGGACCCAGAAACAATGATCTACTTTAGTGTATCAATTTAACGGTTTGGTGTTTTCAATTTATTTTGAATTAGTTAATGGAAGTCATCGTAAATCATCAGACAACTAATGCACTTTCATCTTACACTGTGAACCATCATATGCAGCTGTGGATGGGTATCGGAGATTAAGAGACAGGATGTGTGATATGTGCAGAGGGGCTCCACAGCTGCCTCTTGGATGGCCCATTAGGTCCAACTCAATTTTTGGGGGGTGAATTTCTTCATTCTCTAGTTATTGGTCCACACAGAGAAATTATTAACCCCAATGACACTTTAATTAAAGATTTATTTTCCCTTTAATCCTGTGGGGCACCTAGGATCTTGGCGCCAAGATCCTAACTTTTGTCTCCACCACCTTGTGTATAGTGAGCTGACTGTAATATGCATTATTTTTGATATAAGAATGTTTTGTAACCTGTTTGTTTCTTCTCCAAATGCTACAAACTAATTTTAACATCATGGAATATTGGCTTCTGAAGTAGCAGTTCTCTCTTTGAACTAATGCTAATGCAGTTTATGAATTACATGGTACTGCAATCCCTCACAAGGCTTTTCTTTACTATAAATAAAATACTCTAAACAAGAGCCAAATATTTTACTAGACAAATTCTATTACCAAAAAAAAGACACAAAGCTCTGGTATGAATGCATTAGTTAAATATATACGAAATAGATGGAATTGCCTAAGAATGCACAAAATCAAACAAAAGGTGGATTCTGATTACAAAATAACTTTTTTTTTTGGTGGAAGAGAAAGCAATGTAAAAAGCATGAGTCACATTTTAGATTCTAACACTCCTTAGTAGTGGCTTCCTTTTCAGTCTCATGATAAACAACTTGTCTATGATTCTCTTTCTTCCTTTAGTAACTAGAGACAAAAGTGCTTCAGCAGTGGAGCTGACAAAGATTCCAGTTACTCTCTCCCATGTGTCTGTGCTGTGCACATGTTGTGTCTTACACTTACTGTGGGACATCAGTGTTGATCTTTATAGCACATATTTCGGAGTAACCCTGAGAACAATATGCATGCAATTTCTGATGCAGAACAGGTGAACACAGAAGAATGCACAGAGGAATTATGATGACTTAGACTTAGATGTTACTTAGATATAAAATGTATGATAGAATGTTGGTAGATCCAAAATTTGCTCTGCCAAAAAAAGTTGCAAATTTTGCCATGACACAGTGTCCTTAAAGCCTTATCTTCATAACTGGGTGTGAATAAATTTAAGAACCCTTTGTTCTGAGCAAATAATCACCATTTGTTAAAATAATATTCTTGATCAAAGATCTCATGTTTTCATTATACATTAATCTATTCATGTTCTTGGGATAAAGCTTCTTAATGCAATTATGAAAGCAATGTAGGAAATGTATGAAACAATGTATGAAAGCAATGTAAAAATGTTACATTCTTTAAATGTCACATTTAAATAATTATTTAATTTTCTTATTTTTTTTATAGTAGGTGTACATATTTATGGGTTACATGAGTTTTATTTTTTAAAAAATTTTGGGTCCATAGTAGCTGTATATATTTATAGGATTTCATGAGATATTTTGATACAGTCACACAGTGCATAGTAGTCAGAACGGGGTAAATGGGGTATCCATCACCTCGAGCATTTATCCTTTGTGTTAAAAACAATCCAATTATAGTCTTCATTATTTTAAAATGTATAATGAGATTATTTTTTACTATACAAAATAAAAATAATTTCATCACATATTTTAAAATAATTAAATTATTTTAACGAAATATAAAAATAATGAAATTATTTTTTACTAGCACCTGTTGTACTAGCATATATTAGGTCTTATTTTTCTATCTTTTTGGTACCCATTACTACCACCTCCACCTTCCTGACAACCCTTTCCAGCCTCTGGCAACCATCCCTCTACTTTCTGTCTCCAAGAATTTAATTGTTTTGATTTTTAGATCCCACAAATAAGTGAGAACATGTGATGTTTGTCTCTCTGTGCCTGGCTTATTTCACTTAACATAATGACCTCCAGTTTCATCCGTGTTGCTGCAAATGACAGGATCTCATTTATTTTTATGGCTGAATAGTAATCCATTATGTATATAAGTACTACATTTTCTTTATCCATTCATCTATTGATGGACATTCAGGTTGCTTCTAAATCTTGGCTATTGTGAATAGCGCTGCAATAAATGTGGGAGTGTAGACATCTCTTCGATATACTGATTTTGTTTCTTTTGAGTATATACCTAGGGGAGGGATCACTGGATCATATGCTAGCTCTATTTTTAGTTTTTCTTGAGAAACCTCCAAACTGTTCTCCATAGTGGTTGCAAAAATTTATATTCCCAACAAAAGTGTACCAGGGTTTCCTTTTCTCCATTTCTCCACATCCTCTTCAGCATTTGTTATTGCCTGACTTTTGGATAAAAGCCATTTTAACTGGGGTGAGATGATATCTCACTGTCGTTTTGATTTATATTTCTCTGATGATCAGTGACATTGAACACCTTTTCCTACACCTGTTGGCCATTTTTATGTCTTCTTTTGAGAAGTGTCTATTCAGATTTTTGCCCATTTTTAAATCATATTATTCAATTTTTTCCTATAGAGCTGTTTGAGCTCCTTATATATTCTGGCTATTAATCCCTTGTCAGATGGATAGTTTGCAAACATTTTCATCCATTCTGTGGATTGTCTCTTCACTTTGTGGATTTTTTCATTTGCTGTGCAGAAATCTTTTTAATTTATTTTATTATTATTATACTTTAAGTTTTAGGGTACACGTGCACAATGTGCAGGTTTGTTACATATGTATACATGTGCCATGTTGGTGTGCTGCACCCATTAACTCATCATTTAGCATTAGGTATATCTCCTAATGCTATCCCTCCCCCCTCCGCCCACCCCACAACAGTCCCCAGAGTGTGATGTTCCCCTTCCTGTGTCCATGTGTTCTCATTGTTCAATTCCCACCTATGAGTGAGAACATGCGGTGTTTGGTTTTTTGTCCTTGCGATAGTTTGCTGAGAATGATGGTTTCCAGTTTCATCCATGTCCCTATAAAGGACATGAAGTCTTCATTTTTTATGGCTGCATAGTATTCCATGGTGTATATGTGCCACATTTTCTTAATCCAGTCTATCGTTGTTGGACATTTGGGTTGGTTCCAAGTCTTTGCTATTGTGAGTAGTGCCGCAGTAAACATACTTGTGCATGTGTCTTTATAGCAGCATGATTTATAATCCTTTGGGTATATACCCAGTAATGGGATGCCTGGGTCAAATGGTATTTCTAGTTCTAGATCCCTGAGGAATCGCCACACTGACTTCCACAATGGTTGAATTAGTTTACAGTCCCACCAACAGTGTAAAAGTGTTCCTATTTCTCCACATCCTCTCCAGCACCTGTTGTTTCCTGACTTTTTAATGATCGCCATTCTAACTGGTGTGAGATGGTATCTCATTGTGGTTTTGATTTGCATTTCTCTGATGGCCAGTGATGATGAGCATTTTTTCATGAAACCTTTTAACTTGATGTCATACCATTTGTCCTTTTTGCTTTGGTTGCTCGTGCCTGTGGGGTATTGCTCAAGAAGTCTTCACCTACTCTAATGTCCTGGGTAGTTTCCCCAATGTTTTTTAAAGAATAATTTTAAAAATAATGAGGAGCATTGGAGAACTTCAAGAAATTTGAATAACGTATAATAAGGTTTACTGCCAATTATATATTTGTAATTTAGGAAGGAAATATTTATAAATGAGAACTCTAAGAATGTTAATTACATAGAGTTCCATAGTTAGCAAAATGTATGTTGGTTATTAATATGCAAGTCTCTTAATTTTAAGTTCAATGATTTCTGTAATAGAGCTATAACAGATCTATAGCATTCAAAATTATTTTTTAAATGTAAAAAATTTCAATCTTCTCATTTTATGTATATGTAAAAGTAATATTTCTATAGGGCTTTAAACATACATACTTCAGAATACTTTCATAAACACGACTTCATTTTTATCTTTACAACAATTTTGTGGGTTGAGTGTTTTATTATTATTATCAACATAAAAATAAGCAAACCAAGGCCCAGTGACTTGCCCAGCTCATGCAGCCTTTTCTGGGAAGTCTGATGCCAGAAAATGATTATACAATAAAGCTGAGTTGAGCAAACGTTAGCCTTTTTTTATCATAATAGCTTATGTTTTATAATCCTGCTTTATTTCAATTGGCTGTGCAATTGATTCTAAATTTAGTTTCCTAGTTGGACTAAATGCCGTAACTATATTTTTCAAATCTATAAATTATTTTTCAATTTCAACATGAAACTCTATGATTTCACATAATTGCCCAAGGCCATTGCCATTTTGGCAGAGACAGGTGGCATAAAATGGAGCAGGACTCTTCGATGTTCCAGTAATGGCCATCAATTAACCTTTTAAAACTAAATATTATCTTTAAAAAAATAAAAACAACCCTCATATTTAAGTATTTTCTAATACACATGGAAAAAAGCAATCTTCCAAAGGAAAGCAGCCAGAACCAAATATGACTTTGAATTATTGTGCACGCTTCTGCGTATGCTGGCTTTCTACCATTTGAAAATGATTGTTATCTAGTCATGAGATTCTCAACCAAGTTTTACATCTACAGAGTGATGGGAGCCATGGGAAGAGCCATCTGCTCCTGTAATGGTGAGAGTTTCCTTCAGAGAGCACGGTTTGGGGAAGCCAAATTGTTTGTGTTTCTTCCATTCCAATCACCCTGGTTAGGTCTCTGCCAGCATGCCTTTCTTTATCGTACCCCTTCCTTACTTCTGTGACTTCCAATAGAAAAATGGCAACAGCCGTTGGAATAATGCACCACTAGATGCATTTTTCTTTTGAATTCTTCTTGAAAACAAAGATGCTGTAACTAGGAGAGAAAGAAAGGGACAAATTAGGAGTTTGTTCAATAAAAATGTTTCTCAGAATGGGATCGTCTGATGATTTGTACCAGAATTCTCTAAGGGTAGGCCAGGAATCTTGATTCTTAACAAGGTCACCTGGTTTACATCAAAGTTGTTTCCTCATCAATGACATAGAACAGTGTTCCAAATATTTTAAAAGAATCCTAAGTTCTGACTGGGCACAGGGACTCACGCCTGTAATCCCAGCACTTTGGGAGGCTGAGGCAGGTGGATCACGAGGTCAGGAGATCGAGACTGTCTTGGTCAATATGGTCAAACCCCGTCTCTACTAAAATAGAAAAAATTAACTGGGCATGGTGGCATGTGCCTGTAGTCCCAGCTACTTGAGAGGCTGAGGCAGGGGAATTGCTTGAACCCGGGAGGCAGAGGTTGCAGTGAGCTGAGATTGCATCACTGCACTCCAGCCTGGTGACAGAGCAAGACTCCGTCTCAAAAAAAAAAAAAAAATCATATGTTCCTTTTGATTATACATTTAAAAATATTTACAAGTGATATGAATATAGGATGATAATAATGTTAGCAAACCACAAATGGCACTTGTAGATATTTAACATAAAGATTTAACAAAATTTTGTAAGCATTGCCAAAAAGTCATAGATAATTGTCTTCATGCTCTGTGTGCCTATTTTTAATAATCACAGCACAAGCTCTGTGTGATAAATGTGATGATTCCTACAATCATACGACAATAGTAACTCACAGCATAATATACACTTAGGGCCCTATTACTGTTTATAATCTTGGGCGTAAATCCATGTTTCTATTAGTGATAATAAGTGTTTGGTTGATTCCGTAGCAGATCTGATGAAGACAAGATTGCCACTTAGTTCAGTGTGAAGCTGATGAAGTTTCTCATTAACTGTAGTGGATCAAGTTCTGTCTTTTTTACGTCATAACATCTCTAATAACCAATCCCAACAGTGCCCAGATTTTGGAATGGATACCATATTGGTGGGAGTAGGCTCTGGTCTGTGAGCTGCATGTGTCCCTCCTGGTGGAGGATCTATCAGCCCTGCCTGGGCATCCACTTTTAGCCTTACGTTTTTATGGTTTCTTTTCAGAAATCTTTTAGTCTTACCTTTTATGATTCCTTTTCAGGAATCTTCTTTAACTAATAATTGCTTTGTAGGGATTGATTTGGCTGAAATTAAATTGCACAACCTCTTAAATCCTCTTACATGGATGCACCTAAACTGTAAACTTTAAGGAAACAGACAAGTGCAGCAACAGAGCCAGCGAGCAGCCCCTTGCGGTGGGCACTCGCATTCTTCCCTTGGGACATGCTGCACCAGGAGCGGTCTGAGCCCAGGTGACACAAGAACCAAGCGGATATGCCCCAGTCAAACTGTGCTTCATGTAGTAGTGAAGCTTCCTGGGTACCTTACGCTTCAGATGAAATGAGTAGAGGCTTAATATTTCCTCCCTGTATCTCAGTGGGTCACCTTGAGAGTTTTGCTCTGAACTATATAAATCACCTGCACACTTTGGAGATCATCATGCCTAGGAGATACAGACACTGGATCAGTCACATCGATTTTGCTGTTTAAATAATTTTTACTCTATATGTAATGTTGTACTTTTGGGGTACACGTAATATTTTGTTACATTCCTAAAATGTGTAGTGAGCTGGTTGCATGTGCCTGTAGTCCAAACTACTTGGAGGCTGAGGCAGGAGAAATGCTTGAATCTGGGAGGCAGAGGTTGCAGTGAACCAAGATCCAAGATCGCACCACTGCACTCCAGCCTAGGTGACAGAGTGAGACTCTATCTCAAAAACAAAACAAACAAAAAAAGTGTAGTGATCAAATAGGGTAGTTGGAATATCCATCCCCCTCAAACATTTATTATTTCTTTGTACTGAGAACATTCCAAATTTTTCTTCCAGTTATTTTGAAATTTACAAAGGAGGGGTTTCATTGGCAAAGAAAGAAAATTAAGATTTACTGGGAATATCTGAGAGAGAGAGAAACAATAAGAGAAACCACATCCAAGGTGGGCAAAGAAAAGTTGGATATTTTCTTTCTTCCACTCTTCAACTATAAGAAATTCAGTATCTTTTCTTTACGTAGCCTGGAGGCATAACCTGACATGCATTTAAAATAGAAATCTGCAACATATTTATGAAGCATCTTAAAACAGTGATGCTGCATTGGTATTTACTTTTAAGTTTAAATGTGTCTAAAATATTGTATGAACTGTACATTAAGTAGGAAATTACTAATTTAAAAAGAGCAGGCAGATGTTTTATTAGAGCTACAAATAAACAGCTATATGCTTTTTTTGATTGTGCTTCAAATGCTATTATCTGGATTCCTAACCAGTGAACAGACTCTAAAACATAATATTCCCATGAAAGGAATGCAGGAAGCTGTACTTAATCTTCTTTGTGGTTTTAAAGGCAACAAGAATAGTAAAAAGGGGTATCAGTGATTAAGATGAAATAACTGACTATCTGACTACTTATAAAGCATTTGCTGTGAATATATTGATAATTCAGCAGGGAAGAATATATAATTTCTTTGTAAATGATAATTTATAAAGTACACACCAATATTTTGGGGAGATAAATTGTTTTAATATGTAAATTGTGCAATATCTATGCGAGCCTTTCTGTGCTCAAACTGGATGTTTAAATAGGTAACACATTTATCAACTTGTGATACATCTACATTCCCATTATAAAATATATTTCCCATTTATCTTCATGGCAATTTTCATGCTTATTAGTATTTTTTGCATTTTACAATATGCATAAATTAACATGAATGTCTGGCTATATGTCTAGAGTATATGTGAAAACATTTTAAAAGCTAAGGATAATTTGCAGAGTTTAGTGTTGAAGTAAGAAGGGCTGTTAAATATTTGTAAAAATCTCATTTCTGTAATGTACTTTTTTATATAAAGTTTATTCAATGGATTTTTGACTGCAGTTTTTTTGCAGATTATTAATGATGTTTATTAAAATTCCTGAGAAATGTATTATAAAAATATAACACTGGAAGACCTCTACCATTTTGATCCTCTGCAAAATTGTATGCTGAGCATTTCTATGTAATTTGAGTCCCCTTGTATAAATGTAAATTTTTATAAAAAATCCAGACCTTCATGTTTCCTTAATTCTATAAAATAGATCAGCATCTAGATTTTAAAATTAGTGAAAAATATTCAAGAACAATTGATTGGCACAACTGCCTAGAAATACAGAGCGTGGTGTCAAGGAGGCATCTTGGCATCGTTCAGACACGTACTCCACATTCTTCCCGGGTGTTTGGTTTTCAAAGCAGTCTCATTACACTGAAGAAGTCACCTTCAACACAGGGGGTACTGCTTTTTCCTTAGACAAATGCCCAAGAGATACCTGAAATTTGGCAAAGGAAAGAACACAAATTAGAAGCACAGACAGATATATCAGCGGGTATGGAACTTGTTGGTGTGCTGCGGGATTTCCTTATCCCCCATTCCTCTTGTGTGTCTTATGGAAAATCTTGATCAGTTTACCTGATTCCTGCTGTGATTTGAGAAGGCCTTGGATTAGGATCCAAATTATAGCCGTACCATCTGCTGTTCCTGAGCTGTTTTTAACAGTAAACACTTTCATTAGTCTAATATATTCATTATTTCCAGGTATTGCTAAAAAGTTGCGAGCTATCATGTAATCAATATTCATTTGTACATTTTATAGGTTTACATATTTTGTTTTTAATTTATTTACATGTATGTATCTCTATATTATGTTTTATATTCATTTACACATTTTATATAAATACTCACCTTCTTTCCTCAGCTCTTTGAAGTGTGTACTTACAATGGATTATGTTGAGAGAGTTGCCAATATTTTCTCAGCCCTATGAGTAAATATCAGGGTCAGGGAAGGAAAGTAATATTTACTAGCGTGTGATACAGTGTTAGGTATATTCTGTATATCACATCTTTACATCTTACACTAACCCTCTGAAGTAGGTACATTTATCTTCATTTTGACAAATAAGGGGATAGGGATATTAAGTAGCAGGCCTAGTAGAAGCAAGCTCTCAAAGCTAGTGAGTGGCAATGCTGGTGTCTCAGCTGGGTTTATTTTACTTCAAGGCCTGAGGCCTTTTTATTATACAAAGTTATCCCCTTTAAAATATCTGCTTAGGAGATATTTGACTCATTTTAAAGAGAATTTAAGTGCATCCCAGTCATTTTTTAGAAGGTTGTTACTTGTTACTCTAAATTTCTGACACCTAAATTTCCAAGTTTTGAATCTGAACTAAGGGATGTTGACTACACATTATAAGCATGAATCATGGTTAAATTTTAAGTTATTGTTGTTGTTTCTTGTGGTGATTGTAGTAGGAGTGTGTGTGTGTGTGTGTGTGTATTTGTTTGAATGTTCAAAGCATTTGACAAGCGTGTTTGAATTTATTCTAAGAAAAAATCATATTAGTTATCCATTTCTGTGGGATAAATGACTCCAAAACCTGACCCAAAACCACTAGCATTTTGTCGCTCACAGTTCTTAGTTGACAAATTAGTCTGGGCTCAAGAGGATCTATTTCTTGCTCCCTGTAGAGTGGCCCAGGCTCACTGTGGTCAGTTAGGGTCTAAAGGAGGTGTAGCTGCTTCTGGAGGGTGTCACTGACACTTGGGGCCTAACGCTGATATCTGAAATGGCTGAGACTGATGGAATGTCTCCCCTAAGAGGCCTGTTTTTCTACTTGGTGTGTCATCTTCATGGAACCCAGCCTGGACTTGTTCACACAATGGAAGACAGCATTAACAGAGGGTGAAATTATAAACTGGAAGACCTTTTGTGTCCAATGCTTGTCAGTCACACAATATCACTCATGCTACGTTCTGCTTGTCACAGGGCCAGCCCACAGTCAAGGGATAGGGAAATAGACCTCATTTTCTCACAAAAGGGAGATGCAAAAAGCTCGTCATTTGTAACTCACCCTGAATATAGAACACAATGATTGTAATGAATGTTATAATACCCAAACAGCCCAAAAGAATCAAAATGTTCTTAGTTTGAAATAAAAATGAGTCCTATATTTTCCCCACCCAAATACAATATATACATTTTTACTATGTATAACATTCATCTGTTCAGGTAACCTCTTCTAATATAAATGTTCAGTTAGAGAAGTTATCTGATATTCAGTGCTTAGCTGGAGTCGGAACTGATCAAATTTGACATTGACTGTTGAAAGGAGTACAATTTATTTCCTCTCCACGTATAAATAAGGAGATTGACATATCAGCTGGGGTCATGGCACCTTTTTCTGTTTATCTGGCTGCCTGATAAGTAAGAAGAGGTTCATTGAGAAGGTGTATTATTTATTTATACCGATACACAATGCATGAAACCTAGCTAGGCTTATTTTTGCTTAAATCAGGTAAAGAAATAATGTCTGATTCTGGATACAATTTCAGTGTGAACCACAGATGCTATCAAGCGGATTATTACTATGTAGTCAGCACCTAATGCAATACTTGAAGTCTGCAGCTGAGAAACTAGAAAAAAATGACATTGAGAAATCAGTATTCTTTTGGAAAAGCAGCCAATCCAAGGCAAAATATTGAATTAGACGATAAAATGCTTCATGTGCTGTTTTATATGTTTATTTTTAAAGAAAAATCACCCAATTACTCTAAAGAAAGTATTTATTTTTGATTTTAAGACACTAGTATGGCATGCTATGGTATATTTCTTACTTTTTAGAAATATAAATTTGTGGTCACTGGAACACATAAAATAAATCAGCCTTTCTAGTAAGTTGAGGGGGAAAACAGGATAATACACCATTTTGAGATGGCAGCAAGCTTTGGTGAAATGAACACAGCACAGAGAACTAGGAGAAGTAAAATTCCAACCAAAATCTGTTAAATTACTTCTTTCTCTAACCTTGTTTTCCATGTATGTAAAATTTATGTTATATAATGATTGAAGGAGAGACTTCTGGCTATCAAGGGATAAAGTGGTAGGTTAATTCTCTTTACACAAAAAAGAACAAAATCATATACAATTGTCTCATACAACAATTTCAGGGCTCTGTAAATTGACTAAAGACAGACAACAAATTGATCATCTTTCTTCTTGAAAAAATATCCACGGTAGAGATTTGAGTAAGAACAGCAGTAGTCTATTGTCTTTCTGCCTGGGATTGTTTCCCCCTTCTCCACAAATCAGTAAGTGAAAAAAAGTTTTACCAGCATAAGTTCAGCCAGAAAAGCAGCAGCTTTGCAGGCAAAGGGAGCTGACTCAGTTTGGAGCAAGGAAATAAACTTTGCGGCACTGTTAACTAAAAAATGGGTAATACCACTGAAAACAAGCAGGGCAAACCCACCACTTTGCTAGCCTGAGATTGTAGTATCTGTTGGGGTAAATGATACACTACCCAAAAATAGAATGTGGAAGATTCTGGAAATGAGAGAGCCGTGGAAGGGCCAATTAGGCTCTTTATACATCACAAGTGAATGTGCTTGACAGGAGAGGGCCAGGTGAAAAATAAAAGCCAAGGGAGACGAAAAATCATTGAACCTTGAATCCACTCTATGCCCTCCACACAGATTGGTAAGCAAAGGGTGAAATCCTTATAGTTAGAAGTGTTTGAGCACAGCGTGTGCCCAAATCATTGGCTGAGCTATAAATTATGATATATAGAAACAATCACTAGGAAGCTAAGGTAAGAAAATAAAGATTGAAAAACATTAACATAGTCCTCAGTAGCCACATACTCAAGGGAGCAAGGGAGATAGATTCCACAGAGGAAAAAAAGAAGAGGGAAAAAAGCCCACAAATCTCAGAAACATAAAGATAAATATTGAGTATTGTGTATTAAGTAAAATGTTGAGCTTTCAACAAAAATATTTGAGATGTGCTGAAAATCAGGCAAGCATTTACTAGTACAACTATGTACAAATTAAAAGAAACTATAATTAAATGTTAAATAAAATATGATAATCAATAAAAAGTAAATATGAAATCAATAAATGTGAACTCTCAACAGAAAAGGAGAAACTATAAAAAAGAAATAAATAGAAGCTCTAGAGTTGAAAAATACAATTAAAGTTAAAAAATCACAAGGGAGGCTCAACAGCAACTTGGGATGGTAGAAAAAAAAATACTTTCCCTTGAAGATCATTGGAAATAGTCCAATCTGAAGAACAGAGAAAAAATTATTAAAGACAAATAAACACTCAGACCTACAAGACACCATTTTGTGTGTCAACATGTACATAATAGGAGTTTCATAATGACATAAGTAAAAGTGCATAAAGGTATTTGATGAAGGAGATACGGGATGAAAGGAAACATCAATAACACTAGATAGTATCTCAGATACACAGAAAGTAATGAAGATCACCATTGAAAAGTATGTATTTAAATAGAAAATATTGTGTGTGTGTGTATGAATCCTAAGGTTTTATGGATTCTGTATTTGTGAATTCACATACTCACTAAAATTTATTTACAACCCCAAAATCAATACTCAGGGCTTTTGTGGTCATTCACAGACATACACAGAGCAGTACAAAATCAAAGTCACTCAGTGCACACAGTCTTCACCAGAGTTCAGGCCAAGGCAATATTCTGCTTTATTTCACTGTAATACCATAAGCAAGTATCCTTTTTATGGTCTACTGAGTACCATATTTTTGTCCTTTTCTTGGTGATTTTGTTGCTGACAATGGCCCTCAAACATAGTGATGAAGTACTGTCTAGCATTCCTATGTATAAGAAGGCTGTGGTATGCCTTACAGAGAAAATACATATATTACGTCAGCTTCATTCATGTATGAGTTATAGTGTCATTGGCTATAAGTTCAATCTTAATGAATCAACAATATACAGTATATTAAATAAGGTGTGTTTAAACAGAAACACACATAAAACAAGATCAAATATTGATTGGTTGCCTAAAGTGTTGGGACCAGAGTTTCACAGAAACATAATCATAATTTTCCCTAGAAGTAACAGTTCAGTATTCACTAATTGATTGTTTGCAGTGATATTATGGAACACAACTACTGTGTATGAGGACAACTGAAAATACATGTATACATGTGCATGTGGGTTTGTGAATGTGTAATTTCTCCTTTTTTTTAATTAAATTTTTTTTTCACACCTGTAATCCTAGCACTTTGGGAGGCCACGGCGGGCGGATCACCTGAGGTCGGGAGTTTGAGACCAGCCTGACCAACATGGAGAAACCCCGTCTCTACTAAAAAATAAAAAATTAGCTGGGCGTGGTGGCGCATGCCTGTAATCCCAGCTCCTCCGTGGGCTGAGGCAGGAGAATCACTTGAACCTGGGAGGCTGAGGTTGCAGTGAGCCGAGATCACACCATTGCACTCCAGCCTGGGCAACAAGAGTGAAACTGCGTCTCAATAAATAAATAAATAAATAAATAAATAAATAAATAAATAAATAAAATGAAAAATAATTTTTAAAACAATAACATTAAGAGTATTTGGGGGTTTATAACAAGTATTTATATGATATAAGTGATAATAATTGGACACAGGAAAGGGTAGAAAATAAAACCATATTGGAGCAAACCTGCAGCATTTTACCAAAATTAAGTAATTATCTGAAATAGATTGTAATAATCTAAGATATATATGATAACCCCTTGAGCAACCATTAAGAAAATAACACAAAAAGTAGCTTAAAAGACCCCAACAGTGCATTTAAAATGGCCTACTAAAAAGTATTTATTTTGCACAAAAATGACAGCAAATGAGGGCAGAGGAATGAAAAAAGATATCAGACGTAAAGAAACAAATAGCAAAATTTCAGATATAAACCCAGCAACATTAATAATTATAGTAAATGTGAATAGACTACACTTTTCATTCAAAGGACAGAGATTGTCAAACCAAATAAAAAGTCAGGTCCAACTGTATGATGGATACATTTACAAGCAACTCACATTAGATGCAAGGACAAAAATAGGTTGAACATAAAGGATGGAAAAGATACA
The DNA here is from genome assembly GCF_000001405.40 of Homo sapiens. Taxonomy (NCBI): domain Eukaryota; kingdom Metazoa; phylum Chordata; class Mammalia; order Primates; family Hominidae; genus Homo; species Homo sapiens. The sequence continues at coordinate 73,632,283 of NC_000018.10, read as the reverse complement.
CCAAGTACACAGTAACCATAAGAGACCTGGGCACTTTAAATTAGTATCTCAAAATATACCTTTAAGACCAGAAATCTTACTAAGATAAAACAATTATTTCATAATTAGAAAATGTTATATAGGAAGTAGATGTACTTTTTAAAATTTGTACTTTTCTTTACTCCTCCCACTAAGTATAACTAAAATCCCTGAACATCATCTGTAAAACAAACATGAGAAAATTGTAAAAGGTGAAGAGAAGGCAGGCTGGCAGGAGATCTTGAGAAATAGCGCAAGGTGAGTTCCTTGGCTTTTCTTTTTGCCTTTTTTATGCCAAGTTGGGGCTGAAGCAGCTGGCAACCTTGAGATGTCAGTGAGCATGGTAAAAATAAATTAATTGATTTAAAAAAGCCTCTTCAAAGCCAGACTCTGTCAATAAAAGGATCTGGAAAGAGACGTCCTAACACAACAGAAAACTTTATACAATAACTGCTCTAATCCAGTCAAACATCACAGCCCCACCTGCCCATACCAGCCAATGCTGAGTGGGGAATCAAGACGTTCTGAGACTGTAACAAAGCACCCCAACCCCTCCAGCCTGGTACACAGAAGTGTGGCTGGGGGCCAGGGCTCTCCTTCCATGGTGCCACTGGAGGCAATAGGGGAGCACCACAAGGTACTCCCACCCTTCCCAGCAGAGGAAGTGTCAGGTGAGGCCTAGAGGGAAGCTGAAAATCACATCCCCACCCAGCAGTAACAAGGAGCCTCCCCCACCCCACTCAACCTGGGAGTCAACAGAGACAGAGCGGGAAACCTGGAAACCATGAGATGATATCTCCTCTTCCCCTGCTGCGGTGGTCTCAGAGGAAGTCAGCTACTGCCAAAGTTTAAGTAAGATGCAGTCTCATCACATAGCACCAAGGTCCAGAAACATCATGTGACAAAATTCAATCTCTTTTCCTGATAAAAACTCTCAAAGACAATAAAAATAGAAAGTTTCTCAAGTTATAAAAACCATCTGCCCCAAACTTATAGCTAACGTTATTCATAATGGTGAAAGGCTGAATGGTCTCACCCTGAGGTTGGGAAAGAAGAAAGATGCCCACATTTCTATTCAAAATTTTATTAGAGTTTTTAGTCTATGCAAGAAAAAGAAACAAACAGAATAGTGACTGTAAAGAAAGACGTAAATGTGTCTACATTTGCAGATGGTATGGCCTTGTATGTAGAAATTTCTAACGTTTAAGTCTTTAATCCATCTTGAATTAATTTTTGTATAAGGTGTAAGGAAGGGATCCAGTTTCAGCTTTCTACATATGGCTAGCCAGTTTTCCCAGCACCATTTATTAAATAGGGAATCCTTTCCCCATTGCTTGTTTTTCTCAGGTTTGTCAAAGATCAGATAGTTGTAGATATGCGGCATTATTTCTGAGGGCTCTGTTCTGTTCCATTGATCTATATCTCTGTTTTGGTACCAGTACCATGCTGTTTTGATTACTGTAGCCTTGTAGTATAGATTGAAGTCAGGTAGCGTGATGCCTCCAGCTTTGTTCCTTTGGCTTAGGATTGACTTGGCGATGCAGGCTCTTTTTTGGTTCCATATGAACCTTAGTTTTTTCCAATTCTGTGAAGAAAGTCATTGGTAGCTTGATGGGGATGGCATTGAATCTACAAATTACCTTGGGCAGTATGGCCATCTTCACGATATTGATTCTTCCTACCCATGAGCATGGAATGTTCTTCCATTTGTTTGTATCCTCTTTTATTTCCTTGAGCAGTGGTTTGTAGTTCTCCTTGAAGAGGTCCTTCACATCCCTTGTAAGTTGGATTCCTAGGTATTTTATTCTCTTTGAAGCAATTGTGAATGGGAGTTCACTCATGATTTGGCTCTCTGTTTGTCTGTTATTGGTGTATAAGAATGCTTGTGATTTTTGTACATTGATTTTGTGTCCTGAGACTTTGCTGAAGTTGTTTATCAGCTTAAGGAGATTTTGGGCTGAGACAATGGGATTTTCTAGATATACAATCATGTCGTCTGCAAACAGGGACAATTTGACTTCCTCTTTTCCTAATTGAATACCCTTTATTTCCTTCTCCTGCCTAATTGCCCTGGCCAGAACTTCTAACACTATGTTGAATAGGAGTGGTGAGAGAGGGCATCCGTGTCTTGTGCCAGTTTTCAAAGGGAATGCTTCCAGTTTTTGCCCATTCAGTATGATATTGGCTGTGGGTTTGTCATAGATAGCTCTTATTATTTTGAGATATGTCCCATCAATACCTAATTTATTGAGAGTTTTTAGCATGAAGGTTGTTGAATTTTGTCAAAGGCCTTTTCTGCATCTATTGAGATAATCGTGGTTTTTTTCTTTGGTTCTGTTTATATGCTGGATTACATTTATTGATTTGCATATATTGAACCAGCCTTGCATCCCAGGGATGAAGCCCACTTGATCATGGTGAATAAGCTTTTTGATGTGCTGCTGGATTCGGTTTGCCAGTATTTTATTGAGGATTTTTGCATCAGTGTTCATCAAGGATATTGATCTAAAATTCTCTTTTGTTGTTGTGTCTCTGCCTGGCTTTGGTATCAGGATGATGCTGGCCTCATAAAATGAGTTAGGGAGGATTCCCTCTTTTTCTATTGATTGGGATATTTTCAGAAGGAATGGTACCAGTTCCTCCTTGTACATCTGGTAGAATTCAGCTGTGAATCCGTCTGGTCCTGGACTCTTTTTTGTTGGTAAGCTATTGATTATTGCCACAATTTCAGATCCTGTTATTGGTCTATTCAGAGATTCAACTTCTTCCTGGTTTAGTCTTGGGAGGGTGTGTGTGTCGAGGAATTTATCCATTTCTTCTAGATTTTCTAGTTTATTTGCATAGAGGTGTTTGTAGTATTCTCTGATGGTAGTTTGTATTTCTGTGGGATCGGTGGTGATATCCCCTTTATCATTTTTTACTGCATCTATTTGATTCTTCTCTCTTTTTTTCTTTATTAGTCTTGCTAGCGGTCTATCAATTACAAAAATTAATTCAAGATGGATTAAAGACTTAAACGTTAGACCTAAAACCATAAAAACCATAGAAGAAAACCTAGGCATTACCATTCAGGACATAGGCATGGGCAAGGACTTCATGTCTAAAACACCAAAAGCAATGGCAACAAAAGCCAAAATTAACAAATGGGATCTAATTAAACTAAAGAGCTTCTGCACAGCAAGAGAAACTACTATCAGAGTGAACAGGCAACCTCCAAAATGGGAGAAAATTTTCACAACCTACTCATCTGACAAAGGGCTAATATCCAGAATCTACAATGAACTCAAACAAATTTACAAGAAAAAAACAAACAACCCCATCAAAAAGTGGGCAAAGGATATGAACAGACACTTCTCAAAAGAAGACATTTATGCAGCCAAAAGACACATGAAAAAATGCTCACCATCACTGGCCATCAGGGAAATGCAAATCAAAACCACAATGAGATACCATCTCACACCAGTTAGAATGGCAATCATTAAAAAGTCAGGAAACAACAGGTGCTGGAGAGGATGTGGAGAAATAGGAACACTTTTACACTGTTGGTGGGACTGTAAACTAGTTCAACCCTTGTGGAAATCAGTGTGGCAATTCCTCAGGGATCTAGAACTAGAAATACCATTTGACCCAGCCATCCCATTACTGGGTATATACCCAAAGGACTATAAATCATGCTGCTATAAAGACACATGCACACGTATGTTTATTGCGGCATTATTCACAATAGCAAAGACTTGGAACCAACCCAAATATCCAACAATGATAGACTGGATTAAGAAAATGTGGCACATATACACCATGGAATACTATGCAGCCATAAAAAATGATGAGTTCATGTCCTCTGTAGGGACATGGATGAAACTGGAAATCATCATTCTCAGTAAACTATCACAAGGACAAAAAACCAAACACCGCATGTTCTCACTCATAGATGGGAATTGAACAATGAGAACACATGGACACAGGAAGGGGAACATCACACTCTGGGGCCTGTTGTGGGGTGGGGGGAGGGGGGAGGGATAGCATTAGGAGATATACCTAATGCTAAATGATGAGTTAATGGGTGCAGCACACCGGCATGGCACATGTATACATATGTAACTAACCTGCACATTGTGCACATGTACCCTAAAACTTAAAGTATAATAATAATAATAATAATAATAATAATAATAATAATTAAAAAAAGAAAGAAAAAAAAGAAATTTCTAAGGAATGCACACATATAAAACTTCTCAAATTAACAGAATATTTTGCAAAGTCTCAGGATATAAGATCAGTATTCAAAAATGAATTGCATTTATGCTATCAACAAATGATCTGAAAATTAAGTTAGGAAAACCATTCTACTCACAATAGCATGAAATAATTAGTTTCTTAGTAATAAACTGAATAAAAGAAGTATAAGACATACCATACTGAAAATTCGAAAATGTTCCTCAGAGAAATTCAAGAAGACCTAAATAATTGGAGTAATTCACCATCATCATGCATTGGAAGAGTTAATATTTGTAATACAGCAAATTGATCTATAGATTCATTACCCCCTTGCAAAATGCTAGCAGGCTTTTTTCTATAAAATTGACAAGATAATTTTGAGTGTTATAGGAAAATGCAATGGGGCTTAAATTTTAAAAAGAATTTTGAAAAATAATAAATTGGAGGAGTTACCCTACCTGATTTTAAAACTTACTATAAATGTACTATAACCAAGTCACAGCTTTCTCTAAATTATTATGGTCAGATGTATTTGCAAACATGGTCATCTAGGTTATTGGTGAGTTTCCAGCTTTTGTTTTATTTTGAAAATGAACTGAAAGTATACTGAATAAATTTCTGAAAATAAACTGAATAAATTAGTGTCATCTTGGTAGAACCCTGATGAATCAGTTATTTAATTGTAAAATTAAAATATGTAATATAATTTTCACAATTTTTTTTGCTTAATGACTCAACTGGTACAACAATGTGACACTGTATTTTACCTTTTTATGCTTCTATTTTATCTTTCTTTTTGTATTTTAATATCTTTGCTTCAAGGCATCATATCTTTCATGTAATATAATAGTCTAAGGGAAAGTCTGAGCAATTGACAAAGCTTAATACTGAGTCAGACAAATGTGTTTTGGCCTGTGGGGTCTGTCGCATGGGAATACATGAAGCTCTGTAATGGGCAATACCCTGGAACAGATCCCTTCTTTGCCTTGTAGACTTAACTTCAGATGACTTGTCTTCCTGAAGTCTGCATGTCACTTCCCTCATGGCAGCTCACCAGAACAGGTCTTCCTTAAATAGCACTTTGTACCTACCACGGGCAGCTTGTTTCAGTAGCAACAGCATGGACTTCTGGGCTAATTACTTAACTTCTCAAAGCCTCACTGTTTTAATCTGCAAAATCAGCATTATAAAACTCGTTCAATCAGGCTGTGGTAGAATTTAACATTTCAGATTTTTTCTCTTTTCTCCTCTCATTCCTTCCTTTTTCCTTTCTTTCCTCCTTACCATCTCTCCTTCTCTTCGCGAATATTTTTAAAGTAGTGACTCTATCCTGGATGGTGCTCTGAGGCTTGAGGTTTATCAGAACAAGATTAATGAGGTCTCTCACCTCATGTATCTAATATATCTGGCACAGAGTTGGAAACATATGTTTTTCTTTGCATTTCTCCTCCCATTCTCTGTCTGCTGTGCTGATACTCATCAGAATTTAGCCACCCAAGTTTTACTAGCATATAAAAAAATACTAGAACTAGACTCATCCAATAGTTAAGAGTATTTACTTTGAGGGGTGGAATTGGAGGTCCAAGAAGCATGGAGATTTACTGTCTTTATTTGTAAACTCTTTGTTTGACTTTGTCAAAATGTGTATATGCCTTTCTAATTAAAATATAATCAATGCAATAAACAGTGGTGGTAAACACAAAGCCAAACATATTTTATCAGCAAATCTCTTTCCCTCATGCCTTTTCCCTCGCCAATTGTGCCTTTCTATTTAGGAATGGTAATAGGTTGGAATAGTCTTTCGTCTAAAGAGCTTGAGAACATGTATGCATTTTAGCACACAGCACTGTCCTTCTGTTTGTCTCTGTCTCTGTTTCTCTCTCTCTCTGTCTCCCCGTTCTGTCTCTCTGCCCTTTTCTATCTCTCTCTCCTCTCTCTCTCTCTCTCACCATCCCTCTCTGCTTCTCTGTGTCTCCTTCTATCTCACACACTCTTTCTCTGCCCCCTCCCATCCCACCTTCCATACACTGCATCATACCTGGGTTTACCTTCCACTAGTCTCTCCTTCTTTAATCCCTGTGCATATTCTTGAAAGTTCCCTTGAGTTCAGTGTGGGATCTGTGGGAAAGGAGGCATGAAGTCAGGGGCTTGAACTCATTTGTTTGGCTGGGAAAAGGGGGATTTTCTCTCACTTGCATTCATTTTCTGTCTTCTTTCATTGTCCAAGTGATAAACAGATAATGGGGAACTCTGATGATGATATAACCGGAGTAAAATAAGCCAGACAACTGCACCTGCTTCTTTTTTAGGTCTTAAGCCAGAGAGGCAAATGAGTACCTGCATTTCACAAGTATCTGGGATAGCAGATGATGCTTGGCTCCAGTGTTAGGAGATAAGCAAGCAACGACTCAGCAGGTCTGCTCAGCCGTGGACACCCCCAGGAACCTCTAGCCGTTTTGGGCAGTTGGTGGAGAATTTGTGATCCTTTGCATCCTTAAAATAGATTTTTCAAATTTCCTTATTTTATCTACTTCTTGATAAATCTCTTCCCAAGGCCTTGTGTCTCGGTTGCCGGACAAGCAATTAGTTGTTATAAAATAATGAATATTAATGTAACCTTAAAATCTTGACTAAGAGACTGTGCAAAAACTGAATTTATGTTATTGAATCAGATTAATATGTTCAGAAACAAATTTCTATAGAAATCAGAAAGTTTCAAATATTCTTATCAAATGGGAGAATTTTCAACTAAAATTATAATAAAACTAGTTTTCTTTTTACTTGTTAGATGGATCTTTCTGTAATTACTTGTAATTATATTAATATGAGTATCATTTTATTGGCTCAGTGGCTCATTTTAAATGCATGTCCAATGAAAAATAATAGGCACCATTATACTTTATACAGTAAATGATCTTACTTCATTCAGCCAACGTTTATTAAATGGTCACAGGACTCCATGGCAAGACTTTATTTTTTCTAGTTTCTTTCTTCATCCCCTAGACATTTTAAATCATCTATTGTGGTTGATGATATTAATGGATGTAGCTAGAACTGAAGTTATCAGTCTTAATATGTTACCCTGATTTACTTTCCATGGCTATTGAGAAACAGCTTGTATTCCTTGATTTAAATCCATCAGAAAGAATCTTCATGGAGAATTTAGGAACTGGAACTAAGTGTCCCATTTAGGTTGAGTATTGAGAAGCACCAGCCCATCTCCTGGAGATGAAAGAGGGAAAGCCAGAGCAGGACATAAGGAGGCGGAAGGACAGGAGCCCAGCAGATTTGGCTCATGGTGCTGACATCATGAAGAAGAAATGTCTTCTTATTTTATAAGCCTCTTCAACTTCTAACATGTACTTGCTAATTAGCTTTAGATTGGAAATTTGTTACAATTAAGCTGCTAAACATCTTATGATTAAATAATGAGAGATCTGCTAGAAGGACTGTAATTATGTGATATAGGCAGGTATGTTGCATCTGGATTAAAAAATCCATTAAACAAATCTCCAATTCCCTAGTGGATAGTTAACTGAGATGTCACTGACCCGAAAGAGTGTTATAGAAAAGATATGACTTTCAATATTTTTAGATAGGTTCAGATGGGTACATAGAGGAAAAAAATACAATTTTTTTAAAGTAGGTAAATTTGAAAGTATTATTAACACTGATGCTGACTTCATTTACTAACCACATCACTGTCCATTAAATTATGAAGTAATAGCTCTTAATAGCAAAAATAGTACTTCATTGAAGTCATTATATTAGTAACAAAGCTTCCATCAGCAACTTCTCAAACATGTCCACAGTCTCCATGGCTTTCCATTGTTTTTCATCTTTTAGAGTATTGACTCTGGAGTTAATATTTTAACCTTTATTGCTTTTGCCACACTTTTGATCACTTACTTTATTACATTTATTGTATTAGTTTCAGAATTTGTGTCAAGGTCATAACATTTTAAACATGGGGATGGACTCTCAGATCTTTCTTTTAATATCTTTTTCTATTTTAATTAATGTAAGGATTAAGAGTAGAGTAAAGCAATTTCAGTAGTTGATCTAAAATATATAGCATACCAATATTATTCAGTTAAAGGAGCCACTTAACAGTACACAGAAATTTTTTTTATTAACCCTTTTCAGTGCTACAAAATGTGTGCTAGTTCCAACACTTACTTAAAGCATTCATTATATATATATGTCTTTTTATTTTATAAGCCTCTTCAACTTTATATATTATATATTATTTATATATAATTTTATATATTATTTATATATACATTTATATATATTATAAACATATATATAATTTATAATATTTTATATATATATATCCAGCCACAATTTTGACTTTTTCTCTCTATTGGACTCCTGGGTTAATTTTAGTTGGGATCCTGGAAGAGATAACCAGTTACTGAGGTTGAAAATGTTATCATTTATTATAATCTCGTAAAATTCTTATGTTTTCTGCCAGCAAAGGACTCTATATTCAGTATCAAAATATTGCCCTTTGTAACTTCAATATATTATTATTGATTTTACCCACTTACATAATCTATATATTATATTTGACCAAAGGCCATAGAATAAAGAGAAACAATACTCCATGAATTGAAGATCAAAGTTTATCTAAAATATGGAATATTTTTAGTTTGTTTGCTTTTTGTTTGTATACTGACTACAACTTTCAAAGAGAAACAAAATAGATGTGATTCTCTTCAGAAACCATGTGTCCACTTACACACATGCACAAAACGTTTAAAAGACAAATGCATAAATATTCATATTGTATAAGGGTGTTTAGGTATTTAGTGTAGGAAATTTTACAATTTTTCTACATTCCTGCATAATTTACCTTTTCATATTTTGGTTGTGCAATACATATTTTACGTACAATAATTTCTGCAACTCATTAAAAAATGTGCAGCTTATTCAGAGTCATGGAAGAAAATACTTCCGTATCATTTGTACTTAATTATTTATAATAATCTTTCTGTGCCTTTAAACTACAGTAACTATTAGTTATAGTTACTATAGCAAATATGAGATAAGGATAATTGAATTTCAGTTAGAATAGTGACAAGGCTAAAAAAGAATATTTTCTCTTCTGAAAGAGAATACAGCTATTGATGCTAGTAGCTCATCACATTTCATCAGTTAATCAACATTTATTAAGTAACTAGCATGGATTTTGTTTTTAATTATCTTTGTGTGGTGAATCACATATATTGATTTGCATATGTTGAACCAACCTTGCATCCTAGGAATCAAGCCTAACTGATAGTTGTGAATTGACTTTTGATGTGCTGTTAGATTCAGTTTGGTAGTGTTTTGTTGAGGATTTTTGTGTCTGCGTTCATCAAAGATATTCACCTGCAGTTTTCTTTTTACAGTGTGTCTTTATCAGGTTTTGGTATCAGGATGATCCTGGCTTTGTAGAATAAGTTAGGGAGGAGTCTCTCTGCTTCCATTTTTTTGGAATCGTTTCAGTAGACATAGTACTAACTCTTCTTTGTTATGTCTGATAGAATTTGGCTGTTAATCCATCTGATCCAGGGCTGTAAACAGGTTTTTTATTACTTACTCAGTTTCAGAACTCAACATTTACTTGATCAGGGTTTCAATTTCTTCATGATTCAATCTTGGGAGGTTTTGTGTTTCCAGGAATTTATCCATTTTTCTCTAGATTTTCTAGTTTATATGCATAAAGGTGTTCATAATAGTCTCTGATGATCTTTTTTATTTTTGTGGGATTGGTTGTGATTTTTGTCATTGTTGCCATTTCCTATTGTGCTTATTTGGATCTTCTCTCTTTTTTATTTGCTAATCTATCTAACTATCTATCAATCTTGTTTATTCCTTCAAACAAATCAACTTTTGGCTCCATTAATTCTTTGTATGGATTTTTTTATCTCAATTTTACTCAGTTCTGCTCTGATGTTTGTTATTTCTTTTTTTCTAATTTTTTCTTTTATTCTGCTATCTTTGAAGATCATTTTTCTATTTTTCAATTTCCTTTATGTGTAATGTTGTTGTTGTTATTATTATTATTATTATTATTATTATTATTATTATTATTATTTCGGACAGAGTCTCGCTCTGTTGCCCAGGCTGGAGTGCAGTGATGCAATCTCAGCTCACTGCAACCTCTGCTTCCCGGATTCAAGTGATTCTCCTACCTCAGCCTCCCAAGTAGCTGGGATTACAGGCGTGCACCACCATGCCTGACTAATTTTTGTATTTTCAGTAGAGATGGGGTTTCACTATGTTGGCCAGGCTGGTCTCAAACTCCTGACTTCAAGTGATTGCCCACCTTGGCCTCCCAAAGTGCTGGGATTACAGGAGTGAGCCACCATGCCTACTACTTTACTTTACCTCTTACTTTAATTTGAGATCTTTCTGACTTTTTGAAGTAAGTGTTTAGCAGTATAAACTTTCCTCTAAACACTGCTTTTGCTGCATCTCAGAGTTTTTTGGTGAGTTGTGTCTTTGTTTTCATTTACCTCAATGAATTCTTTTATTTTTGCCTTAATTTTATTGTTTACTCAAAAGTAATTCAGGAGAAATTTGTTTAATTTCCATGTAATTGTGTGGTTTTGAGCTATCTTTTTGGTATTGATTTTTATTTTTATTCCATTTTGGTCTGAGAGTATGGTTGGTATGAATTCCATTTTTAAAAATTTATTGAGACATGCTTTATGTCTGAACATATGGCTGATCTTGGAGTGTGTTCCATGTGCAGATGAGAAGAATGTATTTCTGTGGTTGATGGGTGGAGTGTTCTGTAGAGTTCAAGGACTGACAAAAAAAAAAAAAAAAAAACACTACATTTCTTTTCTCCATTTTGGACAACATTCCCATCTGCAACACACATCTCAAGTTAGACCCTAGGGCAAATTCAGTTGATTTCTAATTTGAGATTTGTCTCTCCCTATCGTAACTAAGTTCAAGGTCTAGGGAACATAAAAAGTTCTCCATTCAGACTCCATTTCCTATCACACTTTCTTCCTTTTTTTTTGTTTCTTTAGAACACATTCCTCCCTCCACACAGCTCCTCAATTCTAAATATTAGTTTTCTCACTTTGGGAAAGATGCTAAGTCAACACTAAACTTCTGTTTTATCATCTACAACATACATATGTCAATATCTACCACATAGGGTTGCTGTGAAGAACAAATGATAATGTATATTAAATAAATTTAATGATATCTTGTTACTTAAAAATGCTGGACATTATGGCTATTATGTATTTTTCAAGATCCTGTTCAAGCATCACCTATTTTGTGAGTATCTCCAGTTCTTTTCTCTTCTCTATGCCTATACTCCTCTCTGAACACAGCTTTCACCTTTCTTATACCATTGCATTTTTATTGCTTCTTGTCTGTCTTTCCTACTGTGAAGTCCTTGAAGTCAGGGGCTGCAGCAATCACATTACCCAACGTAAATTCATAACTCATAGAAATTTTAATATGATTAAGGTTAGGAATATTTTGAGGATCTAAAGGCAACAGAGATATCTGGATATCCCACTAAGCAAAGAAAGGTATGAACATTTTTAGGGCCAATACTGAAAAGGATTGAATTCTAAAACCAGCAGAGACATCAAAAGCAAAATTTGTCATTTTGGGTTTTCTCAGGGTCAGCCTTCCTATTAAACATTTCTGTTATCAGCTAAAAAGTATGACTATTCATCAGTTATCTACAGATTTTAGATATTCTGAACACTTCAGCTTACCATCTGGTGTTAGTGTAGCAAATGAAGAAATTGCAGCCTAACAGTCCTTTAATCAGACAATGAGCGTGTTTAAGTCACTCTGTTCAGTCTTTGCTTCCTTTTTGTTCCTTTAGGCAATGAAACACATTGTGTGTCATGATACAAAAGTATATTCTGGATGAAAAGGGTTTTTTGATGTTTCAGAGTCTCATTTCTCTCTTGGGATGATTTAATAATGGTTTATGTACGAAGTAGGGCTTGCAAGGAGCTGGGGAGAATGAGAAGGGCCACCCATGTCTAGGGCATACCAGTTGCTAAGCTACTTCTTCAGAAAACATGAGTTAGAAACTTCCAAGCCTTTTATGGGGGATGAAAATACCATTCCAAAGGAGAGGATAAGAATATTTTATAAGAAATAAAGCTTAATTCCTTCAGTTCCAATAAAAGTTGAGAAGGTTTCAAGGATTTTAACTTTGTATAGCTAGATGGCTTAAGTAATGCTTGTAACTGTTGTGCAAAACTAATGAATAAGAATAAAATTCTAAGAATTTGGGGGTACTAATTATTTAATATTTCTTTTCAACTTGTGATCTGTTCTCTTGAGTGAGTGAGAAATGAGCATAAATTGACCAAAAGGAAATGAATTTATCTTACTTTTTTTGCCCTAGCTGAAATTTAGAGCTATAGCTACCACCATCTGGAAAATCTCTGTCAGAGATGCTAAACAGCCTTTCCCTCCTCATTTTATAGTCTCCATTGAGGAATGGGAATATTAAGTGACTTACGTTATAGCAAATAATTTTGAAAGCATGCTTTCTATTATAGGATGGTTTATAAGCAATCACTGACTGATGATTTGGTGAGTAGTTTAAACCATTTGCTTCTTTTTTTAAAAAAAAATTCAATTCTTTCCTCTAGATCCACTCTTCACAGCTGTGGTCTGAAAGTTTGTGTTTCCCCAAATTCATATGTTGAAACCTAACACTTTATGTGGAACTATTGTAAGGTGTGGTCTTTGGGAGATGATTAGGTCATGAGGATGAAGCCCTCATGAATGGAATGAATGCTGCTGTAAAAGACACCCGAGTTGCCTTGCCCCTTCCATCATATGAGGACAGAGCCAGAAAGTGCTGTCTGTGAAGAATGAGCCCTCACCAAGCAGAGAATCGGCTGGCTTCTTGATCTTAGACTTCTCAGCCTCTAGAATGATGATAAGTCAATTGTTTACAAGCCACCCTGCCCATGGAGTTTTTTTTGTTTTTGTTTTTGTTTTTTGTTTTGTTTTGTTTTGTTTTTGAGACCGAGTCTCCCTTTGTTGCCCAGGCTGGAGTGCAGTGGCGTGATCTCGGTTCACTGCAAGCTCCGCCTCCCAGGTTCACGCCATTCTCCTTTCTCAGCCTCCTGAGTAGCTGGGACTACAGGTACCTGCCACCATGCTAGGCTAATTTTTTGAATTTTTAGTAGAGCTAGGGTTTCACTGTGTTAGCCAGGATGGTCTCCATCTCCTGACCTCTCCATCCACCCATCTCAGCCTCCCAAAGTGCTGGGATTACAGGGGTGAGCCACCGCACACGGCCCTGCCCATGGAATTTCTGTTACAGCAGCCTGAACAGACTGAGACATTCATTCCTCTTCTCATCTGCTCTGTGGCCTGAGGCAGGCTTTACTGTCTACATCACCAAGGAACCCTTACCGTCTGGTTTCCAGTTGAGTTTGGCCAATGAGAGATAGCAGAAATACATGAGAAGGTAAAAGGAGAAAGAGGTCAGGGTATTTGCTCTTCTCCCTTCCTTGCTTTCTGAGGCCACAGGCCATTTGGATCTCAACTATAGCTCTCTCTAGGTTCTGCACAAATAACACATTTCTACAGTTTCTTGTTTCTGGATTCTTTACTGTTTCTTCTCTGTTCCCTTAACTCTTTTCACAATGCTATAAGTAGTCTTATGCTTCATTCATTGCTCCTCTGGGTTAGCCATGTTCTTCTTTCTTTATAAATGACTGATGCAGAATTTGTTACCAAGAGTAGTCCTAGGAAACTGACTTCCTAAGTGGGATTCTGGGATTGTGTTGCTCATATATTTGATGAGCTCACACAGTAATATCAAGACTGCTGAAGTTTCTCTGGGTAGTGACATGAGATGGAGGGAAGAATGAAACACTCAGAGGTCAATATCCTGTGATATTTATTCACTTCATGGGTGTGTTAGTTACTCATCACTGCATAACAAATAACTGCCAAAACTTAGTGGCTTCAAGTAATAAACACTAATTATCTTACAGTTTCTATAGGGTAGGGAGTCAGGAGTGTCTTACCTGGTATTTTAGGTATTTCTGACTTACAGACTTCAATGAGGTTACAGTTGAAATGTCTGCTGGGGCTGCAGCCATCTGTCAGTTTAACTGAGGCTAAGAAATCTGCTTCGAAGATGTCCCACCTTTGTAAGTTTCTTGCTGGCTGTTGGCAAGAGGACTCAGCTCCTTACCATGTAGGCTTCTTCATAGGGGCTGGCTAAGTATTGACATGAAACTGGTTTCTCCTTGCATGTCGAGGGTAAGTGGGAAGCCACATGCTTTTTGTGGAAGTATATGATATAGAAGTCACAAACCATTGCCTCCAGCTGATTCTGAACATTAGAAGTAAGTAGCTAAGTTTAACCTACACTCAACCGGGGAGGGGTAGAGTGGGATTATGTTTTACCTTTTAAAGAGGCTAAGAATTTGTGGACATATTTTAAACCATTACAGGTGGCAATAGTGACCATAAAGTTTATGGAATGTCTGACTGTTTTTTATTGTCCTTGAAATACTACACATTTTATTGTCTGTGAAATACTACATGGTACAAAAAATTTCAATGTTCATTGCACAAATGTAGACAAACTGACCACCTTGAATGCTTGTCTCAATGCATCATGAAGAATCTGAAAGCCTCTACAATGACTTTAACAGGAGGTCTTATTTCCTGTAATTAAGGGCCAACCTGGCTGAGGATTAAATCTGTGGACTGCTTTTAAGTGTCACAAGGTTACAAGGCCAAAACAAGTGCTCAGTCCTATCATATTTTCTGTGCTAAAGTAAGGGCACTGGTTATGAAGCAGTGGGATCTGAGATGTGAGATGAGAACGTTTGAAGATAAAGGGATGAGTCTGAGACATTGAACCTCCAGTCCTCAAATCTTCCTTGTTTTTACTTAGGAAACTGTAAGAATCTTCTTTTGCATAAAAATGTTTTAATGCCTCTTCCCATAGAGGTGCTTCCTTAAGAGATGCTAATTCTTCTCAGGACCTATCCCCACTAGAGCTCATTGCCTCCTAGTGCATAAAGATAACTAAATCTTAGCATAGCTGAGAGAGAGAAGGGGAAGACCTGCTCAGGAGGAGAAAACTATTAAACTAAAGGAGTTTTGCCAATTTTAATTCTTAGGTATCTAGGAAACATATGGCAGAAGATATTATAAGAGTACTAGACAAAGGAAAACAAAATACAAGATTGGATGAAGATGAATTTATTAAAATAGATGAACTCACTCAGGATTTGGAATTTAATAAATTTGTCTCAAGCACTGGCCATAAAAAATATGTATGCTTTATGGGTTCTCTTGCCATCCCACTAAAGGGAATTAGAGAACATACACCTAGGGCTTAGAATAAAGCCTTTATTTCTGCTGACAATTCTCTTACACTTTCAAGGCAACATTTGCTTTGCTACTGAGCCCTGGTAGAGACTGACTTTCTAACAATGGACCCACAAGTGATTATATAACATGAGCTCCTTGTCAAGAACTAGACTACCAATCAAAAACTGAACTAAACATCCATGAAATCATAAATGTAGATGTAATAGCAACATTTTTAAATAAATGAAAATGATGTATAGAAAACTGGCCTGAGAAGGGAAGGTAGATATAAGCATATTGCATGAGCAGGTAGCTCAGAATCCCAATTCTGCTATTTCATCACCTCTGCAGCCTACGCTCTGGTCTCATGGGGAGTTTCCATTGACAAATTAAGAGAGCAAGAAAAAGCGCAGACATGGCTTACAAATAGGTCTACAAGATATGCTGGCACCAACCAGCTGTGGATGGCTACTACATTAGAGTGAAACTCAAGGCTGGCCATGAAATACTTTTGTGTAGAGAAGAGTAGGCATAACGTGAGGTAATTTATCTGATTGTCCACTTTGCATGACAGGTGAGGTAGAACTCTGATTTTAAACATTGATGATAGGTGGGGTGAATGGTCAGAAATTTGGAAGTAACAGAATGCAAGGCTAAGGGAATATTGGAAGAACAAAGAGGAAGTGGTGTGTTTATGAACTTCTTGTGCTAAGTCATCCATGTACTGTGCAAATGCCCCCCAGAGAATGCTCTTATTAGGTGGAGATCACCCATCCAGTGGGTATTATCCAGCCTCTTCCTCTCCTGTCTGCTCCGTGCTCTCTACCACTTGCTCAATGAGCCTTTGTCCAAAAGGGCCATGGCAACAGGAATGGAGGCTATGCATGGGCTCAACAATTAGGATTTCACATTGCCAAGGCTAATCTGGCTACTACTGTTGCTAATTACTCACACTGCCAACAACAAAGACAAAAGCTAAATTCTCAGGATGGACCCACAAGAACCAACTGGTTAGGATTATTACACTGAACTACTTCCACTGTGTGGGGGGTGGCTAATGATTCATCCTCACGAGAATAGATGTATGTCCCACATTTATATTTGCCTTCCTTCCTACATTGCTTCTACCAGCAGCACAATTTGTGGACTTACTAAATGTTTTATTCATCACGACAATGTCCCAAGCAATGTAAGCTCTGATTAAGGAGTTCTTTGCAGGGTGAAAGAAGTGTAGTAATTGGTGAAAGCCCATAAAATCTGTATGCTCCATCACTTTTAAGCAATTGATATGATCTTGAAATAATCTTCTGAAGGCTTATTTACGGCACCAGCTGGGAGGCATTAGACTGAAGGATTGGGGTCCTATAGGACGTGGTATATTTCTTAACTTCCAGCAACCAAAATGATGTCTTCTCTCCACAGCCACAATACACAGATCTTATTATTAAGATGTGGAAATGTTAGTGCTTTCTTTTATTGTTGCATGGAGAAGTGAGGGTTAACTAGCCCAAGATTAATTCCATGGAGGCTGGCCACAGAGAAAAAAAGCAGTACCCCTTCAAAGCTCTGAGGAAACTAGCTAAATGCCTAGGCAATAAATCCTATTGGAATCCATTTCCCCTTCCATCATACCAGAGAAGAGCTATTCTACCCCCAAGTCCCAACCTTGAATATTCTGGTAGTGAATCATGCTACTAGCAAACCACACGATACATCTATAGCCAGGAGGCTTGTTTCCCCAGCTACCTATTTGTGCCAGGGATAAGGCTGGTTCATCACCAGATATGAATGCTGAGCTGGCAGGATAGAGCTGGAACTACAATTCCACCACATCCTCATGCTATTATAGTCCAGCCCTTGATTATACCAGGAATGAAGCCAGTGTTTCCTATCATGCAGTTTGCTCCAACAGCCCAAATTTTAGCATCTTTCTCCCAAAGTCTAATGTCTAGTCCTGTTAAATCTCTGTACACTACCCTGGAATGCAAGATGCAATGGAGTATCCACATAATTACTACTGCTTCTCTGTATATAAATTTTCTCCAAAACACTCAGCGCTAGAAGGTTTGGCTAAACTCAACCATACATCAGAGGGCAAGGGAGCTTGAGAAATGTCTTCTGTAAAGTGCATCCTTGCAAAACACAAAGGAGGACAGAGAAGGAATGTGAAGGGGCTTATTTATAACAATCAACATAATTTCCCCCTTCAACTTCAGCATCCATTCTTGATTTGTATTTGGATGAAAATAAATTGCACATACACAACATAGATGATGCTCATATTCCTATCAGCCCACTCATCACTGTGGGGAGAAGTCTTTTCAGCCAACCCAAAGAGAAGCTAAATTGAAACGTTAGCTACCATCAATGCTTCTCCTAGAAAGGAAAGAAAAAGAAATTAGTAACAAATAATTCATAGCAAACATAATTGCCATAGTTCATGCATTGAAGCTGGCCACAGGGCTACATTAATAATCACTGATTCCTTCTCCCCTTGGCACTTGCAATATAAATATTGTAAAAGTTATGCAATATCCATTGCATAACCTACATATGAAACTTTTGCTGCCGAACCAAGAAACAGACAAGGTAGTCTCTTTCCTGGTGAAGAAATTAATCCTGGTTGTCAAGAGGAAAGAGAGTTGCTGCTAAACAGACTGGGGTGGAGGCAGGCATGGAAGAGTATATCTGAAAGCTAGGGGTTTCACTGAGATATTTCTTGATATTCTTATTTTAAATAACAATGATTAATAAGAAACTCTGATGAAGTAATAAAGAGAGTAGACTTTAAGGATTTGGAAACTGGGAATGAAGGTTTGACTCATCACCAGGTAAAATCTTTGACTAGCTGTGGTACTGGCAGAAAGTCAGGGAATATATAATGAATGAGGGAGAAGAAATCTGTGATTATTAACAGTTCTATGGCCAGCTATAATGCAGGGACCATAGCAGTTATATTTCATATGAATTATTTGTCATTCATTTCCCTTTCCTTCCTTTCTAGGAGAAGCAATGGTGGTGGCTAACATTTTGACTTAGTGTCTAGATTGGGCTGACCGAAACAACCTCACCTCACAGTGATGGGGTGTCTGATAGGAACACGAGTATTGTCTATGTTAGGTACGTGCAATTTTGCATCTGAACAAAAGTCAAGAGTGGATGCTGAGGTTGAACGGGGGTCAGAAATTATGCTGGTTATTCTACAAACACCCCTTCACTTTCCTTCTCTGTGCTTCTTTTCCTGTCTTTGTGCTTTGAGAGGATGCACTTTAGAGCAGACATTTCTCAAGCTCTCCTACCCTCTGATTTCTAGTCAAATCTAGCTCTCACTAGAGTCACTGGCAGGAAACAAGAGTTGGGATAAGAAGAACACTATGAATTTAATTTCCTTCCTTTCTTTCCTGCTGGGCTTTTTAATTTTATTTTATGCATTTTTGAGACAGAGTCTGGCTCTCTCACCCAGGCTGGAGTGCAGTGGCATGATCTCAGCTCACTGCAACTTCCACCTTCTGAGTTCAAGTGATTCTCGTCCCTCAGCCTCCCGAGTAGCTGGGACTACAGTCATGTGCCACCACGCCTGGCTAATTATTGTATTTTTAGTAGAGATGGGGTTTTGCCATGTTGGCCAGGAAGGTCTCAAACTCCTGGCCTCAAGTGATCCACCCGCCTCGGCCTCACAAAGTGCTGGATTACAGGCATGAGCCACTGCGCCCAGCCCTGGGTTTTATTGGAATGGCAGATTCATTCCTCTACATAAAGGCAGAGCTTCTTAATAGCAGTCCCTGTCCCATGGCTGCAGCTCTAGTTGGGTCTTTCCTTTGTCCATTCACATCTAGGGGTGGCCATTGGCCTCCTGCTGTTATATTCCCTGGGTTCTTTGCCATTCATTATTGGTTCCCTTAACCCCACCCACACCTCTGTAAATAGATCTTTCATTAAAAATGTCTCCATTATTTCTTTGAATGTGTCAACTATTTTCTGCTTGACTTCCATCAATATATGCTACCTGACATTGACACGAATTAATTCTAATAGGAAAAGTTTACAAAGTGAAATTCAAATTCTTTGACACTCCTTTTATTGAGAGGTAGAATTTATTTCTCCTCTTCTTTAACCTTGGCTGAATTATAACTGCTTTGACCAATAGAGAATTGTAGACATGATACTATGCAACTTCAGAAACTAGATGAGAAAGAAGTAATCCTTTTGGGCACTTGCTTTCTGGATATCCCCTGTCCAAACATTTCTTTTCAGAACTCAGCTGCCATATTGTGAGACGCTCAAGCTACCTGAAGAGGTTATTTACAGGTGATCTAGTGACAGTATCAGCTGAGATGACCTTGGCATCCTTCCAGCCCAGGCACCAGGGACTGTGTAATGTAGGAGAACAATTCATTTTGTATCTGTTACTTTTGTGCACATTGTACTCTCCAGTCACATTATACTTTTTGGTATTTCTTGGATGTGTATTGTTCTTTCTCATTTTGAATAAATATTGTCATCTTTCTGCCAATGTATTTTCCCAAGAAGCTCCTTCTTCCCACCTACCAGCATGACACCACTTTATTCTTCAGATCTGAGTTGAAAATTATTTTCCCAAGGTTGCTTTTGTTGACACTTAGGGCAAGCTTTTGTATGAATAAATATATCGATAAATAAGTGAAATCAGTAAATAATAAACAAATATGCCCATAATTAATGGAAATTTTCAATGAGTAGATGAGCATAGAAAGGTCAGGCAAATATAATCAAATGGGACTTGAGACGTAAACTTAATACTCATTATTATTTGGACGATAAAAGATTAGATTGGACAGAAGCTTATGTAAAGTAAAGGAAAAAGTAGGCTGAAGACAGAAGATAAAAGATTAGATTGGGCAGAAGCTTATATAAAGTGAGGAAAAAAGTAGGCTGATGACAGAACCTACCTGGTGAAATGCCATCATCATCTACCTTGGTTAAAAGAAGAACGACCCATGGAGAAAAACAATCAGAACTTCAGGACAGAAGTATCAAAGCAGAGTGACACAGAAATAAAAAGAGAAGAACATGTAGAGAAGGAAGAGGAAATTAACAATGTTAATACTGTTCCAGGGAAGTCCATTAATTGTGGCAATGAATGATTTTTAAATTTGGAAATTTTTCATCTGTTTTTGAAATTTTTATCACTTTGAAAATAAAGGTGGTATATATTTAAGGTATACCTCATAATGTTTTGAAGTACATATACATAGAGACAAAATTACTGCAAAAGCAAATTAACATACACATCTCCTCACATAGTTACTTTTTAAGGGGTGAGAATGCTGGAAATCTTCTTTCTTAGCAAATTTCCAGCAAAATCCCTCTATGTTCAATACACATTACAATATAATTAACTGTAGTCCTCATGTTGTACATTAGATCTCTATCCTAAAGCAACTTTGTACCTGCCCCATTCCCCCAACATTTCAACTCCTGGTAACCATCCTTCTATTTCCTGCTTCTATGTATTTGACTCTTAGATTCCACGTAAAAGTCATACCATTCAGTATTTTGTTTTCTGTTTTTATCTTATTGCACTTGACATAATGTCCTCCAGGGTCATCCATGTTGTAAATGTCAACATGGATAAATAGTATTTTAAAGACCAAATAGTATTTCGTTGTGTGTATCTATACATATCTCATATAAACTGCCTTCTAATTCTCCCAAAGCCAGGACACTTCTCTCCAGTTTCCCTGCACTATCTAGTGCATACATCATCATCTTTCCTAGGCTAAGGCCTCAGTACTGGTTTTCCCAACTCCAGTCTTGTTTTCTTCTCATTTATTCTCTGCAAGACACCAGCCATAGTGATTTTTCTCTAGATCAAAAATTATGTGTTTTAAAATCAACTGTGCTGTTAGTTGCACAACTCTGAATATATTAAAAATCATTGTACACTTTTATTGGGTGAATTGTATAGTATGTCAATTGTATTTCAATAAAGATATTACAAAAATAAGTAGTGTGGCATTTGCCAGATAATCTTGTGATAATTTTGAATGGGGTGGGGAGGAGTGAAGACTGTTTTTGGCATGAGAAGTGGAGAACAGAATGTAAGCTCCATGAACCCAAGAGTTTTTGCCTGGTTTTACAGTGTTATAGACACTCTACCGTGTTTAAAAACAGTTGCTGGCACAGAGAAGGTGCTCGGTAAATATTTGATGAATGAATAAATGAAATAATAAGAGGTAAAAGGGACCACATGAGCCAAGAGAGGACTTTTGTTATTTTAGGATGGATGAGATGAAAGTTTCTTTGTACTGAGGTAAAGTGATAGTTGGGAAGGAAAGGAGAGGAAGGAGGTCACCTCTTTGGCTTAACTCTCCCTGCAGAAACTGCAATTGCTTCACCTTTGTATTTGTGCTTGTATATTGAGAGGTGGGTAAAATAGTGATTTTTTTCAATAAAATTTTGTTAAGAGTAAGTACTAGTAATTTCTCTGTGATGGGTGGTGGTGACCTTCAGAGCCTCTCTACTGAGAATCTTTATAATTTCACCCGATTGTCTTTTCTCCTGCCAAGTATTTACTATTGAGTAAAATTTATCTTATTTATCCTAGCTTTGTGATTAAATTACCAACTTCATTTTATTGATTTATTCTTGCAATAGGTAAAACAATGGACAAGAGGTTTTATGCAGAAGCTTTTAGAGTTACATCCTATATGCTAAAGATTAAGGTGGCTATTTCTTTTTAAATTTATTTTTATTTTTATTTAAATAGTTTTTGGTGAACAGGTGGTGTTAGGTTACATGGATAAGTGCTTTAGTGGTGATTTCTGAAATTTTGGTTCACCTGTCACCCAAGCAGTGTACACTGTACCCATATTGGTGATTTGTTTGACTTTCTTGTAGATTCTGAATATTAATCCTTTGTTGAACGCATAGTTTGCAAAAATTTTCTCCTACTTTGTGAGTTGTCTGTTTACTCTGCTGATTATTTCTTTCTCTGTGCAGAAGCTTTTTAGTCTAACTAGGTCCCATTTATTTATTTTTGTTTTTATTACATTTGCTTTTGGGGTCTTAGTCATGAATTTTTTGCCTAAGCCAATATCTAGAAGAGTTTTTCTGATGTTATCTTCTAGAAGTTTCATGGTTTTGGGTCTTAAGTCTTTGATCCATCTTGAGTTGATTTTTGTAAAAGGTGAGAGATGGGGATTCAGTTTTAATCTTCTACACGTGGCTTGCCAGTTTTCCCAGCACCATTTATTGAATAGAGTGTCCTTTCCCCAGTTTATGTTTTTGTATGCTTTCTTGAAGATCAGCTGGCCATAAGTATTTGGCTTTATTTCTGGGTTCTCTATTCTGTTTGATTGACCTGTATGTAAAGGAGATATTTCTAATACAAATAGTTCATCTGTCTATGGATTCTAATATTTCTCTGAGATTGAATGTATCATAATTTTACATTGTTAACCTTGACTTTTCATTTGCTTTCATTCCCTTGCTAAATGTTTCATATGAAATTATACTTTTCATGAAGTGTTAATTCTAATAGAGATCTGGCATTTGGCAGTTATTGACAAATGTTGTATCTCCAAGGTTACAAACAAATGCTTATAGGAAATGAGAAAGGAAGATAGAAAATCCTACAGGGAATTTTAGCTATGATCACATTGTTCCCTAAATAATTGAAAAAAAAATGCCATGGTTGATATTTTGAAATCATATGAGGATTTCAAGAATATATTGTTGTACAAGCTTGTCTTGCATGATTTTGCATAGGAATTAAACACCAAAAATAATACTAGCATAAAAGAAGAAGGATTAGGAGAAATAAAAGAAGGCTGAGGAAAATTAAGTGAGAGGTTATAACATTTTAGAAATCATGAGAATTTTTTGTGTGCTTTCACCACCAAGAATATGGTTGTTTGAAAGACTTGTGCATAATTACATAATTTAGAATAAAAATATAAATATTGAATTGGACAAATTTGAAGGAGAAAAGAGCTGGGGTTATCTCAAAGCAAAATCATAAGCGGCAAACAGAAACAAGAAAGGGGCTGCTGGAGAAAGTGGAAAAAATAAAAGGAGAAGGGAAGGAAAAGACAATAGAGTATTTTGGAAAAATAAAGATGAGTGAAGAAGTCTTAGGAGCTTCATGCTTGCTAATGAAAAATTACCCGGACTACAAAAGAAAAAACAGTGAACATAATTATTTCCATCAAATTTGGTTGGATAATAATATTCATGGATGTTTATTTCAAGCTTTTTTTTTAACAAATATTTTTTAACTTTCTGTATCAGGTATCCTGTTAGGTTACAGAGGTGAAAAGCTGAACAAAGTGTTTCAACTCCGAAGTCACAGTCCGTGGAAGAAATAGACACACCTGCACACATACTTTCAACACAGCATTGTCAAGTCCCGAGATGCACAGGATGCTAGAGGAATAGGGATGAGGGGGACAGAGCTCAGTGGGATGTAAAGAAATTATTTCCGGAGGTGATGATACCTGATGGGAGCTTTAAAGATGAGTGTTTTTCAAAGAAAGGGGGCACGAGAGTCCTTGGAAGACTCTCACAAACTCCCAGAGATATGTGACCACATCATGTATGCAGGAAGCTACAAGCAGCTCCCTCCTAAATGTATAAATGAGCAAGAAGGAAAACGTCATGAGAAGGGGCTGAAAATGTGGGCCCAGGCTTGGTCATGAGGACCTTGCTTGCCATTCTAAGGAAGTTCATCGTTTACCTTGGGATACTGGGATGTCAATGAAGGATCTTATTTTGGAGAAATACTTGGTCATATTTTATTTTTAAATATGGCTATGGTAGAGATGAATTAAAGGAGATAACATCAAAACTGGAACCAAAAAGACAATTGAGGTATTTTAGGTGAAATAAGATATATAAGAACGAGGGGCCGGGAATGTTGGCTCATGCCTGTAATCCCAGCACTTTAGGAGGCCGAGATGAGAGGATTGTTTGAGCCCAGGAGTTCATGATCAGCCTGGGCAACATGGCCAGACCCCAATTCTGTATTAAAAAAATACAATTAGCCAGATGTGATGGCCAACCCCTGTAGTACCAGCTACTTGGGAAGCTGAGTTGGGAGGATCACTTGACCCTGGGAGTTCAAGGCTGCGGTGAGCTGAGATCATGCCACTGCACTCCAGCCTGGGCAACAGAGGGAGACCCTGTGTCAAGAAAGAACCAAAGTAGATTCAAAAAATTTCTATGGGACTTGGTGATTATCTGCAGAGAGGAGTCTCAAATGGCATGTATATGATGTAGGTGACTAGACAGACTGATGCCATCATCTGAGATCTCAAATTAAGAGGAGAAAGGGTTTTATCAGGAAAGATGATGAGTCCAGATTTGAATATTTTGACTCTAACATACCTGCTGAATATCTAGGTGGAGATATCTTATAGGTGATTGAAGATTTTATTCTAAACCTCAGAGGAGAGAAGTAAAGTGGTGGAAATTAAAAACTATGAGAGTGGATAAAGTCAACCTGTGGAGAACAATTCTGTCTCATTTATTTTTATTATTTCATTAATTTTTATTCTTTAATTCTTCTACTTTATGTGGCGTTATTTTGCTGTTTCTCTGCTTTCCTACACCAGAAACTTAGGTTTCATTTTCAGACTTTCTTCTTTTTAATATAAACACTTACGGGTATACATTTCCGAGTACCATTTTTTGTTTGTTGCTACATTCTATTCATTATAAAATGCAGTATTTTCAAAATCATTGTTTCTTATTTTAGACCCATGAATTACTTAGAAGTGTGTTATTAGAATTCAAAGCAGATATTTTATTCTTAAATAGCCTTTATTTTTAGAACCATTTTAGAGTTACAGAAAAATTTAGAAGGCAGTGTAGAGTATTCTTATATGTCCCCCACACAGATGCCCCTGTTGTTACATCTTACATCTTTACAGTATCTTCATTACAAGTAATCGATCAATATTGATGCATTAGTATAACTGAAGTTCAAAGTTGAGTTCCTCAGTTTTACCTGGTGTCTTTTTTCTGTTCCAGGATTCCATCCAGGATAACACATTATATTTAGGCATCCTCTCTCCTTAGTCTTTTCTTGGTTGTGAGGGTTTCCCAGATTTTCTTTGCTTTTGATGACCTTGACAGTTTAGAGGAATATCAGGTATATTGTAGGAAGCCCTTCTACTAGAATTAATCTGACATTTATCTCATGATTAGATTGAGATTGTATATTTTTTGGGATAAAGATTATAATGTGTCAGCCGGGCGCGGTGGCTCACGCCTGTAATCCCAGCACTTTGGGAGGCCGAGGCGGGCGGATCACGAGGTCAGGAGATCGAGACCATCCTGGCTAACACGGTGAAACCCCGTCTCTACTAAAAATACAAAAAATTAGCCGGGCGTGGTAGCGGGCGCCTGTAGTCCCAGCTACTCGGGAGGCTGAGGCAGGAGAATGGCGTGAACCCGGGAGGCGGAGCTTGCAGTGAGCCGAGATCGCGCCACTGCACTCCAGCCTGGGCGACAGAGCGAGACTCCGTCTCAAAAAAAAAAAAAAAAAAAAAAAAAAGATTATAATGTGTCATTTTCGTCACATCCAATCAAAGATAGGCACTACCATTGTGATTTTTGACTGTTGGTGCTGACCTTGAACACTGCTGGGATGGTGTTGTCAAGTTTCTCCACAGGTTCTCCACAAGTTACTCTTTTGTTGCCCTTTCAGTCGCTATGAGCAACACCCACTTAAGGAGCAATGACTTATGTTCTCCTTCTTTATGGGGAAGTATCTCTCTGAATTATTTGGAATTCTTCTGCATGATTGATTTGTCTCTTCTCCCTTATGTTTTTCAGTCAACAGTGCGTGCTATGGATATTTATTTTGTATTTTGTGTTATGTTTCAATACTATTTTATTCTAAACACATATTTTTGGTTGTCATTTAAAAGTTTATTTTTACACAATTGCACTGTAATCAATCAATCAGATACATGGTATGACAGTAGTTCTTTGAAATTTGTTGACAATTCCTTTAGTTCCTAATGGACATTTATTTTCCATAGGTATTCTGTGTGTGCTTAAAGTTAATATATGTTCTTCAGGTGTAGGGTACCACGTGTGTTAATTACATCAAGACTGTTGATTTTAATTTTCAGAGCTTCCCTATTCTGGTTCATGTCTTTTCCCTCCTTGGTCTATCAATTACTGAGAGAGGTATGTTAAAACTTTCTTCTATGATTGCGAATTGGTCTTTCTTAGGGTGGAGGGTGGAACTTTATAAATTTACCCTTAATTTCTTTAGAAACTGTGATGCATAGGTTTTGGGTGAACATCAACAATGCCACTTGCTGCAGCTAAAAGTTGTGGACTGAAGGTTGGTGGATGGCATTAGTCCCCCATTCTTTTGATCTCCTGCAGACAGGAGTCCTTGGACTTGGGTGCAGCTGCATACACTATGGTATTGTATTCCAGCAGAGAAATGCTGTTCTTATTCATAAGAAATGCTGCTTCTTATTCATGTGACAACAGTGATAGCATCCTTGGATGTGAGGAATATGCACTGTGTGCTCAGAAATCAAGGAGTGTGAGCTTAGATGCCAGTTTCTACAGGGGTGCTGGGAGATACCTTCTGTGTTACCTGGCACCCTTAGTCAGGGGTAATGGCTTTATCCAAGGGAAATTGACGTGATGCATGTTTCATTCACTGTGGGAACGGAGAGATGGTAGTCTTATAAGAAGTTGGCTTTTATTTCATTTTCTTTCTTAATTGCCCTCTCTACAACCTCTAGTAGAAGGAGGTGGTGGTGGTAAGAGCAGATATTATTTTGTTGTTCCTAATCTTAGAGGAGCTCTTTCAATCCCTTACCATTAAGTATAATAGCTATGGTTTTTTCAGAGATGCCCTTTATCAAATTGAGGAAGTTACCTTATATTTCTATTTGTTGAGAGTTTCTATCATAAATGGGTGTTAGACTTTGTCAAATGCTTATTTTGCATCAGTTGAGATGAATATGTGTCTTTTGTACTTTATTCTATTAATATGGCATATTACATTGATCAATTTTCTTACATTGAGCCGCACTTACATTCCTGAGATAAATCCCACTTAGTTGCAGTGTATAATATTTTTAATGGGTTGTGGGATTCAGTTTGCTAGTTTTTGGTAATTTTTGTGTTCATATTTGTGAGGAATTTTCGTATGCAGTTGGGCATTAGGGCCACCATTATGCTGGGATCATTGAACTTAATCCCAAATTGTGCTTTCTTAGGGTACTAAAGGAAGCTAAAAATTGGTATGAAACTGGGCTTATGTTTAGGAATGCTCATAAATTCATTTCATTGTCTCCTCTCTACCCATAGCTAAGACCAAGAGAGGAACAAAGCATATCTTCAAGGTGCCTTACTTTCATTTTCTATTTCTTCCTCTAGAATTTTGTCTTTCAAGTTCCTGAATTTTTCCCTAGTGCCTGATATAAACTCCCATCCTAATAGAACCTCAGACTTTGTCTTCTTAGCCCCATTTTGATGGCAGTTTAAAATCCAGTTCCAAGCTAGGGATTCTTAAATTCTATATGTTATGGAACACACAAAAATGTTTATATTGCATGACTTGGCCACCTGGAGAGCTGAGTGGATCCATATCTGCATTAACTGGAAGAAACCCCTTTATGCACCATCAGCTGTGAAGTTCAGCCAAGCCACCAGGAGCTGAAGCTTCTGAGCAAATGCCCACTCAGCTAGTTGACCTCTCTGCATCCAGCTTTTACTCAGAGACATTCGCTTAATACCATGCTGGCCCAGCCAACATAAAACTTGCTCATGATATTTATGTAAAGGATTATTTTATGATATCAATATTGTGATATTTAACATGGCCCCAGTACTTACTTTGCTGAGGGGGTTTCTGAACATCGTGCTTTCCTCTAGGGTTGGACTGTGACCCACCAAGAGATCCTGTCTCAACCTCGGAGCTGACGCTCTGCTCAATAAAGCTCAGGAGCCTTTGGAGTTCACATACAGGAAGAGTAAAGAAGTTATGGTCACTTCCAGCTGCTAGTTACTCCTGAGCCTCGGCTGCTGTCTAGTTTTTCCCATTAGTCTGTTTGTCCAAGAGATGATAAAGGACTCTTCTAAAAAGAACCCCTGCTTTGTTGAGTTAGTATTTTATGACTTTGGTTTAAATGACTGGACACACATGTCTGCACATATACACATCAAAGCACAATCCAAAATATGCACCCATTTTACTTCCTCTTCTCCCGTTCTAAGCTATTATATGTAAAGAAGCGTGCATAGGAAGGGAAGGAAGGAGGAAGGAGAGAATAGTGTTCCTGAGGATGAAGAGAACTAAGAAAGCAAGAGTGAGGGTGAGACGAGAGGAGAGAATATGATTCGCAGCTTGACGATGCGGAATTTAGATAAGGGTAATGCAAATACAGTTTTCAGGAAGGCTTTTTCTGAGTTGTGCAAGGTTGATGATTATAGTAATTATAATTCAGCTGTTAGGTGTGTCAGAAAAAGTTTTTAGCATAAGATGCATTGAAGTTTAATTTATATGCAGTAAAATCCATGCTTTTAAGCATACAGTTCTATGCATTTTTACCAAAGTGTATCATGTTATCAACACTACAATCCACATGTGAGAAACAGTTTTAAAATAACTCATTTAACTCTCTCAATGAACGAAGAGGCAGGAACGGTTATTATGGCCATTTCACAGGTAAGGAAACTGTACCACACAGAGGTTAAATGCTCCAGTGACCGAGAAGATAAAAGAATCCTGGGAGTTTGACTTCAGAACCTGAATTTTTAACTAATGCAGATCTCCTGCTCATTTTGTCTATGAACTTTTGGTAACAACTTAAATTTCTTCTTCTAGACTCCTTGGTCTTGGTTTTGTGTTTTTCTTGGATACAACAATATGCTGAAAATGACTCAAGAAGCACAGTTTGAAGACGGAGGGGTAGATAGAAAATAGAAATTGATCTAGGTAAAGATACATGGATAAGTGTACTGATATTCTGCTCATTTGTTATTCTGTCCACAATATACATTTAATTCAAATAAGCAACTCTTTCTGACATACATTCCTCAATCTGAAATTTGGGAAGAAATAAAACAGGTGTTCTGAAGATCCGTGTCTGTAATTGAATTTACCATACCTTGGTATGAGCTCCTTAGATATAAACACATGCCAAGAGCCTTATGACATTACCACCATCCGATTCCCTCAGAGACTGGCTGCATTAATGTGACAGAGAATGGGTGATTTGTGTTCTTTCTCATGACACTCAATTGCTTTCCTAAAAGGCTGGATAACATCAGATCGGAAGCTGAATGTTGAGTTCCAAGGGATTAGAATTAGTGTAGACCAGCAGGGACAATGAACTAGACACCGGGAGAGTGAAATAGCTGCACTCTTGGTGATGCTCCTCCTAGCTCTGGCTGTCTCTGAAGTGGGAGTCGTACTAGATAGTTCTTGCAGGCCCACCACTAGAAGCTTGTGAGTGTTATAACTCATAGTGATATGTCACACAAAAAGGGAAAAATTCATTTGATAGTTATTAATTAGAAACAACTTCATTTTGTTTTCAAAAACAATGTGGTATCTCTACTTTTCATCATTTTGTGTGTATCACCTTTAATTCACAGCATAATATATACATATATATGAAATCACATTTATTTTTTGCTGTTTCTCTTTTCCAGGCACTTTTTTTTCTGTTGAGCTGGACATGAGTCAATAAGAGCTAAAAGCATGTCTTTATTAAACAGTTATATGTGCAAATCATAATAAAAACTATCATTTATGCAGGGCTTCAACATCACAGATATGTCTGCAGTTTCTGAGATAGGTATCACTGTCCCGATTTTACATAAGAGTAAACTCAGCTCACAGGGGTTGACTTTCTCAAGGCCCCACAGCAAGTAATTTATGAGGTCTGAATCCAAACAACCTGACATAAAATATTGTGACATTGAAGTTACACAACACACACACACGCACATACATACACATCACACAAACACTGAAGTCAGAGTCATTCTTGGTTATAGAAATAATACATTCAAAAAATTCATTCTTGCAATTATTTTTCTCACCTTATGCTTAATGTACTGAATTAGGGTGAAAACAGAATATGGAAACTCTTTTCATGATTAGCTTTTGATTTGTGTCCTCTGACAATTATTAGATTTTTTTTTACTAACAAAATGTTTAGCTTAAGATAGCACTCTTCATTTGCTTTACTGGTGCTTGGGAGGCATTGGAAGTTAATCAGAAGGCATGAAAAATACAACTTCATTTTTTTTCTGACATCCAAGGGCTTTGCCCAGCTGTAGCTATTTCTAAGAAACAAAGGGCATGAGTACATTATTTGTTCCTTTTACCAGCCATGCATCTTAATAACAGCAAGTATCTATATACACCATGTACAATTTAATAAGGCTTTTTATTAATGTTATACTCTTCTACATATGAATCAGTACAATCTAGCCACAGAAAACCCTCTACACAAGAGTTTATGTGCTTTATTCTATTTAAGTTAGAGCCAGGCGCAATGGCTCATGCCTGTAATCTCAGCATTTTGGGAGGCCCAGACAGGGGTGTCACTTAAACACAGAAGTTCGAGACCAGCCTGGGCAACATGGCGAAACAGTGTGTCTACAAAAAAAAAAAAAAAAAGAAAAATCAGGTAAGCGGAGTGGTGTGTACCTGTAGTACCAGCTACTTGGGAGGCTGAGGTGGGAGGATCGCTTAAGCCCAGGAGGTCGAGGCTGCAGTGAGCCATGATCCCACCGCTGTACTCCAGCTTGGGTGACAGAGCAAGACCCAGTCTTATTTAAAAAAAAAAAAAAACTTAGACAGTGACTTTCATTATATTTTGCATTATTATATATTGTTTTATGCAAATGCACTAATTCCCATATATTTGTCTTAATTCAGTCAGTTTATTTTTGGCTTCTTTTCTTCACTCCTAAGTACATTTTATTTTGGCACATTTTAGCTTGGGCATTTAGGTTTATACTTCTTGTGTCTCTTGTGTTGCATGTATTTATGAACTCAGAAAATTTTATTAAAATATAATTTCTTTATGACAGAGAGTGGAATTGAATTTCAAGGGTGGAGAGATTTCCATAATGAGGCATCTGTGATATAAAACGCTGAAGACATATTTTCAAAAAATACCTGAAAATATGTTTTTGAAATGGTTGCACTCAGGGATCATTAATAATAATGTAAATAAACTGAAGGGAATCTTAGAGATTATTTTACTTCCCACTCTCATGTTGTATAGCTCAGAAAATTGCCTTTTGAATTTAACAGCCAATAACCTTAATGTCTTTTTTTTTTTTTTTTTGACCAAGTCTCACTGGGTTGCCCCGGCTGGAGTGCAATGGTGTGATCTCAGCTTGCTGCAAGCTCCACCTCCCAGGTTCAAGCAGTTCTCCTGCCTCAGTCTTCCAAGTAGCTGGGACTAGTGCGAACCACCAAGCCCGGCTAAGTTTTGTACTTTTAGTAGAGACGGGGTTTTGTCATATTGGCCAGGGTGGTCTCGAACTCCTGACCTCAAGTGATCCACCTGCCTTGGCCTCCCAAAATACTGGGATTACAGATGTGACCAACCGTGCCCAGCCTAATAACCTTAATTTCTGTCCCTGTTACTCTTAGAAACTAAACTTGAAACCTACTTTCACAGAGGAACTACAGAAAAAAATAAAGTGCACAAATTCTTTAATTTCCACTCTTCAACAGGACTTGATCACCAAGCAAACATAGGAGGTGATGTTACTGAGCAGAGGGTCTCGCTGCCCGGTGCACTGGAAGCCAATACTGGCTTTTATTGTGAGTCGACCAACACGGAGACCAGGTGTGCAGCTCAAATCTGTCTCCTTCTGCTGGCTTTATGGCCATATTTTTATTAAAAACGTTTAAAGGTGGATTGGGGGATTAGCAGGCAATTGGTGAAAGGAAAAAAGGAAAAGGAAAGGAAAAAAGTCCTCAGGCATGGGCAGCTATTCTTTCATGTTACCTCATAGGTCCCATGTGCAAATTCAGGAGGCGTTCATATGAAATATGCTGTTGAAATTCAGGCTGTAATTTCAGCAAGGTTGTTCTGCAGATAATCTAGTTGGCTCTACTGGTTTTAACTGATGTCAGCCAGTTTTGTTGTCTTACAAGCAAAAGAAGTTTCAGCGTTTTGTGTCTGTGTGTGTTTTAAAATTTGTTATGCAAACTCAAGAAATTATGTTAGTCATTGGTTTCTTTAACTCTTTGGGACATGGTTTCAGTGAGAGAAAGGGAAGAATTGGGCTTGGCTCCTGGCTCCTGACTTTGATGACTGAATGACTATTCACCAAGATAAGAAGAGTCAGGCTTCAGAATGGGGGTTAATACAGCTTTTGAGCTAATTTTTGGATATAGTGAATTAAAGGTGGAGATCACCAGGAAACAGGTATTTATGCAGGCCTTGGAAATCCAGAGAAAAGTATAATGGTGATTTTCTCCAACAGTACTCATCACATTGGGTGTTTGAATGGAGAAGGCAGATGGGTCTCCTGGACTCCTTGGACTGCTTGAAGAGCACTGCAGAGAGATGCGCATGCCAGCTGATAGAGGCAGCATTAAATGAACCACCAAACACAGGAGTTTAGAGAAAAAGCAAAGGTGTAGGTGGCTTTGATGAGGTCAAAGAAGTGATATAACAGGAGTGATTCTAGAGAATAATAATTTACGCACAAGGCGGTTTAGTGGAGCTAAAGATTTCAGAAGGGGAACTCTTCATAGATGACCACGTGAGAGATGTGGCCACAGTGTGGGCTCCCGAGGCACGGAAGGGGGCCGGGGTGGGGCCAAGTTAAACACTCTTGACTGGTATATCTTTTTGATGCTCTGTCATCTCCCTTCCATTCCCACTCTCTTAGTGTATGCTATTATATTATTTTTCTGGACTATTCAATAGTTTTCTAATTTCTTTCTTTTCTTCCAATCCTTCTGTTTTAATTCATCTGTTAATACTGTGGCTAGAGAAACTTCTCTTAAGTGCAAACTTTCTAGTCTCATTCTATTACCTTCAGAATGATTTCACCTGTTTAGCTTGACATCTGTGTATTTCAATCAATAAATTACATATTCCATACTCCATCTATTTTCAGCCTCATATTCTTTCATTCAAAACAACCTTGTCACTGTGGTCATGCTCATGGTGTTGCCATGCCCCTCATTATTATCAAACTCTAGCTAAGCCACGCCCCTCACCATGTCCATAGCTGTAGCTATGACCCTCACTAATAGCCACACCCCTTACTACAACCATGCCCCTCACGACGACCATGCCCCACGCTATAGCCACACCCCTTCACTAACAGCCACACCCTTCACTACAGCCAAGCCCCACTTATGGCCACACCCCCTTACTAATGGCCATGCCCCTCACCACACCACATCCCACAATACGGCCACATCCTCTGACTAACAGCCACACTTCTCACCATCAGCCATGGCCTCTTACAGGTTCACATCCCACATTACAGCTAAGACCGTTGCTATCAGCCATGTCCCTCACTATAGCCACGCCCCTCACCAACTACACCTTCTCACTGACAGCCACACCTGGTAATAAGCTTCACCCCTTACCACACCCCTAACCACCCCCACAACTCACCATATAGCCACACCCCCTCACTAATAGCCATGCCCCTTACCAAGCTTTCACTCCTCACTATGGCCACACCTTTCATTATAGCCACACTCCACACTATAGCATGCCCCTTGCTAAGCCACACCCCTCACCAACAACCATGGACCTGTTTGAGCTGTCTTTCAGCACCAGCACTTTCATACTTCCTTGCCTTTGTTCATGCTACTTTCTTCACTAGACACACCCTCCTTCCCCATCCATCCTTCACCCTCTACTAGTCTACGCACCTTGTCTCTAGTATTCCTTCTTGGAAGCCTATTTAGGCTCCCGAAGCTGAGTTAGTCCTCTATTTCTATAGCACCGTGGAGATGTTATCATGACAGCAAACCACATTTAATCAATGTTCTATTTATTTTTTTCATTCTTAGACTAGAGGCCCTTCAGAGTGGGAATCATGCTCTCTAATTTCACTCTTTCCACTTTCCACAGCACTTAGCATCTGGTAGGTGCTAACTCGGGGGGTGACTTGATCACAGGTGACTACTGAGAGGCGTCCTTTATCTCAGTATTCTTTCACAAATGGCACGGCTTCCCTAGCGAGCTTTAAGGAATTTTGCTCTGCTTTCTGTCCCAACCATCCTGGGCTCATCATGATAAGGGAGAAGGAGAAGCTGCTACCTGTAAATGTTTCTGTTGCTTCTTCATTCTCTAGAATATGATGCCCTAAGGCGTCAAGGCTCAATCAGTCTCATGACTCTGAGCAAATTTGCTGCCCTCTTTCTTTTCAATGTGACCAATTTTCTAATTCATTTCCTCCAAGTTTCTCTTTGTGTGCTATTTTCCACTCAAATTATACGTATGATACATTCTATTAATATTCTCTGCACCTAAACCTACAGAGCATGTATCGCTTCGCTGATCATCCGGAAGGAGACGTTGCTAGAAAATAGAGATCAATTATTTCTAAGGTGAAAGGAATTTCATGATAAGGGATTTTACCTTTAGCAGGGCTCATACTTGTCTTATTTTATTTTCTTGAAAAACTCAAAGTCTGAGTCTCTAAGAATTGTACATTTATGATGTCTTTTTGTGCTTTGGGAAAACAGTTCTCAAGAGAAAATACAGAGCATTCTTCAGCAGATTAGATTGGCCAGGAGCATGTTGGACCTGATATTTTCTTAATACCTCTAGGAGTTTAAGGCACAAATCTGAGAAATCTTTATGCATCCAGCCAGCATTCAAACACTATTTACCGAGAGTACAAACTGGGATGAACAAGTGTTCCTCACATGCATAACAAATCTATATACTTGGCAGTCACATTTTATATACCATGTGCCTAATAGCCTATTGAGTAGACAAGATTTTAGATGACATATAAACTTGGAGTCATTATAATGGGAATAAATAATGTTTGCTACCAAAGACAGGTAATGTATATAAGAAAATTTATGATGCCTAGTTTGTGGTAGTTGCTGAGTTTGCTAAAATGACTAAATATATTCTCCCTTGAGGAGCTCAGTACTGGGATTACCCTTCCAAATGGTTGCATATTCTGCCAAATCAAGTCATTGAATCCTTGCTGAGTGTTGCCCATTTGAATTAGGACCCAGATCCCTTTTCTGCCCCTTTCTGCCCTGCTCTGTGCCTCACAGGCCAACTGCCGTAGACTGTTTAACATGATCTCCCCTGACTTTAGTTGAAAATGGCCAAGGAGAGGGACCAGCGGAGGACCCAGGGTGGGAGACAGTTCTGGGTGTTTATGACCGCATTTCTCCCTATTGCACTGGTGGTTCTGGTGGTGACACATTCCTCTAAGGTCGTGATTCCTGTCAGTGGCCATTTTTCTTAGGCTCCTCATCTCACCAGGGTCCAGAACTATGACACGCTGTCCCCACATCTGTCTTCAGTTCCAGGGCTGAAATGATTTCCCCTGTTGCTGGTGCATCACTGGCCCTTGGTGACTCCCTTAATCTTAACTTTATTCAGTTTAATCCTTTTAAAGTGCTATTGATTTTGTTCTTGGTGGGACCCCAGGAAAATGAGACACTGAGTGCCAAAAGAGGCCTTTCAACTACAGCAATCTATTTTTATCTCCTGTATTAGTTTTTTGGAATTATTATAACAAATTTCCCAAATTTGGCTGCTTAAAACAACAAAACAATTTATTTTCTCAGAGTACTGAAGCCAAGACGTTAATAGTCACCATGGAAGCGGGGCCACACTTTCCATGAAGACTCTTGGAAAGACTCTCCTCTGCTCTTTTTAGCTTCTGGTGACTCCTGGTGTTCCTTGACTTATGGCCACAATACTCCAGTCTCAGCCTGCGTCTTCATGGAGCCACCTCTGTGTGTCTCTGTGTGTAAATCTTCCTCTCTTTTTATGAAAATATCAGTCATTGGATTTAGGGCCCACCCCACATCAAATATAATTTCACCTTGAGATCCTTAATTACGTTTGCAAAAACCCTATTTCCACATAAAGTCACATTCTGAGGTTCTGAGTGGACCTGAATTTTTTGGGGGGTGGGGGGGAGCTATTCTATTCACTCACTACTTCACTATGAAAAACATTATCGAATCACTATTTTAGCAGAAGATAATTTGAATATGTCAATAAAAACAGAGAAATTAGCTGTATAAGGATGACAAGCAATATGTTACCAACCCTGTGTTTAGTGGCTAAAATTACAAGTAAGTCCTCACTTAACATTATTGATAGGTTGGGTCTCGAAAACTGCAACTGTAAATGAAAAAGCAAACAACAGGTCCTCCAATAACATCACCTCCTTCAACTTATCTTCTTACACGTTGATAAGAAAAAAAATTGGTTTCAGTATATGTCGTGTCACTTAAAGTTTCAATTTCCAAGAAGCTACTGATGCTATTAAATGAAGACATTAGAAGAACTGATGTTGTGCATTTATATTCAGGATATAAGTTTGTCTAAATATGATGAGGACTCCAAATAATTATTTTGTAAAGAAAGAAAGATGGTTCTTTCTCAGGCTGTTGTGTTTCTGCTCTACAAGGTTGTCGGGAATCAGGAATGCAGGAGTTTTCTACCTCATTGCTCCCCCAGCCTAGTGTTTTGCTCTCATCCACGTGACTCATGAGGGCTCACCAAACACCTCCATTCTGACTGTCATGGAGGAGGAAGAGTGCCAACAAGGGCGCACTTCCAAGAATTCGTACTTGTCACTTCTGGTTGCATGTAGTTAGACAGAGCTTTATTATATGGCCCCAGATTACTGCAAAGGGAGCTGAGAATAGAGGGTTCATTTTGAACAGTCATATGTTCAGCTAAAGGTCAGAATTTACTCCCTATTTAATGAAAAACAAAGAACAGGTTTTTGGAATAATTAGCATTCTATGTCACCCTCTGCAAAAGCTTAAGTACCATTTGCTTAATCTTATCTATCTTATACCTTTGCAAGATGTGCAGAATTTTCTGAAAAACGTTTAATGAACTCCTTACAAGGTACTTTTTAGATAAGTATTTTCTGTGCTTTCATAACCTCATCTGAAAAGCAATTTAACACTTATTGTATGACTACCATGTGCCAAACATTCATTCAATCACCATATATTTATTGGGTACCTATTATGTATCTGTATTGAAAATGTATCAGTGACAAAGAGAGCTGAAGTCCTTATCCTTTGGAGGGAAACATATCTCTAATGAGGTGGAAAAATAATCATATTAATTCATTTAATAAAGGTATAAACAAATGAATTAAATCAATTTATATAGTTATAAACATTAATAAAATAAAATGAAGTATGATACAGAGAATGACTTGGGAGGGGAAAGTTTACTTTGGATAAGAGAAATATGCTACCTTAAAGCTTATTAGCAGTTGTGCAAGGAATATTCTTTTTCCTACTTTCATGCTCAAAGTAACAATAGTGTTTATTATTTTCTCATTTTACAGGTAAAAAATTTGCCCAGGGTCATATACCTTGTAAATTCAGCCTCTGAATTTAAAGACTAATTCTGGACCCAGGGTTCCCTGTCCTTCCCTCTATTCTACATTTCTTCAAATAAGTCTTCTCTAGGGTTATTACCATTTCACTTTATGAAATATATAGTTAGGCAACTATCTTTTAAGATGAAGGAAGATGCTAATGATTTCATCCAACTCTGTAATTTTCATGTTGCATCAATGTAGGAGATACTTAGAAGAGAGCAAGTGTGAGAGGACATCAAGGCTCAGTTCGAGGATCACTGGGCATTGTTTGTGGTGAAAAAAAGACCCAAGGGGGCATGAGAGCAGCCTCCAAATATGGAGATTAGATTTGTTCCAAAGACCAATGTATTTTTACCTTCCTCTGTCGTATTTCTGTACTTAACTGATGAGAAGATTTTTGAGAACTAAGTCTACCATTCCTTTGTAATATACTTGGATTAAGTGCTTCATTTCTAGAGTTATATGTCTCTAAAGGTAGTATGTTGGAATCACATAATATGCTGGTTAAAAATATGGATTCCTGTGCATCTCTCTAGAGGCAGGATATATTTTGAAAATAAATAACCCCTGGCAATTCTTTATGCACATTAAATTTTGAGTAGCATTATTTTACCAAAGACTATTGAATAGAAATGAGCCAGGTTAGCCTTTACACATGGTAATAATCTTACATGTTGATTGGGCAGAAGATTCAAGATAATCTTGGGTAAGTCCCTCAACTGTGGGTTTCCCCATATACAAATCAGCACACGAGGAGCCATGAGAGCTTTGTCGTGTATCTATAATTCTAGATAGTGAGACAGAGCACAGGCATAGACTCACATTTGAAAGAAACTGAAAAGTATGAGTTACAACTGGTTATATCTGCAGAGAAATCAGGAAAAGCTACATTGAGTTGTTAAACAGTTATTATTGGTAGATGTCTTAGTACTTTTAACAGCGCTAAAAAATTTAATGAAAGTGAATCACTCTAATGAATACTCAAGTGTTTTTTGTTTATATTTTACTAATTTATCAGTGTGTTATCTTAAAGAAAAATCAAATTAATTACCCATCACAACCCTACATCATTTCAGAAACTTTAGGATACATTTCCTTTCAAAAAATATTTAAGTCTGTGCCAACAAAACATTGAGATTTTTCTCATATATTAGGAAAACAAATGAGCAAAGAGAAGGAAGATAGATTGCAACTTGTAATTTAATCTCATGATACTGATGATATCATAAACATCACAATCTACAGATTGAATTACAACTTTGTGATCAATCTCTCTCCCTATCTATTATCCACCACTGAATAAATGATGGCAGAGGAATCTACATCAGAAAATGCATCCAGCAACAACATTAACAAATGAATGCAAACTGCTCCTGAAACTTCCCTAAACAAAACTACCACTTACTGGTAAAATAAATAAATTTAGAACTTTTTGTGTTAACATTGGGACTAAATCTTCCTGAAGACATAGAACTTTAGAACTAGCACTTCTAGAATGACTGGCTTAATGAAATGATGTCTAAACTTGAAACGCTGTGAAGCTCTACAACTAACATTCAACATTTTGATTAAAGAGGATTTTGCCATCTGGCATGTTTTGTTGCCACATAGATGTAAGACATTAGAAATCAATGATTCTTTGTTTGGTAGTGTGATTCCAAATAAGATATTATCTTTGAATTATGGTTTATAAGTTATTAAATGTTTTCTTTTTTGTTTGTTTGTTTTTTTGAGACAGAGTCTCGCTCTGTCGCCCAGGCTGGCGTGCAGTGGCACGATGTCAGCTCATTGCAAACTTTACCTCCCGGGTTCAAGTGATTCTCCTGCCTCATCCTCTTGAGTAGCTGTGACTACAGGCATGTGCCACCACACCCAGCTAATTTTTGTATTTTTTAGTAGAGATGGAGTTTCACCATGTTGGCCAGGATGGTCTCGATCTCCTGACCTCATGATCCACCTACCTTGACTTCCCAAAGTGCTGGGATTACGGGTGTGAGCCACCGTGCCCAGCCTATTAAATGTTCTTAAGTGCTTTGGTTTAAAATTGCTCAATAGTGTAAGGAAGAAATTAGAAATGCTAGTATGGACACTAACATATTGGAGTATTGGACTGAAGAGAGCGAACTTGTGTAAGTACACATAGCTAGACAGAGAGTTATAAGATCCCGATCTAGGACTCAGGTTCTGAAGGTATCTGAGTGCCTTACCTAGTGCATCATTCCATATCTTGTAAAAACAGTAGAATTATTATTTGAAAACTGGCTTTGCACTGTATATTTGTAATTATAGATGCATGTGCTTTTAAGAATACAGTAATTTCTCAAAATGAAATATATTTCTTAGTATTTTATAAAGCACTGTTAAAATTGCAATTATACATACACACTTTTGTAGTCACCATTAAAATTTTTAGTGAGATGAAATCAAATCAATCTTATTGTTAAAAGTAATTACTTATTAAGTAAAAGAAATTCACAATTGGAAGAGAATGTAAGAACCGCATTTATTATTTATGCCCCAATTCCATTACTGGCTAGGAAACTACCCGGAGAAAGGCACAAATATCTTTGTAGAGGGTTCACCTCCCAGATGCATATTTTTTTCCATATTAAAAACTGCTACCAACTGAAGTGCTGAGGCTTTTAAAAAATGTACAAGGGATTGTGACAAAACATTATATAATAATATTCTGCAATATGATATGGAAGGTAAAGGTATTTAATTAAAGGATTGGATACTTCAATGGGCCCTGCCTAACGAATATTATAATAATCAAAATTAATATTTAGTTAAATTCGTCTGTATTTTCCCTGTGCCAGGCACTATTTGAAATACCTTATATTTTAACTCATTTAATACAACAACCATATGAGATGAGTTCTCATATTATCTCAGGTTACAGAGGAAGAAAATAAGTACAGATAAATCAAGCAACTTGCTCATGGTTCACACAGCTAGCCATTTTGGAGCTGTGATTTAATAGCAGTAAATCTGTCTCTAGAGC
This sequence comes from Homo sapiens, assembly GCF_000001405.40. Lineage (NCBI taxonomy): Eukaryota > Metazoa > Chordata > Mammalia > Primates > Hominidae > Homo > Homo sapiens. The sequence goes on along the minus strand of NC_000018.10, from coordinate 73,591,134 downwards.
CCATGAACCTATTCACCGTGAGATTCTGCATCTCACAAGCTGAGATTAATCTCTCTTCTTCCATACCAATTTGCGAATTGAATGTATAAATACCCAGCGCCATGGTAGATATTTTCTGAATATTTCAAAAGATATGCTTTCAGACTTGAATTCTATCTAATTAGGTATTTTATTAATCAGTGTTCTCCAGAGAAACAGAAACAATAGGATGGATATCTATCTATCTATTGACATATTTATCTTACTTTAAGGAACAGGCTCATGAGATTGTGAAGGACGGCAAGTTTGAAGTTTGTAGTAGGCCAGAAGGCTGAAAATTCCTTGCTGGAATTTTTATGGAAATTGCATTAAAACTATAGATCACTTTGGTCAAAACTGACATCTTTACTATTGTAAGACATGCAATCTATTAACTTTGTACATCTCTACTCATTTAGATCTTTGACTTATTTTTGTCTGTGTTTCATAATTTGCAGCATATAGATACTGTATATATTTTGTTAAGTGTTATATGAATTATTTGTCATTGAGCAATTTTAAATGTTTTTTCTTAAATTGGTTTCTGCATGATCATTGTTAGTGTATAAGAATTCAATTGATTTTTGTGCGTTCCTGTATCCTGCAACTTGCTGAACTGACTAATTAGATCCAGAAGTTGTTTGTTGGACACCTTGAGATTTGCTACATAGACAATCATATAATCCGAAAACAGAAAGTTTTATTTCTTCATTTCCATTCTTTATGCCTTGTATTTCTTTTTCTTGCTTTATTGCGCTAGTTATAACTTCCAGCTCTCTTGAATTAGATTACTGAGAGCAGACATCTTTGCCATGTTCCCAAGCTGAGAGGGGGTGACTGATCATTTAGTACAGTGTTCACTGTAGGATTTCTGCATATGATTTCTATGAAGTTGCAGCAATTTCCCTTTATGCCTATTTTTCCTGAGAGTTTGCACATAAATAGGTATTGTATTTTGTCAAATGACTTCCTGTGTTAATTAATTTGATCATATGATTATTGTTGATATGGTAGATTATGTTAATTGATTTTTGAATTTTAAACCAGGATTGCGTGACTAATAAATTCCACTTGGTTGTTGTATATATTTTATGTTTTGTCATGTTGTATTTAGTTTTGTTGAGTGTTTTTGCATCTAAGCTTATAAGAAATATTGGTCTACAGTTTTCTTTTTACTGTGTGCTGTTTTTGTCTAATTTATGTATGAAGGTAATAATAGATTTATAAAATGCATTGGAAAATGTTTCTGCCTATTTTCCATCTATTTTATGGAAGTAAATGTGTAGAATTGGTATAAGTTCTTATTTAGATGTTTGTTAGAATTCTCCAGTGAAACCACCTGAACCTGGAAATTTATTTTTGAGATTATTAATAATGAACTAAATTTTATTCAAATTATTTATTTATGATTGTCAAGTTTGGTAGTTTGTGGTTTTCAAGGGTTTGTCAGATGTTTTAGTGTTAAGTTTTTGGTAGTGTTCCCCTATTATCTTTTTAATGGCTTAGGAATCTGAAGTGATAGCTTCCTTTTCAAACCTGATAAGGGTAATGTGTGTCTTTTCTATATTTATTTTTCTAAGTCTTGCTAGAGGTCTGCTAATTTTATTAAATTTTTTGAGAAACCGGATTGTTTTCATTGGTTCTTTCTATTTTTTTCTTGTTTAATGTTAATTATTTCTGTTCTTTATTAATTTCTTCCTTCTGCTCCCTTTATATATTTTTTATTTATTTCAGTTTCCATAAGGTAGTAATTTAGATTTTTAATTTGAGACATTTCCTTGTTTATAATGCAAGCATTTAGTGCTATAAATATCCTTCTCAGAACTGTTTTATATGCACCCCACACATTTTGATTAATTGTGTTTTCATTTGTATTTATTATTTATTTATTAATTTCTTTTTTGAGACAGACTATCACTTTGTTGCCCAGGCTGGAGTGCAAAGATGTGATCTTGGCTCACTGCAACCTCCACCTCCTGAATTCAAGTGATTCTCCTGTCTCAGCCTCCCAAGTAGCTGGGATTACACGTGTCCGCCACCACATCTGGCTAATTTTTGTATTTTTAGTAGAGACGGAGTTTTGCCATGTTGGCCAGGCTGGTCTCAAACTCCTGACCTCAGGTGATCCATCTGCCCCAGCCTCCCAAAATGCTGGGATTACAGACATAAGCCACTGCACTGGCCCATTTATATTTATTTCTATGTATTTTCTATTTCTTTTGAGACATCTTGACCCATGGATTTAGAAGAGTTGTGTTTATTTTTCAGATATTTAAAGATCTCCTGCTGTCATTCTGTTATTGATTTCTTATTTGATTTTATTAAGTTAGATAATACTCTCTGGATGGTTTTTATGTTCTTTTACACTATGGCATTACATAAAGATATTTTGATCAAAGACAATTGCATATATGGCAGTGATTCTGTAAGATTACAATATTGTATTTTTATTGTACCTTTTCTATGTTTAGAAATGTTTAAATACACAAACACTTATCACTGTGTTACAATTGCCTGCAGTATTCAGTACAGTAACATGTGGTACAGTTTTGTAGCATAGCAGCTATATGCTATACCATATAACCTAGGTGTGTAGTAGGCTGTATCATCTAAGTTTGTTTTGGTACACTCTATGATGTTCACAAAGCAATGAAATTGCCTAATGACGAATTTTTCCAAATGTATCCCCCTTGGTAAGCAATGCATGATGGTATATATACTGAAGTTTATTTTATGGCCCAAAAAATTTAGTCTAACTTTGTGGATGTTTTATGGGTACCTTGAAAAAAATGTGTACTCTCTTATTGTTGACTGGAGATATATATATATATATATATATATATATATATATATATATATATATATAAAACCTATTATATATATAATCATATATATATAACCTATTATATATATAATCATATATATATAACCTATTATATATATAATCATATATATGTTAATTAGATCCTGTTGGAGTATTATATTTTCAGATCTTTAATATCCTTGTGTATTTTCTGTACTGTACCTCTATCAGTTGCTAAAATGAGTGTGATATTATGTTATAGTTTTCTTTGTCTGTAGTCATTTCTCTTGCTCTGAACTCTATCAGATATTAATATACCCAGTTCTTGTTTTTGAAAATAACTGTTTGCATGGTGTATCTTTTTTTCTATTATTTTACTTTCAGTTTACCTAGGTCATTAAATTTGAAGGGCTTTCTTGTAAACAACGTATTGTTGGGTCTTGGTTTTATATCTGCTTTGCCTATCTCTTTCTCATTTCTTTCTGGGACTCCAGTGATAAGAAGGTTGACTATTTTGTTATTATTTTCTCATAGATTCCTGAGACTGCTAAATTTTTTTGAGTCTGTATTATCTCTGCTGTTTAGATTGAGTGAGTTCTATTGATCTGTCCTCAAGTTCACTGATTCTGTTATTTCTCATCCACACTCTACTATTAAACTCATCAAGGAAGTTTTGCTTATTGTATTTGCTAGGTCTATAATTTTTATTTCCTTTTTTTTAAATTTATACTTTTTGCTGAGAATTTTTTCAAGTAAATTTATATGATTGTTGAAGCATTTTTTTCTGATTGATGATTTTAAATACTTGTCAGATACTTCCAACATTTAATTTATCTAAGCATTGGCAATTGATTGTCTTTTCCAATGAAGTTTTGATTTCTTGCTTCTTGGTTTCTGATTTTGGATGGTATTCTGGCCATTTTGTCTATTATAATAGCAGAATGAGTCCTGCTTAAATATTTAGTAGGAAGCCCCACTGTTTATGTTTAGCATGCATTTCCTAGCCTACTTTTGTGGGCTGTATTTCAAATGATGGTTTAATTTTCAGATGCCTTGCAATATTATTTTGGTTTGCTTAGTTTATTTGGTGCTGCTTTGGTTTCCACTGGTCGCTGTTGCTGTTGCCTGAATGGGCAGGGTTTCTCCAGGCCACCTACTGTCTCTCAGTGGAGGAAGGGAGTCTCAGGTCTATGGGCATGAAGAGGCTACTCTGGTTCAGTGCTTGTTATGATGAGATCTTTCTGCCTTGGATAGAGAGGACTTTCCAAGCAGGTCACTTGCAGGAGTGGGACCTCCTGTATCAGTGCTCACTAGCCACCCATGTCTCTGGGGAAAAGTCTCATGTCTGTGGGGGCAAAGAGGCTTCTTTGGCTGGGCCACATTTTATGGTGAACTCTCTGGGCAATGCCCATAAGCCACCCTGTTTTTCTGGGCCAGAAGGGGAGTCAAAAGCCCACAGGGATAAAGAAGATTTCCTAGTGTATTGATTTTCTCTTGTTGCCTTTACAAATAATCATAAACTGCGTGGGTTAAGCAACTCAAATATATTATCTTATAGTTCTGAGGGTAAGAGTCTCTCACATATCTCAGTGGACTAAGATCAAGGTTGACAGGGCTGCATTCTTATAGGCTTTGGGTACTATTCCTTTCCTTGTCTGTTGCAGCTTCTAGAGATCATGTGTATTCCTGGTCTTACGGACCCTTCCCCATCTTTAAAGTTACCAATGGCAGGTAAGGTCCATTTCACATTGCATCACTCTGACCTACCCTTCTGCCTTCTTTTCCAGTGTTAAGAAGCCATGTGATAATATTGAGCTTACCTAGACAATCCAGGATAATCTTTTATTCCAACTTTCATCACATCTGCAAAGTCTCTTTTACCGCATGAAATGACATATTCACAAGTTACAGTGATTAGGATATGGGCACTGGGCCAAGTCACTTGTGGTATAGTCCCTTTCACCAGTAACCCCAGTTTCTCTGGTGTCTGTGGTTGAAAAAAGGGGATGAAATCCTTAGGGACAAAGAGGCTAACTGAGTTGGGACACCTGTTGTGGTGGAATGCCTCTAGATTGTGCCAACCTGTCACCTGGTGTGTCAGGGAGGAGCCTCCAGAAGACGGTGGCCTGTGTGGAGGGAGAGTTCTTCTCCTAGTCACTTTTTTATTTTGATACTAGACACAGTGCTTACTTTCTTGAATCGATTTTTCTGAGCGTATTTAATTATACTCAAAATCGACAAAAATGTGTACATTTGAGGTATACAATGGGATGATTTGATGTACGAATACACTGTGAAATGATTGCCACAATCGAAGTCATGAACAAATCCATCACCTGGCCCCTTATTGGCAGCGTTTCCTATGGTTCCCCCTGCCAGTGGTGCTGGGCTCAACTGGTGTGTTAAAGGAAGACACATTCCATCCAAGGAAAGAATATGGTTACTGGGATGCCTCTGTTGCTGTGTTGGAGATGGGAGGCATGAATTCTTGCTGCCTTGTCTGGTAGCTGGGGTCACCTAAGATGCCTTGCCACTGTGTTGATCCTCCACTCCTTGAGCCCCTAACTAGTTCCTCTTTCCTTTAATATATTTCAGAGACGTCTTTTAGTTGCCTCTTTTGTTATTTCCAAAGCTTAAATTTATACTTAGGAGGATAGCGGGGAGAGACAAGTCTACTACATCTCGTCTACACAAGAAGTCATCTGTTCCGTTTCTTATATTTCGAAGCTCTCTCCTTGAGTTATGCACATATTGAGGACATTTATATCTTCTGGTTGAATTGACCAGTTTTTTCAATATGCAACATTACTCTTTATCAATGGTAAGATTTTTTCCAGATGCTTATTTTGTCTGATATTAATATAGCCACTACAGTTTTATTTCTGCATGATATATCTTTCCCCATCATTTTACTTCTAACCTATGTCATTGGAAGGAAAAAACCTGATTAAAAATGGGTAAAGAATCTGAATAGACATTTCTCAAAATAAGACACATGAAAAACTACATGAAGAAAATGCCCAACATCATTAATAATAAGGGAAAATGAAAATTAAAAACACAATGAGATATCACCCCATATCTGTTAGAATGGCTACTATAAAAAAGACAAAATATAATAAGTGTTGGAGAGAATGTGGAGAAAAAAGAACCCTTTGTTCCTCAGTACACTGTTGTGGGGATGTAAGTTAGTATAACCAGACACGATATGGAGGTTCTTCAGAAAATTAAAAATAGGACTATCAGATGATACGACAATCCCACTTCTGGGTATATATCCAACGAAAATGAAATCAGTATGGTGCAGAGATATATGCATGCCTATATTTATTGTAGTGTTATTCACAGTATCCCAGATATGAAGTCAACTTAAGTGTCTATCAACTGATGAATGAATTTTAAAATGTGGTGTAATACACAATGGAATAATATTTAGCCTTAAAAAAGAATGAAATTCTGTCACTTCTGAAAACATGAATGGCAAATACCACCAGTTCTCACTTACATGTGGAATCAAAAACAGTTGAACTTATAGAAGCAGAGAGTAGAAAGCTGGTTACTAGATAGTGGGAAGGGGTAGGGTGTGCAGGAGAGAAATTGGTGAAAGGCTACAAAGTTTTATTTACATAGGAAACATATGTTTTTTAGATCCATTGCACAACATAGTGACTATAGTTAATAAAAATGTGTTACATATTTCATATTACATATTTCTCCTTTCCTTTAAATAATCACTCCATTTTGTTCTGATCTGCAAGGTTTCTGATAATTATTCTACTGTAATTCATATTTTTATTCCTCAGTATATAGTGTTTCCTTTTCTCTCACTGCCTTTAAGATTATTTTTCTTTGTTTTAAATATTTATTCATGGATTTGTTTGCTTGGGGTTCATCCCCCTTGGAGGATCTCTGAGTTACTTGAGTTTGTGGCCTGACATTTTTATTATATTTGAAATTTCTCTGCCATTTTCTTTTCAATATTTTTTCTTCTACGGATTACCTTTCTCTTCCAATTCTGGGACTAAAATTACACATATATATTAGACATTTTGATATTGCCCCACCATTTTTGGTGCTCTATTATTTTTATCAATGTAGTTGCAAGTTGGATGATTCTTTCTTCAGCCAGGTCAAGTCTACTGATAAGACTATCAAAGGAATCTTTCATCTCTAGGATTTCCATTCTACTTTTTCTTGTAATTTCTACCTCTCTGCTGAAATCCCTCATCTGTTCCTGAATTGTTCATCTGTTCCACTGGGTTATTTAATATACGTCACATTCATTTTACTTTCCATTCTGACAGTTTTAGCATCTGGGTCATTTCTACATCTGGATCTGTTAATTGTTTTATTTTGACAATAGGTTGTGTTTTAAGTTGGTATGTCTCTGTTTTGACTAAATGTTGAATAGTATGTAAGGAGTATCAGAGACTGAAATAAATAGTATTCATATCTAGAAATGAACATGCTTCTTCTGTTTTAAGCTAATTAGCATTGAAAGTGACATCAATCTGGTGAGAATCTGGGCTGGATTTGGGATTTATGGTTGCTATGGTTATGCTTAGTGCATCAAAATCTTCACATGCTTCTAACTGTAGGTTGTTTATTGTATTGTTCCTAGAATAGTGGCTGCGGCTACTGGGAGTTTTTCTAAATGTTTCTGTTTCATCCCCAGCTGTGGGCATTTTCTGCATGCCTGCATTACAGAGGAGTTTCTCTCTACATCCTTACCCATCTCCCACAGGTAGGCTTCTCCTGCTGACTATTCATTGCTTCCTATGGTGGTGGGATGTGTACAGTTTTCTATTGTGTTGATCCAGCTTCCATGTAGGTAGCTGAGCTAGTCCCAGTTATGTGGCTTTCCTAGCTTTCCTGCCTTGCCTCACAATGGCACTCAATCTCCTGTTTTACATGGTGGGTTCTTGCTCAGGGACAGAGTTTCCTCCCTCTTTGCCTGCTGTTTCAAGCCCTTCCTTGCATTGGTGTAGAACCTTGGGCACAAGACTGTTTCTGACCCTCCTGTGAGGTAAAGTGTTGTTTCCTCCTTACTGCAACCACAGTGGCTCAAGTTAGTTCTTGCATATCCCCCAGTGGAAGAGAAACTTGCACTCCTCCAGCCAGCCAGTGTTTTCTCTGTGATCCTGAGAAAGAGGCTTTGCAACCTTCCTACTCACCTCCCTTCCCAAAGATTTTAGACTTTTGTAGGTAGAAGACAAGATCAGGCAGTTGGCCATGCCTTGTGCCTTCCACCTCTTCCACCCTCGGCTACTGTTCATCTCTTTTGAGTGTGGGAGTGATAGGATTTGCTGCCCCTCCTCCAGCACCATAAACCTTTCCATTGCTAAGAGAGAAGGGACAAGGCTGGGAGGTAGAACAACATTATCTTTCCCCTAGTGGTTGCCAATCTCTTCCTTCATTCCTGCACCAATACAGGAATCTTTTTCCAGTCTTCCCACAATTATCCCCTTGAGCACTTGATGGATTCTATGAGTCGGGATTCCCCCTTGTCTCTGGGGTTTCCATGGTTTTTGCTTATGCTATTTACTCCAGCTCACACTCAGTCAATAGCAATCTATTCCAATTTTAAGTGCATTCTTTGGTGGCTGTCTGATGACCACTATTTCTTCCCAAGTATAACATAATAATCTAGGTCATGCATCCTGTTTCTCTTCACAGTGGTCTGATTTCCCTTGAATTTTGGGCTTATTTGTTGCTAAGAAACCTCAGCTTTCTGATAGGCCCAGGTGGGAGAAAATATTTGCAAACAATGCATCCAATAAAAGATCAATACCAGAATATATAAGGAACTCAAACAGCTCAGTATCAGAAAAACCCAAATAATTCTATTTTAAAAAATGAGCAAGTGATCTGAATAAATATTTCTCAAAAGAAGACAAACAAATGGCCAACAGGTATGTGAAAAAATGTTCCACATCAGTAAACATCAGGGAAATGCAAATTAAAACCACAATAAGATATCATTCAAGCACAGTTAAAATGGATTCTATCAAAAGGAAAAAACAACAAATTCTGGCAAGGATAGGAAGAAGGGGGAGCCTTCATATGCCATTGGTGGGAATGTCAAGTAGTACAGCCATTACAGAAAACAGTATGGAGGTTTCACTCTAAAAACGAAAAACAGAACTGCATTATGATCCAGCAATCGCACCACCGAGTACATTTCCAAGAGAAAATAAACCAGTACATGAAAGAGATAACTGCACTCCCATGTTTATTGCAGCACTGTTCATAATATCCAAGATAGGAATCTACCTACGTGTCCATCAACAGATGAATGTATAAAGAAAAATTGGTATATGTACACAAGGAAATGCTATCTAGCTTTTAAAAGAAGGAAATCCTGTCATTTGAGACCACATGGGTGGACATGTAGGATATTATGTACAGTGAAATAAGCCAGGCAAATAAATTGAATGTTCTCACTTATATGTAGGAACAAAAAATTGAATCTCGTGGAAGTAGAAAGTAGAATAATAGTTCCCAAAGACTGAGAAGGGCATGGGAGAAGGCGAGATAAAGAGAAGTTGGTTAATGGGTTCAAAAATACAGTTAAATGGAAGGAATAATTTCCAGTACTCAGTAGTATTATAGGAAAATTATAGTTAAAATAATTTATTGTATATTTCAAAATAGCTAGATGAGAAGTAGTATAATGTTTACAACACAAAGAAAGGATAAATATTTGAGGTTGTGGATATCCCAGTGACCTTGACTTGACAATTACACATTGTATACATGTATCAAAATATCACATCCACCCCAAACACATTTACAACTATGATATATCAACACAATAAATAAAAATAGAAGTTACGATTTCTTCTGTTAGAGTAAGAATGACGCTGTACCATTGTACATCCCTGGGAGAGACAGAATGTCCAGGCTATGGTCTTTAAGGGCCAAACATCTGGGTAAATGTTGCTGAATTCTGTCATGTTTTGAGTTTTTCCAAATCCATGAATCTTAAGAATCTGGTTGACAAACTTTAGAATGACGATTTTGTGTCCTATGTAGATTCGAATAAATAAAAACATTAAGGTGGATAACAGAGTGACATGGATAAAACCCATCTTCCTGAAACTAAGTGCACTGTTACTTTTGTAAAAATTAGATTTATCCACCTTATCACAATTATTAACTGAACTTATTGGCTAATTAGTAGTTTTCCATTTCATTTTCCTTTCATAGACTCACCTAGGGTATAACTGAACAATGTAGCAATAACTCACCTGTGTCAAAGCTTAAAATATTTACTCATAAAGTGTGTGTCTCACAGTGCAAATAAACCTAGACCTAGTTAGTTGAGAGAGTTAAATTACTATATTAAAATTTGTCTTTTTATTTTTGACCTTTTACATATCTTTATCTGTTTATATGGCCATTTATTCTGCTATATAACTGTCCAAAAGATTAAAACTGCATTTTATGCTTCATTAAACTATACATTAGGATTCCTGAGATTCAGAATTAAAGTGACATTATTATGAATAAAATGATTGAAGCATAATTATGATATAATTACCAACGATTAAGATACTTAACCTAGATGGTTGTGTCAATAAACATAACCATTTTTTTCTAATTTTTATTAAAGAGTCAAATTACAAATATACTTCATGTTTTAAATAGCTATTTCTTCTGGTTTTAACTCATTTTTATCAGAAACATAATAATGACTTCATTTTAATCTTCAGGTAAACGCACATCCTAAGTATAACCTTGGGATAAGAGAAAGTTTGCATGACTTATGATGCTAGATGTCATCACTGATCAACTTGTCCAGGGAGTATAAAGCACGCACTGGAATGTTCCAACTGTTTTCCACTCGGTGGCTCATTCTTTATTCACTTTCTGCCTCTATAAAATTAGCCAGTGGACCCTTTACAGGGAAGGATGACTATTCTTACCAAAACTTCTAATTTCATTCTAATCTAGTCAAACACATGCTGTAGTGTTATATTAGTAATGCCCAATTAGCAAGGCCTAGGGTAGAAAATAGAAAAAAAAAAAAGGCAAATGCAAGTCACTCCTAGTAAAGTCATTTAATCTCACTCATCAACAGCTTTGCTTATCTTCACTAAAATAGCAAAGTGGAAGTTGTGAGAAAAAGAAAAGTGAGTCAGTGGGTCACGGTTCCTAGACAACATACAGTTTCTGAGCCAATGTCTTTTACTTAAGCCTTTATAAGGACAATGACTTGTCCCTAAGCAGAACCTTGTTCAAAGTAGGAATTCAATATAAGCTCATTCAATGAATGGATTGAATAATATGATACTCTGAATTTTCTATGCAAAACTTACAGGTATTAATATTTTGCCATATTTATTAAATTATTCACTCACATATACTCTCTATCATGTGACAGACACTGCCCAGGGTGCTGAAAATCCCTAATTCATTCTTGATACCCTCTCTCAAGCACTTCAAGGATAAAATGAGTTTTGCTGAGATAGAATTATCTTTGGGTGGGTGTGACTGGGACACAGCTTGAACATACCTAAGGTCTCAGAATATTCTGCACCTTGACCTGTGTGCCAATTACCTTGACATTTTACATGGTTAAAATTTATTGAGTTTACAATTATGTATTTTTTCTGTATGCTTCTTATCTTAAAAACCTTTTTACATGGGATTTGTGAATTGACTTTCATAAACACAACGTATTTGGTTTGAGGGTCAAAGTGCAAGCTGTAGAGGACTAATAAACATCCAAGATTGCGTGCCAATTAAAATACAGGAAGCCCAGTTAAATTGGAATTTCGATAAATACCAACATTATTTTTCCTGTAAGTATGCTCCAAATATTTCATGAACATACTTATAATAAAGAGTATTTAACTAAGTGTCCTACAAATCCTGTACATTTTGTTTGCTAAGTCAGGTAATCTTAATCGGAAGTAATCCACAATCACTGTAAATCAGCAATAAAATATTGCATTTTTGCTTTTTACAGTTATATAGTATTTGCCACCTATCTTGAAACAGCTCACATTTTCCTTGTAATACTATGAAGCTGTTATAAATCTACTCTAGCTAGAGAAATTTGCAAGACATATTTTTAATGACAAAAGAAAGATCACCAGGCTTGGTTTTCAAGAATTAACCAGGAAAATTAAGCAGGAGGTGGAATGAGAAGAATAAAATTATCACATTGTAACTCCAACAACTGCCTTAAATTAATATTGTGCAGCTTTCTAAAATCAATAACAGTTTAAACCTATTATAAATAATATATTAATTCTACAGGTAGCTTTTACTGTTTCCCTGCAGTTCACTGTGGTCATTCTACTTATTATTAACTTTTCACATTTATGATATACAGATTGGTTTTGCCTTCTTGGCTCATTCTAGAAGTTAACTTTGTTGTACATTGGGCAAAAAACCAAGGACAACCTGAAGAACTCACTCATCTTATCACTGGTTCCTGCTGGTAGAATTCTTATGCCTGGAAGTGCCATGTGGAATAACTTACTTTGTATAGGCAACTCGTTAAATGGAGTTGCTTGAGTTCCCTACGTATCTTAGATATCAACACCTTATCAGATGTATATTTCGCAAATATTTTCTCACAACATTGGTTATCTTTTCACTCTGTTAATTGTTTCCTTTGTTGTGCAGGAGCTTTTTAGTTTGATACAACCCGATTTGTCTATGTTCACTTTTATAGGCAGTGCTTTTGGGGTCTTACCCCAAAAAAATCTTTGCCCAGACCAATGTCACAAAGCCTTCCCCTTATGCCCCTTATGTTTTAAATTGAGTTTAAGTTGGTTCTTCATGGTTTGTCATTCTTGCCATTGCTTTTACATGTCCCTGCTAGTATTCTGATAGGCTGAACCGAACTGAGGGCCAGAAAGCAAGAGGGTCCTTTTGAAGAGTCAGCTCACGGGACTTACAGCAGGTGGAGAGTAGATCTGATGAAGTGGGAGTTACCCAGGACTTCCTATGAATTCCTTTACTCTGCAGGACACCCCTCTCTTGGAGAGATTTATTAAAGATGCTCATTTATGGGCTGAAGAACTACTCTTGACTTGCGTTTTCATTGAAATAGGCTGTTTGAACATCTTTAACTCATTATATATTTAGCCTTAAGTTGTTGGATTCCCCTTTCAGGTTGAATAAATGATTTCTAACTGAATCCTTGCCTTTGAATTTTGATGCATATTTGGATGAAACTGTGTTTTTGGATTATAGTCTCAGCCTAGGCATCCAAGCCAGCGTTACCATTGTGAGTAAAAGTTAGTATTATTTTCCGATAGCAAATTCTCAGTTGCTCTCCTATGAAGAGTGATATCATGTTACATTTTTAAGGAAGTGAGATTTACCAAAGTGAAATCCTAGATAAATAAAAAACCGATAGTTGAGATTACTGAAGTATTGCATATAATATTTGAGAACTCTTAAAGAATAAAAAATGTAATGAAGAATTAGAAATGTAATAACATTGCTCAATTTTTAATTTGAGATGTTAGCTTTGAGCAAATACTCTGAAGAATTATTTTAAAATTTGACAAATGTATTATTTTCCAATAATCATAAAATGTATGTAGGCTTTTAATGCCATCTCTAAAACTATATCTATCATTTGATGATTTTTTTCAAATAATATATACAACTTCACCATTTTAAAAGCAAAAAAAAAAAGGTGGCGAAAAAGTGAAAGAAATAAGCAGCCAAAAGTTGCTGTAATATACTTGGAATGCAGTTCATGCAAAATGCTACTATGACACAGTTTAATCCTTCCCAATGAGATGAGTTGTCAGTTGCTATTTAATCTGCTAAAGCATAGTCCTTTGTTGGGGAACAGAAAATAAGAAATTAGGAAAAAAGTAGTCTTCCTTTAATCCTACTAACCAGGGCTGTGATAAGCTGATAGAGAAAACAAAAGGGAAATTGAATTTCTCAGAAATAATCTAGAAAAAATGGGTCAGAATGGAGTGGAAAGGGGAAAAAAGACAATACCACTCTACTTTAAAATAGGAGGCAGCCAGAAATTCAACATGAATTATTGTTTATCAAAAGGTACCCACTTTCCAGCCTTGCTGTAAATTTCCATTTGCAGAAAGCTCAGATATCTCTGAACTTGATGCTCTGAATAAAAGGTGTGATTTCTAGAGGAAATTTACTAGCTGTCCTATTTCCCATGCAAAGGGAGAAAATCCTGCAACTTCTAGGCTGACTTCCTCACTAGGTATGAAGTAATATCTCCTGTTCACATAAGATGAAGAAAAATGTTTTAGTTTGTAGTAGAGAAATATTCATTTTTTATTTGCTAGTTGTTTTTAATTGAAGTTTTAGAATAAAGATATAGTAGTTGGATATATGCCACAGGTAATTTCCCCTAAATAGGTTGCTAAATATGTCCTGCCTTATAGAACATGCATTCAAGATATCTTGTAGATTTAATTTATTTTAAAGCGGGATTTCTTTTTGAAATCCATCATTGTTTGCTGGTAAAATGAAATGTTGTCTGTTACTGAAAATTTACCTAATTAATTACTTCCAAAATCAAAGCAGTAAAATTCCAAATTGAAAAGGAATAAGTTAAATTGTCCTTGTTTGTAGATGACACAATTATATATACAGGAACCCTGAAGACTCTATCAAAAAACTGTTAGAATTAACAAACAAATTCAGCAGGATACAAAACCAGCATACAAATATCAGTAATGTTTCTACATATTAAAATTGAACTACCCGAAAAAAATCAAGAAAATTCCATTCACAATAGCTACAAAAAATAATAAATAAAACACTTAGGAAGAATTTTAACCAAAAAGTTGAATGATCTGGATACTGAAAACCATAACATATTGATGAAAAAAATTGAGAAAGACAAAGACAAACAGAAAGAGATCTCGTGTTCATGAATTGGAAGAATTAATATTGTTAAGTCTACACCACCCAAAGTGATCTACAGATTCAATATAATGTCTGTCAAAGTATCAATGACATTATTCATAAAAGTAGAAAAAACAACCACAAACTTTTTGTGGGACCACAAAAGACCCTGAATAGCTAAAACAATCCAGAGCAAACAGAACAAGGCTGGAGGCATCACAATATCTGACTTCAAAATTTATCGCAAAGCTCTGGTAACCAAAACAGCATGGTGCTGGTATAAAAGCAGATACAAAGGGCAATATTAAAGAATAGAGAGCCTAGAAATGAATCTCTGCATTTACATCCAACTTATTTTGACAAAGGAGCTAAAAACATACAATGGGGAAAGATGATCTCTTTAGTAAATGGTGTTGGAAAGACCGGATATACACATGAAGAAGAATAAAACTAGAGGCTCATTTCTCATTATAAACAAAAATCAAGTTAAAATGGATTAAAGACTTAAATGTAAGACTCAAAACTATGCATATTAGTAGAAGAAAACATAGGGAAAAGCTCCATGACATTGGTCTGGAAAATGACTTTACAAATATCATTCTCAAAGCACAGGCAGGAAATACAAAAATAGACAAATGGAATTTCATCAAACTAAGCAGCTTCTGCACAGCAAAGAAAACAATCAACAGATTGAATAGACAACCAAAAAAAGGGAGAAAATATTTGCAAGCTATACATATGATAAGGGGTTAATATCTAAGATATGTAAGAAACACAAACAACTCAATAGTAAGAAAACAAGTAACCTGATTTTAAAATGAGCAAATGATCTGAATGTAGATACACAAATGACCAACAGGTATATATGAAAAAAGATTCAACATCACTAATCATCAGGGAAATGCAAATTAAAATCACCACCTCAAACCTATTAGAATGACTATTATCAAAAAGACAAGTGATAAGTGTTAGACAGATGTGGAGAAAAGAGAACCCTTGTACACTGTTGATGGCAATGTAAATTAGTAGAGCCATTATGGACAACAGTATGAGGGTTCTTCAAAAAATTAAAAATAGAACTACCATATAATCCAGCAATCCACCACTGGGAATATATCCAAAAGAAAGAAAAATCAGTATGTTAAAAAGTTATTTGCACTCTCATATTCATTGTAGCACTATTCACGACAGCCAAGATATGGAATCAACCTAAGTGTCCATCAATGGATTCATGAATAAAGAAAATATGGTAGGAATACTATTCAGCACTGAAAAATAACAGAGTCTTGTCCTTTGTAACAGCATGGATAACCTTCCAGGAAATTATGTTAAGTGAAATAAGCAAGCACAAAAAGAAAGATACCGTATGACCTCATTTGTACCTAGGATCTAAAAAAGTTGATCTTATAGAAGTAGAAAGTAGAATGGTGGTTACCAGAGGCTGGGTGGGTTGGAGTTGGGTGGACAGATGTTGGTTAAAGAATATGAATGTTCAGTTAGGAGGAATAAGTTTGAGAGATCTATGGTGACTGTAGCTAATTATCCTCTATTGTCAAAAAATGCGAAGACATTGCAAGTAAAGTGTTTTCATCACAAAAGTGATAGCTATATGAGGTGATGCATATGTTAATTAGTTAGATTTAGTCATCCCACAAAGTATGTATACTTGAAAACATCATGTTGTATACAGTTAATACATTCACTTTTACCTGTCCATTGTAAAAAGTAAAATAATTTTTTTTTTTTTTTGAGACGGAGTCTCACTCTGTCGCCCAGGCTGGAGTGCTGGAGTGAATTGTCAAGCTCTTGGCTCACTGCAACCTCTGCCTCCCAGGATCAAGTGATTCTCCTGCCTCAGCCTCCCAAGTAGCCTGGACTACAGGTGCACGCCACTACACCTGGCTAATTTTTGTATTTTTAGTAGAGACAGGGTTTCACTGTGTTGGCCAGGCTTGTCTTGAACTCCTGACCTCATAATATGCCTGCCTCGGCCTCCCAAAGTGCTGGGATTACAGGCGTGAGCCACTGCACCCAGCCAAAAGTAAAATAAAATATTTTTAAAAAGCAATAATTATCCAAAGATTTAATAAATTTTATTTTATTTAATAAATATTCCACTGTGAACGTAGCAGTGTACTTGTTCTCTGTTGATCTACATTCTAGTTAAAATAGACAAGATGAAACAGAATATATATATATATCTATGACTATATACATAGAAGATATCAACAGATTATATTAATAGACAATATAACAAATAAATTAAAATGTGGTTTCACTTTTAGTAATGTATTTCTGATAAACTGTCATCTCAACATTTTATGTTATAGAATATATCTAAATTCAAATTGCACCTCAAAACTCAGTACATTTATTATTAATCAGTGTCCTAGAGGATTTCCTTGCACTTCAAATACTGCTGCAATAGCTTAGGCACAGTACCTCCCAGATGATGTTAGCATTGACAATCAGATGGTGAGAAATGAAAAGACATCTGTGAGACAATAACTACCTTAGTTTAAGTGTTCTTCTACCACTACTTAGATTTATAGCAATTAATTTCCACATGCTTTAACAATAAGCCTGTCCTCATTAAAACACTAAAACCAATATGTAGAAAACATATTACTTCAGTGTCTTGTCTCCAAACTGTTATGTTGGCACCGGTTAGACAAAGTATTTTAAAAATTCACACATCTTAAAGGCTAAGAGGTAAAAAAATCATACTCAACTCTGGAACATAACATTTTAGGGTCTTATTGTAGGTTCTTCAGGCTTTAGGAAAACAAAATTAAAATGTGCTGGCTTAATTTTCTTCTCTAGTTGTAGCCACATTATCCTGTGTGAGGAGAATCTTTTGATGTTGCAGGAATGAGCCTTTTCAGATGTGACTCTAATATACACTTGGGGACCATTGACCTCATGTCTTCAAGAATCCCATTCACACATGCGCGCGCACACACACACACACACACACACACATACACACACCTCAGAAACCAAAGGTATTAAGAAAAGGAATAACCATATTGTATTTATATCTCAGGCCGAACATTAAAGGTGATCCCTTTCATGATCCATCCCTTTATTTCTTAAATCTTTTATGTCTTTTTCTCAATTTTCTTCCTCAAGAGATCTGCTCGATTGGCTCACATATAACAAACCCTGACAACTTTGCTAGACACCTTGCCCCCAGGATCTTATGAAGATCTGATAAAATAGAATGAAATTTTACCCTGACCTAGAGTTGTATAAAGGCATAGGTTCCCTCCTCTAAACATGGTTTTTAAACTCCAGACCCACCCAAGCTGGGCCCAGGATGAAAGTGAACCTCTTGATATATCTCTGATCTCAAATGAGTTATTTTAGATCTTTCTCAGAACAAAACTGCACTAAGAAGTTGCTTTGCTGTCTACACACACGCCTCAATAGTCCTAAAAGAATAAGCGAGGGAGAAATGGAAAGATAATCCAAGCTTGTCTTTCCACATCTTAACTACCCTCGAGCTCTTCCTTTTGCATAAGGATTCAGTAAAATTGTGACCTCTCCCAGGACAGACTAAAACACCTGGATTTCCCATGCTTCACTAAGTTGTAAACAGCTTCCAGAGTCAGCAGCTTACATTTACTACTTGCAATTTTTAAAGGACTAAAGCTTTTATAGCTAAGAAATATTCTAATGATATGAAGTTAAATAAAAATTGGCAATAAAAGAATACATTTTGAAATCACTGGGGCCTTCTAATGCTCTCCAAAATGAAAAGAAGTGGGACAAACATTTATATCATGTCTATTTTTATTGAGCAATGTTATGGTAATAACAAATATAAAAATATTATTCGCACCTTAAATCTGATAAGCTTGAGGCTAAGAAAGAGTATGTAACAGGCCTATGATACCCATACAGTGAGGGGTGAAACACAGAATAGAAACTTTAAATCTTTGACTCCAATGTGCACTCCTAAAACCAGGTTACCTTCTGTATTCACACATGGCAATGTGTAGGTAATTTTCTGTGTGATTTTGATTCATTTGCTTTGTGATCATTTGATCAAATGTTCCAAACTTTTCTCATTCAGTGGACTATATGTTTCTTTTCAGAGCTGGTAAATGAATACTTGAGGTTCACTGGGTTTAGAGCTGTCAGATAAAACAGAGAAGAGCCAGTTAAATTTGAACTTCAGATACACAAATGAACAATTTTTAGTAGAAGTTTATCCTAAATATTGAATAGGATATACTTGCAATATTTGGGACACAATTCTACTAAAAATATTCATCTGTAATTCAGATTAACTAGGCATCTCATACTTGTATTTGCTCAGTCTGGATACTCTAACTGGGACACACCAAGTGAAGGTATTATCATTTGTAAATCCATCATTTTTTATCCTGACATTTACCTTTGTTTTGGGTATGTAAGATTAGATGCAAAATTTTACATTGCACTGGGATGAATGCTATAGGTGCATTACTGAATTCTATCTTTCTATTACTGAATTTCTTAATTTGAAGCAGAAAATCTATCTTTCACTTTTTCAGCAAGAAAAAAGTGACTTATGAAAAGTAGAGTAAAATAAATAAAAGTTTCTGTATAAGTATTACTAACAGGAATGTGCATGCTTTCTTTCAACGTTTCATATTTTTATCTTGCTGTGGCACCAATTTTAGTGACTCTATAGCCTGTGGTGAATCGTTATGTTTGCCATCAATTACTTTTGACAGCTTTAACACACTTCATTGAATATTTAATAATAAGGGCATTTGATTGTACATATTTTTCGTAAAGCTTAAGATGTTTTTCTCTATTGAAGTTGAGGGCAAACGAATATGCTGAGGGTAATTTTCAGCAAGTGGCTAACGTCCCTAAGGGACTAATTTTGTTGAAAATCTGTATAGATAAAAAAATCAAAGTACATCCTTTGCCTTTCTTTTGGTGTGAATAGTGTTATTTACCAGCTTGGAAGTAATAGTTGTTGCCAATAAATTAACATAATGCTGTCTATTTTTTATCTTCTTGTAGCTTACAATGCATTTTTACTTATGTTTTAATCCATAATAACAGCCTAGTGAGTTATATAGGTATTACCCCATATATACATGAATTAATTTTATTCCCTAAAACAAGGAATTTATGTCCTTTCGAATGTGCACAAATTGCATGATGGTATTTATCTGAAAACAATGACCAATGCTGGACAGATAAAGATATATATATATAAAACACACACATACACATATACTATGTATATACTATACTGTATATATTATATACATACACATGTTTGTGTATTTATATATATAAATGAAGAAAGTGTCTTGCAGTGTTAAATTTGCTAGCATGAGGATGCTTTCCGACATATAACGCAAATCCTGACTTTTGGGCCTCTGTGGGTACATCAGAATGAACGTGATCCTTGTTTTGAGTTTTATGAGATTTGTTGCAAAATATTGTATATGAATGGAACAAAAACATGTAAGGATTGTATTTTAAAATGTTACACATAGGATTTTAAAAGTCTTTTGATTGTAGATTTTTAATTTATATGCATGTGGTTTCTATGATGTTATAATTTTTAAAATTTATGAGTATTTCCCTCGTGAGTCATTATGTGATCAAAAATTGAAAGCATCTCATATTTACATGACAAGAATCAGATACTCATATTGTGTACATGTTAGATAACACTTGTTACTTTCGATATCCAAATCTTCTGTTTTCTTAATAATATTTTATCTTCTTTCTGAAAGAGAGGTATACAATGTTTGTGCTATGATTTTGGAGTTGTCAAGCCTTTCTTTATGTCCATCAGGTTTTTGTTTTCATACCAGTTATGGACATATTTATAGATGTTCACAAGATGACAACTGTAATATCTTCTTGGTTAGCTACTTGGTCAATAAGAGTGATCTGCTTTTAGGACTTTTTGTGCTTTTTATCTTAAATTTAATTTTGTCTGCTGTTAATATTACTACATCCAATTTCTTTTGGTTAAGTGTCACATTTCTGTTGCTTATTAGTCTCCATTCCTCATTTTCAAACTTTGACTGCTAAGTAGCATCCGTTTACTGGATTTTTCTCTGTATCAAATGTGACTATTTCATTAAAAAAAACACTTTTTATTTGTGAACAGTTTTAGATTTACAGAAAAGTTGTAGAGCTAGTACAGGGTTCTCACATATTTCATAATCATTTTCCTATAATTAACACCTGGCATCCTTATAGTATATTAGTTACAAATTAATGAACCAACCTTGATAACATTATTTTAAAGTAGTGTCCGTAGTTTGTTCACATTTCCTTGGATTTTACCTACTGTCGTTTTTCTGTTCCAGGATCCCACATTATTTTTAATCCTCCAGCTTTCATTAGGCTCCTCTTGGCTGTGACCATTTCTCAGCCTTTTTCTTCTTATGACCGTGATAGTTTTGAGGAGTACTGGTCAGGTATTTTGTAAGTGCCCCTTATTTTTGTGTTCTCATCATGATTAGATGGTGGTGATGGGTTTTGAGATGGAGATGCCAGAAGTAAAGTGCCATGCTCATCATATCATGTCAAGGTTACAAATCAAGGATACTGTGAACTGAAGAATCACGAGGTTTATAAATTTGGAGAGGAGACTTAATTTCTTATATATGGTTACAGCCTGCAGATTGGCCATCGTGACAGAATGGGAGGCATGCATAACCTCTGGCAGAGACTGGAAGATGGCACTTTGTGGGAAGGGAGGGCGGAACAGGAATTTATGTTGAAAGGGTCGGCCAAGTATACATATTTAACAGGTATAAGGGGGTTATGCATATTTATGAAGGGGGGACATGCATATGCATGATAAGCAAATAGGCACATTACATGCATCTTACATTTACTTTGGGATGGAGATGTAACATTTAAATGTATTACAATTAGACCCTATACATCAAAAGGTGAAGCAGGGGCATGGAGATAATTGGTGTACAGCCTCTGTAAACCAGTCAGAACCAGTTCATTGTCTCTAATTTTTTCAGAAAAAAATTATTAAAATCAGTCTCTTGTTCAATCAAAACTATAGTTATGATTGGCAAAACAGGAGAGCCAGTTAGTGAGTAGCTGGCAGTTGGAGAGCTATAATTATTTTAATATTGTTTATATTAAAGGCCAGTTTTTGTCTACCTGCTAAAAAAGAAAAAGAAAAAAATCCCATGACAGTTAAAACAGATTTATTCTTTAAGTGTAGGGGAGTGTTCCTTAACCCTTACATGGCCTTAAGCCTGAATTATAACAGTATTTTATTACCACAAAAAAGTCCATTCTGTCAGTCTTACAATCCCTATATAACAAACCATCAAATTACTTATCATGGTTGGTGTCAATCTTGATCACCTGGCTGAAGTGCTGTTTGTCAGCTTTCACCACTGTATTATTACTCATTTTTCACCCTTCGCCCACCGTACTCTTTGGAAGGAAGCCACAAAATATAACCCGCATGTAAGGAGTTGAAAGTTGTATATTACCTCTTGAGGATAGAAAATCTGCACAAATTATTTGTGCTGTGCCAGTAACAATTTTCCAGAATTTCTCACCTGCCCAATAAGTTAAGGAGATGTTCGATAATGATTGAAAAGAAGGCTACTTTATTTTTAATTACAAATAAATAAAAAATCATGTCAAGGATGCTAGGACTATGAACTTTTCCATGTACCAGTAATGAAGTCAAATTATATGATGAATGCTATATATTAGCAATAGCATAAAAACTATAAAACATCTAGATAAATAAATAAACATGAGAAATATTTATAATATATAAATAAACATAAAATATTTATAATATATAATAGGAAAACTAGTATGAAGATACTATAAAATGTTACTGAATGTCATACAACTATGTTTCTGAATTAGATGAAGTAATATTGTAGTAGCTAACTCTGTATTAATTACTTAAAAATTTAACAAACTTTTACACAATTCTGCTTAAAAGTCTCAGTGATATTTTTAGAATAAATTCTAATATTAGAAGTAAGTCTAAATTTAACACCAAGAAATTGGTGATAAACCGTCAAATTGGCAAGTGATTTTAAAGGCACCATTATTTTTTAGCATAAAAGGAAATAAACAATTATAAAAATTATTGAGTGAGGATCTTCTTTCAGTGAACAATTTCACATTAACTATTAAAATCTTTTCAGAAATTAATAGCCTTAGAATGTTATCTATCTTTGGATCCACCACTTGTATTTCTAGACATTTATGCTAAGCAAATAGTCACGATTGAACACAAAATCATCACATGAGAATGTTGACCTCAGCAGCTTTTATAATGGTGAAAAATTGAAAGACCCTTAAGTCTCTGCAATAGGAGATTGATGATGGAATCTTCTTATATGGAAATACTATGTAGCAGTTAAAAATAATGATATAAAACATATATATTGCTACTAAAATATATTGATATATAGTAATTTAAAATAGAAATAAGTTATAAGTCAGCATATATAGAAGGATTATATATTAAAAGTCTACTTTAGCACTCATAAAAATTGGGAGTATGTATATATTAAAATTTTATCATTGGTTTCATTTGTTTTCTTCTTGTTGATTTAATATATTTTAAAACACTTTATGCAAACAACACACGTTCATTATAGAAAAAACAAAATATGAATGTTAAAATATAGCCAGTAATTATCATCTTATTGAGCTAGCTTTCTTCCTATTCAGTTCATGTTGTGCCAGTAAAATATCTGGTCAGATTAAGGTAAAATAATTGTCGTAAAAGTGAAGGAGCAGCATTCTACACACAGAGCACATCCTGTGAAGTGGAAGGATGCCTGATACAACTGAGAACATGAAAGAAGACAGATGGAGGGAGATCTCAGAGAAAAGTGGCAGGACTGGCAGGCACAGGTAGGCAAGAGCCAGGTAAGGCAGGGTCTCTGAATGATTCTCATGCAGGGTAACACCATGCTCACATTTGTGTTTTACAAAGACTTCACTGGTTGCAGTATAAAGAATGCGATAAAGAAGGGAATGGGAGAATATAGTCATAATTCCAGCCCCTGATATACTAAAATAAAGTAAAATTCATAGCACAGATTATCACAGGTAGAGATAAGTTAGAGCAGATAAAGGTGGAGTGACAGGTTTGGTTGCAGTCCCTGTCTCCAAGTGACTACTAATGACTATGACTACCACACACACACATGCGCACATGTGCTTCTGCACAGGCACACACACAGATATATACACAATCTGTGAAATAGTAAGTGAGACTGTCAGCTAAGAGGATGGGCACTGTGAGGCCAGGAGTAATATTCAAAAATCTTTCAGCTGTGTTGGCACCCTTCATGGTTACATTTTCATAGGCAGCCAAACAAGGGTGACTGGGGGGAATTCAAAGAGCTGGTATGAAGCCGGCTTCAGGCAGCCAAATGGGTGCTGGGCATATGCCTGCTGTGGCCCCAACACCATAAACACTGTTGCTTTCCCCACATTCCATGCCTGCTATTGCCACTATAATGCGCAGGGACCAGGCCAGCCAAACAGAGGTGCAGTGGGCCAGCTGGAGGGCTGGAAGCTGATGGCATACAGGTAGCTCTTTAGTGGTAGAGGGTAAGGTAACAAGAAATGTGGTTAGAAAATCATCAGAGTTTGGGGGACTACTAAAACATAAAGGGATAAACAGTTTAGAATGTCAATCAAAGCAGAAAAACTGCAGACGTTATTGTAAAGAGAAAGAGGGCATGCTACTTAGAACAGTGGTTCAAAAGCTTTAACTCACTTGAGAATCACCTAAAGGACTGGATGAATCCTAGATTGCTAGGGCTCAACCCCAGAGTTTCTGATTCGGTTTGGTCCAGAAAAAGTTCCAAGGATTTGCATTTCTAACAAATGATCTGGTAATGCTGATACTTCTATTCTGTAGGCCACATTTTCAAGCCAGAGAATCACTGGCTTGAAAAAATTCAATAGGATAATTGGGGAGTTGTTTTTTTTTTTAATTTGTGGTATTATTTATTTGCACAATAATTATAATTTCTATAGCACTGCTCAATGGTTAAGATTCAAGTAGTGATTTGTTTTGTTTTTGAGTCAGGGTCTTGTTTTTTTCCCCAATGTTGAAGTGTGCTGGTGCAATCACAGCTCACAGCAGCCTTGAACTCCTGGGCTTAAGGGACCCTCTCACCTCGGCCTCCTGAGTAGCTGGGACTACAGACATGCATGCCCACGCCTGGCTAAATTCTTTTAATTTTGTAGAGAGAGTATCTCACTATGTTTCCCAGGCTAGTCTCAAACTCCTAGCCTCAAGTGATCCTCCTGCCTCGGCCTCCCAAAGTGTTGGGACTACAGGCATGAACCACGATATCCAGCTTTGGTTTTGACAGGTATACTCAATCAAAATACAAAAGGAAGGTGAGTTTTAAATAATGACAGGAAACTTAGTGAAATGATGGATTATGGAATCTAAGTTAGATACATGTAAGGAAGACAAAAAGAAAGAGAGCTGAAGGGACAGGGAGGGGAGTTGAAGAAAAGAGATCAGAGAAGCAGAATCTTGTTTCTCAACCATGGCTGAGCATTAGAATCATCTGGGACTCTTAAAAATTACCTGTGCTGGAATCCCAGCACCAGAAGACGTTTTAATTCAATTAGTCTAAGCTGGAGTGCAGACATCAGTATTTTTTAAAAGGTTTGTCTTAATTCATTATGCCTGCTATAACAAAATACCATAAACTAGGTGGCTTACAAATGACAGAAATGTATTTTTCACAGTTCTGGAAGCTGAGAAGTCCAAGAATAAGGTACTGGCAGATTCACTGTCTGGTGAAGGCTCACTTCCTGGTTCATAGATGACATCTTATTGTTGTATCTTTGTATAGTGGAAGGGTTTATCTAATAACTCCCTGCAGACTCTTTTATAAGGATATTGATCCCATTCAGGAAGGCTCTGTTCTCAGGGTCTAATCACCTCCCAAAGGTCCCACCTCCTAATACCATCATACTGGGGATTCGATTTCAATATATGAATTTTGGGGGCACACAATAAGACCCTGTCAGTTTCCATAGATGATTCTAATAAATAGTCGGGATTGAAGACTACTGGGCTAAGAGAAGCCCAGGTAAGGAAGAGAAGACAGGTGTAGAATGGTACTTATCTCAAACGTGCCCAACAATAAGGGTCACCCGGATGATTATTTCATGTGTTGCTTCTCAGGCCTCTGCACTGGAGACTGAGTAGGTCTTGGAAGACAGATTTTTATGGTAAACAAATAACAAGTGATGATTATTTACTGGTTTACCAAATAATCAGAAAAGATAGGATCATTGTGTTCATGATTGGGGTATCTAAAACAATGATTTTAGCATTTACAGTATTGACAGAATATTGAATCCAGACAAATTTATCTTGTAGATTATAAGAAAAAATAGTTTGGAGGCAAGAGGAGATGTTGGCTCCGTTGAAATCACAAGGATACTGGCTAACATGGTTGGGGATGATGAAGGCTATCGACAATGTCAAACTTTACCTGAGCTCTGTGTCCTTGGAAAACAATGAAAGTGAAAAAAAAAAAAAAATCTCTCTCACTCTTCTATGTTCCAGAAACAGCTTTCTGGAAAGAATCCCGCTTCCCCATATGACTTCGATAAAAGTCACAGATGCTCCCTTGTTTACCTACGACAAGGCCAGAGACCTTTGAAATTCCCATTTTTCTCCCTCATGAATGTTTAGCTGAACTGCTTGTCCCCACAAATCAATTGGAACAGAATTTTTGTTGAGCATATTGTGTACAATATAAGGTGCTGAGTATTAGAAGACAATGTATTTTCTGCGTAGACATGGACATAGAATGTGGAATAACAGTCATCGGAGACTCAGAAGGGTGGGAGGGTGGGAAGGGGGTGAGGGATGAGAAATTATTTAAGCAACACAATGTACACTATTTGGGTGATGGTTACACTTAAAGGCCAGACTTCACCACTACACAACATATCTATGTAACAAAACTGCATTTGCACCCCTTACATTTAGACAAATAAAAAAGTGTACTTTTCAACTTGTCATTTATCCAGTACTTCTTTGGAGGCATAAACATTGTTTCTTCCTCCTCTGCTTGAGTAGTTACTCATTGTCTCATACATAGAGTTGGAGTAAACTTCCTGGTTCTTCTCAATGTGACTCACCCAAAACCAGTTGGATGCCTCTTCTGGAGTGGCTGTATGACTAAGGAAAAAGTGCAGGAAACAAGATGTTCTAAATATCATTTCCTTTCATTGTTCTTTGGCTTTGTTTATTGTTTTCTTCAATTGACACATGGCAGTAGATCCAATATAAACACAGTACTTTAGTGAAATGTGATATAGGGCATTCAGTGCCTCTTTTTTGAAATCACTATTTGATATGCATACCCTCCCACAAACACATAGCACTAAAGAGGAGGAAGTAATAGACCCTACCTACTTTTTCCTGTTTATGTTGTGCAATTGTTTTCAAATGGGGCATCAGAGAGGCTGTGGGAAAACAAGGAATTTTTAAGATCTCTTTTGTCTTCTATCTGCATGCGTCACCATCTGAAATGAAAAGAAACAAAACTATAAATATAATAAAGAATACAAAGTCATGAGGGGATGCAGACTGTCATCTTTACACACAAGGGATCTAATCATTATGTTTCCTTGGTTTCTAAAATTGCAGTTTACCTGACTAAAGCAGTCTGGATAATGCTTATATTCAACGCACAGTGAGGTGAGAAAGATACTGTATTTCTCCTTGGGGCTCTTTCAAACTACGAATCTACCTGCCCCTAAGAATCCATTACCTTTGAGAAAAGTCCTTGTGACTGGGAGCCACTATGACAGATTTGGGGAACGTGTTGGGGAGTGTGATTAATGCATCAGGAATGCTAGATGAGACAAAGTTTGAAGTTCTCTATGGAGAGTGTATAATTTGAACCAGAGGTTCTCAAATTGCTGATGTTCTTTGTGTGGGTGTCGGTCAGTGAGCTCATGGCAGAATCAACTGGAAATTTCTTCAACATCACAAATCCCCACTGTGACTACAGATCTTTTGAATCAGAATACCTGAAGGTAAGTCCAGTCATGATTATTTTCAGAAAATCCCAAAGATCACACTTCTCATCACAAGTTTTTGTTAAATTTTGGAAAAACAATGAAATGTACCTGAAAGTTCATATATTAGAAATATTGTGAATATTCACTTCAACTAATGGTGGGCTAGAAAAGCTAAGAAAAATGTTTTTGCTAAGAAGAATGAGATCATGTCCTTTGCAGGGACGTGGATGGAGCTGGAGGTCATCATCCTTAGCAAACTAACACAGGAATAGAAAACCAAATACCGTATGTTCTCACTTAAAAGTGGGCTAAATGATGAGAAAACATGGACACATAGAGGGGAACAATACACACTGGGGCCTTTAGGAGGGTGGAGTGTCGGAGGAGGGAGAGGATCAGGAAAAATAACTAATGGGTATTAGGCTTAATACCTGGGTAATGAAATAATCTGTACAACAAACCCCCATGACACAAGTTTACCTATACCATAAACCTGCACATGTAGCCTTCGACTTAAAATAAAAGCGAAAAAAAGAACTATAAATCTGAATGAAATATATTAACCTTCTTAAACATTTCTAAAAGCTAATAAGATAGAAAGGAATTATAGGGCAAAAAAACTGGAAAAAAAAATAAAACCCATAAATGTAAGAGGACAATTCAAAACCATTTTTCTTGAAGGGTTATTTGCCTATAAGTGAAGGTTTCTGAAGTCTAGTTGGCTAAAGGTGGTGAGTGAAAGCTCAGGGCTTACCCAAGAGGGAAAGCAGATAAATATCCTTTTCACTTTTATTTGGCACCAAGGGGGACACACATTTCACATTTTGGGTAAAGACAAACTGGAATTATGATAACCATTTGTGAATGACTTTTAGCATTGTTTCGTGTGCCTTAGAAAATCCAGAAAACCTTATCTTTAACATGGCTTAATGTTGTCCTGAAATAATTCCCCCAGGTAACCAATAGTAGCAAACATAAATCCTCTCCTTAGAAAAAGTACTTTTATTATAAGCCTCAAATTATTTCTACAGATTTTTTATGATTGCTGTCCAGACGGGATCAAAGATGACCAGACACAAAAGCAATCCAGAATCTTTAACTGAAAAAATAGCAAAACAAAAAAGGCCCACAAAGAGTGTATTAAAAAATTAAAAGCAAGCTTGAGTATGTATAAAGTGAAAATTATGAAAAGATACAATGCAGATTTAAAGAAGTTACAAGCCAAACTTTAACAAATTATACAAGAACTCTAACTGAAACCTTAATATTTGAGTTCAAAAACACATGACACATGGATAAACAGAGAATTAGTGAAACAGAAAATGGGTGAAAAGAAATTTTCTAGAGAGAAACAGGAAAAGACAAAATAATGAATAATTATAGAAGAGAGAAGACACAAGTGACATACAAATTAAAGAAAGTCTAACATAATTTTAATGAGATTCTGTAAAGGAATAAAAGAGAGAAGATGAAGAATTGTTCTGGAGTCAATATTGAAGGATTTACCTCAGAGTGACAAAATTTGATTTGATAGAAGCTCTAGGATGAAACATTTTTAAAAAGGAGCAAATGTATGGGTAATTCTATATTAATTTAACTACATAAAATAATAATGCCTTGTGGTATTTTACAAATGTTGAATTAAAATATACAACACTGGTAGTATGTATGTTGGGAAGTAGTAAACGGAATTAGTGTTCTCAGTTTCTTCTATTGTCCTGAAAGATTTTAAAGTTATTAAGTAATATTAAATTATAATACATTTAAAAACTGCCTATGACTTATAGGATAAAAATAAGGATACATAACTTCCAAACAAGAGTAAATAGCTGCAAGTATTAAGTGTATTATATTTAGTATATACTAAAATATATAGCATATATATATAAACTATATAGTATATGCTATATGTAAATATATCATATATAGTATATATACACTTTACTATATAATATATAGTATAAATATGGTATAATTTATATTTGTATATATAAAAGATCTAAAAGAAGGCAAGGGAGGATAGAGAAAAGATACACAGAACAAACAGCACAGAATGGATTAAGAAATCTAAATATAAATTATTTGTAAGAGATAGATCTAAAACATAAGAATACAGAAAGGTTAAATGTAAAACAATTAAACAAGATATGCCAAGCACATTCTAAGCAAGAACGTGTAGCTATATTACTATCTAATAAAATGGACTTTAAGGCAAAAATAATTACTGGACATAAAAAAGTGTTTCTGAGTAATAATAAAAGATCTAACTTCACTAGAAATAGAACATAATAATGAATATAATCATTGGCTTTCTGCTTTTACAATTTAGTTGAATGTGATAAATTAGAATATAGAGTTTATTTTTTAACACAGTTCACTGGCCTCCGAGAGCTTACAGAACTGCTCAAGGAGGCTCTGCAAGGGGGAATAGAGTGTGGTGTGTTCTGTATCCTAATTCTAGTTGATGATACAGGGGTGGACACTAGACCCAACAACAGCCAAAGACTATCCAGTGATCTTGGAATAATCTGATTTGAAACCTCAGGTAATATGCAGTAATTGTTAAGGGTGGAGCCTCAGGAGCTGATTGCCTGAGTTCAAGTCCTGCCTGACATATACCAGCAGTATGACCTTGGGAAACATGTAACTTTTTTACATCTCAATTTCCTAATATATAAAATGGATCCATAGGAACAAGATAATAAATGTTAGCTATTATTATTTGTGCAAAGAGGCACAGATTACTCGTTGAAACTCTCTATGAGGAAGTTTGAATTTGGAAAAGTTAAATAATGTGTAAGAAGAGCAAAAATCTGAGAGCCACATAAAGAATCTGTGGTCCTGGCCAGGCGTGGTGGCTCACACCTGTAATCCCAGCACTTTGGGAGGCCGAGGTGGGTGGATCACCCGAGGTCAGGAGTTCAAGACCAGCCTGGCCAACATGGCAAGACCCTGTCTCTACTAAAAATACAAAAATTAGCTGGACGTGGTGGCAGGTGCCTGTAATCCCAGCTACTCGGGAGGTTGAGGCAGGACAATTGCTTGAACCCAGGAGGCGGAGTTTGTGTTGAGCTGAGATCGTGCCACTGCACTCCAGCCTGGGCAACAACTTGGTATAAAAAACAAAAACAAACAAAACAAACAAACAAAATCTGTGGTCCTGGACATCACGAGAAGGTGGAAGGTGGCAGGAGAGAGAGGAGTCAGTGTAAGTTAAAATGTGTAAGTACAGACAGGGGCATTGGAAAATGTCATAGCATTGAAGAAGGTGATCAGTGGACTCTGCCTCTGAAGTGGTACTGGGAGCAATAAAATGGCCCAGTTGCTGGAATCATGGTGTGCCATGAATGCTGTTCTATTTTTTTATTATCTCTGTAGCCTGCCTGGCTGTTGTTTCCATGGTTGTTTTTTTTTTGTTTGTTTGTTTGTTTTTTGATGCCTGGCTCTTCAATTAGAGATTTCTGCCTTCATCATTTCTATATAGATTTTCATAATAAGTCTCCATTATTTTAGGTAAAGAGTGAACCTCTTTTCCTCACAGCTAATGGGCCTCACACACAGCAATGCCCACACAGTGTGGTCATTTAGTTACAGAGGTGGCAGAGTTTGGAGAATCTCTGAGAACAGTGCACTTTAAAACAACATGACGGGACTCGGGAATACTTTATATAGGAGAAGTTTCTCCTTTGTGGCTTCAAAAAAAAAAAAACCCTCTTTTTCTGGGGAAAAATGAGCAAGTAACAAGTGACGTCAACATAAGAAAGATTTTCTAATAAATGGGAAGACCTAGTCAATGGTTAGCTTGCATCTTAATGTAGTCAGTCTCCTGCCCTGAGAAGTTTCGAACATTCCCATTAGTTTCAAATATGGACTTTCCCTTGGAACTTAGAGAAAATGTGGATAATATGACCTTACAGGCCTTTATGAATTTGTGGGTTCAATATTTTAACATTCACAGATAGTTGGCATGTGAACTGAGAGTATGGAGGAATCACCAGGTAAACTGGTTAAAGAAGAAGACGGAATAACCAGGTTAGTAAAATAAACTGGTCATTATGCAGAGAAATGAGAAAGTCATAAAAGGTAGGGCCAGAAAGAAAATATATTTAACTTTATAGAAAGGATACAGTTTTATAAAATGAAAATTAAACAATTTTAATATCACTGACTAGCAAGCTAGGATGTTTACCTGCCCCAAATTATATAGACAACCCCAATAAAGGTTCAGAGGGGAGACATAATAAAACTATTTATTTCAATTTAGATCTACTGCGTTACATTCTGCTTTATGGTAGATTATGTTTTCCAAAAAATGTTTCAAAGAAAGTTCTAAGCTTATTGGAACTTATTTTCAAATATAGCTAAAGACATACGACATACTATTTTTCTAATAAGAAGTCTATTGCCTTTTGGTGGCTGGCCCAATATATTTTTACTAGCATAACTAGCACTGCTCCTGGAAGTGCAGGTTGAATAATATTAGTTGAATAAATACATGTAATTATAAATATAAGAATCACAATCAGATTATATTTTCAAATAAAATACCTGAGATTATTTCTCCTGTGTTACAAAAAAATAACACTAGTGAGTAGACAGCAAGACACACATCCAGGGTGTGGCAATGGTTATAATGTACAACTTACATAACTTTTTATAGTCCTTTATAGTTTGTTGGGGAGGTGAATGATTATTTAAGCTGTTTTTATAGTTCTCTTCTTCTAAATCTGAGATTAAATTACACTAAAGTCTTACTTTGACAGCAAGTATTTTACAGAGTGAAAAAGGGCTGAAATACAGGTCTAGATTTCACTGGATGATACCTGGAGGAGTATCTTACAGAGACCAGGGGTGGAGGTCCAGCTCCAGACAAGACTATGGTTTGTTAGGAGCACCAGGTCAGCTGCTATCTTGAACTGACTGGATGTTCAGTAAGGGCTATATTCCAATGTTGGGAATTCATAGAAATGTGAAGTATTTATGAATTTACAGTTGTTAGAAAACTAAGTTGGTTGGCATTATGGATATTTGGAATCATATGAGGTGACCAAGATTGGAAATGATACTTGTAGAAATTAGGTAATGATTATCATAACATGTGAGATTCCAAATAATTAAATATTGGACACAAATGCTGGTTATAATTTTATTTCCACCACTTGTGCTGAGCATCTAACATATTTTGTTTTAGCCACACAGAAAATTACAATTCATAAAAGAGTGTCAACCTATTATCGGAATTCAATGAAATCCAGTGTGCAAGTGTGTAAAACTCTCAGTGTTCAACATTTTTAAGTAACCAGTAAGAGGTAACCAATAGTAGTAATGGTAATAGTAGTATAGTAGTAGTCCACAAGAGGTAGTAGAAATAGAGGTAGTAGTAGTAGTTGAAGCTTGTGTTAGTGATCAGGGGCCTAACATTCTTTCTATTTTTTCCAAGCTTCTGTCTGCTGAGATCTTGACTTTATCGTCATGATGTAAACAAAATAAAATATAAAATTAGGACCAAGAGCACTTTATAGATGAGGAAATCCTAAGCAAAGATAGATAGATAGATAGATAGATAGAAGTTGCTATCAAGGATAAAATCCGAAGTTACAGAATAGTAGAACTAGAAAAATTCATAGAATCTCAATTTTTACCAGTAAAATAAATTTTAAAATAGTGGATGAGTAGTTCTTATATGGTAACATTTGCAAAATACTTGGAAGGTAAGAAACTGGCCTTAACAAGGAAAGAGTATGTAGTTATCAAACAAATTTACCCAGGACATTAAACCATTTCTCATGTTGCAATGGCGTAGTAACAAATGAATGTATGTATACATGTCTAATGTGGTCAGAGTTGTTTTGAACAGGCTCCTACTTGCAGTACTATAGAGCCACATCTAGATTTAAATCCTGGCTGTAGCACTCACTGGTTATCTGAACTTTGGGCTTGCTCCTTTACCCCACAAGACCCCAGGTTTCTCATCTAAAAAATGAGCATTGGGACTTCCAGTTCTGCATGTATGGAGCATGAAAGTTGCCACTCCATCCTAAAAACGAGTAGAAAGCTGATCAGACTGAAAGGCACACTACTCTTCTTGGGTCTGTAAGGGAGATGAAGACACAGGGAAAACTGCTGTCCCCAAGTCCAGAGAGACAGATGGGAATACATGGAATCACGGCTGCCAGAGCACAGACAGGAGCAGAAACCACCTTGGGAACAAGTGACAGGCCAGGCAGACCCGAGCTGTAAGTGATGAATTGCTGGAGGCTCCATGTAGATGAGTCTGAGAGTTGAAAACTCCACCAGGACCCAGTCATGTGGGGTGTGGCGGGAAGGCACACACTTTTGTGAATTTTACCTCCAGGAGCTTGATCAGATTCTCACAGTAAATAGAAAGGGGAAATCCTCCAGGAGCTTGATCAGATTCTCACTAGGAGGGGGAAATCCCTCTGTGCTCCTGTTAGGGAGAGGAGAAAGGAACCATTTTGAAATACACGAGGGCACTTTGTTCTTCTTAACCAGGCCTGCCTGCAAGATAACCTGGTTAACCAGACCCTAACAGGCTGGGGTATTACTGGAGCCTAGCAGAGGTGGGAGGAGGGAGATGCCCAACTCCAGCACACTCTAGCCATCACGTCCCACCTGAGAGGCACTGTGAAGTTCCCAGTCCCCAGGCACAGGCTCCCAAAAAAAGACCAAGACCTAAAATGAGGACTGTAGAACACTTCCACTCTGCCACACCTTACCACCACATTAATCAAGACCTGTGGTCAGCAGTTCCTTTTACCTGGTACCTCAGGTCTGGTTATCAGATATCAGATATCAAGAAAATATTGCAAGATATATTTTGAAAACAGAGCATGAATCAGAACCAGACACAGCAGAGAAGTTAGAATTATCAGACTGGATATTTAAACAACAGTGATTAATATTCTAAGGACTCTAATGTATATTTGTAACTGTGTTAATTTTCAAATATTTAGAGATTTTCAGCACAAATTTATTTTCTAATTTAATGTCATTCTAATCATAATCTATATGGTTTCAGTCTTTCTAAAATTATAGATTTTAATGGACTAGCATTAGTCAATTATATAATTCATCTATTGTCAATATTCTATAACTTTGGATTGTATCCTTGATAGCAAATTTCCATCTATCTATCTATCATCTATCTATCTATCCATCTCTATCTATCTATATCTATCTGTCTGTCTATCTATCTATCTATCTATCTATCTATCTATCTATCTATCATCTTTGTTTAGGGATTCCTCATCTATAAAGCACTAGAGAATGTTTAGAATAAAATGTGGATTTTTGCAGTTGTTAGCTGGATTATTATGTAAATGTCAATAAAATCAGGTTGGTCAATAGTGTTGTTTAGATTTGCTTTATCCTTACTTATTTTCTGTCTATTTTTTAAATCAGGTATTGAGAAAGGAGCATTCACATTTCTCCCCCAGTTCTATCAGTTTTGCTGTGTATTTCGAAGCTGTGCTTTAGGCTGCCCACACACTTAGGGTCTACGTGTACATGTACATATACTTTTATTAGATACTGCCAAATCTCCCTGCAGAAATGATATCCCATTTTTCATTTCATCAGCAATGTCTATGGGGAATGATAGTAATGATAGTTTCCCTAAGGCATTATCAAATCTCACTGAAAAAGTGTATTGTCTAGTTTTTTTTTAAATGTTTTTATCTTTTAAAAAAACATTATTTTAAGTTCAGGGGTACAAGTGCAAGTTTGTACTTGTAGGTACATGTAGGTAAACTTGTCTCATGGGTGTTTGTTATACAGATCATTTCAGCACCCAAGTATTAAGCCTAGTACCCATTAATTATTTTTCCTGATCCTTTCCCTCCTCCAACCCTTCACCTTCTGATAGAATCCAGTGTGTATTCCCCTCCATGTGTCCATGTGTTTTCATCATTTAGCACCCACTTATACATGAGAACATGCAGTATCTAGTTTTCTGTTCCTGCATTAGTTTGCTAAGGATAATGGCCTCCAGCTTCATCCATGTCCCTCCAAGTGATCTTATATCATTATTTTTCATGGCTACATAGTATTCCACCATCTATGTGTACCACATTTTCTTTATCCAGTCCATCATTGATAGGCATTTAGGTTGATTTCATGTTTTTGCTATTGTGAATAGTGCTGCAGTGAACACGCATGTGCATGTGTCTAGTTTTAAAAATTGTGTTTTCCTATTGGATGAGCAACAACAGCATCTCTGTATCATTTTAACTTGAATTTCTCTTAGCATGAGTAAAGTTGAACATGTTTTTATATGACAGAGGGCCATTTTAATATTTTTAATTGTGAATTGTCTGTTCATGTTTTATCTATTTCTCTATAGAATTTTGGCCCTTTTCCCTCAATTTCTAGAATTTCTATATGAATTTGGCATAGTAGCCCTTAATATGTGGTCTGCGCTGCATGTTGCCAGTGGTTTCTCCCAGTTTGTCATTTATCTTTTCACTTTGCTTACAATGTTTTGTAATTAAAAATTGATGCAGTAAAATCTATCAATTTTTTTACTGCACTGATATTTCTAGTCAGGCTTAAAAATCCCTTCTTGAAACCCAGGTTGTGAGTAATGTGTGTTTTCTTCTAGTATTTGCAGATCTCATTTTTACATACAGACGTCTGATACATTTGAAATTGATTGTCATACATGGTGTGAGGAATAGACCTAATTTGATCTTTTACAAATTGCTACCTTTTTAGTGATGTTAGACACCACTTTTATTAAATAGTAGATTTTTAAGTGCAGCCAAATCTATTTCTAAACTTTTCATTGTATTCTATTGTGTCTGTTTATGCATGCACGACAACTACATTTATAGAGGCTTTTTATTAACTTTTAACAACGAATGGGATTTGGAGTACTTCTGCTTTACTGTTTTCCTAGCAATTGTTGTATCTTTATTTTTCAAATAACTTTGGATAAACTTGTTTATGTTCATTAAAAAATTCCCATTGAAATTTTTATTAAAACTGCATTAAATTTATAAATTAACTGAGGGGAACTGACATCTTAATGATGTAGAAGTGTCATAACCAAGAACAAGAAACAGCTTTCTATTTGTTCATGGCCTTTTTTTTAATTTTTAAGAAGTATTTGATAATTTTTTATAGATTTTAAACACTTTTATTAAGTTTATAACCAAATGCTTTATGATTTTTATGGCTATTATAAATGGGATTATCTCATTCATTGTATCTTCTAACTGGTTTTTATATGTGAATACAAATGCTATTAATGTTATGTTAATTTTGTATATTGCTACTTTAACTTCTTTTGTGTTTTGGTTTCTTTTACTATTGTTTCAATAGAATTCTGATGAATAATAGTATCATGTCATCTGTGTATTGAGATGTTTAATTTTTTTGCATATTATGTCTCCAATTGTTTTCTGAAGTCCAAGTTCATTAGCTAGTACCTACTGAAGTATCTTAAATAGCAGTGGAAATAGTAGTCATCCTGTCATTGACCTTGACCAAGTCCATTGACTTGGACTGTTTCTGTAGGGCTTTCCCATTAAATGATTATGTTGGCTTTAGAATATTTCTCTCTTTCTCTTTCCCTCTCCTCATCCCGTCTCACTCTATATATCAATAGATAGATGATTGATAGATAGAGAGATGACAGATATTCTACCTTCTTTTCTACATGACTTTTCAATAGTAATAAATTATAGTTATTGTCATACATTTTCATGATCTATGGAGATAGTAATGTAAATTTTCTCCTTGTATTGATTAATATAGTCAATTATTGTGATACATATTCAAATTTTGAAGTAGTTTTGCATTCCTGACATAAAACCTGCTTGAGGTAGTATCTTCTAAATGTAATGTTGGGGTCTTTTGCTAGCATTTTAGTCAATATTTTTGCATGCTTATTTACAGATGATATTTACCTTTAATTTTTTTCTCTGTGTGCTGCATTTATCAGGTTTCATTATCAGTGTTACATTTGTTTCATAAAAATAATTTGAAAGTTTTTCTTGCTTTCTATGTTCTGATGAATTTGTGCAAGATTAGTACTATCTGGTCTCTAAAAGTCTGGCAGAATTTCCTTTGAGATGACCACGACCTACCATTTCTCTTCTCTTTTCTTTTTTATAAAGTAATTTTTAATAACTTTTATTTTTTCTATGAAAAATTGACTGCTTCAGTTTTCTATCTCTTAATAGGGTCAATTTTGGAAGACTGTATTTTGTAAAAATGCATCCCTTTTCTCTAGTATTACCATCATGTATTACCATCAATTATAATTTACCCTGGGCTGGGTATTAGAATAACAATAGTTGTGAGGCTGGCTAGTATATTTTACACCTCCAATTTTCACATAGCAGAATAAACAGTATTTTTCCCTCTTCTTTGGGTGGTTTGTTTGTATTGGATTGTTTTAATTTTAATTTTCTATGTGTCAATAATTATTTCTTCCTCATTTCTTCTTAGTTTATATACTTCTGCTTTATCTTACCTTTTTATAGATTAAATTAGTGATTCATTTATTTTAATTTTTTTCTAATGAAGCAGAATTTGATTTATTTGATGTAAGCTTTTTATTAGTCCTTTACCACACTAATTTATGTTTTTGTTTTTATTTCATACAGTGTACTTTGTTTTAGCTATTCTTTAACACATACATGCAGCCCAGGTTTCTGCATACACAATTAAATATCTTAACATTATTAATCTCATAATTTTCAAATTAAATTAATTGCCTTTGTTTTGAAGAAAACTTCACTTATGAAGTTAGAATTCAATATTGTCTCCTATGACATCTAATGCAGTGCCAGGTATAGAGTCTGTATTATAAAATATATTTTGAATTGGGAAATTATCAGTCAGTTAAATAATATCTTGAAGCCTGATATAAAACAACTTGGCGAAGTGGCTATAGACTATTTCCTAGGTTGAAAGCTTCGTGTTAAGAGTTTATGCACCATGAGGATTGACACAGTTTGGCGCTGTGTCCTCACCCAAATCTCATCTTGAATTGTAATCTCCACAGGGGGAGGAACCTGTAATCCTCACATATGGAGGGAGGGAAGTGATTAGATTACGTGGGTAGTTTCTCCCATGCTGTTCTTGTGATAGTGAATGAATGCTCACAAGATTTTATGGCTTTATAAATGGTAGTTTTTCCTGCTCTCATGCATGCTTTCTCACCTGCCACCACATAAGACGTGCCTTCTTTCCCTTCTGCCATGGTTGTAAGTTTCCTGAGGCCTTCCCAGAGACTCACATGCAGAACTGTGAGTCAATTAAATCTCTTTCCTTTGTAATTTTCCAGTCTTGGGTAGTATTCTTTATAGCAGCGTGAGAATGGACTAATACAAGGGTATATAGCTTTTGCTCTCAAAATTTTAGGTAGACGATAGTCTTATCCATGAAAGCATTAAAGAAAAGGCATAAAATAGTGAGCAAAGTATTATATATAATGTAATCTAATATAATAATAACTTCTAAAATAATTTCTCTAATGGTATCAGGAATGAATAGTTTAATATCAAAACATTGGTGGGTAAGTTGGAGGTGATTATAACCTCATTCCACATAATAGGTCATGTATGTTCTTTAGTAGGGGTGAACCACACCTCAAACAATCAGTAACAATGTTACCAGAGATCTTAATGATTCTTCTCCTAAAATATTACATATCGTAGCGTCATCTTCCTAGACACATGCCACAGCAGAGATTTTCACTATTTTTTATTTTGGAAAACTACTGAGAACTGTACAATTTTATTGCTTTCCTTGGTCACACATCATCTGTTACCTCTCTATGCTTCTCCCAGGTGAGAATCCACTCTAAGAAATGATTTTGCAAATTAAAAGAGCTCTTTTTAAATACACCCATAACACATTATATGTTTAAATAATGGCTACTGATAACTATCCCCCTGTGGCATTTCTGATGCTGTTTTTCACTCGAAACTCTGACAGCATCTGGGCCATGCACTAATCCTATGTAGAAGTAGGTAAGGGCCTGCCAGAGAGGTTAAAACCTGAGTCATGTTGACAGATGGCTTGGAAAGCATTTTCAATTACAGAAAACAAGGAGCTAATGAATAGAGAAGGTATAAACAGAAGATTACAGTAACCGAGTATCTTGTGCAGAAACTATCGTCTGTAACAATGGTGTGAACACACCTATGAAATATGAATAAAATAGATTATACTTTAAGCAAAAGTCTTTTTTTGTAGCACACACATTTTTAGTCTCGGTATTTGTAAGTCGGCATTTCTTCTAGGAAAATCTAAATCATTTGAAGTATTTTCTTTTTGTGGGAGTTTCTATTTTGAATTAAATCAGTGCAGGCCAGTACTGTCTTCCTACTCAAGAAAAGAGTAGAAGATTCAGCATTAGAACACCAGGGTTTGAATCCTGGCTTTAGGTTGCATTGTGTTCTTCGGCAGTTGCTAACACCGACACACCTCAGTTTTTAAACCCATATAATAGACATAATAACCTACATGAGAATAAATTTAAGATAATATATGTGGAGGCACTGGATAAATCTTAAATGTGAATTTTTACAGGCATGTTCTTAAATTGCTCTTCCTGTTACTCTTCTTTATTCTTTGTTTATGCATTTCTGTTGATTTTGTTTGTTTTTATTTCATTTCATTTTAAGTATTTAAGGTGTCCTTTTTTTTTTTTTTTTTTTTTTGAGATGGAGTCTCACTCTGTCGGCTAGGCTGGAGTGCAGTGGCACAATATCAGTTCACTGCAACATCCACCTCCCAGGTTCAAGTGATTCTCCTGCCTCAGCCTCCTGAGTAGCTGAGATTACAGGTGCACGCCACAGTGCCAGGCTAATTTTTGTATTTTCAGTAGAGACGGAGTTTTGCGAAGTTGGCCAGGCTGGTCTTGAGCTCCTGACCTCAAGTGATCCACCCACCTCGGCCTCCCAAGCTGTTGGGATTACAGGCAGGAGCCACTGCACCTGGCCCTACATGACGTTTTGATATACAATATGCAGAGTGAAATGATCACTACAGTCAAGGTAATTAACATATGTATTGTCTCACATCATTATCTTTTTCTGTGTATATAGTAAAACCACCTAAAATCTATTCTTTTAGCACATTTCCAATACACAATACAATAATATTAAGTGTAGCCCTCATGCTGTATCTTAGAGCTCTCAACTTTATCTTGAATAAGTGCAGCCTGTACCCTTTGACCAACATCTCTCATTCCTCCTATCACCATCTCTGAAGGTCTTTCTGTTCCTTTGCATTTAACTTTTATTTAGGATTGCACATTTAAGAGACATCATGCCTATTTTTCTTTTTATGTCCGGTGTATCTCACTTAGCATAATGTCTCCAAGTTCGTTTATGTTGTTGCAAATGACAGGATTTCCTTCTTTATTAGTGCTGAATAATATTCCATCATTTGTGTGTGTGTGTGTATATATACAACTGATTTATCCATACATCAGTCAATGGTCACTTAGGTTGTGTATATATCATAGCTATTGTCAATAATGCTGCAATGGACATGCGGGTGCAGAAAATGGGGATAATAATGGTATCAGTGACATGTGGGTGCTGTGGGA
This sequence comes from Homo sapiens, assembly GCF_000001405.40. Taxonomy (NCBI): domain Eukaryota; kingdom Metazoa; phylum Chordata; class Mammalia; order Primates; family Hominidae; genus Homo; species Homo sapiens. The sequence goes on along the minus strand of NC_000018.10, from coordinate 73,549,813 downwards.
GTTAAAATTTTTAAAAAGTTAAGCTCTTAGCCTGGGCCTAACATACAGCATGTGCTAAGAAAGTTCTAGTTACTGCTAGTGCTGATGTTTTCCTGCTTTTTTATAGTACAAGAGTTACATTTTTCGTATTTACACAACTGTTTCCCATTTGTGTGTTTTGCCATTTGGGGACAGACCCTATGTGGCATTCAAAGTATATGTGAACCTCACTGGGATTGAACAAATCTCATTGTTAAAGTTATAGTTTATGGACTATGGTGTCCTAACTGAGACTAACCTTCCCTGGGAGGAATCAGAATGATTGGGACAGAATGCAGAGGACATAGTAATTGGCAGTTCCCAGATTTGCTGACTGCATCCAAGCCACGTGGCACAGCTCCAGGCACCATGCAGCTCAAGATGTTCAGTGTTTTAGCCACGCAGGAGAAGCGGATGGCAGAATGATAGAGCCCGGTGCTTAATTGTTTTAACATCCTCATTCAAATGCAAGCTGAGTTTCAAAGATAGACATTCTCTTGTATCAACAAACGGCAGATTTTACTGACAAAAATAAATGCTGAAACTACAACCTCAGAGAACCATTACATTGCAAATACTTCATTGAAGTTTGATTCTGTTTTCTCTCAGCTGTGGGGGCATTTATGAAAATGTGAGAGCCACAAAATGATGTTCTGGCATAATATTATCTGTAATCTTCTCCAGGAAGAAGATGCCTGTGAGTACAGTTGGATTTTACTTTAAGGTACTCACAGCGGCCAAATTAATCAGAGTGTATTTTGAGGCAAGTTTTAGCAAGTATGTTCTTATTTAGTGCTGAAATACAGAAAGAATATAATCACAGAGATAATTTGACTATAAATCACTCCTTGTATAAAACCTATCTGACCTAAAATTTCTAAGTTTTCCAGGTAAATTTTTTTAAATTTTAATAACAAATTTAACCACCATATCAATGCTACAGTATAAAATGAACTTAGAATTTTAAGATAGTACTAGACATTTGCCTGTGTTCTGAGCAGGAACATACGCGTGTGTGTGCATGGGCGCGTGTGTGTATGTGCAGACATTCAGACATGTACATTTGCATAACTTTTACATTTTTATATTATACCAGAAAGATTTATCTTGTTACAAAGAGATTTGCTTAACAAACATGGGAAAAAGGAAGGAAAAGAAAAAAAAAAAACAATTGCTTGGGAATAAATTGAGAAAATTATTCAAGAATCAGAGCAATTACTCAGGTCTTAACATTACATGGCCTTAAATAAAGTTTTATTTTGAGTAAGCCAACCTATGTTTATGCCACAGAGAGGGGCATATTCAGAAATTTACATATATCCAGTGATGCATAAATCCATCAAATGCAAGTAGCAAAATTCTGTCTCAAAAAACAGTACTTCTGTTTTTGCTCTTTGTCTTAGAAATGTCTTGTTTCTTGTTAAAGATGAATGAAATGCCTTAATATTTGTTTTAAATGTTAAATAATAATGTAAAATAATTTAACCTGGGTCATCATGCCAGATTGAAATAACAGACTGAGATCTGTTGACAGTGTTAACAACTACTAGTACCCTGAAATCTAACTGATCAAGGAGACATCTTTTGGCCATACATAATTATAATTGACATCCATACTGATGACCACAAGGTTTTATGAAGTATTGAGGCACTTTTGTAATTACTGACCAAAAAAAGTCTATGTTTTTAAAGATAAAATTTATTTTTTCCCATTGTCTTTAAAGATTGTGTTTCTGCAAGATGGGAATGAGACTTGGAAGTTATATTCTTAATAAAGTAACCAGGTAATTATGACCATCAACCAGCTTTAAAAAAACCACAGTCCAAATACAGTAAAAACTAGCTTTTGAGTCACACTATTTCTGTTTTAGCATTGCAGGTTTATAGGGTACTGTATTAGTCCATTCTCATGCTGCTCTGAAGAAATACCTGAGACGGGGTAATTTATAAAGAAAAGAGGTTTAATTGACTCACAGTTTGGCTGGCTGGGGAGGCCTCAAGAAACTTGCAATCATGGCTGAAGGTGAAGGGAAAGCAAGGCACCTTCCTCACAGGGCAGCAGGAAGGAGAGGTGTTGAGCAAATGGGGAAAAGCCCCTTATAAAACCAACACATCTCATGAGAACTCACTCACTATCATGAGAACATCATGGGGGTAACCGCCCCCATGATTCAATTACCTCCTACCAGGTCCTTCCCACGACACGTGGGGATTATGGGAACTAGAATTCAAGTTGAGATTTGGGTGGGAACACAACCAAACCATGTCAGGTACCTTCTGGGAACAAGAATTCTCCTGCCACTTAGTGTAACTTGGTGTTATTCAAACTCTTTCTCAATTTCTCCAGGTTTCAATTAGCAAAAACAATAGCAAGTATAGTGGATTCTCATTATTTCATGAAATCTTTATTTGTGAATTGGCCTTGCTAAGATTTATTTGTAGCCCCCTAACCAACACTCTCAGTCCTTTCATGGTGCACAAAGCAGTAAAAGTTGGAGTCACCTGATGCCAACATTCCCACCTGAGGACAGATAAGGCTATGCCCTGCCTTTTTGTTTCAGCTCTCACAGTAGGAACACATGCTCATTTTGCAGTCTATGTACTGCCGTGATTTTCACATTTGTGTGCTTTTTTTTTTTTTCTTCAGAGTCACTCTGTTGCCCAGGCTGGAGTGCAGTGGCACAGTCTCAGCTCACTGCAACCTCTGCCTTCCGGGTTCAAGCGATTCTCCTGCCTCAGCCTCCTGAGTAGCTGGGACTACAGGTGGAAGCCACCATGCCTGGCTAATTTTTTTTTATTTGTATTTTTTATAGTAGAGATGAGGTTTTGCCATCTTGGCCAGGCTGATCTCGAACTCCTGACCTCAAATGATCCGCCCGCCTCGGCATCCCAAAGTGCTGGGTTTACAGGCATGAGCCACGGTGCCTGGCCCTATTTGTGTGCTTTTTGTTGATGATTCTGCATTTACTATGGCCCCCAAGCATAGTGCCAAACTGCTGGGTAGTGTTCTTAGATACAAGAAGTCAGGGATCAGCTTCAGTTGGGCATGAGTTACAGATCATCAATGAGTTCATAATGTTAATGCATCCATAATATACATCAAAGGAGGTGTCTTTCAAGAAAATCACACACACAAAAAGGTTATGTATAGATTGTTTGATGAAAATGACTGGAGGCTCACAGGAATCTAACCCTGCATTTCCCTTAGGAGCAACGGTTCTGTATTTGTTAATTCGGTGTTTACAGCAGCTTTATAGAACATAACTACCATGAAACATGAAAATCCATTGTATATAATGAATAAATTTACCTTACATTTTAAATTCATCTAAATATAAGTTAATAGTTTGTTTGTGATTCTTAAAGCCTCTTTGGGATTGTATAAAATAGAGCCCAATGAGAAATCTATATAAAAAACATAATCTGCATTTGAATAAATCTGTTTTTCTTAATAGCTATTGTACACATACTATGTAAAATCCATCTTATTTATATAAGAACAATATTTTATTATTGTAATTAGAGTAACAATAATTATTATTGAGTAGTAACTATATTGGCTGAAAATTCCTAGGTGTCCAGAACTATGTATAGCAGAACACATGCATTTTTTCATTTAATCTTCACATTGTACAGGTGAGCACAGGAAGGAACAGAAGTTTTGAGACTTCCCCAGGCACACTGCTGGTAAAAAGTGGACCTATTAATACATATTTTTGTGTTAAGAATACGTTATTTATTAAGTATATATTAACTATTTAGAAATATGTACATATGTGAAGTAGATTAAACATGTATTGGAATAATTGATTTTTTAATGCATGTTGCCTTAGTAGACTGTAACTCATAAAAGAGGATCTCTTGTTTTTCTTATCTTGGCTTTAGTGTGTCTTGTGAACACAAGCCCTCAATACAGAATGGACACATAAATGGGTGTGTGTTGCATGTAAAGTGGGCTTTGAGCCCATAATGTCAGTGTTACATCTTAGAATCACAAGGTAAAGAAATCCTGGGAGTGTTATGTAATGAGGAGCACATTAGTCCCCTCCCTGGCAATAGTTAACATTGTCAATATTGGAAAGTCACTGAGTCAACCTGAGTCACATATTTTAAAGTATACAATGGGGAAACTGTTATCTGTCCTTTGCCTTATTGTAAATTACTTCCACATCCAGGACACTTAACAAATATTAAATAACACATTAGCTGTAAAAACAATGTCAAACACACAGGAGCTGCTGGCTGTGAATCATCATCGTCATCATCATTATCATCATCATCATCATGGTCATCATTTACTAGATTTTGTCATTTTGTCATTGCTTCTTTTAACATTTAGAATTTGTCAACTGTTTTCTTGAACTAAGTTCAAGTATGATTCTTAATGTTCCTGCTTTTTAAACTGGTCTTGCCTGAATTTGTATGAGTTGAACCATTTCTAAGACGTATCATTAAAATTAAAAAGAAGACTTTCAGCAATTTGTATTTTATATGTTTTTACTGAGTCAATTTTGGCTTAATTTCTCATGTCATGTTTGATTACTTATCACTCAAAGCACATCTGAATTTGGCACTAAATATCTCTTTGATCAACCATCTCAGAACATTGGGATTTTCTTAATGGAGTACCTCCCTACATCAGAATAAAATACACTAGCAAATAAAAGCAATGATATTTTATTGTTCTATACATAGCAATCAATTAAATCCTTTTTTAAAAAAATTAAAAATTTCCTTGCAAACTCATCTTGAGTTTATTAGATAACATTCAAAATCCTGGCATTATCCCCCTACAAGCAGAGTTTAGCTTTTCAAATGGCTGGTAGGAAAATTTAACAGCTATATTTTAGACTCAGGCAATTGATTTCCTTTTTATGATGTGATACATTTTAATGCCTGATAAGCTCAATGAGAAAAGAGTCTTCTGTGAAGCATTTACTCAATAAATATTGATGTGGGTTGATTTACAACATTGCGCCCTGTCAGCAATTTATGTTTTTAAGGTAACAAACTTAAAATGGAAACTGCTAAAGAATTTTACTTCTAAGAGTATGTTGAATACTTAGTTGTCTTCTTTTAACTTTCATCTCTGCCTTGTTTGGTGACTAACACCAAATATATTCTGTTCCTCGGGTTGCTTTTTCTATGTGACAAGATGGAAACTCACCAGATATATGGCTTGAAAAGATTTCCCATCCCAGACAAAGTTTCTTGTCTTTCATTGTATTATTGGTCAAATACAAATTCTACAATGACCTTTCATACAATGAAAGAAACATGAAAGTGAGTCCTATGTAGTTAACCACTCAATGCTCTGTTGCCTGTTGAAAAAAGCAATTTTATGTCATAAGTACAGAGTCTAAGCCTGAGACAGTAGCTCTCTATTTCTCTTGAGCCAGTGTGGCTTTAAGTTAGATAAGCTTGAAATGACTGAGAAAATGGGGAAAATCAATGCAGGTTAATACACATTCATTAAGTACCTGTTCTGCAAAGGCATGTGGCAACATTATTCAACATTCGGTAAATATTATTGAGCTGTCTTATGAGTAAATAATTGTTCCAGGTATCTGAGATAAGGCAATAAACAAAAGATACAAAGGCTCTTTGTAAATGCAATTTACACTGTAGTGAAATGAAGTGGGTGAATAAATATGTGTCAGGTAGAGATAAGTCTTGTGAATAAAAAGAAACCACAGCAGGCTAAAATAATACACAGGATATTTTATGTCTGGGCTACCTGTTGTTTGCTTGCTTTATAGACTTTGAGGGAAAACTACTCTAAGGAGGTGATATTTGAGAAGAAACTTGAAAGGAGTGAGGGAATAAGCCAATTAGAAGTGAGAGAAAGAATATTTCGATCAGAAAAAAAACAGCAGGTGGGAACCAACTTGGCATGTTTAAGGAAGAGCGAGATCAATGTGATTGGGAGAAACAAGTGAAGGAAGAGTGAAGGAAACCCAGTCAGGGGCTAGAGTTCAGATTTATTTTACACATGAGGGGAAGCCATTAGAAGGTTTTGAGTGTGGGAATAGTATTCTGTTGTCTTATTTATATTTCAAGGAAGATTCACTGGCTGTTGGGTAAAAAATAGATTGTTGGAACCCATCTTTATGAGCTTGGAGTACTTAAAGTTCCTTAAATCGGACCAAAAGCATTATCCAGAGAGGAAATGTTTGACCAACTGGACCACATGAAAATTAATACCTTCTGTTCATCAAAAGACACCATCAAGCGAGGAAAAAGTCAGCCTGTAGAGAGGGTGGTGATATTTGCAATATGTGTATTGCAATACACACATTGCAAATACACATGTATATGTGTATACAAATACAAACACACATACACACACATATATGTATACAAATATATATACACCAATGTGTGTATATATATGTGTGTGTGTGTGTATAATGCCTCATATCCAAGATATTCAGAATATAAAAATATAAAGAACTAAAAATCCATAAGAAAAGATAACCCAACATAAAGTAGGCAGAAGACATGGGTGTTTTTATAGAAGATGATATATTTGACCGAACAGTAAAATGGAAAGGGGCTCTCAAGTTTATTAGCCATAAGGTTACTGCAAATTAAAATAACAATTTGATGCCACTAGATATGGGATGAGAGGCGAGAGGATCACCTGAGCCCAGGAGTTCAGGGGGGATCCCTTGAGACCAACCTCAGCAACATGGGGATACCTCATTCCTATAAAATATTTTTGAAAAGTAAAAACAAAAGAGCAAATTAAAGTCAATTATGTAGACATAAGGAAATGATAAAGATAATTGTAGAAGTGAATACATACAAATGGATAATTAATAGAAAAATATCAATGAAACTAAAAGCTAGTTTATTTGAATATTATGAATAAAATTGACTAATCTCTAAATATAAAAGAAAAGGAGATACACATTACCAATATCAATAATCAAAGAGGGAACAATACTATTATTTAAGTTATTTATCATATAATACTATGAATAACTTCAGAACAATGTATTTGACAGCTTAGATGAAACAGACAAAATCTTTTAAAAGCACACATTTCCAAAGCTGACTCAAGAAAAAAAAGAAAATCATAATAACTCTATATTTATTAAATAAATTGAATTCCTAATTAAAATTTTCCCACAAATAAAATTCCAGGCCAAGATTTTATCAAACATTTAAGGAAAAATACCAATCTTACACAAAATATTCCGTAGCATACAGGAAAATGGAACGCTTTCAAACTTACATCATGAGACCAGTATTTCTCTGATTTTAGACTCAGGAAGAGCATTATAATAAAAGGGAACTACAGACAAAATCACTCATTAATACAGAGAAAAATAGTCAAAGTTTAAGCAAACTGTACCCAACCATATGTATGTGTGTGTACATACATATAGAGAGACATGCTTTATCCCAGGATATGCGAAGTTTGTTTGCATATATTAAAATTAAGGTAATCTACCATATTAATAAGTCAAAAAAGAAAAAAAGCTTTTAAAAAATCAACACCTATTCATCATAAAATTCTGTCACCAAACTAGGAATAAGAGACATTTTTCAACCTGGTAAAAGGCATCCATAAAAAATAGCTAAAAATAAAATAAAAATAAAAAATATTTAAATAGCTAATATCAAACATAATGATGAGAGACTGATTTTTTCCTAGTTCACTAACAAAACAAAACAAAACAAGGATATTTGCTTTTACTTCTTCTATTCAACATTGTGCTGAAGATCCTAGCCATTACAGTAAGACAAGTGAAAAAAGAACTCATATAGATTGGAAATGAAGAAGTAAAACTGTCCCTATTTGTAGAGAAGATGATTGTGCATGTAAAAAATCTTTAGGCTTCTTAGTGCTGGTAGCACTGATATGTCATTTAGGAAAGTCACAGCATACAAGGTCAATATGAAAAATTAACTGCATTTCTACATTTAAGCAAACAACAATTTGAAAGTGAAAATATTTAAATGATCATTTGCAATGGTATCCCAGAATATTCAGTACTTAATAGAGGTCCCAAGAATATCAAATACATAGGACAAATCTTGCAATACAATATGTGCAAGACCTGTACATGAAACACTACAAAAACTACTTTTTTTAAAAAAATGACCTAAAGTAAATGAAATCGTAATCCACGTTGATGGGTTGGAAGACTCAATACTGTTAAGGTGTTCATTTTTACCCCAAATGATACACAGATCTCTACAATCCTAATCAAATTCCCAGTAGGGTTACATTTATTTATTTGCTTATTGTAAAAATTTACAACTTGTATTTCAATTTACTTGGAAATATAAAGGATCTAGGATACCTGAAGCTACTTTGAAAGAGAAAAACAAAAGTTAGACTTAGATTATATGGTGTTAAGACTTACTTCAAAGCTACAGTAATCAAAACAGTATGTTACTGATGTAGAATAGACATGTAGATCAATGGAAGAAAATAGTCAAGAACAGACATACATATGAGGTCAATTGATTTTAACAAACATTCCAAGGCAATTAGATGGAGAAAGAAAAATCACTCAATCAATTGTTCAGTACCAAATGTGTATGCAGAGGGGAATAAATAAATCTTTATCTTTACCTTAAACCATGTATAATACCATACCTATATCTCTCTGTGATATAAATATATAATATATAAAGAACTCTTGACATTCAATAAGAAGACAAAAATTAAAATAGCCAAAAAATGTGAGCATACACATACAACATATATATATTATATATACACACATATATATCTCCAACAATAGCCAATAATCAAGTGAAAATATACTGAACATCTTAGTTGTCAGGAAAAGGCAAGTAAAAATAACAATGAAATTGAAATTGCTAAAGTTAGAAATAATTGAGAATACCAGTCATTGGCAAGGATATGGAGCAACTGGATCTCTCATGCAATGCTGGGGGAATGTAAAATGGTACAATGACTGCTAAGGGATGCAGTTTGACACTTTTTCATAAGCCTAAACTTACATACAATTCTGCAGTTTCTTTCCTACATATTTACCCGAGAGAAATGAAAAATTATTTCACACACACTTACTTCTGCAGAAATGTTTAGAGCAGCTCTATTGGTAATAGCTCTACCTTGGGAAAACGTCAAAAGTTCTTTAACAGTGAATGTATAAACAAATTAATGTCTGTCTGGCCAGGAATATTACTTGGTTATAAAATAGCCAAAAATATCAATTCATGCAACGTTAAGGAGCAATCTAAAATATATTCCTCTGAGGAAGCCAGATTCAGAAGAGTTTATAGCGTGTGATGCCATTTACATGAAATTCTCTAGAATTTCATGTAAATAGGGACAGAAATTAAAAGTCAGATCACTGGTTGCCTAGAGTCAGGGGTCCAGTTAGATTGACCTTAAAGGGGCACTGGGAAACCTTTTGCGGTGATGAACATGTTCCATAGCTGATTGTGATGCTGGCGGGAAGGGCTTTTAGTCAAACCGTTTGATCTGCTCTCTTCATTGGTGTCCATTTTAGTCTATGTAAATTATGTCTCAAAGTTAATTTTCAAAAGTTTTGGTCAAAAGTGCACTGTTGCTCTAACAGAATTGTCTCCCAGTTTGTGTCTGTGGTATTTGATGAATTAAAATGACATGCAAAAAACTGAGCAGTCAGAAGCAGGGCAGCTGTGGTCTACTTGGTTTCGCTTTGAGAGATTTGGTGAGAAGTTTAAGAGGGGCTTATGGCAAAGAACAGTGTCATTCGTGGAACGGTATGCATTAGTTTTGGAAGAATTGACTTGAACCTTCCCTTTTAAGAAAGAATTTGGTGAAGTTTGCCTCTCCTGCTCATTTGGCCTGCTCTACTAAAAAAAAAAAAAAGTAAAGAAACAAAATCAATAAAAGCCTTGCCCTGGATAAAGGTAGAGCTCACCCTCCTTGTTCCCTGGGTTGAGATTTAGACCGGTGTCAACAGCTTGCTACTAGAATTGCTTTCTTCTATCTCACTGTAACTCATGTGTTCAGCCTGCCCAGAGCAAGGAGAATGAACAGAGCATCTAAGAAAGCACAAACACAGGTTGGATTTAAAGCTGAAAGATAAAGAAATCTCACTTTATTTCTCAGGGGAAATAATCAGTAAAGACATTAGCTAAATTGAAAGAGAGAGGGACAGGCTGTGAAATTTTCATCTCAGTGAGTAGACAAATTAGTTGACCATGTAATTGTCCTATGGCAACTAGGGATTGTTGGAGAATCACTTGGAAGGTGCATCTATAGCTTTAAAATGAAACATACTAACAGGGTCGTATGTTCTTAATTAACTACCCTCAGCTTTGCGGGTACAAGCTCCGAGGAGAGAAAGGAATGAAGAAGCCAGGCTATTGGGTGATTGCGGGACAGGTAATTGGAAATAGGAATGTTTCTTAGCCACAACGAAATCATAGTTTATTCAAGGGACATACCCACACACCTATATTTTTGTTGTTTTCATTGTGATGAATGATTTCTAATTCTCCTGTAGGTCAACCAGTTTTATTTTGTGCTTCCATATTTTTTGAAGTACTATTTCCTCTACCATGGATAATATCTCTTTCTCCACCTATGACATTCCTATTCATTTTTAGAAACCTCACTGAAATATTCGCACTGCTTTAAAATATTCCCTAATTCAACTGGATGTTTTATAGATCACTCTCTCTCAGAACATTTTGTTCATGATCGGAGACTTTACAGATTTACTTATCAATTTGATTGTATGTTGCTTCTGGTACACCATGACTCATGTCCTCGTCCCATTCACTAATCTAACCACTTGGCTGCATCTCCATTTAGCCCTTTTTGTTAGGGTTCTCATAACATTCCCAGTCACTTCTCTTCATTTTGCAAGGAGGCTATACCTTGTCTACAGCGGTGTTCTCAATCAGCACACAGAGAGTCCTCCATTCAACCTTCTAGAATTCAATATTTGTCAATATCACTTAACTTTAGTTAACTGAATTAAGTCACTGTATAAATCAATGTGGTGGTATGTTAAGCAAATGTATTCCCTACCTAACTGAAACTCATATTCTGCTCATTTCCTGGGTCTTATCATGAAAAGTTTTTCATCTTCATAATATTGAATTAAACGACATGGATTTGTAACTATACCATCTCATCTCTCTCATCCTCCCACTTCACATTTAGTACAACTTTTAAAAGGTAAATTTATTGAGATATTAGAATCTCAAATCTTTCCCTTTCTCCTAGTCCATTATCCTTTGTACACACAGTTAAGGCAGAATATGAAGGCATAAAAAGTGTGAAAAGTGAGAAGAAATTTCATTATTGCAGAGAAACCTAGTGTCCAAGAAAACCACCCTGCTCAGAAGCAGGATCTGCAGAAGTGGATTCTACAATTTTCATAGTCTTAAGAGAAAAATGTTGCTGTTTCTATTTCTGCTTCTTCTTTGACTACTTTTATTAACTAGCTAGGATTTATTGAGGGCTTACTATAAGCCTGGTATTTTTCTTGGAATTGGTACACATGATCACATCTAATTCTCTACAACAATGGTTATCAAAGTGTGTTCCCTGGACAAACCGGCAGCATCAGCAACCCTGAGAACTTGTTAATAATGCAAATTTCAGGTCCCAGCCCAGTCCTACCAAATGAGAGATTTGGGATGAGGCTCAGTAACACGTTTTTCCATCACCCCAGATGATTTTGAGGCACACAATGAATGTGAGAAACACTGGAATGAAAGATCATTAAATTTCATGCTAATGGGGGATACTTTGGTTTATTCCAGATAGATGTAAATGCCAAAGAGTTTAATATTTTGTTGAAGTTTTTGATGTTTTCTCTATTATTTTCTTCAATATCTCTGGAATAGTTCTTAATCACATCATGGTATGCGCAAGCCTTGCAGACCCCAGTTAGAACAGCTTCATTGTGCTTTTAGAGCGTTTGAAACCACTTAGCCTGATTGTAATTTTATTTTCATGCAGCTGAGATACCATACATGTTCATATTGCTGACCTTGAGTTGCATAACAAGGACAGTATACATTTTATTTAAAACCTTGATATAATCTCTCAGTGTTCAATTAATGTGGTACTATTGGACTGGCAGTTTTAGGTAGCCCAAATAACTATTTGTATGTTTAATTAGGCATCGAGTTGAAATAGCGAAAACTTTTATTTAAAAAATTAACTTTAAGTCTTCTGCAAACAAGTGTTAGAATGCCCAGTTAAAATAAATTTTTGAGAAGTAGCTTATTTAACATAGGTAAATTCAATTTTTAGTAATCTCATTAAAATAATAATAATGCAATCCATGTCGTAATATAAGAAAATAAGGAAAAAATCGAAAATGTTTATATATATATATATAGATTTTCCAAGTAGATTTTTACATAGGAAAATTGGTTAATACAAACCAATACAACATTTTTACTACGGGGCATGTTAGAATTGTAAGGAAGCTTACATCTTCTGACTTTTGTCATGGCTAAACCCAAGTGACATGCTGCAAAAACATAAAGGCTTCCCAACCCCCACCCCCCCCAAAAAAAATCAAACTTTGTTAGGACTGAGAAATGTTGAAAACAAAACAACACAAAAGGTATTTTCTGAATAAAATGCCAACGCAGGTGGCAACTAGTAGAAAACAGACTGCTTGTGGTTACTGCTCCTCCTTATGATAACTGAAGTGTTACCTTTAATAAACAGGAAGCTGGGAACGAGAATAATTCTAGAATTTCAGAAAAAAATAATTACTTTGAAATTAAATGCATGAATTCACTATCATTAATGACAATGGACAATTTAATCACTGTTAAATTGATTAATCATTATTAAATAGAACCTCATAGTTATATCTGGACTATCACGGAGAAAACAGTTACACATACTGTACCTTATAAAATTATTAACAGATCGGAATTTGACACTTTAAGTACAAATAGTTAAAATATCCTCTTGAAGAAATTCATATAAGGGTAGCATATTCTCACTTATGTTTTGAAAGGTGATTTAAAGAATTAGAAAAAATGTACCACAAACTTTAGACGTCCAAATGAAGCCACTTATAACTTCACAACAACCTCTACTGTAGGATTTCCAGTGGACTTAAAAGAGGCTGTGATCAATTTGAAATCAGATTAGAGCCTTTGGCATCCACTCTCTTCTGGTATTTCTCTGGCCCTTAGGTGTTTGGACTTTGGGAAGTCCCTTCTCCTGAAGGCTTTATCCCTTTTGAGTGCAATTATTGTCTATTTCTGGGCCCAGGTGAAAACACTGTCTCATCAGGGAGTAAACTGAGACTCAAACCTGACAAGTCCATCTAGTAGTGGATGAAAATGTGGGAAAACTCAAGAAATATCCATTGTAAAAAGGCAACAATACGTGGCTGGAGGGCCCACCTTTTTAATCCCCAGACCTCAGGCACGTTCGTGAATAGGTCATTCTCTGCACAATAAGGACCGAGAAGACCTAACTTCTTACTTGGGAAGGGGGAAGGTTGCTTTTAAAACCTGCAGCCTGGGAGGAAATCTATTTAGCTAATGAGACAGCCTTCTCTTGAGGCAGGCACAATCTAAGATGCTGTAGCTTATTATAAAATTATTAATGACATGACATGTAACCATGAGGATGTGTTGCTGAGGACCAATGGCCTTGGCCTCTCTGTCACAGAGCAGGATTGATGAATCCTTGGACTTGCACACAGAGGCTATTAGGCAAGGCCTTTATAATTCTTTAGTAACTTTAATTTATTTGCTGGGATTCTCCATTTCTTCATTTGTTTCAAGATAATTCAAATTGTTCATTGGAGCATTTGAATGATGGCTGCTCTAAATTTCTTGTCAGATAATTCTAATATCTGATTCATTTTGGTGTTCATTTTCTCATTGGCAACAGTGGATTGTCTATACTATTCAGGTTGTGCTTTTCCTGGTTTGTGGTATGATATCTGCTTTTTCATCATATTCTAGACATTTTGGATGTTGGGAGACTTTGATCCCATTTAAATATATTCTAGCAGACAACTTAGACTTATTTTGCCAAACTTTTTTTTTCCTGAACTTTCTTAAGGTTTAGCTTGTAGGTCTTGTCTTACTTTTATAAGCTTTATATCCAATAACAGTTTTCAGAGTACTTGCAATAACATTCTGGTACGCTTTCAGTCTTCTGATGTCTCCGGGTCTCTGATTTCTGCAGGTGCCTTTGGGTAGGAGTAAAACAAATATTGACCCTAATTTGCTTTCTGATTCAAGGGGAGGTTCAGGGGAATGCTGGCCCTGGGCCATTTTCTGCTGCAGAGCGGAGGTCCCAGGGATATCAGGCTAGCTGGCACTGCCCAAGGGCCACCCACACCACTGAGAATAGGACGGGTGATGATGGGTAGGTAGCTGCCCAGGCTCTGCTGAAGTTGATGCTGCTGGCAGATTGAGTCACCACCACCTAGGCTGGGGAGGGCGGCTGGGGAGGGCAGCTGCTCAGGCTGTTGTGGCTGGGGAGGCCTGCTCTTCCCCACGTGTGCCCAGGCATGGATCTCCCTGCCAGGCCTCTGCTGGTCTGTCCCTTTCCCGCCACTTTGTCCAGAGAGAAGCCAGATTTTTTTTTTTTTTGACAGAGTCTCACTCTGTCACCCGGACTGGAGTGCAGTGGCACAATCTCAGCTCACCACAACCTCTGCCTCCTGGATTCAAGGATTCTCCTGCCTCAGCCTCATGAGTAGCTGGGATTACAGGCGTGCACCACTACTGCTCTGCTAATTTTTGTGTTTTTAGTAAAGACAGGGTTTCACCATGTTGGCCAGGATGGTCTCTAACTCCTGACCTCAAATGATCCACCCATCTCGGCCTCCCAAAGTGCTGGGATTATAGGCGTGAGCCACCGTGCCCGGCCCAGGTTTGTTTTTGTTTGTTTGTTTTTCCTATTCTCTTTTGGTCTGCGCCTGTTGTTAGTTTCAAAGTCCAAGACCCTGGTTCCCAGTCTGAGATATAAGGGAGATAAAGGGGAAGCTTGCCGAATTCACCTCAGTGTCACCAAGTCCAGGGATCCCCAGGTAGCCCTCCTCTTTTTCTCCATCTTTCAGAGTAATTTTATCTCTGTTGAATTATTTCCAAGGACCAAGGTGGCCTCCATGTTGCCCTTAGTTTGACCAAACCTCAGATAGGCTTCCTGCTTGTAGGCCTGAACTCCCCTTCACCAGCCCTTACGGAATGCAGTTACCCTAACCACAGAGGCCTTTTCACTCCTGTTCCTTAAAACATTTGCTTTAGAAAACTGGTTATTATCATCACCTGTTTAAGATGTAAATCTTTTAAAATGCTCCTTGGCAGTTTTGTAACCCAGAACTCTCTTTTCAAGCACCTGGGAGCCACCCCTTTGACATGTAATCAGAGAAGCTAGCGTCCCCACCTCCCAGTCTTTGGGAGAGGGTAGAAGCCTAACTTCCTTGCTGTAAGTTGTACAACTACCTCCTGCAAGAAGATAAGAGGAAATGTACTTTTCCTTTGCATAAGGCCAATTAGCAAACACAGATGGCCTCAGATACTCTCTCCAACTCCAGCTCTTCTTTCTGGGGGCTGAGTCCTGACTTTTCTCTCATTGCAGTAGCCTGGAATACAGCCTTCCTTAGCTGGTTACCTTGGTCCAGTGCAATATTTGCCTCTAGATTCATATTAGAGTTTCTTGCTGGGAAGCCCTACCCAGTTTTTTTAATATGTATTTGGGCTCTGAAAGCCCTCACTGGTTTCTCTCTCTTCCCCCTGGCAAACTTGCTTTATAAGAATGCAAGGAAGGTTTTGGAGGTGATGGGTATGTTTATCGCCTTGATTGTTCTGATGGCTTCATGGGTGTGTAACTGCCCAAGGAGTTCACCTTGCCGGCTGCCTAGATAGAACCAATTTATCAAGACGGGAATTGCAATGGAGAAAGAGTAATTCACGCAAAGTCATCTGTGCAAGAGACCAGAGTTTTATTATCACTCAAATCGGTCTCCTCAAGCATTTGGGGATCAGAGTTTTTAAAGATAATTTGGTGGGTAGGGGCTTGGGAAGTGGGAAGTGCTGGTTGTTCATGTTGGAGATGGAATCATAGGGGATCAAAGTCAGTTGTTCTTGCTGGCTTCTGTTCCTGGGTGGGATGGCAGAACTGGTTGGGCCAGATTACAGGTCCAGGTGGTGTCAGCTGATCCACCAAGGACAGGTTCTGCAAAATATCTCAAGACTTTTTTTTTTTTTTTTTTTTTTTGAGACAGAGTTTTGCTCTTGTCGCCCAGGCTGGAGTGCAATGTCACAATCTCAGCTCATTGCAACCTCCGCCTCCCAGGTTCAAGCAATTCTCCTGCCTCAGCCTCCGGAGTAGCTAGGATTACAGGCATGCACCACCACGCCTGGCTAATTTTTTGTATTATTAGTAGAGACGGGGTTTCACCATGTTCGCCAGGCCTGATCTTAGGTTTTGCAGTAGTGATGTTATCCCCAGGAGCAATCTGGGGAGGCTTAGATGCTTGGAGCCAGAGGCCGCACAACCCCTAAACTGTAATTTCTAATCTTGTAGTGAATGTGTTAGTCCTGCAAAGGCAGACTAGTCCCCAGGCAACAAGGGGGTCTTTTTGGAAAACGGCTGTTATCAGTTTTGTTTCAGAGTCAAACCGTGAACTGAATTCCTTCCCAAAGTTAGTCGACCTATGCCCGGGAATGAACAAGGACAGCTTAAAAGTTAGAAGCAAGATGGAGCCAGTTAGGTCTGACTTCTTTCACTGTCATAGTTTCCTCAGTTATAATTTGGCAAAGGCGGTTTCAGGCGTGTGCATATGTTCAAACTCATCAAACTGTACACTTTAAATTTGCACAGTTCTTTCTATGTCAATTACACCTCAATAAAGCTGTTTAAAAAACGTACAGGGGCCCAGCTTTGAATATGCCTTTCCTTCTTCCTCTCTTTCCCTCCCTCCCTCTCTACCTTCCTCCCTCTTCCCTTCTCCTCTGCTTCTCTTCTCTTTTTCTTCAGTCTTTCTTTCTTTTCTTCATTCCTTTCTTTTTCAAAAACTCTTTGGGAGTTTTCTCAACCAAAACTTAGATGAAAATGTAAGAGGACATTTGATTCCCTCTAGGTACATCTGCATTTGAAGAAGGAATCACTTCTTTCCTCTCCCAAATGACTCTTATAAAACTCTTTCAGCCATTGGAAGATTTGGTAAGTCTGAGATATGAGACCAAAGTGATTTTATCTGTTTTTATTTAGGGTAGTAATATAAAGTCAAAGGTTGTTACTGCCTATATGTTTAACAAAGATTTCCCTTGGCGAGAATTGATCATTACATATTTAGATCAACATTTTTTTCAATAACATATTATTAAGGATAGTGTTAAAATTGCCCTTCAGAATACCTTAAATTGCCACAAGAGAACAATACGGGTGCCGTGTCTTTATGTCCAAGTCAGGACATCTTTTTCCCAAATCATTTGAACAGATCACTATTACTAAACTTGAACACAAACTAAATTATTTGTGCTATATTTGGGAGGCAGGTTGTCAAGAAAGCATATTGTATTTTTGAACACTATAATCACACCCTCAACAGGTTAAAAAAATAAATCTCATATTTTGTGAGGCTAAATGAAAAAGCACAGACTTGAGTCTCCCATCTGTTAACGTAAATTAAAATGGGGACCAGGCCTGCAGAAGCCCCAAGCAGACAAAGCCTGTTAGGCCTCGTGACACCAACTTTGCTTGATTTGCAAACATAAGTGAAATGAGCTATTTCTTGTAATTGCCTATTTTGAAAAACAGAACATAGGCTCAACCAACCAAAAGGAGCCAACAAACTTACAATTATGTAACTAGAGACTTTCCGGTGGAATAGAACAAATAAGGCAACTTTGTAACCAATCACATATCTTCTTTGCGTGGCTTCTTCCTTCATCCTATAAAAGAATGACCCTCATGCTCCTTCCATGAGGGCTCCAAACCACTCTTGGCATAGAGCTCCTACTTCTGGAATCATTATTTGCTCAAATAAACTATTAAGAATTTTATTGTGCCTCAGTTTTGTTTAGCTTGCCTTTTAATACATTTCATCGTCAATAAGAAGTGTATGCTTATACTGCATATCAAAATCATCTCTCTCTCTCTCTGTCTTGCCATGCATGTGTACAGTTAGGTTTTGGGGGCCAATAAATAACAACCTGCTTTGCTTTCTAGGGTCATGATCTCCTGAGTGATAAAGGCAGAAATTACATGTTTTGGTATCACAATATCTGCTTTATTACCAATAAAGCTGATCAGAAAATATGGCCTTGGATTTGCAGCTGACTTCACTGACTAATAAGCCTTCCCCTTTGATAGAGACAGATGAATGCACCATCCCCAGGCAGTGTTGAAAAACCACACACCATAGAGGCCTCCCAAAAGGACAGACCCGGCCCTTCGGAAGCTTGCTGCGTAGGGCAAAAAGTGCAGAATGGGAAAAAGTGGGCTTTTCCTTTATCCCAAACCAGAGATATGAGAACACAGAGAGTCTGGGAAGGTTCCTCCACATGAGAGGCCAGGAATATTCTTTCTTTTTGTTTTCTTTCTTTCTTTTTTTTTTTTTCTTGGTAGACACAGGGTCTCACTGTGTGGCCCAGGCTGGTCTTGAACACCTGGTCTCAAGCAATTCTCTTCCCTGGCCAAGTATCTTTCTCAATGAGAGTTCCGAGCTTCCTATATTCCCTTCTCTTCAATACTCTTCTGTGGTGTGTGCCCAGCTGGTAGGGTTGAGCCCATGTTGCTTCAGGGTCACAATCTGGTCCCAACCTTGCTGCCTGGCATTCTCCCTCTCTGAGGGGTCTCACTGGGCTCTGTGCCAGTGAATCTGCTTCCTACCTTCCCTCTACTTGGCTTTCTCCCTTCCATTTTCATCTACTGAAAAAATCCTGATCATAATTTTTAAAGTATCTATCCCATAGTGTTGTGATGGAAATTGCATAAATTATATTGAATAAACTAATGATCATGGGTTAGACGAGGCTTTTGGTGATTATTATTGGTATTTTTCAGGGTGCTATTCAGGCACGATGCTGTCCAAAAAACACATTCCCTTTCTCAGCAAGTGGAATGGATTCTCCTCCTCCTTCATCCTCTCCCAGCACCTTGACCTTGTGTCTACCACGGAAAGGTCTTCATTGACTGCCTCTCCCTGGTCCCTACCATTTCCCCTGTTGCAAGGTCATACTTTACTCCCACCTCCACCCTCATAACTGAGCCCAGAGTTGACAAATAATCGCACTTAGTGTTTGGGGAATGAATTTGCTCCTCATTGGTTGAGCTCACAAAGCCTCCATCAGATTCCCCTTCTCGGCTTACCTTAGCTCCCCGCGTTCCTCTCTGTCCTCCTTCTTTCCTGATATGGTTTGGCTGTGCACCCACCCAAATCTTAACTTAAATTGTATCTTCCAGAATTCCCACGTGTTGTGGTAGGGACCCAGTGGGCCGTAACTGAATCATGGGGGCTGGTCTTTCCTGTGCTATTCTCGTAATAGTGACTAAGTCTCACGAGATCTGATGGGTTTATTAGGGGTTTCTGCTTTTGCTTCTTCCTCATTCTCTTCTGCTGCCACCATGTAAAAAGTGCCTTTCACCCTCCACCATGATTGTGAGACCTCCCCAGCCATATGGAACTGTAAGTCAAATTAAACCTCCTTTTCTTCCCAGTCTCTGGTATGTGTTTATCAGCAGCGTGAAAACGGACTAATACATTACCTTTCTTATTCTTTTTGTCCATTCTTCTCCACCATCCTAATTCGGATGTGGATGCTTCTGTAACCATGGTGAAGGTGATGGCAGAAAGAAAGAGGCATTGATGTGGAAAATCCTCTATCCTCTTCTTCCAGCCACAGCTCTGAAATGGAGGAAGTTTGGAAGCATGTTGGTCACTGGCTGCTGAGGCCTGGACCTCCACTTTCACTGTTGATCTCTTCTTTTGGTAACAACCAGTCTTTTGCAAAATCAAATGAGAGGAGGCTGAAAAAGAGCTGAGCATTGCTGGTTCCGTAAGTGAGAACTTTTTATATTGAAATAATAATTCTAGTTTTAAAAGACAGAGAGAGCAGGAAGATTAAGACATATTAACATGGTGATAGAAAGCCAATAAATCGTGCTAATGCTTTCCAGTACAGCAGTGAGATGGTTTTAGCCATTTTAATGACCAGCTTATAATTAAGAAAAAGAGGGTATTTCAGAACTAAAAGATAGAACATGTAATTATTTGAAAGAGTTATGGCCTTTGTCTAGGTAGAGTGGTATAACAGGACTTCCCCTGAGAAATTATGACCAGCACCGGTCTTGGTTAACCAGGGCAGAACCTGTTAATATGCTTGGGAGTATCACTAACCCGCTTTAAGTAGATAAATACCTGCAGTGTCTGGTAGCAGACCTCATGGTGTGTGCAAAGTGGTTCCTGGAGCTGCTCTGAAAAATGACAGCTCAATTTTATACCATCCTCCATTGCACAGCCCTGGCCTTCCAAAATGAAGAACAGCAGGCCTTTCCACAAGAATTCCTCTGCTGTCAGTAAGAATTCAAAACACTGTGCACCAGGAATCGGACTTGGAATGGTGGTTGTTGTACTTCTTCTTTTTTACCTCAATGGTGGAATATCTTCTATAGACCCGAGGGATCAGGAAGACCATGAGTGGAGTGAGGAAAATCCAAAGGAGACACAGACTTTGGGACTTAGATAAGGAGCCCATTTCTGTGTGCATAATAAGAGAGGGATTTTGTGAATCATAAACTTAGATTTGTCAAGTATGTAACTTTATTTATTTATAAAGAAAATTTACTTTGCTTTTGAATCTTAATTTCTGTATGTTAAGTGGAAAATCTAATTTTGCTAAACCATCCTAAATTACTTCTTGTGAAAAAGTCAGTTTCTAGAGAAAAAAATAATAGGATGATTCAGGATTCGCCTGTGTCTCCCTTCTTGCCTAACTGCCCCAGGTAGTGAGCTGAGTGTTGGGGGCAGGGGTGACTGGGGTGCCTCCGTGTCACCCTGTGCCTGAGCGAGTGGCGTGGAGAGCCACCGTGTCACCCTCTCCATACGTGGCCCTCGTTAGATGGTTAGATGAGCTTCCTTTCCTCTGGTCCTTCTCATTGTTCACTGATATCTGCTGGTCCTGTCAAAGCCTCCAGCTGCAGGACTCCCCACTCCCATCCCCGCTCCTTTTTCAGCCCAGGTATTTTTGGTTCTGCTGCTCTTCTCTCAGAGTCTCCCTCCTGTCTGGCTGGGGGGACAGGACCTGCCACCTACATTCCTCATGCCCTGCTGGGAAGCCGTGGATTCCACCAGTTCTTTGTCAGGCCCATCCTCTCAGTCTTATTTCTCATCAAAGGTTTAGTGCTGCAGCCAGGTCAGCGCCCGTGCAGACGCGGCCTGCCTAAATGACTCCCATTCTCAGCGCAGGTCCACCTGCTGCGTTCTCTCTTAGTTTAAAAAGAAGTCCACTCAGAAACATAATTCTTTGTTTTATGCTATGTGATTTTCCTTCTGAGTTAATGAATAACTCTGAATCAGTGGGTAGAGGCCATAAAATGATAAGAAAATAGTGCTGTAATAAACATTCATGTGCATGTGCCTTTATAGTAGAATGATTTATATTCCTACCAACTCAAATGCCCATCAGTGATAGACTAAATACAGAAAATGTGGTACATATACACCATGGAATACTATGCAGCCGTAAAAAGGAATGAGATCATGTTCTTTGCAGGGACATGGATGAAGCTGGAAGCCATCATCCTCAGCAAAGTAACACAGGAACAGAAAACCAAACACTGCAAGTTCTCACTCATAAATGAGAGTTGAACAATGAGAACACATGGACACAGAGAGGGGAATAACACACACCAGGGCTTATTGGTGAATGGGGGGCTAGGGGAAGGAATGTAGAGGACACGTCTATAGGTGCAGCAAACCACCATGGCACACATGTATACCTATGTAACAAATCAACCTGTTCTGCACATGTATCCTGTTTTTTAGGAGAAATAAAGAGAAAGAAATTTTTTTTAAAAATGAGAAGAAAAATGGAGAGAAAGGAAAAACACTGTCCTCTTGAAGTAGCACATCACATTTACACAACGAGTTTAACATCTGTATGGAAGCATCTGGAAATACTTGGGAACATGCAATGCTCAGGGTGCCACATGGAAAGGCCATCTAGATAAGACTATCCAGAAGAAAATAAAAACAAAGAATGGAGAAGCATGCCAATGAACTTGAGGGTGCTTGGATTTGGGGGACAGGATAGAGAAAGACACAAAAGGAAACAGTGGAGTATGAAGATCTAGCAAAGTTAGAGCCTTTCCACAATCAGTGTGGGAACCAGGGGAGGAGGGAGACAATGGTCCACAACCAGCGGGGGCAGATGTTAGGGATGGGAGAAGGAAAGGTCAACAGCATGCATTGAGCATCAACAATGTACTTTTGTTAGACTAGACACTGTGGGACTCTTCATTCAAGTTTATGGGAAATGTGTTTGGCACGTTTTCACAGGAGGAAATGGTGATTCCACTGGGTTCAGAGAGAAAAAGTTCCTTTCCCTGAGATTCCTGGTCTTATAGGTGGAAAAGTTGAAATGCGTATCTATTTCTATAATCTCCATTATGTATTTCTTTTCTTTCAGCAGTTAATACCAGCTTATTGCATAGCTTTTTTACCCCATAAACGACAGAACTATAGTTGGGAAATACTGCATTTAATTATATTTTATTAGAATAAGGAAGACTTTTTTTGTTTATTTCAAATAAAATGACAGAGAGCAGGAGGGGGAGAGGGAAAGGAGGAGGGAGAAACAGGAAGAGAAAGAAGAAAAAGAAGGAAAAGGAGGTGAAAACAGGAGGAGAGGAAGAAAAGAAAGAGGAAGAGAGGAGGAGAAGAGGAAGGGGAGAAGGAGAAAAAGAGGAAGAGGAAGAGGAGAGGAGGAGGAGGGGGAGAGGAGGAGCATCATTCAAATTAGATGGAGAAGGATGTAATTGATGGTGCATTGCCCCAGGAAAGTGAAAGAAAGTGGTAGAAAAATACAGGGGAAGGATTTTACTTTCCTGGAGTAAGTAACTTTTCTGCATAAACAGGAAGAGCCAATTATATTTGATTCAAATAAATTTGAAGTAAAGAGAGAGGGTGTTCCAGCTTTCTGTGAAGAGGCAGTTGGAGTATGCTGGTTGCTTAAGATAGGGTTACATTTAGGGAGAATCACTGTCAAGCTGGTATGAGGAATGAACGGGGAGGAAGAAAAGAAAATAATTGAATTTCACTAAGGGCCTTGAAGAAAGGCGAGTATCACACTGTGATTTTCTCTACATTCTGCTTCACACATATTTTTTCACTTATAACATTTATATGTTGGGTGTTTTGGTCTCTTAAGTGGGCTAAGTGAAATTTTTACAAGGCACACAGAACTCAAATAATTGCAGTTGCCATAATCAGGTACTGTTTTCACCAGGAAGGATAAAAAAAGAAGGGAAGGAAAAGAAAATATTAGTGAGGAATCTATATTTTACTGAGTGTTTCATAGGGAAGATAAAAGAGTGTGTTTGCTTTATAGACTCTCTAAGAATACTTCCAGGACCTCTGGGAGCCTCTAATCTTCCTAATACAGCAACTCCTCCTCTTTCTGATCTTCCTCAGCCCACAGCTTTACGTCCACAGCCCCTGCCTTCCTGTTCTCAAATTATCATTAAGAACATCATTCTCCACCACAGCTCCAGGTCAGTCCCAGTGAGCCCAGCCAGCAAGGGATCTTCCCGGCGCAGGAACCTCCATCCTATGAGGACACTGAAGGGGCTACACATGACACCATCAATAAAAATTGTCTGTGACATAAAAATTCATATATTTTAACACTGCTGTTTTCTTGCAAATATTACAGAGTAGGAACCCGTAACTTGTAATGCTTACATTTAGTCTATTATATAACAAGAAGATTGACCTAAAACTCTTTAAAGAGGAAAAGTATCTAAAATAAAAATGAATAAATCCTGAAACATATCTTTAAAAATACCAATTCCCTTTGGATATATAATCAATAATAGGATTGCTGTATTATATGGTCATTTCATTTTTAATTTTTTGGGAAACCTCCATATTGTTATTCATAATGGCTGTACTAGTTTATATTCCTATCAACAGTGTGTAAGAGTTCTCTTTTCTCATCATCCTTCCCAGCATTTATTATTTTTCTTAATTACAGTAATTCTAACTAGAGTGAGGTGGTATCTCATTGTGGTTTTGGTTTGCATTTCCATGATGATAGTGATGTAGAGCATTTTTTCATATATCTGTTGGCCATTTGTATGTCTTCTTTTGAAAAATGTTTATTCATGTGTTTGCTTATTTTAAAATTGGATGATTTTGTGGGGGGGGAAGGCCAGATACAGGATCAACCTAAACATCCATCTAATGATGAATGAATAAAATAAATGTGTTATATATACATATGTACAAATATACACATACATACAAATATACACATACATATACAATTTGGTGTATATCCCCCCCACACACACAAATATATATACACATATACACAATGGAATACAGTTTATCCATAGAAAATCATGAAATCCAGCATGGATGAACCTAGAGGATGTTACGTTAAATAAAATAAGCCAGGCACAGAAAAGCAAATAATGCATGATCTCACTCATATACGGAACCTGAAAAAGCTGATTTCATAGGAGAGATTTCATAGAAGTAGAGAGTAGAATAGTGATTACCAGAAGCTGGGGATGGATGGTAGGGAGGAGGGGAGACCAGGAGAGGCCGGTCAATGGGTACAGAGTTACAATTAGGAAAAATATATTTTTGTGTTTTATCACACAGTAGGGTGACTATAGCAAATGACAGTGTATTGTATGTTTCAAGACAGCTAGAAGAGAAGATTTTGAATGTTGCCACCACAAAAAAAGATAAATGTCTAAAGTGATGAATATGGTAATTACCCCCATTTGATGTAGTGTGCATACATGCATTGTAACATCATATTGTAGGCCATAAATATCTACAATTATAAATTTTAAAATTATAAATTTGAGTTAAATAAAAATAAAAATACAAAATATAGAGATTTACATAGTCCATTTTAATGACTCACTAAATACTAAGTAGCTAGAGATACTTTGGAATTTCTGTTCTTGTGATATCACATATTTTAATAACAGACATTAAAATATGTACATAATTATTAAAATCTGGGTTTTTACATGTCTTTGCTTTTTAATTACTTTGTTTTAATTTTTTAATTTCAGTAGGTTTTTGGGGAGCAGGTGGTATTTGGTTATATGGATGCATTTTTAGTGGTGATTTCTGACATTTTGGTGCACACATCACCCAAGCAGTGTACACTGTACCCAATATGTGGTCTTTTATCTCTCACCTCCCTCCCACCCTTTCCCCCAAGTCCCCACAGTCCATTCTATCATTCTTATGCCACTGCGCCCTCATAGCTTAGCTCCCACTTATGAGTGAGAACATACAATGTTTGGTTTTCCATTCCTGAGTTACTTCACTTAGAAAAATGGAATTTCTTTAACCAATATCTCCTGATTAATAGTTTTCTTTATTTTGCTCCTTGTTATCTACTATAAAGATACTATAACACATGTCCTTCATTTAAACCTTTCAAAATTGTGCAATTATATCCTTGGGAAAAATTTATGAAAACTAGGATTTCTGTAATGTCAAAGGGGAAAAGTGTCATTTACTTTTGTATCTCGTGGAGTGCCTGAAGAAAAACCTTAAAAATAATAGATGTTTAATAAATAGTGGCTGAATGAATGAATTCATGAGTAAATTAGTGGTTGGTAAATTAATGATTGGTTACTAGATGGGACTACTTATTTTCATAGAAAAATCCTGCAAGAATTACAAAGAAATAAATAATAAGGCATGAAATGTACAGGGTAAAAGACATAAATAAATAAAACATATAAATTTCCCCCTGATAAATATATCTGAAAATGTTGATAAATTATTATTACTCATAGTCATATTGTAAGTGGAAAAAAATGAATATAAAAGAAAATAATGTTCTTACTTTTTTACTGTACCAATTGGTATGTACTGAGCATTTCGTCTCTAAAGAAAATTTTAATTCTTTTTCTATGACAACTGGAAGGTGACATATTTGGAAGTGTAAAGAAATGTTGCCACGATTAAACATGTGACGTAACTCTCACACTGATAAATTTTTTAAAAACCTGCCATGTACAAATTAAATTAACGTATTTGGTGGTGTTTTACAACTGTATTAATAATCGTTTTATTTTTAATAATTTTTATTGTGTATATTTAAGGTGTGTAACATAAAGCTTGGATATGCCTATACATAAGTCATTGCTACAGTCAAGTAAATTAAAATGCCCATCACTTCATATAGTTTTCCTCCATCCCTCCCTTCCTTTCCTTTCCTTCCTTCCTTCCTTCTTTCCTTTCCCTTTCTTTCTTTCTCTTTCCTTCCTCCCTTCCCTTCCTCTCTCCCTCCTTTCCTCTCTCTCTTCTTTCTTTCTTATACATATCTTGGCAAATAGCTCGACTATAGTCCTTATGTTGTTCATTAGGTCTCTCAGAATTATTTATCCTATATAACTGTAATGTTGCATGTTAAGAACTCCCACCATGAGAAATGAAAAAACAGCTATGTAAAAATAATATAATTTGTAAATTTAAATGACAGATTATTTGGAATAAATGCCTGTTCTATATAAAGATGTTGGCTGATGATATACTTACCACTCCTCTCCCAAATCTTGAGATATTTAAAAAGTAAGAGTAACAATAGCTTACAATAAAACCCCGGGGAGTGTACTATCAACAAAGTAGGGCACTCATGAGTTGTAAGACATTGTAATGCACCAAAGAACAGATTCATGGCAAAATCCAGTGAAGCCTAGGAGATTGTAATTCTAAAGAAACACACACACACAAAAAGGCCCCTTGAAACTATGTTTTCTTGTTTATTTTTTCTGTGGAAGCCTAAAATAATCTCACAATAAGAAGCTGCAACTACTTAGAGAAGGAATAAGCCACAAGGCAGTTAGTTAAGGCTTTAATGGAGGTTAGAGAAATTAAGCTCTCAGTCTAAAATTCCTTAATTCAACCAAGGCTAAAATCTCAAACAGAGCTCTTCAAGTGGGTTGTAACCTCCAGGAAGATTCCAAAAGTAGATATAGGGGTTGGAGGGGAAGCAAGGTGGGGCACAAGGTAAATTGAAGCTGCTCCTCGCGGTGGGAAGCCACCACAACCAAAATACTCGTCTTCTGCCAAGGAAAGGTTACCCCATTATTTTTTCTCAGACTTAGTTATTTTAGAACAATTATATATTTTAGCAAATGTGAGAGAAAAGTCCAGAGGGTTTCCATATATTCCCTGCCCTCACACATACACAGCCTCCCTCATTATCGACATTTCCCACCAAAGTTTTCCCCATTGCACACTCCGACAAAATAATAAAAATGAACACTCTTTTGCCTGGAATCCATATGTACTGCTAGGACAATATGTATTGTTATTTGTTCTAAGGATATCACATCACTCAGAATAAATGATCAATGAAGGTTGTTTAACCATCTGTTCTTTCAACTAATGTTTGTAGGCATCTGTTATTGGCCAGGTGCTGCTGCAGACACTGGAGATATCACAGTGAGCAGATACAACTTAAATCTTTGAACAGATCTCCACAATTCACCCCTCAGCAGTCTCAATTTTAGGCATTTATCTAAAAGAGATAAAAACTCATTTTCACCAAATGACTTGTTCAAGAATATTCCTAGCAGCTTTTTAATAACAGACTATACCAGAAAAAACACATATACATAAATGGGAGAATGGATAAACAAATTGTGCTATATTCTGAATGGAATACTACTAGGCAATGCAAGGAATAAACTACTGATATAAACTCAACATTTTTGAATAGTGAGAATATTATTATGAGGGAAAAAAATCACACATACATATGAAATTCTAGAAATAATAAATCTATTCTATAGTAACAGAAATCACAACCACTACTGCACTGGGTTGATGCTGGCTGGTGAGACAGGGATTGATGGAAGGAGCATAGGGAACTTTCTGGAAAGATGCAAACATTCTCTCCTTTTATTGAGATGGCAGTTATATGGGTGTATCATTTGTCAAGCCTCATAAAAATGTACCTAAAAATGTATACATTTTATTATATGTCAATTATATAGCAATTAAAAAGTGATACCATTTCATATAAAAGTGGTCTTTTTTCCATAGTGGCTGTACTAATTTACACTCTCACCAACAGTGTATGTGTTACCCTTCCTCCAAATTCTTGCCAGCAAGCATTGGTTATTTCTGCCTTTTTGATACAAACCAGTTTAACTGGGATGAGATTGTTTCTCATTGTGGTTTTCATTTGCATTTCTCTGATTAGTGACATTGAGCTGTTTTTAAAAAGTATATCTTTTAATCATTTGTATGTCTGAGAAATGTCTATTCTGGTCTTTTGCCCTTTTGTTGTTTGTTTTTTGGGACAGAGTTTCACTCTTGTTGCCTAGGCTGGAGTGCAATGGCACAATCTTGGCTCACTGCAACCTCTGCCTCCCAGGTTCCAGTGATTCTCCTGACTCAGCCTCCTGAGTAGCTGGGATTACAGGCATGCACCATCAAGCCCGGATAATTTTGTATTTTTAGTAGTGATGAGGTTTTCCCATGTTGGTCAGGCTGGTCTTGAACTCCTGACCTCAGGTGATCCGCCCGCCTCAGCCTCCCAAAAGTACTGGGATTACAAGCATGAGCCACCATGCCTGGCCTTTTGCCCATTTTTAAATCAGTTATTTTTTTCTATTGAATTCAGTTCCTTATAAATTCTGATTATTACTCTCTTATTGGATTGTGTGTTAGTCTGTTATCACACTGCTGATAAAGACATTCCTGAGACTTGGTAATTTATAAAGAAAGAGAGGTTTGAGTTCCACATGGCTGGGGAAGCCTCATAATCATGACAGAAGGCGAAAGGCACGTTGTACATGGTGGCAGACAAGAGAGAACTGAGAGCCAAGTGAAAGGAGTTTCCCCTTAAAACCATCAGATCTCATGAGACTTGTTCATTAACATGAGAACAGTATGGGGGAAACTGCCCCCATGATTCAGTTATCTATGGGAGCTACAATTCAAGGTGAGATTTGGGTGGGGACACAGCCAAACGATATAAGATGGAAGATGGAAGTTTGCAAATATTATCTTCCATCTGTAGCTTGTCTCTTCACTTTGTTGATTATTTCCTTTGCTGTATCAATTTAAAAAGGGAAATTAAAACAGTAGTCTGAAAAATTAAGAAGGGTCAGGCAGTGAATGACATAGCAAATGGATGAATTAGCCAGGCTGTGCTGTTCGGAGTTTGTCCTGCAGGTGACGCAGATGTGCTGGAGAATTTGCAGCAGGGCTTCCCTCTAGTGAGCTGTGCATTACAAGGCGGTAACTCCCGTGACAATGTGGAGAGCAGTCAGGGAGCCCCAAGCAGAATCCACAGGAGAAATGGTGAGATCCTCACAGGAGGATGAGGATGATTTCAAGGGGTAGAATGTTTGGATATAATTTAACAGTCTTGGTAGTTGATTGGATGTTTGAGATGGAGAGAAAGGAGTTGGGGATGGCTCTAAGTTAGGTGGGCTTGGTGAGGAGCTGCGCTGGCATTGAGCAGTGAGACTTGGGCTGGAAATGAGATGAGTTATTCGAAACATGACAGGCATCATCAAAAACTCAGTCATCGAGATAAAGGCAGGATTAGAACAGGAGCATATTTGAGTGGGAAGATCATGAATTTACTTTGGAAAATATTGACTTCCAAGCAAAAAGAATTGAGTACCATGGCACAGAGAAGGTTTGCTTTATAATTTCAAGCAGATGACAAATGAGGTAGGTCTAAGAAGAAAAAAAGAAAATAAAATAAAAAGAAAGATTTGAGCAGCATTTAAGTTAATTCACTCAGATACCCCAGAAAAAATGGTAGCACAAAGGGGATCACAGAGCCTCTACCCTTAATATTATGGGTTGACATTCTATATGACACTTGATTTTTATTAGTCTCAATGTGTTCTACAACCCAACAGGTTAAGAATTACTAGAGAATATGTTGAAGCAGAGTAAGGGCG
Organism: Homo sapiens; assembly: GCF_000001405.40. Classification (NCBI taxonomy): domain Eukaryota; kingdom Metazoa; phylum Chordata; class Mammalia; order Primates; family Hominidae; genus Homo; species Homo sapiens. The sequence continues at coordinate 73,519,674 of NC_000018.10, read as the reverse complement.
AGGAAAATTGTATGTAAAGAGCTCATTTTTTCCCTGGTAAAGTAGGAATCAAGGTCGTTTGAAAGTGAACAAACAAAAATACATTAGAGAGGCAGAAGAAGGTGGGAAGAATATAGAACAGCTGCTGTAGAGAACCAGAAAGAGTCTACTCAAGATTAATTAAAGATATCAGCGAGTACCATTGAGGACTCACTGACTGATCCCAAAAGCAATACTCTTTTTAAAAGGTTTTGTGCAGAGACACTATGATTGGATAAGTATGTATCTCCTCTATGGGACCTCTTTTAGGTAAGCAAGACTCATTTGTACTGTAAGTTGATTTGTTTCATAAAATTATATTATATAATTTTATAGGCCTGACTTGTATTGCAATGATAAACCCAAATAAAGACTTTCTATTAGAATGTACTTTAGAATACCTGAAAATGTTTACATTAAAAATCCTTAAACATTGGATAAAGCACACAATTTCTTTGAAGTAAACACTTCACCAATCCTACAAATGTCACTGATCAAAGCCAGCAGTATTAGAGATTTAAGCTGAAACTAAGTAGCACACTGAAGCAAGGAAGATTTTTAAAGCCATAAAACCATAATCCTCTATTAAAATACGGGATTCCATTGCTTTGTCAAATTTGAGAGGTGTAGTTTTACCGTGAAGTCGATAAAAGCCTCAGAAGGAAGGTGACAGAGGATATCAAGTCAGAGTGTTTTTCATAAGTAGAGAGAGGAGAAGTGCTTTGCTTAGTATTAAGCACTTTATTATTTAGGGAGGCTTGTGAAATAAAAATAATGTTAGTGGATTCCACTTTTATCAGATACAAGTGATGTTACTATCTTTTGAAGTGTCAAATTACCTCACAATGAATGGAGGAGATATGTTGCTAATACTTTGCAACTATTTCTCGAACACCTGATATTATCCAGCTTACGGTTGGTAATAAAATGCATTTATGTGGAGAATAAAGTATGCTATAATTAGGTAGGAAAAGTCTTGAGCAATAAGAAATAAATATAGAGAAGATTGTATCAAAATGGCTATATACCCAGTAAATAGTGAGATAAACACTGGAAAGATGGTATACTTTCAGTTTTTAAATGGAATATTATATATACACACACATATATATTTTATATTATATATATAATGTTTGAAAGATATCTTTAACAAAAATAAATATTTAATAAACAATTTGCCACACAATACTAAAAACAGTAAAAATAAATCTATTTACTGGCATACATATTAGAATGGCCAAAATACAGAATATGATGAAACCAAATGCTGACAAAAATGTGGAGCAATCAGAATGCATATGCCAGTGGAAATGCAAAATATCACAGCCACTTTGGAACACAGTTGGCCGTTTCTTACAAAACTGAATATAGTCTTACCATATGTATTAGTCAGGGTTGTCTAGAGGGACAGAATTAATGGAATATATACACATACACACACACACACATATATATGTACACACACACATGTGTGCGTATATATATGTACACACACACGTGTGCATATATATGTACACACACATATGTGCATATATGTACACACGCAAGTGCATATGTGCGTACACATATATGTACACACATATGTGCATATATGTACACACATATGTACATATTTATGTCCCCGAACAGAGGGACCGGCTGAAGCCATGGCAGAAGAACGTGGATTGTGAAGATTTCATGGACATTTATTAGTTCCCCAAATTAATACTTTTATAATTTCTTATGCCTGTCTTTACTGCAATCTCTGAACATAAATTGTGAAGATTTCATGGACACTTATCACTTCTCCAATCAATATTCTTGTGATTTCCTATGCCTGTCTTTACTTTAATCTCTTAATCCTGTCATCTCATAAGCTGAGGAGGATGTATGTCACCTCAGGACCCTGTGATGATTGCGTTAACTGCACAAATTGTTTGTAGGGCATGTGTGTTTGAACAATATGAAATCTGGGCACCTTGAAAAAAGAACAGGATAACAGCAACGTTCAGGGAACAAGAGAGATCACCTTAAACTCTTACCGCCGGTGAGCCAGGCAGAACGGAGCCATATTTCCCTTCTTTCAAAAGCAAATGGGAGAAATATCGCTGAATTATTTTTCTCAGCAAGGAACATCCCTGAGAAAGAGAATGCGTCCCTGAGGGTAGGCCTCTAAAATGGCCGCTTCGGGGGGCGGCCGTTTTTTTATGGTTGAGCTGTAGGGATGAAATAAGCCCCAGTCTCCCATAGTGCTCCCAGGCTTATTAGGACGAGGAAATTCCCGCCTAATAAATTTTTGGTCAGACCAGTTGTCTGCTCTCAAACCCTGTCTCCTGATAAGATGTTATCAATGACAATGCATGCCCGAAACTTCATTAACAATTTTAATTTTGCCCGGGTCCTGCGGTCCTGTGATCTCGCCCTGCCTCCATTTGCCTTGTGATATTCTGTTACCTTGTGAAGCACGTGATCTGTGACCCACATCCTATTCGTACATCCCCTCCCCTTTTGAAAATCACTAATAAAAACTTGCTGATTTTGGGGCTCAGGGGGCATCACGGAACCTGCCGACATGTGATGTCTCCCCCGGACACCCAGCTTTAAAATTTCTCTGTTTTGCGCTCTGTCCCTTTATTTCTCAGACTGACCAACACTTAGGGAAAATAGAAAAGAACCTACGTGAAATATTCAGCCTGACATCTGGCTGAATTTCCCCTGATATATATGTGTATATATATATATATATATGAGTTTATTAAGTATTAACTCACATGATCACCAGGTTCCACAATAGGCCATCTGCAGGCTGAGGAGCAAAGGCAGCCAGTCCAAGTTCCAAAACTTAAGAACTTGGAGTCTGATGTTCAAGGACAGGAAGTACCCAGCCCAGGAGAAAGATGTAGGTTGGGAGTCTAGGCCAGTATCACTTTTTCATGTTTTTCTACCTGCTTTATATTCACTGGCAGCTGTTTAGATGGTGCCCATCCAGATTAAGGGTGTGTCTGCCTTCCCCAGCCCACTGACTCACATGTTAATCTCCTTTGGCAACACCCTCACAGACACACCCAGGATTAATACTTTGCATCCTTCAATCCAATCAAGTCAACACTCGGTATTAACCATCACAAATCCACCCCTTGTCAATTTGAACCCATACACATCTCCTGAGATCACACATAATCTTCAAATAAAAACAATAATAAGGTCATAATTATGCCTAACATAATACAACTATCCTTCATACAACTGGAAACGCACCAATCCCCAACCCAAATACTATTACATTAAGTTAACAATACTTAAACGCTGATATGAAGTCAATAAGTCTTATGTTACATGATAAAGGGAAAAGGAAATAAAATGAAGATGTTTTCTTAGTACAAGTGTATACATGCACAAACATGTTTTTAACAAAAGGAGGAAATACTCATGACAATTCTGCAGCTGGTCATGTGGTTGTAGCTGGTACTGATGACTACCTTCTTCTACTACCCATTCTGTGTTCCCTTTGCCTTCAGGAAGCACCTCAGCAGGTCATTTTTTTTTTTTTCTTGGTGGAGTGATCCAAACCTTCATTCCTGAAGGGTCTGGGCCATTTGTAGTCCTGCCTGGACAAAGCTGTTGTAGTTTCTCATTGACCTTAATCACAGGGCATGATGATACTAAGGGATGCCCTAACTTTGTCCACTGAACTGAGGAGCAACCAACCAACTTCATTATTGTTCCTTGGTTCTCCACATATGGTCAAAGGTATTACGTATAGAGTCACTAAAGTCCTTGCCTCTCACGAGCAGTGAAGCAGGAATTTCAAAGGCATTTATTTTGCATAACTCTCTAAACAGGTCACGCCAAGGACTATCAGTGTTCTCCACACTATTATAAGTAGAATCCTTAGCATTTTGGTGTGTAATCATATTAAGCAGCCAACTCCAGAAACCCCCAAACCAATGAAGGAACTCCATCCTTAGTATTCTGTTCCTCTAGAACCACTCTTGGTACCAAAATTTGTATTAATCAGGGTTCTTGAGACAGAACTAATAGGATAGATATGTATATAAAGGGGAGGTTATTAAGTATTAACTCACATGATCACAAGGTCCCACAATAGGCTGTCTACAAGCTAAGGAGCAAGGAAAGCCAGTCTGAGTCCCAATACTTAAGGACTGGGAGTCCAATGTTCAAGCGCAGGAAGGGCCCAGCACAGGAGAAAGATGAAGGCTGGGAACCTAGGCCAGTCTCATCTTTTCACATTTTTCTGCCTGCTTTATATTCCAGCTGCACTGGCGGCTGATTAGGGGGTGTTCCCCCAGAGTAAGGGTGGGCCTGCCTTTCTCAGCCCACTGACTCAAGTGTTAATCTCCTTTGGCAACACCCTCACAGACACAACCAGAATCAGTATTTTGCATCCTTCAATCCAATCAAGTTGACAGTATTAACCATCACACCATACTGTGCGACAGCTGGGTAGATGTAGAGACTACCAGCTGCAGAGAGGAGCTACCCACTGCAGGGTCTTCTCTCTGCTGAGAACTGAACACTCATCAGGACACACTGCCTGTGGAGAGGAGCTACGCAGTGCAGGTCTCCTCTGAGCTGTTCTGTTGTTCAATAAAGCTCCTCTTCTCCTTGCTTACCTTCCACTTGTCTGTGTATCTTATTCTTCCTGGACAAAGGACAAGAATTTGGGACCTGCCGAATGGTGGGGCTAAAAGAGCTGTAATGCAAACAGGGCTGAAATACACCACTTGATCACCACATTGCAGGTAAAAACAAGGAAAGAAGAGAAAAGGGGAGAAGAGCTGTGGCCCTTTGGGGAGACCAGACCTAGGAACTCCCCAAGCCAGGGCTGTGACACCCACTCTGGGGCTCTGCAGTTCCTGTTGTCTCCAAGCTTCCAAGAGCCACTGTGTTCTCTGGTGCCAGCTGTAGAACCTGCTTGTGGTACACCTGGTCCAGCTGCAGCCTTACAGGGAGCAGCACCTGTGCTGGTGTCTGTAACTGCCACCCCCTCCACAGCTGGTGTGCCTGGCTGTGTGCAGTGGCTGAACCGCATGCTTGCTTGCTTACACACCCCTCATAGCTCTGCACCTGGCTCACCCTTGGCAGGCATGATATTCAGGTTGGTAGCACAAGATGAATGCAGACTGCCAGGTTGAGTGGGCAGAATGAGCCCAGCAGGCCTGAATAAAATCTTGGGCAAAGGGCCACCAGCCACAGAGGTTTCTGGGTGGCAAAGTGACACCGCAAGGATCCTGTGACAATATCACCTCATGTCCATTAGAATAGCTATTTTCAAAGGAAAAGCAAAAGAAGGAGGAAGAAAGGGAGGGAGAGAAGGATGGAGGGACACAGGGAAGAAGGGAGGGAAGAAAGAAAAAAGAAGAGAGGAGGGAAGGAAGAAAAAGAGATGGAAGGAAGGAAGGAATGAAGGAAAGGAAGCGAGGGAGAGAGGGAGGGAAGAAAGAAAGAGAGAAAGACAAAAGAGAGAAAGATGAAAGAAAGAAAAAGAAAAGAAAGGAAAGAAAGAAAGAAAGAAGGAAAAGAAAAGGAAGAAAGAAAGAAAAGTGGGAAGGAGAGAGAAATAATAACTACAGTTGGCAAGAATGTGGAGATATTGGAACTCTTGTGTATTGTTGGTGGGGATGTAAAATGGTGTCACCATTATGGAAAACAGTATAGTGGTTTCTCAAAAATTCAATAGAATCATCGTGATCCACCATGGTATGCTGAACATGCTGAATATCCACATGTAAAAAAATGAAGTTGGATTCATACCTCACCCCATATTCAAAAATAATTTGGATATATCTGGGTATATATCCAAAAACAGGCTCATGAAGAGATATTTGCATACCTATGTTCATAACAGCATTATTCACAGTAGCCAAAAGGTGGAAGCAACCCAAATGAAGAAGAATCAACAAAATGTGGTACATATGTTGTACTACAAAAATGTTGCAATAAGCATTCTTTTGCAAATATATTTTTATATGTTATATTTTATTATTTATTTTATTATTAACTTCTATATGTATACTATGAATAGAGAATATAGCTAGCACTAATTTTATAATTTAAATTTATTTTTTAATATGTCTTTTGGGGGATGCTAACTATGTAATCAATTATCTAATTGTTCCATGGATATAATAAAATGAATATTTTCTATATACCTATTAGGATGATTATTCATTTCACCCATTTCTTTACTTATATTTTTGGCTATTAGAATTGATTGGGATAGATTGAAATATCCCAATATAGTTTGCTTTTCCAAGTTTTATTTGAATTTTTAACAATTTGTCTCTGAAAATGTTGTTTGCCTTCGTAGTGCTTTTTTTTTAATTTTTAATTTTTTGGGGCACATAGGCCTTCGTAGTATCTTTAATCTTCTTGCATCAGTATTAGTTTTGCAGTTCTTCTGTTTACTCACATCCCACCTTTTTGTTTTAGTATTTAGCTACCCATCCCTTCATATTACATTTCATAAAATGTAATTTAATGTAGTTCTTATAAATTCCCTTTAACAAGCAGTTGGCCCATTATTTAGTGAGACCTGTTATACTCTAGTCCTCACATTGTATGTATGCCTACTACTTATTTGTCATTTCCCTTTCACCTGTACTTGATACTTGCCTAATTTATCAGGTCACTATATTTTGTCTTTTCTCATTTGCTAATTTGGAATTGATACTATATGCTACTATTATTTTAGAGGATAAAAATGTCCTTTGTTAAAGGAAAGATAGAGTTAAATCCTGGTTATGTTAATGGGGCTATCTTTGGCATTTCCTTGTGTTATATTGCTTTCTTAGAGTCTTTTTTGCTTATTTGGTTAAAATTTCCAGAAGGACAAGGGCCATTATTCACAGTTGCATAGCTAGTGCTTGGGGCATAATAAACACCCAATAAATACCTGTTGACTAATGAAGATTATATCAGTGAACCTTCTGGGATCATATATATGTGTGTAAATATGTATATATACACATATGTATATATGTACACATACATATGTATATATGTGTGTGTACATATATGTACATATGTACATAAACACATTTACACATTCAGTATAATGCTTAAAAACACTAATTACAAATAACAGATAATCTAAAGTAACATTGAAATTTCTAGAAAATCTCAGGTATGCTAATAAGATAAGATTGTGGGTATCTGAAAACACACTTAACTGTTTATACGTATAAACAATAAATAATTTTTATTATAAAAATTTAGCATCCTCTGAACCACTTCTAGTGAGTGTAATATGGATGTTGGCTTACACATGCAAAACGAAGCTGTTCCAGTTTCCCTTGTAAACCCACGTGGGAGACCTGCCTTTACTGTGACTAACAACTTGGATGCTATGCAAGTCTTTTGATAAAAGTGCCATTTAGTGAACTGTGTTTGCAATTTCCTAAACGGCAGCCATGAGGCCTGAGCGTAATTACAACTCCTCCCTAAATGATGGGAAAATTTCCACTCATTAGGCCTAGATGCTTTTATGTATTAATGACATTACTAAGAAAAAATACTTTAATTAAAAGTTAAGTGTATTTGAAGATAAAAAGGCCATCACTGAATCCAGCTGTTTGTTACTGTTTATAATAGACTTTCTTTACATTAAATGGCAAAAGAGTAATGTGTTCGTATTAGAATTGCGTTAACATTACACTGAAGTAAACAGAGGAGGAGCAGCTGCTTCCTGTTCCACATGCTGCAAATACATTCTTGCAAAATCATGAAGCTGTGTAGCACTTCTCGCACATATGATGTACCCTGTATACGCTAAGTTAGAAGTGTTGACAGTCTCCTGAGTTAAGTCGAATTCACAGAGTTAGTAACATTATTATTAAAGGTCATCTTTACACGGTCTTCAAATTATTTACCGTTTCATTTATTAAATGTACAAACTGACCATGTGAATTGCCATGCAGTTTAGAATCTAGAGGAACTTCGAGTACATGGTCATTTTCCCCTATTGGACATTTCCTGAATGCTGGAATGGTATAGGATGCAGGGTGTGAGAGCTGGGCTAGAAAGGCTGAATATAGTACTTGATGAGGGAGCAACCTGTAGCAAGCATGCCAGCTTTTTTCTTTCTTGAACAGGTAAAATAAATGAAAGGAGAATCAAAAGTCTGCATACATTATTATTCCATTTAAGTGGCATTCCACCCGTAGAATGGACAATTTTGTAATAAATGGAGAAGGCAAAATTTAAGGACAGAGAAGAGCGGTGCCAGATACAAGGTTGTGTGAATGACATAAATATAAAGGGACACAGGAAATTATTTGGAGTTATGAACCATCCATAATTTGATATGGAGATGGTTATGTCACTCTATGAAATGCCAAAATTCATTTCACTGTGGTTTCATCACTCCTATATTATAACGAAAATAAAGTTGAACAAACTGAAAATCAGTGAGATTTCTTGCAAACATCAGAGAACTGAGGTTGCAGGGCAAACTGCCACCCCAAATTCTGGACAGACAGATAAACACAGAAAATCACAGCTAAGATCAGTTTACCAGAAGCAGAAGCCACTGTTATTATAAACTGGTAGAAATACAAAAATGGTAACCTTCACAAATGGCTTTTATGGAGGCTGAGTGTACACCAGTGTGAGTGTGAGAAACTCCTCAGGGTGGTAATCCTGAAGGATCACCCCCTTTCATGGGTCTTATCTCAAAAGCCCCACTAGGTTTTCATGAAGAGCCAAGAGAAAAAGAAAACCCTCTTGTATCTGGCAGGAGAAGGGAAAAAGCAACAATTTTAATGTACACATGGAGGATTCATCATGACAAACGCCTACTCTGCAAAGGAAAAGACCTTACCAGGGCCTCTTCAGACCTAGTAGAAGAGCAATTACTCAGCTCCATCCCCATCTAGCCTTCCTGTGTGGGGAAGGGGAGCAACGTGTGTTGGTGATTGCCCAGGGACACAGGCCACTATGAGACTGATATTTAACCGTAAGATTATAGAATGCTCCTCTTCTCTTCTCTTCCTTGTAATATTGCTGTTGTTTCTTATAATATTGCTGTCATTCATTTCATTTTTCTGTATAATTGCCTACTACATTGTCACTATTATTTGAACAAATAATTACCGATTAGATCTATTAAGAACAAAGAAAAAGTAAAATATATTATTTTACCTTCATTTATCTCTTCCCCACTGCAATTGCATCACGTAGACGTGAGTTTCTGACCTGTGTCATTTTCTATCACCCCGAAAAACTTCGAATGTTTCTTGCGTGTCATTTCCACTTGTGATTAATTCCTTCAACTTATGTTTGTCTGAGGAAGTCTTTGGTTCTCCTTCACTTCTGAAGGATAATTTCAGTGAATATAGAATTCTAGGTTATTAGGATTCTCTTTCTTCAAATCCTTTGAGTGTTTTAGTCCACTCCCTTCTGGCTTTCATGGTTACTGATGCAAAGTCCAATGTAATTGTTATTTTTGCTCCTTTCTAAGTAATGTGGTGGTGTTGTTTTCTGTCTTCTTTTAATATTTTATTTTGCCTTTGGTTTTCTCCAATTTAAATGTGATATAATGAGGCATATTTTTGGGGAGCTATTTAAACTGGTTGGTATTCTTCCTCGATCTGTGATTTTTTTTGGTGTCTGCCATAATTTTGGAATATTCTCAGGCATTAATGCTTTAAATATTGCTTCTGCTACATTATTTCTTCTTGTGTATTTCAATTATGTATATTTCACAACTTCAAAGTTCTCGAATATTCTGTCATTGTGGTTGTTGTCCATTCTGTTTTCTTTTGCTTTTCAATGTGAACAGTTTCTGTCGATCTTTCTACTCAGTGATTCTTTCCTTGGCCATAGCCAGTCACTAATGAGCATATTTAAGCCACTCTTCATTTCTCTTACGTGTTTTTACCATTTCCTTCTCATTCTTTCTTAGAATTTTCATTTTTCTTCTTACATTATCCATCTGTTCTTGCATGTTGCCCACTGTTTTCATTAGAATCCTTAATGTATTAATCATAGTTATTTTAAATTCCTTGTCTGGCAATTTTAAAATCGGTGCCATATGTGAGTCTTATTCTGATGCTTTCCTTTGTCTTTTCAGATTGTGTGTAGTTGTAGGTTTTTTTAAAAAAATTCATTCCTTTGTGCATGCTGTGTACTTTTTTGTTAAAGTCTAGACATACAGTACAGGATAATAAGAAGTGAGGTAAACAAAACTTTACTGTAGGGTTTTATAATTATCTGCTAGGAGTTGCTGTGTGTTTTCTGTTTACTGTAGCTAAATTGTCAGAGCCATCACTGCCTCTAACTTTGTTTTTCTCCCATTTTCTCTTTAGTTTTCCTACTGTCTCCCTGTGACATACAGTCTACACCTTGCAGCTTTCTGGCTGTAATCCACTGCTATTTTGCTGAAGTTCTGTTGTTGTGGAACCAGGGGCTCCAATGAGAAAATGCTTATTTTATGAGTGAGCCAGAAATATACATGATGAACCTGTAACTCTTCTAGTGCCAGAAAGTTCTCAAAAAACAAAACAGAACAAAACACATTGATGGGAGTGTGTCAAAAGAGCATAGGAGCTCATTGAAAGAGCCATCAATGGTCAAAGCTGAAAAAAAATTGTATTGGATTGGATTATATTGGATTATAATCCGAAGTACAAAATAAATGTTGGTGATTTCATGCAGATTTTTAAAAAATGTCAGAATGAATTAATCAGCAGTTGAAAAGAGAGAAATCTTCCAAGCAAAAAAATTCCACATCACTTACACAGATGCTGTTTTCTAAGGGAGGAGGAGCATAACTCTCCACTTGTTAAATTCGAGTTGCACAGGGACTTCTGTCCAGAGAGCAGAGTGTGGAAAGGGAGAAAGAGGGTGGTGGTAATTTTATGTGACTTGACTGGACTACGGGATACTAGGATAGCTGGCAAATCTTTATTTCTGGGTATGATTTTCCAGAAGAGATTAGCATTGTATTAGTAGACTCAGCAAAGAAGATCCACCCTCACCAATGTGAGAAAGTATCATCCAATCCACGGATTGCCTGAATGGAAAGAAAGGTAGAAGTGTGAATTCACTCTATTCTTGAGCTGAGACATCGGAGTTGCCAGGGCCTTAGGACTTGGACTAAATTACACCACTGGTTTTCCTGGTTCCTTAGCTTGCAGACAATGTATCATGGAACTTCTCAGCCTCCATAATTATGTGAGCCAGTTCCCAAGATATGTCTCTTTTTTTATATTTACATCGCTCCTATTGATTCTGTTTCTCTGGAGAGCTCTGAGTAACACAGAAAGGGACAGTAATCTTTCCACAGAGAAAACTGACCAATCTTACCATAGCCATGTGTTCAAGGTTAGCATGAACAGTGATAAATTATGTTGATAGCATGTACTGTGATATGATGTGATGAAAACAATACTTTACTCCTGTGGTCTTCCTCACCAAACTTATAAATCTAGTCTAATCATGAAAAGAAAGCAACATTAAACTTCAATAAATGAGTGTCCTACAGCATACCTGACCAATGTATGCTTTAAAATTGTCAAGGTCATCAAGAACAAGGAAAATCTGAAAAAAATGTCATGCCCAAGAGGAGCTGAAGGAAACTTGATGATTAAATGTAATAAGATGTCCTTGTTGGGAATCTGGAAAATAAAAGATATTAGGTATAAACTAAGAATAGCTGAGTAAACGATGGACTTTAGTTAGCAATAACACATCATTGTTGGCCCATTGTACAAATGTACCATAGTAATGTAAGATGTTATTAATAAGAGAAAGAAATTTGGTGTGGGGTATACCAGAATGTTATGTACTGCCATCTCAATTTTTCTGAGTAAACTTTTCTATAAATTAAAACAATAAGAATATTTTTAAAAAGTTTTACCAACAATAAAGTGTCCTATTATATAATATTTCAACAATGAATATTATAAATTTTCAACATTTTCCCCAACCTGATAGGTAAAACAATAATAAAATTACTTAATTTCTCACTTGCATAAAACTTTCATTGAATTAGTAAAAATGGTACATTTTACTGAAAATAAATTATAATTTAATAATCCTGATTTTTTTTTTTAGAAAAACATAAATTCTTACCATTAGTAATCTGGTCAAAAGAGGGAAAACCAAACTTCTAATTTAAATGATCTATTACTAAGAATCCTATAGATTTAAAAAGGAAATAATTGTATATATAAACACTCTTCATGAAAATAACTATAAAATTTAGATGAAATTCAAAGACTATTTTAAAAACAAAATTCTTCCTTTTTAATGTGGGCAACGATCTCATGTCCTATGCAGGGACATGGATGGAGCTGGAGGTCATATCCTTAGCAAACTAACACACGAACAGAAAACCAAATAATGCATGTTCTCACTTATAAGTGAGAGCCGAAGGGTGAGAACTCATGACACATAAAGGGAAACAACACACGCTGGGGCCTTTTGGAGGGTGGAGGGTGAAAAGAGGGAGAGCATCAGAAAAGGTAACTAGTGGGTACTAGGCTTAATATCTGGGTGATGAGGTAGTCTGTACAGCAAACCCTCATGACACAAGTTTACCTATGGGACAAACCTGCACTTGTACCCCTGAACTTATAAAAGCTAAAACAATACAAAACAAAACAAAAAAAACAAAAAACAAAAACACTGTGCAATGAAACTGTAAAAGAAAATTCAAAATATGTATTCTAATTCATAATACAAAATCTCCCCATTAAAAAAAATCTAAGACCTGATGACTTCATTAGTAAATTTTTCATTTAAGAAGAGAATAGGGGCAGGTGCGGTGGCTCACGTCTGTAATCCCAGCACTTTGGGAGGCCGTGGCGGGTGGATCCCTTGATGTCAGGCGATCAAGACCATCCTGGCCAACCTGATAAAACCCTGTCTCTACTAAAAATACAAAAATTAGCCAGGTGTGGTGGTGCATGCCTGTAATCCCAGCTACTTGGGAGGCTGAGGCTGGAGAATTGCCTGAGCTCAGGAGGTGGAGGCTGCAGCGAGCTGAGACAGCACCATTGCACTCCAGCTTAGGTGACAGAGTGAGACTCCATCTCAAAAAAAAAAAAAAAAAAAAAAAAAAAGAGAACCAATATTATGCATACAATTTCCCTTAATTGTGAAAGATGGGGCATTGCCAAACTTTGGTAATTAAAGCAGCGTACCACTGATAGAAAACATATATAGTCTATTATGAGAAAATAAAATTAGGACCAACATCTTTAATGACTATAGATACAAACAAATGCAAACCACTGTAATAATAAAGTATAGTCAAAAATATAAAAATATAATTTCCAGGAGGAGTTTATCCTATAAATGGAATTTTGGTTTAAAATTCAAAATTAAACATTGCATTGTGACTATTAGAAGATGCAAAAGTAATTAGATAAAATTCACCATACATTTATAATTAAAGTTCTCAGCATACTCAGAGTAGACAGGAACCCCCTCATTCTAATTAATGGCATTTTTTAAAAACTTACATAGTTAACAGCGTATTTATTTTTAATATATTAAGCTCTTTCCCTATAAGATCAAGAAGGCAAAGATGTCCACTGTCACTAATTCTATCAAATATTGTACTGAAAATCCTAGCCTATGTAAGGCTAGCAAAATATATATATTATATATATAAAATATATATAGCTGTATATAAAATATATAAAAATATATAAAATATATAAAAATATATATTTTATATATAGCTATATATATTTTCTTTGCTGATATTTATGGGTTGTGTTTATATATATATAGCATATATAGCATACATGTTGTGTATATGTGTATGTGTGTGTGTGTGTGTGTGTGTGTGTATATATATATATATATATATCACAGCAAGTCACCATTATACATCTACAAGGATAGACTGTAATGATGTGTAAATGTATGGATCAGTCCTTCATAGCATTATGCCTTTAAAGGATGGCTTTATCTGTTAAAAAAAAAAGACTGAAATGCAATTATTCCTTATTCTTTCTCTCCATTGGTGTTATAATTAATAATTTAAATTTAAATTATTAAAAGCTCTAGATTTAATTTAAAAAGAAAAATAAATTGTTAGCACTTTAATAAGTAATAATTAATTTATATATAATTGAATTAAATTGATAAAATTATGTAAAATATTCTATTTTCTAAGCGATATCTACATTTTCCAAGAAAATGAAACAAGAGCTTACAGTGTGCCAGAATGTTTTTTTACAAAAGAAAACCTCCAATATGTAGCACTTGCCAGTTTGCCTGGGGTAAATACTCTTACATCCGTGATACACACAATCAGATCTGGAGAGCCAGGGCTCTCTAACTTCAGGGCACCACAAGAAACAGCACACTCTGAATTTGTTCTTTTCACAGTCTGTGTTATTGTTTGTCCCTGGACCACACTTAAAAATGACTTAAAGATCTATACTTCCCATGACAAGGGACTTTCTAATGATCCCCAAGCAATAAGTATCTGGAGTCTATCAACAGACCTAGGACTCCTAAGAAAATCAGTGGCAAATGAATGTTTCAACTGTGTTGAAAGAACTCAATATTCCTATGCATTCTCCCAGAGGCAATGAGTATGAAAGTAGGGAGTGTGTTTGCTTTTCCACACAAGTATTGGTCTGTAGGGTCAACCTATCATCTATCGAACTAAAATGTCATTCAAATTTTCTCAATACTCTCGATATCTATCCTGACAGCTGTTTTGCATTTATTTAATCTGTGATTTCTGATCTCTATCTTTCAGTGTTGCTGTGTCATTTTGTTTTATCTGTCATGTGGAGATAGTATATACATTTTATTTGTTTTTCTTGTTGATTTTTATCTAATTCGTTATTAACTGTCTTTATCATGGAAATTTATCCTTTTTCTCATTCTTATCACAGATGTATTTGTTTTAATTTTTCATCTTATATTTATCTTTCCTCTTTACCATGTCCTGTTTGTTTCTATTTTTATCTTTCTTCAGGCTTCAGATGGATTGGTGACATGATTTCATTGTTTTATTTATTTTTGTTGTTAAAAAATTTTGTTCATTAAAGATTTGGAAGTTACACACTCTACTTATATTCCTTTTTTGTGATTACTCTTAGATATTGAATGCCTATTTTGAATGTGATTTTTTATTGCAAATGCTAAAACAAATCATAACCTCTAGCCTCTTTCTAAATAATACAAAAACCTTAGTTTTCTTTTTAATATTTCTGGATATCTCCATTTCCATTTCCCAATATATTTTTGTCTAGAAATTTTGTTTAGCTTATTTCTAAAAATGTATTGATGCAGAGAGATAGACTGGTAGAGGAATAGATATAGATAGGTGGATAGATAGATAGATAGATACATACATACATACATAGATACATACATAGATAGACAAACACATTCAAGCTTCTGGTTTTGAGATCCACCTCAGTTTCATTTATTGGTAATCTCCTTGCTTTTTCCTTCCAAGTTGATTTTTAACATTTTATCTCCTTAATATTCTTTAGTTTATTTCATTGTATCTACTGTTATTTCTATTACTTGATTTGTCTTGTATCCTTATGACTTTTCCAAAATGAAGCCTTGCAATTTTCTGAAGATAATTCTGAGCCATTATGTTTTCAAATATAGTGTCACCTGTGTTCTCTCTACCAGATATATGTTAGTACCAATGGATTTATCCTCCATATATCCAACTTGCTTTTCAAAAATGTTAATCTACTTAAAAAATTTTAGCTACATTCTCAGTTGAATCTTCCAGTTTAGTAGTTCTTGTTTCTGTTAGTTTTGTATTCAACACATCTACTGTTGTTTTCCTAATTTTTAAAAAAATATTTAAAAAATATGTTTTCTTTTCTAAATTTTATAGCCTCATTATTTTGTATTTATGTTTCATGACCCAGTCTCTATTTCGTGGGCATTATTCCTTCTGTTTATCATGGGCAGTATTAAGCACACTTACTATGAAGGCTATCAAAATGCTCAATTCCCTCAAGCACACTTACTATAAAGGCTATTAAGCTGCTCAGTTCCCTGTTTTTCCTCACTTTCATGTGTTCCATTTGTTGAACATGCTGCTGTGTTTCTCACTGTGCTGGGCTGGTCTTATACTCAGTGATTCTTGGTTTGAGGTCATAGTATGGGTGAATCACAGTTTCTGTCCAGGTATGGAGCATGAGGTTATCCTTTGTGGATGCTTTAGTAATGACCTCAGCACTGGTCTTTTAGCCCAGCTCTGGTCCAAGTCTTTCATGGTCATCTTGTTTAGGGCTTTTCTCATGTGTGACCAATGTGGTTTCAAGCTGCTTCCTAATGTGATGCCCCACTCTGGGACCTGGTTACAACCCACGTCATCTCCAAGAATGTCCATGGTCATGTCCATGGTGCCATTCTTCTGCCATTCTTGGACATGACGATGGTTGTATCTCAGCTGGGTTCTGGCACTCTCCAGGGGGGTGAGGATAGTATGAGAGATTCCTGGGCCCTGGTGTGGCCAGACAGCATATCTAGAGTCTTAGCTCTGCACAGTGTAGGACCCTAGCCCAGGGCTTCACATATGCTTCAAATCCTTGTCCCCAGTTCTACGTGTGCAGACGACTTTCTCCATACCCTTACTAGAAAACGTTGGTTCCTACTATTCATGTTGTTTTCTTACTTTCAGGTATATTTATCTATTTCTAACTGATGAATATTCCCCATTTCTAACTGATGAATATTTATAATAGTTGATTATATTTGTTTATTAATTTTTAACAAAGTAACTTATTACATCTACTGTATTTAAAGCAGAAACATTAGGTTTTAATGTGTGCTCAGCTGAATGGGGCATTGAGTTTTATTGGACTTTTCTTGGTCTTTGTGTTGATACAAATGTACTTACAATGATTATTATTACAATATTCTCCTAGAACTTCCGGGAAAAGTATTAACTACCTTTCCCGGATATGGCAGAATATTCCTTTCTGCCATAACACACACACAATGGCCTTAAAATTAAATGTTTTCATTATATAACTGCTTCTGTTCTGATTCATTTAAGATAAAATGCCTACCTGGTTATAAATAGACTTCTCAAGACATTTTTCAGGTAAAGAATACACTGGTCATTCCAATGATCAAGTCTGGTTCAAAAGAAATTTCTACTCCTAATGAAAAAAATGAATAAAATTCAAATAAGATTAATCCTATCACTTCAGTTTATTTGTATTTTATATTTTCTATTGGTTTGTGGAGTAAATTCTAGGTTGAATTTTTGTGTCTAGGACCAATTATAGTTTCATCAACAAAATGCTGATAGGTGAGGTTTCCTGGGTATATTTAATAAATCATCTCAACTATCACTTCTTTTTATTTTTCTGTATATGCTACTCTTTCCATTCAAAACTTCTATGAAAACATTACGGTCTACTGAAGACACTAAGTTAGTGATTGTGGCTTGATGCCTACATGAAATATGGCTAATAAATTCTTCCTCACCTTTCCACACTACATTTGCATTCATTTCCTCTATTTCTTGCTCTGTTTTATTCTTATGCATCAGAGACACATCAATGAGAACTAAGGTGAAATATGTACTCTGACATTGTTTGCTGCACATCATCGTGCTATACAATGTATCAATCCCTAGGTTTGCTTCAGTTCGGAACAATGTTTTACTTTCTTTGATTTGCTTTATTTGAGTTTACAAAATCATTTGTTTTTATTGTTTGAATTTGCACCTCTCTACATCTCGTTCGCACACAAGACCTTTGACTGCTCACTGAACTTAGTAGGGTTAAAAATTAAAGGTGAAGGCCGGGAGTAGGGGCTCACACCTGTAATCCCAGCATTTTGGGAGGCCGAGGCGGATGGATCACATGAGGCCAGGAGTTCGAGACCAGCTGGCCAACATGGTGAAACCCCGTCTCTACTAAAAATACAAGAATTAGCCAGGTGCTGTGGCAGGTGCCTGTAATTCCAGCTACTTGAGAGGCTGAGGCAAGAGAATCTCTTGAACCCAGGAGGCAGAGGTTGCAGTAAGCTGAGATCACGCCACTGCACTCTATCCTGGGCGAAAGAGGGAGACCCCTTCTAAAAAATAAATAAATAAATAAATAATAAAACAAAGCAGACTTGTAGGGTAGCACAAACAAATAAATGGCTATTTATATTCTCCACTTGCATTTCGCACACCATTTGGTTCATTCCTTTAAAAATTCTCAACCAAAATATTTACTTCATTGATAGCTTATTAGTTTGTTTTTTAAGAATAACAAATGTGACACCAGCCATTGAAATGTATTTAGAATAAAAAATATTTTTGTAGTTTAGATGATATAAGTTAAAAGTCTTAGCAGCAATTTCTAAAACCTAGGCACACATGCAAAGGCATCATAAATTATTAGCCATTCTTGTTAATGGAATTTATAGTAAGACTTAGTCCAAGAAGTTGGAAAGTTAGATTGCCCTAGAGTGAAATTTTAAAATCAATGCATAATGGATCAGAGTAGAGGTATGAAAAATCCTTTAGAATGAGAAAAAAAATAGTTTCTATAAATATATAGGTGGGTTTATAACTTAATTAAGTACATTATCATATATAAGTTAGGAAATATCAATTCAAAGGCCATTCAATCATCTTCGAAAGCTGAAAAAGAGAGGACCACTTTCAATTTTCTGAGCAGCGAGAATCAGAGCCAATGGACTTGGGGTGTTCCAGCCTCTTGGTAAAACAATTCCTACCTTGAGATGTCTGTATCATTCTTGATATAGTTAAATATTGTACTCTAACTCCTCTTGTTGATTTTAGGCTCACCCCGACTATCAGCTTCCCCTCTCTGTCTGTTTAGGTAAAATCTCAGGGAGTGATAATCTGAAGCCTGTGGTAACTGTGCCACTTGGCATCGAATTAATCAATGCTTCCTTTTCGTCACACTTGAGCTGGGGTGAATTTACCCTTAGTTCATTGGATAAGTCACTTTTCTGAGCCTGAAAGCAAGAGGGCTCAGTTTTCAAACTGAGCAAATTTACTAAGATATCATCCAGCATTGAATGGGGCGTCCAGAGAAATGACTACAGACTATTTCCTAGCCTTCCCATGCCCTCAGCAACTTTGATGAATGAGAGTATGTCTATTTTGTACACTGATATCCTAGGCAAGGCATAATTCTCCATAGAAAATTGCTAATGGGTCAGTGCGAGAAGTACCCAGGAAGAGAATTGGGTAGAATGTCCATTTTTTCAAATAGAATTATCTTAAAATTAGATTATTTTTTCCCAAAACTTTTAGATCCAAACAGTTTTAACTTTAAAGATAAAATTATTTATCCTATTTAATAAAGGAAAATATGTGACCTGGTGTTTCATCAAATAATAGGACAAGTTTTAAGATATAACAAAGCTTTCAGGAGCAATGTTCTGATTTAAAATGGAGGGCTATTTCTATCATAATAACATTAATATCCTTTACTTCTCTAATAACTGAGAAGAATGAATTAATGTTTTCATTCGTAAGTTGACACATGCTGGTAAAATACCATGAACCATTTGGGATAGAAGATTATTAGGAATAATAAAAGGGCATTACATAATGGTAAGGGTCAATTCTCTGAAAATACATAACCATCCTAAATGACTTTATATCAAACAAGAGACTGTCAAAATACATGAGGCACAAACGGATAGGAAAGAGAGAAGTAGACAAATACACTATTGTAGTTGAAGTCTTTAAGACCTCTCTGTTATTAACTGAAAGATCAAGAAGGTAGAAAATCAGTAGGGATGTAAAAAACCTTAACAGTGCTATCAATCAACTTGATCTAATGTACATTTATGGATACTTGAAATGACAGTAGAATACACATTCTTCTCAAGTCAACAAGGAACATTCAACAACATAAACTATATTTAGTGTCATAAATCGTGACTTAACAAAATTAAAAGAATAGAAACAGCATAAAATATGTTCTTAGGCCACAACAAAATTAAAGTAGAAATCAATAACAGAAAGATAAACAAATCTCTAAATACTGAAAATTAAACAATACACTTCTAGTAACATATGGATCAAAAAGTATCAAGAAAAAATGAAAAATAAACTATGTTAAAATATTTTTATTTTTGAATTATTTTTCAATATATTTAAATTTGAAATTAAAAAATTCCTTGAAATATCAAATTTCAATGAAAGTTGAAGGATGCAGTAAAGCAATACTTATAGAGGTTTTATAGTATTAAATATATATATTAGAAAAGCAAAAAGTCTAAAATTGTTAACCTAAGTGTTTTCCTTTGGAAACTAGAAACAGAAGAACTAATTAAGCCTAAAGCAAGCAGAAGAAATGTAGCAGCAAAAATTAGTGCAGAAATCAATGAAACAGAAAAAAACAGGAAAGCAATAGAAATCAACATTTTTCTAAAAAAAATTAATAAAGTTGATAAACCTCTAGACAGACTAAGCAAAAAAACAAAAAACAAACAAAAACAAAAGGAAAAAGAAGAAAAGAAAAGAGAAAGATAAAACACTCGTATAAATTCCTGATATCAGACATAAAAGAAGGGTCATCATCACGGATCCTGTGAACAATAAAAAAAAAATGAAGGACTATTTTCTATGCCCACATATTATAATTTAGATTGAAAGGGTCAGTTCCTTGAAATATGAAAACTACCAAAACTCACACGAGGAAAAATAGACAACCGAACATCCCTACCTATTCAAAATTTTGTGTTAATAATGAGTGACCTTTTAAAATAGAAAGTACCAGCCCTGGATGGCTTTACAGGGTAATTCTCAGTTTTATAAGAGTTTTATAACAATTTTGTTGAGATATAATGTACAGGCTGTATAATTCACCCTTGTAAGCTATACAATTCAACTATTGCTTTATTCACAGAGCTGGACTGTTCTCACTACAATCAATTCTGCAGTATTTTCACCACCCCCAAAGAAACCCTGTACCATTAGCAGTCACTCTTCTTATCCCTCTAAATCTCCAGCTCTAGGCAATCACTAATTTACTTTCTATATCTATATACATGACTATTTTGGACATATCATTTAAATAAAATCATTCAACATATATTCTGACTTGCTTCTTTCATATAGCATAATGTTTTCAGGATCATCCACATTGCAAAATGTGTCAGTACTTCAGTCTACTTATTGCCAAATAATATTTCATTGTATCAATGTACAACATTTTGGGTTGTTTCCCCTTTTTGCTTATTATTAATTATGCTGGTATAAGCATTCATGCACTGGTTTTGGTGCGGGCATATGTTTTGCCTTCTTTCTGGTATAGACTTAGTAGTGAAATTGCTGAGTCAAATATTAACTCTATGCTTAACTTATTGAGGAACCACCAGACCATTTTCCAAAGTACTTCCACCATTTTACATTCCCACTAGGAATTTCACATTCCCAGCAGGAATTTTACATTCCCACCAGGAATTCCAACGTCTTAATACCCTTACAAACAATTATTTTTGTCGTTTTTCTTGCAATCATCCTATTGGGTATAAAGTAGTATCTCATTTTGGTTTTGATTTCCATTTATGAAGGCTAATGGTGTTAAGCATTATTTTCTGTTATTGTGATTTGTATGTCTCCTTTAGATAAATGCCCATTTAGATGCTTTGCTCATTTTTATTTGAATTATTTATATTTTTATTGTGCTGGAGAAGTTCTTTACACATCCTAAGTACAAGTCCCTTATAATACATATACTTTTCAAATATTTATTACCATTCATTCTGTGGGTTGTCTTTTTACTTTTTTGATGGTATCCTGTGAGCAAAGAACTTTTTAATGTGACAAAGGCAAATTTATCTATTTTTTGTCTTATGTCACTAGTACTTCACTGCCCTATCTAAAGGGACTTTGCATAACTAAAGTTGCAAATCTTTACTCGGATATTTTCTTCTAAGTTTGTATAATTTAAGCTCTTACATTTTAAGTCTGTGTTCATTTTGAGTTAAAGTTTGTGAGTGGCATTTGGTGTGAGGAAGGTGCCCAACTTCATTCTTTTGTTTATGAATATTCTGATATCCCAGCACCATTCTTCCCCCCCTAATTGTTTTGTGACCATTGTTCAATATGAATTGACTGTAAATGTGAGGATTTCTTTAGAGACTTTCATTTCCATCCATTGGTCTATATATTTACCCTATAACTTTATCTCAGTCTTGATTACACAGTTTTATACTAAGTTTTATGACCAAGAACTGTGTGCCCTCCAAATTTGTTCTTCTTTTCCAAATTTGTTCTTCTTTTTCAAAATTGTTTTGACTGTTATTGGTCAGCTTGAATTTCCATATGAATTTTAGTATTTGCTTGTTGATTTTGGCAAGTAAATCAGCTGGATTTTGATAGGGATTGAATTGTAGCTGTGCATCAATTTGGCAGATATTGTTATCCTAACAATATGAAGTCTTCTGATCCATCAAAATGGGGTAACTTAACACTTATTTAGGTCTTCTTTATTTTGCAGTTTCACAGTGTGAGTGTTTTAATTCTTCAGTTAAATTTATTCCTAATTATTTCATTCATTTTAATGCTAGTATAAATTGACTTTTTAAAAAATTACATTTTTGGATTGTTCATTGAAAGTGTACAGAAATACAACTGGCTTTTGCGTATTGACCTTGCATCCTGGAAACTTGCCAAATTTGTTTATTAATTCTGGTAAACTTTTAGTGGATGTCTTAGGATTTTTTAATATACAAGATTATGTCATCTTCAAATAGAGCTTGTTTTATCTTTCTTTCCAACCTGTATGCCATTTATTGCATTTTATGTCTTAAGAGCCCTGGGTAGAATTTCACTGCAGTGTTGAATAGAAGTGGTGATAATGACCACCCTTGTCTAAAATCTGACAAAGTCAGAAGCATTTGTTCGCTTAGCATCAACTGCAATATTTGCCATAGATTTATTGTAGATGCTGTTTGTCAAGTTGATAAGTTATCCTTCTATTTCTATTTTTTATTTGTTTATCATGAAGTATTGTAAGACTTTAAAAAATTATTTTTATCCATCTATTGTGATAACCATCTTTTTAAACATTTTTCTAATAATATGCTATATTTATTAATTAATTTTCAGATGTTAAGCCACCCTTCCATATTTGGATAAATCCCGATTGATCATGGTGTATGATCATTTTCATATGGTGATGAATCTGGTTGTCTAATATTTTGTTGAAGATTTTTGTGTCTTCATAAAAGATTTTGGTCAGTTGTTTACTTATGATGTCTTCTGGGGTTTGTGTCAGGGAAATAGATGCCTTATATAATCTGTTGGAAAGTGTTTCTTCCTCTTGTATATTTTTTGGAGGAGTTTGAAAGGAGTTGATATTAATATCTTTAAAGGTTTGGCAGAATTCACCTGTTAAGCCATCTGTGCTGTATGATCTCACTTCTACGTGGAATCTAAAAAAGTTAAACTCATAGAAGCAGACAGTGAAACAGTGGGTCTTTTCTGTATGGAAACTTTAAAAATTACTAATGTAAATTATTTTTTTCAATTAATTCATTCTTAATTTTAGTAATTAGATTCCGCCCCCCCTTTTTTTAATCTGTCAATTTTGTTGTTCCAAAGACCATGCCTTTAGTTCCATTGATTTTCTCTATTTTGCATCTTAACTATTCCTTCTTTCATTTTGAGTTTAATTTGCTCTTTGTTTTCCACTATCTTAAGGTAGAAGATTAAATTGTTGATTTGAGATCTTTTTTTCTTTTAAAGGCATTTATAGCTATACATTTCCCTTAAAATATGACTTTAGCTTAATTTGATACATTTTGGTGTTTTATGTCTTCATTTTCATTCATATAAAACTTTTTTTCTAATTTCTCTTGTTACTTTTGCCTGATCCATTGGATATTTAGGAGTATGGCATGTACTATCATCATATTTGTCACTTTTTAAGTTAGTTTCTGTTGCTGATTTTTAATTTTATTTCATTGTGGTAAAATAAAATACATGCTTGTTTTTTTTAATTTAATGAGGCTGGTTTTAATTGTGAGGCTCTAGTGAGGTTCCTGGGGGTAAAACCCACAAAAGTGTGGGGGTCAGCTAAGACTGGGCCTCCAATAGTTCCTCATTCCTCTGCCAGTCTACTCCAGCAGCAAAGTGTCATTATTACCATTTACGTGTCTCTACCAGCATACAGCTCCAGTAATTTCTGCTGCAGGGAACCTGATTTTGGTTACAATTCTCTATATTCACATATTTCTCAATTTCAGGGTCTGTTTGCTCTGTGATCTCAAATCCTTGATGGGTCCAAGGAAGTCATTGATTTTCAGTTTACTCGGCTATTTATTTGTTTGTTTTAATGTGAGGATGGGAGACTGTCAATCTCCTTATCATGTTGAACTCAATCCAGAAGCCATCCTCCAAACCCCTCACTTCCTAACGATGATGGCAAGCTTTCCCATCCCTGGTAGAAACCGATCGATTCTGCCGTTTCTTAGATTTGTCTACCTTGTGCCACCCTCAGAGTTCTTCATTTGCTCTAGGGACCTTAACTTGAAATTATGCGGCCCCTTGAACACCCCCTACCCTACCCAACTTTCTACCCTCATCTTTCCATAACTTATCTTTGAAATTCTCTCCCACATCTAGAGTTTGTTTTTCAGAAACACTAGCAATAGCCCTATTGCCATCCCAACACTTTAATTCTCACACATTTATCCACGTCTTCTTACTATCCCAGTTGATGCATTAAATGGTTGATGAAAGCCTAGCTTCTTCTGTACATTCTTGTTCTAATTGTAGAAGGTCTGGAGCCCTCTGCATTGTCTGGTAGATTGAGTAGGGAAGTCCACGCTTCTATTAATTAGCTGCTTAAGTTTTATTTTCTCCATTAGGCCATTTTCCCAGGAATTTCCATACTATACTAGTTCTTAAAAGGGATTATACCCCTTGATCAGACCTTTCAATTGAAGGCTTCAGATTAAATGAGGCAACTGAGGTTAATTTAATTAATCAATTTGTTAAAATTGTATGCCCCAAATTATCTTACTGATATATTCTTATGTATTCAATAAAGTTTGTATTTTGACAGTAAAGCAATAAATCTTTGGCTCAAGAGCCAAATTATATAGTAATCAAGTAAAATTATGTTTAATTAATATCTGGGATATGAAATTTGGTATAAAAATAGGGCTCTCTTTTAGAAACCTTCAAGAAAAAAATCTCATTAGGCTTCAAGATACAAGAAATGCTTAGAATTTTAGAAAAATTAAAAATAATGAAAACGAAAAATAGAAAATGTCTATAACAGAAATATCATTGTTAAGTGG
The DNA here is from genome assembly GCF_000001405.40 of Homo sapiens. NCBI lineage: Eukaryota > Metazoa > Chordata > Mammalia > Primates > Hominidae > Homo > Homo sapiens. The sequence continues at coordinate 73,494,414 of NC_000018.10, read as the reverse complement.
AAAATTTTTCAATGGCAGAATTAACCTTTGATTTAACTGAGATAGACCCAGTGGGCATGAGGACTGCAAACCACTTAGCAAGGTGCAGGTGTTCCTAAGAGTAAATGGTGTTGGTGTTATTGTTGTATAATAGGAAATTATAATGGCTCTCTTTGTGGTCACTCACATAGGTTATGCAGTAGAGGAGCTGAACTTCTTACAAGGTGGCTCCTGGTCCCTAAAACACCAAATGTTTCGAGAAGGTTCAGACAAAAGTTGTAGTGCACTTTAACTTCAAGATTAACCTGAGACTGGTACAGTGTCACTTCTTCCACCTGCAATTCATGAACCCGAGTAGCTGACCAGCCCAGAATCACTATAGGAAGAACTACACCAAGGTATGAATAGTTGGAACTCCAGTTTAATGCAGGGAATCTTTGAAGCCTAGATGCCAAAGAGAGTGGAATAAGTAGTCTCAGCTTATTTGAATGCTGTCAGTAAACTTTCCTGCGCACTTTAGTACAAGTTTGTCTCTTGTCTATGCAATGTAATCCAATGATTATTTAAATATATTAATATATAGAAGTCTGTGACTTTGAACTTCCAAAGTAGAATGAACTAATATCTGCTAACTCTAATTAAGGAAAAAGGGTTTCTTTTCTTTGAAGAGAATATTGTGTTATTTTGCTTCACTTTTTGTTTACTAAACAAAAAAAAAAATCAAGTCTGTGATTATGAGATGTCAAAATAGAAACAACATCATCCTGGGGAAGCTAAAAATGTGTGTTCTTGCCCCAGATGTGATATTTAACAGGTAATTTAATATACTTGACCCGTGAACTACATAGGAGTCAGGGCTTTGACCGTCTGCATTGTTGAAAATTTATGTGTGTATCTTTCGACTCTTCCAAAACTTAATTACTGTTGACTGGAAGCTTTACTGATAACACAAATGGTCAATTAACACATATTTTGTATGATGTAAGTATTATACAGTATATTCTTACAATAAAGTAAACTAGGGAAAATCATATGAACAGAAATATATTTACTATTTATTAAGTGGAAGCGAATCATTATAAAGGTCTTCATCTTTATTGTCTTCACATTGAGTAGGCTGAGGAGGAGAAGGAAGAGGACGGGTTGGTCTTGCTGTCTCAGGGGTAGCAGACGCAGAAGAAATCTACCCTATATAAGTGGACTCATGAAGTTCAAACTTGTGTTATTTAAGGGTCAACTGTATTTTTGGATCCTTGGTATTTTCCCAACAATGAGAGGATATTGGATTTAGTTGACTCTGAATGTTTTCTTCCTCTTTGAAAGTTTATGCTTGATTTTACCTGATACGAACTTTTGGAGGAAATAGGGACTCTGGGGTCCTTCATCATCTAACTTATAAGTACAAATGTCTAGTTAAGATATTGCACATATTCTTGTTCTCATAATGTTCAAGATCCTGAGATGCCTAGGAAGAAATAAGACATTTATTTATTTTTTTCTTATTTTAAGTTTACAAATTTCCTTAGGACCCCAATCTTTCTTCAGCCTACTGGCACCAACCCAGTTACACACACACATGCATACACATACAGAGATGTGTGGAAAGAGGTCATCATCAGATCATCCTTTTCATTTTCTCATCAGATTATTATTGAGAATAAGCTTGTCCATCACTCCTGACTTTGTCTTTGTGGTGAACATATATTCAACTGTGGCTCCTGCCTTTTTCATTAGAGCGCTTTTAAGTCAGAAAAGTTTTTTTTTTTTTTTTTGTCAATCTGGGGCATAATATGGTAAAATGATCAAACTATAAGCTACTGGAACCAGGAAGTATGAATGATCATGTTTGATTCAGAAAATGCCCTAAATTTCTTGTTTTCTACACAAGAGGGAACTTTAACTAGATAAAGCTTAGCCTAGCAGTTGAGATTTCTCACCAAAATCCAGGTACTCTACAACCATTTCTATAGTTATAGAACTCAAGGACAAACAAATTGGAGATACTGCATGCAAAATTAGAACGGCATGCTGCCAGTACACGTTATAATGAGAGCAAGCTGACTTGCAGAAGAAAATTGACCCTATCTGTGTAACTAAGAAAAAAATAGGACACTACAAATATGGGAAGACTTTAAACTTAAAAGTATGAAATTTGAATAACGATAGACTGAGAAACATAATTTTGTGCAATTCATACCAACAGTCCTGGTCTGTGAAAAGGATCGATTCAATACAGATGGCTCATCATTCAAATAGCATCAGTCACTGAAAAGGAACTAGAATGTTATAAAAAGGAGAATGTTAATAAAACAGCTGAGCCCAAAGAAATCTGATTTGGTTTTGTCTGGCAAATGATCTCACTGATTTCTTAGTTAAGGGAGAATGGATGTTAAAGTCAGAATAAGACTAAATCTTCCTTTTAGATTTATCCATGTGTAATTTTGACCCAATCTCTAATAATCTGCATATGATTCTTGCTTGGGTAATGGTCATTCTTTATTAATAGGTTTCTTTGTTATTAAAAAAGGAGTCATTAAAAGGCAGGTACCTAACAAGGTGACCACCACTCTATAACTAATATTGATGTTTATCCCCAGAATTTTAAAGCTAAGATTTTAATAAAATACAGTCCATTCTGGTTGAATCACATGTTTTATTTTCTCCATATTTCTAGGTTAGTAAATGATCTGCAATTTTCAAAACCATATTCATTTGTTTAAAGAGTAGTGTGTCTTTAGAGTGCACCTTCTGAAGTTCTTGTTAAATATGCAGAACTTCTGAGATACAAACTAAAAATTGAGAATGACTCTAATGAGTTTTTTGTTCTATCTCTGTAATAAAAATATAATTCGTTTATGAACTCAAATTTTTCTTTCGTTCAAACCGTTTTATATAGTGTATAGACATTTATTGCATACTACTATTTATTATTGGGGATTATGCTAGCCATAGTAAGTGAGAGGATATTAGATAATTTTCAATTATCTCTGCTAAATCAATACAAGTGAAAAATAAAATACAAATTATTAGCAGTGTATAACAGTAGAAATCCAGATAAAACATCTTCTCAAGGGTTTTCTTTTTTCCTACTGTCAGGTCAATTTTGGTTCAAAAATGGATGGCGACGATGAATAAAACTAATGCACACAGATTGAATCTCAGAATTGGGACCAGATGAGTAAATGTTCAGCACTTGTGTTCCCTCTTTTTAGAAAGTGCTTTGTTAGCAAAGCAACTTGACAATGTTTCTTGAAGGAAAAATGATCACACAGGGTTTCATTTGGATCATAACTATTCTTAAATGAAATATATATCTAGAAATCACAATACTCTAAGACCTGAATGATTTTTAATATAAAATTTAAAGTCCACTCTTGAATTATTAACTGGGCCATTTTGTCAAACCAGTTATTAATTGTTTATAAATATTTCATTGTAGCTAGTACTATTTTCCAAAGTCATAGTCCTGAAAGAGGATTTGTAAAGAAAAGTAATGTGCTCAGGTCTTCTTATATAAAAATTAAAGGTAAAATATTAGCTATCGATAAGCTATGAAAGATTTTAAACTTCCCAACCAGGCTACAGAAAGTTCCTTACAAATGATGGCAATTTAAAAGAGATTTCAGTTCCATTTCTCAGTGTTAGTTTGGGTGCCTATATGTAGGGCAACATGCTGAGGTCTGGATACAATGAAAAGGAAAGTGGTATTTATTTAAAGAAACATATGATTCTGTTTACATTCATATAAGGAAAAGTTCATTTACAACAAAGTTCTTGGTATATTTTTTATAATTGGAAAACTTACTGAGTTTCTAGGTGCTGAGGATAATTGCTAAGTTTATATACTGAGTTCTGTTATAAAGAATTGCAGAAAGAACTGATAATAATGGCAAAATATTCTGAGAAAACTGGAAAAATTGCTCAGACCCAATTTCCTGATGAAAAGACTGATGTTTTTGACAGTTCTGAAAATTGTTTTTCTTTTCTCCTGTTGCTCTCCGCTAATTGTAATATCCATATTTCACTTTTTATTAGTGCCAGATTGCAAAACCCCTGTCAACAAGATTATAACAAGGGTATAAATGTGGGAAAAGAATAATACAGATTTCCTTCCATATGGTATATATGTACATGTAGGACTTTTGGAATTTGTTACCACGTGCCAAGGAGCTTGGTAATAACCAAGATGGAATATCAAAAGATGAGACAAGGTCATTAGAAGAGGTGATATCAGAATTACCACCGGGAAGGCGAAGATTGCAGGAAAAAAAAAGAGGCAGCTTTGTTTGTTTTCCTCATTAGCTGCCCTTCCTTCCTCTAACACATATTCACCGGTACACTGTTATGGAGAGATAATGGAAGGTATTAAGATGGGCAATAAGAGTAGTGGGGTTGCTGTAGAGGGGATGTGGGGATGGTTAATAGGTAGAAAAAATATGAAGAATGAATAAGACCTACTATTTGGTAGCACACCAGGGTTACTACAGTCAATAATAACATAATCATACATTTTAAAATAACTAAAAGAGTACAACTGGCTTGTTTGTAACACAAAGGATCAATGCTTGAGGGATGGATACCCCATTTTCTATCATGTGACTATTACACATTGTATGCCTTTCTCAAAATATTTCATGTACCCCATAAATATATACATCTGGTATGTACCCACAAAAGTTAAAAAAATTAAATAAGTAAATAATAAATATACATTTTATTGCTACCCCAAACCCACTTCCCATTCTTCGTAATGTCATAACTTCAAATTTCCTTTGGCAACCAACCCTCCCCACATCCGTTCATGTCATTTGGGATTATTCTAATATAAAGCAATCAGATTACCTCATTTTCACTACCACCACAATTGGTTCTAGAGTGGTTGTTATGGTTTGAATGTATGTGTACCTCCTAAATTCCTGTGTCGGAACTTAAACCCCAAGATGATGGTGTCACAAGGCGAGGCCTTTTGGAAGTGATTAAGTCAGAAAGCTCTACCCTCATGAATGGGTTACTGCCTTATAAAAGAGGTGGAAAGGAGTACCCTAGTGACTTTGTCCTTTTCCCTTCCACCTCCCGCCATGTGAGGATGCAGCAAGAAAGTCCTCAGCAGACACCTGATCTGAGGCCTGGATTTTGGACTTCTGAGCCTCCAGAATTGTAAGAAATAAATTTCTGTTCTTTATACATTACCAAGTCTAAGGTTTTCTGTTATCGCAACAGATACAGACTAAGACATCAGTCTTGGCCAAGTAAGGCCACTGTGAGGCTCTAAAGAGGCACCCTGTGGGGAGACCCCAAGATGGCAAAGGACATTTAAATCCTCAGATGAGCCACACGCAAGAAAACCAACTGATGACATGGATTCTGAGGGTGTCTGGGTTCTGGATCAAGCTATGCTTGACAACATTGTCATCTTTCCAGTGGTGACAGTCAATAAATAACCTTCGGGTTTTACATAAAATTTATCTGGCATTTTTGCTGCATACAAATGAATTAGTTCCGTAACACATTTGTAGATTTTTTGCCATTTTCCCATAATCCAGCATGCTCCAAGATGTACTACTGTATTAATACCAAGTATTGTTCTGGTAAAACAAAAAAAAAAAAAAAGAGAAACAGTAAGTTTTTGCTTTCCTTGCCCAATCAAATTGTTTAGCTAACTCACATGGAGTTATATTTTTAAAATACCATCTAAAGTCTTAATGACTCTAAGAACAATGCATGTAGGCAATATCCAGTTGCTATGTATAAAATTTCAAGAAGTGCTTACAGAGTTGATTAAGATGGCTTGATTTGATTTGAATAAAGAAATGATTGGCCTCAGAAGGCTTTGTTTCTGTCTTTTTTCCTATCTCTATATATAGATAAAGTATTCTGCCATATATTTTGTTAATGTAGCCTTGGACATGGAGAGTTAACAAAAAACAGGGAAAATAAAATTATGTACTTTTTTTTTGGTGGAGCGGGGGAAGGTATTATGTGTCTGACTTCCTCTGTGTGCTATAAGTTTACTGGTCATCAGATAACTAACACTGTATTCATCACCAACTTATAATCACTTAGTAGCCTATGATGACATGTGATTTGGATATTTAATGAGACTTGAAAAGAAACAAAATTCTTTTTTGTAGCTCCCCACATATATCCAATAACATAAGCTTGACACATGCGATAAGTTGAAATGCCAGATGCTCATATCATGAGTATATTTGCCAAAGTGTCTTTTGCTCAGTGCCTGTAACTGAGTAGGTTCTGCATGACCATTCACTCCATCAGTCTGAGTCCCACGCTTCTGTATGAGATGGATTTCAACACTGCATATTACTCATGATCTCACCACTTGTAAAATAAATGTTTTTGCAATGTACAGAATATCTTTGCTTTCAACACTATGTAAAGCATAAAAGAAGAAAAACCAACACTAAATTATTTGAATCTATTATAGATTAACATTTTAATGGTTTTTTATTATTAAGAATTTGATAAATTATGTAGGAAGGCCAAGATAAATTAGCTATAAGAAGCTCATTTGAAGGTGCCGAAATTCCACTTAGAACTAATTTGCTAATTAGTCAAGAAATAGGCTGTGTTGACAATGCTCATAATTCATGGGTGTATTCTCTTCAATTCTCATAAACTTTGTGACCATGAGATTGATTAATAAGTATTTTATCAGAACTCTTTCTTTCAAGTATGGTGTAACCTTGTTGTACATCTTTGATTTAATTCCTGCCAAACTCCATTTAAGAAAAATAGTAAATTTGTTTTTGTATCAACAAATGGCACTTTCATTATTACCTCCATTGAACGTTACCCTGAGACAAAGAAAATACTGTTTAGTTATATGTTCGCTGATTTTTCAAAAAATTAACTTTGACTAAGCATTCATTATTCTTCCTAGTAAATTGATGTGTCCTCACTATATCTGTCATATTATAAAAATATATTGACAAAATAACAGCTTATATAAGCTACTTTTCTTAGTATGCATTCTGTACAAATAGTTTGAAATAAGTTATGCAGGGAAAGTACCGAATATTATCATTATCCTGTGCATCAACAGGCCACCTAACCATTTGGGAGTTTCATTAAAAATGACATTTGAGAAGAGCAACAAATTGGGACTTCATAACCCTTGTTATTCTCTGTGAGTGCCGCAGGCTGTTTATAGATTACTCCTACAACATACTTTACATGAAAGAAAAGGAAAGGGAAAGGAAAGGAAGGAAAAGGAAGGGAAAGGAAGAAAATAAGGAAGTCTAGGCAGCCTGAAATTATGAAATTACAGATTGCTTTGGTGTACAATGACCAAATAAATAAATAAATGAAACAAAAAAATGACATTTGAGAAAGAGAAAGAGAAAGAAAGAAAGAAAGGAAGAAAGAAAGAAAAAAAAGAAAGAGGAGAGAAAGAGAAGAAAGAAAAAGAAAGAGAAGGAAGGAAGAAAAAAGAAGGAAGGAAGGGAGGGAAGGAGGGAAGGAGGAAGGAAGGAAGGAAGGTAGGTAGGAAGGAAGGAAGGAAGGAAGGAAGGTAGGAAGGAAGGAAGGAAAATGGTTAGTTTATTCTCCAACTATTGTTGGCTTCATAGCGTATTCTTCTAAAAGAGTGGCTGTATTTTTCCTAGCATGTTTCTCTTATTTTGAGCTTGGCAACTGAAAAGTTCTAGAAAGGAGAATGAAGGAAAAACAGAGTCTATGAATTTAGTATAAATTAACATTGAGATGGACACTTTGGCCTTCTGGTCTACCAGTAGAGCCCTATGGAATGATCTCTTGAGGATATAATGCCAAGGTATACTGAGGGAAATTATATCAATGCTCAGGTTGGAAATAAGTTCTAGTTCCACCTTATAGGTAGCCAAAAAATACCAACTCCTGCATCAAAGAGCAAACATTTAGCTCCATAGGAAATGTTTAGTCACTCTCTAGGCTATACATCTTGGAGCTGTTGTTTGATGATTCTTCAAGAAACTACTGGTGAATAAGCTGTCCACAGATTTAAAACTTCCATGAAATACATAATTATCTTATGTGAAATTATGAGACAGCTATAATATTGTCATGATTGGAGGGCATTCTGAATCTCCCATCTACTCCCTAGAGGAGTTAAGCATGCAATTGGAGTTTCAAGATGTTTGGCCAAAATGTGCTGGAAAAGCAACCTTCTCTTGAGAATGACAGAGCAGATTACGTAAAATATGGAATATGTCTTTTTGTGTCTCATGTTCAAATGTCATACATAGAATGCTTCTACTAAAGGCAAATGTAAAAGGTATGAGGATGGAAGTTAACTTTGAGAATGATTGGTCTAGCAGGGGCATCAGCTACAGTCAAGTTGCTCAGTATCATTGTGGAATCCCCAGTCCACCTGTACTTCAGAGCCACGAGACGTATTCGGAAACTCTTGTGGAACATTAAATTGTGATACAGCTTTTCCTATGCTTACAACCTTTGAGGGTTTCTTCTCTAAATAACTTATTTGAGTAGATTACAGCTAACAAGGTGGGAGAAATAGAGTCAATGTTTAGACTCCAATCAATCAACAAAACGTAATCAAATGCCAAACAAGTGTTAAATGATCTTAACTCAAGTGAAACAACATTGTTCTGAAGGGATCTGGGGCCTGGTTCAATCTTGCCTTAAAGCATAAACTTTAAACATTTGTTAAAATCACTTCTCTTCAAATTTTCCATAATTTTATAACCTGTTCTGTCATTCCAAGCAGTTTTATTTACTTGAATATATGTCCTCATTTTATCTGTGTTACGAATTAATTTGAAAAATTAACCTATTATTGACTTAAAGTAATTCAGGAAATGCTACAAATTTTTGCTTTGTTAACATGTACACTGAAATATTTAAATTTATTCAGTCCTGGCAGTTATGCATTTTCCTTACTATTCCTGTATTCAAAATTTCTAGTGGAGTTTAACAGGATTTTAACAAATTCATTCTTTTAACGATTCTAGGAAAACTTAGCACATGATTTTTTTTTCCTCCTAGATGCATTAGGATAAACCGACTGAAGTTGCTCTTTGTCAATGCTGTGATTTCAGTGCCTCTGTGTCGTTCAGTAAAACATATGTTACAACAGATTTGGTACTGTGCCCTCATTTCTATAACAGCCTTAATTCTGCAGGTTCTTGATGCAAGTTGTTGGCCTTTGTTTGTGTTTGATTCTCACAGCATATGAGCATTTATAATGTGAAAAAGTCTCATTTTTTTATATACTAGTAGAAATATCTTTGCCATTCTAGTATCTGATGTGGTTTGATTTTAACAACAAAGTCATCCTTGTTTAATATCTTCAGGATGTTTGCCTTTCTGTTCATGTGTCAGGACTTTAATTGCAGAGCTCCGCTGTGGTGGCTGTCTCAAAATGTGAGAATGTACCTTGTAAATCAGCATTCATCTTTCACTTTGTCACTGTTAAAGTACCAGAGAGAAATACTCTCTTAAAAATTATTTTCGTTTGTGTCAACTTCTTTTACATTCTTTCTAACTATACTCTTTAATGCAGTAGAGTGGCTATATTTTCATTGAAAAAAATTCACTGATCAAGATGATCTCCAAACTTCCAATCTCAATCTTCTTCCTGGAATGAGCCACCACTATCATGTTGAATTACAGCCTTCCAAACTTTCAACCATGTATGCATATACATGTATACATATGTATGTTCATCTATTTATCTAATGCAGCCTATGTCTTAGCTTTAAATGTAAATGATATTGTATTCTTGCTTTTTTTTCACTTAACAAACAACATGTTAAAGATATCTTTCCTATTTCTGAGTGTAGAATCTCACCATATATATATATATATATATATATATATATATATATATATATATACCTCTTCCTTGGTAAAGAATTAGGTAACTCACTATTTTTCTGCTTCAAAAAATCACGCAATGCACATCAACATCATTATAAAAATCTTTTATATCTGTGTACTTTTATTCCACATAAATGCAGATTTGCAATTTTTGGATCTGTGGGTGATGTGTGAGTAATATTGTAGGGGGGAACTTACATTTTTAAAAAGTTATAAAAAAAAGTTCACTAAAAGATCTGTAACATTTAAAAAATTCCTTAGCATTTATCACATCTTCACGACAAATTCACATCATCAAATTTCATATATTTTTAATCTGGTGGTTGAGAAACATCGTATGTCATTATTTACTTTCCATTTTAGTGATTATTACTGAGATTGAGCATCTTTTCTTAGGTTTTTCAGCCTTGTGTTGGTGAGTCAATTATTCACGTCTCTTGTCTATTTCTTTTACTGCATTGTTTTTTATAAAGAGATATAGGATTTAAACATATTCTGCATATGAATTATTGGGTATTGTTAAAAGAAAAACTTCAGCTGAATTAATTTTAAAGGGGTTTAATTGAGCAATGAATGATTTGCGTTTCAGGCTGCTCCCAGAATGACAGCAGATTCAGAGAAACTCCAGGGGTGCAATGTGGTCAGAATAAATTTATAGACAAAAAAAGTAAAGTGAGGTACAGAAATCAGAAGCGAGGTACAGAAACAGCTGGATTGGTTACAGCTTGGCATTTGCTTTATTTGAACACAGTTTGAATGCTCAGCAGTGTATGAGTGGTTGAAGTGTGGCTCCTAGGATTGGCCAAGACTCAGCAATTGTTACAGGCGCATATTCCTAGTTAGGTTTTCAGTCTCGTCTACCTATTAAGCTAGGTTATGGTTCCTCCACAAAGACTCAAATACAGAATTACAGACTCCTTCTCAGGCCATATTTAGTTTGCTTTAACAATATTAATATTTAATAATTTCTCCCAATTGATTTGACTTTTAACTTTATAAATAGTATGTTGTACAGCAATTTTAAATTTGAAGGAATAAACTGCATCTTTTTCTTTGTTTTTTTTTTTTGGATTTGTGTTTTTTCTTAGAAGCTCTGTTTAGTTTAAATTTATATAAAAATGTTGATATTTTCCCTTCAATATTTTGAGTTATTATCTTTTAAATCCATCTGGAATATTAATGTGATGCTAAGTGACTCTAAATTTATAAATTTATATATTAATAAACAAGTATACAAGTACCATTAGTTTTATTAATCCCCCATTGATTTGAATGCAAATCACCACATTAGTATGTGTTGTCTACACAAAAGCCAGCCAAGATTTCCTTCTGACTTTTCTTCATTTTCTATATTTGTCAGAAAGCGTGGACATTCAGTTACCCAGATTCCTTTGCAGCTTGCTGTGGACATGTGATCCAGTTCTTGCCAATGAATTTCAATGGGGTTTCCTCAAAAGTTTCATCTATGGATCCATTTAGCATCCCTCATTTGGCTTTGGTTCAGTCATGGTCTTCCTGCTTAGAATATGAATGAGTTTTGAGGAACAACTGTCTTGAATCCATGTGACAAAGCTCCATATGGAAGGAGGGTGGGAGAAAAAGCTGAAAAGGTCTGTGTTTCTAACAGCATCACTACACCACTGTTTTCAATGCTGAAATACTATTAACCACAATTTATTTGCGCTGGTGTTGTTGGGTTTTCTGCTGCATGCAACGAAATGCGATCTAAACTATTAGAAACATAAACTAAATTCCAATATATTTCAGTCTCTGTTTCTTATCTGTTTCCTTTCATATTACTATTTATTACTACACAACAATAATTGAATTCATATTTAATTCACATAGATTTTATTATGTATGTTTAATATGTGGATATATCTTATTTAATTTTTATAAACTTTTATTCTTTAATTCAATGTTAAAATTTATTATTTTATCATATTTTCTAAAAATCATATTTAGGTATATTTTGTATATTATTTATATAATTACGTTATGAATATATTGAATGTTTTGTTTGTTTTGTCTTTGCATAGTATTTTCTAACTTATTAATATAGAAAATTATATTATTATGTTATGTAATTTGAACTATTCTGGATTACAGAGGTAAATCCTGGTTGATTGTGTTGTGGTTTTTATTTTAGTATATTTTCAATGCAATTTGGTAAAATTTTTGGAGAATGGTACATCTGTGCTTATTACTGATATTGAATTGTAGTTTTCTTTCTTTTGCCATCATTTTCTGGCAGAATACCATGGTTATTTAGGTCTGAGAAAATGATTATGGTATTTTTCCATTGTTTGCTCTGAAATACTTTGTAAAAGTTGTGAATAATCTGTTCTTTGAACATTTGGCAAAACTTGTTCATAAACTATTTAGGTGTTATAGGTAGGCTTAGTTCTTGAACTTAATTTTTTTTTAAGAATTCATCATTCTAAAATATTATTTAGTAATGACTATAATGTTGGTAAGTTGCTGATTTTATCTTTTATATTTTGCCTTGTAATTTCTCAGATAATCAAAGAAAATTAAATAAGATATGTATTATACAAATTAACATTTACAACATAGCTAACATTATTTGAGGTTTTCAGTTTAAGTAACAAAGGGAATTTCTTATGACAAAGTAGCATTTCTTTTAAGAAAGTGCTCTTAAAATTTGTGAAAAGTTGTAACATAATTTAAAATACAGGTTCTAAATTTTTATTTATAATATTAAAAATTTATATTTAAAACTGATTTAATGGAATGTTATTGAGGACATCAGACAAATATCTTGACAAAGAACACAAAATATATAATTTTAGAGAGTATCATAATACCTCACAATATTGTCTTACAATTATAGGCATTTTCTATAAATGCCTTTTGAAATAGTAACAGACAGGGGACCTACTGCTTCCTTACAAAATAGGCACCTCTCTTCTAAGCAATACTGAATACAAAGTATATTCGATTTTCAAGTAACAAACATTTATATTTGTAATGTTCAATTGATTATAAAAAATATAACTAACATAAAACCTAACAATTTTTAAGTAAAGAAATTTTTCATTTTGATTATATTTCATATGATATTATTTCATGGTAATGTTTTATGTATCATGATCCTTATCTGGCATTGTGAACTATACATTTGTGTACTCAGAATCAATAATGATAAGTCACTTGTACATCTGGAGGATTCTTTTCAAAGTTAAAATATGTGTTTGTTTACATATATATGTATATATACGTATATATATACATATATACGTATATATATGTATATATATACGTATATATACATATATATATATACATATGTGTATATATATATATATAAACAAAGTTAAAAAGAGCCTCTGTATTCATTGGTTGTGGCAGCCTGATAGGAAAGATCAAGGGTGACTCCTGGGGTTTAGGCTGGAGAAACTAGCAGGCAGGTGATAAAATTCCTTTCCTTATTGGTTTATGACCTCTATTTGTAAAAATTTGTCTGTCATACTTGTATAAATTGTTTTTCCAATTTGTTTCCTTATAAATTTTTAATAATTAGTTTTGACATTAAAAAGTTCAAAGTGGTCAAATCTATTTAAGACTTCTTACATGGATTTATGCTTAGAAGATCATTTCCCATCTTCAGAGAAAAGATGCCTTAATTTGCATCTTTAAAAATATTATTCTTTTATAGGTAGCTCTTTAATTTAGCAGAAATGTATTCTGTGGTATGATGTGAGCCTATATATTAATATATTTTGTTAAAATTTAGCTCATTCCACAAAAGCATGATTATTGGATTGGAGGGCACATAAAAGTAAAATGTTAAAGTCAGAGAATTCTCACGCTCTCTTTATCTGCATCTCACGTATCATGAGCAAAGTAAAGAGGGAAAGGTTCAAGGAGAGGTGTTTGCTCCATTTTTACTGCTCTTCAGGCAGGAAGCAGTATTCCTTCTCTGATCTCTTATTCCCTTTTGCTGTCACTCTTCAATCAGCCACCTCCTTATGATTTTCTTACTCTTGGTCCTCAGATTCCCACTTCCAGTACCTGTGGTTCATTTTCTGATGCTCGAACATTATAGTTGTGCCCACAACACATACATTTTATTAGGCAATAAGATGTTATTTGATGGCCCATGATTTGAGAAGCACCAGCAATTGTCATCTTTGATGGAGGAAAGGAGAAGAGCTAAAGGAATTAAAAAAAATTTTTTAATGGAGTAATACAGATTTCCTAAATGCAAAGCTGAAAGCATAAATGCACTTTATTTTCTTAACTATCTCTGATTGTCAGAAGGAACTAAAACTCTTGGTAGAAGAGAGATTAAGCAATATTTTGTTTCAATTTTCCGTCACAAAGCTGAAGTTACATTAGTCTTTATGCTAGCCAAATTTACATTTATTCAGGCATTCTTTCCCTCATTCTTTCAACTTACTCATTTTTTTCCAAGCAGTATTTAATTAACTAGGTACTAAGTGTCAAGTTAGCTTTTAGCTATAGGTTATTGGAAGATGAGTGACATTCAGCTTCTGCCATTAAAAATCTTCAAGCCTTAGTGTGAGATGTAGATACACAAGAAGATTTTTATCATCCTGTGGTAAGGGCAGTGATGGAGACTGGGCTGGTTTGAATGCACATGGAGGGTTGGCTCCCTGAAATTGGTTTATGTGGTGAAGGGTAAGAGTTCCTGAAAGAAATGTTATGCATTACATTAGTGAGCTTACTTTAAACAAGGGGGAATGTAAAATTAGCAACACTGGAGAAGGGAGAGGGATGAGGCAGGAGGACAATCTAATTCTATGCATCTTTAAAATTTTAACGTATGAGAACAACATATTTTCTGAGTTTTATTGGGAGTGCTCCCAAATAATGAACAAGAGTTGGTGAGTCAGGTAACCCCAATTCCAGAAGCTGTTAGCTTTGTGCATGAATCATGCTCCCTGGGGATCAGCATTCAATCCAGGCTGTGAGGTGAAGCTGATTAGGTTTAGACATCTAGAAACTAGAGCCACAACTTATTCAGAGATGGTAAAGGTCACTGCTTATTTTGGCTAAAATGGTTGTGAAAATATAAAATATGACAATATTTTGTAAAGCATGTAGGCATTCTAAATGGGTTTGTAAAATCGTATAAACAACAGTGAACTCTAATTATTCTGTAGTGGCAAAGTATGTTTTCTTCTCCCAAATGTTAATATTTTCTTTTTCTGTAGAGATAGTTCTAGGCAGAGTTACCAAATTTCTACCTTGACGTTTACTGATATTAACAATGGAATATCTCTAAATTAAATCATTAATTAAGAGATCTGATGACATTTGGAAGTGATATTAAAATAAGTCAAATATTTAACCAAAAAGAAAGCCAGTGTTTTCCTGTTGATAAATCAAGCCCATTAAGTTGCTTCTTTGTGTATTTCAGATAACTATAATCTTATCTCAAGTCAACTGGAAAAATTGTCCGATTTTAAAAATTGCATTTAATTTCTTACCAGTGAGCACAAAAGTGCTCTAGGGTTAGAAAAAGATGTATAGGATCTTAGAAAAAGTTATATTCTCTGAATGTTTTTGAGATTAAATACATTCCTCTCATAGTGTCTGGGAAATGACCTTTTTGTGTTCTTTTTAATAGCTTCAAGAGATATTTGATTTTCTAAAGAGGAACAAAGGAAACAGCAACATTCTGTTGCCTTTTCTCTCTGGTGTCTCATTTTTTTTTTTCCAATATGTTCTTCAAGCTATGCAAATGAAAGTCAAATTACTGTCTGACATACCACAGTCAGAGAGAACCAGAAGGAGTTTTTAAAGATCTATAGACTCACACTCTAGACAATTTATAAAAGGCTGATGTATAATTGGATTCATTAAAGTTCATATTGAAAAATTCCATTTTATAGTTATTTTAAATTATTTCTGCATAGTGTGGGTATACGTATGTGTATACATGTGTGTATGCATTCACGCACATATGTATAGGTATACTATTAAAGGTCATTTTATTTATATATATGCCTATACATACCCACAAACACACACAGAGTCAAAGAGAGAGACTTTTCCCTTAACAAATTCAGAATTGATCCCATATAATTTCTTTCACCAGCACTCACCTGAACAAACTTGACTTCTTTCTTTGGCATCTTTCTTCCCACATCCACCCCATTTCCTCAGTAAATCTGAAAGCTTTTTTGTTTTTTGGTTTTTTTTTGCATTTTTGCTGATACAGCAGGCTTCTGTTCTACAATATGGCATAATGGAAATCAGAATTGGGAGGTGAGCTGGAATCTGAGTGCACTCCAGTCCTACTTTGTGGGAAGCAGCCACGCCCTCAGGCAAAGCATTTAACATGGGCTCCTGTGCCAGGATCATCACAGCAGCCATGAAGCTTATCTTAACTTCTCATTTAAACACAAATCGCCTGCTTCTCGTTTTTTCTCATCTGCAAGATAACTAGAATAATTGTACTTATGTCACAGAGATGCAGAGGGCTGGAATAAGATATTGCGTGCAGTGCACGTAGAATGATGGCTGGCACCCAAAACACGTCCCATTAATATTAGGTGCTACGTTGTGGCGAGATGGAGACTTGGGGGATACCTGGATACAGGTGATCATGCAGGCAGTAAATGTAGGTGGGACCACTTACAGAGTGTAGAATGAGGAAAGCGTCCAGAAATGCAGTGTCTGATAACATAGCCACTAGCTCAACAAAGCTGTTTAAATTTAAATTAATTAAATAAAAACCATTTCATTAGATACACTGGCCACATCTCGATCTCAATATGCACATGTGTTCATTGGCTACATATTGGCCAATGCATTTTCATCATCACAGAAGTTTCTCTGGGAAGCAGTTATCTTGCATAAAATTCTAATTAATGTGCCTAATTAAGATATCATGATAGGAATAGCTAATAATCACTGAGCATTTACCATGTCATGTGCTGTGCTGAAAACATTAATAAATTATCTGCATTTTTTCCTCAAAAGCTCTATGAAATACTCATTATTGCATTCCCATTTTACATCAGAAGAAACCAAGAATCATGTAATTGAAAGCATGGCTCTGGGTGACTTATCAAAGGAGAATTTGGAGATGCTGTGACTCAAATCTAAGTGTGATGTGGCTTGGTTGTGTCCCCCCGCCAAATCTCATCTTGAATTCCCACGTGTTGTGGGAGGGACCCAGTGGGAGGTAACTGAATCACGGGGCCAAGTCTTTCCTATGCTGTTCACGTGATAGTGAATAAGTCTCACAAGATCTGGTGGTTTTTAAAAGACGAGTTCCCTTGCACAAGCTCTCTCTCTCTTTGCCTGCTGCCATCCATGTAAGATGTGACTAGCTCTTCCTTGCCTTCCACCATGATTGTGAGACTTCCCCAGCCAGGTGGAACTGTAAGTCCAATTAAACCTCTTTCTTTTGTAAATTGCCCAGTCTCAGGTATGTCCTTATCAGCAGCATGAAAACGACGGACTAATACAAAGTTAGATTCCCAAATAGCAGTTCCATATCAGTGTTTCATTTAGTCTCTGTCAGCCTTATTATCACACATAGTTGATTCTAAGAATTCTACAGGCAACATTATTTATATTAAGAAAACATTTACTCTTTATGTGTAAGCTAACTTTCTATTTCTGAAGTTTGCTGTATCTTCTGTGGTGATACAGAATGGTTATATTATTAAAAATTTTTAATTATTTTTAATTTTTCAAATATTCTAAAGCCAAAAGACAGAACTGTTAAATAATTTACCTAATGGCACATATCATTGAGTGTCTGGCCAGGAGTCAAACCAGCTCTTTGGGAAACAGCACAAATGCTGAAACCAATTCTCTAGAGCTCAAATCTGAGCACTTCTGTTTGCTATCTCCCCCTCTGTCTCCCTGGAGTGGTCATATGCACCTTTACTGTATTCCTTATGCACTTACCTTATTTTATAAAACCTGTGGTCAAACATTTGCTGAGTACAATTAAAATTGTGCACAAATCACTGCTGTTTCTTCTCTTACCCATAAAAGAAGCCAAGATACTGCAGCCTGTTGTTTCTGGCCTCTGTTTTTCACTGGTTCTGTTTTGTGTTATGTTGATAATAAAAAATACTTTACTATTTTGCTTACAGACATTTTGACAATGCTGTAACTCTTCTATCATCAATCTTGTTAATAATAAAATTAAGACAATCAAGCACTATTATAGCCATTCTGAATTAAAAACTGTTCTTCTCAGGAATAATAACTTTTTTGCAAGACTGCATTTTCCCTCTGTTTCTGCAGTGTGCTGCTGATTGGTCTGTGCCAATCTGTCACTCTGCATACCTTTGCATTTATTTTTAAGTGGCATTTTGATGATATGTGTGACTCATGCGATGCTAATGATACTTTTCATATTCAATTCAATTTTGTCTTATATACTGTACCGACATAGCCACAAAATTACTAGCGTTTGTATAAAAACTGTTCTACACAATTATCTTGAGCTTAGAGAATTACTCTTTCAATTCAAACTAAAAATGTCACCACTTAACTACTTCTATCATCCTGTCAATCATATCCTGAGATGTCATTTCAAGGTAGGAATGAAAAATCATGTTCTCAACAAAAAGAAAAATAATAAAACATTTCTATCTCAATAAAATCATATCCCAGTCCCATGTATCAGGGCTATCTAATGACAGAAGAGACATGTCATTTATTCTCATGGGAAAACACATCATGCCAAAAAATTATGATTGAAAATTCTATTTTAACATTCTTGTCTCTATTGTGTATATTCAATAAACATTTCTTGACTGACAAACATATCAGATTGGGTGTAAACTGCTACTCAGTAATTATTTTTTGTACTCAAATTTTAAGAAATTTAAATATCTGCAAATTATTTTTTAAATGCCTGTAATCTTGATGCTGTTACACAGTATTTCAGGTTTGTAATTTTTATCTGAAACTGTACCAACATAGCCATAAAATTACTAGCATTTGTATAAAAACAGTTCTACACAATTATCTTGAGCTTAGAGAATTACTCTTTCAATTCAAACTAAAAATGTCACCACTTAACTACTTCTATCATCCTGTCAATCATTCCCTGAGATGTCATTTCAAGGTAGGAAAGAAAAATCATGTTCTCAACAAAAAGAAAAATGATAAAACATTTCTATCTCAATAAAATGATACCTCAGTCTCATGTATCAGGGCTATCTAATGACAAAAGAGACATGTCATTTATTCTCATGGGAAAACATATCATGCCAAAAAAATTATGATTGAAAATTCTAAAATGATTTATAACATTCTTGTCTCTATTGTGTATATTCAATAAACATTTCTTGACTGACAAACAGATGTCAGATTGGGTGCAAAACTCTACTCAGTAATTATTTTTTGTACTCGTATTTTAAGAAATGTAAATATCTGCAAATTATTTTTTAAATGCCTGTAATCTTGATGCTGTTACACAATATTTTATGTATGTAATTATTATCTGCAACTGAATATGAAATCTGAAAAAGAATTTTAACTTTGCTTTTGGAATTTATATTTCAAAAAATAGAACAAGTATTCAAAATCAACTCAATTTCCTGAAGTAGTACCATTAAAAATATATATACATACTTTTTAATATATATACATACTTTTTAATATATATACATACTTTGTAGTGGTGCTACTTCATGAAATTGGTTTGATTTTGAATAGTTATTCTATTTTTTGAATATAAATTCCAAAAGCAACGTTAAAATTCCTTTTCAGATTTCATATTCAGTTGCAGAGATTCAGATAAAAATTACAAACATAAAATATTGTGTAACAGCAACAAGATTACAGGCATTTCAGGCAGATCACTTGAGGTCAGGAGTTTGAGACCAGCCTGGCCAACAGAGTGAAACCCCGTCTCTACTAAAAATACAAAAATTAGCTGGGCGTGGTGATTGACACCTGTAGTCCCAGCTACTTGGGAGGCTGAGGCAGGAGAATCGCTTGAACCTGGGATGCGGAGGTTGCAGTGAGCTGAGATCACGCCACTGCACCCTAGCCTGGGTGACAAGAGCAAAACTCCATCTCAAAAAAAAAAAAAAAAAAGTACGTATATATAATAAGGTTGATATGATAAATTAATTAAAAAATTCGTATTTATGTTCCACCATATGCCCGTCTCTATGCAAGGCATATGCAGTGCTTCTATATTAGGCACTATATATGCAAATTATATATATATATCCTGATCTCTGTATTTAATGAGCTTGAACTCCAAAAACAAATACTTTAATAAATGAAACATCAAATATAAAATCTGTCAGCAAATAATTCATAAGCTACCTACAGAGATACAACTACTACTATTGTTAACATCAGTTAAAGTCATTTTATGGAGAAGCTGGCACTTAATATGGGCCTTGAAGGACTGGTAAGGTTTGAATGAGACATGCAAAACATTCAATAAAAAATGATTGTTGGAAACAAATAATTATTTAGAACATATACTGACTTAAAAATATGAAATATAATAGCATACCTATTATAAAAAATATAATTATAAATGTAGGAATCGACTCTTTAATGTATACAAGAAATATAAAGTTAAGTTGATTTTAACTGTGTTTAATTGCAATTAAAGTAAATTAATATTATTTAAACATAACAATTACCACTAAACAGTCTGGGAGGAATTCTTGAGATTCTTTTATTTCACCTAATCATAAAATTTTTCATATATAAAATAATATGAACACAAATTATTTTGATGTCCTCTAATTTGCCTAGGCAAAAAGATATTTTTATCACACTTGAATCCTTTTGCATCAATTTGTATTATGTACTTTTGCCTGTTTCCTTTTTAAGTTAGGAATATCTGGGAAAGATAGATTTTAGTAGACTTTATGTAGCCATGCTCTTAAACGATCACACATTATAACAAAGGGCAAGGTGAGAAAGGAACTGATAAAATTACCATGGACTCCTTTATTTGGAAACTAGAGATAGATTTTGTTGACTAAATTTATAACTAGATAAAACCTAAGGGAAATCAAATTATAGAAGACATAAGCATTTCTAATACTGGTATAAATTATTAACAAAACAAAAGGGTATAAGAGGAAAACTTCATTGATAATAAATGAAATCAACCCTAAGAAGAGCTTTGTGCAAAACATTGAGAACTAGCAAGCAAATGTGTATTTACTCTCTTGAGAAGTTGTATGTGCTGAAAATATAAATAGGCAGTTTCTGCTGAGATGAGAGTAAAACAATCTGAGGGTTATGCCCCCTTAATCCAGCCCTTAAGAGGCTGCAAAAAGAAAAAGAGTCTAACAGATTCTGAAAACTAACCTAAACAGTATGAGAAGCCACTGTGGAGAAAAGATTATTGAGTCATATCAGTCTATTGGGATGCCATAACAAACCAGGGGCCTTACACAACAGAAATGTATTGTCTTACAGCTCTGGAAGACAGAAATTCCAGATCAGGGTATTGACAGGATTGGCTCCTTCTGAAGTTTGTAAAGGAGAAGCTGTTCCAGGCCTCTCTCCTCACTTCTAGCTTGCTGGGAATCTTTGGCATAACTTGGCCTGCAGGTGCATCACCTCATCTCTGCCTTCACCTGCACATGATCACATGATGTTCTTCTCCTGCACATCTGTGTCCAAATTTCCTCATTTTATAAGGACACTTATCATAATGGAATAGGAGTTTACCCTAGTTATCTTAATGAATATGCCTTCAGCAACTTAAATAAGATCAGATTCTGATTTTTAGAATTGGAAGAAACTGCATCAACTAACGAGCAAAATAACCAGCTAACATCATAATGACAGGATCAAATTCACACAAAACAATATTAACTTTAAATGTAAATGGGCTAAATGCTCCAATTAAAAGACACAGACTGGCAAATTGGATAAAGAGTCAAAACCCATCAGTGTGCTGTATTCAGGAGACCCATCTCACGTGCAAAGACACACATAGGCTCAAAATAAAGGGATGGAGGAAAATCTACCAAGCAAATGGAAAACAAAAAAAGGCAGGGGTTGCAATCCTAGTGTCTGATAAAACAGACTTTAAACTAACAAAGATCAAAAGAGACAAAGAAGGCCATTACATAATTGTAAAGTGATCCATTGAATAAGAAGAGCTAACTATCCATATATATATGCACCCAATACAGGAGCACCCAGATTCATAAAGCAAGTCCTTAGAGACCTACAAAGAGACTTAGACTCCCACACAATAATCATGGGAGACTTTAACACCCCACTGTCAACATTAGACAGATCAATGAGACAGAAAGTTAACAAGGATATCCAGGAATTGAACTCAGCTCTGCACCAAGCAGACGTAATAGACATCTACAGAACTCTCCACCCCAAATCAACAGAATATACATTCTTCTCAGCACCACAACGCACTTATTTCAAAATTGACCACATAGTTGGAAGTAAAGCTCTCCTCAGCAAATGTAAAAGAACAGAAATTATAACAAACTATCTCTCAGACCACAGTGCAATCAAACTAGAACACAGGATTAAGAAACTCACTCAAAACTGCACAACTACATGGAAACTGAACAACCTGCTCCTGAATGACTACTGGGTACATAACGAAATGAAGGCAGAAATAAAGATGTTCTTTGAAACAAACGAGAACAAAGATACAACATACCAGAATCTCTGGAACATATTTAAAGCAGTGTGTAGAGGGAAATTTATAGCACTAAATGCCCACAAGAGAAAGCAGGAAAGATCCAAAATTGACACCCTAACATCACAATTAAAAGAACTAGAGAAGCAAGAGCAAACACATTCAAAAGCTAGCAGAAGGCAAGAAATAATTAAGATCATAGCAGAACTGAAGGAGATAGAGACACAAAAAAACCCTTCAAAAAATCAGTGAATCCAGGAGCTGGTTTTTCGAAAAGATCAACAAAATTGATAGACCATTAGCAAGACTAATAAAGAAGAAAAGAGAGAAGAATCAAATAGATGCAATAAAAAATGATAAAGGGGATATGACCACCAATCCCAGAGAAATAAAAACTACCATCAGAGAATACTATAAACACGTCTATGCAAATAAACTAGAAAATCTAGAAGAAATGGATAAATTCCTAGACACATACACCCTCCCAAGACTAAACCATTAAGAAGTTGAATATCTGAATAGACCAAAAACAGGCTCTGAAGTTGAGGCAATAATTAATAGCTTACCAACCAAAAAAAGTCCAGGACCAGACGGATTCACAGCTGAATTCTACCAGAGGTACAAGGAGGAACTGGTACCATTCCTTCTCAAACTATCCCAATCAATAGAAAAAGAGGGAATCCTCCCTAACTCATTTTATGAAGCCAGCATCATCCTGATACCAAAGCCTGGCAGAGACACAACAACAAAAGAGAATTTTAGACAAATATCCCTGATGAACATTGATGCAAAAATCCTTAATAAAATACTGGCAAACCAAATCCAGCAGCACATCAAAAACTTATCCACCATGATCAAGTGGGCTTCATCCCTGGGATGCAAGGCTGGTTCAACATACACCAATCAATAAACGTAATCCAGCATATAAACAGAACCAAAGACAAAAACCACATGATTATCCCAATAGATGCAGAAAAGGCCTTTGATAAATTCAACAGTCCTTCATGCTAAAAACTCTCAATAAATTAGGTATTGATGGGGCGTATCTCAAAATAATAAGAGCTATTTATGACAAACCCACAGCCAATATCATATGGAATGGGCAAAAACTGGAAGCATTCCCTTTGAAAACTGGCACAAGACAGGGATACCCTCTCTCACCACTCCTATCTGACATAGTGTTGGAAGTTCTGGCCAGGGCAATCAGGCAGGAGAAATAAATAAAGGGTATCCAATTAGGAAAAGAGGAAGTCAAATTGACCCTGTTTGCAGATGATATGATTGTATATCTAGAAAACCCCATCGTCTCAGCCCAAAATCTCCTTAAGCTGATAAATAACTTCAGCAAAGTCTCAGGATACAAAATTAATGTGCAAAAATCACAAGCATTCTTACACAACAATAACAGACAAACAGAGAGCCAAATCATGAATGAACTCCCATTCACAATTGCTTCAAAGAGAATAAAATACCTAGGAATCCAACTTACAAGGGATGTGAAGGACCTCTTCAAGGAGAACTACAAACCACTGCTCAATGAAATAAAAGAGGACACAAACAAATGGAAGAACATTTCATGCTTATGGATAGGAAGAATCAATATTGTGAAAATGGCCATACTGCCCAAGGTAATTTATAGATTCAATGCCATCCCCATCAAGCTACCAATGACTTTCTTCACAGAATTAGAAAAAACTACTTTAAAGTTCATATGGAACCAAAAAAGAGCCCACATCGCCAAGCCAATCCTAAGCCAAAAGAAAAAAGCTGGAGACACCACGCTACCTGACTTCAAAATATATTACAAGGCACAGTAACCAAAACAGCATGGTACTGGTACCAAAACAGAGATATAGACCAATGGAACAGAACAGAGCCCTCAGAAATAATACCACACGTCTACAACCATCTGATCTTTGACAAACCTGACAAAAGCAAGAAATGAAGAAAGGATTCCCTATTTAATAAATGGTGCTGGGAAACCTGGCTCGCCATATGTAGAAAGCTGAAACTGGATCCCTTCCTTACACCTTCTGCAAAAATTAATTCAAGATGGATTAAAGACTTAAATGTTAGACCTAAAACCATAAAAACCCTAGAAGAAAACCTAGGCAATACCATTCAGGACATAGGCATGGGCAAGGACTTCATGTCTAAAACACCAAAAGCAATGACAACAAAAGACAAAATTGACCAATGGGATCTAATTAAACTAAAGAGATTCTGCACAGCAAAAGAAACTACCATCAGAGTGAACAGTCAAGCTACAGAATGGGAGAAAAATTTAGAAATCTACCCATCTGACAAAGGGCTAATATCCAGAATCTACAATGAACTCAAACAAATTTACAAGAAAAAAACAAACAACCCCATCAAAAAGTGGGCAAAGGATATGAACAGACACTTCTCAAAAGAAGACATTTATGCAGCCAACAGACACATGAAAAAATGCTCATCATCACTGGCTGTCAGAAAAATGCAAATCAAAACCACAATGAGATACCATCTCACACCAGTTAGAATGGCGATCATTAAAAAGTCAGGAAACAACAGGTGCTGGAGAGGATGTGGAGAAATAGGAACACTTTTACACTGTTGGTGGGACTGTAAACTAGTTCAGCCATTATGGAAGACAGTGTGGTGATTCCTCAAGGATCTAGAACTAGAAATACCATTTGACCCAGCCTTCCCATTACTGGGTATATACCCAAAGGATTATAAATCATGCTGCTGTAAAGACACATGCACACGTATGTTTATTGTGGGATTATTCACAATAGCAAAGACTTGGAAGCAACCCAAATGTCCATCAATGATAGACTGGATTAAGAAAATGTGGCACATATACACCATGTAATACTATGCAGCCACAGAAAAGGATGAGTTCATGTCCTTTGTAGGGACATGGATGAAGCTGGAAACCATCATTCTCAGCAAACTATCACAAGGACAAAAAACCAAACACCACATGTTCTCACTCATAGATGGGAATTGAATAATGAGAACACTTGGACACAGGAAGGGGAACATCACACACTGTGGCCTGTTGTGGGGTCAGGGGACAGGGGAGGTATAGCATTAGGAGATGATATACCTAATGTAAACGATGAGTTAATGGGTACAGCACACCAACATGACACATGTATACATATGTAACAAAACTGCACGTTGTGCACATGTACCCTAGAACTTAAGATATATATATATATAAAGATCAGATTCTGAAATACTAGAAGTAAGGACATTAATGTTTAAATTTGTGGAGAACATAATTTAACTTACAACTGAGAGAAACAGAAGGCTAGATCCAAAGAGGGCCAGACACCATTGATGGGAGAATAGACTTGGGCAACTCCATTCTAAATGGCACATCTAAAAATATATGAAATGAGACTGACATGTAGAATTAATCAGGAAATTTATATTGATGCTCCACCATATGCCAATCTCTATGCAAGTCATTGTATAAAATAAACAAAATATATAAATAGGTCCTGACCTCTGCATTCAATAAGCTTGCACACAAACCAGTAAAAAATATTTCAAATGAAGGAACATTAAATATAAAATATATAAGGAAATAATGTATAAAGTATCTAAAGAGCTACAATTGGGATTTTTAATAATCATTAAGTCATTTGAGAGAGACAGAAGAGCTGAGGAATTGTTAAGATTTGGGTGTCTACAAAACATGTGCAAAAGGATTTACTAAAAGTGACAAGTTACAAATAATTGTTTAGAATAACTAGTAACTTAAAATTGTTGCTAAAATGTCAGCAGAGATGGTTCCTTCTGGAAGCTCTGAGGGAAAATTAATTTCCTTGCCTTTTTCAGCTTCTAGAGGCTTCCCACATTCCTTGGCTTCTGGTCCCTTCCTCCAGCTTCAAACCAAGTGATGACATCATTCCCTCCTCTGTGAATGTCATCTCATCTTTTAATCTCCTGCCTTCCCCTTACTCCTATAAGAAACTTTATGATGACATTGTCCCACACACGCACCCCAAGTATAATCCAGGATAACCTTCTTATCTCAAGGTCCTTAACTTCATTACGTCTGCAAAGTCCCTTTGGCCATGTCAGGTGGCCTATTTACCAGTTCTAAGATTTCAAACACAAATTTCTTAAAGGACAATTGGTCTGCCTAAAATTCAAGGTAGCATCAGAGAGGTTCCAGATCTTAGCTGAGGTGGAAAGCAGATGTCACAAGCCCACAGAGAAGCCAGGAGTCTTGGATATTTTCTTATCTCCATCTGCACCTCTGCACCCACTTTTACAAACTGTTGGAAAGTCAATGGTTTCATACTTCATCATTCACATATATCCTGTGACACACTTTACTGGTAGATATTACTAACACTAAAATTCTCTTTCCCTCCGGGGAAGATGGAGGACTACACTTCCCATGATGCTTGCATTCTTGCCAATGAACTGAGATGGAAAGCGACGTCTGCCTTTCCAGATGACAGCAGTGAAAAGACGCTGGATAACTCTCCAGAGCCCTCATTCTTCTCCTAAAGAGGCCGATGACTGTATGGGTGGTAAAGGTAGTAATGTCAAGCTGAGTCCCCAGGGAACAATGTCAAGCAGAGTCTTCTCATGTTCATCCTCTCCTTCACTCGTGCATATTATAAAAGACTCTGTATGTGCAAAAAAAAAAACACTGGGAGAGAGGGTCAAGTCAAGTCATTGGTGTTTATTACTGAAGAATGAGCTTACCTTTCTGACTAGTAAACTTCTCTAAATAATTTTTTAAAATTAACTCCTTTATGTATTTCAAGTTGATGTATAAAATGTTTCATCCTAATTTTAACTTGTTGCATGTGATGTAATTTCTAGTGTGTTGTAATATATTGATGTTATAATTTAAAATTGATTCATCACCCTTTGAAATTTACTCTCGTGAACATTTTGAAATGTACAACATTCTATTATTACCTATATTCACCATGCTGTGCAATAGAGCTCAAAATATAAAATATTCTTTCTGTCTGAGATTTCGTACCCTTTGGCCATCATCTCCCTCTTCCCCTCATCCCCTAGCCTCTGTAACCACCCTTCTACTCTTTGCTTCTATGAGTTTTGTTGTTTCAGATTCCATATATATGTAAGAACTTTCAGTTAATTGTCTTTCTGTGTCTGGCATATGTCACTCAGCATAAAGCCCTCCAGGTTCATCTGTGTTGTCTCAGATGACAGGATTGTGTTCTTTTTATGACTGAATAGTATTCATTTATGTTTATTTCATAACTTGACTATTGTGAATAATGCTGCAATGAACATGGCAGTGCAGAAATCTCTTCACAAACTGATTTCAAATATTTTTGGTATATCTCAGCAGTAGGGTGACTAGATAATATGGTAGTTCTATTTTTGTTTTCTTGAGGATCCTTCATATAGATTTCCATAATGGCTGTACTAAGTTACATTTTCTCCAAGAGTATGCAAATGTTGTTTATTAGAAATATATCACACAATGAAATCAATGGGGTTTTAAGTTTAAGTATCAATATAAGAATATGAATTACTACTAGAATTCAAATGTTCAGCTTTAATTTATTTTCTTTTTTATGTAAATTATCAAAAACTTTATAAATAAGAAAATAAGGTATAAAGTAACCTTGTTATAGCAATGTTATTATATATCTCTTATTTGTCATCAAAAATTATTTTAAATAATTTATGATTTAACAATTATGCCTCCTTTAATTTGTTAAATAATCAAATAATTAAAATTTACCAACTCAAGTGAATTCCTTAGAAAAATCTTCCTGTATCTCAGGATAATATTCACACTATTTCAATGACTGCTACACCAGATGATTATAACCTAGGAAATGCAGCGTTAGAAAAGATAATTGACTAGATTGGAGTTTCACAGAGGTATCATGAGAGGCAGTAGCACCTGGTGAATGTGGACATGAAAACCCAAGAGAGAGATGCCAGTGGAGAGTCCTGTCCACAGTGAGCCAGAGATCCCACTGGAGACTCGTTTCTACAATGAGACAGAGATCCCAGTGGAGATTATTTTCCACAGTGAGCCAGAGATCCCAGTGGAGACTCCCTTCTACAGTGTATTAATCCATTTTCACGCTGCTGATAAAGACACACCCGCGGCTGGGCAATTTACAAAAGAAAAAGGCTTAATGGACCTTACAGTTCCATATGGCTGGGGAGGCCTCAGGATCATGACCGAAGGCAAGGAGGAGAAAATCACATCTTACGTGGATGGTGGCAAGCAAAGAGAGAGAGTTTGTGCAAGGGAGTTTTCACTTATAAAGTCATCAGATCTCTCAGACCACAAACTGTCTCTCAGACCACAGTGCAATCAAACTAGAACTTAGGATTAAGAAACTCACTCAAAACCGCTCAACTACATGGAAACTGAACAACCTGCTCCTGAATGACGACTAGGTACATAATGAAATGAAGGCAGAAATAAAGATGTTCTTTGAAACCAACGAGAACAAAGACACAACATACCAGTGTATAAGTCGTGAGATTTATTCACTATCATGAGAACAGCATGGGAAAGACCTGCCCCCATGATTCAATTACATCCCACCAGGCCCCTGCCAAGACACGTGGGAATTCAAGATGAGATTTGGTTGGGGACACAGCCAAACCATATCATAGAATAAGCCACTGTGATTTGTGGAAATGTGCTTTGTCCCTTGAGGAACTTTGATGTGGACCTAAAATTTGGGAAATGTTATTATTTGAGTTTTGCATTAAATTCTACATTTATGCATGGTTTTCTTTTCCTTTCACTGTTCTAACAGCATTGATACCTCGCCTACAACCAGTGTTTCAACTACCACCCAAAATATGCTTTTAGTGTTGAATTCACAAACTGTCTTCTTTCCATTAACTGGACAGCTCTGCCAGAATCTCAAATTCTATATTCTCTAAAACTAACCACATCAATTTGTTTTACTTCCTCAGGATTTTCTGACTGTTTCTTTTCTTCTTTTCCCCCATTGTCCTTATTTCAGGCTGATTTTTCTTACCTTAACAGTGGGAATGGCTTTATGATGCATATCATCTCATTCAGCGTAGTCTTCTTCCAGTAAATTTCTCAACTGTCTCCAAGATTATACTTCTAAATGCATGTGAATCGTGGTAATCCACTCTTTAAAATCTGTAAGTAGCCTGTTGTCTCCTTCCCCCCAAAATAAAGGCATTCACATAATAAGACTTTTCCTAATGTGACCTAAGAGATCATCTCAATCGACCTCTCTGGCGTCTCATTTTTTTTTCATGTGTTCCTTATAGTTCATCCATCCAAAAAAATTGCAGTTCCTCAATGTTACACTCTCTTGGTCTGTTCTCTTAGTGTAATCTTCCCCATACACATTCTTTGACCAAAATTAACCTTTAATACTTAGCTCACTTTGGGAGGCCAAGGCAGGTGGATCACTTGAGGTCAGGAGTTAGAGACCAGCCTGGCCAATATGATGAAACCCCTTCTCTACTAAAAATACAAAAATTAGCTGGGTGTGGGGGTGCACACTTGTAATCTCAGATACTTGGGAGGCTGAGGCAGGAGAACTGCTTGAACCTGGAGGTGGAGGTTGCAGTGAGCCAAAATCGCACCGCTGCACTCCAGGCTAGGTGACAGAGTGAGAAACAGTCTAAAAAAAAAGAAAAAATTAGCTCAAGTCCCCCCTTCTTGAGGAACTCATGCCTGCAGCCCACTGTTCTTATATTTTAACATAGCTGATGTGTATGAGAAGCTCAGTATCAACCTGTATCCAAGTGACCTAGAGCACATGCACTTCTTATTATACACGTTTTACCTTCTCCCAGACTGTGAGCTTTTGAGAGAAAACAACAATAGCTCTTTGTATTATATCCTTAGTGATAAAAGAATATTTGGCTCACTTGTGTTTTTTGAAAGAGTAAAAGAATTCATAAAATTGTGTCTCTTTCTGATTTAGTGCCCTCAGTGTTCTGTTGATCAAGTTTCTCTGTTCTCATCAGGGTAAAGTAGATTTTTCAAAACATGATATTTGAACTAATTCATACATGTTTGCAGTAAAATTCTATCAGTGCATATCAACTAGAAAAGATGTTATTATTTCATTAAACCCCTTTCAACAAAATCAAGATTTAAATTGCTGCTTTTCTCATACCATTCAAACTACAAAACCTCTGATAAGAAAAAGAAGAAATCTTGAAAGCTGATTTTTATATCGCAGATGTTGCATGAGTATTTATATAGAAGGGGGTGGGAGAGGGAGAGAAGCAAATACAAGACAGCAGAGGAGAGAGGGAGGGAAGGAGAGAGAAGAGGAGGCACATATATGCTTTCGTGCTTTCCTTTCAACAAAAAATATTGCCTGCCCTTTCTTCTATGTGTAGTAGCTAGAATAATGCTAAATTTAATTCAATGTCTAATGCTAGATATCGTAATCTTTCAGCAGAAAAATCTACTGAAACCAGCCCTTCCTGTAGCATTTTTTTCATGTACAGGGATTCTGGAACTCACAATTAAGTGAATATGTAACAAGACAAGCATAAATCTTGTCAAGTCATAACTTTACAGAAATCATAGTAGATTTGCAGACTGAAACAAGCTTTGAACATTCAGAATATTGCTGGTTTTGCTCACTTTATTCAGGCTCAAAGGTCTCTGTAGGACAAATAAAATTTTCTTTGAATATCCTGAAGCATGAATAATAATTTAAGTTTATTCTGCATGCCTCCTTCTCGACATAGTAATAGAATAAAGGTTTGAGGCACTGTTCTTTGAGCCTCTTGTATAATATATCTTCAACAGTAAAGTATATCATATGTTTGGATTCTGGACATAGACAAGCAATTTATGCCTCAGTCACATCTGTTTGTTCCAGTTGTATTTTTATTGATATATGAGATTGCAATATTATTAATTAAGGTAAGAGACTTAAAAATTACAATGATAATGCAACTCATTACTTGCTCAAAATAATTATTTATGTTTTATACTACCTGATTTTAATCAAAATTAAATTATTCTGTATTTTCACATTTTCAAAAATTATATGTTTAAAAATCATAAATTAAATATCTAGGATTATAGAAAGCATGTATGTTTCAATACAACAATGGCTCAATAAAACCTTGTAAAACCAATACAACAATGTATTGCAGCTATAAATAAATAAGGTTTTTTTTTCTTGCTACTTCTGCATTATTTTGACATTGCCTCTTATTGGTTTCATTGATATAAGTATATCCTAAATCATTGGATTGGTTCATAAATAATTTTATGGTTCTTAATATCTTGTCTTATCTTGACCAGATATATCCAAGTGTTGCTAGGATATAGCAAGTATATGCCTGAAAATCTGTCTCCTCTTAGAGAAGAGAAGCAGTCTCAGAAGCAGAACATACTGTCAGTGATAACCTGGAAATTAGATTTTCTGTAAGGCACATATAAACTCATCAAATATTTAGAGGGCCTTATGTTAATAGTCATATCAGGAAATATGCCTACATTCAGCACTATGGGTTGTGGTAACCATGTAGATGAAACCAAAGAATATTCTGTTTATTTCTAGTACCTTTTTATCTTTAATTGTAAAAATGTTATTTATTGAATAACCATTTCCTCTTTATCTCTGTAGCCAGTAAAAATCAAGAGCTGGCAGCTCTCCATGTTTTGACTTATGTCTCCTAGAGAAGAATAGGCACCCTGCCTGGAGCATGACTACACAACACGGTGTAACTTGGGTGAACTGTTAGATCCTTCAGTGAACAGAACGACATTGCTCTACCCTGATAAAAGTACTGCTGTTGCAACAATTAAGCTCTTTCTCCATGTTTTCCACCTCAATAATAAGACTCCTATTCTCCCTCTTCCCCCAGAAAAGAAGTTACAGGAAAATTGTGGACTATAATTAAAATATTTTCTTGAATCTATGAATAGGAGACCATCCTTAAGTACGGTGAATTGTGAAGAGAGATGTGTTGTCTTCTCTGTAAATATGTCTTTGGAAATCAGTACAAAGTTGAGCTACAAAGTAGCAGAACTCTTCTGCACTAAAGGCACAAAATGATTAGCCCCATGAGGAATGATTAAGAACTGTGACTGGAAGTTGACATAACAAGGCTTTCATCTATTTCATTTCCTGCATAAAGAATGTCTAGCCCATCCTGTATGAAGGAGTGACTGTACTGATTCACTGCTGGGATTTGAACTGGCTGATAGGAAATATATTAAAGCTAGTTACAGTAATAGTCAAAAAACTGTTTACTTACATGGGCTTAAGACTAACTTTTGTCCTATCTTAGGTACTTTACGGCCTCCTACGCAGAAGTTTGGTGTTTGCTTTAGGCCTGGGAACCTGGCCTTTAATCTTTACCCTCTAGTGGTATTTACTCACAACTTTTGTTAATTAGTCTTACTGAATAAATGCAAACCTGACTAGTGGATCAGGGCCGAGTCGCAGCTGTTTACAGAACTCAGCTTGGAGCCTGTAAGCTGCTCAGACCCTCAGCTGGACTGGCAGAGCATTTTATTTGCTATGAGAATACCGTATTAGGCAAAACCGCATACTATAAAAATGCTTTAAAATGCTCAGGAGCAGATGTGTGTGTCAGTGTACTTTATTCATCTGTCGGAATCAGGGGTCTGCAGGAACAGACCCCCCCGCAGCTAGTGCCCTCGTGAAAGGAGCACTGCCTCAATTCATCACATTAACCTGTTCTTCAGGCCCCTTCATTCAATATGTCTTGACGGTCGGCACATATCACCAATGTTTCACATTAGTACAAATGACAGCTGCCATTTAACTATGATAAGTGAATATCATGAATGGCTGGTGATGTGACAATGATATTTTCTTTTAGTGTTAATAACATTTTAAATGTAATTCGGTATAAAATTTAGCATTTCAAATACAGGTGCCATTTAGTATAAATTAATTACAGGTGCCATTTTACTATGATAAGTCAATAACATGAAAAGCTGGTGACGTAACAATGATATTTTCTTTCAGTGTTAACATTTTTAAATGTAATTCAATGTAAAATTTAGCACTTCAATACATTTTTACTACTTCCTTTGGTTCACTTCCATTACTGGAAACATCCTATTTCTTTTAATAAAACCACATATAAGGTCAAATATTTGGGATGCCAAGGCAGGAGGATTGATTGAGGCCAGGGGTTCAGAACCACCCTGGGATACACAGCAAGAGTCTGTCTCTACACAAAGTAATAAATTATCCAGGCATGATGGCTCACAGCTCCAGTTCCATCTACGCTGGAGGCTGAGGTGGGAGGATTGCTTGAGCCCAGGAGTTTGAGGCTGCAGTGAGTCGAGATTACCCCACTGCACTCCAGCCTGGGTGATAGAGAAAGACCCTCTCTCTCTTAGGAAAACAAAACAAAACAAACGGTCAAATAGAAATTTGCCTGCTCTGCCATATACATGGCCCACTTAAAAACTAAAAATACAACAAATATATGTATAACAGTCTTTGTTTCTAAAATATTTTGATACACAATGTCCTTTCAGTATTCGCAGCCAAGTTATGTAAGATAATGGAGCCAGGCATGTCTCATGCACTTCACATAGCTCAGTGCTGTGCTTATTGTCTTCAACAGTTATGTGAATTAGAGCTTTAATATAACTCATAGAATTAAAGTGGATGCATTGAAACCAAGCATTTTATAGTTACCTTTGCTATGCACATTTTGATATCCACATATACAAATATACAAACGGAAAGGTTTTAACATAGCTCCTGTCAACAATAGACACTGGGGACTCCTAGATGCTGGAGGGAGGGGGAGGGGGAAGAGTTGAAAAACTGTTGGCTGGATGCGGTGGCTCACGCCTGTAATCCCAGCACTTTGGGAGGCAAAGGCGGGTGGATCACCGGAGGTCAGGAGTTCGAGACCAGCCTGGCCAACACGGCAAAACCTTGTCTCTACTAAAAATACAAAAAAAAAAAAAAAAAAAAATTAGCCGGGTATGGTGGTGCATGTCTGTGATCCCAGCTACTTGGGAGGCTGAGGCAGGAGAATTGCTTGAACCTGGGAGGCAGAGGTTGCAGTGAGCCGAGATCGCACCACTGCACTCTAGCCTGGGCAACAGAGTGAAACTGTCTCAAAACAAAACAAAACAAAACAAAACAAAACAAAACAAAAAACTGTTGGGTACTATTCTTGGTATCTGAGTGACCGGTCGCTTCATACCCCAAACCGCAGCTTCATGCAGCATACACAGGTAACAAACCTGCACATGTACCACCTGAATCTAAAAAGTTAAAAAAGAAATAAGAAGAATAAAATTCCTGAATAGATTTGAAGACTCGAAAGTTGACCCAAACCTCCCAGTAACTTTCAGGTTATCCGGTACAAGTGAGACCTACTGACATTGAGCACTGCTGATCATGAGAAACTGGAGGTAATCAATCGTGAACCTGAGAACATGAAATTCAATATAATTTAATTTCATGAAACTGAGAACATCTTTGACAATTTTGCAGATGCATGCATTTATTTTATTATTTTTTAATTCTCTAGTGTGACACATGATTCAATTTTGAAGCGTGTTATGTATTTTTCTGGGGGAGACAAAAGGCACGTCTTTGTGAATACTCCTTTTCTGCATTACGGTCCTATTTGAGTATGTGGTTATACACTTCCAACCCTTGACATCTTTAAAATTGTTTACCTTTTAAAAACTGAACAGAATTAAGATAACTCTCATGGTGCCGATCACCCTGCATTCCTTCTTCTTGGATGACAGCTCATGCTATTTGATGTGATTGAAGCTTCTGTACCCCTCTGTGTTGACCAGCATCCTAAACTGGGCACTGATTGCCTTCACTAATTTGCTTTATGAATAAAGCCGGCCTAGAGATCAGTTGTTCAATACTTAATTTGCTAGGATAAATCTAAGACCTTCAGATCAAAGACATTTTTAGTTATGTAATACAAAGTTGTACATGGATACATATTTCAGAGGAATATTAAAAAGTACCCCAACTTATTCACAATCTTTGAGAAGCTATTAAACCTGAGAAGAGAACTAAGCAGTTTCTCTAATTACTAACATATATCACACATTTTATGGCTGTATTTCAATTAGGGTCTCTTCTCTCTGTGCTCTCAATGTCAAAGTTTCCTTTCTGAGTTCATTAGGGTGCTTGAAGACGAGGAGAGAAAGTTTGCATGCACCTGCACTGCCCCCATCACTACCTGCTCAGAGCCGTGTGGCAATCCCCATATTTTCCTGACAGCCTTAACTACACCCTTACTTTTCCTTAAGCACTTTAGTGTGACTAACAGAAGCTCTTGAACTGAAGTCAAATACCATTTCATTTTTTATACTCTGGAAAATGAGAAGGCAGTCATAGAAGTAAAACCAGAAACCATAAAACAAACACGTAAGTTTTGGGAGTTTTCTATGCCATAGAGAACGGAGAAAAGAAAAAAGAAATCATGACAATAAAGTATGATGATGTTAACAATGGTAGCAACAGGGCTTTCCTGGTCAGAGGATGCTCTAAGCACTTCACCCACGTCATCTCATTCATTCCTCACAACAATCTCATTAGATGTGTGCTATTTTTAGCCCCATTTTAAAAAGGAGGAAACAGGAATTAGGATGTTGAAAAATTGCTTAAGGTCATATATCTGGCAAGGCCTGTGGCTGTCATACAAAAATGACAATCAGTAGTAATTGCAGCTTTATGAGTCTCAATCCCTTTGCTTGCACAAAGGAGGATGTATGTGAGAATAGAAACAGCCTGAACTTTGTTGCTTGTTGGATTCCACGCTCAGGATTCTGACATATTTCCTTGGGTAGATTTTACATAGATGGGGACCTTTGATAGTTTCATTTCACAGAAAATGAAAATAATGATACCTACCACGTAGGAGTTTGGGGGGTTGAAAAGTTAACATGTTTCACATGCCTTGCACAGTTCCTGATACATTGAAATCAATAAATATGAGTTCTTATTCTTTCCCTCTTTAAATAATGGTGGAGGGAAAAATGATACTCAAGGATTCTATGATTCTTAAACAATGATTTCAAAATAAGTTCATTATTTGGAGGATTGAGAAATATAACTGGTGAAAATGTGTAAGTACATAAGAATGTACATAATTCCAAAGTTACCATAAAATATTTTTTAAAAAAATAAAATTATTAAAATTGGATTCAGAGGATTCTAAAAAGATGTGATATATACTTGATGTTAAAAATGAAGGATACGCAACAAACTGAGTTTGCAGTAGGAAGGGAACTTATGAAGTGGAAGAGTTTGGGACTTTTCAAGGAGAAGTGAAACAGGGCCAGTATTAAACACTGCATAGCCTTTTAAAGGGGCAAAAATGCGCTCAGCATCCTGAAAGTAACTATTCAGAGAAGGCCAGAGAGGGCAGAACATGTTTAAGCAATTGATACATCCAAGCTAGATAGAAACAGAGAGTTTTTAATGATACAGAGTTGAGTAGTAGGAGATAATGCAGAAAAGAACATTTGCAATGAAATTTAGAATAACCATAAAAGTCTAGGGAATTTGTTCTCGATCCTGGTAATAAAAGGAGTTAACTACTCAGGGCTGGACTTTATTGCTTCTTGCATTTTCTCATGCCCTCTTCACTCCTTGATTCCTGTAATATCAGTTCATAATTATTCTCTCCTACAGGATTCCCTAGAACTGATGGCCTTTGTTATGTACACCACCACCAGATGCTCATGTCCCTTGTTTCCCTTTATCATAAAACTTACCACACAGGACTGTAATTTCTTGGGTATTTGTCTTCTTTCTAGACAGTAAGCTTCTTGAGAACAGAGATCTTCTTTAACTCATATTTGTGTTTGTATAATGCATTTTATGTTTTACAACAGTTTTTGACTGGAAAATTTGAGACCGTAATACAGAGAATCCTCATGTACCCCCACAGAGTTTTCCTTATTATTGACATTTTACACTAGTAAGGTACCTTTCTTAAAATTAATGAACCAATATTGAAACATAATTATTAACTAAAGCCTTTAGTTTCTCAGATTTCTTTAGTTTTTATATAATGTCGTATTTCTATTCCAGGATCCCATCCCAAATACAACTTTACACTTAACTATCATGTCTCTGCAGTTTCTTCCTGACTGTGACAGACTTCCTTTGTTTTTGATGACCTTGGCAGTTTTGAGGAATATTGGCCCTGTTATAGCAGGATGCCTCTCTATTGGAATTGATCTGATGTTTGTCTCGTGAGTAGATTGCTAGTCCTGTTCATTGGAAAGAACACCACAGAGGTAAAATGCTATTTTCATTATCACAACATATCGAGGTTACATTCTGTTAAGATGGCTAACAACCTGTTAAGATTGACCTAATCAATCGACTGAGGTTTGCTAGGCTTCTCTGCTGTACAGTTCCTTTCCCTGCTCTTTCTACACTGTAATCTTTGGAAGGAAGTCACCATGTGCAGCCCACACTTAAGGCATAGAGGATGAGGCTCTTCTTCTTTCACGGTGGAGTATCTATATAAGTGTTTTGGATTCTTGGCCCAGGCATTCTCCACCATTTGTTAATTTATTCAGTCATTTATTTATATTGATAAGTACTGATGGATTTTATTTTACACTTTGGGTTATCATTGAATTTACTTTATTTGGTTGCTCAAGTCACCTCTGTTTGGATTTTGGTAGCTCTTTCAGTTGACTCCTGTGTCTCCTTGACACACCCCTACCAATGTGTGTTTGTGTGTGTGTTTAGCACTTCCTTACTTTCTGAATACAAGATATCAGATGCTCATCTTGTATATTTCCTTTTCAATGCTAGAATCAGCCATTTCATCAAGGAGCCGTTTCCTTTTATTAGAGAATGGTATTAGAAACCAAGATGTGGAAACTGGGTGTGCTTCTTGCTACTAGACTATTGTTTCTTCGGTGTCATACCATCTGACATAGAAATGAAATCTATGTGCACACACTAACCCATGTATTTCTATAAATATTTCCATATGCAACCATCTGTGTCTGTATGAAGGACATCTGAGTGAAACGTGAATTTATACTGGTATCTCCAACTCTCATGCATTACCACATGGATCATTCTAACCTGCTCACTTTGCTTATCTGTAAACTCCTATCCCAACAATGACAAATCTGGCTACCATGGGCTGCCATCTATTTACTTAAATGTGTGACACTAATTTACATGTGTGAGAACTGTTATAGCAATGTCAGAATTGTTCATCTGTGTAACCCCTAGGAAACAATTGTAGGATCTGGAGGACAGTGCTTATACGCAAGTCATTTTGCTTTAGTCATTAAAGATCCCACTCACTTCCAAAGTTACTTAGATGTGTACCTTTTCCCTCCCCTGCTTCAGTGAGTCTGTCTCATACATGTGTACTAAGGTTAGAATCTCTGTTGTTGTTGTTGCTGTTGCTGTTGTTGTTGTTGTTTGAGACAGAGTCTTGCTCAGTTGCCCAGGCTGGAGTGCAGTGGTGCAATCTCGGCTCACTGCAAACCTCCTCCTCCCGGGTTCAAGGGATTCTCCTGCCTCAGCCTCCTGAGTAGCTGAGACTAAAGGCGCCCGCCACCATGACCGGCTAATTTTTGTATTTTTAGTAGAGACAGAGTTTCACCATGTTGGCCAGGATGGTCTCGATCTCTTGACCTTGTGATCCACCCGCCTCGGCATCCCAAAGTGCTGGGATTGAGCCCCCGCGCCTGGACTCTTTTCGTCATTAAGACCTCTATGTTTTTACAAATATATAATGTCATGCATCCACCGTCACAGATTTATGCAGAATGTATTTTAATACCCTAAAAATCCCTTGTGCTTTATCTATTTACCTTTCCTATTGCTTCCAAAACCACTGATTTTTTTTTTTACTCTGTCTATAATTTTGCCTTTTCCAGGATGTCACATAATTGGAATTATACAGCAGATAGCCTTTTCAGACTGTCTTATTTGATGTACCAATATATCTATAAGATTCTTCAATGTCTTTTCATGGCTCTGTAGTCTATAAATAAGTTAATTAAGTGACTACAATATAGTGGACTTAAGTACAGATAAGGTGTGTTTTCACCTGCATTAGTTACTGTGAGTACATGAGGCACTAGAAGACATCTCGGTTGACTATTATTCAGTTGCTTATTTTGCTTTGTGTTTTCTTGTAGCCGGTGTTCTAAAACTAGAGTCCATGGGCATCTTTTCTCTATTGTGTGAATTTGCGATTCTGAATCTCCTGAGAAAAGACACAGAATGCGGATGTACACACACAGGCATTAGCAGGGGCTAGGTCTTTTATTTATTTCAAAATTGTATTCTGCTAATATCTATATTTATACTAAAATGAGACTAAAGTTATTTTGTCATAACAAGTTAAATGCCTTATATGCTATAAAATCTGTTGGTGAATTTAGAATTGCTGGTACTGATCATTAGAAGAGGTCATAGCTGCTTATCGTAACTTTGATCTCCTGTTGTTTAACTGTGACAGTACAGATTTTGAATGCATTCCATAAAAGCTGAAATACTCTTATAGAAATAAGCTTATCTTAAACAATGACATGAAAAATTCATCAATACACATTAACAAATTAATGAACTCAAATTATTGCCTATTACAATGTTCAGAAGTGTAAGCTTCAGAGAAAAGGACAACTGTTCTGGAAATGGCATCCCTGGAATGAGGATTCGGCAGAGCCCAGGCTTTGATCTCGGCACTCCTGGGAATAATTTCCAAGACACCAATTACCTTAAGGACAGGGGCCGGATTTCCACTCTGAATACAGAATTTTTCCACTAATTTCAAATTCCTGGTGGATAGAAAATCTACTCTGTGTCAAACCTGCTTGTCCTGAACTTAAAATTTCTTCTTTTACAAAATCACAAAAATCTGGTCTCTAATAAACTGTATATTTTCTATCAGTTAGTTTAACTTGAATTAAGTGTGATACCCCAAGTTTTATATGATGGCGCTATTACCAGAATCTATTTTTAGTTAATATATATTTACCATCTAATGAGAGACATATGAATATTAATATAATATATAATGAATAATTATCTAAAAGCTAAAAGAAATATGTCATCAAAATCAATTCTACAAATAGAAGTCTATTAAGTCTATCAATTGACATAAAATATTAAATACGTCTAAAAAGTAGGGTTAAAATAGCACAGTGATAAACCCTCTGAAATTTTCAAAAATCAAACAAATGTATAAAATATGCAATTATTTAGCGATTAGGAAAAGAGAGAAATTACACAATTTCTAAAACTAATATAATCATGATATCAAAACTTGACGAAACCTTTAACAGAATAATCTCACTTATAAATATATATGCATACATGCTAGTTTCATATATGCATAAATGCTAGTTTCTAAACTTATATGCATAAAATGCCATATAGAAACTAGAATTTAACAGTATAGTAGCATTGAAGATATAGAATCTATCTGAGGAGTAGGCTGATTATTTCTAGTATCTGAAAGTCTTTTACTTCAATGTATCAATAGATAAAAATATCTTAAATATATACAAAATATGTTTAGAAAAAACTTAGAAAATTTAACAAAATATTTTTAAGTAAAACACACAAAACAATAATGTTATCAAATATTTCAAACAAGATACAAGACAGCATTTCAGTTATCTATAGCTTTGTAACAAGTTGTTTCAAGACTTTTTGGCTTTAAAATATCAAAGGTATAATTTCTTGTAATTCTCTTAACCAGGAATTTGAGCAGTGAGCTTCTCTGGAGCTGTAAGAAGTAAGATGGACTCTCAGCCTTCAAGTGTTTATCTTCACTTGCCTTCTCAGCCAGTTCTCTAGTCTGATTGTCTTACTGCATAGTGACTGGGGTTTAAGATGGAGGAAGCAGAGCTGCCTGATTTTATGTCCTGGGCTTTGAAATTCCAGAACATAACTTTTGCCATATTGTATTGATCAAAGCAAGTCACAACATAAAACTAGATTCAAGGAAAGGGAAAATAGACTCCACTTCTTGAAGTGAGGAAGAGAACAAGCATATGGCTATAAGATAATATGAGGCCTGTCATAAACATCAACATCCCTCACAAGAAAAACACATTCGCACACTCTCTGAACATCCTGTTAGTTTACTGATTTTTAAATTAAGGTTTAGATAAAGAAGCTTTTCAAGTATAGCTCCTCTCAGTGTGGTCACCTGTAAACTCAAAATATATTTTTTTCTGCCTCGCCTCCCCACCCATGCACCTAACAGGAATAGAATGACTGCAATAGATCTCCCCAATCAAAAGGCAAGGAACAGAAAAATGCAGAGAAGCCATTGGTCTAACGCAATCCCGAAATCCAACTGGGCATAGGTTTTCAGGGCTTCCTATTCTAGCGGCAGGGAACATTCTTCAACTGGGGCATAGTTCTTCTTCGGAGTACATCTCGGCAACTCTTGGCTCTGTCTTCTGGACTTTGGCTCTACTTGATCCATTCTTTTCCATACATGAATGTCCTATGTATGCAACTGAATTGCTTTCTCAGCTTGTTTTTGGATGTAGAAAGTTGGATGTTTTTATTTTATTTTATTTTTATTTTTTGTGATGGAGTCTTGCTCTGTTGGCAGGCTGTAGTGCTCACTGACACCTCTGCCCCCCGGGTTCAAGCGATTCTCCTGCCTCAGCCTCCCGAGTAGCCGGGACTACAGATGTGTGCCACCATGCCAGGCTAAATTTTGTATTTCAGTAGAGATGGGGTTTCACCAAGTTGGCCAGGTAGGTCTCGATCTCCTGACCTCATGATCCACCCGCCTCAGCCCCCCAAAGTGCTAGGATTACAGGCGTGAGCCACCCCACCCGGCCGCTTTTTTTAAAATCATTATTTTTAAACCATCATTGCTCCTTTAAATATAAGCAGATATACCTCCTTTAAAAACTCTGTGGGCTTCTCATGCGTAAAATAATCATGCATTTCCTATATTAAAAGCCCCTCCCATAAAACTATATGTGCTGAATTTCTCTTTACATTTGGGCTGCCAGTCAGAATGCTAAAGGACAAAACCTTTAAGATTTTTAGATGGCTTTTTAGTTTGTTGATAACATCTACAATGTAACACTTTAAATCTTTCTGAAATTTCAAAAAATACTGTGCAGACACAAACCTATTTAATGTTTCCACTGAAGCTGTATTTTACGTGGAGTCCCCTGGACCCTAGATTTCATCTTTACTTTGAAGCTATCATTTTTAAAATTCATTTTTATTTTTAGTTTTTAACTTTGAGAAGTTTTTGCTATCCAGAGAGGTTCAAAGTGAGAAGCAATTTTATTTTTCAATAGAATAAGTCTGGTTTGGAACTGCTTCTTCTAAATTCTGCTTGAAAACTAAAAAACTTTTTCTTTAGCTTTTCTCTCTTTCCACACTTCATCCTAAGCTATTTACAGATAAATCATGTTACTATAAAGACACATGCGAATGTATGTTTATTGAGGCACTATTCACAATAGCAAAGACTTGGAACCAACCTAAATGTCCATCAATAATAGACTGGATAAAGAAAATGTGACACATATACACCATGGAATACTATGCAGCCATAAAAAAGGATGAGTTCATGTCCCTTGCAGGGACATGGTTGAAGCTGGAAACCATCATTCTCAGCAAACCATCACGAGGACAGAAAACCAAACACCGCATGTTCTCACTCATAAGTGGGAGATGAACCATGAGAACACACAGACTTAGGAAGAGGAACATCACACACCAGGGCCTGTCACGGGGTGGAGGGGTAGGGGAGGGATAACATCAGGAGAAATAACTGATGTAGGTGACAAGTTGATGGGTGCAGCGAACCACCATGGCACGTGTATACCTATGTAACAAACATGCACGTTCTGCACAGGTACCCCAGAACTTAAAGTATAATTAAAAAAAAAATAATAAATAAATAAATAAAAAGAAGCTGACTGACACTTTCAGTGTTTCACCTGGAATGCTCAACCTGGTCCAAAATCAATGATATCTTTCAAATTTTTCAGTAGCACTCCCATTCCAGATACAAAATTTTGTGTCCCTTCTCTATTGCTGTATCGTAGGTTGCCCCAGAACTTAGTGTATTCATACAACATTTTTTTCACCTTTTAAATGATTCTATCAGTCAGGATTCAGGCAGGGTTCAGTTGTGCTGCTTTTCCAAACTCTGTCTGTTGCTGCTGGAGCCACCCAGTCAGCATCATTGAGCCATAAGCTCAGAGAGGGCCAGAGCCACCAAGTAGGCCTCTCATTGTCCACAGTGTCCTCTCCAGTCCTTCAAGCATTCAGTTGTCTAGACTGGACTGACTTACACATGGTGGTGGTTGACTTCTACGAAGGAGGATATAAAAGTGTCTAACCCAGGCAAAGATTTCTTGAGTAATACCCCACAAGCACAGGCAACCAAAGCGAAAATTGACAAATAAAATCACATCAATTTAAAAAGCTTCTGCACAGCAAGGAAAACAGTGAACAAAGTGAAGAGACAACACATAGAATGGGAGATAATACTGGCAAACTCCCCATCTGACAAGGGATTAATAAACCAGAATATATAAGGAGCTCTAACAACTCTATAGGGAAAAAATCTAATAATATGTTTAAAAATAGGCAAAATACCTGAATAGACATTTCTCAAAAGAAGACATACAAATGGCAAACAGGCATATGAAAAGGTGCTCAACGTCATTGGTCATCAGAGAACTGCAAATCAAAACTACAATGAGATATCATCTCATCCCAGTTAAAATGGCTTTTATCCAAAGTCAATCAATAACAAATGCTGGTGAGGATGTGAAGAAAAGGGAACTCTTGTACACTGTTGTTGGGAATGTAAATTAGTACAACTCCTATGGAGAACAGTTTGGATGTTTCTCAAACAACTGAAAATAGAGCTGCCATATGATCCAGCAAATCTACTGCTGGTTATATACCCCCACAAACAGGAAATAAGTACATCGAAGAGATACCTGCACTCCCATATTTATTGCAGGACTATTCCCAGTAGCAAGATTTGGAAGCAACCTAAGTATCCATCAACAGATGAATGGATAAAGAAAATGTGGTACATATACACAATGGAGTAGTATTCAGCCATGAAGAAAGATTATGTTACTTGCAACAACATGGATGAAACTGGAGGTCATTATGTTAAATGAAATAAACTTGGCACAGAAAGACAAACTTTGCATGTTCTCACATATTAGTGAAAGCTAAAAATTAAAATGACCTCATAGAGATAGAGAGTAGGATGATGCTTACCAGAGGCTGGGTAGGATAATTAGAGAGGGACAGTGGTGGGGGAATGAGGGTGGTTAATGGATACAAGAAAATAGTTAGAAAGAATGAATGAGACCTAGTGTTTGCTTACACAACAAGGTGACTATAGTCAA
This sequence comes from Homo sapiens, assembly GCF_000001405.40. NCBI lineage: Eukaryota > Metazoa > Chordata > Mammalia > Primates > Hominidae > Homo > Homo sapiens. Next base: position 73,449,607 of record NC_000018.10, on the reverse strand, counting down.
AAATAACTTAATTGTATATTTTAAAATAGCTTAAAGAATGTAACTGGATTGTTTGTAAGACAAAGGAAAAATGCTTTCCTCATCACAAAGGTGGTGAATACTGTATTTTCCATGATGTGATTATTACACATTGCATGTCTATATCAAAATATCCCTCGTAGCCCATAAAGATATACAGATACTATGTACCCACAAAAATCAAAAGTAAATAAATAAATAAATAGCTGAGGTGGGCAGATCACCTAAGCAGAGAGTTCCGGACCAGGCTGGTCGACATGGTGAAACCCCTTCTCTACTAAAAATACAAAAATTAGCAAGGCATGGTGGCGAGCACCTGTAATCACAGTTACTTGGGAGGCTGAAGCAGGAGAATCACTTGAACCTGGGAGGCGGAGGTTATAGTGAGCCGAGATCGTGCCACTGCACTCCAGCCTGGGCGACAAAGTGAGGGCTCTATTTCAAAAAAATAAAAAATAAAAGTAAATGAATAAATAAATACAAAGAAATGTTCTAGTCCTCCTAAGACTAGAGCTAGGAAGTTCCCCATCATCACTTCCAGCACCACATTGCATTGAACAAGGCAAGTTACAAGGCCAGACCAGATTCAAAATGGGAGTTTTCAATTACGTTAAAGAAAAACACAGAAAAAGTCAAATCTGCAATTTTGGGAATAGCTTTCTTAAAAGTAGACATATATTTAGGGCACACATTTATATGTTTGTAACTGATTTTCTTATAACCCCTACTTAAAATCTGCTTATATTATAGATAATGTATCTGGTGGAAGCAATGACTATTAGCCTCTGGACTTTCTTCTTTTATAAATGTACTGTTTTTAGGGAATTCTAAACTCTGAAATATTTTCTGTCTAGACACTTTCATTTGGTAAAAATATCTAAATATCATTATTCTACTAGATTTACTTATATTTTGTTCTAGATATTTAGTCACGTTGCCTATCACAGAAAAGAAATCAGAAATACAATGCCAAACTTTAGACTGTGAACCATTTACAGTAAAGGTAGTGCCTGCGTGTGTGTGTGTGTGTATTAGTCAGTTCAGGCTGCTGTAAGAAAATACCATTGGCTGGATGGTGCAAACACTGTGAATTTATTTTCTCATGGTTCTGGAGGCTGAAAGTCTGAGATCAGGGTGGTAGTTTGGTTGTTTTCTGGTGAAGGCTTGCGGATGGCTGTGTGCTTACATGGTCTTTCTGGGGTATCTATGTGTGGGGACAGAGAGATGAACCCTATCAGATCAGGGCCTCACTCTTATTTCATTATCCTTAATCATCTCCTAAAAGCCCTGACTGCAAACATAGCCATAGTGAGGGACAGGGCTTCAACGTATGAATTTAGAGGGAGACAAAATTCTACCCCTAGAAGGATGCTAGACCAGTTTAATAACTCTCCTAGGCATCCCCACCCCAGTCCCTTTCAAGGATGGGAATTATTTTCTAACTCCTATTTTCTCTGAAGCTCCTGGTTAAAAATCTGTGAATTAGAGAAACTGACACAAGATTGAGATGGTGGGAAGGCAGTGGAAGCATTTATTCTCAGAAGTTGATGACTGTCGTACACAGTGAGGCTCAGATGTGGGGCGCCTAGGGAGCAGGCTGTTTCTACACATTTAGAGGCTGCCACGCACCCAGATGCTGTGCAGACCTCCGCAGGAGCTCCCGGGCCACCGTCCAGGCAGATTCAGGAACCCTCCACGGGCTCTCACTTTGAAGCCCTGTGCATCCTGCCTCTCACACTTGCCTGCACTCTCTGGCCTTTGCTCTGGCACCAAGGCTTTGAGCTGCAGTGGTTATTGAATATTCTTCTTTGCTCTTCACACTCTTGTGCAAACAGTAATTTGTATATACTGCCTCCTAATCTTTTAATATTTGTAGTGGCTTTTTCATCCTGAGAACATTCAGATGGATATACTGAGATAAATATCTTTCTTCATAATATGTGAGGATCTATTTACACATTTTTAGACTGTTATATTTGTATATGGCTTTACCTAAGCACAGAATAATGTGAAACTTAGGTTTTACAATTATTGATTAATTTTCTCTAGGATTTGACCTTTTAGTTAAAAAAAAAAACGTTAAAATGCCATAGGTTTTACTTGGTTTTATGTGTAATGTAAATAAAATTTACAAATAAAGCTACATTGTAGAAGAGTAATTAGTGTTACTTGACTCATAGTAAACTCCCAACACACTCTGTTGTGAATTAGGTACATGAAATGGACATAAATTTTTATAATAAAAATGTTGCACAAAATCCTCACTTTTCTGATTTTCATAACTTGTATATTATAGACTATCTACTTAGCAAAATGTTTCAGAAAAACTCGCTGTATTGTACTAGATAAAACACATTTTGACAGTAATTACAAAAGGCATAGCCCAAGAAGTATCTATAAATGCTTAATCCTAATAGTTCAGAGTTACAACTTGGAAGCAACTGAATACATCTTCTTATTGTAAAGTGTTTGCAAGGTAGAAAGTTTGAATAATTATTTTGCACTCTCATTCAGATGTACATTGGGAAGAGGCTCTTATTAATTATGCTTAATACTTATTTTGGTTTTGAAATATATTTCATCTGCACAAACAATGATCAAAATTCAGGTTTAATAATAGTTTCTACTGTTCAGTTTGTATGTTCAAGAAACAGCAACTGAGGTTGCTACTTGGTATTTACTTTGCAAACCTTAAGTCTCCCTTGCTTTCAGAGTTAGGGAAATGAAAAGGAATTCGAGGCAGAAATGGGAGTTATTAGTTCCATTAACACATCAGGAAACAGATTTAGTTTTTAGCTTCAAAGCTGCAATAGAATCTGTGATGTAGGGCCTGTAACGAGCATGTCCTTCGTGCATTTTTTTTAGGCTGCCATTCATAATGATGTCAGCTAGCATTACTCATTTTGCTATCATCATTCAGAACCTACTCAAAGAGTAATGGGTGGGGTGGAAGGTGGAAAACATTTTTTGTCGAAAACTAACTGGAGTGTTGTGTATTATTATCTATTTCTTTTGACTGTGGACATGTATGTACTTTTTCTTTACATGTGTAATATCTATGTATATTTTTAAGTTGCTTCTGTTTGCTATTAATATTCAGTCTTGAGATTGCGATTTGATTATAATATTTCTAAAATATTTATTTAGAAATATCCAGTTGGTATTAAAAATATTTCCATCAATACCTAATTTATTGAGAGTTTTTAGCATGAAGGGTTGTTGAATTTTGTCAAAGGCCTTTTCTGCATCTATTGAGATAATCATGTGGTTTTTGTCTTTGGTTCTGTTTATACGCTGGATTACATTTATTGATTTGCATATATTGAACCAGCCTTGCATCCCAGGGATGAAGCCCACTTGATCACGGTGGATAAGCTTTTTGATGTGCTGCTGGATTTGGTTTGCCAGTATTTTATTGAGGATTTTTGCATCAGTGTCCATCAAGGATATTGGTCTAAAATTCTCTTTTTTGGTTGTGTCTCTGGCCGGCTTTGGTATCAGGATGATGCTGGCCTCATAAAATGAGTTAGGGAGGATTCCCTGTTTTTCTATTGATTGGAATAGTTTCAGAAGGAATGGTACCAGTTCCTCCTTGTACCTCTGGTAGAATTCGGCTGTGAATCCATCTGGTCCTGGACTCTTTTTGGTTGGTAAGCTATTGATTATTGCCACAATTTCAGAGCCTGTTATTGGTCTATTCAGAGATTCAACTTCTTCCTGGTTTAGTCTTGGGAGGGTGTATGTGTCCAGGAATTTATCCATTTCTTCTAGGTTTTCTAGTTTATTTGCGTAGAGGTGTTTGTAGTATTCTCTGATGGTAGTTTGTATTTCTGTGGGATCGGTGGTGATATCCCCTTTATCATTTTTTATTGCATCTATTTAATTCTTCTCTCTTTTCTTCTTTATTAATCTTGCTAGCAGTCTATCAATTTTGTTGATCCTTTCAAAAAAACAGCTCCTGGATTCAATAATTTTTTGAAGGGTTTTTTGTGTCTCCCTCTATTTCCTTCAGTTCTGCTCTGATTTTAGTTATTTCCTGCCTTCTGCTAGCTTTTGAATGTGTTTGCTCTTGTTTTTCTAGTTCTTTTAATTGTGATGTTAGGGTGTCAATTTTGGATCTTTCCTGCTTTCTCTTGTGGGCATTTAGTGCTATAAATTTCCCTCTACACACTGCTTTGAATGTGTCCCAGAGATTCTGGTACGTTGTGTCTTTGTTCTCGTTGGTTTCAAAGAACATCTTTATTTCTGCTTTCATTTCATTATGTACCCAGTAGTCATTCAGGAGCAGGTTGTTCAGTTTCCATGTAGTTGAGCGGTTTTGAGTGAGTTTCTTAATCCTGAGTTCTAGTTTGATTGCACTGTGGTCTGAGAGACAGTTTGTTATAACTTCTGATCTTTTACATTTGCTGAGGAGAACTTTACTTCCAACTATGTGGTCAATTTTGGAATACGTGTGATGTGGTGCTGAAAAAAATGTATATTCTGTTGATTTGGGGTGGAGAGTTCTGTAGATGTCTATTAGGTCTGCTTGGTGCAGAGCTGAGTTCAATTCCTGGGTATCCTTGTTAACTTTCTGTCTCGTTGATCTGTCTAATGTTGACAGTGGGGTGTTAAAGTCTCCCATGATTATTGTGTGGGAGTCTAAGTCTCTTTGTAGGTCACTCAGGACTTGCTTTATGAATCTGGGTGCTCCTGTATCGGGTGCATGTATATTTACGATAGTTAGCTCTTCTTGTTGAATTGATCCCTTTACCATTATGTATATTGATGGGACATATCTCAAAATCGTAAGAGCTATCTATGACAAACCCACAGCCAATATCATACTGAATGGGCAAAAACTGGAAGCATTCCCTTTGAAAACTGGCACAAGACACGGATGCCCTCTCTCACTACTCCTATTCAACATAGTGTTGGAAGTTCTGGCCAGGGCAATTAGGCAGGAGAAGGAAATAAAGGGTATTCAATTAGGAAAAGAGGAAGTCAAATTGTCCCTGTTTGCAGATGACATGATTGTATATCTAGAAAACCCCATCGTCTCAGCCCAAAATCTCCTTAAGCTGATAAGCAACTTCAGCAAAGTCTCAGGATACAAAATCAATGTACAAAAATCACAAGCATTCTTATACAACAATAACAGACAAACAGAGAGCCAAATCATGAGTGAACTCCCATTCACAATTGCTTCAAAGAGAATAAAATACCTAGGAATCCAACTTACAAGGGATGTGAAGGACCTCTTCAAGGAGAACTACAAACCACTGCTCAAGGAAATAAAAGAGGATACAAACAAATGGAAGAACATTCCATGCTCATGGGTAGGAAGAATCAATATCATGAAAATGGCCATACTGCCCAAGGTAATTTATAGATTCAATGCCATCCCCATCAAGCTACCAATGACTTTCTTCACAGAATTGGAAAAAACTACTTTAAAATTCATATGGAACCAAAAAGGAGCCCGCATCGCCAAGTCAATCCTAAGCCAAAAGAACAAAGCTGGAGGCATCACGCTACCTGACTTCAAACTATACTACAAGGCTACGGTAACCAAAACAGCATGGTACTGGTACCAAAACAGAGATATAGATCAATGGAACAGAACAGAACCCTCAGAAATAATGCCACATATCTATAACTCTCTGATCTTTGACAAACCTGAGAAAAACAAGCAATGGGGAAAGGATTCCCTATTTAATAAATGGTGCTGGGAAAACTGGCTAGCCATATGTACAAAGCTGAAACTGGATCCCTTCCTTACACCTTATACAAAAATGAATTCAAGATGGATCAAAGACTTAAACGATAGACCTAAAACCACAAAAACCCTAGAAGAAAACCTAGGCATTACCATTCAGGGCATAGGCATGGGCAAGGACTTCATGTCTAAAACACCAAAAGCAATGGCAACAAAAGCCAAAATTGACAAATGGGATCTAATTAAACTAAAGAGCTTCTGCACAGCAAAAGAAACTACCATCAGAGTGAACAGGCAACCTACAAAATGGGAGAAAATTTTTGCAACCTACTCATTTGACAAAGGGCTAATATCCAGAATCTACAATGAACTCAAAAAATTTTACAAGAAAAATACAAACAACCCCATCAAAAAGTGGGTGAAGGATATGAACAGACACTTCTCAAAAGAAGACCTTTATGCAGCCAAAAAACACATGAAAAAATGCTCACCATCACTGGCCATCAGAGAAATGCAAATCAAAACCACAATGAGATACCATCTCACACCAGTTAGAATGGCAATCATTAAAAAGTCAGGAAACAACAGGTGCTGGAGAGGATGTGGAGAAATAGGGACAGTTTTACACTGTTGGTGGGAGTGTAAACTAGTTCAACCACTGTGGAAGTTAGTGTGGCGATTCCTCAGGGTTCTAGAACTAGAAATACTGTTTGACCCAGCCATCCCATTACTGGGTATATACCCAAAGGACTATAAATCATGCTGCTATAAAGACACATGCACATGTATGTTTATTGCGGCACTATTCACAATAGCAAAGACTTGGAACCAACCCAAATGTCCAACAATGATAGACTGGATTAAGAAAATGTGGCACATATACACCATGGAATATTATGCAGCCATAAAAAAGGATGAGTTCATGTCCTTTGTAGGGACATGGATGAAATTGGAAATCATCATTCTCAGTAAACTACCGCAAGAACAAAAAACCAAACACCGCATATTCTCACTCATAGATGGGAATTGAACAATGAGAACACATGGACACAGGAAGGGGAACATCACACTCTGGGGACTGTTGTGGGGTGGGGGGAGGGGGGAGGGATAGCTTTAGGAGATATACCTAATGCTAAATGACGAGTTAATGGGTGCAGCACAGCAGCATGGCACATGTATACATATGTAACTAACCTGCACATTGTGCACATGTACCCTAAAACTTAAAGTATAATAATAATAAAATTAAAAAAAAAGAATTGGAAAAAAATAAAATAATATAATATTATTGTTAAAAAAAAAAAGTCCAGATTCTTTACATTATACAGAAAGTGGTATTTACTATTATTGAGATTGGAATCTGAATTCTTTAGTGTAATAGCTGCATTTATGAGCAGTCTAGTTTTTAAGATTTATGTAAGAAACAAGTTAATCCTTTAGTAGCAGTGACATATCTGTAAATAATCGGTCATGTGGAAAGTTATATATAAATATGTTTTCTCAATTAGCTATATTACTCATTTCCCAGAGTAAATGAGAAGACTGAGACAACTTTATGTTTCTTGCTTAAGTAAATATATTTCTATGATTGATGATCATTTCTCTTCTCCTCAAATAAAAATAACTGTTAGGTAATAAACTACTTAAAATTCCAAGGCAGTAGAATGATATTTTCTTTTTATCTTACTTATAAAATGTAGTAAAAGGTAATTTGTCCAGAAAAACATGAATAACAAATACAGAGAATATTAAAACACCGAGTCAGTTTCTTTGTATATTTTTCTGGGAAGAAAATATCAATGATCATCCCAGGTCTCTGAGTGAAAACTCAACACATGAATGGGTACGTTCTTTTTAATTTATTACTCATGACATTGCAGTTCACTTGATGCGCTCAAGGATTCTATAAGATATAATTTTGTGAAAGAGTAATAACTGCTCAATTTGAGGTTTCACTAATAATTTTCTTTGGTGAGATATTTGCCATACACCTGAAAATTCAAATTGAAGAAATAACGTAATTAAATTTTCTTAAGTTTTGTAAAGGATTACCAATGTGCTTGATTTACTTGTGGTTGAAGGAGTTGTGATGTGTATCATCTATATCTTAATTTCCCAGAAGTATCATTTATAGGAGCCAAAATCTGTAAGAGAAATTTGAAAAAATTATTTTAAAGTATGGTTACAATTACATGCACCTAAAATGCACATCGGATCTCACAGACTAAATGTGCAGATAGAGATTTTAAAACATTATTTTGTAAGTGATATTTCTCTTTTGACTCTTTATATCTTAATAATGCTTTAAGGTCTAGGATAGATCTTTCCCTTTCTATCCATCACAGCCATAAGTAGTACCTTTATTGAGCAATATAATTTAATGCTCATGTACGTGAGCTCTGGATTCAGCATCCCAGCTCCTCCATTAATTGTGCAAATCAGTAAAATAGAAATTTTAAGAGGATCAACTATAAATAAGAGAGAAGCTATGTAAAGACTCTGACTTTTAAAAAGGGTTAAGAGTACGATAGGATATGGCCAGAGGATACGGAAACACTCAACTTCATTTTTTTTCTGTAATTGAATGCTAGCCTTCTTCAAATGAAATTTCTTATCCCAAGTTGCTTCATACATAAAATTTCCCATCCTTACCTACCCAGAAACTACTTGTTTTTGTGTACTTACCTCTATACAGAGATCATAAATTGTTTCCTATTCAAGAGATGTGCTGCCTGTCCCTGCCTTTCCCACACAACGTGGAGAAAATATCTCCTCTCATCACACAGCCTGAATCCGTAACACTGCCTGCTCAGCCTGCTCAGCCATGGAACCTCTTCAACCAGGACATTTGTCTCCATTTTCTGCATCCATACTCTTTTCCAAGGTTTCTCCTGTATTTCACCTTACCTGAAGCCTCTCTTTCTTCAAACATGTTAAATTCCTTCCAAATCTCTCAAATCTTATTATTCTGTTTCATGTTCCCAAGAGTCACAGTCCTTTCCAGTTCAGTTCACACATTGGAGTCTATTTTATTGTCCTTCCATTACTTTATGAAAAGACATAATGGTGGTGACAACTGGGTACGAATTTGTTTTCCGTTGCTGCTGAAAATAATACCACCATTTGGCAGCTTAAAACAACATCCATCTATTATCTCATAATTCTACAGGTCAGAAGTATCAGAATTCTGGTGGGCTCAATTGGGCACTGTGCTTAGCATCCTGTAAGGACAAAATTGGAGTTCAGAGAGTCTGGGCTCTTATTTAGAGGCTCCTGTCTGCAGCATTATTCAGGCCATTGACAAAATCCCAGTTGCTTGCTGATATGGTTATGAGGTTCCCATTTCCTTACTGGCTGTCAGCTGGGGGGACAACCTCAGGCCCCAAGGCTGCCCGCACTCCTTGGCTTGTTGTCCCCTGCTCCATCAAAGCCAGACCCTAGTGCTTTGAGTTTCTTGGACTCCCCCTTATGCTTTTAAAGGCTCGTGTGATTACTCAGGCACACCTGGATATTTCTTAAAATCAACTGATTAGTAACTTAAAGCACATACACAAAGTCCTTTTTGCCATGTAAGATGACGTATTTGCAGTCCTGGGGCTTAGGGTGGAATCGCCATACCCCTTGGCCACTCTCATTCACTGATGATAATTTTCACTCCTTAGTTAGAGACTGTGTCGCCCATGCCACACTCCACTCCTCCATCCCAAACCTGGGCTGCCTCCCACACCAGGTCACTGCCAGAGCCTCAGCCTCTTGGCTTCTCACCCGTATTGAGCTGCTCCTCATTTGTGTCTGAGCCTTCCTGCCTACCTGACAAGCCCACAGCACCATGTCCTCCAGATCATGCTGGGAATCCTGTTCAGACTCTAACATTTTACTCCCTCATGTATCTCACCCCACTACATTTCTTTCAGTTCCCCCAGGCCTCCAGTGCCTTCAATCTTCTTTCAGCTGAAACCCTTCCCTTTCATGTCTAGTGGTCTCTTCATTTAACCATGCTCTGGCCCATATTCTAACCCTTCCATTCCAAAAATGTTCAACTTTTCTTCAACATAAAATGAAATCCTCCTTGAATCCAGGTAAATGCCCTCTTCACATTGTACCAGCTTGATCATTGCTGTTTAAAAAGAGCCCATGCAGTACAAATGGATGCCAGTAATGAGACAGGGTGGGCTCCATTTTCTAGCAGGGTCTCCCGTGCTGCCCAGCCAGCCTCCTATGTCACCTGCTGAGCTTCCCACCCATACTAAAGAGGGCAATTGAAACTCACTCCATTCTTTTCAAACCCCCAAATCTGTCACCTTCTCCTATACTAGTGTCATATCACCTTGTTTTCTATTATAGGTCCTAATAATACGATCTGATCATAGGGTGCTTGTTTTTAAAAATCTCAAATCTACAGTCTAATATAATTTTTGGGAAAAAACTAATCAGAATTGTTCTCTGATGAAGTAGAAATCTTAGATCATGTATTTTACATTTATTTATAAGTATTTTAGTATTCCTTTAAGTGAACTCATTTTGCCCCTTTGACAAAAAAATACAAAAATTTAATTCAATAGGATGAATAAGACCTAGGATTTGATATCACAGAAGAGTAACTACAGTCAACAATAATTTATTGTGCACTTTAAAATAACTAAAAGAGCATAATTGATTTTCCTGTAACCCAAAGAAAGGATAAATGTTTGAGGTGATGAACACTCCATTACTCTGATGTGATTATTATGCATTGTGTTCCTGTATGAAAATATCTTATGTAACCCATAAATATATACACCTGCTTTTTTCCCAAAAAGATAAAAATTAAAAGATTACTTAAGATGTTTAAATTGTCTAATCCCATCTATATGGAAAGGACTGTAAATACAAGTGATTCCCAAAGTTTGGTTTTGTTTTGTTTGCTTGATTTACTAATACTCAGTTTTAAGAAACAAAATGTCTATATAAACTCAAAATTAAAACATAAATACAAAATGAATGTAAATTTTAAAAATTAAGGGGTTAAAAACTAAGTAAACTAAGGAAAAAAATGAAAACTTTACCAACATTATCAGAAAATGCTGAAAACAAAATATGAAAGCAAAAACTTCTCTTGAAGAGGTAATTAAACAACTTCAGGTCAGGGTCACAGACAGCTCATTTCTTTTCAAGGTCCTGGGGTTATTGGATAAATATTTTTCATAGCTGGGTAAACGTTGCTGGAAACAACAGTATTATAGGAGATTGTTCGTGCCTGCAGACTATATGTAATTCTCTCTCCTGCTGTTGGATATGTTTCATTAAATAAAGAAGAATAGAAATCTGAATATCTTTCACCAAAATAATGTAAGAGAATCACGACTTGAAAGATTCGTTTTTCTTTTTTCATCCCTTTCAATGCATCCTTCCCTTTTCAATGGTTGAGGAATGAGCATGAGCTTCTGAATTCTCACTTTAGGACTGTTCATTCACAGGGTTTTAGCCGAAATTAAATTTGGATCCATCTGGTACTATAGAAGTAAAAGACCATCCCTTCAGTTGAGAGAGAACACACATTGCTCCCGTGCTGCTATCATGCTGGAAAGCAGAATGTTTTCCATGGTATTAAATAGCAACACCATGAACAGCAGGAGCAGGGATAAACTTATGGTCATGACCACAGGACTTGGCACCTGCAGCCACCATGGATTCAGAGCACTTATGGTCTCTACCCGCTGGGATATGTGTAAATGGAAAATGATCTGACTTTCCAGTTGCTGCACCAAATACCTGTGAAATGATACCCCAAGGGCAGTCTGTGCCTTAAGGCCCATCTGCCTCCAGCATCTGTCTTGACTCCTCTTCCAACCTCCAGGGCACACATGGAAACTCATTACTTGGGTCATATAGGTGTGTTCTAAAACTTTCTCTCTGCCTTCGTATTTTGCATACCTAGAGAGAGAAAACAGACTGAGAAAATTGGAAGGCCTAAAAAGAACATTATTATCTTTACCTCAACATTATTAATTGGGGAGTCAGATTAACTTGCTTCAGAAAATAAATGTTTGCTTTGCAAGTGAAATGCTTGTATTGGGTGAGGGGCTAGTAGAAACCTGTGTGGGTCTAATTTAGTTATTTCTAACTTATAAATAGGAAGAGACTTTATTTGATGAATAAATCCAAAGAATAGTGGAGGAAAGATGTCTGATGGAGGAATTAAGAAAACACAAGTTGATGTGATTTTCTCTTTTTTTGAAGTGTTTTCACTATTAGATAGGTCAAAAAATTATATTCCCCATTTTTCTCAGTGAGGCTAGTACCCCGCTCCTGTTTCAAGATAGCAACTAATGCCAGACTTCATTGACAACCCTTGACGGTGAACCATTTAGTAACAGGTTTTTATTTCCTCTCATTGCTAAAAAAAAACATGAAAAAAATTAAATTCAAAATATAGTTTATATATCCATGACACATGGCCTTCTTGTAGTGCTTATCTTGGTATAGAAAAGCAAATAAGAGTTAATGAATGCTCAGAACTCAGGCTCTGGACAAGGAAGACAGAATATCAGTCTTAAGCATACCTACAGCAGTAGTGAAAATGCTACAGCTCTGGTAGTCAGGTGCTTCCAGAGCTCTACAACTCTCTGCCAGGCTTCAAGCAACTATTTTTCTTGCTGAATTTGGCACCTCCCTCTTGTCTTCTGCAGCAATCCTTCCTCCTTGATTTCTATGACCTTGGGCTCCCCCAGCTCTCTTTGCAGCTTTCTGATACTCCCTTCTGTCTCTTTTCCTTCCTCCTTATCTTCTTTCCACAGTGTAGATGCTGGTGTTCAACATGGATGCTGGCCTTTTTTTTTTTTTTTTTTTTTTTTTTTTTGGCCTTTCTCTTCTTCCTCCCCGGAAGCTTTCATTCACTCACACTTCCACTTCAGGGTACCGTAAGCCCTTCAAATGTCTGACAAGCTGAAGATGGAAATCATCCTTTGCCCCCTTCCTTCCCCACTTAACTCAAACTTATTCTTCCTTTTTGGTCTTTCTTGGGATTAATGGTGGCCTCTTTATCCAGCCAATCATTTAGACTGAAAATCTTGACATCATCGTAGACTGTTCTTCATTTGCCTCCTCTGAATTGATTGCAACAAAGGTCTCCTGCTTTGCATTCTATGTGTTTCTGAGTTCCACTTCTGCCTTTCAAACTTCACTGTTTTTTGCTGAGATGAATTCCTCTCCCATTAGGCTTTTCTGCCCTCTGCCTCTAATATCAAATATCCATTTTCATTAATATTAAAGAAATTTCAGTTATACTAATTTACGAATATTGCCACTATTACTGAAATCGTTATGTATTCCATAACTTTGGGGTCAAATTTCAGTATCCTCAGTGTGATTTGTATGGACTCTCTATCATCTGTTTTATCCAATTGTAATCGTTATTTATTGGTACATTTATACCAAAGTTTAGCAGATTAAAGCAACAAACATGTACCATCTCATGATGGCAAGGATCCAGCCATGGCCAAGCTAACTGTCTCTGCCTCAGTCTCATAACAAGCTATCATGTTGTCCACCAGCCTAGAGCTGTCTTAAAATTTTATTTTTTTTTTTTGCTTTTTTGGCAGACCTCATATTCTCACTAGCTGTTGACCAGATACATTAGTTTCTTGCCAGTTTGGTCTCATTATGTCTATGGAAAAAATGGTGGCTTGTTTTTCTGAGAGTTAAGGTTCTAAGACAGGGGAAGGGCAAGATAGAAGTTACAATCTTTTCATATCCACGTCCCAGAAAGTGACATCTCGTCATTTTTGCCATATTCTATTTTTAAGAAGAGAGTTACTAGTTTTAACCACAATAAAGAAGAGGGGATAAAAAGGTAGTAATACCAGTAAGGAGGATAATTTGGGTCATTTTAGAGGCTCCCTACTGCTTTCAGAAACCAGCAGAATGTCTTATTATACCCTCTTTTGTCTGGCTTTTGTAGGTAGATATTTAAACATACTTCATTTTTTTTTTTTTGGAATCTGATTTTCCATATATCATTTTTTCTTTCTGAAACTCTTTTCTTTTCTTAGCCAGATTTGAAGAACTGATATTTACACTTCAAATTTAGCTTTACGTAAAGCTAAAGCTAAGCTCCTTTATAAGACATTCCCTAAACTCTCATTATTGTATGTCTTCTGTATCTTTTATATTTCTCTATTACTGCATGTGTTATACTCTGCTGAATTTATTAGTTTATGAGCTTCTCAAAAGATTATAAGTTTTTTGAAAGCATGGGCTCTCTTACATTCAATGTTCATTGAGTAAACACCAATGAATTATAAAATGAATTGAATAATTTTTAATTGATCAAATTTGAACATATTTTTCATGATTCATGATATCTACTTTAGGATGTAACACTGTTGAAATACTGCTACTTCTATAAAATAAGATATATACAAGTAAAAAGATATTCAGTACATTATTCATTACCTTCTATTGTGGCATTCTGCTTACTTTTGGACAAAAATACTAAGTAAATTATGTTTTCTTTGAAGGAGCTCATAATTTTATGGTAGAAGTTAGATAAGACAGGCTGAAAGCCTCAGCTTTATCATCTTTAGTACGGTTTATTTGGTGAGTCTCTCAATCTTTATCAGCTTTATAATATTAATGTTGATACTTATTTTAGAGAATTGTTGTAAGCATTAATCTTAGTCTTCATGTAATATGTTGGTGTTATTATATATAATCTATCATTGTACTTTGAGGTATCTTCTAAGTAAAATAATATATTCAATCACCATTTAAAATGAGAGGGTTTAAAAAAATACTGTGGTAGGTAAAGAATACATTCTTCAGACTCAGACGTCTATTAATAATGAAGGTGAAGGAATTTATATTCCAATATAGATATTTGGAGAAATATTTAAAATTATAGGTGTCTTATATTACTGAGATTTTAATACATTTTAATAAAAGAAAAATGTCATAGTATCAATCAATACATTTATCCTATTGCTGTTCATTTCTCTTGCAGACATATTATATTTTTTCATTTTCTCTCTCAGCACTTTCCACTAATCTTCATTTTATGTGTATAAATTTCTTCCTGGTGTAATTTCTCTCATTTTGGCACAAAGACGTCAAAGAAGAAACAACAGTTCTGAGAATTTGCTGAGATCAGGTAGGGAAATAAATGTTTTCTAAAATTAAAAATGCTTAACCATAGTCTAGAGATTTTCTAGGTTAAAATTCTAAATATATAAATAAGATGTCATGTGATATTTAAAAGCTTACCTAAGGAAACTAAATAATAACAAAAAAAAAATTAAGATGAATGTTGCTTAAAAGCTGCCCTTAGGAAACCGAATGGTGATAATGATATAACGACAGTTATAGAGAGGGATTCCTATATCCTATAGCATAAATGTGACTGCTAAATGAAATCTTCTACACACATTTTCTAAAAGTTATTGAGCTAAATAAAGACAACATATACTATCATTCAAAACTCATACTAAGAGGATAATTCATAAATAAAGAATGTGATAAATCCTAATTTACTGATAATTTGGAAATAAACTCCTGAGGTCAGCAGAGGTGTTTCTAAAACTATTATCAGCAATATAATTAAGGGAAAGTTAAGCTGAAGATGATCAGAAGTGACAGATGGTGGAGAAGCGCAAGCGTACCCAGTGGTGGTGGGGAGGGGTGGGTCAGTCCAAGAAGGCTGCCCCAACATGAGTGATGATGGAATAACAACAGGTTTGAGAGTAGTACTAACGATTATGGAGTTGGAAATTGCGAAGGACCAGAGGTGCCTGTCTTAGAAATGAAAGCTCCTGGGGGAGGGAAGGCATTACTTGTAGACTTAGAAGGAAAGGTATTAAAACAAAGTGACTGCAAGAAAGATTGTTTTAAAACAGGTATTGTGTAAAAAGTTACAAGAAGATGGACTCTCTGTAGATGTCATTGATTTAATAATGCGGTGCCTCACAATACCAACAGAAGAGAGTACTTTGAATAAAAAATGAATTAAGCTACTTAAACTTTCCCATCATAAAATTATTAAAATAATTTATCATTGTTTAAAAAGGAATATCCTTGTATGTAATAATGAGCAGGAAATCTAAGTCTTCATTTAATCAAAGCTATGAGAAGAAAACAGAGTGAAGATGAGACATAGTCTGATGAAAATACTTAAAGGAAAAAATCTGTAAAGCAGGGAAGAAACCTAGCGCGCAAAGATGAGAAAATTTATAGCTTAATCATTTAAATAAGCAACCATCATATAGAAATACAAACCAATAGGCATAAATTTAAAATAGGAATGAATGAACAGCAAAAGATATACAATTGAAGTGGAAAAAATTCAGAAAGACATTAAAGAAAAAAGTTATCTCAGAAATGAATAACAAAATATAACCTGCAAATAAGGAAATCAACACATATATAACATAAACATGTATTAAGAATTCCTTCTTTTGGATATATAGGCAGCCATGGGATTGTTGTATCATATGTTGGTACTATTTTTAGTTTTTGAGAAACCACCATACTGTTTTCTGTGGTCGCTGTACTAATTTACATTCCCACTACCAGTTTACGAATGTTTCCCTTCTTCCATATCCTTGCTGGCCTCTGTTATTTTTTTGTTATTTTAATAATAGCAATTTTAACTGGAGTGAGATTATAGTTCATTGTGGCTTTGATTTGCATTCCTCTGATGATTAGCTATGCTGAGCATTTTTTCGTATACCTGGTTGCCATTTATATGTCTTCTTTTGAGAAATGTCTATTCAAATCCTTTGCTTATTTTTAATTATTATTATTATTATTTTTGCTGTTGATTTGAGTTGCTTACGTATTCTGGTAATTAATACTTTGCCAGTTGAAGAGTTTTCAAATATTTTCTCCCATTCTGTGTGCTGTCTCTTTGCTTTATAGTTTCCTCTACTGTGCAGAAGTTCTTTAGCCTGATAAAATTCCTTTTGTCTATTTTTGCTTTTGTTGCCTGTGTTTTTGAGATCTTTGCCCAGATCAATGTTTTGAAGAATTTTCCCAATATTTTCTTCTGGTAGTTTCATAGTTTAAGGTCGTACATTTAAGTCTTTAATTCATTATGAGTTGATATTTGTATACAGTGAGAGATAGGGATCTAGTTTTGTTCTGCTGGCTATGGCTATCCAGGTTCCCAGCACCATTTGTTAAAGATAGCGTCCTTCTCTTGTGTATATTCTTGGTGCCTTTGTTGAAAATGAGTTGGCTATGAATGAAGGGATTTATTTCTGAGTTCTTTATTCTGTTGCCTTGGTCTATGTCTCTGTTTCTATCCCAGTACCATACCGTTTTGATTACTATAGCTTTCTAGTATAATTGGAAGTCAGGTAATTGTAATGCCTCCAGCTTTGTTTTTTTTTTGTTTGTTTGTTTTGTTTTGTTTTTTTCCTCAAGATTATTTTGGCTATTCTGGGTCTTTTGTGGCTCCATATAAATTTCAGAATTATTTATTTTATTTCTGTGAAGAATGTCATTGGTATGTTGATAGAGATTGCATTGAATCTATAGATCTTTGGGTAGAAGGGACATTTAAAAATATTAATTCTTCCAATATGTGACAGCAGAATACCTATTCATTATTTTTGCGTCCTCTTCATTCTTTCATCAGTGTTTTATAGTTTTCATTGCAGAGATCTTTTCCTTCTTTTGTTAAATTTATTCCTAAGCATTTTATTTTGGTGTAGCTATTATAAATGAGATTGCTTGCTTGATTTCAGATCGTTCACTGTTGGCATATAGAAATCCTACTGATTTTTAAATATTTTATGCCCTGAATAGTTTGTTTCTAATACATCATGAATTTAGGTAAAGTAAAAGGCTGATTGTTAAGAAGCAGATTGCCATTTATAAAAATAGGATATGTGCTGTAAACCATCTTTCAATAAAGTGGGATATCAGAAAAAAACACTAGGTTATAACATATCTGTCATATTCTCTCCCTTGAACATCCAATTCTTAGTATAAAATGACTTGCCACGTGAAACTCTCAGCTAGTCATTGGAATGGCTTGCTATTCATAAGCCTTGGTTCCCTACTGAGTCACTGATTGAGTTGGCTATGCAGAATTCCCTGACCCTCTGGTCTTTCCAATTGCCATTATTCCAAGGTAAAATATCCTCATCAGGAGCCTGAATTCTGTCCCTGCTTACATTGCTAGCCATATCTCCCCTACTATGCTTCTTGGGATTAAAGCTGTACTCAAATGAGTCATAATTCTCCCTCTCTTGCTTTATCTCAGTTGATTCCCTGCATTTAGAATGTCTCTCCTCATCGCCACTTGAATGGTTCCTTCTTTCCATTCATTAAGTTGTAATTAAAGGATCTCTTCCTCTAGGATGTTTCTATAATCCTTGTCAGCCAGTCTTTTTCTCTTCTGCAGAATGCAAAATAATACATGATATGACTCTGAGAAATTTCTGGAGTGCAAAGTGGTTGCCTTGATACTATAAACAGATTTATTTGTATGTCACTAGTAAAAAATATGTAATAAAAATAAAATAATAGAATGTGATAAAAATGAAATCTTAACTCATTACTTGACTCAAAAACAACAAATATTATCTTATTAATTTATATTCATAATAATATTTTTCAAAAATCTTAGGCATTTGAGAGATAAAATATTAAATATATAATCATTTATTTAATGCTTCGTGGTTATAGAACAGAATATAAATAAAGTCAGTGACCTGGACAGTAAAAAAGTTGTAAAGAGGGAAATATTGCATGGGAGGTGTTAAGGAGATATAGTAAGCCATGATATCTTTATTTTACACAATGGGAAGACAAGATATTACAACTAAAACTGAAAGAAAATGACATAGAGGATTAAGTATACAATTTTTAAAAATGCAAACACAAACAATAGATGAATATAAAATAAAATTGTATCAGCTTGTGGGCAAGGAGGAGAAGGAAGGTAGAAAGTAATTTGTGTGAGTCAAATGTTCATCTTTCAAAAACAACCATGCACATGCATTCTGTAAAACTGACACATAAGTACAGCTGTAAGGTACATTTAAAATCATGGAAGTCATTACCCAGAAACACCAAACATCAAAACCATCATACCCAGCAGCCTCTGCAGACAGACCTGAGGGTGCTGAAGGATAGAACAGACAGCCATGCTGTTCATTCTAGAGCTTTTGATTTTTTTAATTGTGTGCTTTAATAAAATAAATAAAACATGTTGCTACATTTCTCTCTCTCAAAAAATGACCTACATGTCTCTGTTACAATATTTCTTTTCATTTATTTGTGGAAGAAAAAAGCTGGCTCATTTTCTTTGCAGAGATAAAATCAATATTCTTGATAACTGCTTCTATCTGCACATTATGATATCAGTTAAGATAAAAATATTGGGTTAATTGAATCTGATAAGAATTATTTGCCTGAGGCAGTGTAGTAGAGTGGACAGAGCTCATCTTTACAAACAGATGCTATTCTAGGCCCTGTTTTTCACTGATTATATTATTTTATTACAAGTTACTTAACCTTTCTGAGCTTGTTTGCATATATAAATTGAGTTAATATCTAATTCACAGAGTACTGTAAAGATTAATTGTGATAATTTAAGTAAAGTGTCTTCCATAATTACCATTCACAAAACATTAGTTTTCTGATATCCTTTTAGCTTCACTGATTGATTGTAAGAAGATAAATTGGATGAGCGTGATATGAGGGTGCTAGGAATGGAAGATGTCAACTCCATTGACAGCCAGAGCCATCAGATATTTTATGGTTAAGATGATGCACATTTTTTCTCCTTATTTAATATGTCATTCTCTCAAATTTTAATATTTAATTTGTAGTATTAATATTGATTAACTTCTAGATCACTCTTACAGATAAAATGTTCCTCTTTTTATTTTATATATTTTCCTTCAAATTGCCTGAATATTTTAAAGTGTCCAATGCAGATCATGGTTTAGTTCATTCTCACCACAAATCACATCGCATCTTTATTATTGTCACCAATTTAACTACCTTTAACAGTGTTAACCTCTCAGTTCTTATGAAAAAATAAAATGGTTTTCTGAGTTTGGTATAAAAATTTACTCTTTTATGGGTAAGAACCACTTTTTAGCATATTTATTATAAATGTTATTTAATTGCTTGGCTAACTACTATACATTATTTGGCTACTTACCATACATTATTCAATGGGGCTCAACAAAATATACCCTCTTTTTTGCTAAAATATATTATTTGATATATGTATGTATTTCATATATATTAAGATTATACAAGTTCTAGAAGACATAAGCCTCAAATACTTAAACACACATATATATTCTCCTTTAATTTTTGAAGTATGCCTCTTCTGGAACTTGTATTTTTTATTTTATTACTTTAATTGACACACAATGATTGTACATATTTATGGAGTACAGTGTGATATTTCAATACATGTATACCGTATGTAATATTTTAACTATGAAACTTCATTCTGTGTTATGGCTATGTTAAATTTCAGTTACAATTACATGTACTTATAAACAGGACAATTAGCACATATTTTATTATAACAGTGCCTGAAATATGTTCATCTGAAGTATAACAGAACTAAATGTATTATTTATGTTAAGATGAATAATAAATGTTCCAGCTTTGTTATTCAATGTTAATTACAGGAGTGAAAGACTGCTATATGTGCTGTTTAGTTAGTCAGCTGAAGATGTTACAGGACCTATTACAATTTACGATTTGTTCTTCACACATACAGATGTTTCAGTCTTGAAGCAAGACAATGATAGGACCAGACCAGTAGTTATTTATAGAAAGTTTTCGATGCTCTAGTTGATTAAAACCATATTTAAACAAACTACAACAAATAAACAGTATTACTAACAATAATACAAAATTCAACTTGACTGAATTTCATGGACTCAGTATTATACCCCCGTGTTATATAATATATTGTGTGTATTAGAGTTTATTGTGAAATATGCTCAACTAACTATAACCAAATAACAATAAGATACTGGGTTTGAAGCACTTGCCTAAATTTACAACAAACATTAATAATGCTTTATAGCAATGTCAGATTTGCAAAGCGTTTTCACTGATTCATTTTTTTCACCAATATTTATTGAGTATCTGCCACGTACCAAGATCAACATAGGCTGCTGAGGAAAGAACAGTGAGCACAGGAGAGCCCGTCCTGCATGTTTCTGTACTCACATTTCTCATGCATGGTGAGCATCAGTCAAACATCCACACAATACAGATAAAACGACAGAGATGGGTGCCATGACGGAAAAGTGGGTGTAGACAAGAGCGTACGTTATAAAGAAATTGACATGGAATTGAGGGCAGGAAGAACTCTGACAAAACGACCTTTGAGAAATATATTAGGAAACCAGAATGCAATCCACAAAGTTCCCGTGGCAGGAAAAATCATTTGCTATATCTGTCCTTAATTTTTTTATTTGATATTAATTGCCTTAAGAAAGTCGAAGACTCAGAAAAGCTAAATAGAGGAGTTAGCTAATAAAATAATATTTGAAAAACATACAGGAATATGTTAGTGTTTTGCTATTTATTGACTAAATTGCTATGTTTTGGGTTCAAATCCATTTAGAAATATTCAGGTCTGAGAAAGTCATGACCCAAGAATATGCCTAACCTTCATAACAGGAAAAAACACCAAAAGGAGGCAAAACCATTCCTTGACAATAAGAAACATGTTCTGTTTGTCTGTGTTTTGTTCACAGAGGCAGCATAGATCACCAAAACTCAATTGGCCAAATATTAATTTGAACAAATTCTTCTGTATTCATGGGAAGCAGTTCTAATAACGTGGAGAAAGACACTCCGCAAAGTTAGGCTCCTGCTGTCCCACAGAGAGTGGTCATTCTTGATTATTACATTTCAAAAAGATGACTCCCAGGTCTCTCAGAAAGAAAGTCTTGTGTTGTGAAACTGATCAGAGACTTTTAAAAAAAGATTTACAGCTCAAAGGGGCAGAATTGACAATTATGTAGTAGTCTGGAACAAGAGAGGTTGGAGCCTAGAGTCAGGAAGAAATCTGTCTAAACTTTAGTCAAGCTCACAGGGAAGTGATGGCCACTGTGGTCACCCCAAAAGTTGTCTCCTGCCCCTTGGGAATCCCTCCTCCTCACACCTTCTTTCCCTCATAACAGCCAATCTGCTTCTTTCACGATAGATTAAGTTGCCTTTATGAAACTTTCTGTAACTGGAATCATACAGTGCATATTGTTTTGTGTGCTTTCTGTCACTCAGTATAAATGTGAGATCCATATCTGATGTTACCGGTATTCATTGTCCAATCCCTTTGATAGTTGGGTAGTATTCCATTGTATGGATAATACCCAATGTTTAAATTGCTTCAACTGTTGATAGGAATTTGGGTTATTTCTAGCCTTTGTTTTTTTGGCTGCTAAAAATAGCTGCAGTGAATATTGCCATGCAAGTCTTTCTATGAGCCTATACTTTAACTTTTCTCATGTAAATTCCCAGGAGTAGTATGGCTGTCATATGGTGGGTGTATGTTTACCTTTTAAAGAAACTTCCCAGTGTTTCTTAAAGTGACTGCACCATACAATAATCCCACTAGCAGTGAGTTCCAGTTCTAGTTCTGCCAGATCCTCACCAGCACTTGATTTGATCAGGCTTTTAAATTTTGTGCATTCTTTTTTTGTTTTTGTTTTTTGAGACGGAGTCTCACTCTGTCACCCAGGCTGGAGTGCAGTGGCGCGATCTAGGCTCACTGCAAGCTCCGCCTCCCGGGTTCACGTCATTCTCCTGCCTCAGCCTCCCAAGTAGCTGGGACTACAGGCGCCTGGCTAACTTTTTGTATTTTTTAGTAGAGACGGGGTTTCACCGTGTTAGTCAGGATGGTCTCGATCTCCTGACCTCGTGATCCGCCCGCCTTGGCCTCCCAAAGTGCTGGGATTACAGGCGTGAGCCACCGTGCCCGGCCTAAATTCTGTGCATCCTAAAAGTGTACGTAGTATCACACCGTGGTTCTTATGACTAATGATGCTGAACACATTTTTAAATGTGCATTTACCATACGTCCATATTCTCTGGACAAGTATTTGCTCAAATAATTTGAGGATTTGGGGAGCTTGTGTGTTTCCTTATTATTGAGTCTGAGAGTTCTTTATATATTCTGAGGAAAAAGTCCTTTATTAGGTATGTGATTGACAAATATTTCCTTCCATTGTGTGACTTGTCTTTTCCTCCTATTAGGAGTGTAAATGAAAGAGTAAAAGTGTTTATACTGATGAAGTCAACATAGGGTAAGAGGAGAGACAGGGTCTCCAAGGAACCACATGAATTTAGTCAACTCGAGCAAGCAGCCTGTTTTACAGCCTCCTACCCTGCAGCCTGCTTCTCCCCAAACCCCGTATGGAATGTGGTCACCTCGGTTGTTGGAACTAGCCTTTGACAGACCCTAGAAACTTACAGATGAACTCAAGTGAACTTTCTTCATGGCCATGCTAAAGTCTCCACCCAAACCAGGGAGGAGCTATAGCTTTATCACCACAACGTGCAACCTATGTGCTGGCATGATGACTCCCTGCACCTGCATCTCCTCTACACGTGACAATGTGCCTTCTCCCCTCTCCATCACCCCATGAAACCCCCCTGTCAATTTCCCTCAGGGAGACACTGCCTTGGAGAATACTCCCAGCGTCCTCCTTGCTAGCACTAAGAAATAAAACTCCCATTGATCAAAACATGCATTCTCATGGAGAGTCATTTGTGACTCACCAGCCAAACGAACCATATTTTATATTGGGTAAAAATAGTTGTATTTATCTCCAAATATGTTCAATTCCACAAGTGCAGGCCTGGATAAGGCAGATTAAATTTAACCAGATCTAAATTTAGATTTAGATTTAAATTTAATTAAATTAAAATCTAATCAATTTTAATGAGATTAATTAACTTAATTTTAAATTAAAATTTAAGCATTATTATGGGTTTTCTGGTAGTTATTGCTCTAAACATTTAGTGGGTATATTGTTTGTTGCTTAGCAGTTATGTCAGTTTAATGAAATTTCTTATAAATTGGACTATTTTTCATTATTTTATTTTATTTCATTTTATTCTGATTTGCCCCAGAATAAAATGAAGGGGGAAAAAAACAGGAAGTTGATGGCATATTCACTGTAATGGTTAAAATAAATGACCTTGGGATTTAGGCAAACTAAAAAGGAGCAAATAGGTAGGTGGAGCTGAGGCATGATACAAAGGTGGTAACATCTGTGAGTCTCTGTTGAGATGCAGGATTTTGGATTCAGAGTGTGAGAGGGAGTGAATTGGAAAAATAGGAGGTGGTTGGATAGAGGTTATTTGAAATCATCATTTTTACAAGGTGTTCAGTTTTTAAGTTGAGAAATTCCAGGGAATGATCCTGGAATGAACGGCTGAAGAAGAGGAGATCAAATAATTGAGATGTCCTGTGTATGCATTTTGCATGCAGGTATTGAAATCACCAAGAATTAAGAAGGAGATGTGTTGGAGAGAGTGAAATTGAGTCGGGAGGTAAAATGTCCAAGAAACTAAGAAAATTGGATTGAATGAATTAACAAAACAGTGAGAATTAGTGAATGACATAGCCTGGTACAAATTGAGTGTTCTAGGGAAAAAAGTATGCTGGCAAAGGACACAGTCTCCACTCTGCCTGTCTGCTGCATGCTGTAGTATCAGGGGGCTGGAAATAATTGAACACTCCTAAAAATATAGTTCTGGAAAAAGAAGAGGAAAATTAATGAAATAATTTAAATGGTAAAAAACAAAAAGTTTATTGCGAATATCAGTTATTCTGCACATTAGCTATTCGGTAAATTGTTAAAAAAAATGACAGACAGCCTCATTGGAAGCAGGTTCATAATGTATTACCTGGTCTATGTTAGTGAGGGGAATCAAAGTGGGGGCAGTCACTGACATTCAGAAGATGGCTGGCACCCACAGTTAGACTGTACATTCTCCTATGGGAAGTAGTTTTACAGAATACCAACCTCACATAATCCTTATCCTAAAAATTCTGGAGATGATAACCATTATATTTTGATATTTAGCATATACAGGACAAGTCTGTATTCTATATCATTTTTGTTTTTAGATAACTTATTTTCTTTCTAGGTGCTTAAATAATTTTCTCTGTAATCTCTATCACAGTTGTGTGGTTAGTAGTGGCACTATTTTTATTACTTGTTCCAGAATCTGGTGAAAAAAAATTTTTATACCTTAGAACGTTTTTAGTATTATAAATATTAATGATATTAACAAATAAATATAAAAACAAAATGCATCTATAATCCACATCGTATCTATTGTACTCATACATTCATGCATAATATACACTTATGCATATATATCCATATATCTATCATTCATGTCTATCATCCATCCCTTCACCCATCTGTCCACCCATCCAGCCAGCTTGCCATCTATATGCTTATTCGTTCTGGTCTCTAAGAAATGCCAGCCATCTATACTTTGTCATTTGCTTTCTCTACATTTTATGAGGGCTTCATCAATGCGATTTTCTTCAGTATTACATAAATTCTTTAATGTTTCCAACGTGATTTTAATGTCTGCCTTTGTATTCTCAGTTTCCATGGAGCCCATTTTACTTCATCTGGTTTACTTCCCTCTGCTCCTTCCCTTCCTCTCTCATTCTTCTTTCTGGGAGAAGTGGTCTCATATTTTTCTCACCTTACGATTTTCTGATCATAATATCCTACTGTGATGTCAGTTTCATATTTTTATTTTGAATCCGTTAGAACAGTTTGCAGAAATTAAATTTGATTGTTTTTGGGTTTGTCTTTTTTTGGTTGTTTTATAAGATTTCGGTGAAGGCCAAGTTACTTTTTCCACTGTTTACCGAGGCTGGAATATTCATAAAATTAGAATTCAGGTTTTGTGTAACTATGTAAATTGCGTTTTGCCCATTCTCTGTTTGCTACTGAAGTAACCCAAAGATCTTCATTTACAGCAAAGGGAGGCAGAATAACTCCATGTTCTTTCAGGCAGTCACTAGGTGCAGGGATGCAGTGTCAAGACGGGATCATTTGTGCTGGACTCTAAGAATGTAGAAACCCCACATCTCCTCATTCCTATATCTAACAAGATTAAGATTCCTTATATGACCTTATTTGTGAGAATTCTACCTCCTAGAGTGCTAATTTTTAAAATATTTATTGCATTCTAATGTTTTTAGCAATATGGGAAATGAAGGGCATTTAGATAGAATTTAGGATTATCATGTTACCTAGAGTTTGTTTTCCTTAACATTTGAAGAAATGCTGAATTGAATATATATATATATATATATATATATATATATAATTTTTTTTTTTTTTTTGGAGACGGAGTCTCGCCCTGTTGCCCAGGCTGGAGTGCAGTGGCACGATCAAATTTATTAATACTTTAGGAAAAATTGAGACTGCAGGGATGAAGATGAAGATGCTGCAAATTTCTCATCACAGGGCAGACTCAATTCCAGTGATGCTATTATGTCCCTGCCAATTTGTTGTTAAATCCTGGAAAAGAAATGTTTCAAAGCCAAACCATTTCAAGAATCTTTCAATGATAGGCATTTGCTATGCTGAAATGGCCAAGGACTTAAGAGTGCTGCAGAGATTAGGGAATAAGCATTTTGAGTCTTCACTTGTGGTTGAATGCCTTGAATAATGCTAGCTACATATAAGCTGAAAAATCAATGATACAAAAACAACTTTAAGAACACGTTCAAAAATTCTATTTCTTAGTAGTTTACTCATATAAAGAAATCCTTCCATATCATAGCTTTATAATTTCCTAAAAAGACACTTTTGTACAACTTTCTGTGGGATAATATGACATGCATTATTAAGATTTATAAGTACCACAGGATTTGAAAACAATTCCAAAGTATTACTGCTGTTCTAGAAAATAATTTTTACCAAATGTATTTTTCCTACATTTGTAAAATGTAATAATAATTCATTAGGTTTGCCTGTGCTTTGTCAACTTATAATTAATGCAATTCTTTAATTATCCGCTCTGGTGAAGTGGTAAAGCCTCAATATTGTGCATTCAACTTCGGAAGATATATCTAATTTTTGGCATTTTTTTTCTGTTTCTTTTGTGAAAGTTAGACAAAGGCTCTCTGAAATAGCAAAAAAAAAAAAAAATTGGCTCTTATCCTTTTAATAGTACTGGAGAGATCTTGTATATTATATTTATATTTTTTCCTTGTCAAGTATTATGGTTATCTTTGAATGTGACTACTATCTTAAGAAAACAGAAGAAATATTTTCGATTGCTTTATATTTTGCTTATAACCTCATTACAAATTGAACTTTGTTTACAATGCAGACTTTCCATGGCACAGGTCAAAAATCAAACTTCATCACTTCAAATAGTCTGTTTAATTAAATCAAGGGCAAGCAAGAAACGGAAAAGTTCACTGTACCTATTTTATTTTTCAGGATTTTATTAATGAGGTACAATTTAAAATAGGAATCCTAAAATATTGTCTTCTTTAATTTTATATTAGCAACAAATTACATGTTAGTTTTTGAAATGGGTTTGGAATTTGTTCTATTATTTTTACCTTGTCAAACTTGTTTCATTTTATAAATGCTTTCTTTTAAAGGTCAACTATAAATTGTCTGGAGATTGTTTTAAATAAAATGAAGCAACAAATATCTAAATATGTTGCTAATGTTTTCTAAAGAGTTAATGTTCAAGTTCAATAGAAATTTAATACTAGGAATTCTTTATTTTCTAAAGTTAAAAATTTAAAGTGTTGGACATAAATCTGAAATAATCCATCTTCCTTTTAAAAGAAAATTGCGTTCCTTTTAAATACTCCCATGAAGTCTTATGAAATTCCATTTTTCTGTTTGTAATATAAAGAATAGAAGTAATTGGAATAAATCAAGAAACTATATATCACCAGGTCAGTATCTTCTCTCTGAGAGAGAGTACTGAACTGTGGTATATGTCATAGCTCTGTTCCCAAATATTACTCACATAAAAAAGAGAAATGTAAGCTAAAGCATGTCAGAATCCACCACAAACATATCAATCCCTCATAATAAATTTATCCTAATTTTATTTGAAGCTATTAGGATTTTAAATTATGCGGCTTAGAGTAATATTCTATGAAGTTTAATATCTGATATATAAATTTGAGTTTTTATTTTACTTTTTTTAAATTAGTAAATTCATGTTTCAAGGTTAACTTCCTGTGATTTGTTAAAGAAAACAACAGTCACCACTTCCTTTATTGTTTTAAATATTGATCAAAATTATCTTAAAAAGTCTGAAAAATTCTATATTTTCTTAGTCTGTTTTATGTTAGCAGTCTCTTACATAGGTTTGGCATTTATTCATTTTATAAAGCTGCTGTGTCATTTTCTGATGTCACTTGTGTAGATACAGGTTTATCTAGATCATAATTTTGCACATACCTTAAGTATTTTCTAATTTGCCTATTATAGTCCTCCTT
Source organism: Homo sapiens (assembly GCF_000001405.40). Taxonomy (NCBI): domain Eukaryota; kingdom Metazoa; phylum Chordata; class Mammalia; order Primates; family Hominidae; genus Homo; species Homo sapiens. Next base: position 73,421,411 of record NC_000018.10, on the reverse strand, counting down.
AATCATGATCAAAATTGTTTCCTCACTGTCATATTGAGTAGTTGTTTTTAAGATAATGCTATGCAATAACATTCTTTTACTGAATAACTGATACCATAAAATTTGTCCTTCAAATTATGGTAATGTGTTAATATTATGCATCTTGATAGTTCACAGCATTTTTTTAGTTGACTTGGCATTTCATTACATAGACAAGCTTTATTTCATCTGTCAAATTAAGACATTTGTGCTATTAAGTCCCTCTTGTGACTAATTTCCATACACAGGCATTTTATCTTTAAGCATTTATGAATGTTTAACTGTGCAGTGTGGCATGGACTCCTGGGAAACCATTTCTATGCCTAGAAGAGTCCTTTCCCCCTACCCTTTATTTCTATCCTCTGAGTTCCCTATTCATGGAATACTCTCCTAAAGTTATTGTTTTGTATTAAGTTGGATGTGGAATTCTACTAATAATTTTAAATAATCTTTTTAAAGTGTTGTGAGATAATTACAGATTCACAGGCAACTGTAAGAAATAATACAGCAAGGTTTCATTTACCCTTTAACCCGTCTCCACCAATGGTAACATCTTGCTGTAGTACTATATCACAAAAACATAATTGGCATGGTACAATTTGCTCATCTTTTTTGTATTTACCCACATTTATATGTACTTTTTAAAATTTTTATGGAATTATATGTGCGTCTGTTTAGTTCTATGCAATTCTAACATGGGTAGATTCATGAATCTATTGACACTGTAAATAGATATAAGAAATCCATCCCCAAAAGAATCCATCATGTGGTGCTTTCACAATCACACCAGTCTCCCTAAACCATCCTAAACTCTGGCAAACAGTCATCTGTTCTGCATTATTATAATTTTGTCATCTCACCGATGTCCTGTAGATGGAATTGCACAGCATGTAATCTTTTGGGATTGCCTTTTTGTTCCTCACTCAGGATAATTGCCTTGAGACACATCCAAGCTGTTGAATTATCAATAGTTGTATGAGTTAGCAATAGTGCATTTCATTTCTTGCTGGTAGTATTCCATGGTACAGATGTACCGCAGCTTGTTTAACCATTCCCCCTTTGAATGCCATCCAGGTTGTTTCCAGTTTGGGAATATTATGAATAAAACTATTATGAATGTCCATGTACAGGTGTTTGTGTCAGCAGAAGTGTTTATTTCTCAGGGTTAAATGTGAGAGTGCAATTACAGGGTCCTATGGTAACTGCATGTTTATTTTTATAAGAAACTCAAATTGTTTTCTATAGTGCTACATCATTTTACATTCCACCAGCAATGTGTAAGTTGTCCAGCTTTTCTTCATCCAAACCAGCATTTGGTGGTGGTGGTTTATTCATTTGTTTATTTTTTAGTCATTCTGATAGGTACATAGTAATATCTCATTATAGTATTAATTTGTATTTTCCTAATGGTTAATGATGTTGAACATATTTTCATGTGTTTATTTGTGATTTGCATCTTTGGTGAAATACAGTCATGCCTTGTTTGATTGCACCTCACTTTCTTGTGGTTTGCAGATAATGTGGTTTTTACAAATTGAAGTTTGTGGCAACCCTGTGCCAAGCTAGTTTATTGGTCCCATTTTTCCAACTGTTTCTGCTCACTTCATGTCTCTGTCAACATTTTTTAGCAATAATATATTTTTAAGTAATCGCGTTTTAGACAGCTGTTCTTGCTCATTCGCTAACCACAGTTTAGCATAAATATAACTTTTATATACACTGGGAAACCAAAAAAATTGTGACTCACTTCATTGTGATATTCACTTTATTGTGAGGATCTGGAGCTATAGCCACGATGTCTCTGAGTTCTGCCTATAGCTGTTCATATCTCTACCTTTTTTTAATTTTTAATTTTTATGTGTACATAATAGGTATATATGTTTATGGGGTATATGGGATATTTTGGTACAGGCATGCAATGTGTAAAAATCACATCAGGGTAAATGGGGTATCCATCACCCAAAGCATTTATCCTTTGTGTTACAAACAGTCCAGTTACACTATGGTGTGTTGTTGTTTTGCATGGAGCTTTTAGAGTACTTTACATGTTCAGGCTACTACCCCTTTATCAGATACATGGTTTTCATAGTTTTTGCCCAACCTGTAGCTTGTCTTTTCATCTTCTCTCAAGGTCTTTCACAGAGCAAAAGCATTTCATTTTCATGAGGTCCAATTTATCTTTTTTTTTTTGGCTTTATAAATTATGATTTTGGTATCAAGTATAAATATCTTTCCCTAACTTCAATTCTGAAAACTTTCTCTTTTTTGCAAAAATTTTCTAGTTTTATGTTTCATGATTAAGCACATGATCTATTTTGAGTTAATTTTCATATAAGGTGCTTGAGATTTAAGTTGAAATTTTGTTTTTGTTTTTGTTTTAGCTTTTTTGCCTGTATCTATTCAATTACCTTAGTATCTTTTGTTTAAAAGACCATCCTTCCCATTTTAAATTGGTTTTGCATCTTTGTCAAAATCAGCTGGGCATATTGTGTGGGTCTATCTTGGGGTTCTCTAACAACAACAACACATAATAACACACTGTGTTGTTGCTATATCTGTATAGTAAACTTTAACATCAGGTACAGTGGTTCCATTCATTTTATTTTTTTCAAGATCAATTTGGCTATTCGAGGGCAAATTAGTTCCTAACAAAAGCTATTAATTTTTGTGTATTGGTCTTGTGTCCTCCAACCTTGTTTAACTCACATATTCGAGAAATTTTTTTTTAATTAAATCTTGGTTTGTTTTGGTTGATTTCTGCCTTAGTATTTCTTACATAGACAATCATGTCATCTACAAATAGGGACAATATTATAACTTCTTGTCAAACCAATATGTGTATTATTATTTTTCTCGTTTTGCAATGTGGCTAGAACTTCCAGTACTATTTTAAATATCAGTGATGCGTGTGTTTACCCTTGCCTTATTTCTGATACAAGTATGTAAACATTAGGCTTTCATCATTATGTATGATATAAGATATAGATTCTTTGTAGATAATAGTTTTTTAACCAATTTGAGACTTTCTTTTTTAGTCCTTACTTCGTGAGACATACATAATTAATTGGTTCCGATTTTTCTGCAATAATTACTATAATCATATAATTTTTCTTCCTTAGTGTGTTGACATGGTATATAACATCAATTAATTTTTGAAGGTTGAAACTTGCATTCCTGGAATAAATCCCATTAAGTCATGTTGTATAATTATTGTAATTTTCAGGTATATGCTTTCCATCTTGTTCTCCTGTATAACTTCTAGTTCTTTTCTGATATTTTCTATTTCTTCCTTTGTTTCAATATATTGTTATTGGTTTTTGAAGAATTTTTATAATCGCTTCTTCAAAAGCCTTGTCAGATAATTCCAATAGCTGATGTTTCTTGGTGCTGTCATCAATTGCTTGTCTTTCCTTATTTAAGATGTGATTTTTCTGGTTCTTAGTATTTTAGTGTGTGCATTTTTGTTGTTTGTCTATTATATTATGAGATGCTGGGTTCTATTTAAATCTTGAGAAAATTGTGTTTTCAATGACAATTTAATTTTAACAGCTTTTGTGGTGCTATTTTGGTCTGCTTGGTTTGTCTAATGATCTCTGCTGGTGCCATGTGAAGGAGCAGAAGGAGCTTCCCCAGGAGAGAGCAGGGGTGCCTCTCAGTGGGGTAAGGGGTCTCTGCCCCTGGAGACAAAGTTCCCTTGTGGCATCTGGCACTTTCCGTGTTGAGATTCTTGCTCTTCCGCTGGCAGCCTCTTGTTGCTCCTTATTGGTAACCCCCAATGCCTGGTGTTTACAAGTGAGATCAGGAGCTCTGCCCGGTGGAATCAAAGAAGGTTTTAGGGGTAAGCATTTACTTATTTGAGTGGGACGCTCCTCATTAGTACCTTCTGGTCACCAGGTATCCCCATAGGAATGAGGGGAGTTTCAGTAGATGGGGAGCTTCTCTGTTTCTGTCCCCGGTGATTTTAGTGGCAAGACTCTCTTGTCTGTGATGCCAAGCTATGTGTTGTCTCTAGGTGAGGAAGGGAGTCCTCTGGCCCATGGGTCAAAGAGACCTTCCCAAGTGGAGTCACGGTGACTTCGTCTTTCTTGCAGGTGCCTCTGGCTGCCCCCCTTCTGGGTGGGGCAGAGGAGTACCTCCTAAGGCCACTTACTATTAATAGAGCTTCCTGTGCATTTGCCTTCCTGGTGGCAGTGGGCTTGCCTGGTATTCTTAGACAGATTTCTGTGCTACGGGGGAGGAATGAACCTAGCTGGGATAACTTCCGTTGCTAGGTTGCGTTCCAGAGATGGTCGGCCTCGGTTGTCTTCTGCTGTTCAGTGGCAGGTCATAAGCCGTGTTGTTGCTACAGTCCTTCTTGTTTCTACCTTTCAGAGTTCTTATTTGGTTGCCTCTTGTATTATTTCCACTGTTTATAATTGTACTAATCAGGGAGGAGTAGGGATGGCTGAGCACGTCATCTTGTCTGAACCAGAGTTTTCTAACAAAGTTTTTGAACTTGGAAAATTAAATTAATTGCAACGATTCAACTCCCCATGGCGTGCTTTGTTAGAACTTGAAGATTTACTCTTTTGTTTATCCTTTTGTAAATAAATAGATTGCTTAATTAATTTATTTGCAAATTCTTTTTTTATTTTTGAGACCGAGTCTCGCTCTGTCGCCCAGGCTGGAGTGCGGTGGTGCGATCTCCGCTCACTGCAAGCTCCGCCTCCCGGGTTCACGCCATTCTCCTGCCTCAGCCTCCCGAGTAGCTGGGACTACAGGCGCCCACCACCGCGCCTGGCTAATTTTTTGTATTTTCAGTAGAGATGGGGTTTCACCGTGTTAGCCAGGATGGTCTCGATCTCCTGACCTCGTGATCTGCCCGCCTCGGCCTCCCAAAGTGCTGGGATTACAGGCGTGAGCCACTGCTCCCAGCCTGCAAATTCTTAACGTATGCCAAAACATGTGTGGGAAACTTTAAATTAAAAGAGGAAAAGAATTGAACCTCATCCTCTAGCACTCATGATCTACCTAGTGAAGTTTTACATGCAAACAAATAAATAAAGCAATTAAGACAAGCAGTATGATAGAAGACTATATGAATACATAACTCTCAAAAGTACAGAGATGAATTCATTCACTAGTATTGATTGAGGGAGTGGTGTGAAGTTTACAAAGAAGGTAACTGGTTAGTTGTGTCTAGCAGTGGCCTATAGTATGATTTGAAGTAAGCTAGTGTTTGAAGATAGACAGAATATGGAAATTGTTGAAACATTTAGAAAATTATGACGGTACTTCAAGTGGGAGATGGTAACAGCTAAGAATATGTAGCGCCAGTGGGAATGGGCAGGGTGATGACAATACAAATGCCCACCCGAAGTGTTCCAGCTCCCCTCCTGTGGATAAAGACCATCAGCATAGTCAATTATGAATAAAGTTAAATAAACCGATATTTCCTAGTGACCTTCAGGCAATGTAACTTCTGGTTGTCTCTCTAATATCCATTCCATCCCCAATCCATTGTTCAGAAGTGAGCACTAAATGACCTAAATTGGTGCTGACAAATAGTAATATGCTATAATCTTTATATGCAATTATAAATATTTTAGCAGGCTTTAAAATTTTTTTTAAAAGACAAAATTGATTTAATGACATATTTTATTTAACCACATATATTCAATATGTTAACATTTCAACGTGAAACCAATATAAAATTAATGATGATATATATTACATTTTAGAATTAAGTCTTTAAGACTCGGTGTATATTTTATAAATAAACATAGATATATGGATATATTTGTATATTTCAATTAAAAGGTTACATTTTTATTGGAGATCCTTGAATTGTATTTAAATTTTATAAAATGTACACCTGAAACATAGATTCTCCATTTGAAAATTGTTCCAAACATATTTAAAGTTTTCCTAATAACTGAATGAAATATTTTTCCATTTAAATTTAACTAAACTTAAATACATTTTAAAAATTAATTTCTCCAGCACAGTAGCTACATTTCAAATGTCTAATAACCACATATAGCTATGGTTATCATATTGGACAGCGCAGATCTGAGTCAATTTGTATGATTCTGGTCCTATGTCTTTATATTTGGTTAAAGGATTGACACAAATTACAGCCTTAGGCCAATTTGTAGATTCTATTTTCCACAATAATTAATTCAGGGATGGACTAAAGCACTGGATATTTGTAATGGTTTAGTGGCTCCTTCATTCCTGTTTATTATGAGAGTAGTTACTTTTCAACCTAATGCCTAAGGAAAGTCAAAGTAAGGCTTTTATACAAAACCATTACACAAAGAGGGTGAGCTGAGAGATAAGCAGAGAAGTAAAATTGGATTAGAGTCAATACTGCTTGAAGCCCAAATGATTATTTATGGTCTTTTTAGTCACATGACTCAAGAAATTCTTCTTCTTTATTCTTCAAGCTATTTTGAGTTAGATGCTTCATTATTCGTAAGAAAAATAATCATACGTACTTTTCATAATGTAAAAGTATGAATCATACTTTTCATAATTCGTAAGAAAAGTTGGTACAGGATTACTCTCAAAAGTGGGAAATATCAAGAAACAGATAACGAAATATGAAACTGACTCACCAGAGGATTTAGATAGAACAGCCCTGAGAATCATTCTATCTCAGCTGGGAAGTAAGTTGGCAATTATAATTACACACTGCTAGTATTTATGTGGGATACCCAGTTACAGACTCACTGGTGTTTCTTCTTATAAGGACATTGACCCTATTGGGTCAGGGCCCCACCTCTAGGACCTCATTTAACCTTGACTAAGGTTAAACTTGTTACAGGCTCTGTCTCCAAATATAGTCTCACTGGGTATTAGGATTTCAATACATGAATTTTGGGGAGATATATACATTCTGTCTAAAACACTTCTACTTGCTTATACAGTCTTTTCCATTTTTCCAACTTATGGTCACTCTATCCTTCAATTTACTAATTTTCTTTTCAGGTCTTTTTTTGTGTTCAATCACTGAGTCTTTAATTACAGGTATTATATCATTCTAGTCCTCCCATTTAGTTTTCTTTTATGTCTCTGTGTTCTCTAGCAAAAACCCCAGTAACATTATAAATTTATTTTTACAATATTTTACAGTATTTTTACAATATTTATTGACAATATTTTATATTATTTCCAATATTTTTACAATATTTTTACAATATTTTACCATATTTTTACTCAACTATCCAGTTACCTTCTCTACAAATTTTATACCGCTTCCTCAATCAATACTAGTAAATGAATTCATTTTCATTTTTTGTAAAATTTATTTATTGTAAAATTATTAAGCTTAGAATTTTAAGGTTTGTGTTTGGTAATTTCTCCAATCTGGGGCTCTTCTAGAGTCTATTCCATGTATATTGTTTTTCTTTATTGTTAGTCATACTTTTTGTCTAGTTTGTGTCTTATTTTTTATCAACTTACAAACTTCAAAAAAACTTAGTAATTATTTTAGGATTGAAAAAATTGCTCCAAGTTTCTTTAGTTTTGCTTCTGATGGTTGGTTAACTCAAATTTAATCAAATGTCAAGGGTTAAGATAGTTGAAATCTAGGCCCCAGTGCTGGCATAGACTGGACTACTGCTAGAACACTTGTAATCCTGTAAGCACTCAAGAGTCATAACAGGCCAGGTGCAGTGGCTCATGCCTGTAATCCAGGCACTCTGGAAGGCCTAGATGGGTGGATCACCTGAGGTCAGGAGTTCAAGACCAGCCTGGCCAACATGGTGAAACCCCGTCTCTAATAAAAATACAAAATAATTAGCTGGTCATGGTGACGCATGCCTATAGTCCCAGCTACTCGGGAGGCTGAGGCAGGAGAATTGCTTGAACTTGGGGGACGGAGGTTGCAGTGAGCTGAGACTGTGCCACTGCACTCCAGCCTGGGTGACAGAATGAGACTCCAACTCAAAAAACAAACAAAACCAAAACAAAACAAACAAAAAAAAGAGTCATAACAGTAATCGGAAGGCTAAGAAGCCTCTACTTTTTGTCTGCAGAGAGGGTGTTCTCATTTTGGTCCCATGAGCCCCATGCAGCTGTCAAAATTGCTATTTATAATCTTGGGCTTTCAGTTTTTTCTTCAAGGATGGGTTGACAAGTGTTGAAAAAGTGACTCCAAGTGTCAGGCTTACCTCTCTGGGTTTTCTTACCTTGGATCTTAGCCCCATAATTCTTTGTCATGTTATAATATCTCTAATCCCTCCAAGAGGAAGTTAGAAAATATTTACTTTACATTTTCGAGTCAACTTTACTAGGACAATCCTTAGAAATTAGTTAGTCTTTCATTACCAGAATCAGAGGCCCTCAATGATATTTTAAAGTTGCATTGCCTAAGAAGGTAAAACTAGCAGATCCATACAGTAATATCAAGGATAACAAGCATATCAAGAAGTTGATTGTTAAAGTGTCCACCACAATGACCTTTGCAGATAATGTCATAAATGGCAATAGTGGAAACATATAATAACATCAAGAACAAAAACATTCACTTATTTTGTCTTAGGCACTCTCCTAAGAGATTTTTTTTTAACTTTTATTTTAGGTTCAGGGGTACTTGTGCAGGCTTGTTATATAGGTAACCTCAAGTCATGGGAGTTTGTTGTCCAGATTATTTCATCACCCAGGTACTAAGCCTAGTACCGAACAGTTATTTTTTTCTGATCCTCTCCCTTCTCCACCCTCAGGTAGGCCCAAGTGTCTATTGTTCCCCTCTTTGTGTCCATGTGTTTTCATAATTTAACTCCCACCTATAAGTGAGAACATGCGGTATTTGTTTTTTTGTTCCCGGGTTAGTTTGCTAAGGATGATGGCCTTCAGCTCCATCCATCTTCCTGCAAAGAATATGATCTCATTGCTTTTTCGTTTTTGTTTTTGCTTTGAGAGTCTCACTCCATCACCCAGGATGGAGTGCAGTGGTGCGATCTTGGCTGTGCAACCTCCTCCTCCCGAGTTCAAGCAATTCTCGTGCCTCAGCCTCCCAAGTAGGTGGAACTGCAGGTGCCCGCCACCACGCCCAGCTAATTTTTGTATTTATAGTAGAGACAGGGTTTCACCATGTTGGCCAGGCTGGTCTTGAACTCCTGCCTCAGCCTCCCAAAGTTCTGGGATTACAGGCATGAGCCACCACACCCGGCCTGACCTCATTCTTTTTATCGCTGTGTAGTATTCCATGGTGTATATGTACCACATTTTCTTGATACAGTCTACGGTTGATGGGCATTTAGACTGATTCCATGTTTTTGCTATTGTGAATAGTGCTACAATGAACGTATGTGTGGTTGCGTCTTTAAGGCAGAATGATGTATCTTTCTTTGGGTATATACCCGGTAAGAAGATTGCTGGGTCAAATGGCAGTTCTGTTTTTAGCTCTTTGAGGAATTGCCTGGCTGCTTTCCACAATGGTTGAAATAATTTACACTTCCATCAACAGTGTACAAGTGTTCCCTTTTCTCCGCAACCCTACCGGCATCTGCTATTTTTTTACTTTTTAATAATGGCCATCCTGACTGGTGTGAGATGGTATCTCACTGTGGTTTTGATTTGCATTTAAGAGCTTATTGTGAAGTTATTTTTTCAATGCTAAAGGAAAAAGAAGTCGGATAGAACGGCTGTGCCCAGCTTTACACACATAGAAGAAGTGGCAGAGACAGAATCCTTCTCCAGCCAGTCCCAACAAGGTTATAAGTAGTTTATACAAATCATACTTAGTTCTTCTAATTCCAGAGCCTTCACCTTTGATAACTACACAATTCTCAGCAGGCAAATATAGTGACCAAAAAGAATGAAGAGCAAGGAAAAGTCTCTTGGGAGCAGAACAGGGACAGATTCACCAACGACAGACTAATTGGGCAGTAGCACAATGTACAGTGGATCCCTGAGCCCTGTTTGCTATTTTCCTGTTGGCTTTTCAAAATAAAACTTTTGTCATGATTATGAAGTTCTATCTTAGTATTGCATATTGACCATGTTGTGGATAAAATCATCAGGTTGTTGGATATGATAGAGGGTATGGCTTTTATTTCAGGCATCTGGCTCATTGTGTACTGGTGCTTTGTGGGAAGGGATGACAGTATCTCAGGTAGGGGAAAACATATTTGGAATTCTATGCATGGGAAAGTGGGCATTTGTGAAAGCTGAGTGGCAACATGTCTTTTCTGTTACCTTGAACATTTTACCTGTTGGCAAAATATAAGTACCTAATAGTAAAATTAAATGACTTTTTAATAATCTCTCTCTCACACACACACACACACACACGTGCATACAAACACCAAAGCCCTTGTTAACTCCCCAGATCAACTGGTTTGGATATTATATAATTTAATTACACTCTTTGGTATGGGAATAAAATGTCATTCACTCGTCTCAGCTACAGAAGATTTGGAAGTGTATGAAGTTTGCACAAATTCTTGATGGTGAGGGAACATATTTTAGGTAGATGGTAGGTCTGAAGAATAGAAATTTCTTTGAGGTTTATAGAAAAATAATTAATAATTTGCCCAAACATTTTTTTCTTTATACTTGAAACAGGACTTCAATTTAACTTTAAAAATTATTGAATCATTTACATTTTATATTAGACTCAATGCACTGCTTTCTTATGTTACCATAAGCCACTAAATATATCAAAATAGAGAAAAGCTTATTTTAAAATATCCATTTAATATATTTGTAATGTATAAAATTATTTAGCACTAAAAAAAGATGAATGGTGTAAATAATTTATTTTTCTTCCAAGCTAATTATTTATCAATCTGAGGTTCTGAGACCCATCTGCAAAGATTCTGTTTTTTATCATTAAAACATATGTATATTTAAATATATACTTAAAGCCTAAGTTAATAAGTAAAAAAGTAGTAATGGAAAAACAACGTTTTCTTTATTTAGTAATTCTTTAAGCACCAAAATGACCAAGACAATTATAATTTGCTAAAATAGATGAATAATGTGTTTTGACCTAAAATGTAAAATGAGTGAAAGACTTAGAAGCTAAAGGAAAATTTTAAAAACTTGAACACTATGAAGGCAGTAGCGGAACTGATTAGGTGAGGAAGAAGCACAAGAAGTATTTAGTTGAACAGATGTATCTGTAATCTACTGTTAGGATGGAGTTGGAGGCAGGGGAGAATAGTTAAGTTTGTTATGAATCTGTTTTTAAAGAGTAAAATCTACTAGGTGACACTACTTTATCAAATAAATGAGATGTTTTTAATATAAGACAGGGAAATCTCAGAAATGACAGAAAATAGTGCTGCAAGGTACATGTCAATATAGACAGTTAAGATAGTTGAAACTTACAATATTCTATTATTGTTAAATATAACTCTGCACATAAGATTGCATTTTTAATAAATGAAGGATAAAAGGAATTACATTGCCTGAAATTGAAAAATGATCACTGCAAATATTTTACTAGCAACATGACTGAAAACAATTAAATAAGGTGAGCCTCATTTAAGATATAATTGTGGCTTATCAAAAATTCTACTGATAATGTTCTTATTCACAATCCTTATAACATTTTTATCTAAACTCTTTTGCTAAGGTATGTTGTAAAATTTCTTTAATGTTCTTCTTTACTTGTTACTTCAAAATAGTAAAAAAAAACCTCATTGGATATGCAAGTTTTCGTAAATGTGATTTCTTATTTAAAGTTTTAAATATTTATTCTTGATGTAGTTCTAATCATTCTTTCAATGAAGTTAGAAATCAGAGAGGGAGAGTTTTCTTCTCAAAGTTGTCTTATCTGTGAATTAAAATACGTTAATATATTGTAGAACATACAAAAGATGTGAATTATAGCATTTCTGAATAAAATCACAAGTTAATCAAATGGCTAATATTTTATGCTCATACACACAGCTCAAATCTGCGAAGTAGCTTAGTATCCATAGCAACTATCATAGCATAACAGTCTGTTTTCCCAGACCACTATTTTTTTGTTTGTTTTGTTTTGGGTTAAGAAGAATTCCCTAGGCTTACTGTTAATATTTTGTGCTAGCAAACTACTGAACCAAGAAAAGAATCTTGCTAGCAACTGTGTTCGAGATTAACGTCTGAAAAATTAATTTGCTAGGACAAAAGTGGAAGCCAAATGGTTGCAATAAATATAACACAATCAAATATATGAAATTTATGAGTCATTAAAAAGGTCAAGTTTAGAATCACCAGCTGTGAATTTAAATGGAAAAAAAGGATTGATTTCTTTATAGTTTTCTGAGCAATTAGGTACGTGAAAACATACATTAGACAAGAAAGCCAAGTGGTGCCAATCCATCAGCTACTGAGCATGTTTACAAAAATCATATACACGCATAGGAATCATTAATCCAAAATCCAGGTTAATAATTTATTATTTATTAATTTATTTAAAGCTTACATTTTCCACATGGGGAACATACCATAATTTAAAAGTCAACTTTTTGAGAATATACAGGATAAATGTACAACTTAGTTTTCTATATTGCTACAAAATTAGGGTTCAGATGGTATTAGCGTTTTCGAATGTGACAATCATGATAATATGTGTTCTTTTCTTAACTTTGCAAAACACCTTCAGACAAGTTAACCAAAGGAGTGACAAGCATGCCACATAATTTACGAGACAAAAGAAATAAATGCTGCTTATTTCCTTTCACATTTCACAGGAAGTGCCTTAGACTACTTCTCAAACCTCAGTCCACGTCAGAATCACCAAAGGGCCTGATGCATCCCAGATTCCAGTCCCTTCTCTCCATCCCAGACATTCTGCTGAGGTAGGTCAGAGGTGAGGCCTGAGAATCTCGGTTTCTTCCAACTGCCCCACTCATGCTGACGCTGCAGTTGGGGGAATGCCCCCTGACAACCACTTCCTTAGAATATAAAGCATCCCCTGCCTTCCACAACTATTAAAATGGAATGGATGTCTACTTTTCTATAATGTTCTCTGTATTTCTCCTGGCTTATTTCTTTAGGCAGCTTACCTTCTAATTACTAAATTCTTCCTCATATGAACCTAAATATCTCTCTGTAATTTATTTCACATCGTTTCCTGTTTCTGAAGTTTTTAATTATCACACTTCTTTCTGGATTATCTAATCTCTCTAGATTTAATGTTTTTAAGCTACCATCACACATTTCAAATTTATTTGCCTGTTAACAGCATGTTGACACTTTGTTACTATGAGTCAATCTTGGTTTGACTATTGCCCCAAACCTTAAATAATATGAATATTTAACATAGTATCTGACACATAAACACTTTTACCTTCTGTTACTTCCATAAGAAAATTGGACATTTCTGATTTTAAGACATATGTTTTGTAAGCACATTCTGCTTCTGTTTCTTTATCTTATATATTTCAGTTGTTTTTGAAATAAATCAAATGGAATATACATCATTGGTTCTTTGATGCAATAATGCTTAAGAAGTCTGAAATTCCATAACAATGCAATCAAGTGTTAGTTTAAGCGGCCTAGGACATATTACTTTAAAATGAATATCTTCCACTGTAACCTATGGATGTTATATCCTGAAGTAGTATTATGCTTGTAACAGATAGGCTTGAGACCAAGCTGCTAAAACACACAGACCACAAAATGCAGTTGCTGCTTCTTCTCCCCCATAAGGCTCTAGAAAGGGAGGGAAGGAGGAAGGGAGGGAGGAAGGGAGGGCTCTGTGTCAACATGTCCTGCAGGAACGCTTCCTGGCAGGGAAGCTCTGGTGTTCCTTCCATGTGGTTTCTGTTTCTGTAACTGAAACACCACCCCAGTTGTCCACAGGCTAGCTCATCATTTCACACTGGACAGAGATAAAGGAGAACATGGAAGGCAAGAACATTCATATTTTTAAGGCCCTAAAATGATATTGGACACATCACTTATTTTATTTTTTTATTTTTCTGGGTACATAGTAGGTGTATATTTATGGGGAAAATGAGATGTTTTGATACAGGCATGTAAAGTGAAATAAGCACATCATAGAGAATGAAATACTGGCAAGGAGGTGGAGAAAAGGGAACCTTCATACACTGTGGATGGGAATGTAAATTAATACAGCTACTATAGAGAACAATTTGGAGGTTCCCGAAAAAAACTAAAAATAGAGCTACCACACGATCCAGTAATCCCACTGCTGGGTATATACCCAAAAGAAAGGAAATCAGTATATGAAAGAGATATCTGCACTCCTATGTTTGTTGCAGCTCTGTTTACAGTAGCTAAGATTTGGAAGCAACCTGTGTCCACACTTCACTTATTTTAGACTATCAGTCAAAATTTAACCACACTCTGACACCTAGCAACAAAGCAGGCCTGGGGCTCTCACACTCATGGGGCTGTCACATTTGTGCACATCTTGTGGGTAAGGCACAGTGTTCCCTTTGTTTTGGATTCGTTTTTCAAGGATTTTTGTCTAACCAATAGCCTTGAAAGACAATGAGAATGTCTCCCTCCAAAGTGAGAGCTGGGAACAGGAACTCCCACTCGCTTGCCTCTTGGCTCCCTAAGCGCAGGGATGCTTTACTGCAATGCCATCCACTCCTGATGAATGTGTCATCTGGCCGTCTCCACACCACTCTGTGGGGATTAGAGCACGGGGAATTGTCACAATAAAATGCTTATGCTGTGGATACTGTTATTGCTTAAGCAACAAAGCCCTTTTTCTCCAGAAATCTCCTATCTTCTGCCAGCATCAGTGACACTAAGAAAGGCTAACTTGTCAATTTGAAAGCAGGGTAAAATCTCAGCCCTATATAAGAGTTCTTGACAACTTTGGCAATACTGATGGGATAATGATAAGCATAGTGGAAAATAAAAGATGAGGGCATTGTCAGCTGATTAAAGGGACTTGTAGGAAGTCCGTGAGAATCAGTAGGAAACATGTTGGCTAAAGTCTACCTGGTAGTAATGGCCCTTCACTTTATTGACTGATAGTGAGGAGAAGTTGGGGAGATAGCTAAAGTTTGAGCAAGCGCAAAGGAGATTTAAAGACCACTGCCCAAATGATCTGGCTGTGGTTACCACTCCTCTGGTGGGAGGATTTCCTGGTTCATCCAGCAACCAGACACAGGTTCAGTGCATCACACTGCCTAGTACTGAAATCTGTCCTGAGTGACCAGGACATTCCAATTCCTTTCAGATAAGAGTTATAGAGATGCATGCTAACTCAGCATAACATGAGAGAAATTCATGACAGCACTTGGCTGAAACTAGGAAAATCAGTATTTTGGCTGTTTTGATTGGAGGATGACAGTCTGGGGAAAGTAATAGTTTTAAAGAAAGAAGATGCCAGGAGCGGTGGCTCACACCTGTAATCCCAGAACTTTGGGAGGCCAAGGCAAGTGGATCATGAGGTCAGGAGATCAAGACCATCCTGATCAACATGGTGAAAGCCTGTTTCTACTAAAATACAAGAAATTAGCCGGGCGTGGTGGCACATGCCTAGAGTCGCAGCTACTCCAGAGGCTGAGGCAAGAGAATCGCTTGAACCCAGGAGGCAGAGGCTGCAGGGAGCCGAGATCGTGCCACTGAACTCCAGCCTGGTGATAGAGCGAGACTGTGTCTCAAAAAAGAAAAAAAAAGAAAGAAGAAATAAGTTCTCATGTTCTACACTACTGCAGGATGACTATAGTTAGCAATAATACGTAATATATTTTCAAATAGCTATAAGGAGGATATTGAACTTTCCTAACACAGAGAAATAATAAATGCTTGAGATGATGGATATGCTAAGTTCCCGGAACATATACATTATATGCATAAAAACATCACTGCTGCGAGTGCAGTGGCTCACACCTGTAATCCCAGTGCTTTGAGAGGTCAAGGTAGGTAGATCGCTTGAGCTCAGAAGTTTGAGACCAGCCTGGGCAACATAGTGAAATCCTGTCTCTACAAAAACATACAAAAATTAACCGAGCATGATGTCATGTGCCTGTAGTCACAGCTACTTGGGAGGCTGAGGTGAGAGAATCCCTTGAACGTGGGAGGCGGAGGTTGCAATGAGCCGAGATCACTCCAGTGTATCCAGCCTAGGTGACAGAGAGGAATTGTGTCTAAACAAAAACAAAAACAAAAACAAAACAACCAAAAAACCCATGTGTTCCATGAACATGTACAACTATTATTTGTCAATTAAAAAGGGGAAAATTTTTTAAAAAGAAAGAACAGCAACAGCTTTGCCGTTTTATGGTTCAATAGCTCCTGTAGTCTTCCTGTCCAACTTTGATTCATTTAGGGATGGCATTAAAGTTCTCAGAGATTTATTTTTTCAGTGGTTCCTGACTACATTAAGGAAGCTTTGATTCTCTTGTGGAGAATCCTCCAAGAAAACATACTTGTATCATGGAAACTCATAGATTCAGCTCTGGGCAGTTTGGGGCCTCTTACTGACCTCTATTCAACTATAGTGTTGATGAAGGTGGCCTTTAGGACAATGAGGAACTGACCAGGAAAGTCCTGATACACTCTTGCATCTACCCCACTATCCTGGAAAGCTCTTTTAGTCCTCATGTTAAAATTGGGCAAAAGCTCAAGCCTTATGGAAATGGGCAGCAAATGGCAGCCATTGGATTGGGATGCTGATAGTGTTTGGATTTGCATCCCCACCCAAATCTCATGTTGAAGAGTAATCCCCACGTGTTAGGGGAGGGACCTGGTGAGAGGTGACTGGATCATGGCAGCAGTTTCCCCTGTGCCGTTCTTATGATAATGAGGGAGTTCTCATGAGGTCTGATGATTTGAAAGTGTGTGGTGGTTTTCCCATATACTCTCTCTCCTGCCCCCATGTAAGACGTGTCTTGTTTTCCCTTCACCTTCTGCAATGATTGTACTTTTCCTGAGGCCTGCCCAGCTGTGCAGTCAGTTAAACCTCTTTTTTTTTTTTTTATAAATTACCCAGTCTCAGGTAGTACTTTATAGCAGTGTGAAAACACTCCTTAGAAAATGAGTTGCATCTGAATAAGTTAGGTTTGATTCAACCAAAGGGTGCAAACTCCATGGCCCCAGCCAGAAAGTAGTACAACTGTGGCTGCTGAATTCAGGGATCTCCAAGGCTCCCTAAGTGCAGGGCTCCTCTACTGCAATGCCATCCACTCCGGATGAATGTGTCATCTGGCATGGTGTCGGCCATGAAGACCTGGCTGAAAAGTCTGTAAGTTCACGTGGCTGGGCCACAAGCTGCACCACAACAGTCTGTTTACAGGGCCTTTCTTTCCTCTTTGCCCTGATCCTTCCCCCTTCCTCTCTGGCTTTAAACAGAAAGATGACTAAAACTTTGGCTGAGGTGTCCCAGTCCCCACTGGGGACTAAAAGCCGTTCACATCTATCCAAGCATGCTGGGAAACTTGGGAGACGTGAGGAAATTCAGATTTTATGGCTTTGTTGATACAGGTGACCAAATCACTATTAATGGGGAAGGAAAGCTAATGTAACCTTTTAGGTAGGGCCCATGAGCAGGGTTGATTTGATTTGATGTCCTTTTCAATGGCCTACAACCTTGACAGTGTAGTAGGAATTGATTTGCTCTATGTGTATACTTCCAATACTGCAAGTGCTGGTTCTTGTCAGAAAGAGCCATTTGGATAGAAGTTTTAGTAGCACCCAAAGATGTCTTTGGGTTTCTGATGCCTCACCTCCATGACACAGTCACTTGTCACATTGATTTTGAAAATCACTTTTACTTTCCTTCTCAGAAGCAAATTCCTGATCCATGGAGGTCTTGTGACTCTCTAACCTGATGTTCTGGCTGTGGGGTGGGTACAATCAGACTCAATAATTAACAAGAGACAAAGGATTCAATAAGATTCACTTATCAAATGGAAACGGTCTTTTTAAAAATGCAGCTAGGCCTCCCCATGGCAACTTGGCCTGGCATGAAAAAGTGAGCAGCTGGCTCAGTTGGCCCTCAGTTCACAGGCTTTCTCTTAAATGCCTGGGTCTGTTTCGCTGGTAGTTTGCTGAGCTGAAACCCAGTGGTGCCCACTGGTTCGTGGTGCTGTTCATCTCAGTGCCATCTATGTACAACCAAATATCAACATGGTCAATTTCCTCAGTGGGCATCATTCAAGGACATTCTCATGGTTCCAGCCAATATTCTCCTGGATTAGTTTTGTCATATTTTTACTTATTCTGTAAAATGAGACTGTAGTCAATGGCCTAGCAGTTTGATCTATCACTTAGAAAATCACAAGCAGACAGATTAAATTTATGCCTAGTGTTCCATTATTGGAACGCTAAGTATGTGAGAGTTATTCATATCCTACTGCTCAAGGTCATTGCCAAGGTCTGATTGCAAAAATTCAAAAACTTGCAACCCCAGGCAAAAATGGTTAAAGACACCTCTATTTACACTTGCAAAGGGTGGAAAGAAGTTGCTGCTGCTAACAAACACCAGACATTTCAAGTTCTTTTCTATTTATCAAGAATGCCATGGAGCTATTGGTACTTTTTTTAGGTTATGGTATTGCTATTTCAGATTATCAACTGACACCAGCATTCCAGCCCTTTGCAACTAAACATTCGGCATGCTTCCAGCTTTCCAGGCATTTGTAACCTGGCACTTGTTGATAGTAGCTTAAGAAAATTCCAAATGAGAGAAATTTAAGAGATTTGGTCTCAGCTTCTGTCAAGCCAGTGGAGTGCTATACTAATCAAAACATTAGGCAGAAGCCAAGAAAGTCTAGAAATAAGAGTTGCATCTTGTTGGGAGGTAATTCTCCTCGGCTCTCTCAACTTTATGCACGTCTTGCAAGCAGTGTATGCCACTGACTGTCTTCTTTTTTTCAGGGCTAAATTTTAAGTGTGTTTGTTTAATGAACAGCCTCAAAAGAAGGCAGAGATAGTGTCTCCCACCAGAACAAAGGGCAATTGTGCTCACTGCCCTCTAGAAAAGTCTGCTCTCCCTAAGCTAAGGGTTATTTCCCTGTAACTCAGCCCACTTTGTCAACAGGTATTATTTGTTTCTCCTCGTTTCTTCTTGTGGCAAATGGGCCTTGGAGAATTGGAGCAAGAAAATGCTTATACTCTAGCATTATAGACTGAATTGTGTTCCCCTAAATTCCATATGTCAACATCCTAACTTCCACCCACTACTATGTTTGGAGATAGGATTTTTAAAGAGGTAATTAAGTTAAAATCAGTTCACTAGGGTGGACCCTACTCCAACATGACTGGTGCCCTTACAAGAAGAGGAGAAAGACACAGTCATGCAGAGAGGGATGGCCATGTGAAGACACAGGGAGAAGACAGTTGTCCACCAGCCAAGGAGAAAGTCCTCAGAAGAAACCAATCCTGCTGACACCTTGATCTCAGACTTACTGCCTCTGGGACTGTGAGAAAACAAATGTCCAGTGTTTAAGCCATTCAGTCTGTGGTACTTTCTTATGGCAGTTTTAGATAATTAATACATCTTGATACTGCTATCTGTGTGAGTGATAAAGTGCGTTTTTCTCTGACAAAAGAGTCTCATGTGTTTTTGTTTGTTTTTCTAGCATTCATCCAGACTAACTTGTTAACTTGCAAGTAGAGTACTGCCTCGGAATATCCACATTTCTGGGCAAAAGGAAGCTGTGTCTTTAGCTGGGTGACTGTATTAGTTTATTCTCACACTGCTCTAAAGAATTGCCCAAGACTGGGTAGTTTTTAAAGGAAAGAGGTTTAATCGGCTCACAGTTTACCATAGCTAGGGAGGCTTCAGAAAACTTACAATCATGGCAGGAGGTGAAGGGGAAGCAAGGCACCATCTTTACAAGGCAGCAGAACGGAGTGTGAATGCAGGAGGAACTACCAAACGCTTATAAAACCGTCAGATCTTGTGAGAACTCCCTCATTATCACAAGAACGGCATGGGGGAAACTGCGCCCATGATTCAATTACCTCCCCCTGGTCTCTCCCTTGGCACATAGGGATTACGGGGATATTACAATTCAAGATGAAATTTTGGGTGGGGACACAGACGAACCATATCAGTGACTAATTATACAAACAAAATCCAGGCTGGGAGGAGGTTCTATCACTACTAAAATCAGAAAAGGTGGAACAGACATGATTCAGGGACAGGTAGAATAATAACAATGGAATATGGAAACAAATAAAAGGGAATAATAATGTCACAAGAACAAAGGTGGGGTATATTTACTTATTTAGTCATTTCAAATATTACAACCATATTCTAAATCAGCAATTACCAATGTTTATTCCGAGGATCGAAATACAAGTTTCTGGGTTAAGCAATTGTAAATAGTGACTCGATAATAGCCTTTAGAGGCTTTTGTGGTAATGATTGTATGGTTTTGGCTCTGTGCACTAGCGATAATGATAGTTTTCCTTAATATTTTCACTGAAATTGGCTTATGAACATCTCATGGTCATAATTCTAAAAATTCATAGAATTCAAATCCAGTGACTTCATTTGTGATTTAGTAAACTGACGTCTCTATGATTATGTGACTTGATTTAGAGCTACATCCTGGTAGAGTGAGAAATGGGATCCATTTACTCTGATTTCCATATGAATGGTTTTCCCAGGATCACAAGTCTTTTTAAAATAGGCATAAATTTAAGGTAAACAAAGGTTCAGTGTAATGCAAAAAACGTGTGCAATAACTAAATATTAAACTATAAAAAAGATTGTATCTATCTAAAACTAATTTGATATTACTATAGTCAACACTCTGGATAATGTGATAATTGCTAGAATATTAAGACTATCCAGAGTGTTAATATTTTAATAAATAATATCATTAGTATTCATTGAAACTTAGATAAAATATTTTGGAGAATAATTTAAATGAGACATGTGCCATGAATAAGATTCTTTTATTAAAATATTCTAATTTCCTGTAACAAGTAGATACAGTCAAAGTATTTTTTTGTTTTCTTTTTAGGCAACTACCACATTTAAGTGGACAAGTTCATCATTAATATTTAACTCATGAGGCCTCTCTTGGATCAGCTTTTCTTCACTGATCATTCATCTTTGAGGTACCATTGCCCCTTTACCCCAGTCAATATCAAGAGAAATGTTCAATGCCATACAGAAGTGTGCCAAGAGTAAAAGTGCCTGAAAGTAGAAAATGTAGTTGGCTATGAATCTGCCAATAATGCTGGCGATGTACGGGGAGGGTGGTGTGCAGGATAATGGACCCCAAAGGTGTCCCTGTACTGATTTTCCAGAACTGTGGTTATGCTACTTTACATGGTGAGGGGAATTCAGGTAGCAGGTGAAACTGAGATTGCTATATCAGTTGATCTTAAAATAAGGAGATTATCCTGGTTTATGCCGGTGCAGCTAATATAATACTAAGAGTCTTAAAGATGAGAGAGGGTAGCTGGTGTGTCTTTGTCACAGTGCCACAATGTGAAGAAGACTCGACTGGTCACTGCCGTGAGGCTAAGAGGGCAGTGAGGCTCTAGAAACTGGAAAAAGCCAGAAAACGCTTCCTCCTAGAGCCTCCAAAAATGAATGCAGCCTTGCTGATACCTTGTTTTTAAGCCCAGTAAGGTCTATTTTGTATTTCTGACCTTCAAAACTGTAAGGTAATAGATTTGTGTTGTCGTAAGCCAGCAAATTTGTGGTAATTCTTCACAGCTCTGTGGGTAAATATGTGCAAGCTACCATGTCTATTTTAGAAATACCGTGAGCATCTATCTTCCTACTGCCTCTGTTATTGTGCGAGTTCGGTTCCTTCATGAAAATAAAACAAGAATTATATGTAAGACCAGGTGCAGTGGCTCACGCCTATAATCCCAGCACTTTGGGAGGCCAAGATCGTAGGCAGATTGCTTGAAGCCAGGAGTTCAAGACCAGCCTGGGCAACATAGGGAGACCCTTTACCAAAAATACAAAAAACTAGCCAGGCATGGTGGCGCACCTGTAGTCCTAGCTACTTAGAAGGCCAAGGCAGGAGGATGGCTTGAGCTCAAAAGATCAAGGCTGCAGTGAGCTATGATGTGCACTCCAGCCTGGATGACAGATCGAGACCCTTTCCTAAGAAACAACAACGACAATGACAAAAAGAATTCTACAGATGTGTTAGATAGAAGTAAGTAAATGTAATGATAGAAGAGGTCTTGAAGAAGGAGCACTCCTCTGCTCAGTAAAGTAGTCTCCCCTCCTCATCACAACCCTCCCCCTTCATCCTTTTCCCTTGTAGTTTTCTCATCTTCATCTTCCACTTACTACATATTCACTTTTGAAGGCAGCATGGCTCTTACTCAACCGTCATATAAAAGAGGGTGTTATGATTGGAGGAAGTCTGGTCTTAAGTAATTCCTTAACCCATACTAGCCCATGACTTGAGTAAGTCTTTCTTTACATTTGATGCTTGAACAACACAAGTTTGACCTGCACTGGTCCATTGATACATACATTTTTTTCAATAAATCTCTCCTGTCTCCCTTTCCACCCCACGCCTACAACCTCTTCTGCCTTTGCCACCTGATATGGTTTGGATTTGTGTCCCCACCCAAATCTCATGTTGAATTGTAATTCCCAGTGTTGGATGACAGGCCTATTGGGAAGTCACTGGATCATGAGGGTGGATTTCCCCCTTGCTGTTCTTATGATAGTGAGGGAGTTCTCAGGAGACACGGTTGTTTAAAAGCGTGTAACACCTCCCCTTTCTCACTCTTCCTCCTTCTCTGGCCATGTAAGACATGCCTTCTTCCTCTTCACCTTCCACCACAATTGCAAGTTTCCTGAGGCCTCCCCAGTCATGCTTCCTGTACAGCCTGCAGAACTGTGATCCAATTAACCCTCTTTTCTTTATAATTACCCAGTCTTAGGTAGTTCTTTATTACAATGCAAGAATGAACTAATACTCTGCCCTTTAGACAGCAAAATCGACGCCTCTACTTCCTCCTCATCAGCCCACTCAGCGTGAAGATGATGAGGATGGAGACCTTTATGATGACCCACTTCCACTTAATGAATAGTAAATATCTTTTCTCTTCATTATATTTTTAAACAATATTTTCTTGGGAATAATTATTACTTTATTGGAAGAATCCAGTAGGTAATGCATATAACATACAAAATATGCATTTATTGACTGTTCATATTATCATTAAGGCTTCTGGTCAAGAGTAGGCTATTAGTAGTTACGTTTCTGAGAGTCAAAAGTTACATGCAAATTTTCTGCTGCGTAGGTGGGAGGTGGGGGATGGTGCCCCTAACTCTCAAGTTGTTCAAGAGTCAACTGTATATAGGGATCACATCACTTTATATTGAAAGTCCATTTCTCACAATGGTAAAGCTAGAGTCAATGATTGCTATGCATTTTTCTCAACATTTTCTATGGCAATCAGTAGCTACATTATATATTTTTTTTAACAGAGACTCTAAACACGGTAGTACTTAAAAGCTGATAGCAAAGGATTCATCAGAGAAAACCTGATAAGAGGTTTTAGCCTAATCTGCAATTTACAAGTCCTTTCAAATGTCTTTCTTGACCTCAGTGCCTCACTGCAAGCAAAAATGTAATCCTTTTGGTCAGCTCTTTGCAACTGCCTTATTATGGTATCTGGCTGCAATAATCTTACTATAGTGAGAACATTTTGCACAGCTCTTCATATTCGTTGGAGGTTTCTTAAACCTGACAGAGGGCCCCAGCCATTTAAATGACAGTTTTCTCAAGCTGTCATTTTAATATCAATAATTCAGCTATCCTCCATGTTTCTGACTTTTGTTCATTTTTTTTACTTCAGATGTGAAGATATGAATTGCTTCTTTTATTGTCTTGTAAACATACTTCTGAAATTCACCACTGCTTTCTATTTCTCAGGTGTTTCTTAACTGGATGAAATTAAAATAATCAAAAAATAGCTTGCAGATTCAACTACTTACTCATTTTAAAAATCAGCAACAGACACTTACTTGAAAATCTGCATGTATTTAGAAGCATATCTGTATAATCTATGTCTTGCTTAATGCCCACTGAGCAATGACTGTAAGTTAACATTGTTCTAAGTTCTTTCAATACCTCAATCATTTAAGTGATCAAAATAAATCTTTGAACGTTCTGTTGTAAATTTATGGCATTAAATATTAGACACTATATTGAATACAAAGTTATAGCAAAAAACGATTTTGTTGATCATCTGCTATAGAACATTTGTTCATTTTATGCAATATAAAAAGCTGAGTAAACATGATTTCAAATAAGGTAAAGAGATTACATGCATCCATGGTTTAAACTATATCACAAGTTAGCACTATTCACAATAGCAAAGACTTGGAACCAACCCAAATGGCCATCAATGATAGACTGGATAAAGAAAATGTGGCATAGATACACAATGGAATACTATGCAGCCATAAAAAAGAATGAGTTCATGTCCTTTGCAGGGACATGGATGAAGCTGGAAACCATCATTCTCGGCAAGCTAACACAGGAACAGAAAACCATACACTGCATGTTCTCACTCATAAGTGGGAGTTGAACAGTAAGAACACATGGACACAGGGAGAGGAACATCACACACTAAGGCCTGTTGGGGAGTTGGGGGCAAGGAGAGGGAGAGCATTAGGACAAATACCTAATGCATGCAGGGCTTAGAACCTAGATGACGGGTTGATGGGTGCAGCTAACAACCATGGCACATGTATACCTATGTAACAAGCCTGCATGTTATGCACATGTATCCCAGAACTTAAAAAGCATAATATATTTTATATATATACAACCATTACCTTGTATTCAATATAGTGTCTAATATTTAATGCTATAAATTTATAACAGAATGTTCAAAGTTTTATTTTTGATTACTTAAATGGATGAGGTATTTAAAGAACTTAGAACAATGTTAACTTACAGTCATTGCTCAGTAGGCATTAAGCAAGACATAGATTATACAGATATATATATATATCTCGCAAGTTTCCCTTTGAGCTGTATCCTAGTCAGCTTAGGCTGCTGTAACAACTTACCACAGACTGGGTGGCTAAAGAAAAGGAATTTATTTCTTACTCTTCTAGAGGTTCAGAAGTCCAAGGTCAAGCTGCCAGCTGGTTGGTTCACTTCTGTGGTGAGGCCCCTCTTCCTGGGTTACAGATTTCATGCTCACATGGCAGGACAGAGAGAAAGGAGCAAGCTCTTCTGTGTCTCTCCTTAGAAAGGCACTAATCTAATCAGGAGAGCACCACCCCATGGCCTCATCTATACCTAACTACCTCTCAAAAGCCTGTCTCCAAATACCATCACATTGGGAGTTAGGACTTCCACTTATGATTGTGGGGGACACAATTCCGTCCATAGCAACTGATAACCAGAAAACTCTCCTTTGATTAATATTAATATTTTAATTGTATGTATATCACTGTGAACAACCATAGCTGTTTATTTAATCTAAGATAGGAGTTATAGCTTTCTGAGCTAGACATATCAGATCCTTGACCTCAGAAATATTTTGAATATATGTACAACTAACATGTGTTATAGCTGGTTTCAAAGGTAGTACCATATGTAGAATAAAATAATAGCATCCAGTGACACACACACGCACACACACCCCAGTCAGATTTCCATCCTGGATATAACATGACTTATTCTTAGAAAATGATGCTGGTTCGGTGGTCTCTCCAGATTTTGTATTTGGTATCACTGCATTTACATTTAATTGTTATAAGATTCATTCTACAAATATCTATTAAGTCTACTATGTTCCAAAGCTATGTGGATTGTTTAAAAATCAGGGGAAAGAAAGGATTATTTGTCTGGCTGGGATTCATCCCTTTGGTGAATTCCTACATGATGTGTGTCACAATTTTTGATTACTTCAAAATCCAGGTAACTTATTCTCCTACCTATCTGTCATTCTCTCCATCAGAGAATCTGCCCATACTTGTACCCTGAGTCTTGGAGGCACATGTATCTGCAACCTTTCCTTCATCTCGATTTCAAACATTTCACTTTCTGATCAACATCTCCTATCTTGCCCTGTAACTCTGATTCCATTAATCATATCAATCTATGAACCTTTCTTTCTAAAGGTTCTCAAGCCTGTCATCTAACAATTATCTTTCTTGTTGAGCTAAAATTTCATAACTTATCATTATAATAACTCATCTGGATATACCTTCGAAACCCCTTCCTGCTCTCACTTCACAGCGTGTGCTCCTTTGGCAAAACCATGGCTTGATTACATCCTACTTCTTCACTGCACCATGGTGTGTTAGGCACGATGGTAGAATAATGGCCCCCGAAAGTGTACACATCCAAATCCCTGGAACCTGAAAATATGGTTGTTTACATGGCAAAGCAGAATTAAGGTTGCAGATGGCATTAATATTTTCAATCAGCAAACCTTATGCTAGGGAGAACATACAGGTGGGCCCAATGTCATAAGAGTCCTTCAAAGTGAAAGAGAAAATTGGAAAAGAACCAGATAGAAAGCAGCATGAAGAGAATCAAGGCCAATGGTGCTGGCTTTACAGATGGATGAAGGGGAGCATGGACTAAAGAATATGTCCAGAAGGTGGAAAGGATGAACCCATGGATTCTTGCCTGGAGCCTCCAGGGAGAACACAGCTCTGATGGCATCTTAATTTCAGCCCACTGAGGCCCACTTTGGAATTCTGAACTCCAGAAGTATAAAACAATAAATTTGTATCATTTTAAATCACTAGATTTGTAGTAATTTGTTACAGCAGCAACGGGAAACTAATACACTTGGTACCTAACCATTGATGTGGGAGAGCACAAAGCCATGCCAAAGGAATTAACGTTAAACTCATCCACTAACCTCGACTGGGACCTTAATACTGTATTTCCCTTGACTACTTCCTCTTCTACCCACCTGGGAGACTGTTTCATATCTACTATCAATGTATCTATGTTTTGATACCTTTTTCTCCCATAGTCAGTCTCAGATGAGGCTTTTTTTCCTACTGAAATGAGAAAGGAGAAGCAATCAGACAGGAACCCCACAAACTTTCACCATGACATCTCTCAACCTCATTATCACCTATGGCTATATCTTCTTTCTGATTATTACAGTTGAACTGCAGGCTCTTCTGGCTGAGGCAAATTCTTCTACCTGTGCAATAGAGCCTCCTGGGAGAGCACAGCCCCGCTGGCATCTTTTTTTTTTTTTTCCAGTGACTCAGGCTGGAGTGTAGTGGTGCCATCTTGGCTCACTGCAACTTTTGCCTCCTGGGTTCAAGCAATTCTCCTGCCTCAGCCTCCCAGGTAGCTGGGATTACAGGTGCTCGCCAACACACCCAACTATTTTTTGTATTTTTAGTAGAGATGGGGTTTCTCCATGTAGGCCAGGCTGGTCTCCAACTCCTGACCTCAAGTGATCCACCTGCCTCGGCCTCCCAAAGTGCTGGGATTACAGGCGTGAGCCACTGTGTCCGGCTCTGCTAGCATCTTAATTTCAGCCAGCACCATTGGGCTTAATTCTCCTCATGGTGCTTTCTCTCTGGTTCTCTTCCAATGTTCTCTTTCACTTTTAAGGATCCTTATGATGATATTGGGCCCATCTGGCTAAGACCAATCCCTCCACTGCAATAGATCAGTGCTTCTGAAACTTTAATGTGAATACAAATCACCTGGGGATTGTCTTCTTGGATTCTGAGATTCTGCATTTCTGCATGGTCCCACAGACTTCACTTTGAGTCCCTTGATCACTCCTCTAAGCTAACTCAACATTTTCTTCTCCCAGCTCATTGTCACATAAACCTCCTTGTATTTCCCCCATTGAAAATTACTCAAACATTAAAATAAATCCCATCCACCCCCTATTTCATTTTTCTTCCCTGGGTATCATAACATTTGTGTCCCTTTGGAGGAAAACTTGAAATTCCTCCAGTTTCCCTCCAATGTGTCTTTTGCTTCCTCCATTTTACCACAATTCTTCTTATCAAACAGACCAATGACCACTATGTTATCATCAATTCTCAGTTTTCTGGCCTATTTCAATTATCTGACCCATCAGCATTTCTGTGCTGATTACTTCTTCTTCTCAAAATATTTTCTTGACTCCCAGGACTTTACATGGCCTTTGTTTTCTTTCCACGCATGTTCTTCCCTTCCCCAGTTACTGCTTCTCTCTGGCCTTAATGATGCCTTCTAGGGCTGAAGTACTGGGCCTCTTCTCTTTGATGACAGCCACTCCATTGAGGCACTTATCCAGACTCCTGGATTAAAATATATTGAATTTGCTAACAAGTATTAAATGTATATCTCCAGGCTGGATCCTTTCCCTGACTTCATATGAACATGTTGTATTACTCAGGGTTCTCTAGAGGGAGATAATTAATAGGATAGATGTATATATAAAGGAGAGTTTATTAAGGAGTATTAACTCACATGATCACAAGGTGAGGTCCAACAATAGGCCATCTGCAAGCTGAGGAGCAAGAAAGCCAGTCTGAGTCCCAAAGTTCAAGAACTTGGAGTCTGATATTTGAGGGCAGGAAGCATTCAGCATGGGAGAAAGATGTAGGCTTAGAGGCTAAGCCAGTCTACTCTCTCCATCTTCTTCTGCCTGCTGCTTTTATTCTGACCATGCTGGCAGCTGATTAGACTGTGTCCACCCAGATTGAGGGTGGGTCTGCCTTTCCGTGTCCACTGACTCAAAGGTTAATCTCCTTTGGCAACACCTTCACAGACACCCAGGATCAACACTTTGCATCCTTCAATCCAATCAAGTTGACACTCTACATTAACCATCACACATGTATATCCAACTCTGTGTTTGATATCTGTGTTTGAACATCTGCTCACCATTTAAAAACCAAGTATTTTCTAAGTTGAATATCTGATGTAGTCTACCCTGAATCAGCTCTCTCATCTCAGTAAATGGAAATTCCATTTGACTTAGTTCCAAAACCTTGGAGTTGTCTTTTAGGTTCTTCCACATCCTGGGGTGTTTCCACCTAAAGGCCTTGATACTTGCCATTAACCTTACCTGGGATTTTCTTCTAGATATTCCATTGCTGACTTCCTCATCTCTTTCTAGTCTCCATTTAAATGTCACATTATCAGTAAGGGTCTTCCTGATTTCCTAATCTAAAATTGCAATGATTTCTCTCCAAGGCCCATTTCAATACAAACTTTTCCAGGCTTTGTCTAAGATGTTACTTATTTATATTGCTTATTATGTGTCTAACCACCCGCCAAGGCTGGAATTCTTGTCTGTTTTCTTCATTGCTGTATCTCTAACACCAAAAGCAATGTTTAATACATCCTTGAGTCTTAAGTATTTTTGGAATAAATAAATAAAAATTAGCACAGACCTATTCCATTTATTTCAATAAACATTTATCAAGCACCCATTTACACTCCTTTTCTGCCCATGAAAACACTCATTTTGACTCAGGAGGAATCAGACATTTAAGTAAAGGGTTGGGAAGTAAAATGAAGCTGGAAGAACAATGTCACATCTGAGTTGGCAAAAGGTATTGTTTCTAGGTTCAGTACAGAAAGTATAAAAGAGGGGGCAGCCATCTCTGAGGAAAGAGCCAGGTGATGGGCGTGACGCTGTCTTCCTCCATCTGTGCTTTCTCTTCCAAGCTGTGTTCAAGATGATGGTGCTCTTTTTCATTCCAGTTATTTTTGATGTATTTTCAAGCTGTATAAAATAAACTGATTATATTAGAGGTTCTACTTCTATTTTTAGCTCACAGACTATCCATTCACACATTCATTCATTATAAAAATGTTATCCAGCATCTACACTGAACCAGCACCACAGCAGAAAATGTCATTACAGGAAAGTAAAGTAAAAAAATTGGCAATGGACTTTTAGGGTATGTTCCCCATCTCCAAAGAACACGTCCTACTTACAGCCTAAAGAAGGTCTTGCTCTCGAATTCGAGGCTCAGTAAGGCATAGATTAATTCACCCCACTATTAATGTGTAGCCAACTTAATCCCAGGCTCTGGATTAAGTGGTCCATATGTAACAGTATTGGTGACATCTAGAAGACCTTGCAACAAGTCACAACCTACTTATTTAATTTCTATTTTGAATAAAAATTGTCTTGGAATGATTCAGAGTATATTTACAAACTGCTTGAGTAAAGTACTATATTAAGCCATCTTACTGCATCCTATTGTGTTTATCTTCACTTGTCAGAAATTGTGTGCTGCTGATTTGGAGAATATGGATGGCTTTCAGGTCTGAATGGGTAGACATCTTATTTTTATAATGGAGCCAACCCAAACAGCACATATTTCTTTTTATTTATTCATCTATTTTATTTTGTTTTATATATATATATATTTATTATACTTTAAGTTCTACGGTACGTGTGCACAACGTGCAGGTTTGTTACATATGTATGCATGTGCCATGTTGGTGTGCTTTGCCCATTAACTCGTCATTTACATTAGGTATCTCTCCTAATGCTATCCCTCCCCCCTCCCCCCACCCCACAACAGGCCCCGGTGTGTGATACCATCATTCTTAGCAAACTATCGCAAGGACAAAAAACCAAACACCGCATGTTCTCACTCATAGGTGGGAATTGAACAGGAAGGGGAACATCACATATTTCATAGTTAAGAGTTAATACTGAGCTGAGCTGAATTCACACTACTAACCTGGAAGTGAAAGGACTCATTTTTCTTTACATCAGACTCCTAAAATGTCAATTTCTTGAAACATTCAGAAAATGACTTGAGCTAAATTTGTATTCTCTCCATGATCACACACACACAATCACACACACACTCATATTCATATGTCACATTAGAGTTACACAAATTCAAATACAAGGAGAACCAAAAATGTAAACAAGAGGTCAATAAGAATCATTTTTTGGAGATCCTGGACTGCTAGTGTCCTGGGTTCCCAGTGGTCCCAGGCTCTGGATTAAGTGGTCCATATGTAACACTATTGGTGACATCTAGAAGACCTTGCAACAAGTCACAAAGTCCACGGTGCCTTTTAACTTAGCAGGACTGATGGCAACATGACTGTATTTTCAGGGAAGAATGAAAATCAGAACGGTTCCTTTGGTGTTCTGGTGAGAAGTGGGGAATTGATTAAAAATACATTCGGAGGGGTCTTCTTAGTATTTGTATTCTTTCGGGCATGTGTATTTAATCTTACCTCGTGAACTTCAGTATTTATGTCATGAGCCTCTGAGAGGTACCACTGAGAAAATAAAAGCTTGTCAGGCATACTTAGGGCCTTTCCCAATCTCTAGGATCCTCTCTGTAGTGAAAGTGAACTGACTTTTGTTGCTACTGTCCCAGCCTTGCTGACGGCCCTCATCTCTCGCTTTGACCTGTTGTCTTCCTCTGTCCCGGACTGGCCACTGTTCCGGGCTCTGCTGTCATTTGGCAATTTCATCTAAATCTGTGATTTCATCTGACACTTCTATCTTTTTTATTTATGCCTATTGAGAATGCTGCTTTGCAGAATCACTGTTCAGAAGCACCATTTGATTATGCATTTCCTAGTTAAATATTTCAATTAAATGGGAATTTTCCACATAATAAAATTAAAATTCCTAAGCAAGACGTTTAACCCATTCTACCTAGGTTTACACTAGTTTTCTAACATTATACACCATTAAATTATCTTAAACCCCTTCTCTTTTTTTTCCTTTTTTTTTTTTTTTTTTTTGAGGCAGGGTTTTTCTCTGTCACCCAGGCTGGAGTGCAGTGGTGCAATCACGGCTCAGTGTAGCCTCGACCTCCCGGGCTCAAGAGATTCTCCCACTTCAGCCTCCTGAGTAGCTGGGACCACATGTGTGTGACACCATGCCTGGCTAATTTTTAAAATTTTTTGTGGAGATGGGGTCTCACTCTGTTGACCAGACTGGTCTTGAAGTCTTGGGCTCAAGCAGATACCCCTGTCTCTGCCTCCCAAAGTGCTGAGATTATAGGCATGAGGCACTGCCCCTTGTCTTTTTAACCCCAATTTTTAATAAATGAAGTGACTTTTGATGTTCTTGCCTATTGTTATTTCTAGTACATTGTTCCCTCACCTGGAAATGACTTTTGCCACCTTCGCTTGTTGAAATCTTATATGTCTATCATGGTCCAGCTCAATCACACATCCTCCATTAAAGCTTTCTTGATCCTCCAAAATAAAACACTTTTGTTACACTCCAGTGCTTCCAGCACATTAGATCCACCTATTACCTATCTATCATATAAAATGGGTCCTATATATCTTAGGGTGATATCTACATATGATAGGTAGGTAGATATGTGGCTATAATGTGCTGGAAGCACTGGAATGTAATACATTACTACACATTATATATATCCACCTATTTACCTACCTAGCATATATAATGTGTCCTATAATATACATATGTACATGGATATGTACATATCCAACCCTAACCCTCCTATGATATACATATGTACATATATATACATATGTATACATATATACGTATATCATAGGACCCATTATATAAGATAGGTAGGTAGATAGGTGGATAGAAAATCATTAGAACTGAAAATGTTCTTAGAAATCAGAAAGTTAAGTAGTATTTCAGGAATTATATTATCACTGAGGTGCTTTTCTTTATATAAAATAGAATGTGGATGCCTAAAATATGAAGTAATTAAAGATACGAAGTAAATTAAATAAATAAATGCATATTTTTTCTGTATGAGGGACCTGGAGTCACTACATTATTTGTCCTGCATATGCTACCTCCAGCTTCTAAAGGGTCCTTCAAGCAGGGTCATGTGGAATTTTTTTTAAATTTTTAAAACACTTTTTGGGTACATAGTAGCTGTATATATTTATAGGGTACATGAGATGTTTTGATACAGGCATGCAATGTGAGATCAGCACATCATGGAGAATGGAATATCCATGGTCTCAAACATTTATCCCTTGAGTTACAAACAATCCAATTACATTTTTAAAGTTATTTTTAAATGTACAATTATTATATTACAACCACTATGGAGAACAGTGTGAAATTATTTTGATTCCAAATAACAGAGTTTGAAAACCACTGGCCTTTTCCAACCCTGTACCTTTAAAAATGATGCAACCCCCAGCAAAATGACTTCCCAAAGTGGGATATCCATGGACCAAAAGGGGCCCTCACTGGAGGCTGCGGCCTCTTCTATCAGAAGTTTGGATTGGGGATACAGGGAACTGGGGAAATGTTACTCAAAGGATAGGAACATTACAGTTAGGCAGAAGGAATAAGTTTAAGAGATCTATTGCACAGCATAGTGACTATAGTTGATGATGTATTCTTAAAGAATGCTGAGAGAATGAATGTTAATTGTCCTCACTACAAAAATGATACCTATGTGAGACAATGTATATCTCAATTAGCTAGATTTAACCGTTCCACAATGTATATATACTTCAAGATGTCATATTGTACATAATTATGTACTATTTAATCTGTCCATTTAAAATAAATAAATGTAAAATTAAAAATGTTATTTTACAAATTAGGGATGAACATATTATCTGTAATATACAGCACAAATATTTTCTCCCAACTTGTAATTCATCTTTTGACTTTATTCATAATTTAGCACGTTTACAAATAATCATGTAATCAGTTTTTTTCAGTTCCTGATCTTTTTTTTCTTGTTGAATATTTTATTTTATTTTTTTTATTGCATCAAGATTTTGAGTCATAGAATGAAAAATTTTCAACAGGTTATTGGGGAATCATCCATACTTTATCTTAGTAACTCCAGGATTTCAATTTTTTTTACATTTAGGTATGTGATCTACTTGGAGATGATTTTTATGTGTAGTCTATCTTTCCCTGAGTGACTTGAAATGCTGATGTTTTAAAATAAGTAGTTTCATAGGTACTGTATGATTTCTTGACTTTCAATTCTATGTTACTTATCTGTCAACTCAGGTGTCACTACCACACTTTTCATTCTAGAGTAAACAACACAAAGCCTTCCTATCCTATTTTTAACTTGTCTTTTTTCCTGATTCAGTGTTTGCTGAGTTATCATAAACCTGTGTTTCCCAGGGTTTTAACAACGTTGGTTCTGACAGTCCCTACTTTCTTCTCCCCAGGCTTTCTTTGGAGCTGCCTACTCTGCCATTTTGCTGAAATCAACCCCTGCCCCTTTTCTTCCTCCCATACATCCAAGAATCCCAAGGACATCTCTTCTATCCTTTTAATCCCATTCTCCCCATAATTTGAACTTTCCAGGACAGTTACCTTGAGTTCCCTTGCAGTTCCTTTGCTGTAGTCAGTGATCTCATCTGTACAAATACGTTCACATTTTCTGGTGGGTCATTTGGCCCTTTCTCTCTCTCTCTCTCTCTGCTTTTTTGTTGTTGTTGTTGTTGTTTGCTTGTTTGTAATAGGGTCTTGCTCTGCCTTCCAGGCTGGGGTGCTAAAGTGCAGTGGCATAATCATGGCTCACTGCAGCCTTGACTTCCTGCGTTCAAGAGATCCACCCACCTCAGCCTCCCAATATTCTGGGATTACAAACATGAGCCAACATTCCTGGCCTATTCTTCTTTTTCGTGCACGTTTGCCAGACTCACGTCTCATTCTTTGTAAAAGCTGTGGAGAAAGACTGACAGACAGCACTATAAAAAATTTGAAACACATTTTTCTACTCATGACTAGTTATAACTACATCGTGTTTTCCGTGCCCCAGTTATTCTGAAGACAGGGGATTTATTTTGTTCTATTTGTGACTTTTTTTTTTAACTATAGGTTTTGGAGGATATATGGAGAGATTCAGATTTAGGTGGCTGGCATCACCTACTCAGAAGTTCTCCAAATAATTTTAAAAATTCATGTGTAAAAGATTCAATATTATGATAATTTGTTAAACTCAGATACTAGCTACAATTTCATAGTTTTATATACTATTTTTCAAAAGAAATACATTTAGCATTCATACAGCAGGTAGCTGCATAGTGTGATGGCCAATACATTGTGCTGTACATTTGCATTAAGAAAATGAAGGTTGTTCTGAAGAATCATGAAAATAGTGAGGCCAAGAGAATATTATTTTCTGTTAATATGCCTATGCTATTCTCAGAAGAACAAGCAAAAAAGGAAGGAAGAAAAAAAGAAACAGTAAGAAAGATTTTACTCTAAAATAGCTACCCAGACAAATAAAATAATATAGATTTGGCTGTCCCATGGAGTATTAATAGGTGGTCCTATTTAAGCAATGCATACTTAGGATCAGCAAAATTTCAAACTTTTCTATCACTGAGATAATATCACTCTTTCTTTCTTTTCCTTCCTTCCTTCCTTCCTTCCTTCCTTCCTTCCTTCCTTTCTTTCTTTCTTTCTTTCTTTCTTTCTTTCCTTCCTTCCTTCCTTCCTTCCTTCCTTCCTTCTTTCTTTCTATCCTTTCTTTTTTTTCTTTCTCACCAGGCTGGAATGCAGTGGCATGATCTCGGCTCACTGTAATCTCCGCCTCCCAGGTTCAAGCGATTCTCCTGCCTCATCCTCCCAAGTAGCTGGGACCACAGGTGTGCACCACCATGCCCACCTAATTTTTGTATTTTTAGTAGAGACGGGGTTTCACCATGTTGGCCAGGATAGTCTCAATCTCTTGACCTCATGATCCACCCACCTTGGACTCCCAAAGTGCTGGGATTACAGGCGTGAATTATCACTATTTCTTAAGTAGACAATGGCACCCAGAAATTGCTTAAATTTGCTATTATATTCACATTTTTATTCCACTTAATCAACAGACAGTTCAGTGTTCTTTAAAATGTACATAAAATGTATTATATGTTGCAGAAGTATGAGGATATCTCATATTCATAATATGCCTTCTAAAAGTTTGTAATCCAAGTTAAAAAAAATGCCTTTAGAAGAACTAAAGTGTATCTAAAACAGGTGTTAATTCAATGTCAAAATCAGTAATGAAGCCGGGAAACAGTGCTATTTTGATGTTATTTCCTAACATTTGGGAAAATATGCAGGAAATGGTTTCAAGTATTAATGGAGAATACTAAGGGTTTTAGCTGCAGGAAGAAATGAGAACGGACTTATTGTCTTGGGTTAATTAGAGATCTTTTATTGCAAATAAATTTGTATAAATAAATTAAATACATTTCAAGTAAACAAATAAGTGAGTAAATAACTTATTTGTATTATAATTATGGAAGGTAGAGATGTTTTATCAACCTAAGAACCCCGGAAATATTCTGAATTTGGGCACTGGAGACCTATGTTATATCTTCGAAAATATTAGTGACCTTGGTTATATCCCCCCTTCCGTTGCATTTCTCCTACAGTCTCCGCACATAGCCTTCATGATTTTCTTTCTCTATAGATTTACATTCCTTCATTCTTAGTTACACAATGCCTGTGCTACAGCTTGAACGTCTTAGGTTAGAGTTCTAAATAAATTCTCAGATTCAGACCAATCAGGCCATTATATTTGTTGACCAAAAATTAGGTTCTTGGACTTTTGAGAAACGATTTTCTTTCATGCAATGATCGAGTTTACATCATTTACTCAAAGATGAAGTTCAATCTTAATATCATAACCTCATGTGGAATATTATCTATTAATGTACCTTTGCTCCCATAAAACGCTTCAAAGCAAATTCCCCAAGAGTTATCTTTTTCTATAGTTTCTCCTCACTCTTCTATAGAGCCTTCTGAATCATTTGTCCTTGGTACAAGAAGCATCAAGATTTCAAGGTGTGGAAAGAATGAGTGTGAGAGGTCTCAGCAGCAATAAATTACATTGTTTCGGGATCAAACTATTTTGCCTCCAGTGATAAGGGGTAACACTAGTTTTCAAGGAGGAAAGAAAATTTCACAGCCTGTGTGTGATTGCACATGAAATTATGTACACCACTGGAAAAGTCTAAATGTATGTTTCCAATAAATCATTCTCTTATCTTCAAAATCTGACTGCTCTCCAGAAGTGATAGGCAATATTGTGAAGGAAGAAAAATTGTTCTCTCGAGCCCTGGTAGCATTTTGATTCTTTTCATTCCATACTATAAGTTCCTTTCTTTCCACCCCTGAACTCTAGTCGAATCCCTTTTCCAATGGTGCAATCTCATGTGGGCCTGCCTGACTCATATGCTTAAATACGTTCCTTTCATTTCTCCTTTCAACTTAATAAAAATACTTTTCCCTTATTGTTCAGTTTTTATGATTATGAAGTGATAGAATAATTATTTTAATACATGACTCAATAAACTATTGAAAATAACCTAAAATGGTATCCCGGCACTTAAAAGATTTTGTTGAAACTCAGACTAGTTTTTCCCCCTTGGCTCTACTACTTATAGGGTAGGCACACTCTAATGTATTTCAGAGTTATTGAAAAGATAAAGATATGTCTACAAAGCCTCTAGCACGCTGCCTCTCATATAATATCAAATGAAACATTGCTAGTATCTCACATAATGGCATATTCTGTTTACGTAAAATATATGGAAAGTTCATCTGAAAGAATTTCTGAAAGAAATTTTGGACAGTGTCGTCATGTAGAGAAGATACTATAGTTCATCAGATTCTTAAGTCTGTTCTATACCTGACCTCCTTTCACATCTCTTTGGTCAGGGCCCCTTTCCATAAATCACCAGTTCAACCTCTTCTCCATTTAGTCCTAATTATCCTGTTCTTTGTAAAATTCTCATTTCATATTAATCTCACAGGGTTACCATCAGAGTTCCTTACCCACATCTTTGTGATCTCATGGCAGAGTTTACTCTCAGCACACAATCATAATGTGCAAAGAGTAGAGTGTTCCTTATTTTTCCACAACTCACATTACCTTCAATGACCAGTCCAGAGTTATTGTAACTTAATAACTGTCTAATTGGAGTTTCTGTCTCTTTTCCCCTAGAAAAGGTTACTGCAGCTTTGTGAAGTATCAGGGGTCGGGTTGGGGTGTTGAATTTGTACCCTTGTCCACATAGGTGTTGACTGGGGGCAACTGTCCTTATCCAGTGCTGGCTCACAAAGGTCACCTTTGCAGTGTCTTCTGTTCTCACCTACATGACCTCCCATATCTGATGGCCATTGCCAGTAATTTTCTGCCATGTGAGGCTCTGCAGTTATCTCTTGAAAGATACAGAAGATGGCATTCTTCAAGACTCTCCCTCTCCCCTGCTCCACACAACATAAAGCAGAAAATACTTTTCTCTAATTTTTCCCTTGATGTCTTCCCCTGAGACAATGGACCCAGAATGACGTGGGTGCTAAAAATAAGAGAAATGAATGGCAAAAAAGAAAGCTATCAATGAAAAAAATCATTTCACAAATCTACTAGTGCTGTCCAGGTATCACACAGTATTCTCTGAAGAATGCAGTCTACCTCTCTCCATCTTGTATGCTGTTAATATTCATTTAACACAGTGTGTGATGACAGCAAATGTTCAAAATAAAACCAAGTTCCATTGCTAATTCTGTAGTCTAGTGTACATTTTTACTTCTTCATGTTTCAGTTTTTCATCTGTAATATGGAGTTAATATAATAGCTGCAGGGTTATTACCAAGATCTAAAAAGATAGAAGATAAGTTAATACACAACACTTAAAATGTTCTGGGCATATATTAAATCCTCAGAAATGTTATATATTATTACAGATGCTTGAGTCAAGCCTCCAGTTACTTAAAACTACTTAAGACAGTTTTGAATTCATTCTCAAACTCACAGCCCCCTCCTACAGGTCTCCAAGTAGTGATGCAATGGCTTGCTTTTAAGATGCACATATGCGTAATACAAAACATATTTGGAATAGTTATACGTCCCTGATAAGCATGGGTAATTTAAACCAAATCTGATATTACTTCTGAATTCTCCCCAATCACCTCTCCTAGACCCAATTGTAGATGAAACTGCAACAAAACTACTCCTCACATATCTTATATTGAATAAACAAATTGGTTGTGTGACTTTTGCTGGCAAAGCATGACTGCTTGTCATTGTAAGTAACAGAGGCAGATAATGGTATTGATATATTATCGAGAATTTTGGGAGGGGGTCGATTTTAACAAAGGATCAAGGTATAAGGCAGTTGAACATGCTAGAATTTGAGTAGGAAAGTAAAAGCTTAAGGTTGCTGGGAAACAGCGGAAGAGTGAAAACACCTCTTGATGTATCTCGAACTGTTTACAAATCAGGCATTCACTTCAGGACAAGACTGAGTAAGAGACACTGGATTTACTCTTGCCTACAACAAGTAAAAATCAGGACAAGATATATGAAACAAGGTATTTGAGATCAGGCAAATCAAGATGAGAATCCATGAGAAGAGGAAAACCAAATGAGGTGAATTCTACAACTGCCCCAATTTACTGCTGTAAAAGAAATTCTATGTCATAGCATCACACTTATCAAACTATATACACGAAACATGGGCAATTTGTTTTATGGCAATTATACCTCAGTCAAGCTCTTAAAAACAATTAAGTTAACACATATCAAACATCTATCACATTTCATCTTGCTGTAAGCACATTCACTGTAGATTCTCAATCTCTCATAATGCAATGACCCAATTTTGCCATATAACTTATATACACAGGGTAAACACAGATTTGATTCAATTCCCTTGATTTTTTTTTGATACCTCTGTTTGTTTATAAAATACTGACACTGTGCCAAAAAGGCAATAAAAATGTTTAAAAAATGATTCAGAGTACACCTATTCCTGAGTCAGTGGATCATTTTTGTGCACATTTTGTACATACACTTAAACTTCAACATCCTGTTACCCTTACAGAAAGTGCTGATAAATATTTCTTTTAAAAGGAAGAAAGGGCATCAAACTCATTATTAGATGGGGTATCTGTGGGAGTTTCTGCCATTTTTGCTGTATTATCAGGCAACTCATATCTGCATTTCAACTTTTTTTGTAACTAAAATGAAAGAGTGGTATCTGAATTGTTTTGTTCAGTGTGGTGGCACTAGCCCTGTGTGGCTATCTCCATTTAAATTGAATACAATTAAAAATTCACCTTCTTAAGTGCACTAGCCACATTTCTGGTGATCAACAGCTAAACTTGGCTAGTGATGGTACTGGGTAGTGAAGATTTTGGAATATTTTCGTCATTACAGAAAGTTTCTGGATAGCTCTGGGTTCACTGGCCCACCTTCCCCTGAATATGCTGTATGACAATTGCTGCTTATCACAACAATGCGCACACATTTTATAAAAAATTTGGCATACAAAATGAAAACATTATTTTTTTCAAGTCTTTCTCTAGTTATTCTAAGCAAATGCTCATTGAGATCAGCATGGAAATATGCAGTCATCTTCAGAAATGAACTGCCCCCAGGGTGATAGTACAAGAAAAACTATGTTTAGTTATCAGCCATTTTCTCTTTCTGTGGTTTAACTGTCTAGTGGAAGAAAAAACATTATTTTTATTCTTATTTTAAACTAAGTAAAGTCATTTTCCTTGAAAAATGTTTTGATTTCTTCTGTTTTCTTATTTTTTTTCACCATAATAAGTATCATATTTTCAAAGATTGAAGAAGTGCCTTTGGATCATTTTTGGAATCAATGCAATTACAAGAGTTATAGACAATTTTATATTCTTTTGCCCTCAAATTGTATTTGATGTCAAAACGATGCTTTTATAACACTCTTACCACATTCTCTGGCAGAAATGTAGATGGATGTATTAGTAATTCCTAGAGGATGTCTGAATTTTCCTTTCTTTCTTTATTACTTTTATATATGCAGAAACTTTATATAACATAATTTTGATTCAATGTATAACCACTATGGTAAAAGCAGTAATCTACTTCTAGGTTCTGATAATCTTTCTTTTGGTGAGAACAGTTGAATTCAAATATTTAAATTATCTAAAAGCACAGACTCAGGGACACGGCTAATAATAATTCTGTCAGAGTACATAAATAAATATATCATTACTTACTGGTAGAATTTAATATGTAGTCTTGCACTTTGATAACAATTTGATAAAGCTAACAACTTATTGTAAACTTGGCTTAACACATTTGAATTTTCCAGCAAAGCATGCTAAGACATTATGAAGAAGGGGCCAAGATTAAGCCAGTTTTATCCCAACTAACCTTGTTCTTGGTTGGCCACTGACAGGGAGTGTGACAGGGTCAAAAACCTTCAAAATTAGCATATCTTAGGAGACAGTGGCAACTTGATCTGATCTAGATTGATAACAAATTGAAGGGGTTTATTTAATGATAGAAACTAAAATACAAAAACTCCCAGGTAATGGCAGTGAGTATAAATATGCCGAATTGGGAAAAATAGTAATAACTGCCTCACAGGAATGTTCTGCAGACTTAATTTATATATACATACATGCACATATACATGCACATATATAAGCAAATATAGTAACATATATAGCTACAGAATTCAAGTCAATTTTAAGGTTTAGCTAAATTTATGGAATAAATTTTATGGATTCTCAAATAAAGTGAATGTAATCATAGAAGTAAACTATAAACATATTTCTTTAGAAAAATATGTTTCAAGATTTAAAGGGCTTTAGGAATTCTGTCATGATTCAATGCAGTAATTATAAAAGAAGGAGGTAGATTGTAAACTTAATTTTCATATTTGTATGGCACTTTTTTCACAGTCTCCATATCATTTTTAATACATTGCTCTATATTCTTTTCATAAAATTTAGGAGAAACTTAGAAATTTCCTGAATACAAATAAGGATTATATAATTATAGACAGCAGTTAATCTCAGGGAGTGGTAAACAAACTCTTCATTTTTTTTAGTTAATATTAGGAAATTTCTGTAAAAAATATTTTTAAGTATACCACATTAAAATCAGTTTAAAGATTTGTAATGAACAAATAAAATATCTCAAATAATTCTTTTGATAGGTAGTATAATGTTAAAGAACCAAAGAAAATAAAATATACTGAATATTATCAGATAATCTTTTCAAAATTACAGTTCTTTGTCTGGCTTGGTGAAAGAGGCAACCAGAAATCATATCAAATTTTAGTTTCGCTGTTGACAACTGATATATCCTGGGGCTAGTCCAATAAATTGGCTGTCTTCAATTTCTTCAGTTGAATGTAGGAATAATATGAATAATTACTCATTTGGATGAATATTTTGAAAATGTAATAGGTTATCAAAAGTGATAGATATTTTATGATGATTTAATTTATAAATGAAAGGATGAACTCATATTAGTTTATATAAAATAAATGTGACACTTCACCAAGAAATGATTTTGTTTCATACACAATTATTCTCAGAGCAAACTTTGATTCTCATCATTTACTTTTATTATTATTTTTTACATTTATTACTCCTTAAGGCTAAGTTTTTGGCTTTGCAAAGATATTAATTAGTAATTATCCAAAAGTAAGTTATTATAATTTCAGCTTTTTATTCTTGTTTATTTGAAGTTATTTAAATATAATTTGTAAATAATCTTTCAATAGGTATTTTAAAATATTAAAAAAATCCATTATTAAAATGATTTTCACTAAAAGTTAATGTAAATTTTATCTATACTTAGTATGTTTTCAACTGATTTACAGAGAGGATGGGGTGTAATATTTCTTTTGTTTCACATTGGAGTTATGTTTCATATGGAAGATAACATATATGAAGTGTTATCTATATCTGAAATGAACTAAAAATAAATGATTTTTTAACATAACAGATTTTAGAAAACTGAATGTAACAATGGAAATATATGTATTTTTAATTTTGGGGACAATATAAAATTGTGAAGCCAAAAAAAATCTTAAAACAAAAAATCAGTAAGATAATATTTTATTATAATGGAAATAAATTGATAGGAAATAGGGCATGAGAAGATTCTATTTTAGGATTGTCATTTATAAAAATAACTAACGTTTGATATTAGTCTACCTAGCTTACTGCCTCAATAATGCAAACACTTCTAGATAAATGATTATTCTAGAAATATTCTAAACAGTTGTTGCTTTATTTCCTTTTATGTTTACAGGTTTTGAAAATATATGCTTATCTTTTGAGTAGCAACTGTGCATCTTTGAATTCTTCTAACTCAGCTGCAGCATTTACTTTTTTTGTAGGAAAAACACCGGGCTCCATTTGAGACGTCTGATGTTCATAATGCCAAGAATTATTTATTTGTAATAATTATAGTTCCAAACGTAAAAGTGAGTATATAATTTACTTAAAAATATCCCCTTTTATTTTTCTCTTATACTTTGAAATAAACATTTTTATAATATAATTTATGTTCAAGAAAATGTACCCATTTTAAATGTATAATTTCACAAATATACACACCATGTAACCCCCCAATTAAGGTGTAGAATATTTCCATCAACTTACAAAAATTCTCAGGGCCTTTTGCATTCAATCTTTCACCCTAATTCCAAGTCCTGGAGAACCACGAAGTTGCTTTCTTTTACTGTAGATCAGTTTGGCTGTTCTGAAATGTCATATAAATGGAATCATAGATTGTGTTTTCTTTAGTATTTGGGTGTTTTGCTTAGCATGTTTCTGAGATTCATTCATTTTGCTGAATGTTTGAATATCTTTCTTTTTTTATTATACTTTAAGTTCTAGGGTACATGTGCACAACGTGCAGGTTAGTTACATATGTATACATGTGCCATGTTGGTGTGCTGTACCCATTAACTCATCGTTTACATTAGGTATATCTCCCAATGCCATCCCTTCCCCCTCCCCCCACCCCACAACAGGCCCCAGGGTGTGATGTTCCCCTTCCTGTGTCCATGTGTTCTCATTGTTCAATTCCCACCTATGAGTGAGAACATGCGGTGTTTGGTTTTTTGTCCTTGCAATAGTTTGCTGAGAATGATGGTTTCCAGCTTCATCCATGTCCCTACAAAGGACATGAACTCATCAGTTTTATGGCTGCATAGTATTCCATGGTGTATATGTGCCACATTTTCTTAATCCAGTCTATCGTTGTTGGACATTTGGTTTGGTTCCAAGTCTTTGCTATTGTGAATAGTGCCACAATAAACATACATATGCGTGTATCTTTATAGCAGCATGATTTATAATCCTTTGGGTATATACCCAGTAATGGGATTGCTGGGTCAAATGGTATTTCTAGTTCTAGATCCCTGAGGAATCACCACACTGACTTCCACAGTGGTTGAACTAGTTTACAGTCCCACCAACAGTGTAAAAGTGTTCCTGTTTCTCCACATCCTCTCCAGCACCTGTTGTTTCCTGACTTTTTAATGATCACCATTCTAACTGGTGTGAGATGGTATCTCATTGTGGTTTTGATTTGCATTCCTCTGATGGCCAGTGATGATGAGCATTTTTTCATGTGTCTTTTGGCTGCATAAATGTCTTCTTTTGAGAAGTGTCTGTTCATCTCCTTTGCCCACTTTTTGATGGGGTTGTTTGTTTTTTTCTTGTAATATCTTTCTTTTTTATTGTTGACTAGTGTTCCAGTGTATGGATACACTACTAGTAGTTTATCCATTCACCTGGTGATGAACATTTACATTGTTTCAAGACTCTTGTTTGACTATCACAATTAAAACTGCTATGAAACATGCATCTACACATCTTCTTGTGAAAGTACGTTTTCATTTTTCTAAATTGCCTATGAGTTGAATTGCTAGTTCATATGTTATAATATTGGCCAAAGTTTCTCCAAAGTGTTTATACCATTTTACACTCCCAACAACTATGAATGAGAATTTCAGCTACTCCACATCCTTGCTGATATGGTCTGGCTGTGTCCCCACCCAATCTCATCTTGAATTGTAGTTCCCATCATCCCCATGTGTCATGGGAGGGAACCTGTGAGAGGCAGTTAAATCATGGGAGCTATTTCCCACATACTATTCTCGTTATAGT
The DNA here is from genome assembly GCF_000001405.40 of Homo sapiens. Classification (NCBI taxonomy): domain Eukaryota; kingdom Metazoa; phylum Chordata; class Mammalia; order Primates; family Hominidae; genus Homo; species Homo sapiens. The sequence goes on along the minus strand of NC_000018.10, from coordinate 73,376,666 downwards.
GAGTAAGTTCTCATGAGATCTGATGGTTTTATAAGGGGCTTCCCCCTTCGCTCAGCTCTCATTCTTCTCCTTCCTGCTGCCCTGTGAAGAAGGACATGTTTGTTTCCCCTTCTGCCATAATTGTAAGTTTCCTGGGGCCTACCCAACCCTGCTGAAAAGTGAGTCAATTAAACCTTTTTTCTTTATAAATTACCCAGTCTCAGGTATGTCTTTATTAGGAGCATGAGAATGGACTAATACACATGACAACACTTTTTGCTATTCTATGTATGTGTTTGTATCTCATTTCAGTTTTAATTTGCATTTCCCTGATTCATTATGATCTTGTCACATGCTTGTGACCATTTATGTATTTTAACTTCTAGTCAGGTATTTTGCCAATTCTTTATTTGGTAGTTTGTCTTAGTTTTTAAATTTAGTATGTAATTTATTATATAATGTATACATTTATAGTGTATATACACGTGTATATACATAATAGCATAGTACGTATTCTTTATATATTGATTCTGAATGTATAATTTTTTGTCGTGTGTATTGCAAATGTTTTTTTCCAATTTATGAGCTTGTATTTTCATTGTCTTAACAATGTCTACTGAAAGTCAGATGTTTTTAATTTTGAGGTTCATTTAATATTATTTAGAAATGTAAAATATGTGTCTTGTTTAACAAATCTTTGCTTAATTAAAAGTCACAATAAATTATCCTCCCTTTTCTAGAAATTTTAAAATATTAGTTTTTATGTTCAATTGTGTATACATTCTGTTCCAGACTTTTCGTTTGGTTCTTTTAAATAGTTTTTTTATTTGTTATTCTCAGCAATTTTTTGCTTTTTGTGAATCACTGATTTTATTTGTGATTGTTATTTTTTTAGTTGCAACTTCAATAATTCCTCTTACTTCTAAATCTATTCATATTGAAAGACATTAATTCCTCTAAGTAGTCAATAAAGTTTTCTTATTATTATTATTCACATCTAGAAACTTTTTATTTGATTCTACGTTTTTTATTCAAATTTAACATTTTCATACTTTTTTTATTTAGTTAATTTTTAATTGATGTAAACATACATAAAAACATCATATTGAATGCTAGATTTTTCTTTTTCTTAATATTATTTAACAGGCTTTTTTCTTTATTTTTTATTTTTATTTATTTTATTTTTTATTTCACTTGGCTCTCATTTTTCTCTCTAGCCTGCTGCCATGTAAGACATGCCTTTTACCTTCCAACATGAGTGTGAGGTCTCCCCAGCCATTGGGGAACTGTTAGTTCATTAAACCTCTTTTTATTTATAAATTACCCAGTCTTGGGTATTTCTTTACTAGCAGCGTGAAAACAGACTAATACAGTTAGCTAGTATTTTGTTGAGGATTTTTGCATCTATTTTCATCAGGGATATTGTTTGCACTTTTTTTTTCTTATCTTCTTCCCAGTTTTTGGTATTAGGGTAATACTGGCTTCATAGAGTGATTTAGGGAGGAATCCCTCATTCTCTAGTGGAATAGTGTCAATAGCATTGTTACCAAGTCTTCTTTGAATGTCTGATAGAATTCAGCTGTGAATTTGTCTGATCCTGAACTTTTTTGGTTGGCATTTTTAAAATTATCATTTCAATTTTGCTGCTTGTTATTAGTCTGTTCAGAGCTTCTATATCTTCCTGCTTTAATCTTGGAGGGTTGTATATTCCCAGGAATTTATCCATCTCCTCTAGGCTTTCTAGTTCATGAGTGTAAAGGTGTTCATAGTAGCATTGAATAATCTTTTGTATTTATGTGGTATCAGTAGTAATATCTCCTGTTTCAATTCTAATTGAGCGTGTTTGGATTTCCTCTCTTCTTTTCTCGGTTAATATCACCAATGGTCTATTAATTTTATGTATCTTTTCAAAGAACTAGCTTTTTGTTTCATTTATACATGGATTTTTTGTTTGTTTAAAGCTTTGTTATTTCTTTCCTTCTCCTGGGTTTGGGTTTGCATTGTTCTTGTTTCTCCAGTTCCAGGAGGTATGACCCTAGATTGTTTATTTGTGCTCTTTCAGACTTTTCGATGTAGGCATTTAATGCTATGGACTTTCCTCTTAGCACTAGTTTTGCCATATCCCAGAGGTTTTCATAGATTGTGTCACCATTATCATTCAGTTCAAGGAATTTTTTTTTTTTTTTTTGAGACAGAATCTTATTCTGTCACCCAGGCTGGAGTACAGTGGCCTGATCTCAGCTCACTGCAACCTCTGCCTCCCAGGTTCTAGTGATTCTTCTGCCTCAGCCTCCTGAGTAGCTGGGATTACAGGCACCTGCCACCATGCCTGGCTAATTTTTTTGTATTTTTAGTGGAGACTGGGTTTCGCCATGTTGGCCAGGCTGGTCTCAAACTCCTGACCTCAGGTGATCCGCCCACCTCGGTCTCCCAAAGTGCTGGGATTATAGGCATGAGCCACTGTGCCCAGCCCAAAGAATGTCTTAATTTCCGTCTTGATATCATTGTTGACCCACTGATCATTTAGGGGCAGGTTATTCAATTTCCATGTATTTGTGTGGTTCTGAGGGTTCCTTTTGGAGTTGATTTCCAATTTTATTCCACTGTGAGCTGAGAGATTACTTGATATAATGTCAATTTTCTTAAATTTACTGAAACTTGTTTTGTAGCCTAGCACATGGTCAGTCTTGGAGAATGTTTCATGTGCTGATGAAAAAAAAATCTATATTCTGCAGTTGTGGGGTAGAATATTCTGTAAATATTTGTTAAGTCCATTTCTGGAGGATATAGTTTAAGTCCATTGTTTCTTTGTTGACTTTCTGTCTTGATGACCTGTCTAGTGCTGTCAGTGGAGTATTGAAATCCCCCACTGTTACTGTGTTACTGTCTATCTCACTTAAGGCTATCAGTGTATTAGTATGTTTTCATCCTGCTAATAAGACATACCCAAGGCTGGGTAATTTGTAAAGAAAAAAAGGTTTAATGGAATCACAGTTCCACGTGGCTTGAGAGGTTTCACAATCATGGCAGAAGACCAAGGGACATCTTACATGGCAGCAGGCAAAGAGAGACTGAGGACCAAGTGAAAGGGGTTTTCCATTATAGAACCATCAGATGTCATGAGTCTTATTCAGTACCATGAAAACAGTATGGGGAAAACTGCCTCCATTATTCAATTATCGCCCACTGGGTCCCTCTCACATGTGGGAAATATGGGACCTACAATTCAAGATGAGACTTCAGTGGGGACATAGCCGGACCATATCATTTGCCCCTGGCCCCTCCCAAATCTCACATCCTTACATTTCAAACCAATCATGACTTCTGAACAGTTCCCCAAATTCTTAACTCATTTCAGCATTAACTCAAAAGTCCAGTCCAAAGTCTCATCTGAGACAAAGCAAGTCTCTTACACCTATGAGCCTGTAAAATAAAAAGCAAGTTAGTTACTTCCTAGATAGAATGGGGGTACAGGCATTTGGTAAATGCAGTCATTCCAAATGGGAGAAATTGGCCAAAATCAGAGAGACTACAAGCTCCTTGTAAGTCTGAAAACCAGTGGGGCAGTCAAATCTTAAAGCTCCAAAATGATCTCCTTTGATGCCATGTCTCACATCCAGGTCACACTGATGCAAGAGGTGGATTCTCATGGTCTTGGGCAGCTTCGCCCCTGTGGCTTTGCAGGGTACAGCCTCCCTCCCAGCTGCTTTCACGGACTGGCATTGAGTGTCTGTGGCTTTTCCAGGTGCATGGTGCAAGCTGTTGGTGGATCTAATATTGTAGTCTCTGAAGGATGGTGGCCCTCTTCTCACAGCTCCAGTAGCCAGTGTCCCAGTAGGGACTCTGTGTGGGGGCTCCAACCCCACATTTCCCTTCTATACTGCCCCCGGAGAGGTTCTTCATGAGGGCCCTGCCCCTGCTGCAAACTTTTGGCTGGAAATCCAGGTGTTTCCATACATCTTCTGAAATCTAGGTGGAGGTTCGCAAACCTGAATTTTTGACTTCTGTGCACCTGCAGGATCAATACTGTGTGGAATCTGACCAGGCTTCAGACTTGGCATTATCTGAAGCCACGACCCTAGCTGTACCTTGGCTCCTGTTAGCCATAGCTAGAGCATCTGGGACGAAGGGCACCAAGTCCCTAGGTTGCACACAACAGGGGGCCCTGAGTCTGGCACACCAAAACATTTTTTCCTGCTAGGCCTGTGGGACTGTGATGGGCAGGTCTGCCGCAAATGTCTCTAACATACCGTGGAGACATTTTCCCCATTGTCTTGGTGATTAACATTTGGCTTTTTGTTACTTATGCAAATTTCTGCAGCAGGCTTGAATTTCTCCTCAAAAAATGGATTTTTCTTTTCTGTGGCATCATTAAGCTACAAATTTTTTGAACTTTTATGCTGTTTCTCCTTTAAAACTGAATGTTTTTAACAGCACCCAAGTCACCTGTTGAATGCTTTGCTGCTTAGAAATGTTTTCCACCAGATATCCTAAATCATATTCCTCAAGTTCAAAGTCCCACAAATCTCTAGGTCAGGGGCAAAATGCCGTCATTCTCTTTGCTAAAACATAGCAAGAGTCACCTTTACCCCAGTTCCCAACAAGTTCCTCATCTCCATCTGAGACCACCTCATCCTGGATTTCATTGTTCATATCATAATCAGCATTTTGGTCAAAACCGTTCAACAAGTCTCTAGGAAGTTCCAAACTTTCCACATTTTCCTATCTTCTTCTGACTCCTCTAAACTGTCGCAGCCTCTGGCTGTTACCCAGTTCCAAAGTTGCTTCCACATTTCCGGGTATCTTTACAGCGGTGCCCTACTGTACCAGTACCAATTTACTATATTAGTCTGTTTTCATGCTGCTAATAAGGACATAGCTGAGACTGGGTCATTTATAGGGAAAAGAGGTTTAATGGACTCACAGTTCCACATGGCTAGGGGGGGTCTCACAATCATGGCTGAAGGGTAAGGCACATCTTACATGGTGGCAGGCAAAGACAGAATGAGGACCAAGCAGAAGGGGTTTCCCCTTATAAAGCCATCAGATCTCTTGAGACTGATGCACTACCACAAGAACAGTATGGAGGAAACTGCTGCCATGATTCCATTATCCCCACCAAGTCCCTCCCACAACACATGGGAATTATCGGAGTTACAACTCAGGATGAGATTTGGCTGAGGACACAGCCAAACCATATCAAGTAGAAACTGTTTCACAAGTTTGGGAGCTCTAGTGTTGGGTGCATATATATTTAGGAATGTGATATTTTCCTGTTGGACTAGTCCTTTTATTATTATTACAAAATGACCCTCTTTGTCTTTTTTAACTGTTGTTTTAAAGTTTGTTTTGGCTGATGTAAGAATAACTACTCCTGCTCTTTGGTGTCTATTTTCACAGAATATCTTTTTCCACCCCTTTACTTTTAGTTTATGTGAGTCCTTATGTTTTAGGTGAGTCTTTGAAAACATCAGATACTTGGTTGGTGAATTCTTATCCATTCTGCCATTCTGTATCTTTTAAAAGGAGCATTTAGGCCATTTATATTCAACATTAGTATTGAGAGGTGAGGTACTATTCTATTCATTGTGCTATTTGCTGCCCAAATACCATTTTTCTTTGTGTTATTATTACACAGGTCCTCTGAGATTTATGCTTAAAGAGGTTCTGTTTTGGTGTACTTTGAGGAATGGTTTCAAGATTTAGAGCTCCTTTTAGCAGTTCTTGTAGTGCTGGCTTGGTAGTGGTGAATTCTCTCAGCAGTTGCCTAGAAAAGACTGTACCTTTCTTTCATTTTTGAAGCTTAGTTTTGCTGGATACAAAATTCTTGGCTGATAATTGTTTTATTTAATGAGACTAAAGATAGGACCCCAATCCCTTCTAGCTTGTGGGATATCTGCTGAGAAATCTGCTGTCACTCTGATAGATTTTCTTTTGCAGGTTACCTGATGCTTTTGCCTCACAGCTCTTAAGATTCTTTCCAACGTCTGGACTTTAGATAACCTGATGACTATGTGCCTAGGCAATGATCTTTCTGCAATTAATTTCCCAGGTGTTCTTTGAGCTTCTTGTATTTAGATGGCTAGATCTCAAAGAAGGCCGGGTAAATTTTTGTCAGTTATTACCTCAAACATGTTTGCTAAACTTTTAGATTTATTTTCTTCCTTAAGAACACCAATTATTCTTGGGTTTGGATGCTTAACATAGCCCAAAATTTCTTGGAGGCTTCATTAATTTTTTAAATTTTTTTCTTGTTTTTGATGGATTGGGTTATTCGAAAGCCTTGTCTTCAAGTTCTGAAGTTCTTTATTCTGCTTGTCTGATTTTATTGCTAAGACTTCCCAGTGCATTTAGCATTTCTCTAAGTGTGTCTTTGATCTCCAAGAGTCATGATTGTTTTTTATTTATACTATGTATTTCACTGAAGATTTTCCCTTTCATATCCTGTATCATGCTTTTTATTTCTTTAAGTTGGACTCCCCCTTTCTCTGGTGTCTCCTTGATTAGCTTAATAATTGAAATTACGAACCATTTTTCTGCCAATTCAGAGATTTTTGTCTTGGATTGGATGCATTGCTGGTGAGCTGGTATAATCTTTGGGTGGGAGTGTTAAAAAAAACCTTGTTTTTTCATATTACCAGAATTTTTGGGGGGGTTCATTCAAATTTGGGCATACTATGTCAGAGGGAAGATCTGGGACTCTGGAGCTGCTGTTTAGACTCTTTTGTCTCACAGGGTGCTCCCTCAATGTGGTGGTCTCTCCCTCTCCCTAGGGATGAGACTTCCTGAGAGCTGAAATGCAGTGATTGTTTTTGCTCTTCTGGGTCTAGCCACCCAGCAGAGCTACCAGGCTCCAGGCTGGTACTCCAGGGGAATGTCTGCAAAGAGTCCTGTGATGTGAGCCATCTTCAGGTTTTTCAGCCATGCATACTAGCACCTGCTCTGGTGGAGGTAGCAGGTGAGTGAAGTGGACTCTGTGAGGGTCCTTTGTTGTATTTTTGTTTAGTGCATTGGTTTGTGTTGGTTGGCCTCCAGCAAGGAGGTGGCACTTTCAAGAGTGTGTCAGCAGCAGTACTATAGGGAGGATGCCGGCTTGCCCTAGGGTTGCTTGGTTAAGTATTCAGGTTTCTCAGGCAGTAGGCAGGGCCATAGAACTCTCATATGCCCTTTATCTTCAGCAACCAGGGTGGGCAGAGAAAGGCCACCAGGTAGGGGCAAGGATAGGTGTGTCTGAGCTCAGACTCTTCTTGGGCAGGGCTTGCTGTGGCTGTTGTGTGGGATGGAAGTCTGGTTCCCAGGCCAATGGAGTTATATTCCCAGGGGGATTATGGCTGCCTCTGCTATGTCATGCAGGTCACCAGCGATGTTGAGGAAAGCCGGCAGCCACAGACCTCACTCTGCTGCCATGCAGCCTGCAGTTGTAAAGGCTGGTCTCACACCCACTGTGCCCCTTCAACAGCACTGAATCTATTTCCAGGCAGCAAATGACCAGGGCATAGAAGTTGCCACAGATCCCCAGCCTGCACGCTGAGAAAACAAGCAGATTCACAGATTTTTGGTGTCTCAGGGAGCCTACAGTGGTGATCCGGTTCCTTCGAAGGGTCTGTGGATTCTCTCAAGTTTACTGGTATGTTTCTGTGGTAGTTCTTGGAGCAAAAGTTTACAACGTGAGTCTCCACATGCTGCTCTGTCTGAGTGGGAGCTGCAAGCTAGTCCTGCCTCCTACCCGCCATCTTAGATCAGAAATAACTAGATGTTTTGAAATTTAAGTTGTGTTTACATTTTGTTTTCTTCCTTTAAAGAGGCAGAAGTTAGCTTTGGAACTTAGCATCCCCTTTCTATGTCAGAATCTTTATGAGTTACTCTTCCTGAAATAATCCCATTTGTTTTTTTGCATGCACAGGAAAATTTACTGCGGAACTAATGACCCTTGCGACTGAGGAGCTTAATGGCTCCTCACTTGTATGGACCTATCCCTTGGTCTTGCAAAAGGCCCTAGGCATCTTTTCAAATGGTATGCTTCTGTAAAATTTGCTAAAGAAGTGTTTGTGACCAGTACTTTAGAAACAATATTTCCCAACACTGTCTTTTTCCATCTGACTTACTTCTGGAAAACTCATGCTACCAACAGTAATTTCTATAGTAGACAAGTATATTTTTCAAATTCTGGCTAATGGAGGCGGCTCAATTAGTGATATATTTGGATTCAGGATTTAGTAGAATATATGAATTTTACTGTCACTTTTATCCATTGGATTATAGCACATCTAGGGATCGATTTCAGCCATGCTATTACTACTCATCGTATTGACTTACCTACAGCATCATAACATGAAGGTACAAGGCCAGGTGTTAAATTAAAGGACATAAATGCAATAAATTTGACATCAGAAATATGTGGGTGATGTGAAAAGGGGTCTGAAATGTATGGAGCCAGAAGCTAGACTATGGAAATTTGTTCTTTATGTGAGATGGGTAAATGGAAGAGAAGCATTCAATTTTCATTAGCCTAGTCATAACGGAAGTTATCTTTTCTCTGAAATTCACTTGTGATGTAACATACACAATTACAGAAACATTTTTATAGAAATTATGAAAATTAGAACTTATTTGAATTTTATATAACATAGTACTGAAAACAGTATAGCTGCATGAAAAGATAGATTTTATACCTTCCAAGCATCATTAACAAAAGGCAGATTAATGGTATTCTTTTCTATTGAGAGAAAATAACGTTATAAATGCCTGTCATTTGCAGAGGCAGTAAAAGAATAAAAAGCCAAAAATTTAAGAGGTTTTGGAAAAATATAGAAAAAAAAGCATGCCAGATAGTTTTTAGATTAAAAAAATTGAGATTCTTAATCCAATTTTACCATTTTTAAATTTGTGCTTTTTCTAATTCTAAAAACATTTAACTTTAAACTTGATTTTGTGTTTGTACTTACATCTACTTTTTTCTTTAAGGAGGATATTCAAAATTATGTAAGCTTCTTCATAAAGGCTTGTATTATTTTGTTTAGAAAATTTTCAGGCTGGGCGTGGTGGCTCACGCCTGTAATCCCAGCACTTTGGGAGGCAGAGGCGGGCGGATCACGAGGTCAGGAGTTCGAGACCAGCCTGGCCGATATGGTGCAACCCCGTCTCTACTAAAAATACAAAAAACAGCCGGGCGTGGTGGCACACACCTGTAATCCCAGCTACTCAGAAGGCTGAGGCAGGAGAATTGCTTGGACTCGGGAGGCAGAGGTTGCAGTGAACCGAGAGCGTGCCACTGCACTCCAGCCTGGGTGACAGAATGAGATTCCATCTCAAAAAAAAAAAAAAATTTTAAGTAAACTTTAACCTATCCATACTATGAAATATATACATATATATATATATCATGAGATTACCTGTTATATATACATATATGTATGTGTGTGTATATATATATATTAACTGAAATATTACATAGAAATAAACTTAGACACTTTGGGATAATTTAAAACATCCCAGTTGGACACAAAGTTCTCATCTCACAAGACATCACATATGCTTGATATAGGAAACATTGGCTCAGAACTGCTTTTGCTTGGAGTACAAGCAGTGCACTTTTTGTTAAATAAATCCACATAAGCATGCTATTCTCTAGTGTTAGCTGAAGAACAGAAATGTCTTACTTAAAACTATGACTCAATGTCTTGAAATTACCTCCTAAATTACTGCATGTTTATCAATGGCCAATGTAGAGGAACTCCGTGGGAGTTTAAGCCACTCAGCCCAAACAAACTTGTGAAGAGGAGTGAGATATATTCTACTCATCACCAGAACAATCCGCAGTGTGTGCTTCTCTCCTGGTTCTCACATGAGTGTCAAGGCTAGCCCATTTCCCCTGAATGCCTGGCACATAGGCTGTGAAATCATTTCCCACCGAACAATCACTTCAATCAACCCCCAGGCTCCAATCCAGAAACATACCTCCATGTATGATAACACATGCTTGGCAAGAAACAACATGAAAAGTCAGAGGTGATCATATTGAAAGGGTTTTTAAGAACTTTAATTTTTTGTTTATTAAAATACCATTATCGAACAGCATTCACCATGATGATCTGATTATCTCTGTTGACAGAAAGTGCAGATTCCTATGGCGCATCTCAGATAAGGAAAAGCTTACGGAGATAAAGCCTGAAAGCCTGGATACTTCCAGATGACTTCTAGATACATTAAAACATGAGATTTTGGTCTAATTTATTTGAATAAAAAGTGGCTGACTTTGAAAGTAGACTTTAGGTTGCTCTTTGTATATAACCTTCTTTTTGCACACTGCAGGTCGGTGAGTAAGGCATACGTGTATTTGTGTGCCTATGGATTTGTGTTGTTGGGGGACAGGGACCCTTCATGATTTAATGGTATTTTGTTTTCTCTTAAGAATATGAGCTACAGGACAGTAGGTACCATTCGTCCTTGCTTTCTTCTTCCCAGATATTACTTCTTTATCAGAATTAAAGCAACACGCACACTCTATTTTTGGGATTCCTGAGTTCTAAATAAGCATACAAGTTGCTTACCAAAAGTGCATGGGTTTATCCTAGCAAAGTGGAGCTGAAGACCCTATTGGCTTAGCCAACTTCCTCTTTGGCCTGTATAAGACCTGAAAGCAAGTGAGAAAAGACCCATACTCTAAGACACCTAGCATATTAAAATATATGGTTAGTAATTCTGTCAGATCATATCAGTAATATTAAGTCAGATGTCTATTGATGGAATTTAAAATTTTAAGAAGTCTCCCTCTCTTCCTCTGGCTTGACCTACCTTTCCTTTCCTTAATGGTGGTATCATAAAATGCTATTTTTAAAAAATTCCCAAATGAAATTTTGAAAGTCACTTCTAAAAAGTTCCCAACTCCTCCTAGTATATTTTAATTCATTTGAAACATCTACTGACTACTGATTATATATGACAAATCCTTTTCATCATCAATAATTCCTTTTTAAAATACTAGACATTGTATTACATGAGTGAGGAGCACTACCTTAATAGTTCAAATAGTAAGCTATTTAAAAATAGGATTGAATAATTCAAAAATATATGACATATATGGCCTGATAAATAAGAGGAACTTAAAATTTAAATGACTGATAAATATATAAATATTGAAAATTCTTTATTTGTACTTCTATATTTCTTTTGTACTTAGTTGTTACAACGGTCAAAGTCATCCGAAAGTTTCTGAAGTATTTCTGTGAGTTCATTCCTTACTAATCCCAACAATGAGAGGTAAGTGAAAAATGATACCATTTCTGAAATTCAGAAAAAAACGTGGTCTTCATGAATCATTGGAAATTTCCAGTGGCAATAGAAATTCTGAACTGAAGGCACTAACTTAGAAGATCTGTCAGTGAGTGATGACTATAGAACAACTATGCAGCATCATCCATGATCAGCTGTGCATAAGCTTAGCCAAGGCGGAGTTCTGTAATGACCTTCACCCCACGGGAGTTAACAGAGTGAAGCTGACCTGCTGGCACTGGGCTTGGATGAAGCCAAACTGTGTGAATCACAGTATAGTTACAGTTTCCACAGTGACCATTAGTCAGGAGCAGAGTGATATAGCCTTCTGAATGCGTGCAATTGGCTTGATAACACCAGTTGCAAGAAGATACCAGAGCTATTCTTCCAAGTTGTTTTGTTAAGATGAAAGAATACACTTACTTATAAAATGTAAAGGTCCCTGGAAGTGTAGTTGAAAAGAAGAGTAACTTTACAGTCATCTGACCTATGCTTACATTAAATATCTGCATTTTGCTGACAAGTTACTTAGTCTTTCTGAGCCTCAGTTTACACTACTGCCAATTAGTTTAGTTATGAAGAATAGACATTATAATTACTTACGTAAAGTATCCCTTGGGTTCTCAATAGCTAGGTATATTGGGGGAAGAGCAAACTAGAGGTAGGATTAGGGATTATTCTTCATCAATTTCTTTGTTCATCTGACAGTATCTTGTTGATAATTGCTGTTTGAACACTCCTGGTCCTCTGCATGTTTTGAACACAGCCCTCTTGCTTTTAGAATATGTTGCCTGAATCTTAGGATGTTTTTATGCTCATTTGTGATGATGCATGAAAACTTCTCTGCAGGAGGCATGCCACATCTTCACAAAGACTCATAGAAAGCTTTCTCTATCTAGTCATTTAAATTTTGTATATAATATAACCAACCACTTTGGCAAAGGGCCTTTCAAATAATGTGGCATCTACTTTATTGATGTATCAGAACAGACTTGGTATCCATTAAGTCATTTTGTTAATACCTATGTATTATTTAAAATACTACAAGGCACTATATTGACTCAGTATTTCAACTCTGAACTTAAAAGTCTATGAGCCAGTGATTAGTGAGAACAGCAGAGTGGGTATCTTCAAAGGCACATCCCCTCACAAAAACATCAAATAATTTAGGGAAAATTGTCAGAATCAACTTTGTCCAAACTCTGGAAAATAGTCAAAGGTTTATAGAAATTAAGCAAATACTGGATTATGAAAAAGCACCTTGAAAAAGGTGCAAGACCTTCACAGCATTTTTACTGGCTCTTTACCCCAAACTCCCCAGTGTTGTGGCTGTGTGTTGTGGAACACATTCCCAGTGTGGGACCCTGGTTCCTCATTGCAGAGGAAGCAGTACAGACCTTGTTCCCAAAGAATTGCATGTGCTCGAATTTGTCTGGGGGCTACCTGTAGAACTCATGTAGAGCACTTGCCTTTATTTCCCCTAATTAGAAATTTACTCAGGATAAAAAAAACAGTGAACATTCCTTGAAAACACTGTAAGGTCAATGAATAACCCATAGATTTATGGGGCAAAATATTTTGGTTGAGGCAAACAATAGATTCACTGAAAAATCTGGGAGGAAAATCTGGGGAAAGAGTCTCTTTGAGAAACTGGGATATTTAGAAGTACCTATGTATACAGAGGAGTTTAGAAGTACCTATGTATACAGAGGAGTTTAGAAAGGGGAACATATGCCGAGATAAGAACTAAGAAGACCCTAAGTTTTAACCTCTGGTCTATCTCTAGGTTAGTGCAAGGAGAATATGAAGATGAACACAAAATTGTAAATGGCCTAAGCATTAGTAGAGTGCCCCAAAACAAACTATTAAAATTCAAAGGCAAATTTGCAAAGGCTGGGAATTTTTTATTGGCCTTTATGACTTTTTTCTTTTCTCCTCTTTTTCCTCCTCCTTGTCTTTCTCCTCCTTCTCTCTCTTTTTTCTCCTCCTTTTTTCCATTTAAGGAAATTTATGTGAAAACGCTAACTGAACATTAGCTGGGATACAGAGACTGCAGAGACTACAAATAATAAAGAATATGGATATTATAAAAATTGTTTCTAAAAGTTACTAAACAAATAGCTACAGCCCACAGTAAGGAACAAACAAACAAACAGTAACAACCGAAAAAAAAAAAAAACCTTTAGGAAGAGAAAAATCTGAATTTCAATTCCCACATTATAGTATTCAAAATGTCCAGTTTCCTATCAAAAATTAGCATACAAAGAAACAAGAGGATATAGCCTATTTATGGAAGAAATTAACAGACTGTTTCATAGGGAGCACAGATATTGGGCTTACTAGGCAAAAGCTTTAAGTTAACTGCCTGATATATACTCAAAGATGTAATGGACACTATGGACAAAGAGCTAAGGAAACCTGGAGAAAAATGAATAATCAAATAGAGAATACCAATAGAGACGGGAATTTTAAAAAGAAACCAAATAGAAATTCTGGATCTGAGAAGTATAATAACCGAAAAACTAAATAACTCACTAAAGATTTTCAACTGCAAATTTGAGCAGGCAAAAGAAAGGGTCACTTGAAGATTAGTTCATTGAAGTTATTTAGTCTGAGGAGCAGAAAGAAAAACGTAAAAGATAAAGAAAAATTAACAGAGCCTAAGAAGCCTATGGAACACCACCAAGTATACTAATATATATATATAAAATAGGAGTCCCAGCAGGAGAAGAAAGAAAGAAAGGAACAGAAGGAATATTTGAAAACAATAATGGCTGAAAACTCTCCAAATTTCATAAAGATATGAATCTACGCATTCAAAAAACTCAATCAAATTCAAGAGGGATAAAAACAGAGACCTACACTGAGACACATTATAATCAAATTATTTAAATTCAGACAATGAGAAAATCTTGAAAGCAGCAAGAAAGAAGTACTCATCATATACAAATGACCTTCAATAATATCAAGGACCAATTGCCCATCAGAAATTATGGAGGCCATAATGAAGTAGGATGACTTGTTCAAAGCGGTGAAAGAAACAAAAAGAAAACTATCAACAAAGAATAAGATATTCATCAAAACTATTATTGAAAATGAAAGAAAAATGTAGACAATATCATATAGTAGAATTGATTATAGACAGTAAGTCAAAGTTATATTAAATATTAATAATTCTAATAAAGAAAACTGCAAAGCTAAATACAAAGCCAGCATGATTTTTTTTTTTTTGCTTTTAACTAGTCTTCTTGTTTCTTATATGATGTATAAGACAAATGCATAAAAAATTATAAATCCATGTTAATGGGCATGAAACGTATAAAGGTATAATTTGTGAGAGTAACAACATAGTGGTGGACTGGATCTCTACAAGAGTAGACTTTTTGTATGCTGTTGAGTCTCAGTTCGTATCAATTCAAATTAGATTGTTATACATGTAAGATATTAATAATAAAATGTTTAGGAATTTCCATGGTAGTTCCTAAGAAAATATCTAATAAATATACAAAATAGAAAACCAAAAGGAAATCAAAATGTTATACTAAATATCAATTAAAGATGAAGGAATGAAAGAAATGAGGGACATTAGGTATAAAACATACAGAAAACAAACAGTAAAACTGCAGAAATGTGTTATTTATTAGAAGTTATTTTAGATGTAAGTGGATTTGACTATTCAGTTAAAAGATACAAATCGGCAGCATAGAACAAAAATATATATTCCAACTATATGCTGTCTGTAAAAGACTTATTTCAGATTCAAAGACACAAATAGTTTGAAAGTGAAATTATGGAAAAATATATTGCATGTACATAGTAACAAAAGGGAGCTTGAATAGCAACACTAATATCAGACAAAATAGACTGTCAGACAAAAAGTTATGATACAAAGAAAATCATTGTTATTGACAAATAAAATTGGGAACATTACTACCAGCCTTACAGAAGTAAAAAGGATTATAATAGAATACTATAAACAATTGTATGCCAACAAATTAGGTAACAGGTGAAATAGATAAATGTATAGAAACACACAAATTACCTACATCGACTCAAAAATGAGTAGACAATCTCAACAGATCTGTAACAAGTAAAAAGATTGAATAAATAATCAAAAACCTCCCCCAAAATAACAACAAAATTCCAGGATGAGATGGTTCCTGGTTAATTTTACCAAACATTAAAAAAAATTAACACCAATTTTCCCCAAACTCTTTCAAAAAAAAAAAAAGACAAAATATAATAGGAGGGAATACTCCTGACTCTTTCTATTAGGCTGGCATTACCATGATACCAAAGCCAGATAAAGACAGCAAAGAAAAAAGTTACAGACTAATATCCTTTGTAAATCTTATGAACATAGATGCAAAAATCCTCAATAAAATCTTAGCAAATAAAACCTGAATGCATACTAAAATTATTTTGCACCCTGGCCAAGCGGGCTTTCTCTCAAGGATGCAGAGTTGGTTCAAAATAAGAAAATAAATTAATGTAGTGTATATTTCCTGTTCCCCTAAGGCAAGAAAAAGACAAAGATGCCTGTTTTCATCACTGCTATTCAAAATTATGGTAGAAGTTCCACCCAGAGTAATTATTCAAGAAAAGAAATAAATGGCATTAAGTTGGAAATGACGTGAAATTGTTATTACTCGAAGATGATATAATTCTATATTTAGAAAATCCCAAGGAATTCACAAAAGAAAACTCTACTAGAGCTTATAAGTAAGTTCAGCAAATATGAAGGGTACAGGATAAACATACACAAAAAATCAGTTGTGTTTCTATGCACCAGCAATCCAAAATAGAAATTAAGAAAACAATTCCATTTGCAATAAAATCAAAAACTAAATTACACAGGAGTTAATTTAACCAAGCAGATGAAACGTTAGTGTACTAATTGGAAAGAGTTAAAGGTCTGAATAAACAGAAAGACTACCATATTCAAAAATTGGAAGACATAATTGTTAAAATGCCAATACTACCCAAAATGATGTATAAAGTCAATGCTATGCATATGAAAATTCCAGTAGCCATTTTGCAGAAATGGAAAAGCCATCCTATAATTCACATTGAAATGTGAAGGCCTACAAATAGCCAAAATAACATTGAAGAAGAAGAACCACATTGAAAGATTCACTTTCTGATTTCCTGACCTAGCAATACCATGCCTAGGCATAAACCCCAAATAATTGAAAAGTGGTAATCAAACAAATATTTGCACACAATTGTTCATAGCAACACTATTCCCAAGACCTAAAATGTGAAAACATCCCAAATGCTCATCAAGCAAATGAATAAACAAAATATGGTATATGTATATGATAGAATACTAGTCAGAGATAAAAATGATTAACATACAGATACACTCTACAAGGTGGATAAAACTTTAAGTTGGTACGCTAAGTGAAAGAAGCCAGATACAAAAGATCTAGCAGAAAGTATAAAGTCCATATGGAAAGTAGATAGGGAGCTGCCAGGGCCAAGGAGAGGGAAATGGGATTAAATACTTAATCCGTAAGCGCTTTTCTTTTGGGGTGACCAAAATGTTTTGGAAATAGAGTGGTGATGGCAAACACTGTTCATGTAATAAATGCCACTGAATTATTAAGAAATAAGTCATATGTATAATAATTATCACACTTGTCACCTGGTCCATGGAAATTTCACAAGGCTAAACATCCATTCTAATTTGAGCCAGCCTTTTCTCATGCAGCGTCTTGTGTTCCTTACGCTTAATCTTCAAGCTGTGTTTTAGTAACTTGAAGCTGAGCAGAGATTGATTAATCTTGCCTGATGTATAAGTACTATGGATCCTGATTTCGTTGACCCTGTGAGCTGGTGGTTTATGTTTACTATCTAAAGAGAAGATATTATATACCACTTCTACAATTTCTGTAACATCTCATGGACCTTTTAAGGGGCAGTAAAACATGTCAAATTTAGGTTCAGACAAAAAAAAAAACAAAACATTGTAGAGACTTTATTGTTTAGTAATGTTACGCTAATAGTGTCATTATATATAACAATCTGCTTATAAAACTAACTTGAGGTGGCTTTCACCACAAATACAAATAAAATATGTTTGTTATTGTGAATTAAATGAGATTGTTGTTCTTCACTTTCTAATGCAGCCTAATCTAGCATATATTTTATGATATGGCTTTGATCTAATCACCTGTAGTTCCCTTTCTTCCATTTCTGTACATCAGTTTTGTTTTTCTTGTCAACTTATACTTGCTTCAATATCACTATGTTTAACTCTCTCTTTCATCCTATGTCCATGTATTTGCCAGTGCTTTTGCTTTGGAACTGTTCATGTAACTTCCTGGATATCTACCATCTCTCTCAAGCCTGGATTCACTACTCCTGTTATATCAAGAGAGGGTTGGGTATGAATGTGACTCCATTTCTTCATTTCTGGTCAAGAGCTTTCACTCGGGTTACAAACAAGGTCAGAGAGTGATTGGTCGGCCAGGTTGAGGTAACTTTGAGTTCTGCCTAATGAATTAAATACATCTACACGTTCAGGTTGGGTATAGGCTTGCCATTGTGGTGGAGGGAAAACACCCTGATCTTACCTCTCCAGCGATTGTCTGTCCACACTGACCAAGGAGAAGGCAGAAGGAAAGTTGGTGCTGGTTTCAGAATCCTGTCTTCCAGGCAATACCATCTGTAAAGTTACACATAACCACAAAGTCACCAGAGATAAAGACCAGAAGGTAGAAATGAAACTGATATTATTTAATTATATGATAGCCCATATGGAAAAATTGAAAAAACCAAATAACTTACTGAGTACTACAATATTAGAACAGTAAGATAATTTAGAACGTTTGGTGAATAAAAGATAAACACATAGCTAATATTTCTAACCAAAGCAATAACCAGATAGGTAAGACAGGAAGTATAACACTTGTATTCATAAGAGAAATGAAAATAATAAATTTCTTATGAATAAATTAGTAAAAACGTGTGCAAGTCATTTATGGAGAAATAACTAAAAGATATAAAATAAAACCTAAGTAAAGGAAAGGATATGTTTATGATGAAAGGGATCAGTATGGCAAAGATGGAAAATCTCCACAAATCAATATTTTAATTAAGTGCTAATCTAATAAAAATCACAGCAGTAGTTTTCAAGGAAGCTTAAAAATAAAAAAAAAATCTGCAATTTATAGGACAGCAATGAATAAAAAATATTTTAAAAAACAAGTAAATAGCAACAAGAAAGAGTATATTCCCTAGAAGATAACAGAAAGTATTATTTAAAACCACAAAATAATAATTAATTCACAATAAAAACTTTGCTGGGATTTTCAGCAGCTTCAAATTCGTATATACTTACCTTCCCACTGAAATCTTGATCTCATCCATACTCCCAGCCTCCAGCTGACCCAAACGTGATTTATAACAATGGTATGAGCCTGATTTATTGGTCTTCCCAGAAATTTGGGACTTATCCTGGTTTTATTTCTTCCTTCCTATGTGTGCATTTAATCTGTGAACAAATACTATCATTTATGCCACTAAGATTTTTCTCTGATGTGTTTCACTCTTTTCAGTTCTTCCACTCTCATTAGAAATGACAGCCGGGCACAGTGGCTCGTACCTGTAATCCCAAAACTTTAGGAGCCTGAGGCAGGAGGATACTTTGTACCCACGAGGTTGAGGCTGCAGTGAGCCATGATCATGATAGCGCCGTTGCATTTTAGCCTGGGCAACAAAGCAGGACCCTGTCTCTGAAAAAACAAAATAAAACAAAACACATAAACTCAATGTTATTCAAACTGTACAGAACCATATTTACAAAGAACCTCATTAGTGGTGTCTTCGTGATCTTTACCCATGTTCCCTTCTAACCTATTCTTCATGCAGCAACCAGAATAAACATCTACTTATACGGCTTCTCAGACAGGCCTAAGTGGCCTTTACCTTCATCTTACAAATCACTACATAAACAACCATAACTACTTCCCAAATTTACTCAATAACACTGAAGTTTTGTATATTTGCTTTTATAAATCCTGGTCATGTTTATTTCTCTGAAAAATCTACTTGAAAATAAGATTGACTCTCCCAAACAGTTACCTCTGCCTCTACACCCCAGAACCATATTTGAGATGTAGGTGTCTTCATCTGTTTTGGCTACTATAACAAAATAGACCGGATCATTTATAAATCAAATAACTTGTTTATTCACAGTTCTAGAGGCTGGGAAGCCCAAGATCAATGTGGTAGCACATCTGGCATCTAGTGAGGGCCAGTTCATCATAGCTGATTCCTCCTATGTGTCCTCACATAGAGCAAGGGGCCAACAGACCCCCTTAAAGCCTCTTTTATAAGGGTACTAATTCCATTCCTGTGAATAGACCCCTTATAACTTAATTACCTCCCAAAGACCCCACCTCTTAATACCACTGAATTTGAGATTAGGTTTCAGTACATAAATTTTAAGGGAACACAAACGTTCAGACTCTAGCAACTGGTTTCATGCTATCCATCTTTAAAGTGCCTGGGGTTTGTTTGATTGCTTGTTTTCTAATTCCCTTTCTGACAGACTTATTAACCCCATGCAGGGATCCTGTTGAGGATCCTTAGCTAGACTTTGTTTCTACCCCATTGAAATGAAAGCTTTAAGCCACAGAAGATCATGAGAATTATTTAAAGCAGATGTAAGCTTTAGTGCATGTATGCATCTCTGGAGTCATGTTTTAGATATTTTTTTATGGGCAAGTTTCTTAGGATTTTCTTACTTTTTTCCCAGACAGGCATAGGTGTGTGTGTGTGTGTGCGCACGAGTGCGCACATACACGCATTTTAGTATTTTAGGTGTTTCTTACTAGAATGAGTTTTCAGGCTATCTTGTCTGCCATAATGCTGGACATAAAAGTCCTGAGAAATAATAATTTCATTTATAGACTTTTAAACATAGTTTAAAGCATGGAAATTAACTTTAAACAACTGAATGAAAATAATTATATCTTGAAAATATGTAATATTGGTTATCAATGAAAAATATATAAATCTGTTATTTGTTCTTTATAAATTTCTACCTTTTTAAAGAGTTAAAGATACTGTTTTATTCAAGAGTATTTAAGGAGCCTATATAATGATAGACCTTGTACTGCATACTTAGAATTCTCTGGGGAACAGAATAAAGACTGCTACTTTTGTGCTACACAGAGCTTATTGTGCAGAATAAGTACACATAAACAGACGTTTTTGAGCACAATGAGGGGATATGGTAGAGACAGAAGGTGCTATGGAGGGATAAGAGGATGCTTTCTTCAGCCTTGGGTATCAAGGATGACTTCCTGGGTTATGGTACAACTGAGCTTCATCTTTAATAATGGGTAATAATTTTCTATATTGAAGCAATGATGTAAGAAATGCAGCAGAAACAGTTCTCACTGTATATGCAATAGAGAATCATTGAAAGGTTTTATTAGGATGAGTAAAAATTTATAGGAAATTTTTCTCTGTAGTAATATTTCCTTTCCTATCCTCTCAGTGAAACAAAGGGAAATGATCCAAGTTTTGTAAGAAGACAATATGAAGTGAAATTTTATTAAGCACCCAATGTACAAGTGCTTCATATATGTCAATTATTTTACCCACAAAAGAAGACCAATAGTGTAATTATTTTCCTTCAAAATATTAGATGAACAGACCAAGACTCAATTAGCTAAGTCATCTGCCATGGTCATACTCAACTAACTGATGGAGGCAGAATGAGAACAAGGATTTTCTGACTCTAAAGACCATGAATTGTTTATTGTATTCAGGTGGCTCCTGTAGAAAATATCTTTCAGAAGGTCACTTGTGTTTAGTGCACTTAATTTGTTTACTCTAAATCTAGACAGATCTATATTATTTTGACAATTAACCTTTGGACATTCCAAGTTTACCTGGTCTCTGTTGCTTGTCATTTTAAACTCAATTAGATATACTGATACTGGAACTAATCACTTTATTAGACTAAGTGAAATACTAAGCATTCTTTGATAATACATACTCCATTGTTCGAATTTTTTGTGATTCCAGAAAAATCATGACTCATTCCTGCTTAGGTTTCCAATTAAAGTCCAAATTTTTATATCAGACAGAAAGCCCTTGAAGATCTGCTCTTGTCTTGTGCTTTGCTCCATTGTTGAACTTAATCCCACCCTTTGACTCACTAGCAACTTCTCAACTGTATCATACTCATTTTTAATCTCTGTGGCTCTGCTATGGTAGCTGTCTATGATAAGGCTTGGTTTTACTATGAACTATTTTGAAATATTTTATGAGCCATTCCTGCATTTCTAAATATAATTGATCCTTATATCTGCACCTTTACTTGCATACTCAAAACATATTGCACATTATTTCAATTACTTTTTACATAGGTATCTTTCTTAATAGATGATGGATTTAAAGAAGGTACCATAGATTTCATACCTAACTGTTATCAAAAAACCTAATAAATAGTACGTTAGGTGCTGGAGAATGTTTGCAAATGAATAAATGAATAAACATATCAATACACAAATATTTATTTTTATTTTTCTTTTTTTTTGAGATGGAGTCTTGCTCTGTCCCCCAGGCTGGAGTGCAGTGGCACAATCTCAGCTCACTGCAATCTCTGCCTCCCAGGTTCAAGCGATTCTCCTGCCTCAGCCTCCCATGTAGCTGAGATTAGAGCCATGCACCACCACGCCTGGCTAATTTTTGTATTTTTAGTAGAGATGGGTTTTACCATGTTGGCCAGGCTGGTCTCAAACTCGTGACCTCAAGTGATTTGTCCACCTTGACCTCCCAAAGTACTGGGATTATAGGCATGAGCCACTGTACCCAGACACAAATCCTTATAATAAATATGGATGTGTGATTGCTCACATCCATCGTGAAAATATTTCTTGGGTTTTGGATAAAATTGTGGAAAAATTTGATAAGTCTTGTTGCACTTCTACCTTAGGTGTCTGTAAGGAAAAAAATAAAAAGAGAATAGAATGAGATATGTGAAAAATGGAACTTTCAGTATTATTTTGGCAAGTTCAGTGCTGCTGGCATCTTTCCCATTTAAGATACAGTATGAGGATTATATAATACATTGCCAACAAAATATAAAATCTGTAGATCTTTAAAATGTTTGAGATATAAGATTTCTTCAAAGACACACCAAAGCAGTTGGAAAAGGTCTTCAAAGATAGTGTCCCTCAGGGAAACAACAATAAACCTTGAAAAGGAAAGCTTTGCTTGGGAGTTAAGGTAGGTTGAAAAAAAGTCTTTTTGCTAAGGAAGGAATTTTATAAGGCTCTGAAACAAAAAAAGGAAACAACGCCAAGTGACTAAAGAAGAATATGGTTAAAGAGAAAATTATTGCAGGACTAGAACTAGAAAAGGCAGATCAGTAAATCCTATGCTAGGTTCTAAAGTCTTAGGGTATTAGAAACATTTTTGATAAGTACAGGAGGCAGTGCAGGATTTCAAGCTAATCATGGAGATGTCACTTAGAATATTTGCTTCTAAATCCTCCTTTAACACCTGGTCTCTAAAAATATAGACAATAGCTCAAGTTTTCTGTTCTTTAGTTCACAATATACATAATGGGATTGGAGATGCTTGTCATATCCTAAGGGAAATAGCTATTATAAAGGTTAATAAAATATTTTACAGATGATTTTAGACTAGTGATTAGTAAATTAGGTTTAGTAATTTAAATAATGCTGTCTGAAATAAGTTTACCTTTACACATTACTTTAATAGGATATTCTAATCATAGATTTGAGACCACTGCAGCGGGTGATTGTCAGGCTGGATGGATTAAGCCATGTGTCAAACAGTGACGACTATAAAGAAGCAGGACCATTTATGAACCTGAGCGTCACAGTGATTAAGGATATACATTATGGAGACTTGTAGCCTGGGATTAAATCCCAACTTGCGTAATTATTAGCTATGTAGGCAATTTGTAGACAATTTAACGGTAGACAGTTAAATATCATATGCTTCATTTTTCTTATCAGTAGTATGGAGATAATATCACTACTTATAACATATATTATAAGCATTAAATCATATAAAGTAATTAGAACTGTGATAGACACATAAGTGTTGTCATTACGTTGTAAATACCAATATTAATACAAAACTAGAGTCAGATTGGGAAAACATAGATATGAAATATATGAAATATTCTTATCATATGTCTATTTAAAGAGTACAATACAGATTTCCAGTTCTGAAGTGGTGACATGGACACAAACTGGCTTCACTGTCCCCTACTCCAGAAAACCAAAGCCAAAAGTACGGCACTGAGATCCTCACCAATAATAACCCATAACTCAAATATAAGTTAATTCCCAAGGTCATGGAGAAATAAAATCAGCAGGCAAACAGTCAGAGAACCCTGTTTTTATACCCATGACACCTCTCACCCCAGTCTGCCTGGCACCAAGCACGCAGAAAACTTCCTGCAACTCATGGTTTCCATGCTGCAAAAAGTGAGATATGATGACAAGCAGCATCCTCAGCATTCTGGATTCTTTGGCAGGGAGACCTGACAATGTCTCCACCCATGGAAATATTCTGAGTGCCTGACAGCAGACAGATCTAGAGACAAAGAGGGAGGTGCAACCATCATCCACAGTTCTGGAAACTCTGCTCTGTCACTCAGCCAAAGGAGATACCAAATTAGTGTGGTTGTTCAGCAGCAACACTCTGCAGGAGGTGTGTTCCATGGTCCTCTGGGCACGAATCCCTTGCAAGGCCTTCCAGTGAAATGGGATATCCCCTTGGGGACCTCCCCCATTCTGGCCCAGCAGTGCTCTCTGATCACTTGCTGGAGCTGAGGCAAACTTGGGCTTTAAGCATCATCTAGTGCTGAAACAAAGGCACTGGTGAAAAAATGTAAGAATTTCAATAGGTAAATTATGAAGATTCTCTAAGCAAACACAGCCAATAAAACCCCCAAACAATCCACAGACTAGAGTGAATACTCCTACGATGAAAAGACCCAGGCATGTATCCATAAGAAACAACAGCAAACAGGGAACCAGGACCTCCCCAAATGGACAGGGCAAGGAACCAGTGACCACCATAGTGAGACAGTGACACATGAGCTCTCTGATCAATAATTCAAAAGAGTAATTTTCAAGAAACTCAGTGATCTCCAAGATAATGCAAAAAAAAGTGATTCAGAAATTTATCAGAGATATTTAATGAAGAGATTGAAATAATTAAATGTCAAATGGAAATCCTCAAACTGAGAAATATATTTCTAAACTGAAAACATAGTTAAAAGTTTTCCAAACAAAAGTTATAATAATTCACCACCACCTGACTAGTCATATAAGAAATACAAAAGAAAATGCTTCACTCTGAGAGAAAAAGACACTAACGTGAAACAAGAAAACATTCAAAGGTATAAAACTCATAGGTAAAATGAAGACAACCCCAGAATACCTCAACACTGTAATTGTGAAGTGCAATCCACTTATAACTAGTGTGAAGCCTAAAAGGCAAAACTATCAAAAACAATAATAGCTACAGCAACGTGTTAAGTGATAGGCAACAGAAAATTATATAAATTGAGACAACCAAAAGTCAAAATCTGGGGGCAATAGAGTTAAAGCCTCTGTCATCCTCTTTCTAGATTTGTATTTCTTGACCACCAGGCTACAATTTTACCAGTCCAAAGGGAATGCAGTTTCCATGTTTAAAGCACAATTTTACCCTTTATATTTAATTTCTCCATTAACCATGCTGTCACACATGATAGTATTTATTCATTTGATAAATTGACTTAATAATGTTGTTTACACATCTAGGAGGTAAATGAATGGAAATTTTATTCCAGCTGCAAGGTAAAACTCCTCTTTGAATTATCTCAGAACGCATCGTAGCAGTACACTTTATGATAATTATTAATTAATTTGAATATTCAACATGGCTCACTGGGTCTTTAAAAAATAACATGTTTAGGGAATTGAAAATTGGTTTTGAATGATTTCTTCCCCTTAGAGAATTGTTATATTTTCTGTTAATCACAAATTTAAGAGCCATTGCATAGCTCTTAGGGTTATAAATATTATGCTTCATTTCTTAATTCAGCCTGACTCAGATGTCTCTCCAAAGAACCAGGCATTTAGATGTAAAGTTTCCAGTAGGGATTTCTTAATTAGCTTTTAATAAGATAAAAATATTAGCATTTGTGGTTTCACTCTTTTATTCAGATAAAGTTTAGAATTTCCAATATTAAACACCATGATTATTTATTTTCCTTTTGAGCTCTAAAGAATACTCCATTAAATTGATAATGAAGGACACAGGAATTTATTTGTAAAGGATATAATTACTACTCCCAATTTACATAGTTTGTGTGCTTTGAAATAACAGTTCATAGGTCATTTATGAAACCTATCTCGATAGCTTCATACTTCATTGTACGGGGAAAAATAAATATTAATGGACAGCAACAACAGAATATATGTGCTTCAATGTTATTGAAAGTGGGTGGCCTTCACTAAATTTAACTTCAATACAAAAGAGCATGTTCCCGTTTCATTGGGTTATTTAACTTGGAGGGCCCATCGTGTGTATTAAACTGCATAGGATAGAGAAGGTATAATAAAATGTGAGCTACATAACCTTCCCAAATAATTTACCATGTATTTAATGTATTACTCAAATTTCCATATATAAATGATTTATATTTTTGCTACTTTCAGCAATGTAGTTCAAATACTTCTTTCCTATGATCCTTTTAAGCTCCATCTCTCTACCCACCGTAAGATCATAATAAGCTTTACATTATATTTAGGTCTCATATCCAAACCCCCTCATTCCTTGTGATCCACTGACTTCAAGTCTAGAGTTCTTTAAAATAAATATGAGTTATTGCATGGTAAAAATACATATGCAACAGGACGGTAACATTAAAGGCAGTAAGAGAATGCAAAATTCCATAAAGGAAGGGAAGAGAGGGAGGCTGAAATAGATAATCTTATCAGGAATTATATGTAAAATGGCTCCTCCCTTGTCTCACTTGATTTGTTCTTAGTTTATCAGCAGCTGTGACAAATGCAAAAACATGACTTTCCCATCGATCTCTTTGTCTGTTGAAGGAAATTTTATCATTTCTATGAAAGAGACTTATTTGCCCTTTCTGACTGCATTCTGAAAGAGTTCTTTTTAGAATATAAAGGTTAATCAAAATGCAAGTTGTATTTTGATGAAAAAATAAAAATAAACATTTTCCTTGGCCGTCTGTCAACCCTCAATAAAATTTGAGAACATCCTATTAAATTTTACTTCAAAGGGGACAATAATGTAAACTGAAAAATGAATAAATGAAATTAAAAAATAAGAGCGTGTCTCATCCCACAACATATACATATATCGAAACCATAATGTACAACATAATTATTATAAATTCAAATTTAAAAATATGATTCTCTTAGGATTAGTCTTTCTGTAAAAGCTGTTAGTATATACTACATTTCATTTGCATTTCATGACAAGAGAACTGTAATGAACACAAATTATAAAAGGTGATATCTTATCAATAGTATTTAATGTTTTGAAGAAATAGACCAGTGTACAAAGGGATAGGGAATTCATTTCTGTTAATGTATTTATTAGTTCTTACTAGGAGAAGAAATGTAACTATTCTCTTCAAAACCGTTAAAAATCAAGCACTGAGGCAGCCACACCATCGTTTGCTCCCTATGTTCCGATATCCTTAAGATGAGCTCAAAGAAAAATTAAATCTTGATTCAGGGTAAAAGTTTCTGCTAATCCAGTTCTTTTATCATAACCATGAAAAAAATCACTGAAAATTACTTTATACAAGTTATGCAGCTCAGAATTTTTCTTGATATTTGATCATTTTGAAATATGACTAAGCTTCTGCTAGAGCCTCTAAACCAATCTCTTGACTTCATCTTCTCTTTCATTCTGCAACCAAACCTGATTAATCTTCTCAAAGTACAACTCCAGTCATATTGCTTCCCAGGTTAAAAGGTGTCATTAATGCCTCAATATGAAAGGAAGTCTCTACCCAGAATCTACCTAGAAATCAAAGTCCTTTGTAATTTAGAACCACCTTTGAGAGGATGGTATTTTATAATTGAAGCAAAATACAACGCATATGTTTTCTCTTTTTCCAAATAGATCTGTGTTTTTGCTGCTCCATAACTCTGTTCACTGCAAGTGTCTTCCTGTGGAAATCCTAGCTGCACTTAAACAGCACTTGATTTCAATTGCACATTTCTTGTTGAAAATACTGTTGATTTGGAGTTAACAGGAAACTCAAACTCTTTCAGGCACATAAGGAGCCCAGGTCACCGATCTGAGAAAAATGAAACAACGTCACTAACTATGAAATTAGACATTTAAAATTGACCTATATGAATGTTTATGTTCATTGAGGTGGTCATAATTATGCATATGGTAAACATTAATACAGTCTAACTACCTCTGTGATTTGATTACTTCTACTAGTTTCCCTAGGGGGAGTTTGCTTAGTGGTGGTTTTCCTCCCCTTTCCTCTACACTCTGGATCACTCATCTTAGTTGGTATTTACTTCCAGTGCATCCTCTGGGCTTGCTGGTGTTCAGGATCATGGAAAAGCCAGAAGTGACTGTGTATGAACTGATGGCAAGATGTGGTCTTTGCATCAGGAAGCAGGTAAACGAGGTACTATTGACTACTAAAGCAGTGCTCCAAGTACTGTGATTCTCTCAGGGTAACCTCAGCCTTCTAACAGTGGCAACTTGGAAGTACTAGACATTTTATCAGCTTTGTGCTCTCTGACAACAGAGTCTCTAGTTTCCCCAGAAACTTTTCTCTTACCTTTCTTCATATTTCATTGATGTCAATTATTTCATTATTATTTTGCTAATAGGCTGTGGATTTTTAAATGAAAACATTATGTAAGTAACAACAACAACAAAATCAGTTACTACAAAAGAGATCCAGAAATAAGTAAAGTGTGAAGAATAATCACATAATCCTATCACTCAGACAAAAATACACATTACCGATATGGTGTATATTCCTTAGACTTAAATTTTGTACATATTTACAAGAAAATATATATGTAAAATATATATATTTTTTACATTGAAACAAGAAAAAAGAAAAATATACATATATGTATATTCTATCGTACACATTTTTACTTAGCATTTTCTTTTTCACACAGAATGTATACAGTAGATATTTTATGTGTCAGTGCATTTAGATCTAAATTGTCATATAATGGCTGTATTGCATTTGAGTAGCTGACTGAACCGTATGCATTTAACTAATCACTTTTAGTTTGACACTGAGGTAATGTCCACATTTTTCCTTATTTCCAGCCACACTGTGATAAACAGTTTTGGTTACTTTTGTGATTATTGTGCCTCAGGTTTTGACCATAAATTAGAAATAATACTGTGTTATGTTCAAAATATTACTTCTCTACTTAATATATCAAATTGTTGCCTCAAAAATCTTAATTTCAAGTGTTCTGTGAAAACTAGAGTACTTATAATTTTTTTAAAAACAGATTGTCACCACCCATGGGGAATCAAATCCAGTAGCTGTAGGGTAAGGCCCAGCTATGCCAGCTATGCATTTCTTTTCTTTTCTTTCTTTCTTTCTCTTTCTTTCTTTCTTTCTTTCTTTCTTTCTTTCTTTCTTTCTTTCTTTCTTTCTTTCTTTCTTTCTTTCCTCTCTCTCTTTCCTTCCTTCTTTCCTTCCTTCCTTCCTTCTTTCTTTCTTTTTCTTTCTTCTTCTTTCTTTTTCTTTTTTTCTTTTTTTTGTTTTGACAGAGTCCAACTCTGTGCGGGCATTACAGGCGTGAGCCACCACCCCCAGCCTGCATTTCTAAAAGCTATACAAGATGATCCTGACATGCAACCAAAGAACTGGTATTAACAGGTTACCCACATATTTTTTGTCATTGCAGAAAAGACAAGACTCTAAGTATTATGAATGCAAAATCTTATATGAGTAAGTAAAATTTGACCCACTGAATTGTATAACCTTAAACTGAGTCTATTACATATAAAATGAAGTGCGGAACTCAAGTAATAAGTTCACACTTTTTAGTAAAAATACCTTTACTACTCTTAGCTAAATAGTCCAAGAAAACACCCACATTGCCCAAGCAAACCTTCATATATAACTCATTTTAATGTATAAAATGATTAACATTTATGTATTAATATTGTATATATTGTTCTTCCAGATTGAAAGTTACTCTAAAAATAAAATGACATTAAAAAATCACTTTATTGTGGGAAGGGAACATTGACAATTTTCAAATGGTTTTTTAATGTCTGGTCATATTTCCTGATCATGTTATTTACATTTAAGGCACAAAGTGTTCAGTGCTTGAATCTATCTTTCCAGGAATCACAGAGTTTATTTATGCTTTTATGCTACAAAAGAAGGAGTATAAATTAAGGTTGCAGACAAATACTTAAGGTTTGGGCTAAGCAGTTGCACTTAGTCTATAAGTAACAGACATCAATAAAGGTGGATAAATTGGGGAAGAATCATAATGATTTGAATCTACATGATAGACAGTTTGGAGTTAATTAAAATAAGACACATGAGAGAATTGAAAAGTAGGATGTTGATCTTATTTTGACCAAAATAAGCTAGGAATATTCATAAGGCAACTAGAAATGTCGTTTTTTGTGTGTTTGAATTGCTTTTTCCAAAATTTGAACATTCAAATTTATACATTTGAGAAAAGAAATAATATGCTCAAGAGAAAGAATAGAATATAGCAGAAGGCCTGATGGCCGATTTTGAGAGACAGTCTAACTGTGGCATGAGATGACATCACAGTTTGTGTTTCCTGCTCATTTCATGTTGCACAGATTATTAAAGAGATTCTTACTGTGGATTTGAGAAAGGAAATGTACAAGGGCTACATGGAAGCCATCAAAAGCTACTGTGGTATGTAAAAAAAAATAGCAAATTACCCAAAGAAATTGGAAATTTATGTACACATAAAAATGGGTACACAGCTATTGATAGCTGCATTTTTTTCAGTGGCCCAAACTTGGAAGCAACCAAAATATCCATCAGTATGTAAATAGATAAACAAACTGGGGTCTATCCAGACAATGGAATATCATTCAGCACTAGAAACAAATGAGCTATCACGCTGTGATGGTTAATTTTCAGTGTCAACTTGACTGGATAAAGTTAATCTAGACAGCTGGTAAAGCACTATTTCTGGGTGTGTCTGTGAGGATGTTTCTGGAGAAAATTGGCATGTGAGTCCTTGAACAGAGTGGGGAAGAGCCTCCCTCAATGTGGGTGGGCACCGTCCACTTTACTGGGGACTCAGATAGAATAAAATGATAGAGGGAAGGCAATTTCACTCTTTCATTTTTGGAGCCAGAGCACCCTTCTTTTCCTGGCCCTGGACCCCAGAACTCCAGCCTTCCCTGGCCTTTGGACTCCAAGACTTGCACCAGCAGCCCCCACGTTCTCAGGCCTTCTGCCTCAGACTGAGAGTCACACTCTCATCCTCCCTGGTTCGGAGGCTTTTAGACTTGGACTGAGCCACACTGTTGACATTCCTGGTTGTCCCACTTGCAGGTGGCCTATCATGCCACTTCTCAGCCTCCATACTCACATGAGCCAATTCCCCAAATAAATCCCCTGTTTTCTATCTATTCATTTATCCATCCGTCTGTCAACCTTCTATCTATCTATCTATCTATCTATCTATCTATCTATCTATCTCTAGAGATAGGAATCTAGGAATTCTGTCTGTAGAAATCCCTCACTAATACACATGCTGTGAAAATACATAGAGGAAACTTAAATGTATATTACCGCGTGAAAGAAGCCTATCTGAAAAGTCTACACACTGCATGATTCCAACTATGTGACATTCTAGAAAAGCCAAAACTATGCAGACAGTGAAAAGATTTGTGGTGGACAGGGGTTAGAGGGGAGAAAGATGGACAGGCAGAGCACAGTGGATTTTTAGGACAGTGAAACCACTCTGTATACTATAATGTGATCTACGTCATTACACATTCGTCCAAACCCACAGAATGTAAAACATCAAGAGTGAAGCCTCATGTAAACTATGTATTTTGGGTGATAATGATGTGTCCATGTAGGTTTATTGATTATAACAAATGCACCACTGCTGTGTGGAATGTTGATAGCAGCGGAGGCTGCACATGGGTGGGGACAGAGGGTTATGGGAACTCTGTACTTTCTGCTCAAATTTGCCGCAAACCTAAACAAAGAATTGTATATTAATTTTTTAAAAATGTATAGCAGAAAACTTGAAGATATTCACTCTGACTAAAGGGAGAGAATTTAAGCACGAACAAAAAAGGTTGAAAGGATTACATATATCTAAAATTCATGAGTTGATAAAGATTTTTTTTTTTTTTAAAAGAAACACCTCCTTGTTTTCAATCAGAGTTTGCTAAGGTGCCCATATACGATTTGGAAAATTGGCAAGATTTGCATTCATCCTGCCATACATCTCTGAGTTTTCTTTTAGGTTAACTTTCTAATTTTTGGAAAAGACTCCATAAGGGATGATAAAATTAGAAAAATACTGTATTGCGATCTGTAATGTAATAATGAATTTAGACAACATTCGATGGATCAGTGGATGATGTAAGCATTAGGTGAAGAGTTGATGGGGAATGTTATGAGAAAAGTTCAGACTGCACGTTACCCAGTGATATCAGCATCACCAAAAGAGACCACAGATGCATAAGTGCCTCAAAATGTGATGAAATGGAGAGTGTGAGGCATGGCCTCTAAAATTTATCATGTACAGACGTAATTGAACTGTTAGCTAATTAATTTTCTAGGTCTAACTACTTTTGCAACATCTGGAAGAAATAGAGGAACAAGTTAACTCATATAAGGAAGAAGCAATAAACTAAATGCGGAAAGTTGGACATTCTTTAGGGCTGGTTTTGATGATTAAAGAAGAAAAAAAATGGAGAGTAAAATAGATGTAGAAGACATAACAACCAAAATTAATACTTGTGCTTATTTAAATGCTGAATTAAACAAATATGGTATAAGAAGAATATTTTGTTTGATTCAATTGGAAACTTTCAGATATGAAGCAGATATTAAATACTATTCAAATAATACTAAGTGATTAAGGTCAAAATTGTTAGGTTAATTCCATATTGTTATGTAAAATTTTAATATGATTTTCATTTAGGACAACATACTGGTTTCAGTGGAGAGGTGGTATGATATCTGGAATTTGCTTTAAAATCCTGCAGCAAAAATTAATTAAAATATATAAATAAGTAAATACAATAAAAACAAGTGGGGTGATTAGAAAAGATTGAAAGCATGTTCACAATGATTAAAGCTTGTTTCTAGATTTGTGGGAGTTCACTATAATATTCTCTCTACTTTCTTTGTTTCAAAATTTCCATAATAAACAATTAGAAAAAAGTATTCACGTATCTATTTGTTACCTACATCAATAATTTTCTCTTCCTTATGAGTTTACTCCTTTTAGCTTATAAACAATCTGCCGGCTCCCCCACATAATGAAACAACAGCACTTATCTGCTTCTGTAAAAACAAAAAAGTGCTTTAAAACAGGTAGGTGTCTGTATTTGCTTTCTCCTATTTTCTATTCCCCATTGTCTCTCAAACCCACTACGGTCAGGAGGATTTTCCACCACTTCACTGAAGCCATGCTTGTCAGTTTTACCGAAAACTCTCATATGGGACATTTCCCAGTTCACTCTACAATTCTTAGGTCTTACGCCAATGAACAGCAGTATTTGACCCAGTAGAATGTCGTTTCTTCCTCAATATACTTTCATCTCTCGGTTTCCTTTATACTGTGCTGCTTTGGTTTTCCTCGTACCTCACTGATCACTTTTGCCTTTGTTGCTGAGCTCTCCTATGGATGCTGACCTTGGGGAGCCTAGCAATGGCTTTAAATGTCATGTCCATGCTGATGATTGCCAAGTACATCTCATCAACTCGCCCCTCTCACGAACGTCTGAAAAGCTTACCTGTACACCTGACATTCCTAACTTCATTCTCATAGATAGACATTTCATTCTTTACATCTCCAGAATTGAGTTTCTGGTCTTTCCTCATAAATCTGCTTCACCGGCCGGGCATGGTGGCTCAGGCACGTAATCCCAGCACTTTGGGCGGCCGAGGCAGGTGGATCACGAGGTCAGGAGGTCAAGACCAGCTTGGCCAAGATGGTGAAACCTCGTCTCTACTAAAACTACAAAAATTAGCCGGGCGTGGTGGCAGGCCCCTGTAATCTCAGCTACTCGGGAGGCTCAGGCAGGAGAATCTCTTAAACCTGGGCGGCAGTGGTTGCAGTGAGCTGAGATCTCTCCACTGCACTCCGGCCTAGGCAACAGAGTGAGATTCCATCTCAAAAAAAAAAAAAAAAAAAAATGCTTCACCTGCAGCCTTTCCTGATTAAATTGATGAAAATTATATCCTTTTAATTACAGTGTCAGATAATTAGAGTTGTTCTTGATTTCTCTCTTTTTCAAACAGTCCACATCCAATCCATCAGGAAACCCTGATGTCTTTCAAAATATATTTAAATATGTCCTCACCTCCCTTTTCCTATTACCACTGTCCTGTGAGCTAAAGATTTTTGGGAAATAGCTTTTAAAGAATCTCCATGGTTCTGCCCTTTCCCTCCTCGCTCCCTCTAGTATACTCTGAATGAAAAAGTTACAGAAATCTGTTTTTAATATAATCTGATTAATATAAAATCTTCATTCAAAAACCTATGGATTTGTTTCATTGAGAGGCAAAGCCCAAGCCCTAGATTGAGATCCGGGTCCTTCTGTCTGTGGGCTTCCCTCCTGTTAAGACTGAACCGTGTAAAAGTGCGTGGTCCCAGCTTGGGGATTTTATATTGACCTTGTTAAAAGAAAATCCTTAGCCAAATTAAATTTAACAGAGATTAATTGAGCAAAGAACACTTCACCAATCCAGCAGCCTCTGGAGCCAGAGTATGCTCAGAGAGACTCCAGTACAGCCATGTGGTGGAAGAGGATTCATGGACAGGAAAAGCAAAAAGTCATATAGAATAACTGGTGACAGCTCAGCTTTTCCCTTGTTGGAACACAGTTTGAACAGATGGTCCCTTTTGATTGGCCAAAGCTCAGTGATTGGCACAACCTCAGTTACCGTCTGCTTACATCTCCATTTAGGTTACGGTTCACTGTGTACAGAGAAACCTTTAGGCTGGACTTAAAATATATAAGGTGGCAGTTTTAGGAGAAAGTTAATTTAACACCCTATAATGCAAAATTATTGATGCAAATTATATACGACACTATCTTTAATATTGAACAATCGAATTACTTTTTTTATTTTTAACACTAAGTTTTACATGAGTTAATCACAAGGTTCAGAAGACTGAATACTTTTCCAAAGTGAGTATACAACTGAGTCAAAATTTTAATCCAGGTCTTTCTCTGACTCTGGGGTGCTTATTCTTACCATTAAAGTACACTGCTTCCAATGCAATGATGGAGAAATTGGATTCCCCATTGTTCATAGACATTTGTAAATATGTAGAAAGATCTCCACTATTTTCATTTTTACTAATATTGCACAGTAAGTTTTATTCACTATTACTAGTAGAAATTATTTCCCAGTGCTAATGTCTTGTCCTAATCACATTTTAGATTTTACAAACTAATACTGAAAATGGTTTTGTCTGAATTCTAATTCTCTGTTCTGAGCATTGATTGGCTTTTGAAAAAAGGTTTCAAATAAACTTAAATAAATTTGAAGCTATTGCTTACTTTATTTTCCACTTCATTTTCTTTCCAGTGTAAATATATATATATAGTTCTGGAAATTAGTTTTTTTTCTTACAAATCTTCAATCAAAGGTTTAGTGTGTTCAGGGGATCCACTAGCATGCCACAGGATCATAAATTTACTTCTAGGGTAGTGTTCTAAGGTCTGCTCAGCTATCATCATCAGCGTGGTAGTTTACTTTTTCCACTGGAAGTAAATGCAGTTTATATAACCTATTCGTGTCACTGACAGTGGCCAAATACTTCAAATTGTGCCATACATTTTACAGTCTCAAAACTCTGTGAGCATAACATGAAATGAACATTTGCTTCTGAAGGTCCCTAGCATGCCCTTATCTGTGTGATAATCCGTGGGTGGCCAACAATACCATGCTAACATATTTCTGAGCAGTGTGCAGCATATACATTTCTTAATAACTCAAGATTGATACTACCTTATTAAAATGTAATGTGGGGTTTTATTCCTGTTAGAGTTAGTTTGAAATCATGCTTATAATCATAGGTAATTTCATTGGCATATGTAAATTTAAAATAAGAATTCAAATGCCTCATAATTAAAAAATCTATCAAATTTGGAAAATTCTGTGTGTGAATTTCTTATATCAAGATAGCAGGCTAAGATAAGGGTAACTTTTCTGTCCTCTGACGTTAATGAAGAAGTTCAGACTTGCTGTTTGAGGCACATGATTAAGGAACATTTGCATATCCTCCAGTGCAATACTCAAGCAGTGTCTCATGCAAGAAACAAACTCCCAATACTCTTGTTTTTGCCCTTAACTTTCCTTTTCTCTGTAAAGTTGAATGGTTTGACTTTCATCTTAACAAATGCAAATATTCTAAGCCAAGGTTCATGTCTCTATGATTCATTGCAATACCAAAAGGAAAACAACATATCTGAGTAATGACACATACAACCACTTAAAATTTGGTGTCTGACCCAAAAATCAATTCCGGATTAATGAGTGACAAGAGTCAGATAAAACTATGTTCCTTATTTGCTCAGGCTTAATTTGATTTTCCCAAGCTCAGTTCATGTAATGATAAATTATTGACTAACTCCGAGGGCCCTGCTAACAGAAGTTGTATTGCCGTGAAACCTACTTCACGTGGTTCTCACGGGGCACTTTTCTGGGTGTATACACACAAATGGAATTTATTCTTCTACCTGCCTCAAGGATGAATCGTTATTTGAGTGCTTGGTGCTCTTAAGAATTATGCAGCCCTTATTTCTGGCCAGGATCTTGATGAAACATTTTGCTTCTTGGTTTCAGTTTGTGCAGTTCACCACTTATTCTACCACAGAATCTACCTCAGTCCTTCCACGCTTCATGTTCATTCACTGTGGACCTGAAGGAAACACACTTGCTCTTTTATTAGTGCATGGAGACATAATGAGATAATTTTTTAAAAAACAATAAAATACCCTTGGACAGGTTTCCCAAGAAATTTTCAATCACCCCATAAACAAAGAGACTTTGACAATAATTCTACCTATTGGCTTTATATCTGATGTTATTTTCTAGATTGCTACATAGAGGTGGATTAAGGATTATGTGTCTAACAGTGATTTATAAGTTGAACCTAACACATCATTCTTAAAATTCAACTAATGTCATCCCTCAGAAGTTGCAATAAAATGTCCTTTGCATTTGATATTATTTTGATACTTGATTTTGGTACTCCAGAAGTACTAGTATGGCACAAATACTATTCCGGTGTAATATTATAGCATGAATTCTACTTTAAACTATTTTTTGATATTTGTTATTGTAAAATATTTAAATGTTAAGTAACAGTAAAAAATTATGATTACTTTTAATCTTATTCATAAATCACTATTATGAATGAGCAGGTGGATAGTGCCCTGGATTTTTATATCCATTTACAGACACATATTTGGTTATAAAATATAAGAACATGCTCTCTGAATTATCTCAAAGTTTTTTTTAAAAAGTACATTGCATATACATTTTCCCATCTGTATATGGAAATGTATTTCATTCTTTAAATAACTGCAGACTATGACCTATTACGTGCAGGTATTCATTTATACATGTATACAAATTACTTTATGTAACAAGACATTTTAGATTGTTTCCAATTTAAAAATATTATTGTAAATAATGCTGTAAAGAACATTCTCCTGCTTAATTTTTGTCTGTTTCTACATGATAATTTCCTAGAAGTAAAATTTCTAGGTCAGAGGATATAAAAAAAGTGTATATATTAATATTATTAGTGATCTATTTTATGCTAAAATTGTTGAGCCCATTTATAATCTCAGCTGTAATATATTTTTCAAAATCCTGCTTTCAATAAGCTTACTATGACTATAATTCTTTTTGTTGTTGTTGTTAGGGTATCTCATATTGCTCTGATTCTCATTTACTGGATTAATTCCACATTGTTTAGAAGATATTTTGCATAATCGCAGTCCTTTGAAATTTGTTGAAACTTTGGCTTATCATCTTGGTAATTTCGGAAAATGTTCCATTAACACTTTTAATGAATGTGTATTCTGAAATTATTGGTACTACAATACTTCTTATTCTTGAGTCAAGTTTATAAGTATTATTATCAAGAATAAGAATACTTCTTATCCTTGAGTCAAGTTTATTCATTGGTATCATGTCTCCTTTGATTTAATATATCCTTTCATTTGAGAACTGAGTCAAAATTGCCAACTATGGTCCCCAAATACCTTTTGGAATTGATAGTTTTTTTTTGGTTTTAAATATTTCAAGTAAATATTTATAATTATGTATGTATGTATGTATTTATTTATTTATTTATTTTTTGAGACAGAGTCTCACTCTGTGGCCCAGGCTGGAGTGCAGTGGTGCGATCTCAGCTTACTGCAACCTCTGCCTCCCGGGTTGAAGCAATTCTTCTGCCTCAGCCTCCCAAGTAGCTGGGACTACAGGCGTGCACCACCATGCCAGGCTAATTTTTGTATTTTTAGTAGAGACAGGGTTGCACCATATTGGCCAGGCTGGTCTTGAACACCTGACCTCATGATCCGCCTGTGTCAGCTTCTCAAAATGCTGGGATTACAGGCATGAGCCACTGTACCTGGCCAATACTTATAATTATTTTACTGGAAGATTGACCGTGTTTTAGTTGTACAATGTCTTCATAACTCCAGTATTTTTCATTTTTACCTTCAACTCTACTTTTTCTGATAAAATATATCAGGTATTTTAACCATATTTCAGCTAATGTTTGCATAGTATTTCTTATTCCAGTCATAACTTTCATCTTTTTTGTACGCTGATTATTAAAATGTATACAATTCACATATCACAGGTTTTAAAATTCAATCTGACAATCTGTTTTTTAATTGAAGTATTTTATCTATTTATAGTTAATGTAATGACAAATACAGTGTGTTTAGATCTATCATCTAGTATTTCTTTTCAATGCTCTTTAACTTTCACTTTCATTCTTTTTTTTCTTTCAGACATTTTATTTTGAATAAATAAAGAAAAAGCCAATTTTCTTTACTTTTTATTATCCTTTAGTTATATATTTATAAGGCCGCGGTCATGGTTAGTAGTTTTTTGTTTTTTTTTTTTCATGAAGGTATGGTATCTTTATTTCATTGTTTTTGGATTTTTTTACATAGATTTGTTGACCCTGCTTTAGTTTGTGGCCCTTTGTGACTCTGGGGCTTGATACTGTTCAGATGTTTTAGAAACTTATTGATCATGATCAGATAGTGTTTCTGATCTATTCTCTCCTCGTTGCTCTTCTTGGATTCCAAATTTACGCTATGTTCCATCTATCTCTTCTGCTGTCTTTTATATTTTCCTACTACTCTACTTTTCATAATTTACTCATGTCTAGGCACTGAACATCCTTTTTTTTCCTCCCATGCATTTTGAGCCCAGTGAAAACTCTAATTAGCTTCTTAGACTCAGCTGCTGCTTTCTGTTAGGCTTCTCAGCCTCTAGGCTCCAAGAAATTTGCAGATACACTGAGGGAAATGTGGCACCAAATATTGGGCTTCCATGGCTGTACTTGCCAACTTTGGCATCTTCACTCTCAAGGTTGTCTGCCCTGGGAGCCAAGAATTGTAATTTTTGTCTCTGCAGTGCTGTGCAACTCCCGATAGCCCTCATCAGCTTTTGTCCTGGTAGCTGCTACCTTTTTCTCTTACCTATTTCTCAATCAAATAAAGAAAATTAATGTAAGAATTCTGAGTCATAGCTCCTTGTATCACATCAACAGTGATTACAATTTTTAGCTCATGAAGAAAATTACCATGATTGCTCTCCTACAAATAATTCATTATTCACTTATTTTTCAGGACACTTACAGGAGATCTATATTTGGCTAAAATTTTGCTAATTTTTCTACTTTATAAAAAAGATTGTCAACTTGAAAAATATCAGTTCTTGGAATATCTTCAAAATTTGTCAAGTTCAATTGATTTTTTGAAGTGTTTCATTTATCCTGGAATCTTATATTATTTCAGGTACAATAGATTATACTTTACGGTTGAAAACATTTTTTTTTATTTTGTATTACTCCATATAGCGTTCTGCCTGCCACAGAACAGTTATTTCTTCATAATTGATTTCTTTTCTTTTTTTTTTTTTTTTTTTGAGATGGAGTCTCGCTGTCGCCCAGGCTGGAGTGCGGTGGCGCGATCTCGGCTCACTGCAGGCTCCGCCTCCCAGGTTCACGCCATTCTCCTGCCTCAGCCTCCCGCGTAGCTGGGACTACAGGCGCCCGCCACCACGCCTGGCTAATTTTTTGTATTTTTTTTTTAGTAGAGACGGGGTTTCACCGTGTTAGCCAGGATGGTCTCGATCTCCTGACCTTGTGATCCGCCTGCCTTGGCCTCCGAAAGTGCTGGGATTACAGGCATGAGCCACCGCGCCCGGCCCATAATTGATTTCTTTAGAGCCATCATCATATTCTTACATTAACGTACTGGTAAGGGAAATTTTTCCACTTCTCAAAAAGATTTTAATCAGTTGTTATTTTCAGTTAAAAATAAACATAACTTTTATAAAGATTAAGAAAATAGCATAAATCACTGGCACATAGAGAAACTTTCATATAACTATAAATATTAAAATATGCCCTATATTGAATCTTGTTGTGCTTGTTCAGTCATATTCTAAGTAACAGTATTAACTTAAGAAGAGGGATTCCATGTTTTCTGGGCCAGTTTTGCACAATTTGTGCCTCAAAGTTTGCCTGCATGGAAATGCCAGCTAATTTTTTCACTGCAAAGTTTTCATAATCTGCTATTTGGATGAAAACTAACAGCATATATCACCTTATTTTAAAATACAAAATGTCGCATTGATAAAACATCCTGTTCTAGTTTCTATTGCCACTTAACACACCATCCTGAATTTAGGAGCTTAAAACTGTGGTGAATGTATTCTTACGATTTTGTGGGTTAGAAATTGAGGAAGGTCTTGGCAATTTCCTTGCTCTAGTCTGGTGTTAAATGGTTTTCTGCTGATAGCAGGGGGGCAGGGCCACATTGTTCAAGATGATTCCACCGACAGGCTTGCTACCTCTACCTCGGTGGGAAAAGGTAACCCTGATTGCTATCTCTCTCCCTCCATGTGGCTTCTGGGCTGCTTCATGAGGGTTCTCTAATAGAGCAGTCATATTCTCTACATGACATTTCTAGGCTTGAGAGCAGCATGGGAACTGCCACTCTTCGAAAAGGCTATCCAGAAACGGTGTACCACTCTTTCCATTTTACCTTAGTATCAGAGAAGTCACAGGCAAGACCAAATTCAAGGAGAACAGAAATAGATCCCACTTTTTAATGGGAGGATTGTTAAATAAATTATATGTATTTGTTTAATACAATGCTGTATAAATCAGCATTATTACTAATACTATTAATGCTAACAAATATATCCACTGCATTTTCTCATGATTTTTAAACCTTTTCTCTAAATGCATACCAACAGGAAGGCTATTGAATTATTACTATGTTGAGCCCAAAGCCATTTTTTTGGAAATTATAATAATTTCTTCCTGATTGTTATGAGCATTTTTATATTATCAGTAATTCAAACGTGACCCACCTGTTTTTTCTAAGTGCTTCCTATGGTTTGATTATTTGAGATATTATAATTTGTTTCCTGAATTTATTTTTCATATTTCACACCAAGAAGGCATTCCATAGACATTTCTTTTTTTTTTTTTTTTTTTTTTTTTTGAGACAAAGTCTCGCTCTGGCCCAGGCTGGAGTGCAGTGGTGTGATCTCGGCTCACTGCAAGCTCCGTCTCCCAGGTTCATGCTATTCTCCTGCCTCAGCCTCCCAAGTAGCTGGGACTATAGGCACCCACTACCATGCCCGGCTAATTGTTTTGTATTTTTAAAAGAGATGGGGTTTCACCATGTTAGCCAGGATGGTCTCGATCTCCTGACCTCGTGATCGCCCACCTCGGCCTCCCAAAGTGCTGGGCCATAGACATTTTAGCAAATAGCATTTATCCCATCATTCTTCTTGAGATTTTGTGTCTTGTTTGGTTTGGTTCTATAGATTTACAGAAAAGATGATAATATGGGATTATGTGATATTTGTGTAATACTATTAAATCAAAGAACTGATAAGCCAGTGACCAGAATGAGTTAAATTGTTGCCTAATAAACTTCACTTACATGAGGGAGTAGTTAATAAATGGAATAATTCTGAAGACCTATAAAATTAGTTGGGAGAACTAGATACATATGCAGATTGGACTAAGGCTAAATTTATAATGAATGTTCCCTGGAAAAGCAGATAGACATTGGAGTTAGGTATATATTTAGAAATGAAAATATTCCTATGGTATTTTTATGTGATTAAAAAATACAGAGCTTCAACTGGAAATCTTCTATTTTATAATAATTTGCCAGATTATAGAAAACAACTATCAGAAGTAAAACATGTATAATATCTACAGGGATAATTAATTTCTTAAGAATATATTTCAAAGCCACATCACTGTAATATTGATGCAAAGCAGAATTCTTGGGGAAAAAAACCATCAAATATTTGCATCTTTATCACATCATCACTTTGATCACTGAATCACTGTCAGCTGATATATCTAGCTAATGATGGAACTTCTGTGGAGGTCCTC
This sequence comes from Homo sapiens, assembly GCF_000001405.40. Lineage (NCBI taxonomy): Eukaryota > Metazoa > Chordata > Mammalia > Primates > Hominidae > Homo > Homo sapiens. Next base: position 73,334,496 of record NC_000018.10, on the reverse strand, counting down.
CAATTTAGAGATTTTTCTGAGAAAGGGGAACAGGAGATTCTAAATTCTTAATAAGGTCAATCCAATTATTAACATGAAAAAGAATGACTGTTCAACCTAATCAGGAAGCATATTCTAGTATTATAAAAGTTTCTTAGAGCATACACACACACACACACACACACACACACACACACACACACACATATGTAGCCCCATTAGTAAGCTTCTAATAAAAGAGTGAAAAAATAGTAGAGCTAATTTAATGGGGAAAACCAAATGAAGAATGTAAGATCATGTACCCTTAACAGATGTCCTAATTAGATGTCATTAAGGAGACTATTCGGTGAATTAAAATTGAGCCTTTCACTTACTACCAAAAATATATCTATATCGTTTAATTTAAAATGGAGCTGTTATATAGGCTGAAATACCCACCTGTGAAATAGGAAAGTAGGTCTGAATTGTCTGGAATCGGTCTGTCATGCTCATTACAGTTCTAGGTCACTAAGGGGACATTGGATATCTAACACTACTAACTGAAATTTTTAAATGGAGAATAAGGCAAACTAGTTTTCACAAAGGTTCATGAAGATTTATAAATAGTTCACAAGGTCTTTGAGGATGTTTTAAAATTTGTTCTTTGATACAAAATAAAGTATTACATTATACAGATTTTTTTTTTCATTTTTAATGGTAACTTCCTGTGGAAACACATTTTGAAAGAATAATAATTTAGTTTTTCAGGCCAACATTTCTCAAACTAGGAAGTAAGCCATAAACCCGTTAAGCCCTCTGGGATATTGGAGGCATGTATTTTTCTTTTTAACAAAGATTTTTATAATATTCAAGCGTGACATACAAAGCAGCGATTAATGCATTTTTCCCCCTGCTGCTTAGTTAGTGCTATACAGAGAAACACGTGATGAACATCGGAATGGTATTAGTGTTCCTAATAATATTTACCTATATTTACTAATAAATTTCTTGTAATTAGATACAAGAATGACAAAATATAGTAGCAAAACTCGAAACCTTAGCCGGGCACGGAGGCGCATTCCTGTAGTCCCAGCTACTTGAGACCTGAGGTGGGAAGATTGCTTGAGCCAGTAGATGCGTTACTATGTTGCTGAGGCAGGCCAGCCTGTGCAATATAGCAGTAGATCTCTTAAAACAAGACAAAAAATACTTCCTAATCTTGTAAATGTGTTTATAGAATTCCCTTTTGTGTTCAGTCCACCTGTTCTTGTCCGTTTGGCTAATGTCCAATTGACTTTTGTTAAATTCTCTAAGGGAAGGCTCCCCATTTAACCAATCAGAATAGGTGAGGCCCAGGCATCCTTCCATTCCATACCTCCAACCTGGTGCCTCACCTAGGATCCAATGATGCTTCTGGGGGATTACACAAAAGGAGTCAAATTGGGGAAGATTTTAGGATAAAGTTGTATTGCTATAAAGCAGTAATAAACTCTACAAGTGTGAGAACATAAAAAGCAGAGAGATCTGAGAAAGAATGAATCTCCTTAATCCTGAAGGTATAAATATTTTATTTATATAATCCCTAAATCTCCTAATACATCGCATTCAATATGTGTTTAAAAGAGTAGATTCCTGTGCTGATTAACAAACATACCTATGGTTGACTGATGAGCCATTGAACTTAGAGGTCCGCTTTACATCATGTGTGATTATGATACCCCTTCTAACGTACAGAAAGTTCTTTCTCCGGGAATCAGTTTGTCAATATATGTAACCAATTATTAAATGGAGCAGGACTCCAAGCACTAGCAGGGCACCTCTCTTTATTTTTCTATAATCACATTCTTTAAACTTGCTCTTTCCAAGTGTCCTTCACTACCATTTAACAGCATCTGGGTGTAACTAAAACTTTCTTTTTAATTTCAGGACTCATTATCTTTCAGAACGACTTTCTTACCTCCTCTTCACAAACTTTCTCCCCTTCTCCCAGCTCAGATCTGGCTCTGCTGGTATTGCTGGCTCTCACTTTCCTTCTTGCTCTTCAGTTTCTCCTTGAACAACAAATCTTCAAGGTCTCTAGGGAAGAAGGAACAGACTTCACATAAAAGACAAAATAAGTTTTTATTTGATAGGTGTAAAATGTATTTTTCTTAGTTAACAACCACAAGGAATAGTTCAGAAGTCAATATTTCTGGGTCCCTCAGGAGCCAAAGCACTTGATTTTAATGCAGTTGAATTTATGTTAATGTCCTTTCATACAGATTGCAATTTTTTTTTTACTTAAGAAATCCTATCTAAGGTTGTAATGATATGTTTCCACATTGCTTTTGAAAATGTGTTTTGCAATGGATTTTTAATATACATTAATAGGCATTAATTTTGACACTGGTTCGATTTTTTTTTTTCCATGTGGATTCTGAATTGACCCAATAACACTCATTTTATAGGCCGTATTTTTCTACTCACTTGAAATCCAAGCCTTGTCATTAATCAAAGCTTAATTTGTGCTTTGTTCCTTTTGGACTCTTTATTTTTCCATCCATTTGACTATTCCTGTTCTAATACTCCATTATCTTAATTCTTAAACAATGACACGTTAATTCTTGATAGAGATTCAGAAAAATCACCTCATCTTGTTTTATTCTTAGTCATTTGCATTTCTACATACATTTAAAAATATTCCTGTCAATTTGTATGCAATCACACACACATTTCACACTTGTGTGCATGTATTTTCACAAGATTTTTTATGGGAATTGCATTGGATCTATACATCAATTTGATTAGAAGTCATATTTTTAGAGAAAGGGAAAGAGGTGTGTGTCTAATATATATACAGAGAGAGATTATGTAAGTAGTAGGCTCACTGAATTTGGGAGACTGATAAATTCAAAATCTGCAGGCCAGGCAGCAGGCTGGATGCGTGCTCAAGGAAGAGTGGATGTCACAGCTGGAGTCCAAAGGCCCTCTAATTGTCAGGTTTCCCTCTTCCTAGGGGAGGTCTGTCTCTTTCTTAAGCCTTCAACTGATGGCATGAATCTCACCCATGTTATGGAGGGTACTATACTTTTCTCATATTCTACTTATGTGTTAATTTCATCTAAAAATACCTGCCCAGCAACATGTAGACCTGTTTCAACAAGTATCTGTGTACTATGGGCTAAACAAGTTTACACATAAATTAACTATCCTGTATAATATGGTTTGGCTCTGGGTCCCTACCTAAATCTAACCTTGAATTGTAGTAATTTTCATGTGTCCTGAGAGGGACCCAGTGGGAGGTAACTGAATCACGGGGGCGGGTCTTTCCCATGTTGCTCTCCGTTAGTGAATAAGTCTCACGAGATCTGATGATTTTATAAATCATCAGATTTATAAAAGCTCTCTCTTGCCTGCCACCATACAAGACGTGACTTTGCTCCTCCTTTGCCTTCTGCCATGATTGTCAGGCTTCCCCAGCCATGTGGAATTGTGAGTCTATTGAACTGCTTTCCTTTATAAATTGTATTACGTGACTTTGCTCCTCAGGTATGTCTTTATTAGCAGTGTGAGAACAGACAAATACACAGTATATGGTTATATATAGTTTTATATGGATATAGTTGTATAACTGTTAAACCTTATAATTACATACAGCTGAATATTGTATTTCACACACACCTACCTGTAAAACTACATACGTTTTTTTAAAACAAGATTTTTATTTTGCTCTACCTTCTTCATGAGTTCTAATAACCTATCAGTCAACTTGTTTTTTATATGAACAAGCATGTTATCTATAAAGATGTTTGATTTATTACTTTTCAATCATTTAATTACACAGTTATAAGAGATATAATTGACTTATTCCTGATCTTTAACAAATAAGATTTCAATTTTACCACTAATTTATGACATTTGTTATGGATTTTTTGTGATAACCTATTTTAGTCTAAGGGATCTTTCTTCTAAATTTAGTTTATATGTTATTTTAAATAATTTATTCCAAGTTATATTAAATCCTTTTCAGCACCTACTGAGGTAATCTCTATTATAATTTGATAATATCTTGAATTAGTGAATTTGTTCTAATAATATACAATCTTGCATTCTTGATAGGAAACTAATTAGTTTTAATATATTACCAATTTATTATACATTGCTGGATTCATCTTACTAACTTATGTTTAAGATACTTTTCATGTGCGTCCATGTGAAGAGGCCACCAAACAGGCTTTGTGTGAGCAACATGGCTGTTTATTTCACCTGGGGGCAGGCCGGATGAGTCCGAAAAGAGTCAGCGAAGGGAGATAGGGGTGGGGCCGTTTTATAGGATTTGGGAAGTTAATGGAAAATTACAGTCAAAGGGGGTTGTTCTCTGGTGGGCAGGGGCGGGGGTCACAAGGTGCTCAGTGGGGGAGCTTCTGAGCCAGGAGAAGGAAATTCACAGGGTTAATCACTCAGTTAAGGTGGGGCAGGAACAAATCACAATAGTGGAATGTCATCAGTTAAGGCGGGGCAGGGCCTTTTCACTTCTTTTGTGATTCTTCAGTTACTTCAGGCCATCTGGGCATAAACATGCAAGTCACAGGGGATGCGATGGCTTGGCTTGGGCTCAGAGGCCTGACATTCCTGCCTTCTTATATTAATAAGAAAAATAAAACAAAATAGTGTTGAAGTATTAGGGTGGCGAAAATTTTTGGGGGTGGTATGGAGAGAGAATGGGTGATGTTTCTCAGGGCTGCTTCAAGCAGGATTAGGGGCAGTGTGGGAACCTAGAGTGGGAGAGATTAAGCTGAAGGGAGGTCTTGTGGTAAGGGGTGGTATTGTGGGGTTGTTAGAAGAAACATTTGTCATATAGAATGATTGGTGATGGCCTGGATACGGTTTTGTATGAATTGAAAAACTAAATGGAATAAGAGAAGGAGAAAAACAGGTATAAAAGGTCCTTAGACCTAAGACATCTGATTAGAGAGTGCCTAAGGAGATTCAGCATAGTCCTGCCAGCCAAGATTATTTATTTACTTCAAGAGTTAAGTGTGGCAGTTTGGGGATAGCACCAGGAGATATCAGCTGTGATGGCTTGGAGAAACAGTGTAAACAGGCAGTGTAAACAAGAGCAGGGCATGTATGAGTAGTTGAGAACGGTGAATAGGAGTATGACTAGACAGAAGATAGTAGGGATGACAAGTTTTTTTGGGGGGCACAGTCTAAGTTGGTCTGGTGTCTGGAATGAGACTGGGGCCTAATAAAAAGGAGCGTCTATACAGGAGCTCAAATGGGCTGTACCCTATAGCATTCCGAGGACAGGCCTGAATTCTGAGAAGGGAAAGTGGTAAAAATATTGTCCAGTCCTTTTTAAGTTGGTGGCTGAGCTTGGTGAGGTGTGTTTTTAAAAGACCTTTAGTCCATTCTACTTTTCTTGAAGACGGAGGACCCTAAGGGATATAAAAGTTTCACTGAATGCTAAGAGCCTGAAAAACTGCTTGGCTGATTTGACTAATAAAGGCTGGTCTGTTATCAGACTGTATAGAGGTGGGAAGGCTAAACTGAGGAATTATGTCTGACAGAAGGGAAGAAATGACTGTGGTGGCCTTCTCAGACCCTGTAGGAAAGGCCTTTACTTATTCAGTGAAAGTGTCTATTTAGACTAAGAGGTATTTTAGTTTCCTGACTCGGGACATGTTGAGTAAAGCTAATTTGCCAGTCCTGGGTGGGGGCAAATCCTCGAGCTTGATGTGTAGGGAAGGGAGGGGGCCTGAATAATCCCTGAGGAGTAGTAGAATAGCAGATGGAACACTGAGAAGTTATTTCCTTGAGGATAGATTTCCACGATGGAAAGGAAATGAGAGGTTCTGAGAGGCGGGCTAGTGGCTTGTACTATAGCATAGCCTGCCTTTGCTGGTGTGTGGCGATTAGGCCTGGTGGAACTGCCATCAATAAATCAAGTGTGATCAGGGTGAGGAACAGGAAAGAAGGAAATATGGGGAAATGGGGTGAATATCAGGAGGATCAGAGAGATACAGTCATGAGGGTCAGGTGTGGTATCAGGAATAATGTGGGAGGCCAGATTGAAGTCCGGGCCAGGAACAATGGTAATTGTGGGACTTAAAGAGTGAGTACAGCTGAAGGAGCCGGAGAGCAGAAAGTATATGCGTCAGGTATGAGGAAGAAAATAGATTTTGGAAGTTATGAGAAATGTAGAGAGTGAGTTGAGCATAGTTTGTGATTTTTAGGGCCTCTAACAGTGTTAAAGCAGCGGCAGCCACTGCACACAGACATGAGGGCTAGGCTAAAACAGTAAGGTCAAGTTGTTTGGACAGAAAGGCTACAGGGTGTGGTCCTGGCTCTTGTATAAGAATTCTGACCATGCTAACCATGCCTAGGAAGGAAAGGAGTTGTTGTTTTGTAGAAGGTGCTGGGGTTTGAGAGATCAGTCAGACACGATTGGCAGGGAGAGCACGTGTGCTTTTATGAGAATTATGCTGAATTAGGTAACAGATGAGGAAGAAATTTGGGCTTGATTGAAGTAATGGGGGCTGTCTGTGAAGCTTTGCAGCAGTACAGCCTAGGTAATTTGCTGAGCTTGATGGGTGTCAGGGTCAGTCCAAGTGAAAGTGAAGAGAGGCTGGGATGAAGGGTGCAAAGAAATAGTAAAGAAAGCATGTTTGAGATCTAGAACAGAATAATGGGTTATAGAGGCAGGTATTGAGGATAGGAGAGTATATGGGTTTGGCACTATGGGGTGGATAGGCAAAACAATTTGGTTGATAAGGCGCAGATCCTGAACTAACTTGTAAGGCTTGTCTGGTTTTAGGACAGGTAAAATGGAGAAATTGTAAGGAGAGTTTATAGGCTTTGAAAGGCCATGCTGTAGCAGGCGAGTGATAACAGGCTTTAATCTTTTTAAAGCGTGCTGCAGGATGGGATATTGGCATTGAGTGGGGTAAGGGTGATTAGGTTTTAATGAGATGGTAAGGGGTGCATGATCCGTCGCCAAGGAGGGAGTAGAGGTATCTTATACTTGTGGGTTAAGGTGGGGGGATACAAGAGGAGGACGCAAAGGAGGCTTTGGATTGGGAAGAAGGGCGGCAATGAGATATAGCTGTAGTTCAGGAATAGTCAGGGAAGCAGATAATTTAGTTAAAGTGTTTCAGCCTAATAAAGGAACTGGGCAGGTGGGGATAACTAAAAAGGAGTGCTTAAAAGAGTGTTGTCTAAGTTGGCACCACAGTTGGGGAGTTTTAAGAGGTTTAGAAGCCTGGCCGTCAATACCCACAACAGTTATGGAGGCAAGGGAAACAGGCCCTTGAAAAGAAGGTAATGTGGAGTGGGTAGCCTCCGTATTGATTAAGAAGGGGACGGGCTTACCTTCCACTGTGAGAGTTACCGAAGCTCGGCGTCCGTGATGGTCTAGGGGGCTTCCGAGGCGATCGGGCAGTGTCAGTCTTCAGCCGCTAAGCCGAGAAGATCTGGGAAGGAGTCAGTCAGAGAGCCTTGGGCCAGAGTTCCAGGGGCTCTGGCAGTGGCTGCCAGGAGAGTTGAACAGTCCGATTTTCAGTGGGGTCCCACACAGATGGGACGCGGCTTAGGAGGAATCCCGGGCTGCGGGCATTCCTTGGCCCAGTGGCCAGATTTCCGGCACGTGTAGCAAGCTCCTGTGGGAGGAGGTTCTGGAGGAACACCTGGCCGCTGCGGTTCAGGCGTTTGGAAGTTCTTGTGTGCTGGAGATGTGGCTGGGGTTTGTCTCACAGTGGAGGCAAGGAATTGCAACTTTTTTCTGTTATTGTACACCTTGAAGGTGAAGTTAATTAAGTCCTGTTGTGGGGTTTGAGGGCCAGATTCCAATTTTTGGAGTTTTATTTAATGTCGGGAGCAGATTGGGTAATAAAATGTATATTGAGAATAAGACGGCCTTTTGACCTTTTAGGGTCTAGGGCTGTAAAGCGTCTCAGGGTGGCTGCCAAACGAGCCTTGAACGGGGCTGGATTTTTATATTTGATGAAAAAGCCTAAACGCTATCTGATTTGGGATAAAGAAAAAGGAGCATTAACCTTGACTATGCCTTTGGCTTTTTAAGAGTAAATTGCTGGGCAGGTGGGGGAGGGCTAGTCACGGAACGAAACTGTAAGCCGGACCAGGTGTGAGGAGGGGAGGTGATAAAAAGATTATAGGGTGGAGGAGCAGAGGCTGAGAAAGAATTGGGACCTAGCTCGGCCTGGCGAGGAGCAGCCTGGGGAGGAAGGGAGAGGTCAGATGGGTCTGTAGAAAAGGAAGATTAGAAAGACTCAGTGACGCTTGGGGTTGGTACTGAGGGGACAGGCGGGAGGGAGAGAAGGAAGATTTGGGACGAGTTGCACTGGGCACAGAGACTAGGAAGGGACTGATGTGTAAAAGAATGCCTGGACGTCAGGCACCTCAGACCGTTTGCCTATTTTATGACAAGAATTATTTAGATCTTGCAGGATGGAAAAATTCAAAGTGCCATTTTCTGGCTATTTGGAACTACTGTTGAGTTTGTATTGGGGTCAAGCGGCATTGCAGAAGAAAATAAGGCATTTAGGTTTTAGGTCAGGTGTGAGTTGAAGAGGTTTTAAGTTCTTAAGAATATAGGCTAAGGGAGAAGGAGGAGGAATGGAAGGTGGAAGCTTGCCCATAGTGAAGGAGGCAAGCCCAGACAAGAGTAGAGACACGGAGAAGGGGTAGGGGGTCCTTGCCCTCCAGAAAAGCAGAGAAGGGGTTGGGGCACGGAAATAAGGGATTGGGGCACAGAGATAAGAGGTCATGGTGCGGAAATAAGGGATTGGGGCACAGAGATAAGAGGTTGGGGTGCGGAAATAAGCGATTGGGGGGGTTCTTGCCCCCTAGGAAAGCGGGACTTGGCTGCTAAGGGTGAAGGAGAAGGGGTTGAGGGGTACTTGCCCCTGCCCCAGGAAAGCGGAACTTGTGGCTAAGGGTGAAGGAGAAGGGGTTGGGGTACTTGCCCCTGCCCCAGGAAACCAGAGAAGGGGTAGAGACAAGGAGAGAAGGGGTTGAGGTACTTGCCCCTTCCCCAGAAAAGCGGGACTTGCCGCTAAGAGTGAAGGACCAAGGCAGGTGTCCCTGCGTGGTCTGACACCCTTGAAATGTGGGTATATAATCAGAGAGTCATCCCTGCAATGATTAAACACCAAGGGAAGGCTGCCTTCCCAGTCCGTGACCGGCGCCGGAGTTTTGGGTCCATGGATAAAACGTGTCTCCTTTGTCTCTCCCAGAAAATGAAAGGAATTGAAATTAAGAGAAGGGAGAGATTGAAGAGTGGAAAGGAGAAAGTGGTTGAGGGACAGTGAGAGAGGTTGGAGAAGAGAGTAAGAAGAGGCCGCTTACCTGATTTAAAATTGGTGAGATGTTCCTTGGGCTGGTCGGTCTGAGGACCTGAGGTCATAGGTGGATCTTTCTCACAGGGCAAAGAAAAGGAGTACAGGGGATTGATCTCCTAAGGGAGGTTCCCCGATCCGAGTCACGGCACCAAATTTCATCCGTGTCCCTGTGAAGAGACCACCAAACAGGCTTTGTGTGAGCAACATGGCTGTTTATTTCACCTGGGTGCAGGCGGGCTGAGTCCGAAAAGAGAGTCAGCGAAGGGAGATGGGGTGGGGCCGTTTTATAGGATTTGGGAAGTTAATGGAAAATTACAGTCAAAGGAGGTTGTTCTCTGGTGGGCAGGGGTGGGGGTCACAAGGTGCTCAGTGGGGGAGCTTCTGAGCCAGGAGAAGGAAATTCACAGGGTTAATCACTCAGTTAAGGTGGGGCAGGAACAAATCACAATGGTGGAATGTCATCAGTTAAGGCGGGGCAGGGCCTTTTCACTTCTTTTGTGATTCTTCAGTTACTTCAGGACATCTGGGCGTATACATGCAAGTCACAGGGGATGCGATGGCTTGGCTTGGGCTCAGAGGCCTGACAATATTTACATTTATATTCATGAGTGGTAGAGCCTAATTTAAAATGTCATACTATTTCTTAAGTTTTTCCATTAAGAATTTAAGTAACATAAAAATTGTTGAGAAGCAACATTTCTCTTTTTCTATTCTCTTGAAGTATATGGATTTGGAAGTAAAATTGACCCTTAAACAACGTGAAGTTTAGGGGAGCTCTGACCTCTTCTACAGTTGAAAATCCCTGTGTAAGCTTTGAATTCCTAAACACTTAATGACTAATAGCCAACTGTTGACTGGAAGCCTTACCAATAACATAAACAGTTAACACGTATGTTGTATGTTATGTGTATTATATACTGTATTCTTTCAATAAAGTAAGCTAGAGAAAAGAAAATGTCATTAAGAAAATATAAGCAAAATAAAATATATATGTTTACTATTTATTAAGTAGAAGTGGATTATTATGAAGGTCTTCATCCTTATTGTCCTCATGTTGAGTAGACTGAGAAGGAGGAAGAGGAAGGATTGGTCTTTCTATCTCATGAGTGCCAGAGGCAGAAGAAAATCTGCGCAAAAGTGGACTTACACAGTTCAGACCTGTGTTGTTCAAGGGTCAAATGTATTTGCTTACAGAAAATCTGAAAGAATTTGCCTTTATACCTGTTGCATGTTTTGCATGTTTGAGGTTTGGAGAAGTAGAATAAATTTAATTAGTGGCTGTAGGAGTATTCAGGCTTTTCATTTCTGTTTTCCCCCAACTTCTTATATTGAACAATTGAGAACTTAAATGTGAGTTGGATGAGCAGGAAAATGTACAATTGCCTTCACCTAGATTCTTCAACTGTAGGCATTTAAAAATATATTTCCATTGTGTATGTGCTTTCTGAACCATTTGAAAATAAATTGTAGACATTGTGACATTACATTCCTAAAACTTCAGCAAGTATCAACTAAAAATGACATTTTCCAATATAACCACAATAACATTATCAACACTAAATGTTTAACCTTGATTTAGCAATACTATTACACTGCTCATATTTTTTCACAATTGGAAATATCTTTAAACGTTATATTTTTCAAAAATCAAGGATCACACATGACATTTTGTTGTCAAATTTCTTCAATTTTTATCCTGGAACACAAACCTACATTTAAAAAAATGTTTCATTACATTGATATTTTTGAGGTGCCTAGACTAGTACCGACTGCTGCACAATTTGCATCTTTTATAACTGTTTTCTCATGAAAAAAAAAAAACAAAACCAAAGGTTAAAGATATTATTTTTGTGAAAATATTCTTCATATGTAATATGGAGAGCATCTCAATTCGTACCATCTGGAGGGTTTTAATGTCAGTTTGTCCCAGTAAATTGATGATATGTTGATCACTTGGCTAATATGTTGTCCATCAGACATTTACATTGCAAAGTTCCTTTGTAATTATCAGGCTGGTACTTTGTAATGATAAGGTGATACTTTGAGATCCTGTTCCTTAACATACCTTCAACTGATGGTTATTAGCAATCCCTTTCTTTATCAATTACTCCATTAATAGTTGTAAAAGTGATGGTACAATACTCCTTTTTTTTCTTTTTTACATGTAGTTAGGTGAAATTTTTCTGTGTAACACATTCTTTCCTACCTCTTCCCCTCTCTGGACTTCTTATGAGTCAGTGTGAACTCAGACATTTAGAAAGAAATAAATCAGTGTCATCAATATTCTTTCTGATATTCAAGTGTACCCAAATTTGGCCAATGTGAGACTCTCCAAGCTGGTTCCTGTTTTCTGTTGAAACTACACCGTCTGTATGTTTGCACTTTAATTCTTTTTGTCAAAACAAGATGTTGAGACTCACAAACTTTCACTGCCCCCTATATAGATGCAGACATTTTAACAAGAATCCATGTTTCCTTTTAATGAGGAATGGTATTTAAAAAATCAAGATCTGGACACGATCTGGGATCACTGAGCCCAGATTTTTCAGTGCACCAAGATAGGAAACATGTTTTATTTTAAGATATAAGTGCATATTGATATCTCAAATTCAAATCTAATACCACAGTGCACTCTTTTTCTTTTTAAAATTTCATATTGATATCTTTCTACTCCCATAGTTACAACTTGAATTCCCATCAGCAAAAAGTATTTTCTCATTTACTCTGTGCTACATTAGTTTCAGAGATTCAAAAAATAAATTGCAGAATTTCTGCAAAAATACTATTTTAAAAAAACCCATTAGATGAAGTTAAATACTCTTTGCAGTCCTTTATATCTTATAATACATCATGAAAATATGTATCGCAAATTTATTTGACTTCACTAATTTTTTAGTGAAGGTATATTATCAAATTTTTATCTCTACTGATCTTCTATTTTTTATTCAATTTTAGAGTTTCTTTAAAAAATATTTTTGTACTTTCTTTTTTGATTATATAAAACATTTATACAATCCAGAATCAATTATACATGCACATATTTTGGCATTTTATATAATTATTTATGTGCTGAGATAATGAATCAGTCTAAATGTCCATCAGTGTATGAATGAATAAAGAAAAAGTGGTATATAGACAGACTGGGATACTATTTAGCCTTAGAGAAGAAGGAAATAATTTCTTTTCCAACAATATGGATGAACCTGGAGGACATGATGTTAAAAGATATAATCCAGGCACAGAAAGACAAAGACCCCATGATCTCACTTCTGCGTGGAATCCAAAAAGTTGAACTCATAAAGTAGAAAGTAGAGTGGTGGTTAGTAAGAGATGAGAGATGGAGAGAAGAGTGGGGAGATATTGGTCAAAGGATACACAATTTCAATTATATAGGAGGAGTAAGCTCAAGAGATCTATTGTATAATATACCATGGTGACTATAGTAAATAACAATGTATTGTATTCTTGAAGATTGCTTTAAAAAGTAGACAGTATAGTAAGTATTATCATCACAGTTTTTTATAAATATGTGATGTAATGCAGATGTGAATTAATTCAATTTAACTATTTCACAATGTCTACACATTTCAAGGCATCGTATTGTACAAGATATTTGTAGTTTATATTTGTCAACTCAAACAAATAGAATAATCCGTACACATTAATTTAAAAGGACGAATACACTGTAAGCATAAATCGCTTGATTGATCCTGAAGAGCATTTCTGAGTTCATCATATACTATTCATAACGTATAGTATGCCATAGGTCCATTAAAGTCACCTTTTACATTCTGTTTTATTTTATTCAGTTTATTTTAGTTTTGGTCTCATTCTTCTGTGAATTCCACTAACATTCTATTTCTCCATAAATACCCACACCCATGTATTTATCACATATACTTATATATAAATGTATTCTATAACATGTAGTGTTAAGTTGAAGAGGAAATATGGTTTTACATTTACATAAATGTTAATGTTTTACAGAAAAACCTTTTTTTTTACTTTAATTTATGGAAGTGTAACTTAAGGATAAATTTCAAGAAATGAAAATGATACTCATTCCATTTATTTATATGATCTCAATTTTATCAGTTTCTTACTTTTTACTAATTTTAACTATATTTTTTATTCTTTAAGTTTTATATGTGGTGTTTTGTTTCTTTAAAATCTATTAAGTCTCTTTACTATAATTCGTGTTACTTTAAAAAGTGTTTATTATTATTCATTTTATTATGAATTATTTTAATTATTTACATTCTGTGTTTGCAGCTCATTTTATTTTCTCAAAGCAGTTGACTTGTGGCATTTTACATTTTTTATCACTGATCTTGAAACTCATTTATTTAGTCTACTTTTTATTTGTGTTTTTCTTCGTACATGAGCTTTTATTTTAAATTACTGAATTTAGTTTTAATAAATAAATAGATACTGAATTTAGGTTTAATAAATTCAGTATCTCTATTTAACTATTTAATTTTATACTTCATATCATTCTTTATTTTGTCATCACTTTTTTATTTAGTTGGTTTTCATCCCTTAAGTTTTGAATTATCTTATATTTATTGTTTTCTTTTAGTTCACTTCTTTTTATAATACCAGGAAGAAGGGATCTTCTGCAGAATGAACAGAGAAAGATACAGACATTTATCTTCTGGCCGAACATCTTCTCCTGTTTTTTCACCAACTGATTCCTGAAACTACATAAGAGTGAATTTTTTCAGAATTTTGCCTCAGAGGGCTTTCTGATTTAAGGGTTAATTCTTCCCACAGCAATTAGCAAGAATTATCTTTGATGTTAGAAGAGTGTTATTTGTTGAGGAAGATTTAAGTGTTTCAAAATGTCTGTCAGTTTTTTTATTGGGAAAGAGGAACGATATTTCATGGTACTGAAGAAGATGGCACAGAGGGACCCACCTAGGGAATGCTCCTGGCATAATGCTTGTTGGAATTAACCAACGTTAACCTCTTAATACAAACTCTTGGGGAGTGGCATGGATTAATTTTTCAAAGCAGATTTCTGGCTTTATTTTTTATTAATCAGTTATCCATCCCTCTTCCTGTAGCAACTCTGTAGAAGCAGCATCTTGGAATTTTTTTTTTCTCACCTTAACTTCTTAAAGGTTGAGGGGATACTGGCAAGAATAAAAATTAGCCAAAACAGGATGGTTGTTTTAATTTATCCATTTCTCTATTTGTGAATCAAATTGTCCTAGGAGGATAGATCTAACAGTGTAAGACTTCTTTATTTTGGATTATGAGCTATAATCTGTCTATTTTCCCATCATCCTAGTCCTTACTCCAAAGTTTTTATGACATCGCTAAGGTAGACTGTTACAATCATTCACTGAAACCTACAGTTTAAAAGTTTGACACCACATTGGACAGAATGCAGCTTCTGTGAAATTAGGATTCAGATATCTACCAGGTTGCACATCTTCCTGATTGTTTTCCAATTTGGATTCCCAACCCCTATGTGTTCTGAAATTTTTATGTATTCCCAAAATAATTTTGTTTTTTCCCCATTAGAGGACACGTGCAGTGATTAAAAGGCATTTTTGCTTTAACCATTCATGTAGCTTCAGAAGGAGATCTCTGCCTTAATGTTATCCTGTTGAGGTATTGGCAAGAAATTGCCCTCTCTTCATCCCTCTTTTTACTTTCAAATGACTAATTTATTACAGGTTTTGAGAATTCTCCATTCATTATCTTAGAGTTATTTTATCTTCAACATGGGCATCCAGGCTTATAAAGTCCACACTCACCAATATCTAGGGATAATTAAGTACCCTCTTGTTGATTTTTTTCTAGATGGCCTTGACCTAACATGTAAGATCAATCCATTCTATGGAAGGTAGGTGCTGTTATGGGTGCCAAGCTGACCAATCAGGCAGTGGGATCAAAAGAGGCAGTTTACGGGACAGGTAGGCAACCGGGGACATACCTATGGCAAGCATTCCTCTCATGGAACTCAGCCAGTCTGTTTTTCCCAATTATTCATGTCAAAGTTTTTCCTTTTTTTTTCTTCAGGTGTTTTAATTTCACTAAGCATTCAAGGGACTTGAAATTTGAAATATTTATCTCCATTTCCTGATTGTATGCCCATTACCTTACTGACTGCCAGGGAACCAACTGACAAATAAATAAACATTGGCAGAGATAAACAGGGATTGGCCACGTTTGCCTCCACCATCCTAGAGGGGACTGCTGTGGTGTTATCTAACTCACAAATACGTAATTACATTCTTTCTATTTTGGTCTCTTTGCTTGGCAAACTGGATGTGATGATTAACATTTATCTGTCCCTTGCCAAAAAGTACAATGACATGTTTGGATTCATGATCTCAACTGTGTACTCATTTATAACGTATCTCTGTGCCATATCATAGAGCAAATCGCTTCTAGGAACTTGAATGCCAGGAATGAAGAAGGAATACTGAATTCTATTCACAGCTACTTAGTAATGAAGGATTATATCTCTGGGAGGTGTATTTTTAGAAAGGGAAATACAGTTTTTAGATTATTCTTTTCTTATTTCGAATTTAATGCATGTTTGCTAAAATATAACTTAAAAAAAGACAATTAAAATGGCCACACTTTCAGTACTAAATATTTTCTATTTTAATGTTCTGCCAGAATTTTTTTCTCCCTTAACCCATTACTTTTCTCTCCATCCCATCTGCATTACCTCAAACATATTCAGATGCAGATAAGAATTCATATGTATGTGACTTATTAACCATCATGTCAAATTTAGTAATAGAATGGGTCAGGAATAGAAAGACCATTCTGAAGAAGAATAAAATTGGAATACAAACTTTACTAGATTTTTAAAAATACTATAGAACAGCAATAACTAAGACCATTGGTGTGAGGAAGGATAAATAGACCAACTGGGAGTCCAGAGACAGACCCAGGCTTACATGGTGATGGGATTTACAAGAAATGACACCATGTAACTAATGAGGAAACAACATTCTATGCAATAAACTGTGCTGAAACTATCATATATACATACTGGATAACTTCAAAGCACACAAAAATGATTCTATATATTCTGCATATTGAATCACATAGCAATTATATTGGCATATTAATTTGGTACAAATCCTGATTTGGTAAGAATTCTTCAGGCTATGTACTTAATATTTTTGCATTTTATAGAAGTTATGCCTCAGTGAAAGATAAACATAAATTTATGTAAACAGAATAACATCACAAATGACTAACTGGGAAATATTTGCAATATATATGACTTGAATATGTACATATATATCTCAATTAAATTATATAAATTACATAACAAAATGATAAGGTTTAATGTTTTCAACAATTAAGAAAAGCAGTCATAAAATTGTCCAAGAAGTATTCTTACAAGATGCTTACAAGTGTAGTCTCATTAGAAACCAAAGGCATGCAAATTCAAATGAGATACTTTTTCTCATCAAATTGTCAGAAACTTAGGAAACTAATACTAACGGCTGTCAATGGAGGATCGAATCACTTAGACACACTGATTTGGAGTGACATTTCATATAATATTTCTCAAAGAATATTTGTCTAGGAATTAAAATAATTAGATATTTATATATTGTTTGCATAAAAATTTCACTTTAAGAAATCAATCTGAAGCCTATACATAAGAATATAAACCAAATTTTAATATTAAGTTTTTATCATAATGACAATTCAATCAAAATGGCAAACAAAAATCATAAAAACATTATAGTATGTATATGTAATAAAATCTTTTGAAACCACATAATATGTGAAGTAAAAATTAAAATATTGTGTATATGCAGCTGCTACTCAATTTATTTACATACATTTGATTTACACTGACTTCTGTTAAAACTTATATTCCTTTTACAAGACTAGTTTTAGAGTCATTTGTTAGAAAGAAGACCTGAATATATTTTTGGATGCGTTATGGTAGAGTTGAGTATACTTAGTGCCTTTCTCCCCCAAAAATACTGAAGTTCAGTTTTAATTTATAATACAGCAGGATTTTGATCCTAGTCCTTCCATAATGAGAAGTTAACTAATGATAGGACCAAAGAATAAACTGAACATTCAAGGCATTAAAGCACTTGTTAAGATAGCACTACATATAGATTTGTAATATTTCGAGAGGAATGGTTCTTAGACAACAATCTCTGGTCCAACAGCTACAAGATAGAGTTAAGCAAAAGAAGTCCAAAAACCTTAATGACACAGCCCAAAGATGAAAAGCAAATTTGTAATTTTAAGTGGTTCCTAAAATTTGGTTTCTTGACCTCAACATATGCAAAGAATGTGGTTATGATTCCTGATATGTGCACTGTTTTCAAATTAATATTGTACTTGCTATTAAGATTTGAACTGATTCAGAATAAATGGAAAATAGGCAGCTATAAGTGATAAAAATCCAATTACTCTGTCAGTTAAGAAGAGTCAGTAAGTCTTTTACATGCTCTGGCAAAGTGTTCAGGACTTGTGAATCAAGGTTTCCACAAATTGTGTAATCTCTAGACAAGTCGCTTAATCATTCTGCTTTTCTTTTTTCTTTCATAAAACTGGTGGCTATTTATGGAATCTAACACATACCTCTATGTAAGGATTCCATGAGATAAAACCAGTAAAGCACATAAAGTAATAATTATACATTTTAAGCAATCAGTTATTAACTACTTAAAGTTTATTATAGTCTCCTTTTTCACTGTGTTGCTTTTTGGCATACTTTATCACTTCATATAACATCTTTCTTATATCTTGAATAGATTTCCAGTGATGAATGCATTTTATTCCTTAGCTGCTGTTTCAATCATACTAGGAAAGACACTAGAAAACATCAGATGGCACCTTTTTACAAACTTCAGACTAAGTAAACTAGATGCATGTGAGTCATTTGTGAAGAGGACTACAGTTCTGATTCTGTACGTGCAGGGAGGGGTCCAGGTTTGTTTGTTTCTATCAGGTTTTCATATCATATTGACACTGCCAGATATCCAGCTATACTTAAGAGTATTGATGCTGCAGGTGAAATGTTTAACTTTAGTAACATAAAGATTAGCAGTCTGTGGGTTTCTGTGATTTGAGGGCCATATTTTTCCATTCTTTCCCTACTCAGTAACTAATGTATGATCATTTCTTTGGCCTAATTATAATCTTCCTTTTATTATTTGCCTATTTTAATGACTTTGTTTCCAAGAGGGTTTATGGCAATATGTACTTCCCTATAGAATGAAATAAGGTTAAAGTGAGTAAATGAACAAACTTGGGAAAGAGAAAATGAAGGTTTGGATAAACAGGAAAAACTCATGGTAAGTTGAGTATCCCAAACTGCTTTCAAATAGCTAGACATTGCTTCTCAGAAGCCAACAAAAGAAGTGGTTAGACACTGGAGCCTACATGAGGGTGGAGGGTGGGAGGAGAAAGAGGAACAAAAAAAATACTTATTACCAATGGGATACACTCACTACCTGGGTGATAAAATAATCTGTACACCAAACCTCTGCAACAAGCAATTTACCCATGTAACAAACCTACACATGCATCCCCTGAACCTAAAATAGAAGTTGGAAAGAAGAAAAGAAGCAGCAGCCAATAAAGAGTGACAGAATTATTCAGCTACTTAGTTCATTGCAATGTCATGAAACACCATAAGAGGTGATTTGGTCAGGAGAAGCACAGCTATTTCAGTCACTTAAACCAAAGAGAAAGTGCTCTCATGTCAAGAAGGAATTAAGTGACTTGTAAGCAACATTATCAATAATTCTTTTTCCTTACTTGAAAAAAAGTAGTGGGTGTGTCAGAATTTTTCTTAGAAGTTTCCTCTTTGTGTGCTGATGGAAAAATACCAAAGTTGCTCAATAAATGTCAAACTAATGTAGTCCAGGTGCAAAATTCCCAGGTGAAGTGTCTTGATGTAAACATGTTGTGTTTATTCACTTTGTGCATACCAAATACTCCGAAATTTCAGCAGCTTAGAGCATCAGACTTTTTTTTAAATTTATTGAATATTTTATTGAATATTTAAAAATTGTTAACAATCTATTTCCTTTTTCACCTTTTCAAAACACTTTTATTGTTTTCTGTAGACTTTACAATAAATATATATATATATTTCATTTGTCAGAGTCTATAGTGAAATAATTTAACATTTTACATGTTGTCATGGAAAAACTCCAAGTTGGTCCCTGTGATAACCTCTCTCCTGGTATGCACACAACTTCTACCAGTTATTCAAATATGAATCTAGGGGTTTGCTGTGAAGGGACTTTACAGATATAGTTAAAATTAAACTCCCAAATCAGTTGACCTTAAGAAGGGAAATTATCTTTAGGGGTCCTAACAATCAAATGAGACTTTTAAAAGTCTGACCTTTTAGTTTTGAAAGAGATTCAAAGTGTGGAATGGATTTGATGCAAGGGAAATTTTCTGTTGCTGATTTGGAAGATAGAGGGGTCCATGTGGCAAGGAATATTAGTGGAATTTAGGAGCAGAAAACAGTGTCCAGTTGTCAGCAAGCTGGGAATGAGGACCTCAGTCCTAAAACCACAAAGACGAATTTTTCCAACAAATTGAATGAGCCTAGAAAAGCACCCCAAGCTCGAGTTGAGATTTCAGCCTGACATATTTTAACCTTATTCTTGTAAGCAGAGAATTCAGTAATATCATGTGTAAACTTCTGTCCTATGGAATTGTGAGACAATAAATGGGGGTTGTTATAAGCTGCTAAATTTGTAGTAATATTGTCATGCAGAAATAGAAAACTAATGAAAACAAAGAGTAAACATCTTACAACACTAGATATAAGCAATAAAATACAACACTGAGATTAGAAACGAGGTAAACCCTATACTTTTCCTCACTTTTCCCTGTACTCATAACTTCTCCCTCTCATCCTTCATGTTCATTTTGTCATGTTTTACCTTTACAAATGTATACACACAGAATGTATTTTTATTATTTTTGCTATAACAATGTCAGTATTTTTAAAACAAAATCAGAAGAAATACATTTATTACTTTCATTTTTTCCCATTTCCAGTGCTATTTATCTTTTGTGTAGATCCAAGTTTCTTTTTCTTCACCCTTTTTGAGGTTTAATTGGTATTCAAAAAAATAAAGATATTTAACGGATAAAATTTTGTGAGTCTGGACATATGTATATGCTCATGTTATCATCGTCACAATCCAGGTAATAAACATATTCATCATCTTCAAAAGTTTGGTAGTGTTTCTGACTGATATCCCTTCTACTAGAAGAATACTCTTTAACATGTTTGTAGTCTGCTAGAAATGATTTCCCAGTTTGTTTTCTGTTTCTTATTGAGAAAGTCATTTCTTTTCTTCTAATGCTAGATCTTTGTATAGGTGATTATGTTAACTTAGAAATCAGTCTGCATTGGAGAATTGTTATTGTAGTTACTTTCAATGTTTTTTATGTTTCAGGTTCATCCAGTGATGTGTTCAGGATATGGGCTGGGTTGGCTGAGGTCATTTTATCAATGTATGCTCACAGCTTGACTTTGGGTTTTCTCTTTGTGCTGTACCTTGAAAAGAATCTGTCTGTGACAATTCTTCCAGCTCCATGCACTCTATTCTTGTTAGCCTGGTGGTGGTGGAATAGAAGGAGAGAGGCTTTCTCTGATATTCTGATTAATACTTAATCTTGGTCCAATACTGCATCCCTGCATCTAACATATTTGGGCTTCATGGGCATTTGCACCACTCTCACCTTTCAGGTGGTGCTAGATTAACACATACAGCTTTTTCTTCCTGCTTCCTTCGCAGAGCTGCAATGGGTTTCCATAAATGACTCAAGGTGACAATTTTTTGTTGCTATTTCCCTTCGAGATTAAGGCTTTCTCCATAGAAAAGACAAGGAAGATGGATCCAGATAGAGTTTCAGGAGTGGCGTTCCTCCTCTTCTGCTGGGAACGCCATGATGGGAACCTTTTCCATTTTCTGCCTATCTTTCATGTGAGTGTCTAGAGAGACTCATGGAGAGAAATCTTTGGGAACCCATTTAGATACCTGTGACCTCCAGTGCCCTCACATTCTCATGCTAGCCGACCCTTGGCTTTTAGCATTTTTTTAAGTAGATGAATATTTTTGATAAGCTTTATGGCATTGGGCAGAATCTATCTCAGATAACAAAATGCTCAGATGTTTCTTTCAGCAGTATAGTTACCGTATAAACACAAGAATCCAAGTAAAATTTGAATTACATAGATCTGGAACATTCTTAGACTAAAAGTCTGTTTGTTTACCTGAAATTCAAACTTAACTTAGTATCTTGCTCCTGTTTGCTAAATCTGGCAGCCCTAAACAGAAGCCTCCTGATTCTCTGCAGATTTTAGGATATCGGGTTGCTCTGCACTCTCAGCTTTATGATTAGTTTGATGTAAGAAATGTTGTAATTTTGCTAATTGTTTAGCTTTTTTCTTGTAAATGTGGGAGGAATGCTCTTTCCATCGCTCTACATTAGGAAAGGAGGAGAAACTATAATTGTTATTCTTTTACTTTTAATTAACTTATGCCTTCATCTATAGAGAGTATTTCTTATGGGCAAAGTATAGACGGGTCTTACTTTTTAATTCCATCTTCAGTCTCTGCCTTTTAACTGGGTACGTAAACCATTTAAAACTAATGTAATTATTGACAAGGTTAGGATTACATGTATCATCTTCATCATGTATTTTCCAATTTGTTTCCATTTTCCTTTTTTGCTGCTTTCTTTTCTTATTTGGCACTCTGTTATTGTGAATTCTAAGTGCCCTGGGCTCTCCAGTCCTTGACTCAGAGAGTCTGCTGAGCAGTGACTAGGGTCCCCCTCCCTGAATCATGGCATGAAACTCTTTTAAGGTGGGAAAAATACAGGGTTCACCTTGTTTATTATCTCTCAGAATTGTTTTTTATTGTTTTTATATCTAGTCTCTTAAAAATTGTTTTTTCTTGTCAACTGTTTTTTTATTGTTGAAATTCAATCCTTTTTATAACATCTTGGCTATATGCAGAACTATTATCTACCTTGGTTCTAAGAGCTTAGTCACCTGTCAATTTTAGAATGACAAATGACAAAATCCTTTCTCCAGCAGTCAGACTTATATATCTACCTGCCTACTTAATATCTCCAGTTGAATGCCCAAAACACTTTCAAACTCAACAGGTCTCAGTTGGATTCCCATTCTCCTTTCCTTTAGTTCGGCCCTTCCACATCTTAGTCGATGGCAATTTCATTCTTATAGTTGCTCCAGTCAAAACCTAAACATTATTCTTGACATCTTTTTTTTTTTTTTTTTTTTTGAGACGGAGTCTCGCTCTGTCGCCCAGGCTGGAGTGCAGTGGCGGGATCTCCGCTCACTGCAAGCTCCGCCTCCCGGGTTCACGCCATTCTCCTGCCTCAGCCTCCCAAGTAGCTGGGACCACAGGCGCCCGCTACCACGCCCGGCTAATTTTTTGTATTTTTAGTAGAGACGGGGTTTCACCGTTTTAGCCGGGATGGTCTCGATCTCCTGACCTCGTGATCCGCCCGCCTCGGCCTCCCAAAGTGCTGGGATTACAGGCGTGAGCCACCGCGCCCGGCCTATTCTTGACATCTTTATTTCCCTTATATATCACCCCAACTGTTGGAAAATCATGCTGCTCTGCCTTCAAAATATATCAAGAATGTAACTACTCTCCTACTTCCCTTGTATTTGTGCCACTACCAACTCATCTGGATTACACTGAGGGTTTCTTACCTGATCTCCATGCTTAAGTTCTTGTACTCCAAAAATATATTCTCAACACAACAGCCAAATAACGCTTTACACTAAACTCAGTAGAATAGTAAATTGATGACTCAGAATGATGTCTCTTGAGAAATTATCTACGGTTCTAGAGTTTTGCATAAAATAATAAGATCTAATATTCATGTATTTGAATTTCAGAGGAAGTGAACAGATAATATGGATATTAGGCAATATTTAAATAATATTGGGGTATTTTCCAGAATTGATAAAAGTCATATTATTAGCTGCATAAATAAAATCACTAGGTTAAAAAAAATTCTAAGAACATTATATTTAAATAGTAGAAAGGCAATGATAGATGTAAAAATCTTAAAATAAATAAATTTGAAATGAATGGCCTCAAAGGAAATTGGTAGGTGAATTCTCTCTAGTTAAAAAGATCTGTAGAAATAGAATACTATTTTCAAAATGCTGAGAGAAAAATTTATCACTCATTCATTTGCTTGAACACATATATAATAAGCACAATATATTCATTTTAATCTTTTTCTTGCCAGTACTGGAAACATTTAATTTGGAAGAGCTAAGTATGAAAATCAATGAGAGAGAGTGAGAAAGGGCCAGAGAACTGTGGACTTGCCTAGAATCTCTCTGTCCTCTGCATTTATGCGGGCTACCAATGGCAGAGGACCCAATGGTTTCATACCCAACAATCTACCATGTGGATTTGAACATGGAAAGACACTTTACTCTCTGCATGCAACTGATAAATGCAGGCTGCCAAGTTTGTAGGAGTTTCCATTCTTTCTACAGGTTATGTTAAAGTACAGAGTATCACAGCTTGTGATAATCACTGTGCCTTGTTGAGTTTCACCACAGACATACAAAACCAGGGCTTCTATTCACCAGGTTCTAGGGATTGCTACTGGTTGGTAAATAGCTCAATGATGTACCATTTTTTTTCACCACCACCATTTTTATGAAAATTGCTGAAGCTTCATATTTATGAGTGAGACATCTTTATATTTTATTCACCAAAAAATGAAAATCCTGCTTACGTTGTTTGAGCCATTTCGGTGAAAAATTGCAAGTGGAAAATCATACACATCCTGGCTTAGCTCAACAGCTGGCTGTTGTGATGTTGTCATAGCTAATGCTAACAAGGTGCATAAAGTTATTTTGTTCTGCATTAAATCCATGGATCATTTTTGTTCCTCAAAGGTAGAGTTTAATTAACATATTGCCCCTTCATAATTATATCTGATATCATGTTTTGGCAAGTATTTTAAATTCATTATATAGTATACATATAATTATAAATACAAAATTTATTATATAATTATATAAACAAATAATGTGTTATGTAATTATATATATAAATTATTAAAATAATTATATAATTTATCATTGTTGGTCATGAGGCCAGGTGATATGCTCTGCCATTTCTATTTGAATTTTTGGACTGATGTAGTAGGAGAGTTTATTTATTTGGGCTGGCGAGTGAGATAGTGGTGATGATTGATTTTTCAAAAAATTCCTTCTGGCTATCATATCAAATTTTTTACTGACAGACTGAACTAAGTCCTCTGAGGGGTGGGGCTTCTTGGTAATTAAAACATTTTTTCAAGTCTGTTAAAGTCATACTCTTTCCCCATCCCATTCCTGTATTCTTAACTATACAATATCCTGCCTCCAAAATGGTTTTAAACAATGAAGAATCTGAAAGTGTATAGGGAATTTTTTTCTAATATGCATTTTAAAAGGAGCAGAAGGGTCTTGTGTCTTTCCCAAATAACCAATAATTCTCACAGCATAAATAAACATTATCCCTTCCTATTATTTTAAACACACCAAGGTTCTGATACACAAATCTTTCCATGCTTGTCTGAAAATTACCTATTGCAATTTAGACCTGGGAGAGCCCATTCCCTTCTGATTCAATCCACTTAGGTAGTGCAATAAATGAGATTGGACAGTCCATATTTCAGCACTGATTGCTGTGGTGTATTCCCATTGATGAAATGGAATTGGTTTGTTCCCACTGGGGCTTCTGCCTTCCACAACATAATAAAGTTACCTTAGCTGACAAGGTGGTATGGGCTTTCAGAGTTTGATGGACCAATTATTTGTTGAGTTCAATCATGTTTGATTCCCAAGCCATTCTAAGGCAATTCGATTACATTTTATTTTACTCTTTAAAGATATAGATATAAATGATATGATATAGATACAGATGTAGCTATACATATATATATAATATTATAAATTGTATTATGTACATACATGTAGACTTTTAAATCTGTTAAATAATAAGTCTATTTAAGGTCACATACTATGTTTGTCTCTTCTTGTTTTTTAAAATTATTTTTCCTAGAGGCCATCTGATATAAATCCTAGAAAAATTCAAATTATTATTTCAAAAATGTAGGAAACATCTCTGTCTACAAAAATACACACATTCTGCAGTTTTGCATGAACTATTAAGTTCATCTTTTTCTCATAGTATGAATTCAAATGTATACAACAAATGTACAGTGAACATTTTATATATAATGACTTACATTGGATGTCTTAAGAAATTTTTTAAACAACTAAGCTATAATCTCATATTTTAGAGTTTAAGGTGTAACATAAGTGACTAAACACAAAAGGTGAAAAACTCATAAGATCTTCAGTCCATTTATTCACGAGTGAGTGCAGAAAAGAACATTGTCACACTTTTTACAGAGTAATTATGAAAGAGTTCATAGAGGAAATGTAATGCAGGTGAACTTT
Source organism: Homo sapiens (assembly GCF_000001405.40). NCBI lineage: Eukaryota > Metazoa > Chordata > Mammalia > Primates > Hominidae > Homo > Homo sapiens. Next base: position 73,308,705 of record NC_000018.10, on the reverse strand, counting down.
TAGATGTGATCGATGCTAGCTATTATTATTACTTTTATTATTATTACTATTACAATAGAGACCCACAACAGTACAGAATTTGTCATGAGACTGGAGAACAGATTGAGCAGAAAAATTTTAGGAGGGTTGAGGGAATTTATTGAGTCCCTAGGCCATTTGGATTTTATGTGACACATACATAAATATGTAGGGGGAAAGAGGCAGAAGCAGCTGGAAATATGGTATAGAAAATAGTTAATATTTTGTAGGTTTAACTAAGCATTATGAACTCTTAAAGATTTATAAACAGAAGAGCTAAGTTATCAAAGTAGTGCATTAGGAAGTGTTAACAGTGGTATGTAACGCAGATTCCAGTAGGAAAGTTAAAAATGGAGAGACCAATAAAGAAGTCACTCTTAATAGTTCAAAGTTGATGACCTCCATAGTAAGAAGACACATGCTGCCTCCTGCCCATTCCTCCAGCCTCGTTTCTTTCTCCTGTCCCTCCATTCCCTATAATGAATGCAAAACTTCTTCCAGTCCTCATGCTGTTTGTGCTGTCTCATGTATCCACGCTTTTGCGTGTTCACAGCTGAGACCTGACACACCTGAACTCACCTGTCTCTTTCCAGAAGACTTTGCTAACTCCTGGAAGCTCATCGAGAGCTGAACCACAAGCCAGGTGCAGTGGCTCACACCTGCAGTTTCAGCACTTTTGGGTGCTGAGGTGGGAGGATTTCTTGAGCCCAGGAGTTCGAGACCAGTCTAGACAACAAAGCGAAATCGCGTCTCTACAGAAAATACAAAAATTAGCAGCATATGGTGGTTTGCATCTGTAGTTCAGGGACTTGAGAGGCTGAACTGGGAGGATCACTAGAGCCCAGGAGGTCAAAGCTGCAATGAGGTGTGATCGTGCCACTGCATTTCAGCCTGGGAAACAAAGTGAGACTCTGCCTCAAAAATAAAAACAACAGCAACAACGATAACAAAACAAAACAAAACAAACAAAATAAAACAAAAAAATAAAAAATGTTGTTTATACTAACCTAGACTCAGCTGCATTAGCATTGAAGCAAGAGGGTAGCATTTTAATAGTATTTGGGCCCTCAATAGAGAGCCTACCACTGATCACAAATTCAACATTTCAATTTAAATGAATGAAAGGCATGAACGAATGAGATTTGGGAGATATCCTGGTGTTGACATCTCAGGAGAACACAAGAGGAGATAGCCGTTAAGCAGGTAGAAATGCGGCCCTCGATTTCAAATGAAGCTGGAGATAAAATGAAGGCAATGTCCTCACAGAGGAGCGATTCAAAGCTGTGTGAGGGGATGGGCTAGGCAAGAGAAAGGGTGTACACACTGAGGAATTGTGCCATGCTTTAATGATTTATTATCCTGGAATTTCAATCATCAAGTTTATATCTATAATTTATTCAAAATTTGTTTTTCAGCTTCTTTTCATCCATCTTAAACATTTTCTCAAGGTGTTGTGTGAAAGCAGATAATACGGTGCAAACACCTAAGAGCTCCTCCCCTAAGGAGAAGGTCACCTGTTATTGCTCTGTCACTGAAAGCCTGTTTGATCAACTCCAAAATATTTATATCTGTGGTTACTTGTGAAGCAAAAAATCAATGAATTTGGCATAGTTAATCCATCTTTTACTTGCTTTTTCATTAGTCAGCATTAGAAAAATTACTTCTGGTTGCTAAAGCCCTCATTCAGAATTGGGATCTTGATCAAATTGATCCCACCAGGAGCAGCATCACAGCTATCAGTCATTGGTATTTCTGCAACAATGTGCCCGTTGGAAATACGTTACAAGCAGGATTTAAAAGATTATGCTCCAGAGTAGGACTGCTATACCCTAGAGACATAGAATAGCTGCCATTTCAAATTAAGAAAGATTGTAGGAAATGAAAAATGAAAACGAAGACAGTGCAATTCCTATAAAAGGTTTGTTACGGACAGTTTGATCACTTAATTACATTTTTGTGTGAAACCTAAGTACCATTTTTGTAAATCATGTAAAGACAAACTTCAGGATTAACTTTTGTTTCCACAAGGAAATTTAATAAAGGTTTGTAGAAGCATCCATAACCTGGGAATTACACTTAAATTTTTAAAAAGTTTCAGAAATTATATTTGAATGTTGGAAGATATTTTCTAAAAATGCCTAAGAATTATCAAAGCATCAAATCCTCCACTTATTTCAATATAACTACACAATCTTCACTACAATGTTTTCATCAAGTGGGCATATATTTTGAAGCATTATGTTAAATCGACCTTATTGCCCTGCAATCTGTCAGCTCTCACTGGTGTAGCAAATTAAGATAATTTTCCTGTGCGTCAGTTTAACAGATTTCAGATTCCTGTAGCGCCTGTTAACAGGACAGTGACTCGGGGAGGCAGCTGGTAGTAGGGAAGGAGATAGCTTTACCAGTGAGAAACAAAGCCATGTGACTTATAAATTCATTACAATCCATTTACAAAGTAACAATGGAAGGAAATTACCCTCCTGAGTGAAAAATAAGGTGGTGTATAATTATATGCACCCAAAACATCTTGTGTTCTTTCATTCATTCTTTCTACAAGTATTGAGTGCCAGAATTCCAAGTTAGTACCAGTGTAAATAGACAAGAAGAAACATTGAACGCATTGAGAGGATAGTGACTAAATGAGTAAAAAAATTTAGAGTAAATAGCAAAATATTTTTTGTTTTTGTAAATGGGGTGTTTGTATATGGGTTATGAAGAAAGTAAACGAAAATTGGATTAAAGGAGAAGGCATTTCATTTGGGAATAATTGCATATGCAAAATATTGGGAATAGAAATGACCCAGTTTTGCATAAAATCAATGTTAGTTTTTAGTATTTAGAAAAGCAGGTTTTCTGTTATTCAAATGAGGTTATATTCTTAAATATTTCAGTGATAATTCTCATTGGATTTTTTCTTCCTGACAGAACAATAAATTACGGAACGAGATATTGGTTTGTGCATTTTTGCATAAATCTCTATTGAAACATGCATGTCACATTGTGACTGTTATAGGAAAGCCTCAACTAGATGCTAATGATCTTCCACAAATACTCTTTGAAGCCCTAGGATGTAGATCACTTAGGAGGAATTTCTAGTGGAAGTTAAGGGTAAGAGCATGGTGAGAGAAGAGAAATTTAGAATGGGGAAAAAATAAACTGATGAAAAGAAAGCAAAAGGAAGCAGATGACTTTGCACCTGTATGTCAGAGCTGACCCATGCAGCATAACTACAGATTAATTCTTGATTTCTCATGAATAGAAAATAAAATCCTACCTACTTAATTCCCATGGTGTAAATATGGACAAATGACTACCGGCATAATAGTGGTCATTATTATTAACATTGATTTAGTCGTCTAATTATTATTAACATTGATTTAAACAACTTAGTTATTGACAATCTGGTTCAGTAATAAGTGAAAAAAATTAAATACAAGATCAAGTTAGTCTTGGATTAGCCAAATTATCTAAAATATGAAGTGCTATAAAATTAGTTATATTTAATTTAACTACAGTGATCATCTCAAAGACAAAAATATAATTTCACCTGTTTTCAAGTTTTCATAAATTTCACTGCGGTCAAACAAGCTCTGTTTAGGGATACAAACATACATACGCACATATAGATACAGGTATAGATATTCACTGATTTATAAAGATTTATATTTATTATACTTAGTAGCTGCTAAGTCTGTAGCTCTTTTGGTAAACATTTCTATAACAAGAGATAGCTGGTTTACAGTATATAGACTTTGGGGCTAACCTAAGTAAAAATTAGAAAAAAAATTATATCTGTAAGGTAAGCTTAGCAAATAGTTACGTAAATACAAAATATAGCCTATATAGAGGTTAAAAGATATTTACTTCCAAAGCATACATTTTCTTTTATTTATCCTGCAGCTGTGGCTGATGCTTTATTGGCCTGCACGTTAGTTTTTGCTTTTTCATTTTAGTACCTTTCACATGGAGCACATAATTTCTAATTCCTAAGCCTAATGACTCCATGTTATTTTATATCTTTCATCACGCATGGAAATACATTCCTGTCAGTCGGGTGTGGTGGCTCACTCCTGTAATCCCAACACTGTGGGAGGCTAAGGCGGGCAGATCACCTGAGGTTAGGAGTTTGAGACCAGCCTGATCAACATGGTGAAACCCTGTCTCTACTAAAAATACAAAAATTAGCTGAGGGTGGTGGTGCATGCCTGTAATCCTCAGCTACTTGGGAGGCTGAGGCAGGAGAATCGCTTGAACCCGGGAGGCGGAGGTTGCAGTGAGCCAAGATCACACCACTGCACTTCCAGCCTGGCCATAGAGTGAGACTCCGTAACAAAACAAATAAATGAATAAATAAATAAGTAAAATAAAATAAATACATTCCTTTCAGCTGTTGGCATTTTAGTTTAGATCCTTTTCCCAACCCATTGTTTTTTGATTAGGCAGCAAAGCCCCAGAGATGTTGTGACCTTGTGTGGTGTGAGCTGAGGGTGGAGCCAGGCCTGGGACCAGGACTCTTCCCGCTGTGTCCCAAACCTCTCCTTTCTGTGTTGCACAGGCCCTTGCTTCATAGCCTTGTAAAGAAGGTCGCATTTTTCTGTTTGCTTTTTCTGGACTATCTCAGTTTTGTTACTGCTGCTCTAGGCATGAGGCTGCTTTGTTTACAGTATGGCCCCTTGAGAAATAAAAATTCTCTACAGAGGGCCTGCCCAATCCCCCATCATTTTTCTCTTTTTTCTCCTTAAGAGGAACAACTGTCTGCTGGTTCTCAAAATAAAAGAAAAATAGAAGAGTGTCCCCACTAAATGTCCTAGAAAGTCTTGCTCCCAAAAATGGAAAGAAAAACAAACACGAAAAATCAAATCTGAGAAAATATTATCTCATTCTAGAAATGTGAGAGAGGTAGTCACCAGCTTAAGATTTACAGTTTGGAAAATTGAAGCATCTGAAAAGAAATGGCAGAATGCTTCCACTGCTTCAGCAATCAGGTCCACTTGATCATAAGCTCAGCTTACATAGGCCATTTGTTATGATAGTTGCAATGTCTATTTCTGAGCATTCTACATTGTGTATTACCTTGGCAACAAACTAGAAAAGATGACAGCCACCAAGTCACTTATATGTGTAGAGCTCACAGGAGTTACTCTTCTGTAAGGGGGTCTTCAAAATGATTGTATGATGATAATGTGGGGAGGAAGAAGAGGAGGCGGGAGTGAAAAGGGAAAAGAGAAGAAGAAAAGAAGGAGAGGTCATGCCTGTGTTCCCAGCATTTTGGGAGCCCAAGGAAGGAGGATCAGTTGAAGCCAGGAGTTCGATACCAGCCTGGGAAACATAGCAAGACCCTGTCTCTACAAAAAAAAAAAAAAAAAAAATTGTATTAAATTAAATTAGCCAGGCATGGTGGTGCACGCCTGTGGTCCCAGCTACTGGAGAGGCTGAGGTGGGAGAATTGCTTGTGCCAGGAGGTCGAGGCTTTATGAGCTAGGATTGCACCACTGCACTCCAGCCTGGGTGACAGAGTCAGACCCTGTATAAAAAAAAAAAAAAAGAGAGAGAGAGAAAATGGAGGAGAGGGAGACAGAGTAGAGCAAAGAGAAGGAGTGGCAGGATGAGGAGGAGGATGAGGGGGAGAGGAATGAAGAGGGAGAAAAAGGAAGAGGAGTTGGAGGAGGGAAAGTCAGAGGAAGGAAAATGTATGTTAGTGCTGGCTCTGTCAAGCTTCACCTACAGCAACTCCACTACTACTGACTGCAATACTTGAAGTGAGAAGTGATTACTGCAAAAATCTTAGACATAAACTAGATGTATGCTGGGATTTCCAGTTCAATACGAATGCCAGACTGAATAATTCTACAAGATAGCCTCTGCCTGTTCTACTCCATGCTCAAATCTGCTAAATGTACAGAATCCAAAATAAATTGCTAGTTGCCTTGAGTTTCCTCCATGTCTGTAACTAATTTATTTAATAGTTTGACAAACATCCTGGCTGATCTTTATGTTGACGAATATAATGATTCAAGGCATCATTAACATCCCTTGCAGATGCTTTGAAAATCCATGTTACCTTGAGAGTTTTCAAAATCATTTTACTATAGCTAATGGCAAGGTCAAACAAGAAATTAAACATAATTCACTAAAACAATCTCAGGATATAGTTAAGGTTTAATATGGATTTTTGATCTATTCCAGCTGGATTTTTTTTTCAGAATATTTTTAGTTTGTATGTATCAAAAAACATCAGTTATCCCAAAGAAATTAGGATACACTAAATCCTAAATATACTGTAGTCAAAATCATCTTTGATCAAGCATCAGTGCTTTTCAATAACAACACATACTTGGTGATTAAAAAAGATATTATAGTTTATTCTAGCTTAATTTAGGGTGGAAATATGAAAAATAAACCAATAGTTGTATTTCAAATGCCACCTTCTTTACGAAGTCTTGTGAGACTGCCTTATTTATTGATTTACAAAAGAAACACACTATTCAGCTCCGATTGACATACAGAGAGCTGTACATATTTAATGTGTACAACTTGATGAGTTTGGAGGTAAGTATACAACCATAAAACGATCATCAAAATCAATGCCATAAATATATCTCTTACCTCCAAAAGTTTCTTCCCTCCCTCTTTGCTTATTATTTATTATTATTATTACTTTGTGATAAGAACAGTTAACAGAAGATCTTCCTTTCTAGCGCTTATGCCAGTATTTATACTGGCATATATATACAGTTAGCTGTATAGTATTTCTAACTATAGGCACCATGCTGTACAGTGGATCTCCAGGATTTATCCATCTTTATAACTTTGTAACCTTTGACAGAGATCTATTTTCCCCTTCACCCAGCACCTGGCAACCACTGTTCCACTTCCACATTCTGAGTTTGACAATTTTAGGTTCCCCATCTATGTAGTATCATTCAGTATTTACCTTGTGTCTCGCTTATTTCATTTAGTAAAACATCCTCCAGGTTTATCAATGTTGTTGCAAATAGCAAGATTTCTATCTTTTTAAAGGCCAAAGAAAATTCCACTCTATGTATATACTACATTTTCTTTATCAGTTTTTTCACTGATGGATATTTACATTGTTTCTATATCTTGCTCTTGTGAATAATGCTGCCATGAGCGTTGAAGTGTACATCTCTTTGAAATCCTGGTTTCAATTCATTTGGAAATATATCCAAGATTCAAATTGCTGAGTCTTATGATAGTTATATTTTTAATTTTTTGAGAAATCTCCCAACTGTTTTCCATAGTGGCTGCATCATTTTACATCAACAGCAAACATGTGTCCCCTTTCCTTCTCATCTTCGCCATCGCTAATTTTTTGTTTTCATGGTAGTAAGCATTCTAACAGGTGTAAAGTGACATCTTATTTAATATTGCAATGACTTCCTTCATCCACAACCCAGAAATCCATATCTCCACCTGCATTTTTTCTCTATATTATTTATCACTGTCTTATATATTATGTATATTGTGTATGCATTGATTTATTCCTGAGAACATAAAGTGATCTAAATCAGATATTTTCAAAGAGAAGTTACCTTCACTGAGTAAGATTTCATCATAATAAAAAGCAGAAAAGAAGAATGGTTCAAAGGAAGGAATCCCATGTGCAAACACATGTGAATACTCAGTTCAGATAATCACCATTATTAAAGAATGACTCAATTAAGATGTTTATTGGGCAATGGGTTAACTTGATTATTTTGGTTTTGAGCAGAAAGTATAATCATTTAGGTTATCTTTTTTAATAATTTGTGTTAAATAATATACTAATTTTAAACAATTCAGCCATTATTTTGTTGTGTCTTTAAAATAATCCTTAATCCCACTATTCAATAGTAAAATCAGTAACTATATATAGATAAATTTAAAATGCCTCATTTTGAATTCATTCATATACTTGCCGTTAGTAAAGCACCCTGTTTGTATTAACACAATAATGAAACGTGAAATAGACTTGCATGCAACACTAAAATGGTGCATACTGCTCTGAAAAGACTCAAATTCAGAATTCCTGAGTTATTACCTAGAAGGAAGAGTCCATTCCGACACTGCTTTTCTCTACTTATACTAATTAATGTTTTAACCCTAACAATATTTGCTACCAATTTGGTGTGCTTCGTTCTTTTCTATTTAACTTCTCACCATTAAACTGCTGTTGCCATCATGTCACAAATACCCTACTCTACAATTATCTAAGTTAGAGTAATGACATTGGGAGTGGAAAGGAGAGAGATTGCAGACATAAATTGGTCATTTGATTGAATGCAGACCTGTGAGAAAAGGAATCACTTAAAAATGAATTCTGGATTTTCCTTGCAAGTTACAGGGAAAAACTAGAAGGGTGTCATTGACTTACCTAGGAAATTTGGAGGAAACTTAGGTTGAGAAAAGGAGGCTCTGGAGCATCTGTGCCACTAAGAATTTAGGTAACATGTAAAAGAGAAAGCTAGAGAGAGGAATAGTTAGCATACACGTGATAATAGGAGCCATGAGCTGAAACGGGATGTCCCACTGTGAATGCTGAGTTCAGTGTTATTTCGTGATCTGTTTCCCCACTTTCCTTCCAACTTTAACACCTCCTCTATCATTTCTCTTGCACAGTGGTTTTATTGTGTAGGCTGGGACGCCAACATTGTGTTGGGATACCAGCAATCCCTGGTATCAATATCATTCCTGATCACAATGAATAAAACATAAGATATAATGTTTTCTCTAAAGTATTTTTTTTTGTATTTTTTTTTACAGGCAGCTTTTATCAAGTGGCATGATTCCCCTAAATTTTCAACTTATCTGAGAACATTTTTCTGTGATTGCAGTAGGAGTTGAGTATTGCCAAATGAGGGTTTTGAAGCTGTTGAAGATAAATACATAATTTTTTCTTTAGACACTAATAATGTCAGTTATATAAATAGATCTTCTGATGTTAAACTACCCTGAATTTTCATTTCATTCTAATGCACGTCTTTGGGTAAATGATGGCTGAATTCAATATAAATTATATAATATTTTATTAATGCTTTTAAATACATCTTTGGTTGTATTCTGCCATCTGATTTTGAAACTAAGTATATATTATCTTCCTAAAATTCACTGGGCAACTATCTCTGATTTTTTTCTGGAATAACTTATAAAAGACATCGGCTGTCTCCTGGAAGCTTGGTAGAACATACTTGTAAAATTATCCAGAGTTGGGTTATTTTGAGGAAAGTTCTTTTATTATCATTTTTTGATTGTTAGTCTCTCCAAACTTATATTTATAAAAATCTTTTATTATATAAATTTTTGAATTCCTTAATATTTATTGGTGTATGAATTACTATAAAGTATTCTCATGATTTTATTAATTGCCATTGTGTCTGAATTCATTTTAATCTATTCTATTTCATACTTCCATGTGATTTGTCTTTTCCTAATTAGTCTTGGCACAGATTATTCTGTTTCATTATCTTTTTCATTTTGCCTTTGTTGATCATCTCTGTGTTGTCTGTTGTTTGTCTCTGATTCACTGATTATTGTCCTTATCTTTATTATTTATTCTGGTCTCTCTGTTTTTTGTTTGTTTGTTTGTTTGTTTGTTTTTTGTTTTGAGATGGAGTCTCACTCTGTTGCCCAGGCTGGAGTGCAGTGGCACAATCTCGGCTCACTGCAACCTCCGCCTCCTGGGTTCAAGCAATTCTCCTGTCTCAGCCTCCTGAGTAGCTGGGACTACAGGTGCCCACCACCATGCCTGGCTAGGTTTTTGTATTTTTAGTAGAGAGGGGGTTTCACCCTATTGGTCATGCTTGTCTCGAACTCCTGACCTCAGGTGATCTGCCCGCCTCGGCCTCCCCAAGTGCTAGGATTATAGGTGTGAGCCACCGCGTCCGGCCTATCCTGGTCTCTTAAAGCAAATGGTAAGCACTCAATGCACTTTAGCCAATATTGTTATTGATTAATATCCTTTTCTTCAGTCTCAGACTTTCAAATAATCAATGTTAACAGTGTAGCATGCATTGTCCCATGATTTTACTTTGATCACGCGCTGAGTAAATGCAAATATATATGCACAGATAGTGTTTTGTTTTCTATAAAAATGGATTATATTCAATATTACTTTTTAGTATCTGGTTTGCTTTTTTGGGGGGCCTTGATCATATACTATTAATGACCCTTTGGAGTACACATTTATATCAAACCTGCTTTATTTTAATAGACACATGGGTCATTTTGAGTGGATGTGTTATAATTTATTTAAACTTTACCTGTTCTTAATCAGTCTGCCTATTTCTGAGGTGGTGGTGTGTGTGTGTGTTATTTTTATTTTTATTTTTTTGCCACTAGTTCAAAAGATGTGCATTATAAATGTTAATATCCACTGTTATATTCCTTTTTAAAAGTTGTAACAATTTATGCTCCTAAGAGCAACTAGTCAGAGGCCACTTTTCCTCCAAGTATAGTGTTGTGGTTAAAAATACACTAAAGCGGCCGGGCACAGTGCCACACGCCTGTAATCCCAGCACTTTGGGAGGCCAAGGCAGGAGGATCACCTGAGGTCAGGAGTTTGAGACCAGCTTGGCCAACATGGTGAAACCTTGTCTCTACTAAAAATAAAAAAAACAGCCAGACGTGGTAGCGGGCGCCTGTAATCCCAGCTACTCGGGAGGCTAAAGCAGGAGAGTCACTTGAACCCAGGAGGCAGAGGTTGCAGTGAGCTGAGATCCTGCCATTGCACTCTAGCCTGGGCAACAAGAGTGAAACTCCATCTCAAAAAAAAAAAAAAGAAAAAAAAATACACCAAAGCTAAACTACCTGGCTTCTAATCTCAGCTCCACCATGTACTAGAGGTGTGTTCTGGTCAAGTTTTTCAAACTGTGTCTGAATTGTCTCATCTGCAAAGTGGGAGTGTAAAGTACCTCATCCTCAGAATGTTATGAGAATTAGCCTAGTAATATTGGTAAAATGTTTAATTAATGTCTGGCGTGTTTTAACACAGCCACAGCTGAGATTGTTAAATAAATTTAAAACCCTAAATTCATAAATTTCATCATCTAATTGCTGTTTTATTATGTATTGCTTAATAACTAGGGGATTGAGCCATTTACTATATTGATAGAGTGTTGGTATTGCTTCTTTTTTATTCTTAAACTCATTAACAGGTAGCAGCTGTTCTGACTCATTAACATCGTGTGATGGTTCCATTTCTAACCTTCTAAGAGTTGTATTGTTACACTTGTTTTATCAGTTGTGGTTTATGCCTTTTAAGCAATATTAATTCTTTGTTGTATATAATATCTGTGTAGTTTAGTAATTGTAAGTGTATGCTTATGATAAACCCAGTAAAGACACAACAATTAGACTTTAACAATTTGACTCTATATTCAAATAATCTGAGGACAGCCATAGTTCTTTCTAATTTGTTACTGAGACAGGGTCTTTACCTGTGTTCTTCACTGAGATATTCTAAGAACCTGAAAAAGTGCTTACATATGTAGATATTAAATGACTGTTTACTAAATGAACAAAAATTTGTACATTGGGATTTTCTCTCTTGTTCCAAAGTAACTATTCCAATTAATTTTTTAAAAATGAGGAATTAAATGACAAGTTCTAAAACAAATCATACTTCTAAATTCACTGGCTTAGACCATTTTTCTGATTGTTCATATTTTTGCATGCAGACCTGCTGATCTTTGAGGTCTGAGTGCTGGCCCTGGCCCAGGCCACACTTGGCAAAGGATCCTCCCAACCCCTGCAGGTATCTTGGTCTCAGCTGCTGCTTTTGTTTGCTTCTTTCTGTTTATTTTAATTACCTTGGCTTCTTCTGCATTTGACCGTAAAAGAATATAAGACAGACAACACAAAGGATATTATGCAATGTGATGAGGTCAAAGATTAGTTGGATATATGAAGATCATTGAGCAAGGAAAATCAATCTAAAAAACCGGTTTTGTGTTCTGACTCAAATCAGTTAAAACTCTTGAAAATTTTTAAATTGCATTATGCTTTTGACAAAATGTTTAACTTTCAAAGTTAGAAAGCAATAGATATTATCACAAGACAAAAGTGAAGAAGAAAATATGGAGGACAATATGTTTTGTAAGGTGACTAATGCCTTTATTTTTATCAAAATATATTATGCACATGAAATAATTTGTACATTATGGAATATTTTGATATAAAAGATACATTTTTGTAAAAAGCAATGGTCTCCCATTCACTTGTGCCCACTCCATTTTCATTCACAGAGGCTACACTTTTCCACTTTCCTGTTTCTTACTTCTCATGGTTGATGCTTCAACAACTGTAAATGATACAAGCATGCATCAATTTTTCAATGTAATAATTCTTAACAGTACCTATCCCTTTGAATTTTGAAACATAAATTTTTTCTTTTTTACATTATCCCCCTCGACTTTATCTCTTCATTCTCATTTTGTCCAGTTATATTATTTTTAGTTCTATGGCTTACGTGTTAGCTTTAAGCTTTCACTTAACCCTCTATTTGTTGGCAAATTAATATTCGAAAGTATCTCTTGGTTTTCCTCTGCACAAAATAAAGGTGTTTATGCCTCACTGAACACAACTGTCGATCCTTTCTGACTGTCCAACTATAGCCAACTGTGGATTTGTTTTCACATTTTCAAGATTGAGAATATTTCAATCATGATCGACAGCTCAAAATGTGGCGTCTTCGTTTTGTGCCTATGTTTATCCCGAATGCTTTGGGATGATGCACAGTGGGTAAAGATGGTTTTTGTGGGTAGGCTTTCACTTAGTGACCCTGTTTCAGCCATGCTTCACTCTTCCTCTCTCGCTGGAGCCTTAGAAACTCGAAATGTTGTCCTGGGGTCCCACCATGAAGATCGGCAGACATCATCATTGCTGACGGATTCTACAGTGTTGTCTTCACTATAAACCATTAATTCCAAATTTCCATGTAATTTTGTCTTCCATAAATGTGTTGATATGTCTCTCCTCCGTGTGGCTCATTTCTAAATTTTTTTGCTATCATAGATGTATTTCCCATTTTAGTTCCTTGCCATAATTATCCTAGAGTCTTCAGAAGACAGTATTTTGAATCAGAAGTCCTACTACTAAATAAATACTTTAATACTTTAAATGTTCACTTAGGTAGAAAAAGAGAATAGAATATATGATCTAAATACTGAGACTAAAATAATGGCCTGACTCTGCATATTAGCTGATTAATTTTGGACAGAAAAAAATATAAGATAAAATCTTAGAAAGTCAGTTTCCTCACTTATAAACTGGTTGTAACACTACGTTCCTCAAAAGCTTAATTTAAGCATTAACTAAGAAAATGTGAACATGCTTTATAAAAACTTAAACTCTATATAATGTTAAATATTGTAGCTTATAAAAACCAACACATTTATTTTATTTAAAAATTCTCAAAAAAAATTAGTTTTTAGCTGCTTGCATCTTTTACTCCAATACAGATGTGAAAATACTTACTAGTGTTTTAATCTGGTCCCAAAATAATTATTTTGTAAAGACATAGGAAATTCTGAGACCTGGGCCATAATCACAGTGGGTCAAAATGCTTAAAAGTAATCACAACACAAAGTCCATGACACTGGTATAGTGGCAATTATTTAACACAAACTGATTATTTTTTACTTTAAATGATTGAAATTACTTTAATCACTTGATATTTATCTGATTTTTTTTCACTGCTTTTGTTTGAATTAACCACTGCTTTGGCATTTTGCACACACTCCAGCCAGATTAAGACACAATTCCTAGATATTTTCATCCAGGATTCTCAGGGCAGAATAACGCCTGGAGAGCAGATGCCATCCTCCCTTTCCTGCACACTTCCCAACCGTCTCTTCTTCCTTCTGAATCCTAAACATTCCTGACGAAAACCCTATGCATCCCCTTCCCATGTCAGAAATCTGAATTCTCTCCCTCCCTCTCTTTCCTGTAATCTCATACTGGCCCAAGACCTAACAAATTTACATCTCCAATCCCCAATATTTGTTTACGCTTTCACTTCCATTTCCCCTGTCACTACTTGAATATCTTACACTTGGATTTTTCACAATTTATCATTTTTCCGTCTTTATTGTTGTCCTCTCTGATCCATTCTGATGCACAGTATGTTTTTCTTCCTAAAATCCAAATGTGGCATCCTTTCCCTTTTGCTTGAAACTGACAGCCCCGAAGATGACATTGGCCTTTCCCCTGGCCCATTTGTGGCCACGTCCCGACCTGTGTCCAGTCCAGCTCCTCCCAACCCCGCTCAGAAGGCATTCCTTTCCTTTAACTGGCTCGCAGTCAATGGAGCTGCTGTTTTTACTTGAACCTGCCAAATCCATCCTTACTTTTAAGCCTTCACACACGTTCTATCATCAGGCTGAAATGCCCCTCTGCCAGCTTGACTCCCATTTTATCATTTGGCTAAAAATGGTCTAATCTTTTTGTGGGAAGCTGGATGAGTTCACTCTTCTTCTCTGACAAAGCTTCCCTGACTCTTTTATTAATGTTAAATAAACTAACTTTTATTTACTATGTTTCCTCTTCCCTCTGTGTTTAGTTCTGTTATAACAATTGGTGTCATAATTGCCCATTAACACACTTTTTAAGTTTTATTTATTTATTTATTTATTTAATTTTTGTGGGTACATAGTAGGTATCTGTATTTATGGGGTGCCGGAGATGTTTTGATCCCGGCCTGTGATGTGAAACAAACACATGATGGGGAATGGATGTCCATCCCCTCAAGCATTTATTCTTTCAGTTACAAACAATCCAGTTACACCCTTTTAGTTATTTTCAAATGTACAATTAAGTTGTTATTGACTACAGTCACCCTCTTGTGCTATCAAATAGTAGGTCTTATTCATTCTATTTTTTTCTACCCATCAACCATCCTCACCTCCCCCCAAGCCCCCAGCTACCGTTCCCAGCCTCTGGTAACCAACCTTCTACTCTCTATGCCATGAGTTCAATTGTTTTGATTTTTAGATCTCACAAGTGAGACCATACCATGTTTGTCTTTCCGTGCTTGGCTTTGAAGATCAGGATAAAGGACTGTTTAAAAGTGGAGATTCTGTGATCCCATCATCAGGATGGAAAGCCAGGCTTCCCTGCCCACAACCAGCGTCATCTAAGGCAGGTTACATGCGCTGCGCCTCAATTTTCCTTTTTTTTTTTTTTTGTCCTGTTTTTTTTTTTTTTAATTATAGTATAAGTTCTAGGGTACATGTGCACAACGTGCAGGTTTGTTACATATGTATACACGTGCCATGTTGGTGTGCTGCACCCAGTAACTCGTCATTTACATTAGGTTTATCTCCTAATGCTATCCCTCCCCCCTCCCCCCACCACACGACCTGTCAAATAAGAATAACAATAGTACTGCCGGGCGCGGTGGCTCACGCCTGTAATCCCAGCACTTTGGGAGGCTGAGGCAGGCGGATCACGAGGTCAGGAGATCCAGACCATCCTGACTAACACGGTGAAACACCGTCTCTACTAAAAATACAAAAAATTAGCAGGGCGTGGTGGCAGACTCCCGTAGTCCCAGCTACTTGGGAGGCTGAAGAAGGAGAATGGTGTGAACCCGAGAGGCAAAGCTTGCAGTGAGCCGAGATGGCGCCACTGCACTCCAGCCTGGGTGACAGAGCGAGACTCCATCTCAAAAAAACCACAATAGTACTCATCTCATTTTGTTATTGAGGGGTTTAAAAAATAATGCACGTACAACATCAAAAGGCTCTGTGTATGGTTAGCACTAAAGAATTGTTAGCAATTTTTTCTAGTTTTTATTTTATTTTACTTTTTGTCTAGCCCAGTGATTAGCACAAAGTGAGTGTTGAGGACGGAAAGTCATGAATGATGATAAGCAAATGAATGTGAGGGTTAGGTACTTTTTAAAGCTTTCCTGACCACTTTCACATTAATTTTATTATTGCATGAATTTATTCGCTAAGTTGCTTGTTGGAAATTAACTGGATTTACAGCTAGGTGCTTTGCTTTAAATATTTTACATTTTGAAATAGTTGACTTATGCATGAATCTAAGCAAACTTAAAATACTCCAGGAATTTAATTTTCTGGCGGCTTCTGGAATTATAGATGATTTCTGACTTGTGGAGCTCAGTTACTAAAGATACCCTAAGAAGTCAAAGTGCTTGTATTAATGATGATAAACAGTTTTATCCTCTATATCATTGGCATTGATTAATAAATCTCATCACCACATACGGTTTTCACTTTATGGTTTATTTATTTACTGCTTCAGTTTTCAGTAATATCCATATGCTCTGAGTCTTTTAACATATGTCTCTCCACTGGCTGGCTCCCAGGTTGGCTTCTGTCCTTACAGAGCAACTCTGGGACATACATCATGATCATGTGAAGCTTCAAAGGAGGTATGAAATACGATTTTTCATCTTGCACCTCTGTTCCTAAAAAAATACATGAACGAAAGTCTTCGCATTATCTTATATGCATGCATGTTTAAATCTCAGACATCTTTGTCAATTTCATACATCACTGTATTGTAGCCTGCCCTTATAGTGCATGGATGACAGGTGTCTGATTATAAAGTCTTTGCTTTAAAATTGTATGACAAGGATGGAAACCATTTTTATACTCCGTGATGATGTATGCCCTCTTTAAATGATATCTAATGTTCATGTCACACTCAATAATTAGACTTGTTAAGCCATAAGCCATATAGCCTTATGGGCCTCTTTCATTGTTTCTATTGAGATTTACTAAAAGGGAGTCATTCATTCACTTATTTAACAACTAAATATCCGCTGAGGGCTTTCAGGTGGTCTCTGGAAATAAAGATAATTAACAAAATCGCTAAGCTAAAGGAAGTTAGGATGTGTACAGGAAAGAAAAAATATAATTTAAGATTTGATATTACAAGACTATTGAGAGATTATTGCTAGATGAAAAGATAATGAACATACTAGTTTTCCATCATCAATTCAATGTTGCTACATTGTCTTATGAAAACTGCCAGTAATTACAAAAGTAATTACAAAAGTAATTGCATCAACCTAATAGTTTAAAGTTAATAAACTATTAAAGTTTAATAGTTTAAATAAGTAATTACTTTTGTACCAGCCTAATATAATAATTGTTAATGGCAGGAATGCTCTTTATTTTATTATAATTTTTAAACTTTACTTTCTTGATCATGTAGTACTTTACTGCACTTACGCTGTTTACTGCTGTAGAGGTAAAATATTATAATTTAGTCTTAAGATGTTAAAACTGGCCCAGACATATTTGTTATCATTTATTTAACCATATTATATATCCCTGCTTTCTGAATTTTACAGTTTTTGAAAAAGTGCCCTGTCATAAATATAGACATGTATACTGTCTCCATGAACACACATTTCTTTCATGCTCAGATAATGTCCACTCTTCCACTGGTCCTTCAGATTCCCTTGTTAAGGTCTCTTCATATTGGCTTCTTTCTTGATACATTTAGGTTAAGTCTGATGACTCTGCTGTAAAATTGTACTGTGTCCTTTACTACTAGGCTATGGTACTTCATAATCTGAATTATAATTTCTTATTTGGTTGTCTGTCCTTCCGATCTTACTGTAAGCTCTGTGATAACATCAGGGTTTTGTATCTTACGCAGCATTGTATTCTCATGCCCTTCAAAGTGCTTGGAACATAACAGGTCTATATAGATAATAAAACCAGATACACAGTTGATTAGTATGTAAGCAACAGTTTAATATCAAGTGAGTGCTTACTGTGTACAAAATGCAGTGCTGAGTGATATATAAGCATTAGTGTTATTTAATATTTCAAAACTGCCATCATCATTCCCAGTCTAAGGATTGTGCTATAATCCTTTTATAGGTATGGCAACTTTCTCAAGGTCACAACGCTCAAAAGTGGCACAGCCAGAAGCGAAACCCTGTGTTCTGATAACAAACTTAACCCACTTCTATGTAATGAATGTGTTAAGCTCCGATGTTCAAGAGAATAATTAGTACTAAGTTCAAATGTGCATGTTATTTAATTTTTGAATGATGAACATATTCAAATTACTCCGTCTCTGTCCTGCTCTTGTGTTGTCGTTGAGCCTGCAAAAGACACATGCAGCACAATTCACAACTGCAAAGACATGGAACCAACCTAAGTGCCCGTCGGCCAATGAGTGCATGAAGAAAACGTGGTATACATACACCATGGAATATTGCTCAGCCATACAAAGGAACAAAATAATGTCTTTTGCAGTAACTTGGGTGGGTGGAGGCCATTATTCTAAGTGAAGTAACTCAGGAACAGAAAACCAAATACTATTAGTTCTCTAAGTGGGAGCTAAGCTATGAGGATGCAAAACCATTAAAAGCTGTGTAGTCGACTTTAGGCACTCAGCAAGGGGAGGTTGGGAATGAGGTGAGGTGAGGGATAAAAGACTATATATTGGGTACAGTGTACACTGCTAGGGTGGCAGGTGCACTAAAATATCAGAAATTACCATTAAAGAACTTACCATGTAACCAAAAACCACCTGCACCCCCAAAACTATTGGAATTAAAAAGATAAAAAAATTTAAAAAGCCACACCCCAAGTAACTAATAAGAGGCTTGAGCTAGAGGTTGAACTAATACAAAAAGAGTTTAAAATATTGAATATTAGCAAAAGCCCAGGATGGGAGTTCTTTTTTTTTTGCCAAAATATGTATCATTAATTTGTGGGGTTTTTCAGGGGTGTGCTGGGAGTGTGCAGTGGAGATATTCACTGCACACCCAAAACGTTTATCTGTCAAAATATTTATCATCAGTTTGCGGGTTTATTTTGGGGAGATGCTGGGAGTGTGCAGTGGAGATATATATTTAAATTTCAAAAGCTGATAGTAGCAAAAAAAAAACCTGCAAATAAAGCTGAAATATTAATTATTCACCTAAAAAAAAGGAACTTGTAGATATTCCAGCACTGAACAACTTAATAAAGTTTTGCCTAAGAATAAGAACATTTTCTAACATAAAAACAATACCTTTATAATATCCAAGATACAAAATATTAATTTAATTATATTACCTAATATGTTGTCCATATTTAAATTTAAATTTATTTTTCCTCAAAAATAACTGTATCTGCTCATTTTCAAAGGAAATCTAATCAATGTTCAGAAATAGCATTTGATCATCATCCTTTCATTTTTCCTTAATCTGGAAGCATCCTGCAAAGTTTTTTGGTCTTTTACAGCTGACTTTTAAAAATATTCCAAGGCAGTGTTTTCAGAATGTTTTTCTTAGTGTTTCCACATGATTATTAGATTTAGTTAAACTTTTTTTGTTGTTGCTTTTGGCAAGGAAGCTTCACAGGTAATAGTAATTATTCTCATTACAAAGCACTTTTTTTTTGTTTTGTTTTGTTTTTGTTTGAGATGGAGTCTTCCTCTGTCACCCTGTCACCCAGGCTGGAGTGCAGTGGTACAATCTCAGCTCCCTGCAATCTCCACCTCACATGTTCAAGCAATTCTCCTGCCTCAGCTTCTTGAGTAGTTGTGACTACAGCCACCATGCCCAGCTAAATTTTCTATTTTTAGTAGAGACAGGGTTACACCATGTTGGCCAGGCTGGTCTTGAACTCCTGACCTCAGGTGATCCACCCTCCTCGGCCTCCCCAAATGCTGGGATAACAGGCATGAGTCATCGCACCCAGCCTACAAAGTAAATAATATCAGGTTGTCTTGCTTTTGCTAAGCTTGATCACTTGCTTAATCACCAGATCTATTTTAAAGGTAAATTTATTATTTCATAATTATAAGTGATACTGTGCGTGATACTTGGAGATGATACAAATACATTGTATGGATGTGTCTGACATTCAATGATGATTCTGAATGGATTCAGTTATTAATCTGGGGTTGCCATGGTCTGAATCTCTGTACCCTCCCACCCAAATTGACGTGTTAAAATCCTGTTCCCCATGGTGATGGTATGAGGAGTAAGGCCTTGGGGAGGTGATTAGTTCTTCAGTGTGGGGTCTTTATAAATGGGTTTAGTGCCCTCATCAAATAAACCGAAGAGATCTCATTTATCTCTTGCACTACATGAGGACACAGAGAGAATCAGAAAATGGGGCATCACCAGACTCCAAATCTACTGACACTTTGATCTCAAACGTCCCAGCCTCCAGAACAGTAAGGAACAAATTTCTATCGTTTAAAAGCCACCTAGTTTACGATGTTCTGTTACAGCAGATCTAATGAACTCAGTAAGACAGGGGATTGGCAATGTGGCTTTCCAGGTTAATAAATCTTTCTATATTATTAACAGATATTCTCCTATAAAGAAGAGTTGTTCACTCTTTCTTTCATTTTTATTTCTTTGACCTCTTACTTTCTAGCTCTATCGTATTATTGTGGACTCATAGAACCTTATATTTCATCCGTTTTTTTTTTTCAGTTCATGCAATAGTAAACGAACACCCACAAGCCAAATAAGCCCACCAACTGTTTTAATGTGGGCTGGGAGCTAAAAATGTTACTTATATAGTTAATGGTTGAAAAATACACAGAAAACTAATACTCTATGACACATAAAATCATATGAAATACAAACAGTCAAAGCAGGGAAGTTGTGGGATGTAAATGCAGTGCTGGAATAGAGGAGAAGAGGAGTCCCTGGAGAAAGACACAGCTCCTGACTCAGCAGCATGACAGGAGCTGAGAGAGCCATGGAGAAAGACCTCGTCCTCTGTCTTCTCCTGCCACCCCATCCAACCAGGAGCCAGCTGTGGAAGGGGACAGCCTCCAGGGCCCAGAGCAACACTGTGCAGGTGAAACAAGGACTGTGTATTTGTACAAATAGAGAAAGCCCTGCATTCTAAAAAACAGTGATTTCAATAGAAAAAAAGGTGGCATAGATGGTGGTCTAGATCCAGTGTAATTTTCATACTGAAAGCTGTATTACCTGAGTGTATATTTATAGTTTCCAATTTCTAATACGAAATAAAAAAATTAAAATGGCAGTGAAAAGTATTTAGTACATTATTCATTTATATATTACTTCAAGAAGTATTAATAAGCTTGAGAAATATCACAGTGTTATCAAGCACTTGGAGGCATTAATACATCAAAAGTTGGAAAAGTAGAAAAATTTCTATCCTAAATAGTGAAATATTAATTAATGAACATCCA